>NC_000002.12:158739618-159989618 GCF_000001405.40 Homo sapiens | reverse complement strand
CACATATTTTAGACAAGGCCTATTGTGGTTAATTCACATCCTCAAGTTTCCAGTTACTAAAGATTTGTGCTGAGACTAGAACCCCAAACTTCACGCTCCAAGTCCGAAGTTCTTTCCATGAGGTTTCCTGCCTGTGCTGTGCAGTAACTGGAGTTTCCACTGGGGCCCCTCAAAGGACGGGGGAATGGAGCAGGATGTGTGCGTTCCCTTCTCTTTCAACTAGAGCAGCTCCACAAGTATATTGCATTTGGGGCTTCCACATGGATTTCTCCAGTTCAGTTTTATTGCACAGAGCATGCAGCATCTCTTGTACTGTTCATGATCCAGCTGGACTGTGAGCTGCATTCTGAAATTATTCAACAGGCCTGCAAAGCTCCATTAATGGCAGGGGCAGTTGCATACTATAATCTCTCCCCCTTGCCTGCCCACAACCTTGCATCTTTAACACCAGCTAGCTGTTCTGGGCCAGTAGAGCCATCCGATGGCCTTTGGATGCACCAACTCTTCCTTGACTTTCTTTTCTTCTATGTGAGGGATAGCGTGTTTCCTCTTTTACCACTGGACATTTTTACCTTTGAGGGTCTCTGATTCATCACAGAGGCCCAGGGGGTTCTTCCAGATCAGAACCATCTTGCCATGGCGATGCTGGTGCCTAACACACTTGTGCAGCCAGCGCTGTTGAAGACACAAACACTCATACACTCATTCTTTAGCAAATTATTCCATTCCTAAAGAGATGCTCTATGTCTTCCTTTGTCTTCTTTCTTCTCCTTTGCACTCTTCATTTTCCCTCTCTTGTGTCTTTCCATGAGCATAAAACAATCAGAACATAGATGACAAGCACAATGCCAGGTACTCAGTATCTGAAAAAATTGAAGCCATTACTTCTGAAGGGAAATTAAGCAAGATAAATATCAAGTAGCAAGTGACGACATTTTTTAAAGAGCCTTCAGGTACAGAATCATCGCAAGTCGTCAGTCATCTATAATCACTCTCTTTTTACAAGCATGCCTTGAAAACTCATTTCTCCTTTTCATCCTTCAAAATTCAGCTCAAATGTCACTTCCTGCAAATGTTTTACTGACATCTCTGGACAGGCTCCATCACCCCTTCTGATGTCTCCTCCAGAACTTTGAACACACCTTTTACTGTAGCACTTTACACATTATATTTATTAGAATTGCTTATTTATGTGTCTGTGTCTTACACTAAACTAAGAATTGGTTTTTGGTTTGCTTTGCTTCATCCTTTTTTTCAAGCAGTTAATATACAGCCTAGCTGAGCACATTGCGGATGTACAATTTTTTATTGTTGTTGATGAATGTGAATTTAGTTAACTAAATGATCACCCAGGATTCAAGAAAAAACAAGCTCATTCTTACTCATTTTAATTCTATTTTTGGAATAGAATTGCTTTCTACTGTTCTTCACTGAAATTTGAAGTGTATTTTTTTTTTTTTTTGCTGTCATATGAGTTGTATAGATTTTGCTGACAATCTTAAGAATCTTAATTTATAAATTGTTTCTGTGGAAAAATACATTTTACCTTCTAAAATGTTCAAGCATACACAAAGAAAAAAGTGGAGTTTTGTCCATAACTAGTATATCACATTTTCCAATATCTCACATATACTATGAAGGTGGGAGGGAAAATCTCAGTACTTTGCTTTTCATATAAAAGCCCCTCTCTCTCTCTAATTCTGTCTTCCTTTTCCCTGATGTCTGCCTTGTCCCTGCCCCCGGATCTTTACCTCATTTAGAGAATTCATCTCATTCTCTTCATTCTTCCAAGGTTTACAGTTTGGTTTTCTGTTGTATACTTTGTGGTCTACCTTGAATCTGTTATTCACCTATTTTCCCCTGTTGAATCCAGTTGTTAGAGGATGAGCACTATGCACCTTTCATTGTTGATTTTTCACAATGGAATTTTGAAGTACAATATTGAAATATGGGGGATATTTTGGTTCCAGATAGGAATAGCTCCTAGTTCCTCATCATTTGCCATCTGAGCACAAAGCAGACAAGGTCCAAATTTCAGCCTTCACACTCTCTTTTCTCTCTTTCCCATCTTGCATTCTTTTCTCCAGAGATGAAGAGAAATGACATAATCAGGTCAATAAGACATTCGTTTTCATCTTGATTGCTCTTGTCTGGGTGCTTAATTATGAGATGTCAATTATTCAACACTCTAAAGAGCAGTCTTCTGAGCACAAAACGTTTTAGTCGTCTGGTATTAAAAATGCTTGTTTTCTGCTTTTAGGCTACAGTGGTGGCTGTGTTGCCATGCGAGGAAGGCATCCACTTGGTCGCTGGGAAGTGAAGCACTGTCGGCACTTTAAGGCAATGTCCTTGTGCAAGCAGCCAGTTGAAAATCAGGAAAAAGCAGAGTATGAAGAGAGATGGCCCTTTCACCCCTGCTATTTGGACTGGGAGTCAGAGCCTGGTCTGGCCAGTTGCTTCAAGGTGATACCAAGGTTACATGGACATTCTTAACAGGACCAACACTATTTTAATTTGATCCATGTATCCCAAATTCCTTTATTCCGGGGCCCTTTTTTTTTCCAGAACAGTGCCTGACAGACAGCAGGTGCTTAATCAACATTTGTTGCCTGTCTCTATCCTTTCAATCATATTCCAAATAATTTTTAAGTAAAAAAAATTGACACATCCTGGTGATATTGAAGGCTTCCTCATGAAGATTGATATCTGTTAAGCAGAAATACCAGGCACAGGGCCAGGCACAGTGACTCACGCCTGTAATCCCAGCACTTTGGGAGGCCGAGGCAGGCGGCTCACTTGAAGTCAGGAGTTCCAGACCAGCCTGGCCAACATGGTGAAATCCCATCTCTACTAAAAATACAAAAAGTAGCCAGGCATGGTGGCATGCACCTGTAGTCCCAGCTACTTAGGAGGCTGAGACAGGAGAATGGCTCGAACCCGGGAGGCAGAGGTTGCAGTGAGCCGAGACTGCGCCATAGCACTCCATCCTGGGTGACACAGCGAGTCTCTATATCAAAAAAAAAAAAAAAGGAAAGAAAAGAAATAGCATGCGCTAATATTAATACCTGGAAGGAGGGCACCATGCTCTGGTTATCACTCCTGGGGGAGGACTCTAAACACCTAACCAGTTTCTGCGTAAGTTCCTAGCTCTGACAGGAGGTTTTGCACAAACTTGGCTGCCAGAGTATGAATCTGGTGAGACAGAATTCCCACACAACAAGATGGGCAAAGTAACTTTATTACAGGTTGAGTACTCCTTTTCTGAAATGCTTGGAACCAGAAGTGCTTTAGATTTCAGATTTGTTTTTTTTAATATTTGCATCGCACTTACCAGTTGAGCATCCCAAATCTGAAAATTCAAACTCCAAAATGCTCTAATGAGCATTTCCTTTGAGCATCTTGTCACCGCTCAAAAAGTTTTGCATTTTGGAGCATTTTGGAGCTTGGATTTTTGGATTTGGGATGCTCAACTTGTATTCACAGATAGGCAGCAAGAAGCAACCGAAGTCTAGGATCCATGGTGAGCCATTCCCCCAAGGCTCAGGAAAGCACCCCCAGGAAGATGGAATCTTGTCTGCACATGCCCCACTTTGCATGACAGCTGAGGGCTCCCCAAAGCGCTTCTCTCGGGGTTTTATATCCCAGGTGCCACCTGAATCACTGAGCAAAAGTATTACAAGACATCCTATTCTAGGAGGGATAAGGACAGTTCCTCCTTATCTCAGGACGTTGCACTCTTGGTACACTCTGCCTGAGAATTGCCAAGAAAAAGAGGAAGAGCTGGGTCAGCAAGGGTCATCTGGGGACCTGTCCTCCTGCAATATTGAGGCCCCAGTCAATATTGTTCATACACTAAGTGAAGGAGGTAGACACTCAGAGGGTGTTAAATGGTATAATTTCATATTGTTTGTAAACCAACAAATAAAGTTTTTATTATTGAATGATACAATATTACTAATAAGGATAGCTTTTGCAGCTTGCCAGACATGTGAAGATCAAACAAATTGATGCATACGGTTGATTTGTATGTGTATATATGTGTGTGTGTATGTATGTGTGTGTATATATAAGTGAAGACATTTCTATTTTTAAAATCAGCTTTAGATCCTACATTTAAATTAGTTCCTACAATCTTGTCAGAAACACATTTTTTGAAATATGATTTTTAAAAATGTTTGGTGGTTTTGTCTTGGTTTATTTTACAAATAGGGGTTCACTAAATCTTGGGGAAAAGTTCCCCAGCATCTCTGCACAGGCAGAGCAGAATGAAGACAGACTCTATCTCTGGAACTGTTGTAGCTCGTAGATGGCATGAAGCAGCTGTGAATGTGCTCGATTTAAATTGTACACATGTATAATCCTACATTACATTCATAGAATAATAGGCCCAAAAGTGGCCTCGCCCATTAATAAGTTAAACCTTAGAGATGAGTAAACTGGGGCCTGTGAAATGTAGTGATTTGCCCAAGATCACGATTATTTATTGACAGAGTTGGAATAAATGCCTGGTTTAGGACTTCTGGTCTGGTGCCTTTTCTACTATATATCACCCTGATATGTCAACAAATGCATGGTGTGTGTGATAGGCATGGTGGTAGGATTTATGAGCTTATAGTGATTCGGGAAGAGGTTCCCAGAGGAGGCAAGTTTTGACATATAATTTAAAAGATGGAAAGGTTGTGCTGTGGTCCACAGGACTTGGAAAGCTATTCATTCTGGTCTCAGCAAGTAAGAGCCTGGTGAGGGCTGGCCACAGGGTGTACCTGTCTGGCATCAGAGGCTCAGGCTTAGTGCCAGGCAGTTAAAAATAAGAAGGGTAAGAGGACTGGGATTGCAAGCTCTGGGTCTTCAGTCCCTTTCCCCAATCTTAAATAAAGCCAACAGAAGACCTTCCATTCATCTGGCTTCTTCCTGCCACCATGAAGACAGCTGAGAAGCAGCAGAGATTTTAGGCACAGCTGAACCACTGCACTGCCAGTTCAACTAAGATCCAAAGACTCTAGAAATAGAGCTACCCTAGGTCCCAGGTCTAATTTCTCATTTCTTGCCCTGGGTCAGCCAGAGTAATGATCAATCTGCTAATTCTAATCTGTCAGAAGGCAATCTGGTGGGATGGAAGTTTATGGACTCTGGAAGCAAGGTATTGTAGGTCTAATTCTAGCTCTGCCAGTTTATAGCTGTGTGACCTAAAATTCTTAACCTCTCTTGGCCTGACTTTATTTATCTCTTGACAAATATTTACTGAGGGACAAGTACATGCCAGTCACAGAAGATTTAGGGTGAAAAAAAATTCCTCAAAAAGCTCATTTATAAAACTGAGTTTATTATATTCTCCTCAGAAATTTGTTATGAGGATAAAAGGAACTAATAGTTTTATGATGACTAGGCACATTCTAATTCAGTAAATATTACTTCCTCCCACTAGATCAAGCTCTTTATAAATAATAATGATGATTATGTTAATATTACTGTTACTTTCTTGAACAGAGTTTAACAACCTGACTTTATCTATAACAATGTTAATTTATTTTCTTTTACTATACAGGTATTTCATAGTGAAAAAGTTCTGATGAAAAGAACATGGAGAGAAGCTGAAGCATTTTGCGAAGAATTTGGAGCTCATCTTGCAAGCTTTGCCCATATTGAGGAAGAGAATTTTGTGAATGAGCTCTTACATTCAAAATTTAATTGGTAAATACTTGTTAATTATGAAAAATTACAGTCAAATATTCTATCTCCCAGTAATGGCTTCTGAGGGGTGAGTATCCCAAGTAGTTGTTTAAAATTCCCATATTTGTATTATGCCCAAAGCCAAGAAAAATAAATATACATATAGTTTTATGTTTATCTTGTACCAGGTTCTCATTTCATAAAACAAAGAACAAAGTGACAATTGTTTAGATATTTGAAATCTTTTCTTTGTGCCTCAAGTCAGAACTGTAGAGCTTTCCTGCCAAACTCAGGAATTATCTACCCCAATGGTTTTCAAAGTGTTGTGGAAGGATCCCAAGAATCCTGGAACCCCAGGAGTATGAGAGGGCCACGTAGGCAGAGCTCCTAGTTCCTTCCACGCCTCACCAGAGCGGCTCTGACCAGCTCCACCGCTAATTATTTTGTATATAATTGGAGCCTATGTAAGATTTTGTTTGGAAAAAAAAAAAAAAAGAGTCCCAGTAATTTTTTTTTTAATTCCAACCCAACCTCCTAAGTTTTCATTTGAGGAAACAAGCTTTCCCTTATCTGTATCCATCTTGCAAGTTTACAGAACCTTGAATTCAGTGGAGTTAGAAACTCAAGCTTAAATTGTAAGAACTCTAAACCGTCTTGTGCTACCTCCCACCACATACCGTGGTCATCTGCTGTCTGCATAATTCCTTCCAGTTTCAGAATGCTTCTTATTTGGGAGAAAGCCCATTCCATTGCAGAAGCCTGGTTTCAAAGAGTAGTTTTCTAATAAGCCAGAAATCTGCCTCCCCTCAGTTTGAGCTAGAGCAAATACAGATCAAATCTACTCTATTTTCAAATATTTGAAGACAGTCATCTTGTCTCCTTCCTGTGAGCCCCCCACCCCCGAGTTTGGCCTCTCACTTTGGAATGTTCTTGTCAGTCAGCCTGCATTGTGAGAGTATCTTCTGTGGAAGGGGCACAGTTACATGCATAGCTGGTTGGATAATTCAATAGACATGACAAACAAGATCCTGCCTCTGAGGATGTTGTGATCATCACACCTCCATGACTCTGTATATTTATTTAATGAAAACAACCATAATAATAGGTACTCTGCTTCAGGCTCTGGAAATCTAGAGTCTCAATGAAACACTGGCCTGAATCCCAGAGAAAAATCCTGTACTATTTTTTCAGGAAAATTCTGGCCTTTCCCACAAGTTTCCTTGTAGGACATTCCCATAAAAAGATTAACATGCAACATCTATCAGATTATTCATCTTCCACATCTACAGCAATGACCTTAAAGCTGGGAGTTTTTGACATCTCTCCATGTGAGTCTTGTGCAGCATTCTGCAGGGGAGGAAGGAGATTTTATGGTCAAATATGTTTGCAAAACAATGTACAATCTTGGAGATTTGCCATGTACATTAGCATCGTAAAGGGTTCTAGAAGGAAGCACTTTCTTTGACCACAATTCCCTTTTTTAAGAACACTTATTGACATCCCACAGAACTGCTAGTCCCTACGGGAAATGCTGACATGAGGCCATGACTCAGGAACCTGGCTGCTCATCACACTTGGTCGGGACACCTTTTAATACAGAGCTTTCTGGCCTCACACCAGAGCTGCTGAGTCAGACTCTCTGAGTCTGAAGAAAAGTTTAAGAAGCTTTCTGGCTAATTGGATTATCAGCCAGGTGTGAGGCCGCAAATCCAAGGGATAGGTGATAGTCTCCATTGTTCAAAGTTACATTTTGCTTCATTACTTTAGCTTCCTTTAAAACATATTTGCATATTCTGTCCTTGCATTTTAGTGAGGTTTGCCATATGACAACCACACACACACTGCTTCCCAGTTTGCTTTAAGATCAAATGTCACTGTCATTTCTGTTTATGTAAGTTCTCATGCTTGAAATGTCTAGCAGAATTTAGTCCCAAGCTAAATCATGGATCTTCAATATCTGATCACAAAAGTCATATAATATGAGCCAGGCACAGTGGGTCACAGCACTTTGGGACACCAAGGTGGGAGGAACACTTAAGGCCAGGAATTCAAGATCAGCCTAGGCAGCATAGTGAGACTCAGTTTCTACAAAAAAATTTTTCAAAATTAGCTGGGTGTGGTGGCCACACCTGTAGTCCCAGCAAAACCTAGTTCAAAGTTACAGTGAGGTATGATTGTGCCACTGCACTCCAGCCTGGGCAACAGAGCGAGAACCGTCTTTAAATAAAATATTTAAAAATTCTTGACTGGGTGCAGTGACCCACACCTGTAATCCCAGCACTTTGAGAGGCCAAGGCAGATTGCTTGAGCCCAGGAGTTAGAGAACAGCCTGGGCAACATGGTGAAACCCCATCTCTACCAAAAAGTACAAAAAAATTAGCCAGGTGTAGTGGCACACATCTGTAGTCCCAGCTACTCAGGAGACTGAGGTGGGAGTATCAATTGAGCCTGGGAAGAGGAGGTTGCAGTGAGCCAAGATTGTGTGCTACTATACTCCAACCTGGGCGACAGTGTGACCCTGTCTCAAAAAAAAAATTATCAATAACTGTGTATGTTTCAGTTTATTCCCAGACTACCAGAGAATTCAGTCAAATCTGATGCTTAATTATAGCAAACATACCAGATCTCATAGTTAGCAGGTATAACAGGTATGCTGCTTTTCCTTCCTATGGCACTGCTTTTCTATTTCTATTTTATTAATCAGACACACACACACACACACACACACACACGTATGCACATACATGTGTGTTTATTAAATATTGTACAATTTCAGGAAACTGATGAAGAGAAAGTAAATACCATTTCATCTTCCAGGAGCCAGTATATAGCAGGAAAGACATAGAACTCTGAATTCAGTGAGGAAAGAAAAAGGTCACAACACCAGGAGAGTGACATGGATTTTCAGCCTATGCCATCGAGATTAATGTGCTTGGCTTAAACTGAAGGTGGCCATTCTCACCTTCTCCCAGCCTTAAATGAAAGTTAGTATCATCATGACAATGTCCAACCGGGCATCAGTGATCTCTTGGATTTCTAAGCTGAATTTGAATTTAATTTGTGTCATCCAGGCAGAGTAGCTGACATATCCGAGAAGGAATTCCTTGCTTCTCTGCACAAAGGAAAATAAAGTATCTGTCCTGACATCTGAATATTTTAAATCTTTGATTCTTCAAAATTATTCTCAGAAAATTATCTTAGTGAGATGGTTCATTGCACAGGTAGGCTTTATTACTCGATTTATTGAGTATTCTGTGGACACATTTGTACTCTGCCTCATAGAAGGGAAGGTGATTCTCTGTGGAGCTTCTCACCAAGTATAAACCAATGGTGACAACTGAAGTTAATGAACCATGGCTCAGGGTGACTGGCTTTAGAATTATTTGTGTTGATATCTGAAAAAAACCCAAAACCTACTGTGTACCTTTTATTCAGTGAAGATGATGGTGGTTGACTTTCAGAGAATACATGAATGTTTAACAAAAGAACAACAAATCAAAGCATAGTAAAGTAGAATAAATAGTATAGTGAAGTAGCAAACACACAGTAAAGTAGTGAAAGGTCCTCTTGGCTAGAGATGTTCCAAAGTTTCTTACCAATTTTCTTTTCATGTGTTCTTGTCCTGACTGAAAGGCTTTGCTATTCCTGATGAGAAACTCATGTTCTCAATAAAAGCTGACTTTTACCCACCTGTATATCACCTGTGAGCAAACCACACAAACCAAGAGTAATAGAATGTGAGGCTTATTCTTCTCTCAGTTCATGTCACAGCACAGGGTTTTGCACATTTAAAATGTTCAATGCTTGTTGACTTGATCAATCCTGCCAGTAGCATCAGCTGTTTCCTGCATACATAAATATTTTAAAATATTTTTTCTTTTATTATTATTATACTTTAAGTTTTAGGGTACATGTGCACAATATGCAGGTTAGTTACATGTGTATACATGTGCCATGCTGGTATTTTTTGAACCTTTCACATAATGCTGTAAATTTGATGGGAAAGGCAAAGCTTTTGTTTCTTCTCTTTACAGGACAGAAGAAAGGCAGTTCTGGATTGGATTTAATAAAAGAAACCCACTGAATGCCGGCTCATGGGAGTGGTCTGATAGAACTCCTGTAAGTCTTTTCAAACTGGAGAAAAGGGATGGATTCAAAACAAGTGGGCCTGGGACCACTTGGTAAACCAACCAAGAGAACCTAGAAATGATGGCCAGAGCTCCCATGACAAAACTGCACCAGACCTTAGTACCAGGAGAATTATTTGGCAAGGTCCTGAGAAATCTTTGCTAGCCATATTGTTCTGAGGCCATTGTACAATTTCAGCCTGAAAAAGTATCAAAAACCTCCAAAAAGTCCCCCCAAACCATCTCCCATATGAAGTCTCTCTGGCAGAGAAGCAGCTATTCTTTAAAATAACACAAGACTCCCTTTACCCTATACCTCCCTATCCTGCATATCACCTGATTATCTGAGTATGGGAACCTTGTCCATGTCATAATGAAATGAAGATTATTTTGGAGAATGATTTTTCATTTATCTCACTCTGAAAGGACAGTAATGCAAGTTTTAGAAATATCACCTTCTAGAGCAAGTTATTCCAGAAGGAAAAAAAAAGTCTTGGTTTTCATTCATTCCCATACTTGCAAACCTCTATGAAGGACACAGAGAACTCACTATTGTATTTTTTTCCAGTTGCAATGGGTAATTCTCACATTTTTCTCAAAATGACAGGGAAAAAACTGAAGTAGTATCCTAGATTGAAGTGGGATCCATCCTACGGCACATGAAAAATCACATTATTCACTTTCACCTGTGAAATGGGGAGACTCCTAAGAGCCTGCAGTGAGAATTTAATGCAACTGCTGTTTATTGAGTCCTTATACTGTTCCAAGCGCTGAGCTGAATGCACTCCTACATGATCTCATTTCATCCTTACAATAACTCAGTGCCATGGGTATTAGAATGATTAAGTGGCTTGCCTAAAATATATAGGAGAGCCAGGATTTGCACACAGGTTGTCTGACTCCAAAGTCACAATGTTATAATATCTCATGATTGGCAAAATATCAGTAGCCAAACTTTGAAGTAGTAAAGAACAATAGAGAAAGCCCCGTACCAAGATGGTTTTCAAATTTATGTCAAGGAAGAGGTTTATAGAAGAGAGTAGGAAGAGATTTTAAAGGTCATTCAGCCCCACTAATCCATTTTTCTGATAAAGAAACCAAGGCTCAGAAAACAGAAAAGGCATAGCAGGGTCAACTTACTCCATAAATGGCAGCCACTACATGAGACAGCTGGGTGGTTCAAGTCAATGTAGCACTCGAAAAAGAAATGTGACACATAGAAGTTGAGAACACTTTCTTTTGTTTTAGTATAACAAACTCATTAGTAATAGGAGAGGAACAGACAATCTGGGTCAGAATAAATTAGATAAGGCCATGAAGCAGTGGCCGAGCTTCTCACTAATATCTGCTGGACAAAATGAATTCAAATCACACCATTTTCTGAACCTGAGGCTATATATATTTTAGATAGATGAATTATTACGTGACAGTGTACATGTTTGAGGAGGAATATAAAGGATTTTAAAACATCCTTTTTTTCCCCAAATTTTTACCCCAATTTTACTTGTGGTACATCCATTCTTCTGTGAGATAGTCATTAAATAATTGAGAAGGTTGATTCTTTAATACCCCCGTAATGTGAATTATATGAGTTATGTGGTCACTCATGGAAAGTGACCTGATAGATTCCTGATTAAAGCTAGCTATAGCTTAGAATTTAGTTATTAGAGACAAAAAACTTAGCATATGTTCAAAGTAATCAAAATCAAAGTTAATACCAAGATCTGGCACACCCTTGAGTCCCTAAGTTTACCCAGGATTCCAAGGCTAGAAAATTTTCCCAGTTAGAAAAATGTGCAAATTCAGACCAAAGCTTGCATTTGATTTGTTCCTTCTGGAGAAAGGAATAGCATACCTTTTTTTAATTTTTATTTTATTTATTTATTTTTTTTGAGACAGAGTCTTGCTCTGTCACCCAGGCTGGAGTGCAGTGGTGGGATTTCGGCTCACTGCAAGCTCTGCTTCCTGGGTCCACGCCATTCTCCCGAGTAGCTGGGACTACAGGTGCCCACCACCACAACCAGCTAATTTTTTGTTTTTGTATTTTTAGTAGAGATGGGGTTTCACCGTGTTAGCCAGGATGGTCTCAATCTCCTGAGCTTGTGATCTGCCCACCTTGGCCTCCCAAAGTGCTGGGATTACAGGCATGAGCCACCGTGCCTGGCCTTTTGTTTTCTTGTTTTTGTTTTTGTTTTTTAAAAAGGCATCTTTAAGAAAAAAATGCTAAATATTGATTAGCTTGTTCTTCACAAATGTGAAACAACCTTCAACTAGAATGACATCCAGACATTTCTGAAGCTTCCTGGAGTAGCCTATAATGCTTATGTACAGGGATGCCCTTTTTGATCTTTTGAAACTTTGTGGGGGGATCATCATTAAGGAATAATGAACTTCATCTGCTGCAGGTTGTCTCTTCGTTTTTAGACAACACTTATTTTGGAGAAGATGCAAGAAACTGTGCTGTTTATAAGGCAAACAAAACATTGCTGCCCTTACACTGTGGTTCCAAACGTGAATGGATATGCAAAATCCCAAGAGGTAAAAATAGTAGTAAGATCTTTGCTATATGTTTGATTTCTAATAATCTCTAGTACTTTCCCAATTTAAACACCCCAAACCACAATATCAACAAATTGCATGATAAAATAAATTACACTACTTTAGCAAAAAATGTTTCTATAGGAAATGGGAAAAGGCGACACCAATGCAGGATGCCAAGTTAGTTCATTGGGAACTAAGGTAACCAGCTAATATTGCAGAATATTTATAGTGCAAGTATAGTCGGGGAAAAATGTCACTTTGACATTACAGAGCAAATGGAATTACTTGCACAATGAGTAAGTGGAAACACCTGGGACAGTGTGTGGCACACAGTGGCCTCAGCAAGTGCTCATGTCCTTCCTTCTTTAATTAGAAGCCTCTCTGGAGCTTCCTCTTCAAGTGTGAGAACTCACCATATATTCCAAACAGCACAATGTACCTGTTTTAAAGTGATGTTTTAAAAGATGAAGGACAAAATAGTGTGTTTAGAGCTGAAGTAATTCACAGACAATGCACTTGAGAAGCAAGATCAGTCAAAGTGATTTGCTTTCACTTTGCAGATGTGAAACCCAAGATTCCGTTCTGGTACCAGTACGGTAAGAATGACTCTGGCAGCTCTTGAATTTCTAATTATTAATATATACCATATAAGTGCTATTATATACCATTAATGTGTTGTTACATTTCTCAAATCGAGCCTCTCTTTTCTTGTGTCAACCTAGAGCTAATTTGTTCAAATTAATAATTAATAAATGTAGTCATTTAATATGATTAAGGACTAGTATCATCAATCATTTTCATGACATGCGATTTTAGAATATGTACCTATCCCCGACCTTTTAATACTAGTGAAGGTATCTTGTAAGAGATAGACCAAAGAAAAAAAGCAAGTTATATATCTATTTATGTGCATATGTGTCTGTGTGTGTGTGTTCAAATTCCTGTGTGTGTGTATACAATTATTTTTAATGTTGAGTGACCAAATCTCAAATTTGGGGTCAATCCTAGCATACCTATTTATCATTTCAGCATTATTTTCACTGTTTCTTTTTCAGATGTACCCTGGCTCTTTTATCAGGATGCAGAATACCTTTTTCATACCTTTGCCTCAGAATGGTTGAACTTTGAGTTTGTCTGTAGCTGGCTGCACAGTGATCTTCTCACAATTCATTCTGCACATGAGCAAGAATTCATCCACAGCAAAATAAAAGCGGTACTTGAACATAACTCACCACGAAAAATTCAGAGTTTAGCACCTTCTTTTGCCCTTGGGAGGGAGGGAGGGATAGTTTTTTCGATTTGACTTCGGATATTTATTTAAACTTCAGTAAAAGCCATAGATTTCAGTAAAGCCATAGATTTTTGAGAATTTTTTTCCTATTATAGAGATTAAGAGAAAATAATGGAGGTACAGGTTTACTGTATTGCTCAGTCATTTCCCTTCTCTTCATTCTTTGTTAGCAACAATGGTGAGCACGTCGAGATTGTTTCATGAGGTTCATTCGATCATTTAATCACTGGTAGAACTGGGGTTTTACCAGTGATTAAAAAAGACCCAAATTCCTATCTTCATGGAGTTTATATTCTCGTCTGGGAAGAAAGACCATAATCAATTCGAGTAAATAGAATTATATAATATATTAGAAAAAATAAGTGGATAAATGCCACAGAGGAAAATTAAGCTCAAATGAGGGATGAGGAATACCTGGGGGGGTGCCTGGCAGTTTTAAACTTTCAAATCTTACAAGAGTACATTATTTTTAAGTTTGTAAAGACTAATATACAGAAAATAGTAAGGAGTAGTTTTCTATTTCAACTTAAAGTAGAGAAAGGCTACTTAATTCCTTGCAGAACTAAGCTAGTAAGAAAGAAACATGTAAGACCTATTAAATAATAAACTGGCAAAGAATAGTGTACTTTTTCAGTGTGTTCCTTCAATAAGCATTCATTATCAAGTATGTGCCAGGCACTGGGATATTTGTCAAAGATGCAAAAATGTATGAGATACAGTCTCTGTTTTTAAAAAGGCTAGATATATATACTTTAAAACATCATGTTGTATACAATAAATACATACAATTTTATTTTTCAATTTTTAAAACATAAATTTAAAAACTAAAGCTGGAAGTGATATGATGTAGTAAATAGAAAGGGCACAGAAAGTGCAAATTACAATGGGGGCATGAAGGCGGGAAATCCTCACTCCCCTTTCCCTTGGAAGCTTTGAAAGCAAGAAAAAGCCATTTTCTTTTCCTGTAATTTAATCATATTTCATGATCTTCAGGAATCCTTTCTAACTCTATCATCTTTTTATATCTCTGTAAGTTGACTATAAAATGAAGCCCTGTATTAAAGCATCCTAGGCTTGAGAAAGAAATGTCTTTCCTCACAGTTCATGGGGATTTACTGTCTCTATATCTTGTCTGTTGCACATACAGCCCATGAGGTACAAGCAGGTCAGGACTCCTGCTACATTCTGATGAAGAAGCCGAGAAAAAGAGAAGTTAGATGACAATCACATGGTCCCATAGACACTCAGTTGCAGAACAACCACTAGATGTGGAATTTTCCCCATCATAAATTTGTACACTATTTTGTCACCCTTCCACTCTTACGAATGGAACACTCAAGCCAAAACCATAATGTTCAATATGAGCATGTTCAATTCTATACCATGATGTCGGAAAATACACATTTCTTTAGCCAGACACCATACTCCTCACCTCAGAGGGCAATAACAAGAGACCAGATGAATGGCTGAAAACTAATCCATACGCATGCAAAGTATACAACCCAAAAAGAGCTGATATTTGGCTATACTTACCATAACTGTTTCAGGTACTATGATAAGTACTAAAATGTAATCTTCCCAAGAACCCCCTGTGGGAAGTCTATTATTAGTACATTTTTACAGGTGAGTAGGCTAAGACTTCAAAGAGGTTAAGCAACTTGGTTACACAGCAGCTAAGTGGTGGAATTTGGAAAGAAACCCAGGCCATCTTATTTATCCAGTCATTTAAAAACCCTACACGGTGCTGCCTGTGACAGTGGAACAGCAGTGTCAGGGCATGTAAGAGCACAACGTCTTCATTACATCAAAAGCTAGTTCCAAAATCCTCCCCAAAACATGGCTGCCAGCTTCGTCTCAGACATGAACAATGAAGGGCTTCTTTGATCTTTCCAACAGAGCTTAGCTCTGCTGGGAACTTCTGTAGATCTTCTGTCTTCACCTTTCCTCTTAATTCATCTCCTAATCTTTGGAAGTTGGGAAGCCAATGGGGATGGCGTAGATAATGCCTCCCATGGAAGGGAAGGGCGAAACCCCACAGGCTGAGCAGTTTGAGTCATCATAGCCACTGCCATGATCTAGTTGAGGATTCTGACCTCAAATCAGACAAACTTTATGGTGCCTTATATGGCAAAATTGTCACCTGGCCTATGACCACGTTGATGTAGAATGCCCCATCAGTTTCATGGGTAAGGTGCTAACTAATCTCCCCACTGTGCTGCAAAAGAAAGTTATGGGAAGGTATAGGATTTGAATACTGAGAACAGGGCCAGGGGACTGTCCTAGTCTTTTCAGGCTGCTATAAAAAAACACTATAGACTACGCAGCTTACAAACAACAGAAAATTATTGCTCACAGTCCTGGAGGCTGGAAACTCAAGATCTAGGCATTGGCAGATTTGATGTCTGGTGAATGCCCACTTCCTGGTTCATATGTATCCTTACATAGTGGAAGAGGCAAAGGAGCTCTCCAAGGTCCCCTTTTAAGGGCACTAATCCCATTCATGAGACACCCCCACCCCCCACCCTCATGACCTTATCATCTGCCATCTGCCTTGTAATATATCACCTTGAGAGTTAGGATTTCAACAATGTAAATTTTAGGGGGACACAAACATTTAGTCTGTAGTGGGGTCCAAGGGGAAAGGATATCAAATTAGAAAGAAGAAAGCTGTTGCTTTCCAAAAAATTCTTATTTCTGCATAATTTGTGCCTACCTTGGGCACTTATTGTTGGTGGTGGTGATAGTGGTGTTCACATTTTGTAAGAAAGAAACCCCACACCTAAGAACGTCCTGCTGGAATGGGTCAATCCAGAAGTTACTTCATTCCAGGATGAGGAGCAAGATGTGTAGAGGTGATTCCACTCACTTCTGTCTCACATTTATCTTATAAATGTAGGAAGAGTACAAATAAGTAATTAAATATTTTTAAAATTACGTATGTGCTTTGTGTAGCTTCCCTAAGAAGAGCAGTGATTAGAATTGTGAAAAACAAAAATAACAGTTAGTTGCAGTGTCAAAAAAATTAATTATGAACAAGCAAGCTAGATACAGTTTAAAAATCTGAAGCAAATAAAAATTTTAATAAAATGTTTCCATCTTGGAAAAAGAATGTCAATATTTTCTCTCCCACTCTTTGAGTAACAGAAGACCATAAAGCATGATTAGAGTGAATTTATTTTTTGAGCCATCTTGATAATCACATTAATGCTGAAAAAACGCTGCAAGCACTTTAGGAGTTGTTTGACACAAACTACTAGCTAATTAGTCTGCTTATCTGACATTTTTACACTGTTATGCAGTATTGTCATTTTGAAATGGCAATTTACCATTATTATTAAATTTTTATTTCTAAATGCTTCTCAAAATACATATCAAATCTATTAGTCCTCCTCCAAAATATCATTTGTCATCCTTGATGGGAACATTTTAAAAGATGACAGGTTGTTCTTCCTTATATTGCTTTATGGATTAATGTAGTGACTGTCACTGTGGGGTTTTGTTTGTTTTTGGTAAATGCTGTTTCCATATGATGCTAACTATAATGGCTGTTTGTAAATACCAAAACATAGTTGATGTTATAAAATGCATGTTCATATGACATTTTTTAAGCCCTGAGCTTACTTCTCTATCACATTTCTTTATGCAAACACATGTTAATAAGTCTTCTATTGTTGTGGCCTTCTTAAGCTAAAATTTCAAACATCCATTTTCACATTGGATGTTCCATTCTGGGTATCTTCTAGCATCTCCTATGAAGTTCAGTTCTGTGCCATATCACAACAGGTTGTGATGTGCCATGTGGAGGTTACCACGCCATAATTGAGGTGGTAATAAATATGCCACTTAGGATGCAGCAGTTATAATTTCTCTTTAGAGGTCCTTAATTGGGGCAGTGAACAATCCAGGCCATGATTTCCAGTCCCGTGGCACATGAAACCTCTTTAGATTGAATGAAATTGTTGTGGTTCCCCCACTGAGTTAACAGCCAGTCTCAGTGGACCCATTCCAACGTCTGACAATGGGAATCTGAATTCAGCCTGTAAGAACATGTCCACGAAACAACACCTCAGGGATACAAAATTACAGTTGTTCCATCTTGCATTATTCTCAAATTGCTGATATGACAAATAGCCATGCTGTTTACAGAATAAAAATACCTGTTTATAAATTAGATTGTTAGAGGGCTATTGGGTTCTGTTGTATGGAGAGCTGAAATTCCTATGGAAAAATAATGTATCTTAAAATTTCTTCTGAAGTCTTTACAGAAGAAACGAGAGTACAAATTTAAATATATAATGCCTTCAAATTAACAGGATTTTAGCATATAAAAATTAACTTACAGTTCAGCACACAACACACACACACACACCCCCATTAAGTATACTGATTTACAGGTCTTAGAAAAACCCTTACTTCCTCTTCCTCTTTTATAGTTAAAGAGGGAATTTCAATTTCCTGGGTCATAAGTCAGTACATCTGCCCTAATGTGTGTGTGTGTGTATGTGTGTGTGTGTGCGCGCACACACGTGTGCACATGCATGCACATAGTGCTTTAATTTTATACTTTATTGTACTTAGGTCCAAGTGATTAATAGTGGTATAAAATTAGTAAAATGTAAAAGGATAATTTTCTTTTTGTTGTTGTTGTTCAAGTCTTCTATTTCCTTACTAATTTTTACTACCTTTATTCTGAACACTACAACATTACTAATACAATCTTAGATTAAGTGGTTTTTTTATTGGTGATAACTATATCACTCTGTTAACATAGAATTTATAATCTACTAAAATTCCAATTTTTTGTTATACAGTTTAATTTTATATTAAAAAGTACATATTTTGAAATGTGTCCATGTTGACACATATAAATCTGGTTCCTTTTTTTATTATTATACTTTAAGTTCTGGGATACATGTGCAGAACATGCAGGTTTGTTACATAGGTATACATATGCCATGGTAGTTTGCTGTACCCATCAACCTGTCATCTACGTTAGGTATTTCCCCTAATGCTATCCCTCCCCCAGCCCCCCACCCCCCGACAGGCCCCAGTGTGTGATGTTCCCCTCCCTGTGTCCATGTGTTCTCATTGTTCAGCTCCCACTTATGAGTGAGAACATGCGGTGTTTGGTTTTCTGTTCATGTGTTAGTTTGCTGAGATTGATGGTTTCCAGCTTCATCCATGTCCCTGCAAAGGACATGAACTCATCAAAAGGATAATTTTCTAGTTGTCAAACACTGGGCACTCTGTAGTATTCTTTTGTCCTATATTGTGTCTCTCTATTTGAATGGGAAGGAAAGCTTATACTGCTTAAAGCTTAGCAATCAGACTAATACCTAAAATCAGTATCTTTATACTAATGATGCCTTGATACCTTGAATTGTTTTTCAAATACATGTGACATATGCAATGAATTATAAATCACTGAGAGGGTAAATAACTGAGAGGATGAGCCAATAATTTTTTGTCAGAAAATGAATTCATTTTCTAATATTACTTTTTAAAACCTTCTTAGAGAGTTAGAAACATTACTTTTCAAGTTGTATGAAACTAAAATTATTTTCCATGTTTGATTCCAGTTTTTCTTCGTAATGGGGGGAATATTTTAGGATAATGAAGTTTCAGGTTTTCTCAAGATGCTAGGCCTTAGTGTATTCTTCCTTAGATAATTGGGTAAAATACTGAAGAATAGAAAGCTATTAGCAGCAACCCCATTACTCTTAATAGTGAAAAAGGAAAACAAGTAGAATAAATGCTGACTTTTTTTCTTTCAATAGCTATCAAAGTATGGTGCAAGTTGGTGGATTGGACTTCAAGAAGAAAGAGCCAATGATGAATTTCGGTATGAACCTAGATTCATTTGCATTTAATTTTGTTTGACAGGTTTTATTTGCAGAATGATTAGATTCAATTTTAGTGATCAATTTGTTGAATACCCTTCAAACATTAACTTATAAATTTTCACTTCTCTAACCAAAGACATGAGTGTTTTTTAAAGAATATGCTTATGAAACCATCCCGACAATCTAGCCATAAACATATCCATCACCTCCAAAAGCTTTCTTTCCTGCTCTATTCATTTATTTATTTATTCACTAATTCATTCATTTTTGTGATGAGAACTCTTAACATAAAATCTACCCTCTTAGCTGGGCGCGGTGGTTCACACCTGTAATCCCAGTACTTTGGGAGGCCAAGGAGGGCGGATCGCCTGAGGTCAGGAGTTCAAGACCAGCCTGGCCAACATGGAGAAACTCTCTCTCTACTAAAAATACAAAAATTAGCTGGGCGTGGTGGTGCGCACCTGTAGACCCAGCTACTTGGGGGGGCTAAGGTAGGAGAATCACTTGAACCCGTGAGGCAGAGGCTGCCGTGAGCCGAGATCGTGCCACTGTACTCAGCCTGGGTGACAGAGAGAGACTCCATCTCAAAAAAAATCTACCACCTTAGAAAAATTTTAAGTATATGATACAATATTGTTAACTATAGGTACTATGCTACATATGAGTATATTTTTTAAATTTAATAGAATATTATATCTTCAATCCCTACCTCAGAACTCTAAGAATGATGTTGGAGACTGGACATGCAGAATGAGAGAAGACCTTAACATTTTTAATCTTCCCACAGCTGGAGAGATGGAACACCAGTGATATACCAGAACTGGGACACAGGAAGAGAAAGAACTGTGAATAATCAGAGCCAGAGATGTGGCTTTATTTCTTCTATAACAGGTTATTTTACTTACCCATTTTTGGGTTTATAATACAAACTGATAATTTTCAGGAGGCTTAAAGTCTTTTCCTTGCATCATTTCCATGAGAAGTTTCTGTTTATTTCTCTTTTCAGTTGACGTGTTCAGTTTTGTCTGCCATAAGGCTTAAGGATGGCCATTTTTTTCTGTTCAATCCATGCATTCATGTTCTTGGAAATAATTTACATCTGAATAAGTCCTTCCTCATAAATCAAGACAGCACCAGAAATGGGCCCAATGAAACTTTAAAGAAATATATGCCTGACAAATACTTTTTTCTATGGTATTTCAATGGAAGCACTTTTTAAAAAAATCTATTCCTATATCCAATTTATAATGGGCCAGAACTTTAACCTCTGTGAAATTTACTTCCATTTTCCTATTTAATAAATGTTTTGATTCAAGTCAGTATTCTTTTTTCTTTTACTACCTGTCATCAATTGCTGCTTGCTTTAGAATGGCAACTGTTTGCAAGTTGGATTTAGAAGCACATTTAGGTTGAAGATTGGTTTTTTAAATTCTCCTCATCAGTGCAGTGTAGTTAGGTTGATTGTCCACTCATTCCCCTTCTTTCTAACCAATAAAAGATAATGATACCCATTACTCTAACAGATTCATAACTAACCTGTGCCCCAGGCCAGGAGAGGGATAAACACAGAAAATAATTTTGGGTGTGAGGGCCTCTGCAGAGAGTTAGGAAAGGAAAATCCGTGTGGTTAATCAGCCTGCTTTTACCAGCAGGTGTCACAACAGCCTACAGAAAGGACTGTTTTGAGCGTCTGGGAGAATAGCAGCTAATCTGCATTGAAAATAGCATTCCAGCCCTTCCTTCAAAATGCCAACATCTTTTGGGCTCATATTCCTGATCTAGAAAACTGAGCCTGCCCTTGCAATTGGCATGCATTCTGCCCTGTTCTGGAATTTATGACTTGGATGCCAATAAAATGCATTCTATAATCCTTATTCTGAAAATATAGCTCTTCTAAATTAAAAAAAAAAAAAAGCAGTTAGTTTGTCGGAGGCTAAGGATTTGAGGATATTTCTTACTGAAGACATGTCTATATGTGAGTCTGGTTTACTTAAGGATCAGTATTAAATGCTGTTTTCTTGGAAGTTCTTGAGTTAATTTTTCTAAATTATTATATTTTCTAAAGAATTATAAAGTAGAAATTATCTACTGTTTTAGAATCTTTTTCCTCTCTGTACATTGAAATTGAACATTTTAAAATGAAATTGTTACCCTACAAAGTATTCTTTTGCTACACAAGTCAAATATTCTTAAGATTTTAATCAGTTCTATGATTCAAATTGCAGTATTTATTTAGATTTTTTTAATTTGCAAAATTTTTACATTCTTAAATTAAAATTACTGAGTTGGCCTTGCCCAGTTAGCTGTTGTCCCTAGAGAAATCTAAGATCAGTAGTTTAGTTCAGTTTCTAGATTTTAAAAAATAAATTATGAAAAACCATAGCCTCATAAAAATAGTGATCAATAGAGAATGCCTTCAAAGAATCGCCATTGTTCCTAAGCCATTTCTAACCCATTTTCTCCTCCAGGACTCTGGGGTAGTGAAGAGTGTTCAGTTTCTATGCCTAGTATCTGTAAGCGAAAAAAGGTTTGGCTCATAGAGAAAAAGAAAGATACACCAAAACAACATGGAACGTGTCCCAAAGGATGGCTATATTTTAACTATAAGGTAAGCTTGTTTTTCAAAAGTTGCCTTTGTTTCTCTTTTGTAGACACTAATTTTGGAAAGTGTTCAAAAAGTGAAAGTGGCTTTTGAAAGCTGTGAGTTGTCCATAGGACCTGGAATTTTTTTGTCACAACTTTCAAGAAATTTGAGTTTTCCATTTAGTAACAAATCTTTTGGAACAAAAGATTTTTGTCAAAAACAGCCTGGACACTGCCCCTCGTTTCTATACTCAGTTTTACTGTTGGCATAGTCATTTATTGTGCTGTATGAATGTTTCATTAGGTGTAACATATGTATGTATATGTATGTATGCATGTGTGTGTGCATATGCATGTGTGTGTGTGCTCATGTGCGTGCGTGTGTGTGCACGTGTATGTATGTGCCTGCATGCCTGTGTGTCTAGGTTCTGCTCCCAAATAAGCTGTAAATTTCAGAGGACCCAGACTCCATCTCCTACTCTTGTGTTTTCCCTGCCTGGAGCCGGCATAGAGCTCTGCCCACTAGTGAATTGAGGGACTAATAACTTAGCTTGGTCAATGTCATCTTAAGCCTCATAAAGCTGGTGCTTCCATGCAGATTTGAATTAAGAAAAAAAAAATTGCCAGTGGGGATATTTTAAACCAGATTTATTATTTCTGATGCTGCCTTCAATTAAGGCCTAGTCTCCCTCCACTCTTCATATTTTATAATAAAATAACTTTATAGGCCTTAGGTGGAAGTAATTAAAATGCATCCCAAATTATAATTGTTTAACTCTTAGAAAATTAAAAAACCCAAACTGTGTCATCATTTCATATGCTAATATGAAATTCCTCTTCAATTGTGGACAGCCAATTTTTAATCTAAGTGTTCAGTTATATTGGCAGGGCTTTCTCTCCTTTGTGATCTTCCTCCCATTGTTAATTTGAGAAATGAGGCCACTTGGATTTTTCACACATTCATTGAGTACCCACCAGACATTTGGCACTGACTTTTAAATTTTTTTAATATCTGGTAAATACACACAATATAGAATTCACCATTCTAGCCATTTTTGTCTACTGTTTACTAGTGTTAAGTATCACATACTCACACTGTCATTCAACAAATCTCCAGACCTTTTCCATCTTGCAAAACTGAAACTGTACCCATTAAACGACTCCCTGTTCTTCCTACTCTGAACCCCTTGGCAACTGCTGTTCTACTTTCTGTGTCTTTGAAATTGACTAATTTAGATACCTCATGTAAGTGGAATCAGACAGTATTTGCCTTTTTGTGACTGGCTTATTTCAGTTAGCATAATGTCCTCAAGGTTCACCCACACTGGCATGCGACAGGACTTCCTTTTGACGGTTGGACAATATTCCATTGTATGGATATACTACATTTTGTTTATCCAGTCATCCATTGGTGGACATTTGAGTTACGTCCCCCCTTAGCTAATTGATTGTATGTTTATTTCTTATATCACTGAATTTTAAAAATATATAGAATTACTATCCTCATTTTACATATGAGAAGACAGATGCTAACAAAATTGTGTGACTTTTCTGAAACTTCACAGTGAATACGCATCAGGCCAAGACGCACTTTTTGTTTTCTGACCCTGAGTCTGGTGGTCTTGCCCCTTTCCTATGCCTGCCACTTCACGTTGGCACTTAAGGACTGCCACTCCAGAAATGCAAATTAAAACAACAATGAGTGATTTGCCACTGCACAGCTACTAGAACGGCCCAAATCCAGAGCACTGACAACACTACATGCTGGCAAGGAGGCCGAACAACAGGAGCTCTCATTCACTCCTGGTGGGAATGCAGAATGGTACGGCCACTGTGGGAGACAGTTTGGCAGTTTCTTACAAAACTAAACATACTTTTACCATTTGATCCAGCAATCACACTCCTTGGTATTTACCCAAAGGAGTTGAAAACTTATGTATATGTAAAAACCTGTCCATGAATATTTATAACATCTTTATTCTTAATTGCCAAAACTTGGAAGCAATCAAGATGTCCCTAGTAGGTGAATAAATAAACTGGTACAACCACACAATGGAATATTACTCAGTGCTAAAAAGAAATTAGCTATCAAGCCTTTAAAACACATGGAGGAAACTTAAATTCATATTACTAAGTGAAAGAAGCCAATCTGAAAAGCCTACAATACTGTATGATTCCAACTATATGACATTCTGGAAAAGACAAAACTAGAGAGACAGTAAAAAGATCAGTGGTTGCCAGGTGTTGCAGGGAGGGAAGGATGAAGTTGTGGAAGATTCTTAGGGCAGTGAAAATTCTCTGTATGATAGCACAATGGTGGATGCATGTCACTAGACATTTGTACAAACTCATAGAATGTACAACACAAAGAGTGAACCCTAATGTAAACTATGGACTTTGGGTGGTTATGATGTGTTAATGCAGGTTCATCGATTGTAACAGATGTACCATTCTGGGGTGATGGGGCATGTGATAATGCGGGAGGCTGTGTATGTGTGGATCAGGTGGGAAATCTCTGTACCTTCCTGGTTTTTTTTGAGATGGACTCTCAGTCTGTCACTCAGGCTGAAGTGCAGTGACATGATCTCCCCTCACTGCAACCTTTATCTCCCAGGTTCAAGTGATTCTCTTGCCTCAGCCTCCCAGGTAGCTGGGGTTACAGGTGCCTGCCACCACGCCTGACTAATTTTTGTATTTTTAGTAGAAACGGGGTTTCATCATGCCAGGCTGGTCTCAAACTCCTGACCTCAGGTGATCCGCCCGCCTTGGTCTCCCAAAGTTGTACCTTCCTCTTAACTTTGCTGTGAACCTAAAACTGCTCTTTAAAAAATGAAGTATTTAATAATTTTTTTTTAAAAAAAAGGGTTGCCATGTCAGCTTAGCCCTATGACACAGTGAGCTCAGTGGCACCATGAGATATTTTCTAGAATAGTATAATTTACTCTAAAACTTTACTATAGTAATGAGGTACACTATTTTTTAATCATTGATACTTTCTGTATACTTCCTATTTTCTCAAACTATAAAATCTTTCTACCAGGTATAAATTATTTTCACATTTTAGTATGAGAAACTTGTAGCTAATATTCAATAAGACACTGAGTGTTACTAAGTCTTTTATTAAAACCTTTGGCAATTAGTTTTTTAAAGCATCTTTATGGTCCTAAATAATGTAACATAACATTTGCCATTTTAACCATTATTGAGTGTACAATTCAATGGCATTAATTACATGCACAATGTTATACAACCATCATCTCTATTTCCAAAACATTCTCACTATCCCAAACAGAAACTCTGTAACCATTAAGCACTAACTTCCTGTTCCCCATCCCCTGGTAACCTCTAATCTATTCTCTATCCCTGTGAATGTGCCTATTCTAGATATTTCATATTAGCGAACTCATACAATATTTGTCCTTGTGTCTGGCCTATTCGCATGATGTTTTCAAGGTTCATTTGTGCTTTAGCATATATCAAAATTGCCTTCCTTCTTGTGGCTGAATAATATTCCTGTGTGGCACGGGCGTGTGTGTGTGTGTGAATATTGCATATTTTGTTTATTCATTCATCTGTTGATGCGCACTTGGGTTGTTTTCACCTTTTGACTATTGTGAATAATGCTTCAATGAGCATTGGTGTGTAAGTCTCTGTTTGAGTCCCTATTTTCAATTCTTTTGAATGTATACCTACGAATAGAATTGCTGGGTCATATGGTAACTCAGTAGTTAGCTTTTTGAGGAACTGACAAATGTTCTTCCACAGCGACCAAACCATTTTACAATCCTGCTAGCCGTGTGTGAGGGTTTCAATTTCTCCACATCTTTGCCAACTCTGGCTATTATATAGCCATCCTAGAACACGTTAGGTGTTATTTCATTGTGATTTCGATTTGCATTTCTCTATTATCTGATGAAGTTGAGCATCGTTTCATGTGCTTGTTAGCCATTTGTTTATCTTCTTTGGAAAAATGTCTATTAAAGTCCTTTGTCCATTTTTAAATTGGATCATTTGCCTTTTTATTGTTGAGTTATAGGAATTCCTTGTATATTCTAAATATTAAACCCCATCCAATATGTGATTTATAAATATTTTCAGTCATTCTGTAGGTTGTCTTTTAACTTTCTTGATAATGTCCTTTGATGCACAAAAGTTTTTAATTTTGATGAAACCCAGTTATCTACTTTTTCTTCCGTCACTTGTGCTTTTGGTATCATACTTAAGAATTCACTGCCAAATCCAAGGTAATGAAGATTTGCCCCTGTGTGTTTGTCTAAGAGCTTCATGGTTTTAGCATTTATATTTAGGTTGTTGATACATTTTGAATTCACTCCAGTATGTGACAATTAGTTTTTCACAACTGTTAGAACAAGTTTATCCTGGCATGGTCTCTAGGGAACAGGCATAAAGGAATGCCTAGCTAATCTCCAAATCACATTTCTGGTACAGATAGTGAACAACCCAAAAGCATGAACACAACTGTCCTAGTTACTAACTCATGCCTCCTCTCATGTGTAAAAGAGGATTTTTTTATATACTTTAAGTTCTGGGGTACATGTGTAGAACATGCAATTTTGTTACATAGATATACACGTGCCATGGTGGTTTGCTGCACCCATCAACCCGTCACCTACATTAGGTATTGCTCCTAATGTTATCCCTCCCCTAGGCCCCCAGTCCCCAACAGGCCCTGGTGTGTGATGTTCCCCTCCCTATGTCCATGTGTTCTCATTGTTAGCTCCCACTTATGAGTGAGAACATGTGGTGTTTGGTTTTCTGTTCCTGTGTTAGTTTGCTGAGAATGATGGTTTCCAGCTTCATCCATGTCCCTGCAAAGGACATGAACTCATCCTTTTTTATGGCTGCATAGTATTCCATGGTGTTTATGTGCCACATTTTCTTTATCCAGTCTATCATTGATGGACATTTGGGTTGGTTCCAAGTCTTTGCTATTGTGAATAGTGCTGCAATAAACAAACATGTGCATGTGTCTTTATAGCAGCATGATTTATAATCCTTTGGGTATATACCCAGTAATGGGATTGCTGGGTCAAATGGTATTTCTAGTTCTAGATCCTTGGGGAATCACCACACTGTGTTCCACAATGGTTTAACTAATTTACACTCCCACCAACAGTGTAAAAGTGTTCATATTTCTCCACATACTCTCCAGCATCTGTTGTTTCCTGACTTTTTAATGATCGCCATTCTAACTGGCCTGATGTGGTATCTCATTGTGGGTTTGATTTGCATTTCTCTAATGACAAGTGATGATGAGTATTTTTTCATATTTCTGTTGACTGCATAATGTCTTCTTTTGAGAAGTGTCTGTTCATCTCCTTGGCCCACTTTTTGATGGGGTTGTTTGTTTTTTTCTTGTAAATTTGTTTAAGTTCTTTGTAGATTCTGGATATTAGACCTTTGTCAGATGGATAGATTGCAAAAATTTTCTCCCATTCTGTAGGTTGCCTGTTTATTCTGATGATAGTTTCTTTTGCTGTGCAGAAGCTCTTTAATTTAATTAGATCCCATTTGTCTATTTTGGCTTTTGTTGCCATTGCTTTTGGTGTTTTAGGCATGAAGTCTTTGCTCATGCCTATGTCCTGAATGGTATTGCCCAGGTTTTCTTCTAGGATTAAAAGAGGATATTTTAAGGAAATTAATGACAAGTCAAATCCTTAGCATTTGATAAATAATTCTTAGAAACCTGGAATAGTTGTTTCTGGTTCAGCCTTTTGCTATTATCCTTCCCCCAAACTTGATTTTTACCCACACAGTTCACCTCCATCCCATGTGTCCTCCTGTACACACGTAGAGAGTGTGTATCTATGGGAATGGTGGCAGTGATGGTGGAGCAGACCCAGGGCAAAAGAGCAAGTGAATGCTTCCCATGAAAGGAATAGAGAGGGGAATAAATATGTGCATGAGAATGGCGGGGAGGGGAGGCGCCTTCTGAAGCTAGCCCTGGGGCATGATTAAAACACCCTCATGTAGCTCAGAGTTATAAAAAAAAATTATTGATAACTAACAGCTAGATCAGTAGTTTTCAGCCCTGGTCAAATATTTAGAATCAGCAGGTGAGCTTTTTAAAAACATCAAAGTGCAGGAGACGTCCTGAAGATTCTGATTTAGCTGATCTGCATGGGATCCAGGCATCCGTATTTTTTTAAAGCTCCCTCAGTTATTCTAATGTGTGGCCAATATTTACCCAGCAATTCAACAGTCATAGTTCCACAACTCTTTCTTCAAGGCATTAGGAGCATTTGATTACAAAGGATATCATCACAGCAGGCTTCATAAGTAGGTGGCAATTCACCTGGCACAATGTCAGAGTCACCATGCATGTCTCCCCACCCACAGTGCCTTCTCCTGCGCATTAATGCCTAAAATTCCACCACTGGAGTTTCTCTCCTTTGTCTCAACACTTTCCTTTATTTTTAAAAGGGAAATATTTTTGAGATTGCCTCATCTGTCATCAACATCTTGAAACAAGTAAGTTTATCAGATTATTAGAAAAACTGTTAATAGGAGAGTTGATAGCTGAGAGCGGTGGGATGGTTTTTCCCTATTAACAAATAAAGCTACAGAAGGAAAACTGGGAGATAACAATGATGGACCTTCTTTACTTCACAATTCTGAAATGAGTTCCAATATATTATGTCCCATTAAACTTTGCTTATTGTTTGTGAATTTCCTAGGACTAATTTTTATTGGTTATTTCTAAGGAAAAAAATCCCACTTTGTTGGCAAATTAAGTGGGTTTTAAAACTGAGATACACAGAAATTAAGCATCTTTTCTAATGTCTCATAAATAGTTTTCTCTGTGTTTGATAATGTAACAGAGGTTTGACCAGGGGTTTACCCAGGAAGAATGAGTCATCTAAGATACTTGTCCCAGCAGATCTGTGGGAGGAAGAAATTCTAAGTGTGTGTGTGTGATTAACTCTTGTGCTTCTACTTACATATTTTTATTCAAGACCTGGATTGAGTGGTAATGGCTGCTTTGCACTGTCTAGTTTGGGATTAGTCAATATTTGATTTTGTGCATAACATAGTTTTTTCTTAAAAATACTCTCACCTCTTTTTGGAATTTATTCAAATTGGAGCACTTCATTCATTCATTCATTTACTATCTCGATGTCGGGAATTCAGTGGTGAGGAAAAACAGACACAGCCCCTTCTCTTTTGGTGCTTACACACTAGAGGGAGAACAAACATTAGTAAATCGATCAGGAAAATGGCTGTGTAATTTAAAACTGTGCTGTACGTGATGAAGGAAAGTTATGTGGTTCTAGAAAAGTGTATAGCCAGAGGACCTGACTGAAGTGGTCAGAAAGGCAGGGAACATTAAAAATAGGGGGAGCTGCATGTGCTAAGGTCCTGCAGCAAGGTGGGAGTATGACATTTAAGAAACTAAAGGAAACATAGAGAACTAGAGTGGCCAAAGGTGAGACAAAAGAAGTGGAAAGGGTGATACCGTGTTGGACTTCTGGCCTCTATCCTAAGAGCAGTGGGAAACCCTTGATGGGTTTAAAACTAAAGAAGGACGTGACCAGGACCAAATTTTAAAAAGTTACTCTAGATGTAGTGCCAAGGATATATGGAAGAAGGGCAAGGGTGAGAAAGGTAAGAGCAGTTAGGAAGCTATTGCTGTAGTGCAGGCAAGAGACTGGTAGGTTGGGCTAAGATAGTGGTGGCAGAGACCATGAGGCAGTGGGAATGGGGATGGGTGAGGGGGCTTTTTGGGAAATGAGATGTCCAAATGGTATGGCTGTTGGGGAGATGGAGTGGGAAGGTAAGGATGCCTCTGAGGTTTCAGGCTTATTGTATGTGTATAAGTGCATGCAGACCGTGCCATTCATTGTGAGTAGGAACACTGGGAAAGGACCAAGTTTGGAGGGAACTGAATTTCATTTCCAAATATTGAGCTAGAAATGATTTTGAGACAAAAAAGAATTTTATATTGAAAACCCATTTAGAATACAGTAGGACCCCATTAATTCACAGTAATAATCAGAGATGCATTAAACTTGATCACATTTTGCAAATTAGTAAGTAAACAATTTTAAATTAAGGATGCTGTACTTCATCTTGCTGCTTTGCCTTAATTATTAATGACACAATTTCGGAGTGTGTTAGTAAATATGTTATATTTTTAGAAACAATGAAGTCGTGGTAATTGCAGGCCACACTTCCGTAGTCAAGCTAGTAAATCCTGGCTGAGGCAAACATAGAGGAAGCAGAGGAGATGTTTTTCTGGAGAGATTTATTGAGCTAACTGAACCAATGAGGTTCATTGGTATTTATGAATGGTTCATTAGTGTAACTATCTGAACACAAGGTGAATTCACATTAAATGATAAGACTTCCCAATAATTAATATGTGCCACTCTTTAGAATTTGTAATTAGAGGAAAGAGGCAAAATGAAAGGAAATAGATAAAAGGATAGTTGTTATAAAATTAAACTCCTTGAAAGCCAATTCAGTTTATTTGTGAAGCAAACAAGACAAAAAGGACCAGAAGAATTGAAAATGTATTTTCTCTCTTAGTTGGCAACTCAACCTCAAGCTAGTTCAGTGTTTCTGGTTTTTATCCTAAGAGTAGTGGAAAATTCCTGAAGGGTTTAAACTAAAGGGTGACATGATCAGGACTGAGTTTTAAAAAGAATTACCTTACACTATTGACATTTGGGGTCAGATAATTCTTTCTTTTGAAAGACTGACCTGACCTGTGCTTTGCAAATGGTTAGCAGCATCTTTGTCTCTACCCATTAGTTGCCAATAGCAATCCCCTCCCCAACTGTAACAGTGAAAAATATCTGCAGGCATTATCAAAATATACCCTGAGGGGCAAAATTGTCCTGTTGGAGAACCACTGAGCTAAATTTAGAATGACTGACAATGTCATTTGACAACCATTTTAGGGTCTGTTGTCTTTTATTTTGCTTAATAAATGTTTACTAGGGGCCTTCTCTGGTGTGATGTTCAAAGAGGAGTAAGACTTAGTCTCTCTGCTTTTAAGGGGTGTATGATGGTGGGGAAGGGGTGGAGAACTGAAAAATTTGGAAATTAAAGAATGATGGGGAAAGATATTGTATTAGACCAGTCTTGCATTTCTATAAAGGAATACCTGAGACTGGGTAACTGATGAAGAAAATAGGTTTATTTTGACTTACAGTTCTGCAGGCTGTACAAGAAGCATGGTGCCGGCACCTGCTACTGGTGAGGGCCTCAGGGAGCTTACAATCATGGCAGAAGATAACAGGGAACCAGCATGTCACATGGCAAGAGCAAGCACAAGAGGGTGAGGTGAGAGGAGGTTCCAGACTTTTAAACAATCAGATCTCGCATGAACTGAGAACTCATTGATCACCTAGGGGATGGTCCTAAGCCTTCAAGAGGGATCTGCCCCATGATCCAATCACCTCCCACCAGGCCTCACCTTCAACACTGGGAATTACATTTCAACATGAGAGTTGGAGGGAACAGACATCCAAACTATATCAGATATCATTTCAAAATAAGGTAGGAAAGGATGCTTTTTCAAGTGTAGGTTTCCACGCTAACCTAGAATTATCCTGTAGTGGCGAGATCTTAGGATCTGATCTATCAATGACTAGGGTTATCTGTGTTCATTGATGAGAGAATTGATTATGAGAGAAGAATCCCCAGCAAGTTCCAGATGAAACATCCTTTGCATAAAGTTTCTCCTGACCTCTCTGGAATTTTGCCTGATCCATTATAACCTTTCTCTTCTATCTTTTCCTCTCACCAAACTCCATCTGTTCCTACCAACATTCTTAAATTTCATCGAACTTTCAGGGAAAAACAAACAAACTTATCTTCAACCCTGCCTGTCCTGCCAAGTATGTATCATTCCATTTCTCATCCCATAAGAAAGAAACCTCTGTGGCAGGGCGCAGTGGCTCACACCTGTAATCCCAACTCTTTGGGAGGCCAAGGCAGATGGATCACAAGGTCAAGAGATCAAGACCATCCTGGCCAACATGGTGAAACCCCATCTCTACTAAAAATACAAAAATTAGCCAGGCATGGTGGTGCGCACCTGTAGTCCCAGTTACTCAGGAGACTGAGGTAGGAGAATCACTTGAACCCAGGAGGCAGAGGTTGCAGTGAGCCGAGATCTGACCACTGCACTCCAGCCTGGGCAACAGAGCAAGACTCCATCTCAAAAAAAATTTAAAAAGAAAAGAAAAGAAACCTCTGCCATGATGCAGACATGATTCTCTCTTGCATAACACTCAACTTTTATTGCCAAATTCCACAACCTTTTCTGTGTTCCCTCTAACATTGATGGCCAACCTTCCCCTTCATTTCTACTTCTTCCCAGGTTTCTTTGGTCATACCCTTGCTTTCTGTCCCACTGGGATCATTTATTTTTCTTCTCTGGCTCTTCCCAATAGACTTAGTGACCAAATGGCTGACTCAAGTATTTAGTGAATTTAAACACCTGATGTGTTTGACTCCCCATTATTTCTCTCTCACTTAAAGTAAGGAAGTGTGTTTGTAAATAAAATTGAACTAAGCTGTTCATTGCCACCCCCAGAATGTTTTTGTTTTTTTTTTTTTAGATTAAATGTGCCCATGTAAACTTTGCAATCAGAGTGGCTCCTTTTTAGGAAGAATACTACTTTTCATTGTGCTGAAGGCACTGTTCTGACATTTCACAAGACAAAACGCATCCCTGCTTCTGTTCCTGCCTGCTGCAAATGCAGGCAAGTCATTAACTCACCCTAAAAGCTGCTCCTCTTTGTTTTACTGTAACACCTTTGGAGGAGGTGAAAGAAAAATGAGTTCTTTCTGCCCAAGAAAATTATAAAGAATTTTCAAAGCTGATATTCAGTGTCTTTGGGAAATTTTTAATTCACTTAGAAAGATACAGAAATGAATGTTTTGTTTTGACATTTTTTGATAGTGCCTTCTGCTGAATATCCCCAAAGACCCAAGCAGTTGGAAGAACTGGACGCATGCTCAACATTTCTGTGCTGAAGAAGGGGGGACCCTGGTCGCCATTGAAAGTGAGGTGGAGCAAGGTAGAGTACTCAAGATCCAACCAGGCCAAGATAACCATTTTTATTCAAGTATTTATTAAAATATCCCCCCCACCTATACTAACATTCCCAAATCAACATTTAAAATACTGTGTTGCTGATGATACACGAGTTTGCAGTTTGACCCATAGGTTTTATTTCATGATATCTGTAAAAGTTAGTGTACTGCATTGCTTATAAACTGCTGGGTTTTGGAGCCTTGTCTCTCACCAGTAGCAGTGGAAAGAATAAGGACATATTCATGGCCTATATTTCAAAATGGCTAAAAAGTATGATCTACATGTAATTGCATGGTATGATTTTTAGATCCCTTTACATTTACCTACATGCTTTTATTTGATATTTAATCAATTATATACTTCAGTTTAAATATAGCAGATAAATCCTCTTTTGTTTAGAAAGGTAATTAATGAACACTGGAAATTGTTTTGTTAATGATATGATGAAATCTCAGGTTATCCAGCTAATTTCTGTCAATTTAAACTAAAACAAAAGTGAAAGAAACTGCATTACCTTAACAAGGATAAAGTAACAAATTCCTATAAATGATTCATAATTATGTTTTGCTGGCATTTAAATATAATCATAGCTATAAATAGGATGCAGTGATTACCCAAATGCTTTCTACAGTATTAAATTAGATAATGTATTCCTGTTTTTCAGCTTTCATTACTATGAATCTTTTTGGCCAGACCACCAGTGTGTGGATAGGTTTACAAAATGATGATTATGAAACATGGCTAAATGGAAAGCCTGTGGTATATTCTAACTGGTCTCCATTTGATATAATAAATGTAAGTTTTAAGATTTATTTTTTGGAGATCACTTTGGCAAGATATTTTATTCAAGATTTGTTTACTAAAGCTTTTTTTATTTCCTATATTTTGTAGGTATAAATTTATATTAGTTTTTTATTAATATATTAATTTTTAATGTAATTTTATGTGTTCCATTAATATAATTACTTTACTCATCACAATAATTGTTTATTTTGTAGGTTATGAAATGACTTGTGAATAAGTTTATTAAATGCGAATAAAGGAATAATGGTGTCTTAATTTTAAAAATAATGTCTTAATAAAAATTTTAATGTTATAATAATGCTATATGTTATCATACTTTTGATAACGTGTATTATTTTAAAGATTCCAAGTCACAATACCACTGAAGTTCAGAAACACATTCCTCTCTGTGCCTTACTCTCAAGTAATCCTAATTTTCATTTCACTGGAAAATGGTATTTTGAAGACTGTGGAAAGGAAGGCTATGGGTTTGTTTGTGAAAAAATGCAAGGTAAGAAATATTTGGGTTTTTATTCCTTTCATTTCCAAAGTCCATCCTTCTCTTTCATGTTGGTTTTACACAGCTGTGTAGCTAATGTAGCTAACAGTTTCCTGGCTAACAGTGTCAGGCACTTCTTCTTTGGCTTTACATAAGTTTAGTTATTTAATCTCCTCTACCCTAGGCTTATGCCCTTTAGTGGGATTCTAAGGACTGCCGAGGCCACTTGAGTGATGACCAAATTTATGTATCTATCTTAGTCATATTAAATGGCTTTACTGCTTCATTCTGGGATTATGTATCTGTTCAGGTGATTTTTAAAGGTCACTGAGAAAATGTTGGGAAAGAATCAAGGAAATAAACCAACTCATATTTGCTCCTTTTTTGGAACCCTGAAAATGGTCTCTGTGGCTAAATGTGGCATGCAGCAATCTTCTAGATCTGATGGGCAGAACCCCCAAATGGTTTCTGTGTGAAATGCCAAAGCCACACTATTACAAATAGCCAACAGGGTCAATGAATAGTGTGAATGCACTATAACTGACCTTGAGTACTATAAATAAAAACAACAACAGCTCATGCTTTTACTGAATGCTGGGTATCCCTGTCCACACCACCCAAGAAAGCCATAGTTGGTGTCTAGAGCTGTATGGAACTCTGGGCAGCCTAGCATATATTTATATATATATATATATATACTTATTTGGAATAGGAATTTTACTTCTTAATGTGGCATACGTGTGAAGTCTCTAATGTTACTATCAACTCATCCTCAAAAAAGCAGTGCCAGAGAAGCTCCATTTCTGGTTCTCAGTTACCACTTAAACATTATAGTGGTCAGGAACTGAAAAAATGATACTAGATCTGTAACAGCAAGAGTAATATGGGAACAGCAGAGCCTTGTAGGGAAAGAAATAATATGAGCATGCCAGGTACTTACACACTTATGAGTACCTGACCCTGTGCCTTGAGTGTATGCGCGGTATGCCACAAAATCCTCAAGACAGTTCTATGAAGTAGGTAAAAGTCTCCCATTTTACAGATGAGGAACTTGAGGCTTAAAAACATAAGTCATCCTTGCTAGGCACGGTGGCTCACGCCAGTAATCCTAGCCTTTGGGGGACCAAGGCGGGTGGATTGACTGAGCTCAGGAGTTCAAGACCAGCCTGAGCAACATGGTGAAACCCCGTCTCTACTAAAATACAAAAAATTAGCCGGGCGTGGTGGCAGGTGCCTGTAGTCCTAGTTACTAGGGAGGCTGAGGCATGAGAATCGCTTGAACCCGGGAGGCGGAGGTTGCAGTGAGCCGAGATCGCACCACTGCATTCCAGCCTGGGCTACAGAGTGAGACTCTGTCTCCAGGAAAACAAAACAAAACAAAACAAAAATAACACACTCAAGGTGTCTCAGTTAAACACAATGATTCTATTCCACTACCTTGATGTTGATTTATTCTTGGAATGTGCCCTCTGATCACTTTCTCTCTTTGGTATTTTTGGGACTAACAGTGTAGATTTTCCTTTAGAGATAGTACAGAATAGTGGTGATTGAGAGCATAGGCACCGGAGTGCCTACCACACATGGGTTCCCACCCTTCTTTGTAGATAAGCTTCAGTCAAGGTTACTTATCTTCTGTGATCATGATTTCTGCATCTGCAAAATGTGGTAATAGCCATCTCACACACTTTATGTATGTATAACACTTAGCATACTTCTAGCATATATTTAACAAACGATATAGTTTTTTCTATTATTTCCAGAAAGTATTGTTCAACTACACTAGTTATTGTAGCCAACAATAAATATTCAAGTTCTGCTCCTCTTCTCTGTTTGTCAGATACATATGTGCTTACATTGGGCTTGAGCCCAAAGTCTTTTATCTGCCAAAAAAATTAAGAAACTGAATAAGAAGAGACACAAGGGCAAAGCAAGACTCCCCAGTTTAGAACTTGGTTTCCAATAGATCTTTCTTTTTCAGGGCAATGGGTGGCAAAACCATGCTGCTCAAAATCACTTGTTTTGAAACTTAATGGAATCAATTACATATGGAGAAATTTATATATGTAAAAATACAGACATATAACTCAGTGGGGAAAAAACAGTCAAATTGGCATTTGGGTAACATATACAAAGAATGTCATTTAATGTTATGAATTGTTAGCATTTTAAAATAGCTACTTTGATATTATTTTGATTTTGTATGAATAACCATTACACTGGGCACGTAGGCTGGGCACAGACTAATAGCAAAGAATAAAAATATGATAAAAGTGTGATCCATCACAATTTACAGAAATTAAAGAGATTCATTTTACTTTGGTTTTTCCATATGTACAGCTGCTGTATTGAGGTAATGGTTTCAGATAAAGGTCAGTTTCCCACTTTGCCATTTTTACTGGGGGGAGTATGACCGGAGGAGGAGAGTGGAGCAAGAAGCAACATTCATAGGATGCTTTCTGTGTCTCCATACAATAGTGTGTGCCTTGTGTGGATATCTCGTTCAATTCCATCCACACCCCTCCAAGGGAGACCCTCATCATCTCTTGTAGACCATAAATTTGAGGTTTAGAAAGGTTAATTTGCCCAAGAGCTCTTAGCCAGTTAGGGCCAGGAATAGGATTAAGTCCCAGCCTCATGACCTATCCACACCTCACATGCTTCTTTCCAACACCAAATGTAGTAAAACCAGTACACAGAAATTCAAGTCACTTTGGATCAGAAGGTACAAAAACTCTTACCTTGTTTTTGTCCTTTAGGTTTTCTAAACCTTTAGTCTATCCTAGTACATAACATACAGAACATATGTTCTATACATATCCTAACATATGTTCTATACATATCCTAGTACATATAGAACATATGTTCTATGTAAACAGAAAGGCAAATGCACATATTAGAGAGGAAACACGTGTTCATAAACACAGGCTTGGTTTTCACATGATCACAGCCACTCACAGACTCTCAAGCACCAATGCTTGACAACGTGTGGGAAAACCTTGCCTTTTAATTTATAAACTTTGACTCTGACAGGTGACATATTAATAGTAACTGTTTATAAGAACAGTGTGTATTTCTAAGAATTTATTAACTTTATTTTTTAAAATTCCTTTTAGAATTTATACATGCAAACATTAAGCATAATAGTGACTATCAGTCTCAAAAGTGTAATCGAGTATTTTACCTGATAATATGCACCTGTAATATTAGGTTTGCAATGCAATATATGACTATGTAACATGTGCCTTTCTGCTATTAATAAGCATTAAGTTCTGCCACAGCAGTGTGGATTAAGCCAAGTGTAGTTAGTGGAGTGAAACCCACCTAAGAAGATCACCATCAGTTCCACCAAAAAGCAGTCAATTTGATAAAGGATGGTCAAAACTGGGAAATCTTCTAGAAATGGTTCAATCTATGTTTATGTTTTTGAAAAACAATTCATTAAATTTCCTGAGTGTTCTCATTTTTTTGCATCACTTACACTTTCAGATAGTGTTCTTGTTTTGAAACAGTCAATTCCAGAAGAAAGCACTCTGATCAACATGGATCATAGTGACAAGGATCTATGCTAAGCTTTGCCTCTTCCTTTGTCATCCAGATGCTGCAAATGACTTTTGTTGCTGTTCTTGTTCTAGATACTTCTGGACACGGTGTAAATACATCTGATATGTATCCAATGCCCAATACCTTAGAATATGGAAACAGAACTTACAAAATAATTAATGCAAATATGACTTGGTATGCAGCAATAAAAACCTGCCTGATGCACAAAGCACAACTGGTCAGCATCACAGACCAGTATCACCAGTCCTTCCTCACTGTTGTCCTCAACCGGCTAGGATATGCCCACTGGATTGGACTGTTCACCACAGATGTAGGTATCCTAACTCCCTTGAGACATCCTTGAATAATTAAGTTTAGCATCTACCTCCTTCATGATCTGGCCACTGAAATTAGCACTGAAAAAAAGATCCCAAAAATATTAATAAATATAACACTTAAATAATTGGTTTATGCAATTACCTGACCAACCTTATGAACAGCCTATGACTACAAAATAAGAGTGCACACCTCTTTAGGGTAAACATCCACTTGCCTAATGTCTGGAAATTAATACCATTCAAAGGTTCTCTGAAAATTTCCAAGTACCCCGATACTGCCTTGCATGTGCACTGGAACACAGCTGAAACTCAAGCACTGCATTTGGGAATTTGCGGCATTTAATGAATCCCCAAGAAAAAACGAATCATGCTTCTTGTCTAGAAATGTGATTATTAATTAGTTTAGTACCACTTATAATTAAGCACTTGAGGTTTTATTTTCCTCTAGGGATGTGGTTTAGAGAATACGTTATTTTCATTTTTTTAAATAAAATATTGTACACTCAAAGTAGTGAAAAGTAAACTAGTCTATCCTGACCCCTAGTTCTACTCCCTAATGTTAGTAATTGTGAACACTGTCTTGTGTGCCATCTAGAAATTTTCCATGTATACACATACATATTCATGTAATGGAAGAATATGTACATTGTTTTTCAAGCACAAATGAGATCCTATTCTACATGCTGTCTTTAAACTTGCTTTTTAATTTAATATATCTTTAACAACTTCACATGTCAGCACATAAAAATCTCATGAATTCTTTAGAACGCAGCATGTAAGGATATACCACAACTTATTAAACCATTCTCCTGTGAATAGACATTTGGGTTCTTCTCAGTTTTTCACAGTTATAAACAATGCACAACAAATATCCTTGTGCCAGTAGGATAATTTTTTAGAAGTAAAATTGCTGCGTACACTTAAAATTTTGACAAGTACTACCAAATTGCCCTCCAAGAGTTTGCACCAATTTACATGCCAACAACAGTATGTGATAATGTCTAGTTTTTTCACATCCTTGTCAACACCAGGTATTCTCAAAATTTTAATCCTTGCCAGTGGGAGAGATAAATGAATGATATTTCATGATTATTTATTGCATCATGTAGTACAGAATGTTTTAACTTCATGTAGTCAGTTTTGCTTTATAGCCTCTGGATTTTCTATGACTTGGAAAGGTTTTCCCCACACCAACAGTATAAAAAAATTTAACCAGGTTTTCTTTAACATGTTTATGTTTTCAATTTTATGTTTGAATAATTGATCAATCTGAAATGTATTTCACTGTAAAAGACAAGGTACTGGTCCAATTTCACGCCGATTGCTCACTAGAAAATCATTGTGGCAGGGAGCCAAGAATTCCTAAAAATCAAAAAAGATCTCATTTGTGGCAGATATTCCTGTTTGTCAAGCTGTATTCACAGATGTCCTAGCCCCTCTTTAAAAAGGTGTGCAGAAATAGCAATCGATGTGGGAATTGTAGCATGCTCAGATAACACTGGGTGATGCTGCCAGCCGTCGTGGCAAGGAAATGATGGCTCAGTTTTCCTCCACAGAATGGTCTTAATTTTGACTGGTCTGATGGCACCAAATCTTCTTTCACTTTTTGGAAAGATGAGGAGTCCTCCCTCCTTGGTGACTGCGTTTTTGCCGACAGCAACGGACGCTGGCATAGCACAGCCTGCGAGTCATTTCTGCAAGGTGCCATTTGTCATGTGCCACCTGGTAGGTTCAATTCTATTCAACTCAAAAATATACCTTATTTAACTACTGTATGCAAGACACTGTGCTAAGCAAAGGATATGAGGATGAGTATAGTAAGAAGTCTCTCTTCAAGAAGCCTCTGGTCTGGTTGGTGATGTAAAGAATAACAGAACTACAAAATGATATAAGAGAGGTAGCAAATGTTATGGGGGTTATCAAGAAAAAGAATGCATTGTATTCATTTGGAGAAAGGTAGAAAGGCTTCTTGAAGGACATGGCAGTGCAGATGGGCCTTGATAAATAGGTGGGTGTAGATGGGTAATAATGGGACATGGAAAGGCATTCTGAGGAGAAAAGCTGGATGAAAATGGGGAAGGAAGACAGGACGAGGCTTACGTAAGACAAAGCCGATGTTGGGATTTGCCTGAATGCAGGTTAGGCGTAAGGGAGGGGTGGGAAATTAGATGAGAAACATGGGCTTCAAGCATGTGTGGAGGACTTTGAGGATTCATGTTTAAATAAAAGATTGATAGGATTCCAGAGCTACAATAATGATGGTGGTGATATTGTTTGGATATTTACTAGATATCTGGCTCTGCACTTTACATAATATCTCATTTACACTTAAAGTTCACCTGGCCTAACCCCTTTATTAAAAATGAAATGTAAACTCAGAGCATTAAATAGTTTCCTAAGTGTCTCACAGCTGTCCATCACCAGTACCAAGAGTAGAAATCAAGTTTCCTGCATAGAATTCACTAACACAAGCTGGCCTCCTTTTAAATCTCTCATTTAGTAAAAGTGCATGTATTTACTTACATTCTGGGTACTGTATCAAATAACATACAAATTATATATTTTTAGATCAAAACAATTCAGGATTAAATGTAAATGATAGCCACATATATCTTGGAAAAGCTAATTCTACTTCTAAAACTCCATAAAAGCTGTCCTTCCCTTTTCTCCTTTTTTTTTTTTTTTTTTTTGTTAGCACTTGCCTTTTCTTGGAATCTTGTCCTTTCAATAACAATGCATTTATTGAATGCTTAAGAAGTGTCAGGCTCTAACTCATTGAAACTTCTCAACTTGTAAGGAAGGTGGCTGTGTGGCTCACACCAGTAATCCCAGCACTTTGGGAGGCAGAAGCAGGAGGACCTCTTCAGGCCAGGAGTTTGAGACCAGCTTGGTTAACACAGTGAGACTCGTTAAAAAAAAAAAAAAATTCAATTATCTGGGCTTGGTGGTACGTGCCTATAGTCCTAGCTACTTGGGAGGCTGAGGCTGGAGGATCACTTGAGCCCAGGAGTTTGAGGCTGCAGTGAGCTGTGATTGTGCCACTGCACTTCAGCCTAGGTGACAGAGTGAGACTTTGTCTTTTAAAAAGTTTTTTGTAATTAAAAAAAATATTTTTAAAGGTTTTGTTGTTAGCTCTCTTTTATAGATAAAGAAACCAAGTGCAAGGTAACATGCCCATGGTCACGCAGCTAGTAAGTGGTGGAGCCGGGATCTCAGCATGGATGTGTCTAACTCTCATGCTTGCTCTCTGAAATAAAGTCCCTCTGGAGTTCCCTTATTTATTTTATGTTATGCTATGTTATGATACTTTATTGAATGCATTATTTTCTTTCACAGGTTTATTAGTGGGTAAGGACTTTTCAAATCTGTGATACACAGCACTGCATGAAATGCATACATTTGGAAATCTCTTTTACCAGCATCAGTCAGCTGCCACTCTCTCTGGGAGTCATAGCCCCTGCTTGTTCCAACCTTTAGGATGCTAATTGTAAACATGAAAGAGCCACCCTCACCCAGGCAGCACCCAAACTAAGCCTACAAAGCTGTGCCTTAACATATCTTGTTATGTTTAGGTAAAGATTATTTCTGTCAGAAATGCTATAAACTGGTCCTAGTTTTATAATCATTTACATGAAACCCAATCTTTCAGAGTATTACCATGAAAATCTTGTTACATATATTTATCTTGATCTTTTATAGAATGTAATGTAATATTTATCTCAATAAATAAACCCAGTCACCACCCTGAAATCATAACTGGCTTTTCTTCACAGAAACAAGACAATCTGAACACCCAGAGTTGTGCTCAGAAACATCTATTCCCTGGATAAAATTTAAAAGTAATTGCTACAGTTTTTCTACAGTCCTAGACAGTATGAGTTTTGAGGCTGCTCATGAATTTTGCAAAAAGGAAGGTAATTGTTTTTGTGATGGTAAAAATGCTTTCATGTGCTCCTTCTTGCCATTTCAGTAAACAATGTGGATTTCTTTATTCATCCCATTATTTAGTGACTTTAGGAGCAACAAAAACTAAACTATTGAAAAAATAAATACTATTGAAATTGCTTGTTTGGAGGACAGCTACTATATGAAACAATGTCCAGTGTAGAATTTGGAAACCTAAGATGATGTCTCAGCATACTGCACTTTCTGAAGAAAACGTTCCTTTTGCATGCATTTGCATTATGAATTTTGAATGTTCCCTAAAATTAATATTCTATGCCTTAACTTCTGACGTGCAAGCTTGTATCTTTTAAAAAATGTGGTTTTACTTTTTTAATTTAAAGTCTCTTCTTTATAATGGAAATTTTCACTTTTCAAAACCTGAGCTTTACAATTAATAGTATAGGAAACATTTTTTAAAGTATATTTATGTGTAAACACAAATATTCCTTTGCTACTTGTCTCTCTTATAGGTTCTAATCTTTTAACAATCAAGGATGAGGCTGAAAATGCATTTCTCCTAGAAGAGCTGTTTGCTTTTGGTTCTTCTGTCCAGATGGTTTGGTTGAATGCTCAATTTGATGGTAACAGTAAGTGATTTGGGTAGAGGAGAGGACATAAATAAATACATGGTTGTTAAAGCTGATGATAATGGCATCTGTGAGCCAGAAAACTCTCCTTGGATACGTTTTCTGAGAAAAAATAGCATGAAGCCTAAAGCCATTTCTTCCAAAAACAACATTGCAACCCTTTTCTTTACCCTTTTGTCTTTTAAAATAATCCCAGAACACCAAAAATAAAAACAAACAATAACATGTTTATCTTTACCCTTAGCAGGAAGATGCTTGGCTGGAACTTTGTGTTCACAGACTTAGTCATTGCATACCAAAACCATATTTACTGGAAAATATCCCAGGTTTCTAAATGTTATAAAAGCACAATAGAGTTATGGAAATGTTTCCATGATGAACTGTGCTGTTAGGATTCTTATTTGCTACTCATAAAAACCAGAGTTTGTAATAAAATGGAAGCATGGTATTCTTTTCTTTATGTAATTGATGGTTATTGAAAGGTACTTGTGAAGAAAATTATTTTAATTGGTATGGAGAGCTTGTTACAGTGGTGTACCAAGGTTGGGGGTGAGCCTACCCTTTCGAGGAGGAGTATTTTAATCACCAACATTGTTTAGAATTTCAAGCAGATGGTGATAATAAAAAGCAGACCAACTTTTAGTTAGCTGTATTGTTAGTTTTAAATTATTTTCAGACAATACACTATTGCCCACACATGGGATGGACTCTCCTACCGCCCCTACCCCCTTGGTACATGGCTGGCTTGGTATTAAAGAAATTCACTGTAAAATCTTTTTAGAAAGTGAGCCATTTTGTAATGATGAAGATGTTAGGACTTCAAAGGATTTTTCTTTACTCGATTAGTTTTGTTTATCAAATGATTTCTTTAAATCGATTATATATATATATGGAATATTTCAAAATTCAAACTGTCACATTAAGAAACATGATAACCTAAATGACCTAAATAAGAACACTGTACCTAAAATAAAGAGGCAACTTTATTAATGCCTACCTTTTGATGTTGAGTACATCACTGTATTTACTGAGTTGAATGTATTAGTTCAAGAGTCTCATTAAATTCAGGGGCTGCCATCCCATTACTGGGTATATACCCAAAGGACTATAAATCATGCTGCTATAAAGACACATACACACGTATGTTTATTGCGGCACTATTCACAATAGCAAAGACTTGGAACCAACCCAAATGTCCAACAATGATAGACTGGATTAAGAAAATGTGGCACATATATACCATGGAATACTATGCAGCCATAAAAAAATGATGAGTTCATGTCCTTTGTAGGGACATGGATAAAATTGCAAATCATCATTCTCAGTAATTATCGCAAGAACAAAAAACCAAACACTGCATATTCTCACTCATAGGTGGGAATTGAACAATGAGAACACATGGACACAGGAAGGGGAACATCACACTCTGGGGACTGTTGTGGGGTGGGGGGAGGAGGGAGGGATAGCATTGGGAGATATACCTAATGCTGGATGACGAGTTAGTGGGTGCAGCGCACCAGCATGTCACATGTATACATATGTAACTAACCTGCACATTGTGCACATGTACCCTAAAACTTAAAGTATAATAATAAAAAAATAAAAATAAAAATAAAAAAATAAAAAAATTCAGGGGCTGCTTTTTATGGTTAATTCCAGTCTTAGTATGTTTGATAACCATGCACATAATTCATAATGAGTCAGCAATTTTCTCACAGATGAAACCATAAAGTGGTTTGATGGAACTCCCACAGACCAGTCAAACTGGGGCATTCGGAAGCCAGACACAGACTACTTCAAGCCCCATCATTGTGTTGCCTTGAGGATCCCTGAAGGATTATGGCAGCTATCCCCGTGTCAAGAAAAAAAAGGCTTTATATGTAAAATGGAGGCAGGTAGGTAAAGTCAGAGAGTAATTCTTCATTTTGATTCTACCTTAACTAATGTTGACTGACTTCTTTAGCATTTAAAGGTTTTAAAATCCAAGTTGAGAGAGTATTCAGATAGATTCTGACATTATTGTTGTGTTCTGCACCAAACAAGTCAGAGAATAGTTCAGCTCCTTCTTTCTCTGATATGAGAAAAAAAATCATTATAAGTCAACTCAAAGACTATGATTTTTCTTGTGTCACCCAGGTTGATCACCTAATGGGCAAAAAATCATTTTCCCTCAAGCAAATAGAACTAGGAATGTAAACCAGCAACCTTCATTCTGGTGACTGCTACTCAGAATTTTTAAGGTTTATGTTTGGCCTCAGGAAATATAATCTAGGCTTATGTATATTTGCTGTAGACAAGAAGATGTGATTCCCTGTTGCAAGCATAATGTGTCATAAAAGTCACATTTTAACTTAATCATCAGTAACATACTTAGTGTTTAGTAATTAAAAAAAACAATAATTTTAGAAATCTAAGCTAGAAAATTCTAGTCACTGATGGTGGGAAAATGTCTATAATAATTACAGCAATTTCTAGATGTCAGTATTATAAAGGAGGGATTGCTGTGGCCTGTACTGCTAGAGAAGGCTTCAGACATGAGGTTTTAGGATCCCAAAGGATGAAGAGAATTATAGAAGCTGGAACAGAGGAGGAAAAGGCCCAGCCTGATTAAAGGCAGCAACTAAGAATGTGTTTCAATTAGAGCAAAGGGCTCACGTCAGGGGGTGATGGGAATAAAATTGGATGGTAATGTAGGATCCTTTCACAGAGTGCCAGGCTAAAGAGCTGAACTTTGTGGTGGAAGAGACAGACCCCCTATGTGCTCTGTAGACACCTGTGATGAAGTAGAACTCATGAGGATATGAAGAGAAACATTTGTAATTTGAGTGATTAAACTAGGAACGAAAGAGGAGGGGAGAAATAGGAAGAGAGAATCACCGGCCCTGTTGACTGATTTGAGCTGGGAATGAAGAAGAAAACACTGCAGGTGTGGGCACCAATGTTTGAAACCCCCACAGTGTGAGTCTCAACTCTGTGTGAGAGAAAAAAAAAAAAAAAGAAAAACATGGCTAAGCCTGATAAATAATGTGCCCAAGTTATCACTAGCTTTTAAATATCAAGAACAAATCAGAAACACCTCATGTCTTACAGGACTTTAAAGTTTCCTATAATGCAGATGACACCTGTTTCATCCTTCGCAGCAGCTTTCCAAGGTAGTGGAGCAATTTAAATATCCCCATTTTACAGACGGGAAAAGTGCCTGTGCAAACTGAGGCTACATCAAGGACTACAGAGAAAACTCTAAGTTTTCTAAGTGCTCTTTCCATGCCGCCCACTGCTTCTATCCTGAGAACAAACACTCTTAACAGTCTTTCTTAAAGATGTATCTTTATGTTTAAAGTGATGGTTATCCCAAGTACACTATACAAATTATATGACTATATTCAATTATCACTTGTGTTCTGAAAATTTGTGCATCTGATATGCATCAATTTAAAAGAAGTGTCTTCATAAAAACACAATAATACATATTTTCGACAGTTTAATGCAACGTTAAATGGCATTGTTTTTATATTAAAAGAACAAGTCTGGGCCGGGGGTGGTGGCTCACGCCTGTAAATCCCAGCACTTTGGGAGGCAGAGGCAGCTGGATCACTTGAGGTCAGGAGTTCGAGACCAGCCTGGCCAACATGGCAAAACTCCATCTCTACTAAAAATACAAAAATTAGCCAGGTGTGATGGCACACACCCGTAATCCCAGATACTAAGGAAGCTGAGGCAAGAGAATTGCTTGAACCCAGGGCAGAGGTTGCAGTGAGCCGAGATCACGCCATTGTACTCTGGCCCGGGCAACAGAGTGAGACTTCGCCTCAAAAAAAAAAAAAAAAGAACAAGTCTGGTTTTAAAAGTATGGTTTTGCTATTAGTAACAGTGTTGTGATTTTTTTCATGTCTATCAGAGTGAATGAGCATCAGTAGGACATCAAGGCAGTTCTTTTGCTCACAAATCCATTTCTTCATCTTCCTCTGGTTCATTCTCTATACCTTTCTCTGGATCTTTACCTAGATCAAAAATAGAAGAGTTCACATTTTGATATAACATCTACTTAAAAGATGTGTTTTTACAGTAGAAAGTTTTAAAACAGAAACTCTCTAACTTTTTGGATGGAGAAGCTGTTGCTCATTCCCCAAGACCCATGAGATCACAAAGGTGAGAAGATGCTGATTTAAAAATCCTTACAAAGAGTCAGGCAGATTATCATTGCTGGACAAACTCCATATAAGATCCCAACAAAACTGTGAGTTCCTTGTATGCAGGGTTTATATTTTACTCTATATTTATTGCAGCACAGTGCTGGGACTGAATAGAAACTTCTTGGCTTAAAAAAAACAAGCAGGGTGTATGTTTGTGAGCACTAATAACGATGATTACAATAAATCAAAGGTCAGCAAACTTTTTCTGTAAAGGGCCAGCTAGTAAACATTTTAGGCTTTGGGAGCCATATGGTCTCTGTTACATGCCATTGTAGCAGGAAAGCAGCTGTAACAATACATCAATGAATGAGTGTGGCTAAGTTCCAGTAAAACATTTTTTATAAAAATAGGGTCATGGGCCATAGTTTGCTGATCCCTGAGTAAGTAATGACATATTTTTGCTGAATTAAAAGAAAAACCTCATTTTAATTTTTGTATTTGATTTTAGATATTCACACTGCAGAGGCGCTGCCAGAAAAAGGTACGTTTGAAACCATACAAAACATTTTGATTTTTCTTAGAAATAATAAGATAGAAAGCAGCTGTATGACAGTATCTATATTACTTCATCGCCACTGAAGTTTTTCTTTTTTTAAGAAAAATATCTTCTTTCAGGACCAAGTCACAGCATCATTCCTCTTGCGGTTGTACTGACACTGATAGTCATTGTGGCCATTTGCACACTTTCCTTCTGCATATACAAGCATAACGGTGGCTTCTTCAGGAGACTTGCAGGGTTTCGGAATCCTTACTATCCTGCAACCAACTTTAGTACAGTATATTTAGAAGAAAATATTCTCATTTCTGATCTTGAGAAGAGTGACCAATAATAATGAGGTCAGAGAATGCCACAGACACCAGGGTAAGTAAAGAAGACTAAACAGGAGTCTCATCTGTCTTTCCCTTTACAGCACAGATGCCATTAGAATGTGAATTGGGTCACTATTTTAATTATTCTTGAAGTGATTACTGGTTTTGAATCTTAACCAAATCAGATGGGTTTTGATTTATTCATTTCCCTAAACTGTGATCCATTCTTAAAAGGGGTAAATTATGCATTGGTTATTTTTCAGAAAGACAAGAACTATTAAAAGAAACTCCCTATTGAAAACTCTGAAATCAATGCGAATAATAGTTTTTGCATTAATGTATCTCTACTAAAATTTGGGGGAATTTTAAAACTAATCTGGTATCTATTCAGACATTTACCTGCACTCGTACCATTAAGAAAGACAGAAAGAAGCAAAAAAAAATTAATCTTGTATATGAGAGGAAAAGGAAAGGGCTTCTGAGAGGATTCTTAGTTGTTTCTTTTGAATTCACTTTTAATAGCAGGATTTGGAAAATACTAATTTCTGTGCTTAAGGGTCACAGGTTCTGGGCTCTCAACTGATATTTAAGGTGACATTCATTTTTATTAGGTCTAACATCTCAAGCTAAAGGAGAAAGAAAAATACCTTCTTTTAAATGGCAAAGACCTTCATTAGCAGCACACTTTTATAAACAACCATATAGTTAAAATGTGGCCTTAAACTTTCAATTACTAAATGATGATTAAGTTGGATATTTTAAAATGTCTTATACATAAGCTTAAAGTAATATATTGAAACTTTAACAGTTGTACTGTTAAAACTCATGGACTTTCTGAAAAACTAAATATATAAAATAATATGTAACACTCTTAATAACTGGAAGATATAAAATGTAACTTGGATTTAAAGGAGAAGAGCTAAAGATCTGAATTATAGTCTCATTAGAACCAGACAGATGTTGTTGAGAAGTACTAAATAAATTAGTAATCTAGATATCTTTATTATGTAAATGAGTTTAGGTGTTCTATTTAATAAACTATTTTCTGGGAACGATCTCCTTTTATATTAGTCTAGTTAGTGTAGATGGTAAATAATGATTATGATACTGTCTGTAAATAAAAAATTACAGATTTTATTTTCCTTTATTAGTTCCTTATAAAGAAAACAGCTTCATAATCAATATCTAAAAATTTACTCATTACATAACTGTTTATTGAATTTTATCAAGAAAAAAGTGTACTGAGCATGGTGGCACGCACCTGTAGTCCCAGCTACTTAGGAGGCTGAGGGAAGAGGATCAACTGAGCCCAGAAGTTGAAGGCTGCAGTGAGCTATGGTTGCACCACTGCACTCCTGCCTGGGCAACTGAATGAGACCCCACCTCAAAAAAGTGCTGTTCTAGAAACAGAGGTACTAAGGTGAGCAACTTGGGGTAAGGGCTATCTTTTCATGCCACTTATTTTCTAATGAGGGAAAATTGACAGTAACTCAGTAAAGAAATGCATATGCATAAAATAGCAAGTGGTTATGAAAATGAAGTAAGGTTCCATGATAGAGAGAAACTGGGGGACTCTCAGGGCCTCCCTGAGAGTGTGCATTTTAATTATTACAACCAACTGCCTCAAAACCAGTGGCCACTAATCACAAGGGGGAGCTCTGAGAGAAAGTATGAATGAATTTCTAAGAGGCAAACCATCATCATTAGAAATACAATTTGAAGAGCATACCACTAAGAATGGAATCCTTGTGGCCTGCAACAGTTAATCCAGCTTCCAAAAGCAGCTCTTTGCTACTGTTATAATAATTTACACACTGGGACAGTCTACCTCCATAATTTTTTTAAGTATTGGGACTTCATTTTTTAAAAGATATTATATTATGTGGCAGTTGCATATTTATGACTCAAAAAATAATTGGCTTGAACTCACCAGATGGTATAAAAGCCCAATTTAACCATCTTTTGAGTGGAATTAAAGTTCTGTTCTTTTCAATGGACTTGGTAAAAACTGCTAATCAACCAGCCTTCCAGTCAAGGTATATAGTCACACATAATAATTTGACAAAATACACCATTAGGAAAGTGATTTTGCAGAAAGAAGCTGTATTGCTTCTCAGTGCTCCATACTTTGATGTTTAGTATTGAACAACATCTCCAGATAATCTGGACCCATGGACAGATCACACACTTCTTGCCATTACTGAATTTGCAGAAATAGTACTGAAGTATTCTGCTACATTTTTATATTTGCATTTTTTTTGAAACTTTTTTTCATTTTTTTTTTTTTTTTTTGGAGATGGAGTCTTGCTCTGTTGCCAGGCAGGAGTACAGTGGCATGATCTCAGCTCACTGCAACCTTCAACTGCCTGGTTCGAGCAAGTTTCCTGCCTCAGCCTCCCGAGTAGCTGTGATTACAGGCACATGCCACCATGCCCAGCTAATTTTTGTATTTTTAGTAGAGACAGGGTTTCACCATGTTGTCCAGGATGGTCTCGATCTCCTGATCTCGTGATCCACCCGCCCCAGCCTCCCAAAGTGCTAAGATTACAGGCATGAGCCACCGCACCTGGCCTCATCTGTATTTTTAATGTGAACTAGATTTTATAGCTATAATTCGAAAAGAAAAAAAAGTAGCAGGTAATGGGTATATTATACACTATTTGCGTGATGGTTACACCAGACTTTACCACTACATACTGTATTTATGTAACAAAATTACACTTGTACTCCTTACATTTATGCCAAAAAAGCGGCAGGATCACAAATTCACACATAGTTAATGTGCCCCTCCAACAGTCAATTATGTTCTATGACTAACCTGAGGATCTTTATAGAATCTGAGTAATGGAAATGCCTGGGTTTTTCCATTTAACAATATATTGGGCTCTTACAGTTACAACAGTCTTCTTTCGGGTTAAATATTTCTTCTCTTGAAGGGTCCACTCCTTATTAAAGATAAGATTGAACTGAATGTTTACTTAAACGTTCAGTCTTTTGGAGTTTCTTTACTCTTCTCAAAATGGTGGTTGGATATATAAGAACTTGCTGTGTCCTGGTAGTGTTGAGGGGAGAAGGTGACAACTTACTGTGGATGTATGTTAGCTGGTGTCCACTGAGAATAGCTGTCTGGCCTCACTCCTGGGAATTCTGCTGGCATCTGCTGTGAAGTCTGCAGTTGCTTTAATCTGTAGTCTGTTCTCTTTGATTTGGCCTCATTCTGGCTGTCCCTGGTGCTGTCTTATCTCTTGAGAACTGGCTGTGTCTCCTGTTGAATTCCCTATCCGAACACTGCAGTTCTTGGCTACAAGGCAGTCACTTCACCCCTGCAGTGGTGAGATCCCATTAGCTACCATTAGCTACTCTTTTCGTCCAGAAAGGCGAAATGCCATAGCAAACAATCCCACAGTCTTGGTGGATTAACACAGCAAAGGTTTATTTCTCACCCACACCTGCATGGGCTGGCAAGAGGACTTTGCTCTGTTCAGTCATTCATGGGTCCATGCTTCTCCTATATAGCCAGCCCTCTGTCTCCTAAGGCCTGGAGTCCTCCATGGGCCTCCAATCTGTGGCTGACAGAGGATGTTGACTTGAGACCCATCTTTGATTCATTATGGAGCTTCCACAGGCTGTTGAAATCCTCTAAGTCAAAAGTCCTCAAACTGGGGACACATGCCTAAGGAATACAGGAGCATGGGTATTTAAGAAACTTAATTTCCAGAATCTTCATGTATATTTTTTCTTAAAACTGATTTACCTGAGAGCACCCCTGGTTCTTCTTTCCCACCTCTCTTTACACAAATGCCTTTCTCTACCTTTAAAAAGAAAAAGAAAAAGAAATGGCTTTCATTTCAGATCTTACTATGGGAAAATCCTCCATGGCTCCAAAGAAAAATATTCGAAGTATTGATGTCAGTGAAGCTTCTTTTAATAAAGAAATTGTAAACTCATTCTGTAGATCCTCACGTCTTTCTCTGTGTTAGGACATTTTTCTGTTAAAGTTGAAGCGATGACTTAGAAATGAGTTATTTTGCCCCATGTTCATATTCTGAATTAATATGTATTATACAGTGGAACAGCTGGAGTGCTACTTTCATTTGAAAATTTATCTCATCCACTGCCTGACTATTGTCAGAGAACAAGCTGTAGAAAAAGTCTGGTGAAAGCAAAGTGAAGCATGTGTTGCCAAGAACCTAACATCTTATGTTATCCAGAAGAAAGTCCCAAGGCTTGATTTATCTTAGATTTCTATGTGAGTTGTGAGGATGAGTATTAACAAGCTTATTTGAACTGAAAAATGAATTCAGACCTTTTCTGAAGTTTTTTTTATTTGGCTCATTGGTTTGACAACAAGGATTGACTTTACCCATTAAGTTTTATGATGAACATTTTGTATTAATTGAATGAACTAAATCTGCTGCTCTTGTGTTCTGATTAAAGCTTGTAATAGGGTAAAGGCATTTTAATAGAAAAATAGTATTGACTGAACTATAATGAAGTGATATTTTACTTTTCCCAGCCTTCATTTGTATATCAGGTAAAGCAAGATGCCTGTAAGTGAAAGAGTAACAGGCATAATGAACAGTTATTTGAAGAGTCTTAGTAAAGCCTTTTAATTTTACTTGTAGGAAATTGACATGAATCATTCTAATGACTGGGTAACAAATCACTTTGCAAGTAGGGTGTTTCCACTTCTATGCTTTAAAAAAAACTGAAGGAGAACATAATCAAGCAGTTGGTTGATATAGAAAATAATTTTTAATGTAGAATCACTGATTTTTTGGCACCTATGAGAAAGGAATTCAAGTAATAGAGGGATATTGTTATAACAAACCTCCTTTTATTCCCATCTACTTATTTATATGAACAAAGTTTCTATGTTAAGATAAGTTAGAGAGTGCTGTGGAAACAAACCCTGTAATACTAGTGGTTAAAAACAAAACTCAGAAGTTAATTTATTGATCATGCGAAGCCTGCTATGGTCAGGACACTTGCCTCCAAGCAGTAACTCACAGATCCAGGCTGTGTCCTACCTCCAGAACATGGGGCTTCCAGTGCTGCTATGGCACTAGAGAACTGTTAAGTTCCCAGGTTTAGGAAGAAACACGTGGCACTTCCACTCGCGTGTCATTGGCTGGAACTAGTCACATGACCTAACCTAACTGAAAGGAAATCCAGGAAGTCTTCTGCTTTGTGTGCTCAGGAAAGAGAGGATAAGGGACTACAGACAGCACCAGCAATTGCTACCAGAGTTTCTCAACATGTATAGCTACAAAAAAAGAAGAGAGAGAACAGAATTGATGCTGAACCTTGATTTATACTAGCAGTTTTTAATACTAATTAATTTTTATCTATGATATATCCATTTCATTAACAGATCCATTTGCTATCATTTTAGTTTGACATATACTATCTTAATCTTTGTAACATATTTATTTTGTTCTGATCAATTGTATACTAACAATAATTGAAATGACAACTCAATATAGAAGAAAATGTGTAATACTTAGAGCCTATGTTCACAGGGACTTCTTAAAAAATAATTTTAGGCTGGGCGCGGTGGCTCACGCCTGTAATCCCAGCAACTTTGGGAGGCCGAGGCGGGTGGATCACGAGGTGAGGAGATCGAGACCATCCTGGCTAACAAGGTGAAACCCCGTCTCTACTAAAAATACAAAAAAATTAGCTGTGTGTTGCGGCGGGTGCCTGTATTCCCAGCTACTCGGGAGGCTGAGGCAGGAGAATGGCATGAACCTGGAAGTCGGAGCTTACAGTGAGCCGAGATGGCGCCACTGCACTCCAGCCTGGGCGACAGAGCGAGACTCTCTCTCAAAAAAAAAAAAAAAAAAAAAAAATTAATTTATATACATATTTTTACTGCAGGAAAATATGACAAGGTAATGAATAAAATATTTCACAAATTAAAGTATATCTCATTAGGATAAAATTCTGTGGGGGAGTTGGAATGGAAATACAAGATTGAAAGAAAGTAATATCTCTGACTGCTGAAGAGGTTATTTCTATTTTTAAATAGATTATGATAGAATTCAAATTGTTGTAGTATCTCCAGTCAAAGGAACTTAGGCTTCTTGAGAAAGTGGTTGATTGCAGGTCTAAGGCAGGAAAATACAAGATGAAACTGGAATATCTTGTGATGGCAGAAAATAAGGAGGTGCTCACAAAAAGATGGCACATGTCTGAAGGCTACAGGAACCAACCTGAAGGAGCTCTCCAGTGGAAATGCTGGAACAATTTGAGCAAACAATAAAAAATTATAATATTGGATTATAACCCACACAATAAATATCTGTGTGTCCATACTGATGTAAACAATTGAATGAGTGAATGAATGAATGAAAAGAAGAAACAGTTCTTCTCCCCAGTAAATTCCAATTGATAAATGTAGAAGAAATGGGAGAAACAAAAATCACTATCAGGAAAACACAACAGTAATAATTGTTGGCAAGACCTACCAGTTGGTGCAAAAGTTAGTGGGTGAATGTTTGAGGAAAAACAGAATATTTGCATAACCTTAGAGTATTTTCCCCAAAATAATCACTAATTACAAAGAGAAAGTAATAACTTTACAGTAGAGAAACTTCTTTAATCAAGGGATCAAGGTTAACAGAAGCAGTAATAAGCCACATCAGCATCATGTACCCCCTGGTATGGCATTGAGAAGGGCACATGACTTCTTTGGTATCCTCCCCAAAATGCATAATCTCAATCATGAAAAAACATTAGACAAATCCAAGTTGAGGGACATTCCACAAGATAAATGATCACTTCAAAAGTGTCCTGGTCATGAAAGATAAGGAAAGATTGAGGAAATGTCAAGGATTGGAGGACACTAAAGAGACATGACAACTACGTGCAAGTTGAAATCCTCAAATGGATCATGGAACAGAAAATGGTCATTATGGGAAAATGGGAAAGTAAAATAAAGTCTATGGTTTAATTAATAGTATTGTACCAGTATTAGTTTCTTTGTTTTGATGATTATACCATGGTTTTATGAGATGTACCATTAGAAGAAGCTGAAGGAGGCTGTACAGGAACTCTCTGGACTAAGTTGGCAATTTTTCTGTAAACCTAAAATCATTTCAATATAAAAAGTTAACATTTTGCTATGATATTAGACACCACTGGATATATTAAAAGGGTGATAAGGCACTTTTATTTTTACATGTTGTTATTTATAATATTCTGAAAATTGCATCCTAATTATAAAAAATTTTGGCTGTCAACTTAGAAATTCGTGAAGCAATATGCCTTCTTTCATGATTCTTTTAACAATTTTGTATGCTAGCCAAAAAGTTTGAGGACCACTGCTATATGACATTTTTTCTCTCATGTCTCAGATGAGAAGCAGGGCAAAACCCTGTGTGTCTCCAACTTACCTAACACACCATCCGCTGTAGGATTAGGAGCCAGACACGTCTTGCTGCAGGCCATGCTCACTTCCATCTGCTCTCTTTTCCCTGCATTCTTCTTTTGTGTCACTTCCCTGACTTGTCAGTACTTCTAATTCTCATAGTCCTGCTATCCCCTACAACCTCGTGCCTTAGTATTAATAGGGTACAGCAGGGAAAAACTCACTTAGTTTCCATTTTGTTCTTGGAGAAGAAAAATTTGGAGACATTTCCAAAATGGCATGTACATCATAATTCTTATTGCCAACATTTATAAGAAACTTTGACTGTAGTGATTATCAAGATACATGCTTGGAATATTTATTCCCTCTTTCCCCACCTTTCAAAATAAGGATTTAGAGCAGGAGTTGGCAGGGCCAAATCCAGCCTGCAGCCTATTTTGGAAATAAAGTTATTGGGATGCTGCCATCCCCATTCACTCACATACTGTGCATGACTGCTTTCATGCTTCCATGACAGAGCTGAGTGGTTGCAACAGAGACCGAATGGCCTGCAAAGCCTAAAATATTTACTTTCTGGACCCTTACAGGAAGTTTGCCAACCCCTGATTTAGAAAGTGAAAACCTAAATGGGGAAGTCTTACATACTTTAACGTATCTTAGCAAGCACTGTTATGTTAATGTATATGGACAGCACTTAAAATATATCAATAAACAATTATGATCAGTAAACATTTATTTAGAGCCTATTGTGGCCCAGAGAGTGTCCTGTGCTCAGAGGCTATAAATACCAATAACACCCCATCTCTCCCCTCATGGAACTCAGTCTCAGGGGAGAGGAATATGTAAATGATAAGTGCAATGCAATGTGACATAAATAATATCAAGAAGAAGAGAATCAGAAAAAAAAGGAGAGGGGACTGATTAATTCTGTCAGAAGTAGAGAAAGGCTTAACAAGATAAGTGATATGTATTAAATTGTAGGAAATGTTAGATAAACAGCTTTCTTTAGTATTTTTTGAGTTAGAAAGCAAGTTTTTAGCTTGGGGTCAGAATATTTTTAGAGAAAAAGTTTAAAATGTGCCTAAATCTGAAATTCTGGATTTAAAAAAGTGAAAATCTGCATGTTCCTCTAATACCTAATGACGAATTCTAATTGCAGAAGGATGCCAATAACTAAAACCACAAAATGAACCCTATGTATACCGGTGACCTTCTTTACTCAGAATTAATTAACACAAGCACTTGTTTCTTGCAGAGCACTTTGCTGTAATTTAGAACAAATTAAGGGAAAAAATCATTCAAGTGCTGTTTTCTTCACACCATGAAGTAAGCATGATGGACCAAAGTTAACTAATTTAAAATATTATCATCCATTTCTTGTAATTATGAATAGCAATACCATCTTTTTTCTTCAAAAAAAAAAAAAGACATCATGATCTATGCTATTTTCAACTTGTTTCCTGTGCTTCTATTAATGGAAATTGATTTTTCAAGATTAATGTAAAATGTGTTTCTGTTTCTCCCATTAAGTCTCTTATTTATATTAGATCCAATGTATATGTTCCTGGATATTTTTCAAATAAATATATTTTTAATATAATACAGCAAATTGTAAATTGTTAAAGGACCATTTATAATGTTTTCTCCTTGCCCTCCCTAGCACTGAAACTGTGGTTTTATTATTGTCTTCACACTGTTGTTTGTGAATTAACTTGAGCTCCTTGAGTTCCTACTTCTAAGAGATTATTTAAACTTTACTTTTTACCTTCTTAGTATACAGAGCTTGGTAGGAGCTGGAAACCCGACTCACAGATTTAGGAAACAGTGGGTTCTTGTCCCTGTGGACATCAGAACTTGGGGGACGGAGAGATAGAGAACCAGAAGGCAGAACAAGGAAAAACTCAAAGAAAGGAATGGGGAGGAATGGAAACGTAACAGGACATGTTGCCTCAGTGAGTCACCAAGGGCTTTGGAGTTCTTAGCCCAAAATGTGGTTCTGTGGAGGCTGAGGACAAACTTCAGGACAGAGCATGCCTTAATCGATGTGCTAAGCCACTGGCTCGGGCAGTCCTTAAGCAAGGGCTCCTCTGATCAGACAAGGAATTGTTTCCTTCCCTTTTACTCCAGATGACACCTAAAGGTGCAAAAGAAAACCATCTCTGCACACTACCAAACAGACAGTGCGTGAACGAAGCAGACCCTCCTGACCACAGCCAAGGACTGGAGAGCTTGGTGAAACTGGTGCTCAAGGTAGAAATTCCCTGCGATTGCTACTGCAACTTATACTAAACGTCCCAAGTGAAGTGAAGGGAGAAAAAAGAGATATTAAGCAAGAAGGCCCACTTGTTTATGCATTGCTTTAGAAGATAATCTGTAATTGCATATTAATAAGTAAAGTTAACGTTACACTTAAATAATAACCTATATTTGTTACTGCATTTGAATCACTCTTATCTGACTTAGTTGGTCAGGAAATCAAAAAAGTCAGTTAAAGGAAGGAATCATAAGAATTGTTTTAACATTAGTTTAAACATTTTATTTTCTATTAGAACACATAAACGTACATTTATCCACTAATCTTTTGGTGTAGGGACAATGTCATTCCTTTTAATATTCCTTCCTGTTGGTTTTATGCATAAAGTATATCTATAAGGTGTTGTTCACAATCTCTGGTTTTTCGTAAATGAAAATGAAACCCTGTCTCTGAAAAAAATACAAAAAAGTTAGTAGAGTGTGGTGGTGCATGCCTGTAGTACAGCTACTTGGGAGGCTGAGCCGGGGGAGATTGAGATTGCAGTGAGCTGTGATTGCACCACTGCACTCCAGCCTGGGCAACAGAGTGAGACCCTGTCTCAAAAATAAAGATAGCTGTAGAACAATTTGAGTGCAAGCCCCAAATGTGTATAACTTTCCTCAATATCTGTAGTTGTCTTGCTCAATAATAGCTCACTGCAATGTCAAACTCCTGGACTCTAGCAAGCTTTCTCCCTCAGCCTCCTGAGTAGCTGGGCCCGCAGGCACATACCACCATGCCCACCTTATTATTTAAAAAAACTTTTGTGGAGACGGGGTCTCACTCTGTTACCCAGGCTGGTCTCAAACTCCTGACCTCAAGTAGTCCTCCCTCCTCACCCTGTCAAAGTGCTAGGATTGTAGGCATGAACCATTGCACCTGGCCCTATTTTATGTTTTACAAACTGTATAATTACAATGTCTAGTACAATTGGCATTAACGGATTTCGGAACAAACACAACCAACTGGTGCTAAGCGTATGAGGGAACCCATGGGTGGAGCAGCCTGGACTGCCTTATTTCACAGGTAGCTTGGCTGGTCCCACAGCACAGGTAAGTGGTAAGCTGCGGCTTCAGCTGTTCGTGTTTGAGACTTATTCCATGTACAGAAAGTTAGACTTTCCCTCAGAACTGAACTCTGGAATCCACACAGAATAGATCTGAGCATAAATAAGCAAGAAAGAAAGAGAATAGCTCCCCAGGCCACCTGTCAGATTGGAACTTGATTTAACTTGTCTGAAAAAGGAAATCACGGAGGTGCTGAGGAAGGAGTGGGAAGAGAAACAGTCCCCTATGGAAGCAGGCTCAGAGACAGGTGTCCTCAGCAGTTTTGGGAGAAGGGACTTGCACTTCCAAAGCCAAGGCTCCTAGGGATATGGCTAAATGATTTTAGGGTTCCAAGGACATCCCTGTGGTGAGGTGGATACATCATTAGGATCTGCTGTAAGCACAACTTCCTTCATTTCATTTCCGTGTTCACCAAAAATCTCTAGCTAGGATTTAAGTCCTCCGTGTAGGCGTGTCTGGCACTGAGAGAAAGTCTGACTCCGACTTTGAGTATATTAGACCCCTAGGAGGATCTAATAATTTCCAAGGGGTTTGGGGGGAACAGGTGGTGTTTGGTTACATGAGTAAGTTTTTTAGTGGTGATTTCTGAGATTTTTGGTGCACCCATCATGCAAGCAGTGTACGCTGTAACCAATGTGTAGTCTTTTTTTTTTTTTTTGAGACGGAGTCTCGCTCTGTCTCCCAGGCTGGAGTGTAGTGGCACAATCCCTGCTCACTGCAAGCTCTGCCTCCCAGGTTCACGCCATTCTCCTGCCTCAGCCTGCCAAGTAGCTGGGACTACAGGCGCGTGCCACCATGCCTGGCTAATTTTTTGTATTTTTAGTAGAGACGGGGTTTCACCGTGTTAGCCAGGATGGCCTCGATCTCCTGACCTCGTGATCCACCCGCCTTGGCCTCCCAAAGTGCTGGGATTACCGGCGTGAGCCACCGCGCCTGGCCACCAATGTGTAGTCTTTTATCCCTCATCTCTCTCCCACCCTTCCCCCTGAGTCCCCAAAGTCCATCATATCATTCTTATGCCTTTGGGTCCTCATAGCTTAGCTCCCACTTATGAGTGAGAACATACGACGTTTGGTTTTCCATTCCTGAGTGACTTCACTTAGAATAATTGTCTCCAATTCCATCCAGGTCACTGCGAATGCCATTATTTCATTCCTTTTTATGGCTGATTAGTATTCATATATATATATATACACACACACACACACACACAAATATATAATACATATACATGCACATATATATACATATACATATAGATATATACATATACATATACAATTTCTTTATCCACTCATTGATTGATGGGCATTTGGGCTGGTCCCACATTTTTGCAATTGCGAATTGTGCTGCTATGAACATGCGTGTACAAGTTATCTTTTTGGTATAATGTCATCTTTTCCTCTGGGTAGACAGCCAGTAGTGGGATTGCTGGATCGAATGGTAGTTCTACCTTTAGTTCTTAAAGGAATCTCCACACTGTTTTCCATAGTGGTTGTACTAGTTTACATTCCCACCAGCAGTGTAAAAGTGTTCCCTTTTCACCACATCCACACCAACATCTATTTTTTTATATTTTTTTGGTTATGGCCATTCTTGCAGGAGTAAAGTGGTATCACATTATGGTTTCAATTTGCATTTCCCCTGATCATCAGTGATGTCGAGCATTTTTTCATATGTTTGTTGGCCATTTGTGTATCTTCTTTTGAGAATTGTGTATTCATGTCCTTAGTCCACTTTTTGGTGGGATTGTTTTTTCCTTGCTAATTTGTTTGAGTTCCATGTCGATTCTGGATGTTAGTCCTTTGTCAGATGTATATATTGTGAAGATTTTCTCCCACTCTGTAGGTTGTCTGTGTACTCTGCTGATTGTTTCTTTTGCTGTGCAGAAGCTCTTTAGTTTAATTAAGTCTTGTCTATTTATCTTTGTTTTTGTTGCATTTGCTTTTGGGTTCTTGGTCATGAAGTCTTTGCCTAAGCCAATGTCTAGAAGGGTTTTTCCAATGTTATCTTCTAGAATGTTTATGGTTTCAAGTCTTAGATGTAAGTCCTTGATTCATCTTGAGTTGATTTTTGTATAAGGTGAGAGATGAGGATCCAGTTTCATTCTTCTACATGTGGCTTGCCAATTATCCCTGAACCATTTGTTGAGTGGAGTGTCCTTTCCCCACTTTATGTTTTTGTTTGCTTTGTTGAAGATCAGTTGGCTGTAAGTATTTGGCTTTATTTCTGAGATCTCTATTCTGTTCCATTGGTCTATGTGACTATTTTTATACCAGTACCATGCTGTTTTGGTGACTATGGCCTTATAGTTTGAAGTCAGATAATGTGATGCTTCCAGATTTGTTCTTTTTGCTTAGTCTTGCTTTGGCTATGTGGGTTCTTTTTTGGTTCCATATGAATTTTAGGATTTTTTTTCTAGTTCTGTGAAGAATTATGGTAGTATTTTGATGGGAAATGCATTGAATTTGTAGATTGCTTTTGGCAGTATGGTCATTTTCACAATATTGATTCCACCTATCCATGAACATGGTATGTGTTCCCATTCGTTTGTGTCATGTATGCTTTCTTTCAGCAGTGTTTTATAGCTTTCCTTGTAGAGGTCTTTCACCTCCTTGGTTAAGTATATTCCTAAACATTTTATTTCTCCTTGTAAATTAATAAACTGACATTGTGATGTCCTCCTCAGTCTCATGTATGATTTTGTTTGGGCAGTGGCAGCTCTGGAACATTGCTGTAGGAGGTGCATAGGTGTGGGCAGTCTCACCAGAAAGGGGGTCTAGACCTGAGGAACTTGTCATGGTGCAGTGATTCCACAACAGGGACACCAGGCTTTCTTAGATGGCAGAACAGTCATATATTGGCATTACGACATCTACCTCAGCTTTTGCAGGTGTTTAGTTGAGTAAGCCAAAGCATGGCATCCCCTGGACCAGAAAAGAGTATGTTTCTGTGGCTTGAAACCAGGAACCAGGCCTGAGACATAATGGTCATCTTTAAGTTCCAGTCCATCTCCACACAGCCTTCCTTTTCTTTGAAGACAACTAGGCCACTTCTACCAGCTCTCATCTCTCTTATTACATGGTAGTATTTGAGAGATCACAAATCTGTTTTAAGCACAGTTTTACAGATGACAAAAGCAAGACTTAGAAATATTCTTTGATTTCACCAGTAATACATGGCTAATTTGTGGCAATACATGAGAACTAATCTCATGATTCCCAGTTCTGATCTGGGTGTCTTGCAGTGTGACTGACCCCAGAACACTGCAAGAAAGGAGGAGGTTAAGAGGAATGTGGGTCATCGTAGACCAGGGATAATGAAAGAGTCTATGCTATCAGACCATAAAATCAGAGAAAGGGAAAGAGGCTTCTCACCTGACTCAGATACCTGGGAAGGTGAGATATAGTTGCATTTATGCACTGGAACCCAAATAGGTCTGTGGAATAGGAAAGAAACCCCAAGGAGAGTTCTGAAAGTGGGGAGTTAAAGGAAGGGAGTACAGAAGGGAGAATCAGGAACCCCAGAGGAGATATACAAAATGCCTGACAAACAATTAAATTCAAAGTTCCCCATTTGATTTTACTGATGGATCTTAGGAATGGCAAAATATCCCCCTATGGCCCTAGATAGTAGCAAGAAGTGGGTTGCTTCTGTTTTGCTCCATGTTTCTAGAGACTGATGCATTCTTATGAAAAGCTAGTGATTTGCATCCAACCTGATCAAAGATAGAAACAAACAGCCCTGCAAGTCACCTAATCACAGGTAAAAAGAGAACTTTAAAAGAGTCTTTTTTCAGTAGTAATAACTGGAAAGTAGAAAAAGGGAACTAGAAGATCATTGAGTTTAGATTCCAATTGGTGACATGTATATCAAATATGAATGCAAAGTCTTTTAGCATCAGTTTTATTTACCCTTCCTCCCTCCCAGTCCTGTATGGATGATGGCTATTCCTCCAAAGTCACACTCCACCCTTCTTTACCCTGCTCTGTGCCTCAGATGATGTCCCTTGGTGTCCTTGCCCTCTAGTTTTGGTTGGGTCCAGCCCAGTGTGGGGCTGGGAAAGGAGATTTGAAGATGGAAAGTAAGCAAGTTTGGAGATTTGGGACCCCTTGGCTCCCTCCTTGCCTTGCTGGAACCTAGCACTGGCCACATTCCTCCACCGGGGACGCAGTGCTGGTCACCTGCTCCTCTCCATAGCTTCAGTGTTTTCCAGATCCAGGAACAGCAAACACACTGTCTCTTCAGGCCTGGGGTGGTGAAGGCTCCCTGCTCCATGGAGCTGGGTGGGGGGAAGGGGTAGTTCATCATCCCTTGTTACTTCCCTTAACCTTCTCACACCTTTATAAATACAGTAGTCCCTTTATTAAACTCTCTCCAGTGACCACTTCGAGTGAGCCACCCATTTCCTGGAGAGCCCCTACTTATACAGCAAGCTTGCAAACATGCCACATGCTTTTGATATTGGAATGGCTCACTATTTAGCCATCTTTTTTCCCCCAACTTTCCATTTCATTTTTGTGGGAAGCTTTTCCAACACAACAACATAAAATTCCAATTAAACACATGTTCAGCCCTACTAGACTCTGGGAGCAAGCATAGTAAATCATTCCCAAGTAAGCCATTCTTGATCTAAAATAAGTGTGGACACTAAAGAAAAGGTTATTATAAGCCCAAACTGCTAAATTATACTTTCATGACTGAACACAACTGTAATCCATATTATTATTTTAAATTACACTATAAAAAGCAGTCATTTATCGCCTTTCCAAAACACAGTGATAATATATTACCAAATTATCAAGGGTTCTTTATTAAATCTCTTGAATTTGATTTATAATACATGAGGTAGCTTATCCTTGAGAAAGATCTACTAAAAGGTATACTTAGTCTTAAAGCTAGTGAAATAAAATCTCCCTCTAATCAGCTGCCAGAAAGCTTCCGCTTCAGTGCTTTGTTGATACTGGTGTCAGCAGGACATTAAAAGCTTGAAGCTTTTTACGTTTGATCAAATACCAACATTATGCTGAAGCAGAAGTATTAATTCATAGAGTAAAGCTTCCAGAACCTCTCCAGCTCTCCTTCATCCTTCCTCCCCCCACCAAAAAGGTCACATCAAATCAGGGGTTCAGGGACAAAACAGAGACGGGCATTTTGTCAGTGTTTCATGTACACAAAACCACTCTAGAACCCAAGGGAGAGACAAGCACTAAAATATACTTTTCTAAAAATGCCAATCCCATCTAAGAAAGGGGAAAGTAACTGTTGCTGAAAAATAAGAAGGTGACCTGGTTATTATTCTCATCTTATAATGAGAAATGGAGCACCAGAAAGGGTCAGGAATTTGCCCCAAATTTTCAGCTAGTGTTTGGGGAGCTGGGATCCTTGTCAATCAGATCATATTACTACAGTCCCTTCCTGAACAAAACCTCTCAACAAAGAAATAGGAAGCCTCCAAGATTAAAGAAAAAATCATTTTTTTCCACAACTTTTTTTTTTTTTTTGCTTTGATTCCAGGCCTTCTAAAAGAAAGTTTTTATTATGCTGCCAAATTCACAAAAATGTTCAAGGGAACAGATTGAATTTTAAGTGTGTCTCAGAAACCTGCAGGAAAGTGTCAACAATAAAAACAATGTTCTCAGAAGATTATTTATACATAAGAGCCCAAAATGTATTTATATTGACATCTACATAGTTGCTGTAAATGCTAATTTCAGTTATCTTTTACATGGCTTTCTCCCCCTTGTCAATACACACATACGCACCCCTACAATGGAGAAGTAATGCAGACACTGTGCAGCCTGTAAGATGCTTACCATTGCCGTAACACAATTAAGACATGCAAGATCCTAATTGATTGTTTGTTTGTTTTTTTTTATAACTGACGTGGAAAATAAGAGTTAGCACCATTGTTTTTAACAGGTATACAGGTGAGAGGAGCTGGAAAATTCATTGCTGACATGGAGAAATACATGTGTATCGGGGAAAGGGGGCAGATATAAGAAGGATCATTTTGGTTTGTTTGAAAATCACATATCAAAGTGTTGAGGAAACAGAAGTTATCCACATCGTATTGCCCAAGTCCTTATTGCCATAAATGTATTGGACAACATGGGGCACCACAGGAGTAATATGCCTCAGACCAGATTGGAAATGGAACGTACCGTGACATACAACCAACTGTTATTCTTAACAAAATATAGGATCTAACCAAATTGTCCATACTGGGGTCTGGAACAGATTTTTCCTGGGAGCGAAAAAAGAACACGACCCCAAATCCACTTCTCGTGTTTTTATTTTTTATTTTTTTATTTTTGTTCGCACCGCCCCCCCCCCAGCCCCCAGAGTAAAAGAAAACTGTTTTCTAGGTAAATGGTCTTTCCTTAGCAGTACTTGCATGGCTTGGCATTTGGTGCCCAAAGCATTCAGCAATAGGTAACTTCTTTCAGTTTAAAGATTCTGGCTGGTCCATTACATAGAATTTCATTTTTATGAATCTTTGAAGACTATCGTACTTGATATTTGACATCCATTTTGGCTGCTTTCATCTTTGAACACCTTTCCTGACATGAAGCTACTCCCCAGCCTCCTCGCAGCTCAGGAGCAGGCATGGGACATAGGCTCCACCAATGAGATCTGAATAAGAGAGACTTCGATTCAGAAGCAAATGACAATGTCCTAGGCTGAAGAGTAGTCCCTACAGATATCAGATCCTAATCCCTGGAATCCGAATGTTACCTTATGTGGCAAAGTCTTTGCAGATGGGATTCAGTTAAGGATGTTGAGATGAGGAAATCATCCTGCATTACCCAGGTGGGCCTCACATGCAATCACATGTATCCTTAAAAGAGGCAGTCAGAGGGAGATTCAACATGCATGCAGAGGAGGAGGTCATATAAAGATGGGCCAGAGAGGGATTTGAAGATGTTGGACCTGAAGATTCTGCTTATGCAGCCACAAGCCAAAGAATGCTGGTAGACCCCAGAAGCTGGAAAGGAAGAAACGGGTTCTCCTCCAGAACCTCCAGAGAGAGCGCAGCCCTGCCAACACCTTGATTTCAACCCAATGATACCTGATTTTGGACTTCTGACCTCCAGAATTGTGAGAGAATAAATTTCTGTGGTTTCAGGCAACCAAGTTTGTGGTAATTTGTTACATACTGAAAACTAACACAAACATAAAGAAGTAGGCCCCGTACAGAATGCAGTCTAACGAGGTTGGTGGCAGCCACATACAGCTTTCAGAAGCAGCAGTAGCAAAGTTTCCAGGACTGCTTTCTAGTTCACAGTGAGCAGCAGAGTCTATGTCCACAAGGTCTGGCCGTGGAGTGCTCCAGTATAATCTGTGCTTTGCTTTTGCTATGTTGTCTCTGACCCTCTCTACAATCCTGTGAGCTACTGAGTATATTTTCACAAATTACTTTTCTGCCTGAACTATAGAGTATTCCATTTTTTACAACTGAGAATGCTGGCTATAACAATAATTAAATTAGCATGATCTTCAACATGTTGGGCCATCCTCACCTATAGCAGATCATGTGTAGGGCATCTCCTTCTCCCAGATATTTATCCATGTGAAATCCAGTTAAACTAAAAAGTAAGCAAAACCATTTGGTGGAAAAGAAAAGGAGGTGATGTCAGAAGCATGTTCAATTAAGATAAACTGGTCAAGTCACTGTATTCAACAAAAATAATGATGAATGAAGCCCAATCCCTGTGTTTGAGGAGGCTAAATGGGTACTGTAAACATTGTAGAATATTGTAAGTGAATACCACATTGTTACTGCCCTGCTATCTTGCCCTGTGGTTTAATAATAGAGCATGCCTCACCTTAGGGCCTCACGACCCCAAGTATGTCCAGGGACCTGTGGCATCACTCAGGAACTTGTTAGAAATGTATTAGTAGACTCTCAGACCTTAACCGAGACTTATAAATCAGAATCTGCATTTTAACAGATGCTCAAGTGATTCATATGCATTTTAAAGGTTAGAAGCTCTTTACAAGGTGACAAGGAAGAGGACGTTTTGGAGGAGATGGCACCTGAGTTGGGATTTGGGTTGAACTGAGAGAAAGACACCCCAGGTAAAGAAAATACCCTGAACATAGGCATGAAGGTGGGAAAGTATGGGACTTGATCAGGGATCATAAGGTGTTTTATGAAATTCTACATATAAGATAAATAAAGGGGAAATAGTTTAGGATTTGTTTGTGGAAGGTCAAGGTGGAGTTTCACTTTAGCCTGAGGCATTGAAGGTGTGTGGAGGGGCAGGTGGGAGGGTGACATGACTAGAACTGTGTTTTAGGAAAATTACACTGACCACATGTTGTCAAGTTGACTCAGAGGGACAGCTAGAAGGAGGCGCTCAGAAGACAGCATATTGCAGTTGTTAGGCAAGAACAAAGTAGTGACGGTACATGAGAAAAGAAGAATGTAAGGGTTACTGGGCAGGAAAACAAACAGAACTTGGTACTGTTTGTTTGGGGATGTAAAAGGCAGAGTAGATTTTAAAATTTAAAGTCTGGGTGTCCAGCAAGGAAGATAGAAATTTGGAGGAGAAGTAGGTGTATCAGCAAGATGAAAACTGGTGAGTATGAATTTTAGTCTTGTTGATTTTCATGCATCAGAGGACAAGCATGGGAAGTGCATTGGAAATGTGAGATTAAACCAGCACTCAGGAGAGAGGTGGAACCTGGGAAAAGATTTGGGGGAAATTGGTGCAAAGGTGATGACAGATACCCAGGAAATAGATTAACTTTCTGGCTAAAAGAGTGTGGATGGCGGGAAAAAAGAGCCAGGAAAAGAACCACTGGGAATACTCTCATTTAGGAGAAGGAGGAAGAAAATGTGCCAGCCAGGGATCTTAGGAGCAAATCACAGAACACCCAACTCTGGCTCACCTAAGCTGAGACAGGATTTACTGATGGGATATGGTCTTGCTCACACAGAGCCAGAGCTGGAGAACCAGGCGCAGAAAACAAGAGGCAACCGAGTGTGGCAGGCAGCCCAGAACTGCTACAAGCCCACTCCGGCCACAGGAGCTTTTGGTGCGAATGCCACCACGATGCTGCCTGCAGGGGGAGCTCGCCATGGCTGATGCTGCACCCTCGGCCCTGAGACAGCGCGGCTTCCACCTCCAGAAGTGATTTCTGACTGACCCAGGCTGAAGCCTCTGACTGACAGGGCGCAGGTCACATGCCGGCTTTCCAGCAGGGAAGGAGCGGAGGGGAGTGGGAGGGAAACGGCCCCTACTACCGTCCCCCGGGTCCTGCCTGCCTCCCCAGCCCTAACCCCGATGATTTTCCCAAACAGGCTAGGATGCGGAGGCCGAGCAGAAGAAATTGACCACTGTTCAATAAAGCAGTGAGGAAGGTAGGAGCCCCAAAATATCTGAGACAGGTCTCAATCAATTTAGAAAGTTTTTTTCGCCAAGGTTAAGGACGCATCTGTGACACAGCCTTCAGGAGAGCCTGATGACATGCCCAAGGTGGTCGGTGCACAACTTGTTTTGTACATTGTAGGGAGAGATAATCCATCAATTAATACATGTAAGATTCACATTGGTTCTATCTGGAGGGAGGGACAACTCAAAGCAGGGTGGCGGGCCTTCCAGGTAGATTTAAAATTTTCCCGTTTGGCAATTGGTTGAAAGAGTTATTATTGGTAGAAAGAACTGTCTGGGAGCAAGGAGAAGGAGGTGGTGGTGGAGGGAAGTGTTGGGAACAGACAGGGAAATGAGGACAAGCAAATCCTGGAGGGGCTCCTTTAATACAAGTTAATATTTAAAGGTGTTTATCATAAGCAAGTGTTACGCCCAAAACTGTGGGGTATTCAAACATGGGGAAGACAGGTCATGACTTCAATGAGCTGATGAGCTACCAGGCATCGGAGTAGATGACCTTTAATGTTCGTTCAACCTTAAATATGCTAGAACTTAATATTTTTAACGCAAATATCAATAAAAATCAAGTGAGGATTTAATAAGGTCAAATAATAAAAATTGCATTGGGAGTTCAGAGCAGGAGGCAGACACTTCCAGCTGGGAAGGTTTCAGGGAGGAAGCAGAATCTTAAAGGATAAGGAGACTTAGTGGGGACAATGAGCATTTGGAGGGTTTGCCAAAGAAAACAAAAGGTATAAAACTATGACACACACACACAGACACACACACATATACAAACCAGATGTCAGAGTAGACATTTATCAGTTGTGAGGCTTCCCAGCATCTGAATCTCTTGAGGTTCCCCATCTTATGAGTCACAGCTATGACTCTAAGAGCTGAAAGATCAGATGCTCACTTTCTCTGTCATCTTTAAGTCTAGGGCACAGGCGCACAGCTTGGCTTTCTCAATTAGGGACACTCAGGGGCCGGGTGCGGTGGCTCACGCCTGTAATCCCAGCACTTTGGGAGGCTGAGGCGGGTGGATCAAGAGGTCAGGAGTTCGAGACCAGCCTGGCCAACATGGTGAAACCTCATCTCCACCAAAAAATACAAAAATCAGCTAGGTGTGGTGGCGTGTACTTGTAATCCCAGCTTTTTTGGGAGGCTGAGGCAGGAGAATTGCTTGAACCCAGGAGGCGGAGGTTGCAGTGAGCTGAGATCACACCACTGCACTCCAGCCTGGGCAACAGAGTGAGACTCTGTCTTGAAAAAAAAAAAGTAAGGACACTCAGCCTCTGCGTTTAACAGTGGCAGTTGCTTCCCTGGTTCTGTGGCATGATTTTGCCTGTGTCCCACTTTCCCTAGATTCATTCTCACAGCCTGGTTTTCCACCATTTCCAGCAATTCTGCAAGCTATCTGAAATCCTTTCATTAAATTTCTTTTCTTTTTAAATTAGCTATATTTATTTTCTGTTTCTGGCAATTAAAAATACTGACTGATAGAAATGTGATCATCCTGACAGATGAATGTGACCATGGAAAAGCTTGTGATCCAGCTTAATTGAAAAATTGGGGGGATATATTAGCCAAAGTTATATTAGGGAAACAGCTCTCTAAATATGTCAAGTAAAACGTATTTAATATGGAAAACTAGAAGATTATACAGTCTGGAAGGTCCAAGGGAGCAAAGATCTGAGAAGCCACTGTTGCAATTCAAGAAATTTAGGGTTGCGTGGGTTGCAGAAACCACTACTGAGGATCTCAGCTCTGCAGCACCAAAGTGATTCTCAGGCACATGCCTGGAAATCTGAGGGAGGTCTTCCCAGATGTCTGCCATCTGCCAGTGCTCATGAGCTTGCCTCTAGCTGCAGCTGGAGAAAAATGGCTTCTCCTTTATTACCTTGCAAATCTCATACAAGTGTCCCTCATCAGTAGATTCTAAACTGAAACTCCACTGACAAAGGGAGTCTGGGAAATGTAACTTTCCAATTTCCAGTCCTGCCATAAAAGGAAGAGTTTAGAAGGATGGTCACTGGGAGAATGGGAGATAACTGTTCCCCTTCTAAGGTGTGGCGTGGGGGACATGCAAAAATGCCTGGATTCAACTCTCTTCTCTTCTTTAAGCTTCCTCACTCTCCTATTCCCACTACATCTGCCAAACCAGTAATTTCACTGAGACTTCCAGAACATCGATAACCCGATTTTCTCTAGTCCGTCAGCTCCTTCCACCTTTCTTGCAATCTTCAACTCCCTTGCCTCCTTTTCTTCCAACAGTTGCTTCTCTATACTGCGAAAAATCCTAACATTGTTTCAATCCACCTGTTTGGTTCTTAGGTACAAGCTGGCAGGTATCATTGGGGGAAAAAATCCTACACCATGCAGATTGGTGTCATTAGTAGTTTATAGCTTCTAATCAGTCCCAAGTAAGCTACAGTTCTCATTCCCCACAACTACTGTTTCAAGCTTAGTAATACACCTATCAAGTCTGACTATCCTGTCTCCTCCCCAGCCTGCACACTCTCTAAGCAATGGCCTTGTCTCCTACTCCACAGGGAAAATAAGTAACCTACACTTGAACTTTTCCATGTGTTCCCTTCCTCCCCTGCACATAAAACCTACAAACTTCTCTGTACAGTCTCCAGTCTTACCACTTTCCTCCCTGTGTTGGAGGAGGCAGACTTCTCCTGCTTAAGGCTGAATTTCCCATCTGTGCTATAGATCATTGGCAATCTTCGTATCAGTTATCACCTCTCTTGCAGAATTGCCTCAAATGCTGTCTCTTTCCTGCCTCAGTCCCTTCACTATATAACAATGCTCAATTCACACACATCTTTAAAAAAAGATGGGAGGAGGGAGTGAGGGGGAAGTTCCCTTAACTCTACACCTTCCCATTTCCCTTTCTTTCTGCTCTTATCCATAGACAAGCTACCTGGCTTCCTGGCTACCCGGAAGAGTCGTTGTCTACACTCAGTCACTGTTTCCACTAACCTCACACTGGGAGACCTTAGAGCATATTATTTAAGAGCTCAGTTTTTGAGATGGTCAACCTGGGTTCAAATTCTGCTAGGACCACTTACTTAGCTTTATGACCTAGTACAAGTCACTTAGACTTTGCAAGTCTCTGATTATTATCTTAAATTAGGGATAATCATAACTTCTCAGTGTTGTATGCAAAGTCCTAAGCACAGTGTCTGGAATGTAGTAAGTGTACATTCAATGTAACAAGTGTACATTCAATGTAACCTGCTACTATTTATTCCTTGCACCTCTGCAACCTGGTTGCTCCTCTTCTACTGTTGACACTGCCCCCATCAAGGCCTCCAGTGATCTTCTAGTTGCTAAAACTTATTAATGTTTTTCCATTTTTTAAGACAATATTTTATTTAATTTCTTCAAGGTGTTACATACTGTTGACTCCTCCCTCTTAAAATACAGTCTTTTTTTTTTTTTTTTTTTTTTTTTTTTTGAGATGTAGTCTCGCTCTGTCACCCAGGCTGGAGTGCAGTGGCATGATCTCGGCTCACTGCAACCTCTGCCTCTCGGGTTCAAGCAAATCTACTGCCTCAGCCTCCTGAGTACCTGGGATTACAGGTGCCCACCAAAGCACCCAGCTAATTTTTGTATTTTTTTTTAGTAGAGACGGGGTTTCACCATGTCGGCCAGGCTGATCTCGAACTCCTGACCTCAGGTGATCTGCTTGCCTTGGCCTCCCAAAGTGCTGGGATTACAGGTGTGAGCCACCACGCCTGGCCTAAATCCAGTCCTTAAAGTGGAGGACAATAGATGATCCACTGGGGTGTGGGAAGAAAACATTACAATTTCTATTGATGGTAAGATATGCCATTATTTTACCTATCACCAAGAAGGAAAACACTTCTAATTAAATGACACAGCTTCCTTTTGTCATTTACAAGTTTAGTTAATATTTATTACAAGAATTCTTTTAGATGTATTTAAACTTATAAATTTATTTAAACTTACAAATAATGACACTATGATTCATTGTGACTAAGTTCATTTATGCGGAGATACAACATCATCACAATTCCCTTATGGACAGACAATAAAATTGGGAAAATAAGCATTTTACAGTAGAAAAAATATATTTAGTTTATGTCTAACTTTGTAAGAAATTAAATTTTACTAATAGTTATTATATGGATTAAAAATATATATAATTTATAAGTATACATATATGGGATTTTCTCAAAAAAAAACTTTATTGATTGGGTATACAATTTAAAAGGTTTGGAGACCATTAAATCAATTAAGTCGGCCATTAAATCAATGGTCTCCAAACCTTTGAAACTGTAATACTCCTCATAGTTTCTTTCTCCACTCTGACGTTTTCTTCTTGGCTGCCTTCATGCCTCCTCTTCCTCTCTCTTTTCCTGACATGTTAGTATTCCCCAGATTCTTCATTGTTTAGACATTCCTAGAACTTTTATCTACTTTTTGTGCACTGATAATGCTCAAATCTCTGTCTCCAACACAGCTCTCTCCTGAGTTCCAGACTGAAGGGATTAGTGAATTTTTTCCATATTCATACAGTGTATATCTAAAATTCCTCAAATCTGAAAAATAAATTTATCCTCCCTTAAATCTTCCCCTCTTCCTGAGTCCTTCATCATAGCAAATGGCACCATCATTTACCAGTTGCCCACTTCAGAAGCATGGAATTTATTCTCCCAACAACCGTTTATACTTCTGGATATTATACCTTCCAATAGCTCTAGAATATGTCACCTGCTCTCCTTCTCCTCTGGTACTGCTCTAATTTAGGCCTTGGCTGAAACAGAAAATAAGTTATAATAAAGGCCAATAGCTCCATCTACAATGAAAAATTAAAACGAAAAAATAATTTGCATCGTTAATTCATCATGCTAGAGTTACCAAGATAATCAAAATGGTCCAAAACAAAGACATCTGCTATGAGTGGGTATGTGCCAGGGCTCAACACAATATTGTTTTAAGCCCATAATTACCTGGGATGCTGAATTGATTGTTTTTATCCCATAATTTGGTGTCTAGTGACTTAAGTATCTGGCTGTTAGAGAAAATCCCATTACTGTTTGGCAAACTATTTCAGACTGGATTGATTAACCATGAAATGAATGCAAGAGATTTGCACAGTTTAAACATGCACTTAATAGTTTAAATATGAGATGACATTGATGGCTTTCCAAATAGTGCTGATACTCTAATAGAGCAATTCACTAACATATATCAGTATAATCCTTACATATTCTCATTAGTATCCCATTTTTTATTTTATACTTCTAGAATTCTCCATTTTTAACTTGACAGTATTTCTAAATTCTTCATTCTGACACTTTTCATGGACAATAAACTATGGCAAATACAAGCTAAGCTACAATGATCATCAAGGGATTGCTGACTTTATTCTTCTCTTCCAATTTTTACAATGTAAATGGAGATAAGTGTAGTTGGACGGTGCAACAAAACCCAAGAGCACAGTATACAATTTGAAGAGAAATGCAAGGAGTCTCAATTGTACATGGATTGATCATCGTTAAAATGAGAAGTGTCTTTAGAATAATCGGGAGGGTCTTATTGTACCTTAAATATCAGTCATATCTCTAATCTTTTCAATAGCAGCTTATTATAGTCTATATCCTAGTAAGATTTCTCTTGTCTCTTATCTCTGCTATATCCCATTGATACTGTCCTAGTTACCTTTCCCAATATCACCTCTTGCCTGGACTTTCCTATTAGCTCTTCCAGTCTTATCAACTTTAAAGGTATCCACAACTGTCAGAGTCTTTGTGTAATCTTTTTAAGTTTTACATCTGATTATATCTTTTTGGGTGGGGGAGGCCAAAACCCTTCAGTGATCTGCCGTGTACAGAGGATAAGGACCAAGCCCCCTAATGTTGCACATACGACCTTTCTTGACATGGCTCCACCTTACCATCCAGCATCACCTATGGATGCTACTGTACAGGCAGACCTTGTGCCACTGCTAGGTATCCATCCACTCACAGATCCCAAGAGCACTACACTGTGTCATATCTTCATGACACTACACATTCAGTTCTTGCAACTACCCCATATGGCAACCTTCCCAAGTTCCCAGTGTCAATATGCTGCCCCATGGCCTTCCACTCTGGAAAATATGCCATGGCATACTCCAGAAAAATTAGCCACTCCCTCCCTTAAGCTGTGACCCTGACTTCAATATGTCTCTTTTGTTGCACTAAATCCTACCAAATCATAAATGTTCCTTCATATATCTCATTTTCCTTTAGCCTCAGAGCTACTTGAAGAGAGGGAGATATCTTGTCTATTTCTTATAGCTCCAATACTAACCTTAATAGCTAACAATAATATTAAATATCAGTTATTACATACTAGAACTATGTTTCAGGTGCTGATCTAAATGCTTCCTTCATTTAATTCTCACAATAACTTTATGAAGTGAATATTACTATTAGCCCCATTTTATATATAAGAAAAGCAAGGCATAGAGTAGGTGCTCAAAAATGTTAATGAATGTTGTTGCTTTTTAAAAAAAAATGTAATGTAGTCATATCATCATTACTCCTGGGAGCTCCCAGATACTATTACAACTGGAAGTTGAAATCTTGGTGCAGGTAAGGTGTATGCAATGACATGGATACAGCTACTTGGTTTTAGAAGGAGCTAGATTATCTGCCATGCTGAAGGTCCATGTATACTGGGCCTCAAGGTTAATTGTGTTGTTTTGTTTTTATTTTTGTTTTCACATGCTGTACTGGCATTGTAAATCACTTTTCCCTTCCCCAATCTCATCTGGACCTGACCATTATCTACATGAATGGTTACATGAAGTCCTACTTATACATTTTCTTAAAAAGTCAGACACATAAATGAAGTTACTAGGCCTGGGGAGAAAAAATGCTCACCTCAATATCACAAAGTGGGCAGTCCTTGCACTAATTTGATGTTTATCTACTTTAAATCCTGTCTCTGGCAAGTCACTACTAAGACAGATTTGAGGGTTACTCTAGATTATAAAAACTAATTGTTCTGTGGAACCATAGTTTTGCAATTTTTAGCTGTATCATCATACATGAGCACATGAATTTAGATTGTTAACTGATATGGGTCATTTCCAGAAAACATTTGAATGAACATAATAAATGAGGAGTTGGGGCTGGGTAAAAGGCCAGAAGTAGAAGTACTTATAGTACAAGGCTTGGCAGCAATTCACATAGTTTGTAGGCAACTGCCTACTACCCACCATGAAGCTGGCCCTTCCAGTGAGGTAGAGAAGTGTTACAAACGCCTTCAGTTTCTAGACTAATTCTACCGAGATATCCATAACTCATGTTGAAAAATCACAGTAGGTTGAGTTCAGTGATGATCTATACCTCACCTGACCTAGACAAGTAAGGAAGAAACAGAAGGAAGCAGAATAATAAAGTATTTGAACCCAAGGATTTGACCATCTGGTTCTTTGGGGGGAGTCATGCCTCCTGTCCTTACTTTATATTTAAGGCATTCTGTCATTACAAAAGGCAGTGATAGAGTAATGAAAGACCATTGCCCAAGGGGAATGAAAGAGTGCAGCTAAGTGAAACCAGGGCACACCCACACACACACAACAGTACACTTCTGCTTCTATTCTTTTTAACTCCTTCAGCTTCTTCGTGCTCCTAGATGCTGCTGCTTTATTAATTTTTGCTAACTGTGTATCTCATACCCAGAATCCCTAAGAGAGAGGATTTGGTTAGTTCCAATAATCACGGTAGTCCCTGCTGAGCAACCTCTCATACTGGGCCTATAGAACCCAATGACAAGGCTCCATGCAGATTCCCTCTGATGGCTGTGCTCTTTGTGTACTTCCCTTCCGGTGTGTTTTTACTCCCAACAGTCAGCACCTGCAACTGTTTGTCAGAGGGCTGCCCTCAGACTGCGTGAGGCAGCTTTTTCTGCATGCAGAGACAGCAGACCATGCCTGGGAATGCATGTCCCCCCAGGTTCAGCATTAGCCAATGATTGACAAGTATAGAAGTATAAATACCCCAGCTCCCTCAGCCCTGGTGGAATTGTCTATGATGTGACCCATGAGTCTCCAGATCCACTCCCTGCAGAATTGAGACAGTTACCTTCCATGGGGCTTTGCTTGATTCTACCCTTGTTTGTCTTACTTTTCTTTCCCGCTGCATGTTCCCCACTACCCTACTAGTTGTTTTCTGGGAATATGTCCTACCTCAAGAGTCCTGTGGCAACAAGACAAACTCCCTGGATTTTATTTGCAGATTTATTTTCACCAGGGCCTGTTTATACAAACCTTCATCCCAGTACCTGCTTCTGGGGAATCCATCCATCTCAGAAAAGGCCTCTTTCATATTCTGCTAAGCCACTTAAGAGATTGGCTTGTCTTTGAAGCAAGCACCCATCCCTCATCCAATCAGCTATGACGAGGGTTGAGGGCCATGTGGAACAGAGAATTGTAATATGTGCCTCATCAGGGGCTTTGAACATGGGTCATGCAACCTCTCAGACTATAAGAAGCACAAGGCAAGAACCAGAGATCTCTCCAGATAATGCATTCATATGCATTTGGATAGTGTCTGCTGGGCTTTAGAATGGCAAAGTGATAACAAGTGCAGGCAACAATTGTGAACTGAGTATGTCAAATTAAAGAAACTAAAGTGCTCTCTGTATCCAATGTGGAAATGACAATGTGTCATTGTAATTTAAATATGAGATGAATTAAATATGAGACATATTTTGTCTCAAAATATGAGACAAGAATATAAGAAACAAACGTGGGAGTATAACTTCAATAGGAAACACACACATAACACACACACACATGCACACACGCACACACATAGAAAGGCTCCATAAGTCAGCCTTTCTCACTGAGAACAATGTGAGTTGAACCACACTTAAGAACCTTAATAATATATTCTTAGTTTTTCATTAACTCACAGGGGAAGTCTGAGCGCCCATGGGACAGAAACCTATTACAGCTATTTACGTGGTAGACAGGGTACACTTTTATGTATGACTGTATTCTGTTTTTAATTTTTGAATTGTTAGGTATCTATCTTTCATTCTACAAATTGCACAGAGTAATCTGGTAGGTGATTTATACATTACATTATTTCACTGTAAGAATAATAAAACGCTAAAAAATCCTTTAAACCAAATAACTATTGAACTCACACATAGACAATATTATAAAACAGGAGAACAATCGATGAAGTCACAAAATATACAAGGTGTCTTTGAAGGAATTGAGGATAAAAGGACCCATAAAGATTCTACCCAAATTCGCTTGTAGTGGCCTCATACAGCACAGTGGTCCAAACCCTACTCCCCAAAAGGGAGAAGAAAAACCCAGTGTCATTTATGGAAGAAACAAAAGTTTCCATTTTTATTCTTGAATGATCTTCCCTTGTTACTGAACGATATTCTTTTACTTGCATTAAAAGGAATTGTGCCAGAGAGTAGAGAATAAAAACATAAGACTTGGTTCCAGCTCCCACGTGAATGACAAGCATCCACATAATTGTCAAACAAAGGAAAACCTGTCAGGCATCCTCATTCTAACTGATAGAATCAGGGTTGGCTTCATGGAAGAGGTCTATTTGAACTAGACTTCAGGGAACAATATAGTTTCCAAAAAGAAACAGTAGGGAGGCCGGGCACAGTGGCTCATGCCTGTAATCCCAGCACTTTGGGAAGCTGAGGCGGGTGGATCACCTGAGGTCAGGAGTTCAAGACCAGCCTGACCAACATGGTGAAACCCTGTATCTAATAAAAACACAAAAATTAGCTGGGCGTGGTGGGCACCTGTAATCCCAGCTACTCAGGAGGCTGAGGCAGGAGAATCACTTGAACCCGGGAGGCGGAGGTTGCGGTAAGCCGAGATCACGCCACTGCACTCCAGCCTGGGCAACAAGAGCGAAAAAACAAACAAACAAAAAACAAGAAGAGGAAGCAGCAGCAGTAGGGAATAGATGCTCTAAGGGCTTATTCCAGTGATTATCATTTTTCACTATCTCAGGTGAAAGTAACCCCTGCAAGTCTTAGCATCTTTTTCTTTCAGAGCTTTTCATTCATCTCTCTTTAAGAAGAGAAGCAGGAAGCCTGATTGGCTCTTTTTCTTACAAAAGAGAGCAATTGTGTTATTTTTGGAAAGTCTCTCACAGCTATCTTATCTCCATTTCCACTGCAACCACTAAAATTCAGACTTCCATTATTGTTCCCCTAGACCTTTGCAAGAGTCCTGATCGATTTCTCTATCTCTTGTCTCCCATCAAATTGCTACCACTTTCAGACCAATATTATCAAAACAAGGCTCTCATTATGTCACTCTTTCCACTCAGAAACCTTTAGTGAGACCCAAACAACTGCCAAATCCGGTTCCCATCCCCTGTTTAGCATTCAGACAGGTGCCAAATAAGACCAGACTGAAGAAAGAGCAAGGCCAAGATCACAAAGAATGAAAGACCGGCATCATTAAGATGTTATCTTTCTCAAATTAGTTCTTAAATGCAGTTCCAATGAAAAGCCAAACAGGTTTTTCATGAAAGTTGGACACACTGATTCTAAAGTTCAGATAGAAGAGCAAAAGGGCAGGATTAGCCAAGGTAATTTTGAAGAGGAAAAACAAGTGAACTGTTTTGCTCTACCAGGAATTGAGCCTTATTCTAAAGGTATAATGTATAAAAATATTATGCTACTATTGGTGCAAAGATGAGGGGAATACATTTTAATGAAGCTATATACAGAGCCCAGATACTGTCCCATTAATTTATGGATGTGTATGTATGACAGAAGAAGCACTATGAATCAATGTAGAAAGGATAACTTGGGATAATTAAACATTTAACAATTTCTATTTTTCATCATAAAGCCAAATGTACCCCAGGTGGATTAAAAATCTAAAGGTGTAAAGGAAAATGTTTTAATGTTTACAAGAAAGTATAGGAGAATAATTTTATGATCTTCAAATAGGAAAGGAATTCTTAAACAAGGATAAAATGCATCATCATAAAGAAAAGATTTATACAGCTGAATAAATTAAAGCTTAAAATGTCTATACAATAAAAGATACCACAAAGAAAAAAGACAGGCCTCAAATTCGGATTGCTTGAGCCCAAGAGTTTCCTTGTCTATAAAGGGAGAGGACAGGGAGTGGACTAAGTGGATGAGTCTACCAATCTACTCCTTGTCCAGTCTCTGCTGTCACTGTTCGGTAGATATGCTAGTTGGGCATTTGCTTGTCTGAAATTCTTTCTAAAGTCAGTGGAGAAAATTCAGTTTATTCTAATAAGATGAGTTGCTCAATTTTTTGTTTTGCTTTTGTTTTTTAAGTGGTTGAATTATAACCTTATATTTGCCCTTTGAGGTCTACATCCATGACTACAGGCCTCAAGAGTTTACTTATGACCAGGAATAAATGCAGATCTTAATTGTTGTGGTGTAGTGAGAATTGTTTAAAATTTATTCTTTGACAAAGTCCTTATCTGGGCCTCCTGGGTCCTTCTTACTACACCTGGGACAATCTGTGGGCATCGTCATAATTGCAGTTTATATGAATCCCACACTGGTTCTCTTCATGCCACAACTCCCCATGCAGTTGAATATGTTCCATGTGTTGTTTCTCTAGTTCACATCTAACTCAATTTTGGATGCTGTCTCAAGGTACAATTCTGTTGTATGTAAAATCAATATCATCAAGGTCCAATAAAGAGAACAAAACCCATGCTAGGTAGTTCAATTGAAGAAATCTAATATAGGGAAATAATGAGTTACAGAAGTGTTGGAAGAGCTAAAAAGAAGTGCTTATGAGGCTACTCTGAAAGCAACGACTATGACAAGCTACTGACATCCATGGGGCCTGAGGACAGGGAAGGGATGTTATCAGTGCGGGAACCAGGGATACATTGTAGGAGCTAGAACGTTGGAGAACCCAAAAGTTGCTGGTAGTATGGCAGAGGTTGCCTGGTGGGAGTTGGAACACAAAGGCTGGGGCTTCCAGGCAGGAGCTAGAACCACAAAGAGGCACAGCCACTGCTTGCTCTTCTCCCAAAGCAGAGAGGAAAGAAATACCCTGGGTTCTACTCCTTCCAAATTCCTATCTCAGGCCATTGGCTGACCCTAACCAGAAGGAAACAGGCAAGAGGGGTCTGGGAAGTGCAAGCCACTTGGGATTCAAAGCAGAAAAGGGCAGGGAACAGATCGAAAAAAACAGGCAAATAACCTGTACAAGAATGTGAAAAGGAAATACAAATAACCAATACACAGAGAAAAATATGTCCAACCTCATTAGCAATCAGGGTAATACAATTTTAAACCACTAACAGATACCATTTTACACCCCACCAAAAATTTTACAATGCCAATGTTGATGAAGATGTTCAGCAGTGGGAATGCTTATGCACACCAATGGGAGTGTAAATCAGAAAGTTCATTGGCATTGTCCAATAATTGTAATGCTACACATACCCTGTGCTCCAGGAATTCCATTTCTAGGACCATATCCTCAGGAAACTCTAGCAATGTGCACCAAGAGACAGGTACAAAAACTTCACAGGAGCATTAAGAGCAGCAAATACAAGCTACCCAAATGGAAACTACCCAGCGGGAAACTACTCAAACATCCCCCAACAAGAGAATGCATAGTGTCCTTTATTCTTATAATGAAATGTTACATAAAAATGAATGAACTACAACTACACACACCAACACAGATGAATGTCACAGACAGAATTTAAAGCAAAAAGACAAGTGACAAAAAAAACCCAACCCTTGAAATGATTCATTTACATAAAATTCAAAAACATGTAAAATTATAGGTACTCTTTAAGGAATGAATCATATATGGGAAAACGGTAAAGAAACAGTGATGAATAATTCAGAGGAGAGGTTACCTCTATGTGGGAGTAAGGTGAATATGACCACAAGAGGCCAACAAGCATAGCTATTCTTTTTTGGGGTATGATTTATTTTATAATTAAAAAACGTGACTTCAGAGATTCTAAAAGCTCCTTTTCCCCTCCTCCCTAATTGTGATTGGGAATAAAATATCACTAACACTCTCACACACTCATTCAAGTTCTATAGTTAGATTTCCATCATAGTGTCTTCACTTGTGGCTACTAACCTGGTCTAGGTATCAGTCTTCTCTGTGTTGTCTTAGTTTCCACATTTATAAAATGAGGATTATAGGAGTACTTACTTTGTAGGATGATTCCTAAACAAGAGAGTACATGGGAAATGCTTAGCACATGGTCTGGCTTCCAGTGGGTGGCCGATGTTTGTAATTTGTTTATACCATTGTCTCAGCTTGTAGCATCTTCATTGCCTCTATCTACTGAATGCTTCTCATCCAAGGACATCCAGTTCAATGCCTGAAAACTGCTGCCCCCACCCAAGCCAATTTTCCCCTCTTTTAAATGTCTAGACCTTCCATTGCCTGCATCATTTATGAGGTATTACTATATATTTACTTATTCATTCATGCAGCAAATCATGTGCCAGGTATTAGGGACACAGAAGTGAATGAAGCAGGCATAGTCACTGTCTTCATGGAGCCTGCAGCCTGGTGAGGGAGATACACATTAAACAAATGAGCAAGCACAGAATGATCTACTCCAGCTGTGCTAAGTGCTATCAGGAAGAAGTGTGGGAAGCCTGGAGAACCTGTTATAGAGGAAGCTCACCTAGACTGTAGAGTCAAAAAAAAAAATTTCTTTGAGAAAGTAACGTCCAAGGTGAGACCTGAAGGACACATTGCTTTTTATTGTCACCATTGACAATATTTACTGAGAATCTATAACCTAGGTGAAATAATCAGTGCACATGTCCCTGAAGAAAAAATCGTGGCAAGAGGTAATACATGTTAAATACCAAGTGAAAGGAATTCACACTATTAGGTAGATATTTGGAAGAAGGTTAACCCCTTGGTAGAAGTGTTTTACGTAAAATGTCAGATCTAAACAGAAACTTCAAGAAAGGTTGGAACTAAGACAAAGGGAAAATGGCATTCTGGATATGCATATATGGGCAGAGATAAGAAAAGGCAAGACAGGTTCAGACAGGTAGCTTGAACCAAAGAGTGACATATGAAGGGAGTAAAGAGAAAGGGTCAGATTAGGCCAGGCACGGTGGTTCACAACTGTAATTCCAGCACTTTTGGAGGCTGAGGCGGGCGGATCACCTGAGGTCAGGAGTTCGAGACCAGCCTGACCAACATGGAGAAACCCTGTCTCTAATAAAAATACAAAATTAGCCTGGCCGTGGTGATGCATGCCCGTAATCCCAGCTACTCAGGAGGATGAGGCAGGAGAATCGTTTGAACCCAGGAGGCGGAGGTTGCAGTGAGCTGAGATCGCGCCATTGCACTCCAGCCTGGGCAACAAGAGTGAAACTCCATCTCAAAGAAAGAGAAAGGGTCAAATTGTAGAGGTACTTGCTTTTTGTCTTAGAGTTTTCTTTTTGTATCATGGGCTTCTCTGGGATTCTCATGAAAGCCTTGTACCCTTCCTCCTCCTCCTCAAAACATAGTGCATTTATAAAGCTGCATAAAATTTCAGGGTTTCATAATTTCCCTTAAGTAGCATTTAGGAGCTCCTGCTATATGCAAATAGCACTGAAAGGATTTGAGTAGAAAAGTGGCATGTTCCAAACAGTGTTTAGAAGGATTCATTTGCCAGAGAGGATAATAACTGTTGGCAGTGAGGTCAATTGATAAATTATTGCAATATAATGCAAGTAGGAGCTCATATGGCCCTAGGCTAAGGTGGTGGCCCTAGGAATCCATCCATCGATTAAACTAACATTTATTGAGAGCTGACTTTGGGACAGGCCCTGTGCCCAGTGTTGAGGATGTGATAATGAATACGGCAAGACCACTGCCCTCAAGGAGCTCCAAGCTGGGCAGGATCAGAAAGAAAGGCAGGCAGCCACAGAGGCAGAGGGGATCAGGTCAGTGGCAGGTTCTCCTACTCAGAACTTCCCACCATCTGTGCCTTAGAATAAATTCAAGGCCCTTCACAAAACAGACACAACTCACCTTTCTGCTGTCATTTCCACTGGGGCCCCCACCACAACCACTTTGATCTCTCTCACAGACACACCCCCCGCAGGGCAGCTACCCTGGACTCTGGACTGTCTTCTGACTCTGCTTGCATTTTCTGGCCTCTGCCCTGTCACTGGTTTTCTCCCACCAGCTGTGCCTGCTCAAATTCCTACCCATTCTTTAAGACCCAGCTAAGATGTTGCCTTCCCTCAACATTTGTCAGAGTTTCCCCATTCATTCTGCCCTGTGTCACTGAGTGTGCCTGTATTAGGGTTCTCTAGAGGGACAGGACTAATAGGATACATGTATATATGAAAGGGAGTTTATTAAGGAGTATTGACTCATATGATCACAAGGTGAAGTCCCACAATAGGCTGTCTGCAAGCTGAGGAACAAAGAAGCCAGTCCGAGTTCCAAAACCTCAGAAGTAGGGAAGCCAACAGTGCAGCCTTCAGTCTGTGGCCGAAGGCCAGAGATCCCCTGACAAACCACTTTTATAGGTCTAAGAGTCCAAAAGCTGAAGAACCTGGAGTCCGATGTTCGAGGGTAGGAAGCATCTAGCACGGGAGAAAGGTGAAGGCCAGGAGACTCAGCCAGTCAAGTCCTTCCAACTTCTGCCTGCTTTTATTCTAGCCATGCTGGCAGCTGATGAGATGGTGCCCACCCAGACTGAGGGCTGGTCCGCCTCTCCCAGTCCACTGTTAATCTCCTTGGCAACACCCTCACAGACACACCCAGGAACAATACTTTGCATTCGTTCATATCAATCGAGCTGACAATATTATCCATCACAGTGCCTCAGTCTCCCCAGTATTCAGGGGAGGGCAGAGATGTTGTCTTTTTGTCCTTCTGTTCCATGGCGTGCCCAGATCCTGTGATGGCAGGTGCTCACTATATCTATGGAACTGAAAGGCCAGACCCTGGGGAGAGGACAGAGCAGGTTTGGGAGCCAACTGTGAAACCTTGGCAGTGGGAGTCAGGAAGAGCAACCTAGGTCTTTGCATCCTCATGCAACAAGGATGGAGGCCACCTCAAGTACACATTATGTGCTCAGCAAAGACGAGATTTAAAAGTATAAAACATTCACATTTGAGCAACTTAGGTCATTAAGAATTTGGCCTCTTTATAATGATAGCAGTGTCCACAGGAAGAGAGTGAGTGGGACATGAAATTTCTGGTTCTGCATGCAGACTTCTACATTTCTACCAGCTAATTATTATTATCATTAAATTATTAAGCAAAGAGCTTACTCGCAAAGGTCAACTTTTTATAAAGCATAAGTCATCCTTGGAAGTGTCGTTTGGTCATTCTAGTAATTCTTGCTTTTAATTCTTTAACAACTATGGGTAGAACTGCAGTGTACCATTATTCCACCTTTGTTTGCACTGTCAAAATACCCAAGACGTTGCCAAGGACGACTGAATTCTTAGGCTTGGCCGCAGCCACCCACAGGGCAGGTGCTCACTTCCTCCTCCGGGGTAGAAGAGATCATGGGTCCCTTTCCAGTCCAGGCTGGAATGGAGAAGTCGTCCCTGACCACAGTGCGCCAGGCAGAGGCCAAGGTTCTAAACTGATAGAACCCACCCACCAGGGCGGTGCCAAGTCCCAGTAAGGGCCGCATCTCCCCAGCTTGGCTGATGAAGAGGCGGGGACCGAACCCTCCAGTGCAGGAGCCTGTCTGGTGCCTGGCTCTCCCACCGATCCGCACGTACCTCTTCCTCGCGGGTCCTACCCCACGCAGGTATCTAGCGCCCAGCCCTGTTCATTTCCCACACCTGGCCCGCTCCGCCCCGGGGCCGAGGAGACGCACGTCTGATTGGCCGAGGGCGGCGGGGGCGGGGCCGGGGCGCCCCCAGAGGCCTAGACAGAGGTGCGGGCGGGGCAGGCCGCGCTCAGCAGGCGGGGCGGGAGCCGCGTGCGCCCGAGGACCCGGCCGGAAGGCTTGCGCCAGCTCAGGATGAGGACAGGCTGGGCGACCCCTCGCCGCCCGGCGGGGCTCCTCATGCTGCTCTTCTGGTTCTTCGATCTCGCGGAGCCCTCTGGCCGCGCAGGTAACCGCGGGCACGCCAGCCCCGCAGTCCGCTGGGTGCCTCGACGCCACAGCTCTGCTGCCTTCCAGCCTGGGGCAGGGCTGCGCCCCTGGGGCAGGTCACGGCTGCTTTGCTGTTGGGGCGGGGGGGCTCTGGAGCCGGAAGAGTGAGTCGCAGGGGAGGTCTGGCAGAGGAAGCGCCCCAGTGCCCTCGGGGGCCCGGAGGAGGGCGCGGTGGATGTGGGAGGACAGGGCCCTTCTGGTGCAGAGGGGACGCGGTGCACCGTAGAGTAGGCGCACGGAGGCTTTTTTGGCCGGGTGCGCTGCTCCATCGTCGCCTCTCTTATATAATGTTGCTGGAGTATGGGGTTCCCCATCTGCCCTCTTGCGTCCCGTCCCTCCCGTTCTCGCTTTTCCTTCGGCCCTTGGTCACCTTGGCCACAGGGCCAAGAGGAGCCTCCACCCACAGCGCCAAGGATTCCCCACGATTCCCGGATTTCACTGCGCCTACGGTGCGCATCAGGAAGGAAGTCAGGTTAAATAAACCATCTCCTCCGAAAGTGACCAAGACCAAGAGTCAGCTATGATGCCCTCACCCACCGCCTAGAGCAACAAACCTTTCTTCTCATTGGTTTATCAGCTCCAAATGACCCCGCTCCCCCAAGGCTGACAGCCTCACGGTGAAGGGCAGGTCGCCTGCTTGGGGACCTGCTGCCTCTCACTGCGGAAGCAGGACCAGAAACAGACAGCCTTCATTGATGTTCAGGGTAGTGCCAGCCCCACCACACCACACCCCTTGGCAGCAACCGGTTGCTTTTACTTTCTCTTTTTGCCTGGGCGAGGGGTGTGCAGAGAACTTTGTTTCTTGGTTGGACTGCATCATGGGCACTCAATGGGCCACCCTCCACCGGCCACTTCTGTTATCGTGCCTGTATGAGGAAGGAAAAGATTGTCCAGGCAGTTTGAAAAACATTAAATTGTTGGTGGCTCTTATTTTCTTTGCAGCTAAGCTAAGTTACCATCTGGTTTAGACTTCCTTCGGAGAGCGATGGGAAGAGATTTCTCAGAGTGTGAATGGCATCATCCTATCTACAGCAAGGACCTGGAAATGAACCCTGCTCTGAGTCACACTTCTCTATTCTCCTTTGACCCTGTGTGCTAGGAACTACCAAAAGAATCCTTTAAAATAAGATCCTTTATTGCCTTGATAATTTATTCTGCCTGCCCCACAATCCAAGGTGGAAAAGTTCACTGCAGCAACTAACTACAGTGAAAATGCACTAACTTTTCAATCACTAACCTCTTGGTTCCCATCGACATCTGCTTCAGTCCTGTTTTTATCTCCTTCACAAATTTCAGGATTTCCCTAATTCTTGCAATCTCTGCAATCACTGCCCTTTATCACTGACCCAAAGCAAAAAGCACCAGGTTTAACTCTGTTCCCCCTGTGCTAGGTCCCCACAGGTTTTGTTATCCTGTATCCTTCCTTACTCCTAGCAGCTACTCTGATCGATTTTCTCTCACCCTCAGAGCAGACTTGTGGCCTTGTTTGGGGAAGCACTGGAATTTTGAACCCCCAGCCATTTGGGTCAATTGTTTGGCAAGAGTGTCCGCTTCATGATGCTGGTGATGGCATGCACCTCGTCACATGTGCACGGCTAGGCTTGTGCAGGTGGCCTCTATTACCCAAACACTGAAGGAGCCCCTCTGTGTCCTTGGAGAGATGCCAGGTGCTTAGTTTACATTTTTGCCTGCTTGGAGAGCTAACAGCTTGAAGTAAACCAATCCATCAGGGACTCCTGAGGTTTTCACCAGCCAACACCACCCAATCGTGCGTGAAGACTTTCTGACTCCCTGGACATTGCCATGGACTCAACTGTCACTTCAGGACCTGTTTTTGAACTAACAAACCTAGACTTCTGATTCTCTCTTGCTGCACCTACCTGTACATTCCGAACACATGGTAGAGACTCTACAAAATGCTTAATATGTGATCTATGGACGGTTCCCCTGAAATTATAAATGCTGCCATCTTCATCCTTCTTGTTTTCCCAAGCTATTTCCCTATCCATTTGTCTGTGGTTATAAATGTCAATATCCAGCTTCTCTTTGGAATGTGTGAAGCTCTTTGGTCTAGGGACCAAAGGCAGGAATTATTTAGTGATCAGACAATAAGAAAACACTGAAAGAGATGATTTGCCTTTGATGGATGTAAAAATACTAAAAATTTATTTTCAATTTATGGTAATGCTACTTAGCCATTTTCTCTCAAACACCACTGGAGAATTTATATAACATGAAGCATATACAAAATGCATCTAGGGGGTAATGAGGCTTCTCTTCATCAACTTCTGCCTTTTAGATTTGCCCCAATATTGTACTTGGAGGTAAATATTAAAACTCCATTGAGGACTGGTATAAAGTTGTAAAGTGAACAAAACCCAGTAGAAAGCTATTGATAAAGAATCTATTTTATAAAATAAGTTTTATACAATAAAATCTACTCTGTAATTACCTTTTCAAAGTATATTTCTAAAATAGCTTATATGCCCTTCTGTACCAAATTTTCTAAATAAGGGATTATGTTCACACTTTCTCAGTCCTCCTTCCAGCTCTTCAACCTACTATCCCAATAAGGGTCGTAAGACTGAGGCAGTTTCAACAGCTCCTGCTAAGGTTAAAGAAAGATACGGGGAAGCATCATGAAAGGATAGGACTCTCCCTATCTAATGTATGTTTATACATACCTTATATATGGAGGCTAATAAGTTTCCTTTAAGTATATCAATAATTAAGATCTGTACTAAGTGACCACTATAAGTGTCACATTGAAATTGCATACTTGGTTCAAACAAGGGATTAGTCTGAGAAAAACATCTATATTCAGAGATGTAGCAGTTTGTTAGGAAGTTTGGCAGCTCCACTTTAACATAGCTACTCCACACCTCTCCTGTAGTGTTTTAGTGTTTCAATCTCGGACTCCTAACTCCTGCTTTTTCCACTGTATAAAGAAATGTAGCTAATCCATTGGATTCTACAAAAATTTTGAAAAATCCAGAACTGCAAACTGCAAAGGAAGGCAAAGCTGCTGCTTCCCCAGTTCACCTGTTTGGGATCCAGCACACAAAGCAGAATGCCCGGGAAAGACAGCAGCAAGACTACAGGGCAGGAGAGGGGCTGTTTCCAACAAGGGTGATGGGCACGTCTCCTGCAGGAGCAGACTTCTTTTTTCTTCTGTAATTTTTGATACTTTGGAATGCAAGATTTATTTTGGAGAGGCAAGAGAGAATACTTTGGAAAAGATGTAGATCAGAGATCTGAGTAGCTATTGAATTGTGGGAGAAGGCCATGAGAGAAAGTGTGAGTAGTAATCTTATAGCACATTTTCCTTTTTTGTTGACTGTCTTCCCAGCCTGTGTCCATCAAGTAGAAAATGGCAGAGGAATGTCAAAGAAGAAAGTGTGAGGGATGTGGCTGGGCACGGTATCTCATGCCTATAATCCCAGCATTTTGGGAGGCCGAAGTGGGTGGATCACCTGAGGTCAGGAGTTCGAGACCAGCTTGGCCAACATGGTGAAACCCCATCTCTACTAAAAATACAAAAATTACCCGGGTGTGGTGGCAGGCACCTGTAATCTCAGCTACTTGGGAGGCTGGGGCATGAGAATCACTTGAACCTGGGAGGCGGAGGTTGCAGTTAGCTGAGATTGTGCCACTGCACTCCAGCCTGGGCAACAGAGCAAGACTCCATCTCAAAAAAAAAAGTGTGAAGGATGAAAGCTGCTATGGCAAACATCCTTAGCTGCAATCCTGTGGAATACTTTTAAAATTCAGATTTAAAATAACTTTAAGCTTTAAAGGATTGTTGTTGCTGTTGTTGTTTCTCTTGTCGTTGCTTCTGTTATTTAAAACAAAACAAAAAAATCCTTCCAAAGTTCAAGCTGCAGTGAGACTTAATTTTATAGTTATTATTTACATGGTAAAATTCCCCTCAAGTCACCAGTCCCTGGTATGGGAATTTTTAACTCTGAAAGCCTTTGAATTATTACTAGGAAAAGCATCTGGTGTTAGTGAAACCAGTGACTGTGAAGCTGGTATCAAAATGAAAGTGCCTTTTGGGAACCAAAATTTTACAGGTCTTTCTGCTGAACTCTGGTTCACTGACAGTGATTGCTTAAGCTTGTCTAAAATATTTCAGCTTTACTCTTATCAACATGATTTGTGCTGTAATTGTTTAAAATTTTCCTTTGTAAAATAACTAACCAAATTATCTGATTATAGTTTGTTGTAACAGATGTGAATCTTATTCCACAAACTCAGGTGTGCAAGAAACAATGCATTACTTTATTTTCAGAAATCCAAATTAAATTTGATGCTGAGCTCCCATTCCACCAGGTTGCCAGAACTTCAATAATTGTCCTTACTGGGGTCTTTGCCAGCTCATGCAAAGTGCCAGGGGAACATTCAGGGAGGATTCTTCTTTAGTCATTGGATCCCGCTGGTTACCTCTGGGTTTTCCATTGTCCAAACCCACAGGATCTTGTATCTGGTGGCTCAAGACTCATCAGCCATCACTTTGGTAGTTCCTGGAGTTTGGGGTTCAGCCTTCTTAGGTGATCCACACTGTCAATCCCCCCAGGCTTTCCCCAGGCCCTGTCGCCTTCCTGAGGGTGCCACAAGCCAGTGTATGGCTGGATAGTTGCAGACGACTGTGATGAAACTGAGGACAATGAAACTGCCACAGTGGAGCTGGCCACAGGTTCTACCCTCAGAACCCAGACCTCTGTTTCTTCTTGTTTCTGTACCCCACTGTTCTGCTGCTCCCTCAGAAATTTCCCCATTTCCTCTGAGATACCTCAATGAATTTAGGTCTCCAAAAAATATCTAGGGGGAAGTGGTCTTTAAGAAAATTGTCCTTAAGTTTTCCTTTTTAGTGGCCCCACTAACTTGCCCTAAGGCAGAGGAGCACAGAGGCCTCACTATGTACTTGGATCTGAAGAAAGGAACATATATATAGTGCACATGCTGTGTTAAGCATCGACTTTTCATGTAATAATTTACCCTGCCGTAGTAGCTAACATGTAAGCAAGGCAGAATTATGGTCCCAACTAGACTTTTCATTGAGATGAAAACTAAAGAGCTTCTTTTGTCTTATTAAATGAGAAGGGAAAAATCTTTCATGAAATAGCAACAACAAATATACATGCTACTCTACACGCTTTACATGGATTAGCTCCTTTCATGCTCACAACCATCATATGAAAACTGGAGCACAGAGGTTAAATGATTTGCCCTGATCCTATGGCTAACAAGTAGCAGGAGCAAAATATGGACCCAGGCGGACTGGCTCCAGAGCCCGTGTTCTGACCCTACACACTGCACTGCCTCTCTGCTCACCACTGTCCCACCTTTTGTAGTCCCCTGCAGCTTAAAAAGAGTGGGAACAGACTGAGGATGGGAACAGTCCAGTAGTGCTCAGACTCTCCTCAGCAGGCAGGGAGCAAGGCGCTTCAACCACATAATCTACAATCTGTCTGTCCATTTGACTCAGCTAATGACCCCTTCACCATCGTCCATGGAAATACGGGCAAGTGCATCAAGCCAGTGTATGGCTGGATAGTAGCAGACGACTGTGATGAAACTGAGGACAAGTTATGGAAGTGGGTGTCCCAGCATCGGCTCTTTCATTTGCACTCCCAAAAGTGCCTTGGCCTCGATATTACCAAATCGGTAAATGAGCTGAGAATGTTCAGCTGTGACTCCAGTGCCATGCTGTGGTGGAAATGTGAGCACCACTCTCTGTACGGAGCTGCCCGGTACCGGCTGGCTCTGAAGGATGGACATGGCACAGCAATCTCAAATGCATCTGATGTCTGGAAGAAAGGAGGCTCAGAGGAAAGCCTTTGTGACCAGCCTTATCATGGTGAGTATTAGAGAGGGACTTTGACCGATTTGCTGTTGTGCTTGTCACATGTGGCATTAAACATGCACAATTTAGTAAAAATAGAGTCGTACATTAGTAAGGGCAGTGAGTAAGCTCTTCACTTCCAGGCACTGTGCAGTTACTTTGAGCGACATTCTTACAAGTCCATGGTATTTGCCTCTACTTTGCAGGTAAGGCTAAGAGAGATAAAGTGCCTTGTCTGAGGTCACACAGCCATGTTGTGATAAACCTGGGATTTCATCAGATAGATATGTACTTCTTATGATGGTCTTCTAAACCCTAGAGGAAAGGAAACCCTAGAGGAAAGGAATCATTAGATTTGTACAGGCTAAAAGTCAAATGATCTAATAATGTTGATCTTATTCTAAGTTTTAAAAGAAGAAGAAAGGTCAGGCGTAGTGGTGCATGGTTGCGGTCCCAGCTTCTCGAGAGACTGAGGCAGCAGGATCACTTGAGCACACAGGAGTTCAAGGCTGTAGTGTGTAATGATCACGCCTGTGAATAGCCACTGCACTTCAGCCTGGGCAACATAGTGAGACACCCATCCTTAAAAAAGAAAAGAAGGAGAAGGAGGAAAAATATATTTTTTCTTGCCTACGGATTTTGAATAAAATGGGAAAATTTTGAGTGGATTTTCTTATTTATTTTCATTTTTGCATGGCAACCAAATTTTGATGTTTATATTTATGATTCAGCATTTTAAGAGTGGAGTTTTTCAGTTGCTTCCGAAAATAAGTATATTAATATTGCCTTGCGGGGAGCGGACCATGGACTTAGCCCTGAGTCTAGGGACTGGATTGCAACTAATTTCTAAGTTAAAGAATGAGTAGATTTATTTTTTTAACCATTAAATGTAATTAGCTATCTCCCAAGCAAATATTTTTCATTATGTTGCTCTAAATTACACCAAATGTCGATATGCATATAATTATGTCCTCTAAGTCCTATTATTTCCCCTTGCCTTTCTTTACAAATTTCCCTAGCTTTACAGTGGCTTTCTTCTTCTCTTAAAGATCATTTAAGCTAAATTTGGCCTCAAAGTCACTATAGCAGCTTGCTCCCATACTTTCCATTATCCATCTGCACAAGTTTTTCTTTCTAGCTTTCTATTTCCTAGTGAGGATGCAAGAATTATTCTGAGAATGTCAAGTTCTGTTGTGGAGAAATATTAGAGAATTAGAGATAGGGTTTCCTTTTCATCATTCCCTGGCCTTTGAATAGTTGACAGTCTGTTTCTGCGAGCCAGTTTCCTCCTAAAAGTAAAGCAGTTGCTTTTTGGATATGACTTAATGGCAAATTTAAATTCTGTGCCACAAAAGCCCTTCTCCAACTTGCCAACTAAGAGGAAACACAGAGCCAAACAAAATGCCTTTTAATTGGATTTAACTTGTTTCATTGTATTTGTCCAGGGATCAGAAAGGATAATTTTCTTGGCAGGGTTCTTTTAGTCTCCTGATCTAATTCTTTTGAGGGGCATAGTTGTAATCTTAAACTCCCTCAGTCCCCAGTGTCTTCATTTCAATATAACTGGTTTTCCTTTTTATCCTATGTATTTTATGTATGCATTTCTAATGTTCTTCTGAGACAGGGACTGTGGATTTCACCCAGCTGCCAAAGAGATCAGTAGCACAAAAAAGGTTAAGGATCTACCCAGGGGACCACCCAGAGAGAGCTAAGCAATGCCACCAGCATAACCCAAAGGCATGAAGTGTTTCTTGACCTTTTCAAATATAATATTTGAAACACTAAAGCTTTTTTTAAAGCATATATAGTTGTGACTAGTCAAGGCATACCTCAAGTTTTAATTTGCACAGAAACCAGGGCCAAACTTGCCACCTCTTCTCTGTTTCTGTCTGGGTGACTGGTACCATCTAAGTTCTACATGTCAGAAATCAGCAAGTCACCTGAGAGGTTTCAGGCTCGCCTCTTCCACCACTCCAATATAATCAAATATGAAGTCCTGGCAATTCTACCCTTTTCAATTTATGTATATCCCTTCTTGTTCTTAGGTTAGGGACTGCTGTCTTAAGTTAGGGACTTTCTCTAGGACTCCGCTCTCAGACTCTCGATACTGATTGTTGTCCCCACCTTCTTATCTAGCAGTATATAAACAAAACATACAAGATACCCAAGTCCCAACAAAGTGAAATCCAAGGTTACCTGGTTTGTTACAGCAAAGCTAGGGCTTAAAACCAGTATTCCATTCCCCAAACATAGCTTCTTTCTTTCCCCCTTGGCTTTAGCAGTATAAACCAAGTTTTCACTTGTGATACAAGAACATTAATTTATCACTGTGCCTTGGGTTGCCTCTCACCCCAACTCCTATCCTGTGTGAGTCGTGTTCATCTCAGAGAAAACTGAAGTTGTATAAATTTTATGAGTGAACTGCTTTTGACTAGCACCCAGGTGTACATTAATATCATTAAGATACCTTGATCTCACTAGCACTTTTCAAATTTTGAATGTTTGGTGAATCACGCAGAGGAAATGGACTTTTTGTGGCAGGGTGGCTGCAGAACTATCAGAATTCTGGGCAACTCTTAGAAGCCTGCCAACAACCTCTTTATCCATTGAAACTATTTTGTCTCATGTTACTGATGACATTAATTTGCTAGTTTTCTGCATAATCACCTCATCTCACAAATTTGTAACTATTGCATAATAAAGCTGTTGTTTTAAGGATGCTATCATCATAAATTTGCACATTCAGAGAAGATTCTTCCCAGGAAAGTCTGTCTTGCTAAGGAAGCCCATGGTGTGTAAGAGGCCAGCATCAGCAAAGAATGTGTGGGAACAAAATGCTTAGTGAATAGTTAGCGTAATTTAGCTGCTTCTGGTGTGGTGGTTGTATGCTTATCATTCTTCAAAGCATATATTGTGACTTAGAGAGCTTATTAATTGAAGCCCAGCTTTGAGCTATGAAATTTAACTTGAAACTTGAGAAGGCACCCGCTGATGTCACAAGTTGTCCTTATAGGTCAAGAGTCTAATCAGAGAGAGCCCATTCTCATTCCTGTCACTTGCAGCTGAGTGCCTGAATGTATCACTTGACTACTCTGCAAAAATGGGGATTTCCCAGACAAGTATAATACCTCCCCTATGATCTCACAGGTTTATGATAAAGAACAAATGACAGAAATGTATACCAAGGCACTTTGTATTCCAAAAATCAAAGGTTTTAGAAAAGAAAACTGATGGCTCTACAAGGAACAGTCTTTGTGTTCAGGGACTGTCCTCTTAGGTTTGTAATATGGGAAAAGAAACTGGTCATGAGCTATTGGGGGGTTTTGATGCGGTTAAACTGAAACATAGGTAATAAGCAGAATCCTTATAAAATATAAGGTCAACACACTCTTTAACAGAAGTACGCTTTTGAAAACTGTTTCTATGACACAGCAAAACAAAACCAGTGATCTTTAAAAGACTATTTGCCAAGAAAAGCATCCAGATTATTATTACCTTTTGCTATAGGTCTGCTTATTACATTCTAAGCTGTTAAATGGCCTCACACTTTAGTTAGACGGACACTGGAGGAAAAGAAAGTAGAATCAAATACTGTCTTAAGCACACTTTTAAGCAAATCTGTGAGACATTTGGAGGAACCCTAATTGCCTGGTAAACGGTGATAAGATCTGATTACTATGATTTACCTAATGGCCATTATTTGATCTGTTAATGACTGAGGTTTTTAGCAAATTGTGGACCGAGGTTTTGGCAAATTGTGACAGGGATACAGGGATAGCTGTTCTATAAAAACACCTTTCCAAGAGAATTAGTATTGATATAAGTATCAAACATTCTTTCCAGCATTTCCAGGCATATTTGAGGTTGGAATCACTTTTCAGTTCCTCCCCATGTACCAGGGAAAATGATTGAAGTAAAAGCTATGTCTACTACCTCACTGGCCCCCCGCCGGTCACATGACTGCCCCATTGAAGCTGCTGCTTCTTTCACACCCCAAATTACCATGCCTTGTACCTTCCCAAGAATCTGCTCAGAAATTCAGCAGCTCTTCCTTTTACTTCCTCAAAAACCACAGTCTCAATTCTACCTCCAGTCTCTGAACAATGGGACTATTTGTCCATCTTTCTAATGCCGCAGGTGGTTCCAAAGTCCACACCCACCCTCAGTGGTTCCAAGGAATTTTTCTGGCTCCAACACTTTCTAAAGAAAAGAAAATAGAGGTAAATGTAACCTCAGCCAGGGCACCCTTTCTGGTGAAGTGCTCTGCGGCCCACAGCAGAGTTAGTAGACCCTCACCTGATCAAGCCAGGCTCTTTCAGCGCCTCATCACACCACAGTAAGTGAAGCTTCACATGGTTGATCACTGAACGCTATCCCCAGTTTGCAAAAGCAGAAACAGAGGCTACTAGAGGTTGGATAGCTAGCCCACAGGCAAACAGTGGGTTAGCAGGGAGCCAGCATTCATATCCAGACCTGACAGCACCCATGCTCTGAATTCCTACACTCGGATATTGTATTCTAAACAACGTTTCTTTTAAAAACAGTTTTAGAAATTAGCCACCTGACGCTGACTACCCAGTTTTTAACTCTCTTTTCCCCAACTTCCTCTCCAACCCAGAGATCTATACCAGAGATGGGAACTCTTATGGGAGACCTTGTGAATTTCCATTCTTAATTGATGGGACCTGGCATCATGATTGCATTCTTGATGAAGATCATAGTGGGCCATGGTGTGCCACCACCTTAAATTATGAATATGACCGAAAGTGGGGCATCTGCTTAAAGCCTGGTATGTATGGGCTGGTAAATTTTATGTGGAAAGGTAGTACATTTATATGAGGCAATAGGGAGAAGGAAGAGTTCAAAGTGACTCAAAAGTGACTGCAAAAATATTATCCCGGATAAGAAGTGTATGTTTGGAGGAGAAGAGAGAGGTAATGTGTAGCCATGAATTTGCCTTCAGAAGCAGGCCCGGAAGTGAACCAAGGCGGATGGTGTCATGGAGGAGGAGGAGGGAGTGTTCCATAGCACCCCAGGGAGAGGAAGTGTGGAAAAGGCATGCACAATTAGGAAATTGCTGCTGACCTTTAGTAGTTTCAGAAGACTAGAGGGGGTAGAAGCTGGATTGTAGTGGAATGAAGCATGAACAGAAGGAAGTAAGCCTCGTAAGTTTCACGGAGCAGAAGAAGAGACAGTTGGCAAAGGACAAAATTGCAACAAATTTATGTAGTTACAATCTTATTTGGCTTTATTGCAATTCTAGAATCAGGCAACACCTCATTTCATAAAATAGACTACTGTAAGTGTTCCAGTTCGTTGAACAGAGGGGATTGGCTTTGTAGACAGAAAAAGGGCTGAAGAAAGCAAAAACAGAAACCGAAGAGTGGATTGGTCATTTCAACGTAACTTTCCTTGTAAGAGCAATAGAGAAATAATTGATTGGTCAACATCAGGTGACTTCAGGTTAAGCATTGAAACAGAGGGAACTTCATTATCAGTCCAATTAAAGATTGAAACTGGCCTGTTGGGGAAATTAGGCAGTTGTCTCTCTCTCCTGATTTCTCAAAAGACCAGATGACAATCTGTTTCAGTTTGGTGATGTGGAACTTTGGCATGGGTGACTCCATTTTGATTTTTGAGTCCTAGATCAGGAGCTTAGTCCAAAACAGTGGCTTTTTTTTATTTAAAAAAGCAAAGGGTAGTTTAAGAAAGAGATCAGTTGAAAAACACTTTTAGAATGGTGAAATCTTAAGTATGTTTATGGCCTGAAGCAAAGAGCGGGAAAGAGAAGAGATAGATCTTCCTGGCTCAAAATTGGTGACACTGTTCCTTCCACCATTCCTGTGTGTTTGTCAGAGTGCTTTTTCTCGTTACTTTTTACCAGAAGCAAACTGTTCAGGATTTGCTAAAGAATTTGCTGTTCTTTAGAAAGACAGAGAGAGACCAAAGTAGCAATCACATCATTATCTGGCACATAACTGAGACACAGTTTCTCACCAATTAGGTGAGAGTTACAGGGGATCACGGTACCTGACATGTGATAGGTACTCACAAAATATTACTTAATGGACAATAGGTTGAAAGAATCTATAGCAAAGAGAAAGGAAAGAGCTCCAGACCTAAGTAATAATAGTTAATACTTAACAGGGCTCTGCCAGGTGTCAGATACTGTTTCAGGCTCTCAATATACATTAACTCATTCAGTCCTCACAGCAACCCTGAAAGGTACCATACTTTATCCCCATTTTACAGATGATCACAGTGAGGCACAAGGGAGATATGTAACTTGCCTAAGATCACACAGCTAATAAATATCAGAACTAGAATTCAAACCCAGGAAGTCTGGCTATGAAGTCCTTGTCCCAAACAGCTACACTAGGCTGACTCATTGAGTAGCTAGCCAGGTGGTATTAGTAATGCTGATCCCTCCTTCGGGAATGTGAGCTTCAGAATGCAGAAGCTCTTGGAGAGCTTGGAGAGATTATACTGGGTTAAGACTTAAGATTTCAGGGTGCAACAGAATCACATGGAGAGTTTGTTAGAACACAGATATCTAGGGCCCAGAGATTCTGATTCAGTAGATTTTTGGTGGGCCCCCCAAATTTGGCAAGTTTCCAGGTAGTGCTGATAATGCTGGTCTGGGAACCACACTTGGAGGATTACATATCTAATTAGAGGCCCAGGCTTCTCAACACCTGTAACCTACCTACTAAAATAGAAAAAGCCAGTATTTTCTTCAGCTATAATTGATAATAAGCAGAGTTTGGTCAGCCAGGTATCAACTTCATTTAACTCTCCTTATCATTTGGATCAGAAATTTAGATGTGAAAGTTTGCTTAGAGGTAATCCAATGTAAACCCCTGTTTCTCAGGTGAGAGGCAGAAGGCCCAGATCAGTGAAATGACCTGTCAGGGTCAGACCACATTTTTGTGGACACTAGTGAAGGATTCTTTATCCTCCTTCCCCACTGTACATATTTACCCCCACTGTACCTTGCTGCCTTGACAGGAATGTATCTTGGTGCCTTTAGCCTCCTGTGGGTGTTGTGTGTGTGCTGGGGCTTTGGGGGTGTGACACATACAGTGGTGTTAATGCATGCATATGCTTCCTAGAGTTACTTTTTATGGAAGAAGCAAGAGAAAGTTTCTCAAACCTGAGGGCTGCTAAATCATGGAGGTCATGTTGTATAGCAAACACACTGCCATCCCACTCCTGGAAGCTTCTGGATTTACAAGTGTAGGGCCTCAGTGGTAATAATGAACCTTTAGACAATGTGCTTTCAAATCCACCCTATTTTGTTTTTATCAAATGTCAGAATCTCTGTTGCTATTTATGCTATAGAAAAATGGCTGAAGCAGCAGGATGTGCCATCAGAGGATCAACAAGACCAGTGCCCTCATTATAGCTCTGTCACAGTCACCTCTAGGTCTTTGTTCCTGTCTGTTAAATAAGGACATTAGACAAGATGATCTCTAAAGGCCCTTCCAGCTTATAGGATCATGAGTATAACATCTGATATGTAACTGGCTATAGGAGGCCTTTTGGAAAGTCCCCCAGTTGGAGCCTGGGATGCACTTGACACAGCCTGCATTGGACTTCCCCTCTTGTGGGGAGTACACAGGAGGCTCTGAATATATTTTGAACCAGTTGTTTTGAAATTTTTATTTCTCATTCAGGAAACAGCTTGCAGTTTCTTTGTCTGAAATTATGCATACTCTACAAACACATATGTATATATGTTTCTATGCACATATATACACACAAATACATATATAATGCATATGTAATGTGAATTACATATCATATATTCTTTATTAAAGTATTAAGGAGAAATTTGGACATAGTTTCCCAAATAAGGTAGTCACTTGGGCTCAATATCTTGGCCATTTAAGCAGCATGTCTGTGCACACACATAAACATACAGTGGTTTTTATGCAGGCTGTGGGCAAACCCTCTGTCATCTGCCACTATGTTCAAATGAGCTTGTTTTCCATTAGCTCAGTGTTCACAACATGTGCACACTGAGACCCATATCTCAGGCAGAGGGCAGTCAGGGACATGGGCGAAAACACAGCATTGTAATTGATAGGGATAAAAGGAGAATGGAAAATAAGAAAGAGTGGAAGCTTCAACCAGCCTGAGTCATTTGGTGTGTCATGATTCCAATTTTATTGTGATCAAAATATGGTCTAAATGAGTGATGGCAGTCTCCCTTTGGGCATATCCTAAGAGTATGCAAATTGACTTGCAGTATTTCTAAGCATTCTAAGTAATAGAAAACATTATGTCCTTACTTTATGATCACTAACGTGTCTTTATCAACAGAAAACGGTTGTGAAGATAATTGGGAAAAGAACGAGCAGTTTGGAAGTTGCTACCAATTTAATACTCAGACGGCTCTTTCTTGGAAAGAAGCTTATGTTTCATGTCAGAATCAAGGAGCTGATTTACTGAGCATCAACAGTGCTGCTGAATTAACTTACCTTAAAGGTAGATTTTATTTGCATGTGATAGAGCAAATTGGCTAAAATTGTAAAGGTACTTCTTCTTCTGTTTTCATATCCAGATGTGTTTCTTTGTATGTAACTTTTCTGACCTCTCTTGGGATTTAAACTTCTACACTGAAACCCATAAGCAAAAAAGTACTGAATGTAATCATATTTCACCATTGAGAAATGTATCTTGTGATGGAAACTAAAGAGAGATTGATGTTCAGAAAACAAGGTTGGGTAGCAAGATTAAACTGCTACCCTAATCCTAAATGAAAGGATTTTCAAAAAGCGAATAATTAAACTCTTTGAACATTGAAAAATAGAGAATTAAAGGAAGGGAAGGAAGATGGTTAAGTTACACTAGATGGCCTCAGTAAACATCCTTACATTGAGTGAAAGGGTACAGTCCTCAGGGGCAAGGAGTGTTTTACTAAATCTTAAAGTGGATTTAATAACATGGACACAGAATGGGTAGGACTTTGTTTTGTTTTGTTTGGGGGATGGTAGTGGTAATTTTTTAATTTTTAATTATGAAAACTTAATAGATAAGAATAAATAAAAACTTTAAAAGACCATTTATCCTATCATAAGAATTTAAGTATCACCTTGTTAATTTCAATAACAAACCCTATTGGAACTTTGATTGGAATTGTATTGAATCATAGATTCATTAAAGAGGAATTGGCCAGGTGCGGTGGCTCACACCTGCAATGCCAGCACTTTAAAAGGTAAAGGCAGGAGGATTACTTGAAGCCAGGGGTTTGAAACCAGCCTGGGCAAAGTGAGACCACGTCTCTACAAAAAAAAAAATTTTTTTTTAATTGGCTGTTGGCATGTGCCTGTAGTCCCAGCTGCTCTGGAGACTGAGGTAGAAGGATTGCTTGAGCCTGGGAGATTGAAGCTGCAGAGAGCTATGATGGCATCACTGCACTCCAGCCTGAGTGATAGAGGAAGACCTTGTCTTAAAAAATAAATAAATAAAAGGTATTGCAGTTTCAATATTGTCTTCTCAACCATGAAAATGATATGCTTTTCTATTTATTTAGGACTTCTTTTATGTACTCAGTAAAATTCTATAACTCTTTCCATAGTCTTGTATATCTTTCAAAAGAAACTATATAAACAAATTTTAATATTATATTTAAAAATCAAGGAACCTAAGTTACTGAGTCCCTGATGAGTTATTCTTTGAATGAAAGACAAATAATTGTAATATATGATAATGATGATGTGCCAGACAGACTACTAAATGCTTTTTATACATTATCTCCTTTCATCCCATCTAACTACCTTATGAGGTGGACGTTATTGTTATCCTCATTTTGCAGATGAGGAATGCGAGGCTCAGAGAGGAAACATAACTTGTCCAAAGTCACCCACAAGTATTTAGCAGAGCCTAAATTTGAAGAGTCAGTTTGACTTGAAAACAAATTGTATCACACATATAAATGGATTCACCTTTTATAAGACTGTAAGTTCTTTGCAGGCAGAAATGGGTCTCATGGGTTGTTTTTCACTTTTGCACAAAGCTGTAAGCTTTATTGCTATATATTAAGCAAACATGTATTGTCTAAGTAATTCAGATGCATTCTGTCACACTATTTTATAATAACTGGAAATATTTGATAAATGCTTACTGTAAGCAAGCCCTACTTTCTCCAGATAAATCCATTAATCATTACTACAACCTCATCAAACAAATGTTTTATCACTAGATAAGGAAATTGATCCTTAGAAATAATATACCCAACAGCATACAGCTAAGAAGTATCAGATTGGGATTTGAATATCAACATATAGAATTGCAGAACTCTATTTATGTGAAAGAGGGTCTCAATATGTTGCCCAGGCTAGTGTGCAGTGGATATTCACAGGTGTGATCAGAGCACACTATAGCCTCAACTCTTGGGCTCAAGCGATCTTCCCACCTCAGTCTTCCAAGTAGCTAGGACTACAGGAGCACAGGATCATGCCCAGCTTTTTTGTTATACTACGTACCCCTCTTAGATATCTTTATCTCTTTTTATCATTAAAAGGCCACAGGTCTTTTGTCGCTCTTTTTGTTTACAGCTTTATTCAGACCTCCTTTCTTACTTGTAGCTTTACCCTTTTCCTGTATTGTTTGGCACTTGAATATTCAGATCTTTAGAATGAAAATCTGCCAAATAAGCCAAATGAGCTAGTGTTTGGCATTGGAGTTCTATTCCAGACCTCACTGAAGCCTCAGAAAAAATATTGTTGCGAATGAAAAGTGCCGATAAATTCAAGTTTCCTAGAATATTGACATTTGGAAACCGATGACTTCAGTGAAGGAGAAAAGTGCCAAAGTGTGACAATCAAATGTTGCACGATTCTTTATGCATCAGTTTTCTTTAATAACTCATGAAAGTAATGTAATATGGTAAAGGACCTTATTGTACCCTACTCCTGGCCGGACATGCCCCGTATTTAATACATATCATTAATTTTAGAAGTATATCTGTTTCTAATGTTTCAAGTTCCTCTTCCAGTGTGAAAGCTTCTTAGGCATATCAATACGCCTAATTATGACTATTGGTTTCCCAAGACCCAAGAAAACTGTGTTTTAACCTCTAAAACTCTGCTTTCTATCTTTCTTTCTTTTTTCTTTTTTTTTTTTTTTTTTGTTGTTGTTGAGACAGAGTCCTGCTCTGCCACCTAGGATGGAGTGCAGTGGCACAATATCGGCTCACTGCAACCTCTGTCTCCTGGGTTCAAGCAATTCTTCTGCCTCAGCCTCCTGAGTAGCTGGGATTACAGGCACACGCCACCACACCTGGCTAATTTTTGTATTTTTAGTAGAGACAGGGTTTCACCGTGTTGGCCAGGCTGGTCTCAAACTCTTGACTTCAGGTGATCCACCCGCCTTCTATCTTTCTTAATTGCTGATAGCATCTGGTCATCAAATAACAAATTTGAATGATCTATCTCCACTGTACCACGTGTGTGTGTGTGTGTGTGTGTGTGTGTGTGTGTGTGTGACTCTCACTCTCATTCTGTATCTCTAGTCTAAACAGGACCCTTTGGGCCCTAGAGCCATAAGCCACATATATATATGTTATATTATATATAATATATATATATATTCCATTGTCTATGAAACAGCTCCTATACATATTTCTGACCCAGTCCCAGAAAAACTTGATCATATGGGGATCCATGTCTGTCTCCTTCTACTAGATTGAAATTCTCATGAGGGCAAGGACTTTGTCATTTCAGTTTTTACATCCCTAGAACCTGGCAAATAATATGTGTGCCTAATGAATTTAAATTGTCAGTCTAGAATACAGTCAGATCTTCTGAATCTAGAAGTACAATGGAAACTGCTTTTGATAAGTCTTCTATATTAATAAAAGAGGATTAAAAATAGATAGTGAGACAGCTACTCTAAGAAGCTTCTGTCCTTACCTTAGATGAAAGGGAATTTGACAAGCTAATAGGAGAGCAGAACTGAATTAACTTATCAGCCTTTGGGTTTCTCAATAGTCTGAAGATTTTTGTCTATTAGCATTGCCTACCTTTGATGCATAAACAGCCCTCTACAGGGATTGCTGCCTTACAATCAAGGTCTGCAGATTTGTTTGTTATTAGTAGAATAAGTCTAATTTAGATAATAACTTAGGCAACTTTGTCACTTTTTAAAAATTTTTTAATTCTTACAGAAAAAGAAGGCATTGCTAAGATTTTCTGGATTGGTTTAAATCAGCTATACTCTGCTAGAGGCTGGGAATGGTCAGACCACAAACCATTAAACTTTCTCAACTGGGATCCAGGTAACTGCTCTTTCCCTACCCCCTCTGCACAGAACAAATCTTCAAAAAAGCAAAAGCTTCTCACTCACCAATAGCTTAGAAAAGTTTCACATCTTGGCAGCTCTTACTATGGTTACCTCTCAGAAGAATTTTTTCTTCCTAAACCATTCTTAATTGTGGTACTGTTATTGCCAAGCTGAACCACACCATGGACAACTGAGCATTTGAACCTCTAGACCTTTAGAACAACCCTACATTTTTATGTAAGAGCAAAATGAGCTCCACCACATGGCCCAGGAGCCATTCTATGTCCCTAAAGGACTTGGCATGTCTATAACTCACCCATGCTGTGTTTCATCTGCAGCTGAACTCTAATATGGAATTATCCGCTCGTTTTCAAACTCTTGGGGTCTCTCCCCACTATAGCACCCAAGTACTGACAATATAATGGTTGTATTTTATAATACAAATAAATACCTCAAAGAAAGTCTTTTAGGGAATAAAACAAGCAAAATGCCACTTAGCCAAAAAGCATTCTTCCCAAAGGAAGGATTAGACAACTTTGAAAAATAAAATCTTAGGCTTATGACAAATGTAGAACCTAAAGTTAACACTAATTTCAGTATAAAGCTGCCTGCACACATAGTAGGAAAACTGAGTTAAGAGCAATAAAATTCAAATTAGCCACTTTAGTTAATTTAGTTTGCTAAATTTCCTTACCAGCAAATGAAGTAATACTTTTATTATTTCAGTAAATAGAATATTTAAAGATAATTTAATCTTTAACTCAAGGCCTTAATGGCATGACAATGATAAATTAATATTTTTATTTTATGGAGTAGCAGATTAAGAGCTACTAAGCATAGAATATGGCCTGGAAGTCATTTGAGGAAAAAGTTTGGTTTTTGTTTTTAAAATTAACTACAACATATCATGATGTTTTCCCTTTAGATTCTATATTTTAGAAGAAAGACATATTTAAGCACATAATTATTCATTGAGGCTTATACGTTTCAATTTAGTTAAGTTTTAACTATAATATGAGTTCCCATAAAAGCATAAAATTAGGAATACAAATTATTCTTTCTGACACCATCCTGGCCCTAACTTTCTCATTCTAATGCTTTGAAAAATGTTCCCTTTTAAGACAGGCCCAGTGCACCTACTATAGGTGGCTCCAGCTGTGCAAGAATGGATGCTGAGTCTGGTCTGTGGCAGAGCTTTTCCTGTGAAGCTCAACTGCCCTATGTCTGCAGGAAACCATTAAATAATACAGTGGAGTTAACAGGTATCTTTCTCACATACTCATACAAATAGACAAATAGGTCTTAAAATCATAGTTTTGTGAAAACAAGTAAATCTTTTCCAACATCCGTTTCCACCTTTCCTTCTCCTGATACTGACAGTACAGAAAAGTACTTGATTTTTAACCCTGTGGTTAGATATTATCAACCATATATGAATAAAGCTTTATTTGAGGTAATGAAGAATATTAAATATAAATATGTATGCGCCCAGAAGAAGGCAGAGATATTCGAGATAGGAAATATACTTCTGTTCGTGTGTGGCTCTTTTTTCTCCAGAGCAGTGGTTCTCCAGGGGTGGTCCCCAGACCAACAGCATCAGCATCACCTCTTCCTGTTAGAAATGCAAGCTCTCAGGACCCACCCCAGATTTGCTACATCAGAAACTACAGGATGGGGTCCAGCAATCTGTATTTTAAGAAACTTTCCAGGTGGTTCTGATGCGTATTCAAGTCTGAGAACCACTGCAGTTCATGCCTCCGTAATGAGGCAAAACCTATAGACACAGGAGTAAGCCCAGGCTTCTCTACCTTGTGCCCCACAGCACCCAGCCCTCTTCTATCCTTCTCTGTCAGGCAAGTCTTTGCATTGAAAAATCAAGTAAAAAAGGAGAGGTGCAGAGGGACAAAATGTGTACAATAAGGGGGTTTTTCCAGGGTGTTTGGGGATGAAAGTGACACAAGAACAGCTGAAGTTTTTGAGGAGTGGAAGGGTGTGAGGAGTTTTTGAAAGAATGGAGAAGAGGAGTGTATTGACTGTCAAGCACAGGGCCTGATGTATACCTGGTATTTAATTACATCCTCACCAAATGAGAGAAACTAATACTCAAAGCTGGAGGGATGTATTCATCCGTTTTCATGCTACTGATAAAGACATACCCAAGACTGGGAAGAAAAAGAGGTTTAATGGACCTTACAATCTCACGTGGCTGGGGAGGTCTCACAATCATGGCCGAAGGCAAGGAGGAGCAAGTCACATCTTACATGAATGGTGGCAGGCAAAGAAAGAGAGCTTGTGAAGGAAAACTCCGCCTTATAAAACCGCCAGATCTCATGAGACTTATTCGCTATCACGAGAACAGCAGGGAGAGACCTGCCCCCATGATTCAATTACCTTTCACCAGGTCCCTCCCATAACACATGGGAATTTAAGGTGAGATTTGGGTGAGGACACAGCCAAACCATATCAAGGGGAAAGGATGATTTTTAAATGTCCTGCTTTAAGGAACTGTGAGTGAAGGGAATAAAGCATTCAAATGTCTTGTCATCTAAAAAGGAGTATAGAGCAATTTTTAAGGAAAAACTAGATATAAAATAAAGAATCTGAGGGGATATTTTAAGATAATAGGGGAAATGAACATTTGTCTTCCAAGTTGATTCAAACCAAATTTAGTCCATACAACAAAAGGCATAATAGAAAAGCCAGCACAAATGAAAATAAACTAGAGCAATTGATGATAGATTAAGTAAATACCTTGCAGTAGCAATTATTAAATAAATCATGATGTTTCCACATGATTGAATAATATGCATTTACTAAAATAACTGTGCCAGCAGGAAAATACAAAGAACAAAACCAAATGATATGCCTACTTATCATTTTAATCTTGTAAAAATATGTATTCATTGAGACAAAGACTAGAATATGAAAATGATTGCATTAAGTTCCATTATGGGTGATATTTTTCCTCTGTTCCTTTATCATAATTATAAAATATAACAATAATACATGCTATTTCAGAATATTAAAGTTAATTGAGTTATCTCGCAAGTGTAAGAGGCTAGCTGAATCTGAATCACTTTATCCTTTAGTAAAAAAAACAAACTGTCCACATTTTTTTTTCTTTTTTTTTTTAATTATACTTTAAGTTTTAGGGTACATGTGCACATTGTGCAGGTTAGTTACATATGTATACGTGTGCCATGCTGGTGCGCTGCACCCACTAACTCGTCATCTAGCATTAGGTATATCTCCCAATGCTATCCCTCCCCCCTCCCCCTCCCCCCACCCCACAACAGTCCCCAGAGATGCTGTGTTTTCTTACAACAAATATTCCAAATGGTTCTAAATCAGTGAAGTCTGAGTAACCAACTCACTTTCTGGTTTTGTTAACGGGGATAGAAGTATTCTGTGGGGTTTCATACTTCATTCTTTTTTTCTAATCTGGAAAGATTAGACCTTCGATTGTGAGCTTTCTCATGGTCAAAACAGAATCACTAATTCCATGAGGACCATCTGTCTAGCAGAGGGGAGGAAAGAAGTCCAGGGGTAACCTTTGCCCTCTCATCTCTTGGATGCGAAGTGTATAAATGTCTTATTCTGTCCCTTAAATCTCTGCCTGTCCTTTGTTCAACGGTGAGCGTTAATCTACATCCCCTTGCTAAGCTGGCCATACAAGAAAAGGAGGCTTGCCCTCTTATAATCTTCTCAAGGACAGAGACTGGAGGGAAACCTAACAAATTCCATATCCAGGAAAAAATTTGTCAGAAAATGACTTAAGGCACATCTTTCTACTGTCTACTTGGACTAAGGGCAATCTCCCTTGACTGTGTCCAAGCCCTTAATAGTCTGTGCTCAGCCATATAGCACATTGAAGCATGTTAAAGTCACATCATTTTCTGAATCCCAGCGGGAATTCCTATGATGCTATATATACCTCATTTATGTGGTAGGCACCACATGAATTCATGTCACCGTAGCATCTGACATCACGTCCCCAGTTTTCCAGGACTCTCATTATTCAAGAAAAAAGAATTTGCAATGTTATTGATTCACAATAGATGTATCTTTACTGGAATATAAATAGCTGCTTTTCCCCCAGATGTCTGGACATACTCAGATACCCGCTGTGATGCAGGCTGGCTGCCAAATAATGGATTTTGCTATCTGCTGGTAAATGAAAGTAATTCCTGGGATAAGGCACATGCGAAATGCAAAGCCTTCAGTAGTGACCTAATCAGCATTCATTCTCTAGCAGATGTGGAGGTGGTTGTCACAAAACTCCATAATGAGGGTAAGTTTTTAAAAATACCCTATTTGAGAGGCTTAAGCCATTTTAAAGTATCCCTGGTTTTAGACTCTTTGTGGGAATGAAAAGCTTACAGTTTGATCCCACAGATCAGCCCTGTCAGATAGGATTGTCTCTGGTGATGGAACTGTTCTACAATTGGTCTAGTATGGTGGTCACTAGCAACATGCAGCTTCTGAGCAGTTGGCATGTAGCCAGGGCAACTGAGGAACTGAATTATTACTTTTATTTCATCTTAATTAATTTAAGTGGCCGCATGTGCCTAGTGGCAACCAATTTGACAGTACTGCCATTGATTGATTTCCCTCTTCTCATGAGCTAAATTCTATTTAAGTTGCTCAAAAAACTTAAGTGATAATTACTTCACTTTTGTAATTATTTGAAAGCTAAAGACTGGTAAAGGAAAATATACTAGACGGACAGTATTATGATCTCTTCCTAGAATAGAACTCTTAGCTAGAATAGCTAAGAGTAGGTACCTACTCAGTGCCAGCCTGGTGCTCCTTGTTTCACTTGTGAAGGCAGCAGAGTCATACCAGGGCAGCAGTGGACAGTATTTCTATTCAAATTGGGATATGTATGATTGTATTTATAGAATTTCATTCACCCCACAAAGCAAAGTTTATCTACACCAGATATCAGGAACACCCAGCCTGCAGATGTTCTACCTGTGTACTTTACTTGCATAAGTTACTTGAAAAGCCTTCATTACCCAACCTGCCTGTCGTATCAACATATTAATAACCGAATTAAGAATACTACAAAGGCTCTTAAAACTCCATATCAGAATATAAAAATTTGTATAACAATGTACATATTACAGTATTTAATTGAGCAAAACCAAACAAATAATACATTTTTCTTTTAGATATCAAAGAAGAAGTGTGGATAGGCCTTAAGAACATAAACATACCAACTTTATTTCAGTGGTCAGATGGTACTGAAGTTACTCTAACATATTGGGATGAGAATGAGCCAAATGTTCCCTACAATAAGACGCCCAACTGTGTTTCCTACTTAGGAGAGGTACGAAACCTCCTGTGGTTTCTTTATATTCTTCCTGTTTTACCTAATGATAATATTAAGACTTCTTTGGTTGGGAAGTTTGCGTATAAGCTGGAAAATAAAAGGTAAGAGCACTCTGGATCAGGGTACAGAGCCACGGACCATTACCTGTTAAGAATTGGGCCGCACAGCAGGAGGTGAGCGGCGGGTAAGCAAGCATTACTGCCTGAACTCCGCCTCCTGTCAGATTGGCAGCAGCATTAGATTCTCCTAGGAGGGTGAACCCTATTATGAACTGCACATGCAAGGGATCTAGGTTGCACTTCCTTGTGGAACAGTTTCATCCCAAAACTATCCTCTTCCCCACCCTCTGTGGAAAAAATTGTCTTCCACAAAACTGGTCCCTGGTGTCAAAGGTTGGCAACAAATAATCTAAAGTCTAGACTGTCTTTCTGGTAGCTACTTTAAAAAGGTAAATAAAAGCAATTACTAAATAAGCAACCCATATCCTATCTGAGAGCATCTTTTCTGGTCTCAAACAGATACAGAGAATCCCTTTAGAACTCACATTCTTGTGCTGACTGATTCTAGCAACCTGCTTTCTCTCAGGACCAGGGCCTGCACCCACCTTTCTGCCATCAGTGTGATATTCGGCAGATAGCCACAATTTAACCTGAAAAATCCCATCTTCCAAATTCATGTTCAGATTGTTTTATATCGATACTACTTTGAGAAGTAAAAAAATGGTTTTATTTAAAAACTAGGCCTAACATTTTTCAGAAACCACCTTACTCCTATAGAATGCTTAAACATTTTTTGAACATCTTTTACTTAATAATCCAAAATAGGCTGTGTCTTGAGCAGAAAAGATATATGTACCTCTACGTTTTGTTTGTATCACTTTCCTGTGGACCCCTAATTGGTTATGAAAGTGACTGTGTCACTCAGACATCTAAAGAGACTTAAGTGGAAGCAATAAATATTATGTGTATTTAAAAGAAGTTTAGAAAGGTGTCACATTTGATGCTCTATTTAAAAGGACATCCAACATGTCTTTAGAAGAACATCAGAAATGGAAAAGTGTTCCCATGGGCAAGAGTGAATTGATGGCATACCTAGACAGCATTCCAATGTTCAAAACTGACCCTTATCACAATCGACTTATTAGAATTTAATTCAAACAAAGCAAAGTGACGTAGTCAATTAAGCAAATTAATGTTAAGTAGCATATATGAAAGAGAGAATTTTGAAGTCCAGATTGAAGTAGAGTTGAAAGAAACTTTTGACCTAGAATTCATGGAGAATAGCTATTTTAGCCACCATCATCATTTTACACGTGAGGAAACCGAGAAAGGGAGGTTGATGATGTACCTAAAAGTTTCAAACTTTGGCTATGCCATTCTAGTCTAGAAGACTAGAATGCTGGAACTGTGGGCTGAGTTCTTCTCTCTTCAACTTTTATACTAAGTGTGCTTTGATGGTTTTATTGCTACTCTTATAAGAAAATGAAATTTATCCACACTGTGACCTGGAGGTGATGCTGAGGTAACTGGCTGTGAGCCATCACTTTGCAGGCCTGTTGAGTAGCATTTTCTAGGAGTGTGTTCTCACATTTGATAATTCACTTATATTCATTTCTCTCTCTCTGTCTCTGTCATAGTTTTTGTGAGTTCAGTTCTGAATATGCGGTAAATAATTTCCTTTCCAAGCAAATGTTTTTGTCTCCTTTCAAAGCTAGGTCAGTGGAAAGTCCAATCATGTGAGGAGAAACTAAAATATGTATGCAAGAGAAAGGGAGAAAAACTGAATGACGCAAGTTCTGATAAGATGTGTCCTCCAGATGAGGTAGGTAAAATCCCTATGTAAATTTTCTCAAGCAGTATTACAACTTCTTGGTTAGAAATGGTAGCTGAGACTTAAATAACTCAGACTTATAAAATAGAGGAAACTACTAGCTTCTGTTCATTTAAGTTAGAACAAGCCAGAAGGCAGTGAGTCATAGCATATTGGCCTTCTTACAGAAGCAGAAACTTGAAAATTTCTATAAATATTTGTAGAATTACTATCCTCAAGGCTGATGTCTTTACTTCCCCCACTAATATCAATATTCAAAAATAATTCATCCAGTGAATATTATACTCTTATGATGAGCCAGCCACCCATATGAGAAGTAACCCATACTTTTTGTCTGACACAGGCCCACAGTCTTGTGGAGGTTATCTGTGAAATTGCATCCCACCCTCATCACATGTATGATTTCAATAGCCATGTCCTCAATTTCCACAAGTTCTAAGACGTTATCAATGTAGCAGAAACATGCTTGCCAGACGGGACACCATCAAGTCTGGAAAAGAGTTTGACAATATTTTTCCTCTGACTTAGGGCTGGAAGAGACATGGAGAAACCTGTTACAAGATTTATGAGGATGAGGTCCCTTTTGGAACAAACTGCAATCTGACTATCACTAGCAGGTGTGACCATCAGTAAACTTGTACTCATAAACTTTCAACTCTGAATTCTTTTGCCAAACAGTCTTCCTAAGTAAAAGGTGCATCTTCAAATAGAGTCAATCATTGTGAAACACTTGCCAATTTGATTCTCCTTTTGTAGATTTGAGCAAGAATACCTAAATGATTTGATGAAAAAGTATGATAAATCTCTAAGAAAATACTTCTGGACTGGCCTGAGAGATGTAGATTCTTGTGGAGAGTATAACTGGGCAACTGTTGGTGGAAGAAGGCGGGCTGTAACCTTTTCCAACTGGAATTTTCTTGAGCCAGGTGAGTGTCTTAATCTTTGAAGTAGTAGTATACTGTGACTAGTGAAAGGCAGCACTCCTCCCAAAGATGTTCCTCACTTACTTTTGAAATGTGAGGGACATGATGATCTTCAGGATTGGAGTCTATCTATGGAACCATAAATAGAAGCAGTGGCTATGTCTTCCCTATTATGTCCTTGGGAATAATCCAATGAAAGAAATTCAAAAACTTAGTTCTCCCAAACCACCATCTAATGGCTCAGAGCTAGAAGCACCAGTGTGAGTTTTTAAAATCTTTTCCATGTAAATCTCAAATAGAATCTAGAAGCTCCCGTGTGAGGCTCTTTACATTTTCATCTCTCTGCTTCTTAACCTATTTTCAAAACTGAATGTGTTTTCTTCCATTATTCTCAATGGGTAAGAATTATGGAGGCTATCTTGTATTATTTATTTTGTTTTTGTTTTTGTTTTTGTTTTGAGATGGGGTCTCACTCTGTTGCCCAGGCTGGAATGCAGTGGTGTGATCTCGGCTCACTGCAACCTCTGCCTCCCAGGTTCAAGTGATTCTTCTGCCTCAGCCTCCCAAGTAGCTGGGATTACAGGTGCATGCCAACATGCCCAGCTACTTTTTGTATTTCTGTAGAGATGGGGTTTTAACATGTTGGCCAGGCTGGTCTCGATCTCCTGACCCCAAGTAATCCATCTGCCTCAGCCTCCCAAAGTGCTGGGATTACAGGTGTGAGCCACTGTGCCTGGCTTCTTATTTATTTTGAAAGTTATTTCCTCTTTCTCCAACCAGCCTAAAGCATTGACCATAATTTGCCATAGAATCAGAACACTTAAGCCGGAAAGGACCTCAGAAATACTTTTAGAGTTAAGAAAACAGAGACTTTAAAAGGTGATTTACTTGACAAAGATCATCTGGTTATTGAATTAATGAAATCCAGAGTTCCTGATTTTTAAGCCAGTGGCTTTGAATAAGACAGCAGTATAAAGCATTCTACTTTTCACCCTGTGAATTATTTATATTTTATTGTGTTGGTCTAATGTGATCATGAAGACTATTTTTTATAACACAGAGATTGGAAAATATGAGCTTACAATTGAACATGTTATTTGAAATAGAAAATGCCCACAAAAGTTAGGACACATGGTCATCACCATCAACATGAGTGATGTTGCTAGTAACAAAGTCATCCTTTTATGTCTGAAAAAGATAGAGTATACAGATGTTGATCCTGGTTAAATCTCAGATTAAGAACACTCTAATGGATAAAGCACATAGATTTCTTTTTTTCTTTTTCTTTTTTCTTTTTTTTTTTTTTTTTTTTTTTTTGAGATGGAGTTTCGCTCCTCTTGCCCAGGCTGGAGTGCAATGGCTCGATCTCGGCTCACTGTAACCTCTGCCTCCCGTGTACAAACAATTCTCCTGCCTCAGCCTCCCAAGTAGCTGGGATTACAGGCACCTGCCACCATGCCCAGCTAATTTTTTTTGTATTTTTAGTAGAGACGGAGTTTCACCATTTTGGCCAGGCTGGTCTCGAACTCCTGACCTCAGGTGATCTACCCACCTCAGCCTCCGAAAGTGCTGGGATTACAGGCGTGAGCCACCGTGCCTGGCCAGATTTGTTTTATAGACACTAAGAGTAAAGGTGACGTTCTTGATAACTAAGTCTTGGTGGTTGGAGAGGTGCTTGGGAAGTAGCTACCATGACTACTTCCTCCATTCTATGACCAGAAAGGCTATGTGAAGCTCTCTTTACCATTATTGCACCCATCCTCAGCCAACTTGGTCTATCATGGGCACACCGTGGATAGAAGGACTGAACAGGGAAAAATAGCACACCCATTCAGGGTAGCAAGGCAATTATTTTTCCCAGTTTCTTATTCCTCTTGCTGTTTGTGTATATGAGACTATGTGGCTTCTCTGTTTGGTGGGATAGAAGTTGTCCTATTACTTTTCAGTATATGTAACTCTTCTTGTCTTTTACCTGCTTCAGGCAGTGTGATGTAATGGAAAATGGAACATGATGTTTTGTCAGACAAATCTGGTTTCAACCCCAACTCTACCATTCACTAACTCTGACTGTGGGCAAGTTACTTAGTCTTCATTTACAAAATGGAACTGATAATTCAAACTACCTTTTAATACTGTTATGAATACATAAAATTATGACTGTCATAAAATTAACGGTAAACAAATGTATGTTACCACATACCTCCTTCTACCTTTATTGTACCAGCTTTTCCTTTGGATCAGAATCTGGGAGAGTTGTGTTTTGAGGTTAACTAAGTTTCTTAAAAACTGCTCAAAGTTTTTAAGCTAATTTGAACCACTATCCTAAGCAGCAGTAGTATTTAGGGTACAGCTCTAGAAACAGACCACCTGGGCACAAATCCTGGGGCAACCACTTACTAATTCTATGACCTTGAACAAGTCACTTCATTCTCACTGTACCTCAAATTATGACAATAGAATCCCCCCATAGGTTTGTTATGAGGATTAATCTTTTTCAAAAAGTACTTTACAAATAATAAACACCTGTCATTATTATTCTGAACAACATATTTCTTTCCTCTCTTTGTTCCATTTTTTTTTTATTCTCTCTCCCCAACTTGGCTGAAGTAAAGAGTAGAAACACTAGAAAATGTTTGAACTTTAACGTTTTAATTTTTAATTGAGCTTTCCACTTCAATCCCAGCTTCCCCGGGCGGCTGCGTGGCTATGTCTACTGGAAAGTCTGTTGGAAAGTGGGAGGTGAAGGACTGCAGAAGCTTCAAAGCACTTTCAATTTGCAAGAAAATGAGTGGACCCCTTGGGCCTGAAGAAGCATCCCCTAAGCCTGATGACCCCTGTCCTGAAGGCTGGCAGAGTTTCCCCGCAAGTCTTTCTTGTTATAAGGTAAAGTGACATTCTCATTCTATCCTTCAATGAAGTTATTTTTCCACTACCCTTGTTCATGTCCTTGTACAAATTATGCTCTTCTCCATAGTACTATGTAACCTAACTAAAGTGCTCTGGAGCACAGAGTCCTTGGCAGGGCATCGCTGAACCTCTGGTGTGAGGTGCCTCAGCCCCACACCCTGCACGTGTCCTACCTGAAAGGGCAGGCCCAAAGCCAGAAGTGGCTCCACCCCAAGGTCTTTTTTTCCCAGTAAGTTGGTGTACTATATGCCATACTGCCACTATGCCTATGATCCTCATATTCCTCTAATTCTTGTTGTCAAATTAACAGCTCCAGCACTCCTAATAATGTAAAAAAAGTGTATATATATTTACACTTTTACAAACATATATATATTTGTGTGTATATATACAAATATATATATTTATATATACAATATATATATTTATAAACATATTTACAATATATATATTATAAATATATTTATAAATATATTTACAATATATATATTTATAAATATATTTATAAAATATATATGTTTATATATTTACAAAATATATATGTATATATATTTACAAAATATATATATATTTACATATATTTACAAAATATATATATTTACATAAATTTACAAAATATATATATTTACATATATTTACAAAATATATATATTTACATATATTTACAAAATATATATATTTACATATATTTACAAAATATATATATTTACATATATTTACAAAATATATATATTTACATATATTTACAAAATATATATATATTTACAAAATATATATATTTACATATATTTACTATATATATATTTACAAAATATATATATTTATATATATTTACAAAATATGTACATATTTATATAGATTTACAAAATATGTACATATTTATATAGATTTACAAAATATGTACATATTTATATAGATTTACAAAATATGTACATATTTATATAGATTTACAAAATATGTATATATTTATATAGATTTACAAAATATGTATATATTTATATAGATTTACAAAATATGTATATATTTATATAGATTTACAAAATATGTATATATTTATATAGATTTACAAAATATGTATATATTTATATAGATTTACAAAACATATATATATTTATATATTTACAAAACATATATTTACAATATATTTATATATATTTACAATATATATATTTACAATATATATATTTACAATATATTTATATATATTTACTATATATATTTACAATATATTTATATATATTTACAATATATATACGTTTATATATATTTACAAAATATATATACGTTTATATATTTACAAAATATATATACGTTTATATATTTACAAAATATATACGTTTATATATTTTTACAAAATATATACGTTTATATGTATTTTTACAAAATATATACGTTTATATGTATTTTTACAAAATATATACGTTTATATGTATTTTTACAAAATATATACGTTTATATGTATTTTTACAAAATATATACGTTTATATGTATTTTTACAAAATATATACGTTTATATGTATTTTTACAAAATATATACGTTTATATGTATTTTTACAAAATATATACGTTTATATGTATTTTTACAAAATATATACGTTTATATGTATTTTTACTATATGTATATATTTATGTATATTTTTACAAAATGTATATATTTATGTATATTTTTACAAAATGTATATATTTATGTGTATTTTTATTATATGTATATATATTTATATATATATTTGGTCTGCATCAGTCAGCTAGTTCCATAAACAAACCACTAGATGCCATCCCAAAATTCGGTGGCTATGACAACAAACATTTAGCCTCACATTCTCACAGATCTTCAGGCCAGCTAGAGTTTGACTGATCTAGTTTGGGCTTGAATGGTGACCTCTGCTCCCAACTTCAGGTCAGCTGTGCTGGGCTCCAGCCCTTCCTTCTAGAGCTCAGGCTAAAAGGGCAACAGCTCACAGGGGTTTGTTGTTCTCATGGTATATCACTGGAGCCCAAGAAGGCAAGCCAACCATATAAGCACATTTCAGGCCTCTGCTCAGTTTACCTTCACTAATATCCCATCAACACAGTAAGTCATATGGCCAAGCCCCATGCCAAGGTACAAAGACGTATACTCCGCCCACCAGGGGGCTGTGGCAAGACCATCTAATTATATTACAAGGAACTGAAGAATTGGGACAAATATAATTCATCCTGTCATTGTGTCATCATCTCTTCTTCCTCCTCTGCCTCCTCCTCCTCCTCTTTTTCTTCTTTCTTCTTTCTTCTTTCTTCTTCTTTCTTTTTCTCCTTTCTTCTTCTTTTGAAACAGCCCAAGTTCCAGGTTTACTTTTGCCACTTTCTGTCAATATTCACACACCAGTGCAGACTGCTCTTTGGTTGTTCCTCGTCAGAAAATAGTGCTATTTTTGTGTGGGTCACTGTGTCTTATATTCGAAATTTCTATTGTTAGCACATTTCTTTGCCAAAGGCTACTCCCAAAGCATTTATATGTATCCTTTACAGCCTTGCCTCCTGGTTCATTTTATCTTTCAAGGTCCTAGGAATACAGGAGAACGTGGATCTTGTTGGAATAGTTCCCCAGCCTGGCTGAGGAAGGCCATCCATCTGACCACAAGGACTGGCATCTGTGCTGGCCTTTAGTTGAATTGACACTTTCAGCAGGACCTGTCTGTGTCTCAGTATATGTGCATTTACCTATGCCTTCACTACACCTTTAAGAATTCATTTCAGGGGCCCACACATGTGACAGTAATTGACTTTAGCACTATGAAATACTTTATGATAATACCATAAAACAAATTAATATTATATTTTGCTAAGGTATTCCATGCAGAAAGAATTGTAAGAAAGAGGAACTGGGAAGAAGCTGAACGATTCTGCCAAGCCCTTGGAGCACACCTTTCTAGCTTCAGCCATGTGGATGAAATAAAGGAATTTCTTCACTTTTTAACGGACCAGTTCAGGTAATACTTTAAGAATGAGAATTTCTATGCTGAATTTGATGTCCTCTAGATATTCAAAATTGACATGTTCTTACCCTCACTCTCTGTTGGAAAAAAAATGGACATGTTTTATTATCTAAAAGGTCATTTGGTGCTTAGCAGTCATGGAACATTAAGCACTCTTAATGTGCAGACACTATGAGGAATCTAAAAATGAATGAGATGTATTCCCTACCCTTTGTTTAATAAAGTCCAACAGCAATGTATGGCAGAAAATCTAGAATATAGGCAAGGAAGGGCCTTGGGAATTCAGAGGAGGGAGGGAGTGTTTCTGGGAGTATAATCAGGAAAAATGTCATAAAGAAGGCTGATTCTTGGAAGGTAGGTATTATTTCAAAAGGCAAGATAGGAGAAGGAGAAGGAGCCAGAAAAAAAACAGAACATAAGCAAAGGAACTAAGACCAGAATATACAGATATGGTCAAGGAGAAATGAGTCATACAAATTAGCTAGAAAATGGAATTTGGATATGAAATTGGAATGTCCTTGTTTGCAAGGGAAGGAGTTTGATCTTAAGTAATTAAACACAACCAAACAAAAAACAAAAACAAGGTGCGTGTGTGTGTATTTATATCTACACACACTCACATATACCTGCATATATACATATATACACAGAGAGGAAGGGGTTGGCCAGGCTGGTCTCGAACTTCTGACCTCAGGTGATCTGCCCACCTCAGCCTCCCAAAGTACTGGGATTACAGGCATTAGCCACCACACCCAGCCCATTATCAGTTTTGATTAAGTGTGAGTCTGCAAATTTGTTCAATAATAATAAAGTCCAATTCTGCACTTTTGAAAGAGACTTAAAACAAAGCTTGCCAATTAGTACTTATCCAGCTCTAAGACTATAATGTTCTTTTCCTGGGAGGAAGGGGCCACAAAATACTACAAAATTGTGAAATTCTAATAAAAATCCTTAAAAATTTAAAAATTTTTTAAATTTTTTAATTTTAAAAATTAAAGCAACTAGCAACATTTTCATTGTGCAACAGATAAAAGTTAGTGCTGAGTAGCTGGTGGCCTCCTGAAATGGGGCCTGACTCTCCAATTTGCCAGGTCTCTAATTTATTACTTCTTGACCCCACTTCACTTGCTTATGTTATGTGCTTGTCTTATATTTACTCAAATAGCAATTGAGTTAATAATCACAAGTCATGTGATCATCTTAATAGGTACTGAAAATGCATTGGGTAAAATCCACTATTCATTCCTGGTTTAATACATAAATATACACTTATATTTAGTAAATATAACTAATATGTAAATTCTTATTTGAATAGAAGAATAGCTCAAATTAATAGCCATATCACACTTAATGATGAAGCATTGTTAAGTGCATTTCCCTGAAAGTCAGAAAAAGGTAAGTATCCCTATATCATCACTATTGTTAATCTTGGTTTGAAATTCAACTCCTGCACATTAAGATAAAAACAATACTATAATGTGTAAATGTTTATATATATTAAGCAGAGGAAAAGACAGATTATCAAAGAGTAAAAAATATACTATTTACATTTAAAACTAGACTGCAAAAAGGGTAATGGCTATTATATCTCTAGGAAGTAAGATTTTGAGTGATTTTTAAAGTCTTTTCTATGGGCTGGGTGTGGTGGCTTATGCCTGTAATCCCAGCACTTTGGGGGCCTGAGGTGAGAGGATTGCTTGAAACCAGGAGTTCGAGACCAGCCTGGGTAGCATAGGGAGACCCTATCTCTATTTAAAAAAAAAAAAAAAAGAATTAGCTGGGCATGGTGGCACACACCTGTAGTCCTGGTTACTCAGGAGGCTGAGTCAGGAGGATCACTTGAGCCCAGGAGTTCAAGGATACAGTGAGACAAGATAGTGCCACTGCACTCCAGCTTGGGCAACAGAGTGAGATGCTGTCTGTAAAAAATAAATGAATAGAATGTTTTCTTTGAAAATTTCTATATTTTCCAGATTTGCTTTTTGTTTTGTTTTTTGAGACAGTCTTGTTTTGTCACTCAGGCTGAGGTACAGTGGCATGATTACAGCTCACTGCAGCCTCAACCTCCCAGACTCAGGTAATCCCCCCACTTCAGCCTCCCAAGTAGCTGGGACTACAATCACATGCCACCACACCCAGCTAATGTTTGTATTTTTTTGTAGAAACGGGTTTTTCCATGTTGCCCAGGCTAATCTCAGATTCCTGGCTCAAGCGATTCACCTTCCTTGGCCTCCCAAGGTGCTGGGATCACAGATGTGAGCCACAGTGCCTGGCCCAGATTTGCTCTAATATAGCTTCTGCTGTGTTTTTCTCATTAGAGAATGTAGTTTCACTACAGTGTACTGGGAATCTAATGCAAAATATGATACCTGTGTTCCATAAATATTTATTTATTAAGCATCTATCGTAGAATCTCAGGTATTCTAGACATCATTGTCCAGTGTTAGAAATTAATATACAAAATTTCACTGCAGACTGACCCAAGGCAATTTGTATATACTAAATACTAACTCTTGGGTTCTTTGTGAGGTGAGTGTTAGCTATTCCCTCAACCTTGAGAATAGATTATAACAAATGCAAAATTCAGACCAAAATTTTCCACACATACAGACATTTGCTATGCAAACATTCATTGAAGCAGACACAAAACATTTTATACAACGTGTTTTGTAAGCTTGACAACATTCCAGCAATCTGTCCTTTTTGGTGTTTTAACTATCACCTTGCACAGATTTACTTGAAGCAGATGTGGCAGTGTTCTGTGGCAGCATTCTGTTCCCATTGTAGTGAGTATCAGGCCATCACAATCACCTGACCCAATGACTGGATGTGGGGTTGTTTCGAATCAAGCCCTACTAAGATACAGGCTGCGGCCTCGCAAGATTCTAATACACTCTTGAGAAGTGTGAGAGTTTCTCTAAATATTTTAGCTAATCCCTGCATCTCAAATAACTTATATTTCACCAGTGAGAGCCCAATCCTACCATCATGCTGATGAACAAGCTTCCGATTTCACTGACATTAACCCAGTTCTCACATTCATTCTGCTCATGACCAAAGCCTCCAGTGTGACTTTGGTGATCATGGAAGTCCTCATGGTGGCCACCTCTGGACCATGGCCTTTCTTTTTCTTTTTTTTTTTTATTATTATACTTTAAGTTCTAGGGTACATGTGCACAACATGCTGGTTTGTTACGTATGTATACATGTGCCATGTTGGTTTGCTGCACCCATTAGCTCGTCATTTACATTAGGTATTTCTCCTAATGCTATCCCTCCCCCATCACTCTGCCCCACAACAGGTCCCGGTGTGTGATGTTCCCCGCCCTGTGTCCAAGTGTTCTCATTGTTCAATTCCCACCTGTGAGTGAGAACATGCGGTGTTTGGTTTTCTGTCCTTGCGATAGTTTGCTCAGAATGATGGTTTCCAGCTTCATCCGTGTCCCTACAAAGGACATGAACTCATCCTTTTTTATGGCTGCATAGTATTCCATGGTGTATATGTGTGGGGCATGGCCTTTCAAATACACCACCAATACTTCCTGACATGTAAGTTTCAAGCAGGGCAACTTAATGGCCCTTAGATTTCAAGCTTGACACACACAATATCATATTATCCAGATAAAGTATTTTTAAGTAAAATGCTGACATAAGCTCTAGATTCCAAGCAAGAGGTTAGTAACTCTAACTGGAACGAGGAGCCATGGATAAGTACTAATGAATGAGGTTGTAGATATTTGTGAGAAACAATAAGTAGAAAACATTGGAATATCATATGTGATAGAAATGACCATTAAGAGCATCCATATACAGAACGAATTACACTAGGAAACAAAACATGAAAGGAAATTTTTATGATTTGTTTCTTTGTTTTGAATCACACTTGTTGAGCACTCCCTTCTTTAAAAAATTAATACAAGTTCATTATATAAAATTTGGAAAATATAAAAATGAGTAATGAAGCAAACAATCACCTCAAATCCTAGCTCCTGATTATAAACATAGTAAACCCTTAGTGTAAACCCTTTCTGTTTACTTACATCTCTACACATTTAGCTTTTACAAAACCTATTTTCCATAGAATGTACTATGTTTAATTTTTTTCTAATCATAAAAGTAATGCACATTGAATTTAGAAAACAGAACAGCACAGAGAAAAAACAAATCTCCTTAATCCCTTCACTTATAGGAACTGTATTTTATTTGTACTCTGATCCTAGCAGTTAACACAATGCCATGGTAAGCAGACTGCTTTGTTTGCTTAATAACTTCTCCATAATAAAGAAATTGTTTGCCTGTGCTGTGCTTAGAGAACATATTCTAAAACCAAAATTGTAACCATGGCTTAAAGGAAAGAAGGAAGCAAACCCATTTATATTAGAAAATGATTCTAAAGCATACTCCTTGAATGCCTTGGCTTTTTATTGCAGGAATTGACCTTTCTCAGCAAGATATCCATTGCCCAAATTGTGTATTGCATGCCAAGGAGTTAAGTCAGATTACTGCTGTACCTCTCACAATCTAAGTTCCACATCTCTATTTGTATTTCAGTGAAAAGGATTCATGGTGCACCAAATCATTAAGGCTCTGAGATCTTTGCAACTCTTAATGGCAGCCCAACAGGGACAGCCACTGTAGGGCAAAAATAGCCATAGGATTAGAGAAGAAAGCCTTGTTTGCAATGCCATTGCTGCTGTGTACACTACCCCCTGTGATGTGGCAAGAATGGATTTAGACATAAATCTAAGGCTTTGTAGAATAAGCACCCTCATCAAATAGTATTTATTGGGGCTTATGGCTGAGATACTGTTTTCCTTAGCAACCAAATGCAGCAGGAAATTTGATTGAGAATAGGAATTTTAACACAATTACACATATTAACCTTTTACGCTATCTCTTCTTAACCCAATAGTTTTAAAACCATATACTTAGTGCTTGGAGTACCAGGAACTTATAAAGAGAGAGAGGGAATCTCAGTTTGACTTGATTCCCCAGTTATGATCAGGTGCAATTTTTTCCTTCACATTTTCTAAAATCAACATTGGAAGTGTGCAATGATCAATGTGATATCCAATTTCTTCTTCCCTTTATCTGCCTACAGCTAAACTAGGCCAAACCAGGAATGAGTTACAATTGAGGAAATATTTTCCACTTCTGATCCCGCACAAAAAAAATACATACATGTCGCTATTATTTTCTGTATTTATGACATGCTAGTGAGTTCTTTAAAATGAAGCTGAAATCTGTAAATTTCTGTGTTCAAATGAAACTTTTTTCAATCTGTAAATTTCTGTGTTCAAATGAAACATTTCTGAAATACAGTTTCAGAAAGTAGTGGAGATTAGAAATTTTGGACAATCGAGCAAACTCTTTTCTGTAGGAAGCTGTCCTCTGAGGTGCAGCAAAGGAGCCAGAAATGGGCTTGAAAGCAGAGATGTTTCTAAGTGGAAGGAAGGGGAGCTATTAGCTGAGAGAAGACTGGGTAAGGGCTTGAGGAGCCTAGAAAGTTGAGGATGAACCTCTAAAAAGGCTACCAGTGGGAGCCTCTACAATGCAGGTGACAAATGATCTTTGATCGTCTTCCTGGTTGTATTGTGGATTGTGTAAAGAAGATAAAATAGCTAATGCTTACTTTAGGGAAACACAAAATTCTACACGAATTCCCCAGGCCCAAATATATAATGTGCAAAGATTTGGGAGAAATGCAGTTATTTCCCCAAGTAAATATGAGGAAGAAAACTTAACTGCCTCTCTATTTTAGCCGTCTGGCTTTAATTGTGCTGTGTATGCCAATTGTCTAGACCCTGTGGTTTAGAAATCCAGCACTCGGGCAGTATGATACACTCGGAAGCCTGTAAGAGAGCTCCGATGAGCTGAAGGCATAAACTGCAAATTCCTCTTGTAGCTACTAAATTTAAACTGGATTTAATTGTCTCCACTGGATATATCTTAGGTCCACAAATTGGTGGATCTGTCTCTATGAAAGAAAACAAGATAACAATAAAAACCAAAACAGGACAGTCCTCATTCATATTCCATTGCATTAAGTCCAAAAGCCTTGAGGTTGAAAAGATGAAAAAGTACTTATTGTTGTTAAAATATGAGGGAATGTTGAACAAAGGTAAGAAATAAAGAAAAGCAATTATTTATTAAAAAATAAGAAATCAGTTTAAAATTCTTTGTTTCAGCCTTTGATTCACTAGTACATTTTATTAAAATGCACTTATATTTCTCTGTAGACTTGTAGCTATATGTTCCATATATTCTGCTGAACTTGAGAGTATGCATTGTTTTTAGATTTGGAATCTACCCCTTCTCTAAAATGTATCTGTATTACACTTACAGGCATATTACATTTATATATATGTATACACACATATGTACTGATCATACATACCATGTACCAACAAAAGGTTAAATTATGTGGAATATTATTGGTCGCCTAAAAGTGTAATAAATTTTAGAAAACATTTTCAAATGGAGTTAGAGGCAGAGAAAATTTTCTGTGCTTATATTACATCTACTTATGCTGGATATTTATCCCTGGCCAGAGCATAAATGTATTTGAGGGGAAAGGATTACTTAGACATATGTTCCTGCCTCCATATTGCTTGTGTAGATAGTCTTCCTTGGAAGGCCTACCCTTCTTCCTCTTGGCCAATCTGAATACTGGCATTCAGATCATGACTAGAAAGAAATGTTAGCCATCCCTTGAAGAATATCTTTTGTCCTACCAACCTCACAAAGTCTTTCTTCATTTTCTGCAGTCCGCAGTGACCTCTCCTTTCTCTGAACTTTTGTGTCACCTAAAATGTATATAACTCATTTGATAGCTTTCATAAATGGTCTTTACTTTTTTGTTCATATATATCTTATCTCTCTATTTCATATTACATTTCAGGGTAGATGTAGGTCTTATACTTCTCTGTGTCATCATTGCACCTAGCTCAATGCCTTTTACATAAAAGTATAATACTTATAGGTGATAAGTATAATCACTTAAATTATTGCTTAATTTATTTTTCTGGTATATTTCTTTGGCACATAGGCAATACTCAAATGCTTGTTTAAACTTAGTGGATAGTAGGAACTCAACTATGTTTCAAATATTGTTTAACAAAAATTTAGCCAAATAGTTCTGCATTTTAAAGAAGAATATTTGATAGTGTTATAGACAAACACTTTAAAGAAATGCCATTGTTGCCTTTGACTGTATCTGAAAGTATTGTTTAATATTCAAGCACTACAGTAAAAGTCTTGGAATAATTTCCATTTTTTTCCTCTTAAAATTCAAAGTAGAATGGTTTTTGCCTTTCATATGAAGAAAACAGCTTAATATGTAGTTTTAAAAGTATGGTACTTTTTCTGTAACTACCCCACATTAAGGGCTTAGTTTCATTTCAAAAGACTTCTTTATGTTGCTTGAAACTGTGCTTTTCAATTAGTGATGCACATTAGACATGTGAGTGCTAAATATTTTTGCCAAGCATTGTCCTGTATTTTTAACACTTGCTTTTTACATAGTGGCCAGCATTGGCTGTGGATTGGTTTGAATAAAAGGAGCCCAGATTTACAAGGATCCTGGCAATGGAGTGATCGTACACCAGTAAGTTAAAACGTTATTGTTTTAGGTAGTATGGAAACACTGTTTGTTTCAATAACAAGTTGATTGTTAAATAATACATTGACACCTAAAATTTATATGGAACCACAAAAGACCCTGAATAGCCAAAGAAATCTTGAGCAAAAAGAATAAAGCTGGAGGCCATCACACTACCTGAGCTTGAAGATACACCTCAAAGCTATAGTAACCAAAACAGCATGGTACTGGCATAAAAACAGACACTTAGACCAACGGAACAGAATAGAGAGGCCAAAAATACATCCATATATTTATAGCCAACTGGTTTTCAACAAAGATACCAAGAGCACACAATGAGAAAAGGACAGTCTCTTCTATAAATGATAGTAGGAAAACTGGATTTCCACATGCAGAAAAATGAGATTAAACCCTTATCTCATACCATATACAAAAATCAACTCCAAATGAATTAAAGCCCTAAATGGTAGGCCCCAAACTATGAAACTACTAGGAGAAAACACAGGGGGAAAGCTCCATGACATTGGTCTGGACAAGGATTTTTTTGGATACGAACTCAAAAACACAGACAACAAAAACCAAAATAGACAAATGGGATTACATCAGACTAAAAAGCTTCTGCACAATAAAGGAAACAATCAACAGAGTGAAGAGACAACCCACAGAATAAGAGAAAATATTTGCAAATTATCATCTGATTAAAGGTTAATATCCAAAATACAGTCGTACATCACTTAACAATGGGATACATTTTGAGAAATGCATTGTTAGTTAGGCAGTGTTTTTGTGCAAACATCATAGAACATACTTAAACAAATCTAGATGGTACAGCCTACTTCACACATAGGCTACACATCTAGGCTTTATATTGCTCCTAGGCTACAAACCTGTTGAACATGTTACTGTACTGACTACTATAGGGATTTGTAACACAATGATAACATAGAAAAGGTACAGTAAAGATATAATCTCGTGGGAACACATCTTCAAGGGATGGCTAACATTTCTTTCTAGCCATGATCTGAATGCCAGTATTCACACTGGCCAAGAGGAGGAAGGATAGGCCTTCCAAGGAAGACTATCTACACAAGCATATGGAGGCAGGAACATACATGTAGGCCATCTGTGGTTGACTGAAAGGCCATTATGCAATGCATGACTGTAGATAAGGAACTCAAACAACTCAATAGCAAGAAAACAATCTGATTTTAAAATGGCCAAATGACTGAATAGACATTTCTCAAAAGAAGACATACAGATGGCCAACAGTCATAGGAAAAAATGCTCAACATCACTAATCATCAGGGAAATGCACATTAAAACCATAGTAAGTTATCACCTCCCACCTCTCAGAATGATTATTATAAAAAAGACAAAAGATACATGTTGGTAAGGATGTGGAGAAGAGGGAGCTTTTGCACACTGTTGGTGGGAATGTAAATTAGTACAACCATTATTGAAAACACTATGAAGGTCCCTCAAAAAATTAAAAATAGAACTAACCACATGAACAGCAATCCCACTACTGGGCATATATTCAGAGGAAGTGAAATGAGAATGTTTAAGATACTCGGAGGGTGACTGCAGCACTATTCATGGTAGCCAAGATAGGAAATCAACCTAAGTGTCCATCAACAGATGAATGGATGAAGCAAGTATGGTACATGTACACAATGGAGTACTACTCAGCCATAAAAGGGAAGGAAATCCTGCCGTTTGTGACAACATGGGTGACCCTGGAGGACATTATGTTAAATGAAAGAAGCCAGGCACAGAAAGACAAATGCCACGTGATATCACTGAGATGTGGAATTTAAAAAAAAAAAAAAAGGATCTCATAGAGCTAAAGAATAGAATGGTGGTTTCCAAGAGCTGGGGCAGATGAGGTGGGGGACTGGGGAGATGTTGGTCAAAGGATACAAAATTTCATTTAGATAGGAAGAATAAGTTCAAGAGATCTATTGTACAACAAGTTGGTTATAGTTAATATTTTATATTCTTGAAAAATGCTAAAAGTAGATGTTAAGTGTTCTCACCACAGAAATAACTGTGTGAGATAATGCATTTGTTAATTAGCTAAATTTAGTCAGTCCACAATGTATATATACTTCAAAACATCATGTTGTATATGATAAATGCATATACTTTTATCTGCCAATTTAAAAAATAAAATAAATACATTCACGTATCATACAACCATTAAAATTATGTGTCTTTATTGAAATGAAAATAGAGTCTCATATAGGCAGTAAGGAAAAGACAAGTTACAAGTCTTCTTTTTATTTTTAAAAACCCATATGTATAGTCTCTCTATATATAGTCAAAAAATTGTAAAGCTATAAATATAGTAGTCATCTTTGGGTAGTATGAGTGATTTTTTTCTTTTTGAAATGGGGTCTTACTCTGCCACCCAGGGTGAAGTGCAGTGCTGCGATCTCAACTCACTACAACCTTCACCTCCCAGGCTCAAGCGATCTTCCCACCTAGCCTCCCCAGTAGCTGAGACCACAGATGCATGCCATCACGCCCGGCTAATTTTTTTTTTTTTTTTTTGAGACGTAGTCTCACTCTGTCGCCCAGGCTAGAGTGCAGTCGTGCAATCTCTGCTCACTGCAAGCTCCGCCTCCCGGGTTCACACCATTCTCCTGCCTCAGCCTCCTGAGTGGCTGGGACTTCAGGCATGTGCCACCACGCCCAACTAATTTTTTAGTAGAGATGGGGTTTCACCATATTGGCCAGGGTGATCTCTAACTCCTGACCCTGTGATCCACCCGCCTCAGCCTCCCAAAGTGCTGGGATTACAGGTGTGAGCTACCGTGCCCTTCCACGCCCAGCTAATTCTTATATTTTTTTGTAGAGATAGGGTTTCACCATGTTGCCCAGGCTGGTCTCAAACTCCTGAGCTCAGGCAGTCTACCCATCTTAGCCTCCCAAAGTGTTGGAATTACAGGTGTGAGCCACATCTGGCCACAAGTGATTGTTTTCAAAGCTTTCTCTTTATACTGTTTATTTTCATTTTTATAGTAAGAAGCTTTTCTTTTTATTATCTAAATATGGAAGAGTTATACAAAAAATAAAATATCTTTTTCTGGGGGGACTAGGTGGGGATGACAGAGTCTCACTGTGTCACCCAGGCTAGAATACAGTGGTGCCAGTATGACTCACTGCAGCCTCAACCTCCTGGGTTCAATTGATCCTCATGTCTCAGCCTCTCAAGTACAGGCACATGCCACCACATCCAGCTAATTTTTGTATTTTTTGTAGAGATGGGGTTTCACCATGTTGCCCAGGCTGGTCTCGAATTCCTGGGCTCAAGCCATCTGCCAACCTTGGCCTCCCAAAGTGCTGGGATTACCAGCATGAGTCACTGTGCCTGGCCAAAAGTATCCTTATTGGAGGAAATTATTTGTTTGGAGAAACCTCTAGAAAATCCTTGCTATTATTCCACATTTATATTATAAGGATATATTAGTGTAATAGTTATAGGAGCAAAATTATTCTCAGATATTCAATATTTACTCCAATTTTTGTCACCAAAAATTGGTGACTCCAATGTCACCTCCTTTTTTATTCTTTCTAAATGTAAAACTCCTTGAGTTTATTTTCAAATTGGAGCATATCTGAGATTAGTTAATCAAATAATGAGCATTTCAACACATGCAAAAAAAGAAAAAAGTATTTTGCAAACCTGATTCTCTATGACTCCAGCGGCGAACTTAATACACTATTAACTTCCACTTCTGAAACTGTGGCTTCCTTTGTTTGGAAACTTATGACATTATGACATTTGCTAAGTCCTCTCATGATTTAGCATCATGATATAAAAAAGAGATGGAAAAGTTTTCTTTCTGTGGCATATCAACGCACTTGAGTGATTAAGGCTGCCTAAATTACATCTAAATTGCAAATATTTATACATCAGTCTTAAATTCTCAAGCCTCTCTTGTCTTTTCAGGTGTCTACTATTATCATGCCAAATGAGTTTCAGCAGGATTATGACATCAGAGACTGTGCTGCTGTCAAGGTCAGTACAATGCTGGAAAATCTGCATATTTAAAACATAAGTCCATCATCATATGCAGTCAAGTAACAGATCCATGGAGTGTCTTTTTATGTGAAGCATGATGTTAGATGCAGTGAGAGATAAGCACACCCATGGCCTGGCCCTCAGCAGCCTAACTTACACTTCATTTGAGAGGATAAAATTCATATTCAAGAAAACCTCTCTCATTACCACGCAGTAATATGCTCCAAATGAGGGGGCTGAGGAAGGCTAATGAAATTCAGAGGAGAAAGTGAGTCCCATGGCCATTTCCCAGGAAGAGGTGGGACTTGAACTGGGACTTTAAGGATGGATAGAGTTTCTACAAATGGGATAGGGTAAGGTTTTTTCATGAGGGGATGGTATGAGAAAGTGGTATAAAATAAGGTGGAAGTGGAAGAGGGCAGTGGAGAACAGAATACAGATCAAGAAGTTTCATTGGTGCTGTCCTTGATAACAGTATTAGGAAATCAGATTGATGCCACTTTAAGGAATTTCTACACTTCTTGATAGGCAACAGGGCATTTTTTAAAGTTTCTGAGTAGGGAGGGTCACATGAACTAAGGAGGGTATGAGGAAGATTCATCTTGAGACAGATGTCAAAAGCAACAGGTAAGATTGGAAGGCATAGAAGACCAGTGAGGCATCTTCCTTTGCAGAATGCATTCATGTATCCATTTCATAAACAGTCCAAGGAGTCAGTGAGGCACTGGGTGATAGAACAATGACAAGGTACAAAGCATAGCCATTGTCTTCACAAAACTAAAGTCTAGTAGGAAATAAAGACAAGTAAACAAGCAATTACAACACCACTGAGTAAAGACTATGACATGCGAAATACAAGTTTTATGCAAGAACAAGAATATTATGAAAGAATAATAAGGATGGTGATGGTGATGGTCCATGGTGGTGGTGATGATGATGATGGAGCAGCTAACACTGATTAACTCCTTTATGAGCCAGCCACTATACTAGGCATGTCACATATGTCACATAGCACATAAGCAATCTTGTGAGGTAGGCACTGTTACTGTATTCATCTCACATGGAAATTTGAGCTGTGAGTAATTTACCCCAGCTTACATGGAGTAAATTTAAACTGAAAGAACTGAAATTTACACCCATGTGTGTCTGGGTCTGGTACTCTTAACCACTATGCTATATGACTAGGCATTTATAGAAATAGAAAGGGTATTGATTTATGAGAAAATTGTATGTTTTAGTTCAGATATTTTGAATCCAAGCTAGCTATAAGATGTATGCTATGGTAAGTTGAGATCAAGAGTCTTGAGTTGAAAGGAAAATGTATATTTTTAAAAAAAGGGCCAAGAAGTGGATTTGGAGGAACTGCCAATATATAGAGTGAAAAAAGATGAAGATGGAGGAGACATCAGTTAATATCTTTGATTTGTAGTCCAAGAAAGAGATTCAACAAGGTGGCTGACCAGAAATGTTACAGGAAGGCTGAGGGATATAAGAACTGACAAAACCACAGGAAAGCACTGTTTTCAAAGTAACTCTTCTAGTAATAAACTGTGTAGTACATGTCATTTTTATAGAATTCCCAATGTAACACAGGAAAAGGTGAAAACTTCAGAGAAGCTTATGGAATTTTTAGTAGTGTTGAGAACACTGGTACAATAAACTGTGTTCTAGGGAAATAGAGTTGCCAAGTATGGAGAGATTTGAAAATCTACCAAATAAATAAAGAGATACTAATGCAACCTGCATCAGGAACAAGCCCAGCCAGGGCAGTGTTCTGTAAGGAAAATCTTACCTCACCTGCCACAGAACCCCCAGAAACTTGGTCTTAAGAGAAAATAGTCTAAGAAGTGATGGATGTCTCTCCCAAGTAATGCCTTCCCCTATCCTTTTTATCCTACTTGCTGACTGGAATTTGTAATGAGCCATCCTGGACCATGTGGAGAAGGGCAAAATCCTAGAAATGGCATGGTAACACCAGAGAAGGAGCCTGAGCCACTGAGGCTGGACCTTTATGTCGCTTTCTGATCTAATTTGATCACAGCTTGGTGCTTGGATACCTCTGAAATAAATATTCTAACAAAAATTGTCAGGTGTGGGGGAGAAAATTTGCATTTTGGACATAAACATGACTTTACAACATATTTCCTTTGTTAGCCCCTTTGAGGGCTCTTGCTCAGGGTATTACTGTTTAAATATTCCATTAATTCATGTGTTCATTTATCGAACAAATATCTTAGGTGCTAGAGCTAAAATAGAGATCAAAGTCATAGGGCTTACAGTTTAGTGTTCCATAAGGGATGTATCAACTTCAAAATATTCTGCAATACTTTTCCTCTTATAGGTATTTCATAGGCCATGGCGAAGAGGCTGGCATTTCTATGATGATAGAGAATTTATTTATTTGAGGCCTTTTGCTTGTGATACAAAACTTGAATGGGTGTGCCAAATTCCAAAAGGTAAGTGGTAGTTATTCCTTTTCACAACCTTCTCATGTTAACATTGTGAATGCCTAGCTCAAAGTAGCTAGGGGAGCATTTTGATCTATAATTCTGATGTCTAAAAGCCTATGATGATGATGCAATTAATATGTGGAGCACCCCCTGCCTGACTCCGGCTTCTAATAGAAGGCTAGCTTATTGAAATTTAGTGATATCTTACTCTTTGATCATGGAAGAATTTGCATAGAAGATAAAATGTGAGGCTCATTCAGGGAGATTAGATTTTGGATGAAATATTATTTTAAGCAAAAGGAGAAATGCAGAATCATTTTCGTTTTTATTTTGATGCAAAATGAAAAAATAAAGATAATCTTGGGAAGAATAAGGCAGAAGTCAAGAAATAAAAATTTGGCAGGTCCCTGTAAAATTTAGAAGCAATTTTCAATGAACTATAAAACTGCTAATACTTTATATAAATTCAAATTTGAGAAGCCAGTTAGATTGATAGTATAGCCTTTGATAACAGAAGGGAGAGTGGGGAGAAATGTAGATACCATTTTACTTTACTTTTTCCAGGAAAACATGAAATATTAAGAAAAATGTTAAGACTTTAATTCTCAAATTATTATTATTATTTTTTAAGACAGTCTTGCTCAGTCTTCCAGGCTGGAGTGCAGTAGCACAATCTTGGCTCACTGCAGCCTCTGCCTCCCAGGTTCAAGTGATTCTCCTGCCTCAGCCACTGGCGTAGCTGGGACTACAGGCACCCACTACCGCACCTAGCCAATTTTTGTATTTTCAGTAGAGTCAGGGTTTCACCATGTTGGCCAAGCTGGTCTCGAACTCCTGACCTCAGGTGATTGGCCCGCCTCAGCCTCCCAAAGTGCTAGAATTACAGGCATGAGCCACTGCACCCAGCCTCAAATTATTTTTAAGCAGAGATTGGCTGTATGAAATTAATTAGCAGAAAACCCATAGAAGGTTTTTAAAGAAATCTCTGAACTGAATGTAAACAGATCATTGAAACTAAAGGTATATCCTCCTACAAGTTCTCAAAGAACCCAAAGTTCACATCATGGAACTGCCTATTAGAAGATTGTTATTCCTAAAATAGTTAAAAGAGCTTCAGATGTGACATCAGGTAGTAGCAAATCTCTTTCACAAAGGCAAACTGTCAAACCAGTTGTAAGGGAAAGACAGTTGTGTTGATGGGTTTTTCTAAAGGATAAATTATGCCTAAGTTATTCTTGATTATTTTATTAAACCCAAAAAAGGGACAAAGGAAAACCAGTTTGGATATCCTTTAAACAAGTGGAAAAGTAACTTGTATATAATTAATTCGGACAATGTCTCTGTTTTGAAGTGTTAATGTGAGCCTCCCATTACTCTCTGGCATTTGTTAGCATTCCACAGACAGTGTCATTGTTCCAACCAAAGTGCCCTCGATGGGAGCTGCTGCCCCCACCTCCTGTTTGAGCAGTGGAGCAGACCCCAGAGTTTAAACAAGGGCAACCTTAGAAATGGCAAATTAGCCACCAGAGGAAATAGTATGAAGGGCATGTGGAGGTGTATATATATTTTTTTTAATATATATTTTTTAACAAGAGAGAAAGGAATTAACCCACTTAAAAATATAAATCAATTAATCGAACAAATCTAAATAATTCCACCTCCATTATCCCCATGCAGAAATAAAATAAAAAACTAAACTCCTGTTCTCAGCCTGTCCCAATCACTTGAAGAAATCAATGATTGCTTGCTCCAGGGTTTAAATGTTATGTTCACCCTTTTTTGACCGTACTGTACCTAACTTTCTAAGTTACGATGTGATGCATTCAGCTGGTTGGATATTTTCTTGGTTATTAGAGCAGCCTAAGTTTACTCAACTTGTATTCATCTGTATTTTCTGGTTTTCTTAAAGAAGTTTTCCTCTTATGTATTCTAAATCACCATGCCTCTTCTCTGGCTCTTGCCTTTTTATTACTTGGTTCTAATTAATCCTCTCTTCCCTAAAAGAGATATTTTGACAACCTGTAAATTTGAAGTTACCTCAACCACAGTGGATATTTGTACTTTTTAAATATTATTTTTTGAGAAAACTGTGTCAAAAATAAGGCTCATAAAAGTGTTTTTAGGAAAATTACCTATGATGCCATTACCCAGACATAGCAATTTTTATTGTATTTCTTGATACCTTGTACACACATACATGTTTGCAATCTTGTATAAAAAACACCTTGCATCCTACTTTTCTCACTAATTTAAAGATATTTAAAGGTTAGCCATAGCTTTCCCTCCCCCACACACAAATAATCAGAAGTCTTTGACAAGATTACAGACAAGAAACTATGTACATTTTGAACTGACTTGCAACATTATTGTTGGAAATTATCCAATACGAATAGAACTGGCTCAGAGAGAGACTAAAGATGCTGGCTATTCAGGCAGTCCTCTGAGTCAGGTCTTCTGATGCCTGCCTGAGGCTCACATGCCACACCAAAATTAAGACCAGCTATTTTACTCTGTAATTTCTAAGATTAAGCAAATGATGTCTTTGACTTGAAGCCAGTGTGATCTGTGGCCAGAATGAAAAGGGGGAGGAACGCAAATAGGCTCCCATGGGGAACTTCCCTGTGCCTGGTCCTGTGCTGGCCACTTCCTCCAGGGCATCACACGTGACCTTCACTCTCTGTGAGTCAGGTAGCCATCTAGTTTTCATAGAGGAGAAAATCAAGGCTCAGAGAGGGTTAAGCCACTCATCCGAAATACCATGGCAGCAAAATGCATAAGGGCATTTGCACACTGACCCGCCCAGCTTCCAACCCGGAATTCTGTGTAGCATGCCATTATTTACTCCGTTTCCATCTGGGAATCCTGAGTCACTTTTAATTATTTTCCTCTCAGTTTTGTCTCATCTTCTCAAAAGGTTCAACACTGGAGCATTGTACATTGTTTCCAAGGATATCTTGGAAGACAATGAACTCTATCAACCTAAGTTTACAGAACAGTTAACCTGTTTCATTAGATGCAGAAGTGGTTCCTGAATAACTTCCCTTTTCAATGACCGTTATTTTGGTTCCTACTTCTTATGCTTCTGTGTAACACATACAATATCATTATTTACTTGTTTTTACTTTCTAATTCTTAGCTATATTTTATCTGTCTTACTTCTTTTGTGACCTCTGTGACACAAGGTAAAAGACTGCTAGAAATACTTCATTAATATTTAACGTATCTGCCTTTTGGATTTCTCCTGAAGCAGGTTTAGCATCGGCCCTACAAAATACAACTAAAGTGATCAAAACGTGAAGTGGGTTGGCCAGAAATGGACAAGACTCAACAATACTGCAAGTCCTTTCGAGCTACATTAAAGGCCGTACTTATAGTATACCCTGATCTGTCATGGAATACTAATGCCACTTGCTTTCTTCCTCATACAGGCCGTACTCCAAAAACACCAGACTGGTACAATCCAGGTGAGTTAAGAAAACTGAAATTTAACCAAAGCTGCTTTTACCTTGTCACTAATGCATTTAGTTAATTATTTAAGTGCCAGCTTCTTCTCTATACATCTTCAAGTGAGACAAAATTTCTCCAGGCAAGGAAGGTGAGCGACTGGTATGGGATGAGGTGATGAGGGTGACTTTTTCCTTCCCTGTGAGTGTAGGGGAGTGGCAGAGTCACTGGCTCAGGAATCTCTTGTTCCTTGTAGTCAGTACTGCCCCAGCCAGAGAGGGCCGGTAATCTGAATTACTATTTATAGTTTTGAACATTAACTCATGCTTAGAGGACACAGTTTGCTTTGCATAGTCATAATTCTAATCTTTTTCTTCTTCTTCTTTAGACCGTGCTGGAATTCATGGACCTCCACTTATAATTGAAGGAAGTGAATATTGGTTTGTTGCTGATCTTCACCTAAACTATGAAGAAGCCGTCCTGTACTGTGCCAGCAATCACAGCTTTCTTGCAACTATAACATCTTTTGTGGGACTAAAAGCCATCAAAAACAAAATAGCAAATGTAATTTAAAAGAATATATTTTAAATATATTTCTTATTTTTGTATTTATTCCATTTAAAAATATTACAAAAATTTTGCCAAAATCTACAAAAGTTAAATTTTTCTTTAATGTAAAATCTGCCTCACAGCATCCAAATTTGTTTCATGTTAGAAAAATTAAGTAGAATTGCTTATGTTTTAAAATATACAAGATTAATAATAAATGTCACTTTATAAGGTAAACATCAGTAGATAATATAGATCATTCTAATTTCCTGTCACATTTTTTACTAAAAGTCAACTTTATAGTTAACTTGAGTTTCTGTTTCTACTAATAAGTAACTTTGCAAAATAATTTTTGGGAAGAAAAATAATTTCTGTATTTTTAAATTTATAATCAATTGCAATAGGATACTGTATGCCCACTTAAAGTATTAGTCTAATTAATATATGCCCATAATTACAGCTACCATATTTCCTGTACCCACAATAGGATCTGTAAATATACTGAGAAATTTCAACTACTCTTTGGCAAAAGGTTCTAGTTTGTATAATTTTGAAATCTAAGTAAGGAATGTCTGGAAATTTTAGTGGTTAGTGATTATAGTAAGACAATGTATTCGAATCAAAACCCTCAAGAAAGCTCAGCACATATAAGGATGGATGTTTGGCTTGTTTTTCAGATATCTGGTGATGGACAGAAGTGGTGGATAAGAATTAGCGAGTGGCCAATAGATGATCATTTTACATAGTAGGTGACATCATTGATTCTACCTTTGTAAAGTTATCACTTAAAAGAAGCAGTTCCTTTTACTAAATGGATTTCTATTTATAAGTAGTTTGAATATTAATCCATAAACTGCCTAAATTAGAGAAACCAAGCCCTTTTGCATGTTAGCATCAAGAAAAAAGGGGTATAGAGTAATGGTATTAACATTAAATTTAGAAATAAAATAACTTACAGTAAAAAGAAAAAAATGGAACACCTAATTACATTACGAGTTGTCAAATCTGTCATTTTCTTTTAGCTCACGATATCCATGGCACCGCTTTCCTGTGACATTTGGAGAGGAATGCTTGTACATGTCTGCCAAGACTTGGCTTATCGGTAAAGTTAATTCTAAATCCTTTAATGCTGATTATGTAATATGTGAAGTTCAGGTTCAGTTTCTAGCTTAATCTTGTTTTCCTTTTAATTATATGTTTGGTAATTTCATCTTATTCTGATTTATTATTAGCAACAATAGCTCAAATTCCCAATGCAAATAAAGGTACTTTTCACTGTGAATATTTTAACTTCCTTTATCCTAAAGCAGTTACTTAGTAATAAACTTACCACTTTCCTAACTGATAAGTGTCTAAGCAAATTTTCAAAGATAAGCAGGCAGCAGTTCTAAAATATAGTTTAAGTCCCCTCCCCCTGATTACATTGCCCCTTCAACTCTCTTCCTACCTCCTGCCTTCACCCTGGGATGGTATGGTAGTCACACAAAATGTGTGCTGTTTCATAGACAGTATTGGTATGCTGTAACCTACTGATAAAAATAATCATAGAAGACAGAAATGGCTAGAGAAGAAAGGGAATATATTTTAAGCATTTAGGAAAGATTGATTTCAAGAGCCTTTCTTTACTACTGGGTTGCTTTTAAAATGTGCTGACTTGGCCGGGCACGGTGGCTCATGCCTGTAATCCCAGCACTTTGGGAGGCTGAGGCAGGCAAATCACTTGAGGCAAGGAGTTCGAGACCAGCCTGGCCAACGTGGTGAATCCCTGTCTCTACTAAAAATACAAAAATTAGCCAGGTGTGGCAGCATGCACCTGCAATCCCAGCTTCTTGGGAGGCTGAAGTATGAGAATCACTTGAATCTGGGAGGTGGAGGATGCAGTAAGCCAACATTGCACCACTGCACTCCAGCCCCGGGCAACAGAGCGAGACTCTGTCTCAAAAAAAAAAAAACAAAAAAAAACACACAAAACAAAATAAAAATGTACTGACTGAAAAATTCTCACCATAGTAATCCTGGCTTTTCATTTCTCAGACTTAGGTAAACCAACAGACTGTAGTACCAAGTTGCCCTTCATCTGTGAAAAATATAATGTTTCTTCGTTAGAGAAATACAGCCCAGATTCTGCAGCTAAAGTGCAATGTTCTGAGCAATGGATTCCTTTTCAGAATAAGGTAAAAAGAGAATTGCTACATTATGCAACAATGATTGCTTCCATGCTGGTTTTATAGCCTATGGCAGAATGGCAACCCATTAGTGACAACATCACTGAAATAGACTCTGCATGTTTCAGGATCCCACCTGGCCCTCTGTGTTGCCAGAAACCGTGGATGATATCAAGAATTAACTCTCAAGTTGGTCATGCCTACAGGTCTTTTAAAGTGCAGCATTTCTATTTTGTTGCTACTAACACTTAAATTGCTTAAGTTGATCTGTTGAGGGATTGGGATGCATTGAATAGTCAGGACTGTCTCTATGGCCTTATAGGAAACTGACTTAATTTCTGGCTTGTGTTTTCTTTTTCCCCTCAAGGAGAGCATCCAAGCAGCATCTGCCAATCAAATTAGACCAGCATTTCACAAACTACTTTTTGGGGACTACACACATGCTACAAAATGTTAATCATTGATCTTGCCTCCAAATGGGGGTTTTATGATTAAATAGGTTTGAGAAATGCTGCATTCTGTATCTGCCTCTTTGAGATGCATAATCCATGTTGGTATATGTATGTATTAGGAAATGCATTTGGCTTCTGAAAAGAGGTTGCTACAGTATGAGAAAAGATTTATTCTGTCACATTAAAGACATTTGAAGATAAGCAGGTTTGTGTGGAAACACCATGAAGTCTTCAAAATCAGGCTTCTTTTGGTTTTGCTCTGCCATCCTTAATATAAGGCTTCCGAGCTTAAATTCAGGGTGTTCTCTCTAGGGTCTTTTCTAGAAGTTACCCGATGAGTTTGTCCACATTGGGTAGCTTGGCTCATTGGCCACTCCAGTCTATAAGAAAGCTGAAAAAAAAATTTTTTTTGTAAGATATTTCAAGGAACACAATTTGGGACATACCACTCTACACTAAAGTGATCATAATGTGAAAAAGGGAAAAAAGAGATGTGTCTGACAGCTGAAAGCATCTGTAGTAAAGCTAGGGGTACATTTTAACTTTTTAAAATTAGGACAATCTTTTTAATTCCTCAAGGTAATAGTACTGTGTTAATTTGCATAGCTGATATAAATTTGAATTAAAATATCCTGCCAAGAAAGAGATGAATTTTTCAACAGTGTTTCTTGACATAAGGAGATGATGATTAAGGACACAGATTTTGAAATTAGGTGGAACAGAGTACAGATACTGACCTTACTATTGTGTGGCTATTTCACTTATGGATGAAGTTATTTAATGTCCCTGTGCCTCAGTTTCTGTCTCCATTGTGAGAATTAAATGAGATAATACTACACAAACTGCTTAACACATAGGAAGCACTCAATAAATGAGAGATCTTTAAATATATAAAGATATAATATAAAATATATATTAAAGATATAATATACAATATATATCTTATATATAAGATATAATATATATATATATATATATATATATGAAAGTTTGAAGACCGCTCTTCAGTTGTTTCAATTGAGAAGGTAGCTTGAGCCTGGAAGCTCAAGGTTACAGTGAGCTATGATTGCACCACTGCACTCCGGCCTGTGCAACAGAGAGAGACTCTGTCTCTTAAAAAATTAAATAATTAATGAGAGCATAAACTTGAATTCTTATGGTACTACATTGCAAATTACCATATCTCACAGACCGAAAATTAGCAGCCCTCTAAAAGATGAAGCATTTTACTTCCTATGTGAGCGTTCCTGTGTCTGGAATCTCATGCTTCACATATGTCTTTGTTTGCAGTGTTTTCTAAAGATCAAACCCGTGTCTCTCACATTTTCTCAAGCAAGCGATACCTGTCACTCCTATGGTGGCACCCTTCCTTCAGTGTTGAGCCAGATTGAACAAGGTACTGGAATTATTTGGGAAACATGTTTTATTCTGATCTGGGGCCAGGTTAGTTTTAGGAGGCTATGGGGAATTAACATACAAAAATTCTTATTAAACTTCTTTTGTTATGGAACAGATAAAAGACTATGTTGATAGATAAACAAAATATATTCATTGACATTTTTAATGTATCTTTAATTTGAATAAATCAAATGCTTTTTAAAAATCTCTTTCTAACAGACTTTATTACATCCTTGCTTCCGGATATGGAAGCTACTTTATGGATTGGTTTGCGCTGGACTGCCTATGAAAAGATAAACAAATGGACAGATAACAGAGAGCTGACGTACAGTAACTTTCACCCATTATTGGTTAGTGGGAGGCTGAGAATACCAGAAAATGTAAGTTTTTTTAAAAACCAATACTCTTCATACCTCTGTGAAATACTTGAGTCTTTCATACATTTTTGGACTAAGCAAAACCCCACTGTATTATTCCATTTGTATGAAATGTCCAGAATAGGCACATCTAAGATAGTAAGTAGGTTAGTGATTGCTAGAGGCTACGGGGGATGGAAGGATTGAGAATAGTGCCTAAAGAGTATGGAGTTTCTTTTGGGGATGGCGAAAATGTTCTAAGATTTATGGGGTGATGGTTGTGTAACTCTGTGAATATACTAAAAACTATTGAATATGTACTTTAAATGAGCGAATTGTCTCATATATGAATTATAGCTCAGTAAAGCTGTTGCAAGAACAACAGGTGCCTCCCCAGCCTTCTGATGGATGTACTGGTTTTTCACAGTAGCATCAGATTCCATAGCACTTATTTCATAACCATATAAAACCATCATGTAGTGAGTTGTAAATAGAAGCAAATACAGATGTTTTGCTTTACATTTTGGGACTTTGGGCTCTCAGCCTCAGTCTCCTGAGGCAAAAAGTACAAAATTGGTAACTGGTGATCATTTTTCCCCAAGAGCTAAATATAGGGAAGTCAGAGAAGGGAAGAGGGCATTATACTGACAGTAGTTATGCTGACACCACAGTATTACCGCCCACTGCTTCTGTTCTCTATACTTTCTGGATGCAGATTACCTTTTGCACAAAGGGCAAAGATTGAGAAATTAACATAAAAGTCTAATTCCAAAAGTATGTCTTAGACAGTAATCAACTGATATTCCTGACATAATGTTACTTTGCTCAAAGTTGATGTTGGTAGCAAAGGAAGTTCTCAATCGTGAGTAACTATGTACAATATAAATATCAAATTATTACTTGGTTATTATAGAAGATGTGGAAGTTAGAGTAAACGCAGCAATGAAAAATGTCAACCCTAATCTTAAGACAGTTTAAACTTTTAAGCATAATCTATAGTAAGAAATACATTTAAATCACCATCTAGTATATAGATATAGATATAATATTAATTGAAACAAAAGTTTCAAGAAACAATACTTACCCTTATAATTTATGCACTCTGATATGTTCGTTCTCTTCTATTTTGTTCCATTCTCCTGTCTTATCCTATCCTTTACTGTCCAATCCTACTATCTCCTATTCTGTTCTATTTCATTATCACAAATACTTGCCAAAATCCACTTAAGTGATTTCATGATATACGAAATGAGTCTCAACCATATTTGAGCCCTAGACTAGGGAATTACAATGAGTACTTGAGCATCTTTTCTTCTAGGGCTTTTCCATACACTGTTTTCTTGATATAAGTGAGATCATAGTATATATACTATTACTCTGCTTTTCTCAGTTTGTATTATATCATAAGTAGTTTCTTCAGCCATTAAAAGATCTACTTGATAAGCTTTTTAATGGTTGCTGGGGAACAGGTGGTGTTTGGTTACACGAGTAAAGTCTTTAATGGTGATTTGTGAGATTTTGGTGCACCCATCACCTGAGCAGTATACACTGCACTCAATTTGTAGTATTTTATCCCTCACCCCCTTCCCATCCTTTCCTCCTAAGTCCCCCAAAGTTCATTGTGTCATTCTTATGCCTTTGCATCCTCATAGCTTAGCTCCCACTTATTAGTGAGAACATAACGATGTTTGGTTTTCCATTACTGAGTTACTTCACTTAGAATAATAGTCTCCAATCTCATCCAGGTTGCTGTGAATGCCATTAATTCATTCCTTTTTATGGCTGAGTAGTATTCCTCCATCATATATATATACATACATACATATATATACATATACACACACACACACACCATATATAAATACACACCATATATATACCGTATATATGGTGTGTGTATGTGTGTGTGTATATATATATATATATATATATATACACACCATAATTTCTTTATCCATTCATTGACTGATGGGCATTTGGGTTGGTTCCACATTTTTATAATTGCGAATTGGATTGCACAATATTTCTTGATTGATATGCCATCATTTACCTAACCAGTGCTGGGTGTTAGGTTGTTTCCAGTTTTACACAATCATAAATAGTGCTGCAATGAACACCTTTGTGTATAATCTTAGCCTATATTTCACATTACCTGCAGAGAGATTTTGGAAGTCATGTAGCCAGATCAAAGGATATAGGTAATATAAAGCTCTGATTACCAACTTGCTTCCAGAAAGGTTTATGAATTTACATTCCTATTCACAGCATATTGTGATTGTCCTTCTATCCTCACCAGCATATTATTAATTTCCAACATATATCAAGCAGTTAAGATGTGCCAGGCACTCTGCTAATGTATCACATACATTATTTCATTTAATTTGCCCAATAGCTATGAAATAAAGATGTTACCCCTGCCCCACCTTAGAAAAGTGAAGATGGAGTCAGTAACTTGCCAGAGATCATGCAGCCTATGCATGCAGAGTCACGGTTGACATCTGGTTCTGGGTGGGCATGGTGGCTCACGCCTGTAATCCCAGAGACTCTGGAGGCTGAGAGGGGGAGGCCTGCTTAAGCCCTGGGGTTCAAGTCTGTAGTGAGCCATGATTGCAACACTGCCCTCCCATGTGGGCAACAGAGCAAGACCCTGTCTCTAAAAAAAATTGTTTTAATTAAAAAATGAGAAAAAAGGCTGGGCGTGGTGGCTCATGCCTGTAATCCTAGCACTTTAGGAGGCCAAGGTGGGCGGATTGCCTGAGCTCAGGAGTTCGAGACCAGCCTGGGCAACACAGTGAAACCCCGTCTCTACTAAGAAGTACAAAAAATTAACCGGGCATGGCAGTGTGGGCCTGTACTCCCAGCTATTCAGGAGGCTGAGGCAGGAGAATGGCTTGAACCTGGGAGGCGGAAGTTGCAGTGAGCTGAGATCGTGTCATTGCACTCCAGCCTGGGCGACAGAGCGAGATTCCATCTCCAAAAATAATATAAAATAAAAGAGAGAGAAAATAAAATTGCCTTTAAAGAGCACTTGGTTTTTAAAATTCTTCTTAATTTGGTAGTTTGATATCGTATTTTCATTGATCTTTCTCTGATTTCTAATGAAAACAAACTTCAATAAGTTAAATAATCATTCGTAGTTCATCAAGTGGGAGTGTTCTTTTTCTTTGCAAATTTATCTATCAAACCCTTCATGTATTTCTTATTGATTTTATGACTTTGGAAATATCAAATATGCTGATCCTGTATTTCTTGTGTTTATTGCAAATACTTTCCTAAGTTTTCTTTAAGTCTGAATGCCAAAAATATTACAGAAATAAATTTTGACTATTTTTTAATATGTTCAAATCTGTATATTTCCTTTTTATTTTTCCTCTGTTGCTTTTAGGTTAGAAAGTCCATCATGTAAATTGTAAATATTAGTTAAATATATGTCCATATTTTCTTCTAGTTTTGTTTCATAGGTTGCCTTTTTTTGTTGTTTTTTCTGACACAGGGTCTTACTCTGTCACCCAGGCTGGAGTGTGGTGGTGCATTCATAACTTACTATAACCTGACCTCAAGCAATCCGCCTGCCTGAGCCTTCCAAGTAGCTAGGACTGCAGGAGCGCACCACCATGCGCAGCTACATTTTCTAATTTTTTTGTAGAGACAGGGTCTCATTGTGTTGCCCAGGCTGGTCTGGAACCCCTGGCTTCAAGTGATCCTCCCACATGGTCCTTCCAAAGTGCTGGGATTACAAGCAGGAGTCACCACACCCAGCCTCTGTTTTTTGTGTGTTTTTTTTTTCCCCTTTCTGATAGCATGTTACATCCATGGTATATGATACATGTTGTCAGTGCATGCTTAATTATTTTCCCTAATCCTAGCCACTTGTTCTAGCATCATTTATTACATATACTTTCATTTGTTAAAAACAATATAGGCCTGGGCTAGCACTTTGGGAGGCTGAGGCAGGAGGATCACTTGAGCCCAGGAATTTGAGACCAGAGACCAGCCTGGGCAACACAGCAAAACCCTGTCTATGTTTAAAAAAAAAAGAGAGAGAAAACAATATAGCAATATAGGATGCCTCTTTTATCATATATTAGGACTGTGTGTGTATGCATATATATGTGTATGTGTATATATATATACTGTATTTTATAATATTTATATCAGTATGGTAGCTATTTAAAAATATTTCTCATATACATAATGTGTGTATGTGTGTATATAACATACAAATACAGTCAGCCCTTCATATCCATGGGTTCTGAATCTGGATTCGACCAACTGCAGGTGGCAAATATTTGAGAAAAAAAATTTTTTAACCTACATCCTCCTGTATACTTAAATCATCTCTAGATTACCTATAATAGCTAATACAATGTAAATGCTATGTAAATAGTTGTTATACTGTATTTTTTAGGGAATAATGACAAAAAAGTCTACATGTTCAGTACAGACAAAAAAAATTTTTTCTCAAATATTTTCCATCTGCAGTTGGTTGAATCCAGATTCAGAACCCACGGATATGAAGGGCTGACTGTATTGATATGTTATATACACACATACACATATTATATATATGAGAAATATTTTTAAATAGCTACCATACTGATCTAAATATTATAATTTTACCATATTTTTAAAAACTATAATAGGATTAATTATACTTTATTACATGCCCTTAAAACATACTTTTAGATATTCTTGTCCATTTTTCCAGGAAAACTTTAGAATTATTAGTCATTTTTCATCCAAATAGTTAAAATTTTAAAACTCTTGATGAGAATTTGACTACATGTTTGGGAGAATTGACATCTTTCTATTAATCTTCCAATTCATGAATTTGATATATCTATTTATTCAACTCTTCCTTTAGATCACTCTGTGAAGTTTTATAGTTCCATCTCTTTCTCATTGTCATTAACAATGGCAACTTTAGCTATAAAAAGAATGGAATCATGTCCTTTGGAGCAACATGGATGGAGCTGGAGGCCATAATCCTAAGCAAATTAACACAGGAACCCAAAACCAAATACTGCATGTTCTAACGTACAAGTGGAGGTTAAACACTGAGCACAGGGGAGAGGGAGGGAGGGGGACCTGGGTTGAAAAACTACCTCCTGGGTACTGTGCTCACTACCTGGGTCCAACACACCCATTTAACAATCCTACACATGTGCCCCCATATCTAAAATAAAAGCTGAAATTTAAAAAAAAAAAAAAAAAGAATGACAGCTTTAAAAAATTTTTCTTACTGATTTGTGGGGAAGCTATTGTTTGAATTTGTTATGGGTTTTTTTTTCCCCCATAGGCATCTGTCTCACTAAAAGCTCTTTCTCTCTGAGTTTTTCATTAGATTTTCTTGGGTTTCCTAAGTAGCTAATAATAATATACAAGCAACAGTGACCCTCGTTCCTATAGTTACCTCTCTCGTTTTCATTTCATGCCTCACCACATATGCTAGAATTTCCAGAATTTCCATGGCAAATACCAGGAGCAGTAGTAGCCACCATTGTAGACTTGATCTGGACCTCAACAGGTTGTTAAACATTATGTTGACTCTTGGTTTAAGATATAGCATTCTATAACTAGCTTGTTTAGAACTTTTAATCAGGAATAAGTACTGGGTTTTCTAAAACTTGTTCCCAGCATCTGTTAAGATTGCCATATAGTTTTTTTTTTTTTTTTTTTTACCATTAGGCCTATTTGTACGTGGTATATATTAGTAGATATTGTATTAAACCATTTTACATTCTTGTTGTAAAATCTGGGTGCTCAGAGTGGATTAATATTTTACTATTCTGCATTATATTTGTTAGAATTTTACTTGGGAATGTGTTCCTCTCTCTTCATAGAGTCAATTTCTTATGCTATATTGTCATATTTTTTTCTGATCATGTTAGCCTCATAAAATGACTGGGTAGCTTTCCATCTTTTCTGTGTTCTGAAATTCTGACTCAGCTTGGGGAATTCTCTTTCCCTGAAAGTTTGGGGGAACTACCTACAAAATGTTAGAACCCTTATCCAGGAGCATTTTTGCTTTTTAAAAAATTTTAATTATTCCTTATTTATAATTGACTCATAATAATTGTACCAATTTATCAGGTGCAGTGTGATGTTTCAATGCATGCATGTGTTGTATAAACAATCTGATCAGGGTAATTACCATATTCCTCACTTTAAACATTTATCTTTTCTTTGTAAAGATAACATTCAAAACCTTCTCTTCTATGTGTCTTGAAATATACACTACATTGTTCTTTGCAGAGATCATACTCTAATGATAAAGGAATTTGGTGCAGCAGTGAAGGGCCCAAGCTCTGGAGTCAGATTGCCTAGGTTTGAATTCCAGTTCAGCCATTTACTATGCCTTTGGAGGTTTACTTAACTTTTCTTAAGCCTCAATTTCTTATCTGCAAGCTCTAATTCTGTTGCATTACCTTATAAGGTCAATATAAGGATTATATAAGATAATTTATTTAAAGCTTTATCAATAGTACCTGACAGACAGTAAAAAAAAAAAAATGGCCATTATTAATTTTCCATTTCCTTCAAAGTGATTGTTACATTTTGGTATTTCCATTTTTCGTTATGACAATTATGCTAATTGGCATTTTTCAAGAAAGTTGTCTATTTAATTTAGATTTTCAAATGTATTGAAGTAAAGTTGCTTATGGTATTTAAAAAATCTCCATTATCTTTGCTAACATTTTTAGTTTGCATTATTTACATTTTTACAAAAACAGATGCATGTTATTGGTTTTGTCCACTCTCTTCTCCACCCTCTACTCCTATTGCTTGACCTGTGTTATAAATACTATTTCTACCTTTTTCTACCCCATTTTTCGTGGGGTTCTGTTTTTGTTCATTTTCCAATCTCCTATATTGAATTCAGTTCATATTTCCTTTAAAAAAAAGAGAATATATTTAATAATACACATTTGGCTCCACATAAAGTTTTACTCATACCAATTTTTTTGACATTTCTCATTTTATTCTTTCCTATAATTATTTTAGTTCATTTTTGGTTTACTATTTATTGAGTAGCATTTTTTTTTGTCAGTATCTCCTGGTATAAACTTACTTTTCTTATTTTTCTAAGTGTGATATGTTTCAAACATACAGAAAATGATAGGGATAATATACTTGGAATAAATTTTCATATCTAATATTATTGATTGTGATTAGAAAATGAAATCTAGATACTTCTGTTTTAATATATGGAGATTTTTATAGTGACTAGTATAGGATCAGAGCTTTAAGGTATATTCTGTTATGTGGTACACAACTTGTTACAAAAAGTCTATAAAAATCTAATAAGTTGAATTAATAATCATTATGTTTTGCTTATACTGTAGTCGAGTGTTAAATATTGCTGGAGGTGTTTTATCTTATTTCTAATAGTTTATCTCTTTAAAAATATGTTTATCAAGATTGCCACTATTTTGTTTTTTATAAAGTTAATTGCCCTTTATCCATGCTTTGAAAGTTTTTAAAGATTTTCTAGGAAATGTCATGGTCAGGTCCTTCATGGAATTCTTTTATAGGGGGACAAATTCAATCTAGAATCTAAACTTTTCTTGCTAGGAGCTTCAGACCATTGTTACATGATTGCATGTATGTATTTGCCTTTTTGTTTAGTTTTTTGAGGAAGAGTCTCGCTACCACTGTGCCCTAATACTCAACCTCCAAAAATCACCGTTTACTGGGACGTGGAATTTTACATCCTGCAGTGAACGCCACTTTGTGTCTCTCTGTCAGAAATATTCAGGTAACAATTATTATCTAGATAACTATGGTACTTTATGCTATTACATATATATATATAGAGAGAGAGAGAGTCACTTTCTATAGGGAGGGAGGGGAACATAGGTTGAAAAATTACCTATTGGGTAGTATGCTTACCACCTGGGTCCAATACACCATGTAACAATCCTACACATGTACCCCCTGTATCTAAAATAAAAGCCGAAAAAATTTTTTAATACTATAAAAGAATTTATATTAATTTATAATCATATGGCTTAAAATTTCAGCATGGCTAAATCCATATTGGGTTAGTGAGTCAGAGTTTATCAAATGGAATGTGATTTTTTTAAAGGATCATTGCCATAATTAATTAAATTAATTAATTGTATCTGATGGAATTTGTTAATAGTAGTTATCCCATTATAGTAATTGAATTTTGTTCTTTTTTCTACTCTGGCATTTTTCAGATTTTACATTTTATTATGGGAAAAGGAGAAAAAAACTTCATATTTTTAATTGAGTGCAGTATTGAGTATTAAGTCCACTAATAGTATTCACTGTTAAATTTAGCATTAACAAATAAACAAGTGGGGGTTTGAAACATTATAAACAGATCACTGTCTATGCCTTTCCATAATCCAAATAAAAGTAGAATGCATACTTAAAAGTAGGCATCATCCATATTTTGAAAAATATATTTTTAAAAAAGTATTACATTATTTTTCATTGATCACAATGTGTTTTTAACAAATGATCAAGAAAAAATTTTGTCATATAATGAGAACTGTAAGTAGATATCTCATGTGCTTTGGCAGAATTTTTTTTTGCTAAATTAATCTTTACCCATTTTTTCCATGTTTTTAACTAACTCCTTTATTAGCGAAGTACTATAAAGCAATAATTCAAATACCTCCTCTTGTGGATGGTTTCTTACATTTCTTCATGCTAGCTCTCCCAGGTGAAAACTTTGTAAGGGGATACTTAATACATTTATTTCCTTCAAACAAAAGAGGTATTTAGCACCGACATGACATGATAATGCAGGTTACATTTATTTGCAGATATTCTCTTCATAAATCAGAAAAATGAAACAGAATGTTGTTCTGATTTTAGAAAACAAATGTTGCAGCTCACACATTTTCCTTAAGGTATACAGCAAGACATACCTAATTCTCTCACCCAAAATCTAAAATAAATAGGCAAATAATATCTAAATTAGATTAGTATGGGGAGAAATGTGAAAAAAATGTCCCATAACTTGCAGAGTGTGGGGAAGGGTTTGTTGTTGTTGTTGTTTTCTTTTACATGCAGAAGTTAAAAGCAGACAGACGTTGCAGAATGCTTCAGAAACTGTAAAGTATCTAAATAATCTGTACAAAATAATCCCAAAGACTCTGACTTGGCACAGTGCTAAAAGGGAGTGTCTGAAAAGTAACATGCAGCTGGTGAGCATCACGGACCCTTACCAGCAGGCATTCCTCAGTGTGCAGGCGCTCCTTCACAACTCTTCCTTATGGATCGGACTCTTCAGTCAAGATGTAAGTGTTCAGTCCCAACTGCCAGGACTGGGTGATGGAAAGCGACATTTTTTATTGTGCATAGCTTCTCTCACAGCAGACTAAAACAAACAGAAGAACTGAAAATCTTACTCCAGTAAATTTCATGGAATATGTCGGGGTTTTTAAATTTTGTTTTGAGACAAAGGCTCACACTGTCACCCAGGCTGGAGTACAGTGGTGTGATCACACTTCACTGCAGCCTTGACCTCCCGGGCTCAAGCGATCCTCCCACCTCAGCCTCTTGAGTATCTGGGACTGCAGTTACACACCACCATACCTGGCTAATTTTTGTATTTTTTGTAAAGATGAGGTTTTGCCATATTGCCCAAGCTGGTCTCAAATGCCTAGACTCAAGCACTCTGCCCACCTTGGCCTCCCAAAGGTGCTGGGATTACCAGCATGAGCCATGGCACCTAGCAGCAATATGTGGTTTTTAGAGGCAATTATCTTTCCACTATTGAAAGATCTAGTACTTCATTGTTTAAATGAGGAAAAGGTTCTGGTGGAGATATATATATATTTGAGCACTTCTTTTTATTTATTCTAATCAAAGACGAGCTAGAATCTGGAGCTGCCATATCTCTTCAGCCAATGAAAAGATAAGGGAAGAATTTAAAAATCAGTTGTGTGGAAGCACTATGGATAGTGTTAAAGAGTCCTTTCCATCCCTTTCTCTTTTTTCTTTTTCTTTTTTTTTTTTTTGAGACAGGTTCTTGTTCTGTCACCCAGGCTGGAGTACAGTGGTGCAATCTCGGCTCACTGCAACCTCCACCTCCAAGGTTCAAGTGATTCTCATGCTTCAGCCTCCTCAGTAGCTGGGATTACAGGCATGCGCCAACACGCCCAGCTAATTTTTGTATTTGTAATAGAGATGGGGTTTCACCATGTTGGCAAGGCTGGTCTTGAACTCTTTACCTCAAGTGATCCGCCCGCCCCAGGCTCCCAAAGTGTTGGGATTAGAGGTGTGAGCCACCACGACCAGCTTCCATCCCTTTCAACATCAGCAGCATGGCTGGGCACCGTGGTGCACACCCGTAGTCCCATTTACTCTGGAGGCAAGAGGATAACTTGAGCCCAGGAGTTCAAATCCAGCCTGGACTACATAGCAAAACCCCAGTCTCTAGTTTAAGAAGAAAAAATTCAGCAAAGTAAAATTAAGCAACTCTGAAAAGGAGGTTGAATAGTGTTTTCCTCCATCTCAAGTGCTGATCCTAGATAGATGTCTCAAGCACTTCTCATTCATTTCAGAGCCCAACAAAGAATGCTAGTCTCCTACTAATTCGCATCACTAACCTCTGCACATGTAGCACAAACCGGAATCATTACACAGCTGAAGTTTTGGCTATAATTAAATAAGGGATTTTTAAATAAAGCTGTGGTATTCCTATTGGCATTATAGGCCACCTCTTTTCTCAGCCATGGTATATCCCAAAGTATACCAGGATGGGTCTAGGGATGCATGGAAAAAATGCGATTGAAGACTCAGAATTGAACTGAAGAATGGATGGAAAAACAAGAATTGTTATCAAAAGCTCAATTAAAAGTAGCATTTAGGAATAGCTTAAAGAATAGTCTCTCTGAGCCACAGGGTATTCTAAAGTTAACCCAGATCGGCCGGGCATGGTGGCTCATGCCTGTAATCCCAGCACTTTGGGAGGCCAAAGTGGGTGGATCACTTGAGGTCAGGAGTTTGGGACCAGCCTGGCCAACATGGTGAAACCCTGTCTCTACTAAAAATACAAAAATTAGCTGGGTATCATGGCGGGCGTCTGTAACCCCAGCTACTCAGAAGGCTGAGGCACCAGAATCACTTGAACCTGGGAGGTGGAGGTTGCAGTGAGCCGAGATTATACCACTGCATTCCAGCCTGGGCGACAGAGTGAGACTCCATCTCTAAATAAAAAAATTAATTAATTAATTAAATTAAATTAACCCAGAGCAAGCCAGGAGATGGGGAAGCTGCTTACTCAGTCCTCACAGTCTCAATTGTTTTATAGCATTGCATTTACTTGCTTTATCTTCAGCATTGGAAATTCTGTGAAACGCTTTGTTGTGTCTGTTGTGAGGAAACAATAGGTGATTACATTTCCTAGTTTCAGTCACCCTAAATCTTTTGAGACAAAAACAGTATTGCAATGTAGAAAATTTGTCAGTAATTAAAAGAACAAAATTAAAGTCACCTGTAATGCCAGTACCTAAAAATAAACATGATTCAATCAATATTTTGGTATGGATCTTTCAAGTTATTTTTCTATGTGTACCTATTTATTTTTTAGACAGTTGGAATCAGACTATTTTGTAACTCCCCTCCCCACTTAATGATTTGGGTCTTACTTCTTATCCTATTTTCAACCTTTACCTATGGTTCTCTTTTCCCTTTCACCCTTAATTTTAACATATTCTGTGTAGCTGTTTAACTATATATCCTAATAGCTGCCTTAATTCTTTGAAAATGACAGGATGTTAATAAATACTTTACATTGAAAGCAATGAGAAGATATTGAAAGATTTTAAACAGAGTAGTGGCAATATAAGACTTTACTTAAGTAGACGACACTGTGTGGAAGGCCGGGGAGGACGCAAGCAGCTGGAGAGAGGGAGAGCAGTTATTTTTCTATAAATTCATGCAGGAAATGCTGTTGGCGTTTACAGTGTCTGAGGAGAGGCAGCTCTGGGTTATGTGAAGTGCAGAGTGTGGCCATGCAGTGGGTCACTCAAGTACCCAGCTTGAAGAAATAAAAATACATAGAATTAAAGGAAGTCAAGAAGGCTTGGAAACATGAACACAGGCATCCCAAGTTAATGGTAGGACCGGGAGGACAGCAAGAATTGGGACATCTTAGTGAATGTCAGGGAGGAGCAAGGCGACCAAGTCCTCAGTGAATGTCATGGGGAGTTTGCAGTGATACAAGGGGAATAATCCTGAAAGGAAATAAAAGGAGATAAAAATATCCACTACTCCTTTCTCATAGTCCTGTGGTATCTGAGAATAGAATATCAAATAGTCTTCCCCTGTGGGTGCTGAAAGGAGATTATTCCCTTGGAAAAGCCAGATTTATGTATTTATTTAAGATTCAGGGGGTACACATGCAGGATTGTTACAATACATACACTGTGGGATGCTGAGGCTTGGGCTTCAGTTGAACCTGTCACCCAAATAGTGAACACAGTACCCAATAGGTAGTGTTTCAACCCTTGCTCCACTCCCTCCCCACTTTTGGAGTCCCCAGACAATATCATGCCCATCTTTACATCCATGTGTACCCAATATTTAGCTCCCACTTATATAAGTGAGAACATGTGGTATTTGGTCTTCTGTTCCTGCATTAATTTACTTAGGATAATGTCCTCCAGCTACATCCATGTTGCTGTAAAGGAGATGATTTCGTTCTTTTTTATGGCTGCACAGTATGCCATCATGTATATGTGCTACATCTTCTTGATCCAATCCACTGCTGATGGACATCTAGATTGATTCCCTGTCTTTGCTGTTGTGAATAGTGCTACAATAAACATATGAGCGCAGGTGTATTTTGGTAGAACGATTTGTTTTCCTCTGGGTATATACCCAGTAATGGGATTGCTGGGTTGAATGGTAATTCTATTTTTGTTTTTTGGGAAATCTCCAAACTACTTTCCGCAGGGGCTGAACTAATTTATAATCCCACCAACAATGTGTGAGCATTCCCTGGAAAAGCCAGAGTTAAATTAAGATCAATTAAGATCAAGAATTTAGTGAAAAGATATTTATAGTCTTCATACTTTGTATTCAGTAAAAAGATAAAAGGTGTGGGATGATTTATTTAGATGGAATGGAAATTCCAAAGGATCAGGGACAGGGTTAGGTGGGGAGTGCAGCAAAGGGGAAGAAATGCAGGGCAGTCTGAATGAGTGCAGGCAAAGTCGCATGGCCGAAGGGCCACACTGGAGGCCACAGTGGCTTAGGCCCTAACTGGGTTAGGTTAGGGGCTAGGATTACAGCTGGAACTCTGGTCATGAACATTTCAGAATGAAGCAGCGAGTGGTGTTGAGGCTTGACTGTGTTGCTGTTTATGGTTTACTAAGGAGACTGTGTCGCTTCGTTCCATATTTCAAATAAACTAGTGATGCAGATTGTCTTGGGACTCAGGAAAGCTTAGCTCAGTGGGTCTGTTAGGCCAGCACCAGGCCCACCAGTGGGTATGTAAGGTCTCTGGCAGCACCATGGGGAAGCTCAGACAGGCCTGTACCCCACAATCCATCTCCTGTACCTAGATGGGTGGTCAGGACCTTGGCAGGGTGTAAAGGCAGACGTTCACAGACCTCTAGCACACAACAGAATCTAGTGAATGAAGAAGCTTCTCTCCCCAACAAGTGTGAAAACAGTGATGTGAGAGCCACAGCGCCTGAAGAGTTCAGAGGAAGGGAACCACCAGCTCTCTGTGTGCCAGCTAGCCCCTGGGTTGCGGGCTTTACACATGTTATCCCATTAATTCCAGCCCCACGAAGTTAAGTGTCACACTTAACTTGGTAGGGGATGGAAATTTGGAGAGATGGCACATGAAAGCTAGTAAGTGACTGAATCAGGATTCAAAACCATGTAGGTTTAGCTCCGTAGCCCATATTCTTTCCACTATGCCAGGTGGTCTCTGATCTAATCAGTACTTATAGTGATCCTCACCCCATTTTAGCTTTCTGATTTCTGATAACCAGTGGATCCAATTATGTGTGAGGCAGCGTAGCATAATGGTTAGGACATAGACTCTGGGGATCGACAGCCTGGCAGAAAGGCCCAGCACTGTGGTTTGTATTCTGTGGGACTTTGCACAAGTTACATACCTTTAGTTTCCTCATCTTTAAAATGGAGATAATAATAGTACCTCTCCTATATGGTTGTTACAAGGATTAAGTAAGCCAATATTTGTAAAGCATTTAGAACAATGCTTGTTATGTAGTAAATGGTATGTAAATGTGTATTAAATATTAAAAAAATTAAAAATCATTAGATTGACCATGGGAGTCAAAATAATACAAAGGGTTAACATCAATATTGCCACCTGAAATGTACTTCTGCTCCTTACAGGATGAACTCAACTTTGGTTGGTCAGATGGGAAACGTCTTCATTTTAGTCGCTGGGCTGAAACTAATGGGCAACTCGAAGACTGTGTAGTATTAGACACTGATGGATTCTGGAAAACAGTTGATTGCAATGACAATCAACCAGGTGCTATTTGCTACTATTCAGGAAGTATGTGAATTTCAGATCTTTTAATTCTTAAATTATTAACAGTCCCATAAGTGGTAGAATTTCTGAGGAGTGGTTTTATAAAATCTGGTTTTGGAATTGTGAAGAAATTATAGTCATGTCTTTTTATGGCAACATTTGTTGTGAAAATTTGTATTCAAGTAGAATTATATATTACATATATTATTATTAATGGGTCATTTTAGGCATGTTTTATTTTTATGTCAGCTGACAATGGGGATTAACACTTAAAATCCCATTGTTACTCTACCTCTTTCTGCATATATTTATAGTTGTAGAAAGCTTACATTTGTGAGAATTCTTTTGTGATTCATAATATCACAACTAACAGGACTTTTATGAGTCTTAAGATTCACAGCAACCACCTCAAGCTAGCTTAAGACAAGGGGAAATTTAGGATCCCCAAAACGGGGATAGAGCTGAACCTATAACTGGAGATGAGTTGACAATTTCTAAATTTCACTTTGTAAATCCCTAGAGAACATCTCATGAACTTAGCCTGAGTCAGGTGTGCAGTCTCTAGCCCAGTCAGAGGAAAGTGTTTTTACAACTGGCAAGGTCACATTTGTGGGTCTGTGGTAGAAAGAAGACACTGCTTCATGGACAAAGGGACTTATTGTGATCCAGGAGAGATACTGAGTGATCTCTGCCACATATTAAATCAGTTTAATGTATTTGAGTGGAATATGTTTATATTTGTATCTTTGTGAATGTATGGCCTTTTCATAAAATGGAAAAAGATCATAATCAGATACTGTAGATGTCAGATTTTAAATATTATTTTTGTTTGACTTGGTTAAAGCAATAACTTATTTAGAACATCAATGTTTCATTTAAATGTTCCTTTAAAATTAATAGTATCAGTAGACAGAAACTTTAAAATAAATTCTCAGAGTTATAGTTAGGTGACTTTTAATAATGAATATGTTTGTACAGCATCTCTAGGGGTGGTCCCTTGTACTTGACATTTGGTAATGCAGGAAGACAGAAACTGCATTTAACCTAATAGCACCTCATTTTTTACATTCTTCCATGCCACAGCAGGGGTAAGAAAATTGTGTCAAGTAATTTCCTTCCTATAGAAAGCTGGCTTTTTGTGTGCTATATCTGAGTATAAACAGAGACAGGCTTCACCAGGATATTACTTCTCGGCTTCCTGAATATTTCCTACAAATCAAGCCTAATGACTGCAAACAGGATTTAACATTTATATCTCAAATTAGAATTCTTACCATTAACTCTTTTTCTAGATGAGACTGAAAAAGAGGTCAAACCAGTTGACAGTGTTAAATGTCCATCTCCTGTTCTAAATACTCCGTGGATACCATTTCAGAACTGTTGCTACAATTTCATAATAACAAAGAATAGGCATATGGCAACAACACAGGATGAAGTTCATACTAAATGCCAGAAACTGAGTAAGTATTATATTAGTCCATTCTCATGTTGCTATAAGGACATACCCGAGGCTAGGTAATTTATAAAGAAAAAGAGGTTTAATGGCCTCACAGTTCCACATGGCTGGGGAGGCCTCACAATCATGGCAGAAGGCAAAGGAGAAGCAAAGACATGTTTACATGGCAGCAGGCAAGAGAGCATGTGCAGGGAAACTGCCCTTTGTAAAACCATCAGATCTCATAAGACTTACTATCACGAGAACAGCACGGGAAAAACCCACCCTCAAGATTCAATTACCTCCCACCAGGTCCCTCCCATGACATGTGGGGATTATGGGAGCTACAATTCAACATGGGATTTGGATGGGGAAACAGCCAAACCATATCAAGTATATTATACTGTCATTACTTATTGTATTTTGCTAATTAAAAAAATATTTCCTGTGTTATAAATATTTCTAATTAGCACTAGTAACTAGATGACAAAAATATTCATCTCCTAATATCTACATTATCAGTGACAAAGTATTAAAATTTGTGTTAGTTAAAATGGAAAGTATAGGCATAACTCCTTTCTTTACTCTTCCATTCAAGAACTAGTCTATGTTTGTAAGGAAGGCAGGTTCTCCTTTAAAAGGAAAAGAAATGGGCTAGGCACACTGGCTCATGCCTGTAATCCTAGTTCTTTGGAAGGCTGAAGTGGGAGGATTGTTTGATGCCAACCATTCAAGACCAGCCTGGGCAACATAGTGAGACTTTCTGTCTGCAAAAAATTAAAAGCATGGTGGCACATGCCTGTAATTCTAGCTACTTGGGAGGCTAAGGAGGGAGGATCTTTGAACCCAAGAGGTTGAAGGTGCAGTGAGCTGTGATTGAACCACCTGCACTCCAGCCTGGATAACAGGTGACCCTATCTCCAAAAAAAAAAAAAAAAAGGAAGGGGGAAAGAAATGACACACAAGAGAGCAGAGAACTGGACATTAAATCAAGCTAGGCTATGGGGAAGTGAAAATAAGTTAGTTGGAGCAGTCAAAAGCTTAGATACACCACAAGGCAGCAGCTAAGCTTAAAGAAGTGCACATTTCACATTTTCAGCTCTCAAGAGTCTTCAGATAATTCCTATGAGATCCACTAAGGATTTGTGACTTCCAAATGATGGAACTGTTGGAACCAATGGAACAATGAACTTAGTGAAAGTTGCTATAGAAAATATCAAACCAGTATTTCCCAAAGCATGCTCCGTATAACATCAGTCTTGAGAGATGGTCTGCAAAAAGTCCTTAGAATAAGGTTGAAAAAAATAACCAACAAAAAAGAAAAAGGTTGAGAAACACTAGACACCATAGCTTCCTGTTGGACATTAACAAATGTACATTAACATATGCCTTAAGAAATACTGGCATAAACTAGTTTAATTTTGTTTAAACCAATGTTTGCAAACTTTTTTTAAAATCCATGTAGATCTTTTCTGAAACTTCCTTGTTAATTTTGTGAGGAACACCCTTTGGGAAATATTAAGCCTTTTTAACCCTCATACTGAAAACTAAGGAAAAGGAAGATCTGTCGTATAGCCCAGCAGTCCCCAACCTTTTTGGCACTGACAGGGAGGGGTGGATGGTTTCAGGATGAAACTGTTCCACCTCAGATCATCAGACCTTAGTTAGATTCTCATAAGGAGTATGTAAGCTATATCCCTCGCATGCATAGTTCACAAGAGGGTTTGCACTCCTCTGTCAATCTAATGCCACAGTGCTCTAACAGGAGGCAGAGCTCAAGCGGTGATGCTCGCTTGCCTGCTGCTCACCTCCTGCTGTATGGCCCGGTTCCTAACAGGCCCGGTTCCTAACAGGCCTGGTTCCTAACAGTACCAGTGTGTGGCCCGGGGGTTGGGAACCCCTGTTATAGTTCATCTAAGAGGTTCTAATTATTATAGCGTAATCTTTGACAGTATATCATTACTATGGGTGGATTTATACCAACTGAAAAATTACCTTTAAATAGGGGAAAGTGAAGTGAATCAATGTTTTAAATTCTCTACTCAGCTACTAGTTTTCTATTATACCATAAGACCAAATTTAACATCAAAACATTTGAAAACTCCTTAACCTATTAATTTTAGTACAATGGGATAATTTTATTTTACATATGTTTCTAATTGTCCAATATTGTTTATATTTTGAAGTATATTAAACTGAGAACTAAAATGTTTTAAACTTATCAAATAGAAGTGTACTAGATAAGTAATTGTTAAAATTATTGATTATTTTTTATTCAACAGATCCAAAATCACATATTCTGAGTATTCGAGATGAAAAGGAGAATAACTTTGTTCTTGAGCAACTGCTGTACTTCAATTATATGGCTTCATGGGTCATGTTAGGAATAACTTATAGAAGTAAGTTGTAAATCTGCCAACTTTCTCTATTTGTTTTTGTACTTCATTATAACATAATTATCAAGCCATAGTTCTTCAAAGTACATGTCTATCAATACGTGAAAGTATAATTATGTACTTAGCATAACTTACATAAATACCAAGACAGTTTTTATGTCTCTGCTCTGCCTTTATCATCGAGTTTAAAGTTAAATGGCGGAAAATAATTTTCTGAATTAGTTTGTTCCCGCACTGCTAAAAAGAACTACCCGAACCTGGGTAATTTATGAAGAAAAGAGCTTTAATTGAGTCACGGTTCCACAGGCTTTACAGAAAGCATGGCTGGGCAGCCTCAGGAAACTTACAATCATGTCAGAGGCGAATGGGAAACAAGCAGGTTTTACTATGGTGGAGCAGGAGAGAGAGTGAAGGAGGAGGTGCTACACACTTTTGAACAACCAGAACTCATTAGAACTCACTCACTATCACGAGAACAGCAAGGGGGAAAATCACCTCCCACCAGGCCCCTCCTCCAAGACTGAAGATCATAATTCAACATGAGATTTGGATGAGGACACAGAGCCAAACCATATCAATTTTCTTTTTTCACTCTTTTATGTAGCAACTCAAGACTAACTAAAAATGATCACCATCCCATATAAATCTTCAATACTTATTTTTTGTTTCCACTAACTATGTGAGATGAGCAAGAACAGAATCACTCTATTAGTGTTGCAGTTTTGGGTTTATAACCCTGGCTTAGTTTATACTGGCCCACATATGATAAGCATTAGAAAAATGAGACACATGGCCAGGTGTAGCGTCCCACGCCTGTAATCCCAGTACTTTGGGAGGCCAAGGCGGGTGGATCACCAGAGGTCAGGAGTTTGAGACCAGCCTGGCCAACATGGTGAAACCCTGTCTCTACTAAAAATACAAAAATTAGCCAGGCATGGTGACGTGTGCCTAGTTACTTGGGAAGCTGAGGCAGGAGAATCACTTGAACCCGGGAGGCAGAGGTTGCGGTGAGCCAAGATGGTGCCACTGCACTCCAGCCAGGGCAACAGAGACTCAAGACTCCATCTCAAAAAAAAAAAAAAAAGAATAGAAAAATGAGACACATGGTCTGACAATGGGCTCGAATATTTGGAATTTGGACTAAATACCACCAATCCAAAATATGATTGATAACAAAATTTTTTAAAACAGTCTAATATAGAGGAAACAAGGTCTTGTTTCTAAATGCTTCTGAGCATTTAGAAAGATGCTCAGAAATGTCCTGAAAATCATAGACATTTTGGAATTAGGAAAACCTTTCCACGGCCATAGAGCATCAAAAGCATACATTTACTCTAAAGAGGGTTTGATAAGGGGCACAGGACAATGATAACCAGGGGTAGGGAAGGAAAAGAAGCTAAATTACTCAAATCTGCCTGTTTTAAAAATAGGCTTCTCCTTTGCTCTCTAACCCATCTGTTTCTTGGGGTTACCAATGTTTTCCTGAAATGTTTATGGTTGGCAGAGGGGTTAATGGAAATTAAACTATCAAGCAATAGATAAAGACTTGGTTTACCAAGTGAGGATAAGTTCATCATAGTAGGACTTAGTTGGCCCAAACCTTTTCTCTGATGACACTTAACTACCCTTGAATTAAAATGGAGAAAAACTAGCTGGAAAATTCTGAGGCTTCACCTGAAAGTGACTGAAGAAACAATGGTCTTGTATTGAGCCATAGAGACCACACCCAGGACAGAGAGATTGAAATTGTACCCTTTGGTATACTTTGTAGTTATATTATCAGAAGCAACTGAAAATCTATTATAAATTCTGAAAAAGCATTTTTAGATCAGAAGACTCCCTTATTGTTTTACCTTCTTTCATAAAATGTTTGAGTAATAAAATTTCTATTAAAATATACAGGCATATGAGGGACATATAGAAAGACATTTCAGGCAAATGGCACATTTGATTTGAATCTCATTCTTACTGACTTAATTTACATCTGTAAGTTACTGTTTTGGGTTACTTTGATATACTTATATTTAATTTTTTGGCCCCTATACAAGGAATTCTGTTTTTAAAACAGCTTTGACTTTTCAATAGCAGGGCCATGAATAGAAATCACTGTAAGTCACTGTTTTTGGTTACGTTGATATAGAATATTTAATTGTATTTGGCACCTACCCAAAGAAGTTTGTTTTTTTAAACATTTTTGATTTTTCAATAGCAGGGCCATGAATAGAAATTACTATGAGAAGCCACAGTATGTCAACTGAGAGATACATTAAGCCAAGTGAAAAAAGTGACTTTTTCTTAAAACAACTTTAGAAATCTACCATTGCACATCATATTGGTCAGAAAATTGATAACTTTGAAGTTTAGGAGAAGGGAAGAGGAACTGGAAGGCATGAGATGATATAAAGCAGCAAACAAGAACCAAATCGTGTGTGCAGTGCTTCTAATGTGTCATTGCTGCAGGCAGATGTTTAGGGGTCTTGCCTTGGGAGATGGTAATCAATGAAGACCAGAAATAACCAGGACAACATTGGGTGTGTGTAGGTAGTGATGGCATCAATCTTTATACCAATTTATAATTGTAATATGCCTAGCACCTTTTTTTAAAGCTTTATTGCAATCATCACTACCCCAAAAAGAAACACAATACCCACTAGTATTCCCTCCCTGTCTCCTAGTCCTCAGCAACCACTGATCTACTTTCTGTCTCTACAGATTGCCTGAATGTAAAATTCTGGACATTTTACATAAATGAAATCATACCATGTGTGCTTTTTGCGTGTGACTGGCTTTTTCCATTAAGCATAAAGATTTTAAGGTTTATCCACATTGTAGCATGTATCAGTACGTTATTCCTTTTTATGACTGAATAAAATTCCATTCTATGGATATAATACATTTTATTTATCCATGTATCACTTGATGGACATTTAGGTAAAACAACCTAAATTTTAAACCATTTTTAATTATTATGTATAATGCTTCTCTGAACATTCACGTACAAGTTTTTGCATGGACATATGTTTCCATTTCTCTTGGGTAAACCCCTGGGAATAGAATTGCTGCATCTTTTGTTTAACCCTTTGAAGAACTACCAGGTTGTTTTCCAAACCAGCTATACCATTTTCCATTCCCGGTATATGAGAGTACTGATTTCTCCGTATCGATGCCAACATTTGTGTGTTTTTCATTATAGCCATCTAAGTGAGTGTGGAATGATATCTCACTGGGATTTTTATTTCATTTCCCTAATGGCTAATGATATTAAGCATCTTTTCATGTGCTTATTGAATATTTGTATATCACCTTTGGGGAAATCCCTATTCAGATTTTTTGCTCATGTTTTAAATTGAGTCTTTTTATTGTCGAGGGGTAAGAATTCTTTATATATTCTGGATATAAATACTTTCCAGTATTTATATATAAATATATAAATAATTTCCAAATTATTTTAAAATTTATATAAAATATAAAATTTTATATTTCTGGATATAAATAATTTCCAAATATTTTCTCCCATGACTTTACTTATGCCACAAAAGTGTTTTTCTTTTTTTTTCTTCTTTTTTTATTGTACTTTAAGTTCTGGGGTACATGTGTAGAACGTGCAGTTTTGTTACATAGGTATACACATGCCATGGTGGTTTGATGCACCCATCAACCCGTCACCTACGTTAGGTATTTCTCCTAATGTTATCCCTCCCCTAGCCCCCTACCCCCCGACAGGCCCAGTGTGTGATGTTCCACTCCCTGTGTCCATGTGTTCTCATTGTTCAACTCCCACTTATGAGTGAGAACATGCGGTGTTTGGTTTTCTGTTCCTGTGTTAATTTGCTGAGATTGATGGTTTCTAGCTTCATCCATGTCCCTGCAAAGGACAGGAACTCATCCTTTTTTATGGCTGCATAGTATTCTATGGTATCTATGTGCCACATTTTCTTTATCCAGTTTATCATTGATGGACATTTGGGTTGGTTCCAAGTCTTTGCTATTGGAATAGTGCCACAATAAACATACGTGTGCATACATCTTTATAGTGGAATGATTTGTAATCCTTTGAGTATATACCCAGTAATGGGATTGCTGGGTCAAATGATATTTCTAGTTCTAGATCCTTAAGGAATTGCCATACTGTCTTCCACAATGGTTGAACTAATTTACAGTCCCACCAACAGTGTAAAAGTGTTCCTATTTCTCCACATCCTCTCCAGCACCTGTTGTTCCTGACTTTTTAATGATTGTCATTCTAACTGGCATGAGATGGTATCTCATTGTGGTTTTGATTTGCATTTCTCTAATGACGAGTGATGATGAGCATTTTTTCATGTGTCTGTTGGCTGTATAAATGTCTTCTCTTGAGAAGTGTCTGTTCATATCCTTTGCCCAATTTTGATGGGGTTGTTTGTTTTTTTCTTGTAAATTTGTTGAAGTTTCTTGTAGATTCTGGATATTAGCCCTTTGTCAAATGGATAGACTGCAAAAATTTTCTCTCATTTTGTATGTTGCCTGTTGACTCTGATGATAGTTTCTTTTGCTATGCAGAAGCTCTTTAGTTTAATTAGATCCCATTTGTCAATTTTGGCTTTTGTTGCCGTTGCTTTTGGTGTTTTAGACATGAAGTCTTTGCCCATGCCTATGTCCTGGATGGTATTGCCCAGGTTTCCTTCTAGGATTTTTATGGTCATAGGTCTTACATTTAAGTCTTTGATCCATCTTGAGTTTATTTTTGTATAAGGTGTGAGGAAGGGGGGTCCAGTTTCAGTTTTCTGCATATGGCTAGCCAGTTTTCCCAACACCATTTATTAAATAGGGAATATTTTACCCAGTGCTTGTTTGTGTCAGATTTGTCAAAGATCAGATGGTTGTAGATGTGTGGTGTTATTTCTGAGGCCTCTGTTCTGTTCCATTGGTCTATATCTCTGTTTTGGTACCAGTACCATGATGTTTTGGTTACTGTAGCCTCATAGTATAGTTTGAAGTCAGGTAGCATGATGCCTCCATCTTTGTTCTTCTTGTCCAGGATTGTCTTGGCTATCCGGGCTCTTTTTTGGTTCCATATGAAGTTTAAAGTAGTTTTTTCCAGTTCTGTGAAGAAAGTCAGTGGTAGCTTCATGGGGATAGCATTGAATCTATAAATTACTTTGGGCAGTATGGCCATTTTCACGATATTGATTCTACCTATCCATGAGCATGGAATGTTTTTCCATTTGTTTGTGTCCTCTTTTATTTCCTTGAGCAGTGGTTTGTAGTTCTCCTTGAAGAGGTCCTTCACATCCCAGGTAAGTTGTATTCCTAGGTATTTTATTCTCTTTGTAACAGTTGTGAATGGGAGTTCATTCATGATTTGGCTCTCTATTTGTCTGTTATTGGTGTACAGGAATGCTTGTGATTTTTGCACATTGATTTTGTATCTTGAGACTTTGCTGAGGTTCCTTATCAGCTTAAGGAGAATTTGGGCTGAGGTGATGGGGCTTTCTAAATATACAATCATGTCATCTGCAAACAGAGACAATTTGACTTCCCCTCTTCCCATTTGAATGCCCTTCATTTCTTTCTCTTGCCAGATTGCCCTGGCCAGAACTTCCAATACTATGTTGAACAGGAGAGGTGAGAGAGGGCATCCTTATCTTGTGCCAGTTTTCAAAGGGAATGCTTCCAGTTTTTGCCCATTCAGTATGATACTGGCTGTGGGTTTATCATGAATAGCTCTTATTATTTTGAGATACGTTCCATCAATACCTAGTTTGAGAGTTTTTAGCATGAAGGGGTGTTGAATTTTGTCGAAGGCCTTTTCTGCAACTATTGAGATAATCATGTAATTTTTGTCATTGGTTCTGTTTATGTGATGGATTATGTTTATTGATTTGCATATGTTGAACCAGTCTTTCATCCCAGATATGAAGCCGACTTGATCCTGGTGGATAAACTTTTTGATGTGCTGCTGGATTCGGTTTGCCAGTATTTTCTTGAGGATTTTTGCATCGATGTTCATCAGAGATATTGGCCTGAAATTTTCTTTTTTTGTTGTGTTTCTGCCAGGTTTTGGTATCAGGATGATGCTGGCCTCATAAAATGAGTGAAGGAGGAGTCCCTCTTTTTCTATTGTTTGGAATAGTTTCAGAAGGAATGTTACCAGCTCCTCTTTGTACCTCTGGTAGAATTCAGCTGTGAATCTGTCTGGTCCTGGACTTTTTTCGGTTGGTAGGCTATTAATTACTGCCTAAATTTCAGAACTTGTTATTGGCTTATTCAGGGATTCAGCTTCTTCCTGGTTTAGACTTGGGAGGGTGTATGTGTCCAGGAATTTATCCATTTCTTCTAGATTTTCTAGTTTATCTGCATAGAGGTGTTTATAGTATTCTCTGATGGTAGTTTGTATTTCTGTGGGATCAGTGGTGGTATCCCCTATATCATTTTTTATTGTGTCTATTTGATTCTTATCTCTTTTCTTCTTTATTAGTCTGGCTAGTGGTCTATCTATTTTATTCATCTTTTCAAAAACCAGCTCCTGGATTCACTGATTTTTTGAAGGTTGTTTTTTTGTCTCTATCGCCTTCAGTTCTGCTCTGACGTTAGTTATTTCTTGTCTTCTGCTAGCTTTTGAATTTGTTTGCTGTTGCTTCTCTACTTCTTTTAACTTTGATGTTAGGGTGTTAATTTTAGATCTTTCCTGCTTTCTCTTGTGGGCATTTAGTGCTATAAATTTCCCCCTACACACTGCTTTAAATGTGTCCCAAAGATTCTGATATGTTGTGTCTTTGTTCTCATTGGTTTCAAAGAACATCTTTATTTCTGCCTTCATTTCGTTATTTACCCAGTGTCATTCAGGAGCAGGTTGTTCAGTTTCCATGTAGTTGTGCGGTTTTGAGTGAGTTTCTTAATCCTGAGTTCTAATTTGATTGCACTGTGGTATGAGAGACTTATGATTTCCATTCTTTTGCTTTTGCTTAGGAGTGTTTTACTTTCAATTATGTGGTCAATTTTAGAATAAGTGCGATGAGGTGCTGAGAAGAATGTATATTCTATTGATTTGGGCTGGAGAGTTCTGTAGATGGCTATTAGGTCCACTTGGTCCAGAGCTGAGTTCAAGTCCTGAATATCCTTGTTAATTTTCTGTCTCGTTGATCTAATATTGACAGTGGGGTGTTAAAGTCTCCCACTATTATTGTGCAGGAGCCTAAGTCTCTTTGTAGGTCTCTATGAACTTGCTTTGTGAATCTGGGTGCTCCTGTATTGGGTGCATATATGTTTTGGATAGTTAACTCTTCTTGCTGCATTGATCCCTCTACCATTATGTAATGGCCTTCTTTGTCTCTTTTGATCTTTGTTAGTTTAAAGTCTGTTTTATCAGAGATTAGGATTGCAACTTCTGCTTTTTTTTTGTTTTGTTTTCCATTTGCTTGGTAAATATTCCTCCATCCCTTTATTTTGAGCCTATTTGTGTCTTTGCACATGAGGTGGGTCTCCTGAACCCATCTCATCTGAACAGCACATTGATGGGTCTTGACTCTTTATCCAATTTGCCAGTCGTGTGTTTTAATTGGGGGCATTTAGCCCCTTTACATTTAAGGTTAATATTGTTATGTGTGAATTTGATCCTGTCATTATGATGCTAGCTGATTGTTTTGCATGTTAGTTGATGCAGTTTCTTCATAGTGTGAATGTTCTTTACAGTTTGGTATGTTTTGCAGTGGCTGGTACCGGTTTTTCCTTTCCATGTTTAGTGCTTCCTTCAGGAGCTCTTGTAAGGCAGGCTTGGTGGTGACAAAATCTCTCAGCACTTGCCTGTCTGTCAAGGATTTTATTTCTCCTTTGCTTATGAAGCTTAGTTTGGCTGGATATGAAATTCTGGGTTGAAAATTCTTTTCTTTAGGAATGTTGAATATTGGCTCCCACTCTCTTCTGGCTTGTAAAGTTTCTGCAGGGAGATCTACTATTAGTCTGATGGGCTTCCCTTTGTGGGTAACCTGACCTTTCTCTCTGGCTGTTCTTAACATTTTTTCCTTCATTTCAACCTTGGTAAATTTGATGATTATGTGTTTTGGGGTTGCTCCTCTCGAGGAGTATCTTTGGGTTGTTCTCTGTGTCTTCTGAATTTCAGTGTTGGCCTGTCTTGCTAGGTTGGTGAAGTTCTCCCAGATAATATCCTGAAGTGTGTTTTCCAACTTGGTTTCATTCTCCTCATCACTTTCAGGTACACCAGTCAAACGTAGATTTGGTCTTTTCACATAGTCCCATATTTCTTGGAGGCTTTGTTCATTCCTTTTTATTCTTTTTTCTTTAATCGTGTCTTCTCTCTTTATTTCATTAAGTTGATCTTCAATCCCTGATATCCTTTCTTCCGCTTGATCAATTCAGCTATTGATACTTGTGTATGCTTCACGAAGTTCTCATGCTGTGTTTTTCAGCTCCATCAGGTCACTAATGTTCTTCTCTACACTGGGTATTCTAGTTAGCAGTTCCTCTAACCTTTTTTCAAGGTTCTTAGCTTCCTTGCATTGGGTTAGAACATGCTCCTTTAGCTCGGAGCAGTTTGTAATTACCCACCTTCTGAAGCCCACTTCTGTCAATTCATCAAACTCTTTCTCCATCCAGTTTTGTTCGCTAGCTGGTGAAGAGTTGTGATCCTTTGGAGGAGAAGAAGTGTTCTGGTTTTTGGAATTTTCAGCCTTTTTGCACTGGTTTCTCCCCATCTTTGTGGATTTATCTACCTTTGGTCTTTGATGTTGGTGACCTTCAGATGGGGTCTTTGAGTGGACATGCTATTCTTTTCTGTTTTTTAGTTTTCCTTCTAACAGGCCCCTCTGCTGCTGGTCTGCTGGAGTTTGCTGGATGTCTACCCGACTCTGTTTGCCTAGTTATCACCCACGGAGGCTGCAGAACAGCAAAGATTGCTGCCTGTTCTTTCCTCTGGAAGCTTCTTCCCAGAGGGGCACCTGCCTGATGCCAGCCAGAGCTCTCCTGTATGAAATGTCTGTCGGCACCTACTGGGAGATGTCTCCCAGTCAGAATACCTGGGGGTCAGAGACCCACTTGAGGAGGCAGTCTGACCCTTAGCAGAGCTCGAACACTGTGCTGGGAGGTCCGCTGCTCTCTTCAGAGCCATCAGGCAGGGATGTTTAACTCTGCTATAAGTCCCTGACTGTGGCTGCTGCCCTTTTTTCAGAGATGCCCTGCCCAGAGAGGAGAAATAGGGCCATCTGGCCACAGCAACCTTGCTGAGCTGCAGTGGGCTCCACCCAGTTCAAACTTCCCAGCAGCTTTGTTTACACTGGGAGCGTAAAACTGCCTACTCGAGCCTCAGCAATGGCGGATGCCACTCCCCCGACCAAGCTCTAGCGTCCCAGGTCAATCTCAGACTGCTGCTATGCTGGCAGCGAGAATTTCAAGCCAGTAGATCTTAGTTTCCTGGGCTCCATAGGGGTGGGACCCACCTAGCCAGACCACTTGGCTCCCTGGCTTCAGCACCCCTTTCCAGGGGAGTGAACAGTTCTGTCTCACCGGCATTCCAGGCACCACTTGGGTATGGGGAAAAAAGAACTCCTGCAGCTAGTTTGGTGTCTGCCCAAATGGCTGCCCAGTTTTGTCCTTGAAACCCAGGGCCCTGGTGGGGTAGGCACCAGAGGGAATCTCCTCGTTTGCAGGTTGCAAAGACCCTGGGACAAGTGCACTATCTGTGCCAGAGTTCCTCAGGCTCAGTCCCTCATGGCTTCCCTTGGATAGGGGAGAAAATTCCCCGACCCCTTGCATTTCACAGGTGAGGCAATGCCCCACCCTGCTTCAGCTCGCCCTCTGTGGGCTGCACCCACTGTCCAACCAGTCCCATTGAGATGAACCCGGTACCTCAGTTGGAAATGCAGAAATCACCTGCCTTCTGCATCAATCTTGCTTGGAGCTGCACACTGGAGTTGTTCCTATTTGGCCATCTTGCCAGCAATCCATCACAAAAGTGTTTTTCTTTTGTCATTTGTGCATATGTAAGAAGGCTTTGCTTACCCCAGGGTTATGAAGACTTACTCCTATGTTTTCTTTCTTTTCTTTTCTTTTTTTTTTTTTGAGACAGACTTTTGCTCTTGTCACCGAAGCTGAAGTGGTGCAGTGGCATGATCTTGGCTCACTGCTACCTCTGCCTCCTAGGTTCAAGCAGTTCTCCAGCCTCAGCCTTCTGAGTACCTGGTATTACAGACAACCGCCACCACGCCCAGCTAATTTTTGTATTTTTAGTAGAGATGGGGTTTTACCATGTTGGTCAGGCTGGTCTCGAACTCCTGACCTCAGGTGATCTGCCCACCTCAGCCTCCCAAAGTGCTGTGATTACAGGGGTGAGCCACCATGCCTGGCCTTCCATGTTTTCTTCTAAAGATTTTATAGCTGTAGCGCTTATATTTATGTCTGTGATCTACTTTAATTTTTGTGTGTGGTGAAAGAAAGGGGTCCAACTTCATTTTTTTTTTTTTTTTACATGTGGATATCCAGTTTAGAAGACTATTCTTTCCACACTGAATTGTCTTGGCATCCTTCTTAAAAATCAATTGACTGGCCAGGCACGGTGGCTCATGCCTATAATCGCAGCAATTTGGGAGGCCAAGGCGGATGGATTATGAGATCAGGAGTTCAAGACCTGCCTGGCCAAGAGGGTGAAACCCCATCTCTACTAAAATATACAAAAGTTAGCCAGCCGCGGTGGTGGGCACCTGTAATCCCTGCTACTCGGGAGGCTGAGGCAGAGAATTGCTTGAACCCAGGAGGTGGAGGTTGCAGTGAGCTGAGATCGTGCCACTGCACTCCAGCCTGGGTGACAGAGTGAGACTGTGTCTCAAAGAAAAAAAATATTAATTGACCATAAGTATGCACAACTGTGAACAGTTTATGTCCAGAGAAGAGATTTCTGTGGTGACTTTTATAACTTATCAATCATGTTTTAAATAAATAAAATAGTTATGTTCATTTCCATGCAATTAAACGTATATGTAAGAGAAAATAATATTTTTTTATTTCAATAGGTTTTTGGGGAACAGGTGGTGGTTGGTTACATAGATAAGTTCTTTAGTGTTGACTTCTGAGATTTTGGTGCACCCATCACACGAGCAGTGTACACTGTACCTAGTGTGTAATCTTTTATCCCTCATCCCCTCCCACTCTTCCCCCCGAGTTCCCAGAGTCTATTGTATCATTTTATGCCTTTGCATCCTCATAGCTTAGCTCCCACTTGGTGAGAACACACAATGTTTGGTTTTCCATTCCTGAGTTACTTCACTTAGAATAATGATCTCCATTTCCATTCAGGTTGCTGCGAATGCCATTATTTCATTCCTTTTTATGGCTGAGTAGTATTCCATGGTACATATATACCACATTACCACATTTTCTTTGTTCACTTGTTGATTGATGGGCATTTGGGCTGGTTCCATATTTTTGCTATTGTGAATTGTGCTGCTATAAACATGCATGTGCAAGTATCTTTTTCATATAATGACTTCAAGAAAAGAATATTTGATGACAAAAATGAAATGTTATTACTGAAGGATGGTGGAATTATAGGTCAATATTTATAGTTTGTATTTATATTCAAATTAAAAATGAGCATGATTTACTGTTATAATCAGAAAATATCTTAAAGGGTTATACATAATCATACAACCTTTTAGAAGGTTGGGAAAAGAGAAAATTAGTCAAGTTTGAAATCTTAACTGTATAAGTGTAATTCAAGTCTTGATTTAATCTCTAAGCATAGGAAAAAATGTTTCTTCTCTAGATAAGTCTCTTATGTGGTTTGATAAGACCCCACTGTCATATACACATTGGAGAGCAGGAAGACCAACTATAAAAAATGAGAAGTTTTTGGCTGGTTTAAGTACTGACGGCTTCTGGGATATTCAAACCTTTAAAGTTATTGAAGAAGCAGTTTATTTTCACCAGCACAGCATTCTTGCTTGTAAAATTGAAATGGGTAAGTATAGTAAAATATAGAGTTTTCTTTCACTCCAGGGAAAGAATATAAGGCTATTAGTTCCACCAGTGGGAATCATACAATCAAATGCTTCCTCTGTATTCAGTCCTGTGCGAGGTGTTACAGAGGTTATCGAGGAAGGAAAAGATACGGGCCCTGCTGTCAAGGTTTTGACCCTAAGGAGTAAAATGTAGTTGTGGAGACAGCATTAAATTCCTTATCATTGTTTAATGTAAATTGGTCTTAGATTAATTGATACAGGCTTAAATTGTGGGGAAGTCAAAACCGATACATTGGAAAGGGGAATAACAAAAAAAAAAGGAAAGGCTTCAAGAAGAGGTGAAACTTGGTTGGGGTTTGAAAAATGGATAGGGTTTATATAAATAAGAAAGTGTTTGGGGAACGAGTTTTAACATTCCGTGCAAAGTGAATGTCTCTCCACCTTGCTTAATCTTTAAATAAATCTATTTTTAAATATATGTTAGTTTTAATTTTTTCACAGCTTAAAAACTGTTAATTATTACCACTGTGCCCTAAAACTGTCATTACTCCCACTGTGCCCAAAGCTCCCTGCTCACTGGGAGCCCGTAAAGGTGGAGTGCTGGCTAGTTGGCTCACTTACAGCGCCGCAGTCACTTCCCAAGACCGTGTCCACCAGCAACCTCCAGGGATTCCTTATTCTAACCTACTTTGAGTGCATGTAAACTTTTGAGACATTTTAGAAACTTAGTCTCTATCCCCAGTTTCTAGGCCTTCTCCCAGTTCCCTGTTTTTCCCCATTCTTGCTCAGCAAAGCATCTTTTTCTCAATCAAGCTGGTCTCTTCATTGTCCCAGGCACAGTGTATGCCCATCCTCATACTTGCACCTTTATGTTTTCCTTCTGCCAAGAAGTTTTCCAATTTCTTTCTTTCTTTATTTTTTTTACATCTTTAATAAACTTTTCATTTTAGGATAGCTTTAGAGTTACAGAAAAGTTGCAAAGATAGTACAGAGCATTCCCATCTACCCTACAATCAATTTCCCCTACTGTTGGCATATTACTTTAGTATGGTACATTTGTCACAACTAATAAACCAATATTTATCCATTATTATCTTTAACTAAAGTCCACACATTATTCAAATTTCTGTAGTTTTTATTTAACATACTTTTTCTTTCTAGGATCCCACCTAACCTTTAGTTCTCCTGCCTCCTTAAGCTCCTCTTGGCTGGCTGTTTTCTCAGACTTTTCTTATTTTTGCTGGCCTTGACAGTTTTGAGGAACACTGGTCATGTATTTGGTAGAACGTCCCTCAGTTTGGGTTGGCGTATGTTTTTCTCATGATTAAACTGGGGTTATAAGTTTTTGAGGGAAGACCAAAGATGTGAGGGAGCATTCTCACTTCACATGGACAGCATGTACTATTCATATGACTTATCACTGGCCACCTGGCCCAAGGTAGTGTTTGTTAGGTTCTCTGCTGCAAAGTTACCTCTTTTCCTCCTTTCCATACTGTCTTCTTTCCAAGGAAGTCACTATGTTGAGTCCACACTTAATAGGGTAGAAAGTTATCCTCCACCTTCCTATGAGGGGAGTATCGATATAAATTACTTGAAATTCTTCTGCACAGGATATTTGTCTATTTTCTCCAATTTTTATTTTATTTTATTATTTTATTTATTTATTTATTTTTTTGGAGATGGAGTCTTGCTCTGTCACCCAGGCTGGAGTGCAGTGGCGCCATCTCAGCTCACTGCAACCTCTGCCTCCTGGGTTCCAGCGATTCTCCTGCCTCAGCCTCCCAAGTACCTGGGATTACAGGCACGCCCCACCATGCCCAGCTAATTTTTTGTATTTTTGGTAGAGACGGGGTTTCACCATGTTGGCCAGGATGGTCTTGAACTCCTGACCTCAGGTGATCCCCCCGCCTTGGCCTCCCAAAATGCTGGGATTACAGGCGTGAGCCACTGCACCTGGCCCCAATTTTTAAATTTATTCAGTCATTTATTTATACCCTCATCATTGTAGTTTTTTTGTTATTTGTTTGTTTGTAGCACTTCCATACTTTCTCCTTACCTTCTTTTTATTCTTGATTTCCCCCAATCCTCTAGACCTAGTATAGGTTCATTGTTATTTATTTTATACTTTGGATTATAATCTAACATACTGCATTCTGTAATATTTTGCTTAAGTCTTTCCAGCTTTGGCCCTTGGGAGCTCTTTCACTTGGCTCCCATGTCCCTTGAAATAACCTCGTCATTGTGGCTTTGCTGTTTGTGCTTGTTTTAAGCACTTCCTTACTTTCTGGTTCCCTTATTTCTTTTTAGTCTTAATTTCACCTAACCCTTGAGACCTGGTTTATCAAGTAGTCTTCCTGACTCTTCTCATTCAAATGAATCTCTACCAATTTCACATACCCTACTGGTTAACAGTTTTGCCATCATTTCAGCCATTGTTGTTTCTGTCTCCAACTAATATATGAGCTTCTTAAATCAAAGAAAATGTTTATGCCTTTTAAAATATCAATCAGAGAACTTTAAGAGCCTAAGATATGTGTCATACCAGTAAGAAAAATAAAATATACATTTGACCTCCCTTATTAATAAGAAACCCAGTTTTATTTAACTTTTGAAATGATTGCATGTTGTCTCATCCAAAAGATGTATTTGAAATAATTTAAATTTTAATCACCAGTGCTTTTAATTATTATAGTTGACTACAAAGAAGAATATAATACTACACTGCCACAGTTTATGCCATATGAAGATGGTATTTACAGTGTTATTCAAAAAAAGGTAACATGGTATGAAGCATTAAACATGTGTTCTCAAAGTGGAGGTCACTTGGCAAGCGTTCACAACCAAAATGGCCAGCTCTTTCTGGAAGATATTGTAAAACGTGATGGATTTCCACTATGGGTTGGGCTCTCAAGTCATGATGTAAGTCTTGCTTCGTTTTCCAGAAACTTTTCAAATGTGTTATTTTGAGGGTTAGAAATTTGAGCGTAAAGTATTAACACAAAGTACAACATTAGATGAAGTACTGGGACTCCGCTTGCATAGCATGGTGCTTTCTTACCTTTTACAACACAGAACAAATAGAAAATTTTACTGTAGCATGCACTAGGACAAATGATCAGGCCATCCCAAGGGCCCAGTGGATGACTATCTCAACAACACCTCTATAGCCTATTTGGGACAGACAAATTGGAAAGCTGATAAAAATGAAATAGCATAGAATCAGAAAACCCTGAGTTTGAGTACCAGTAGCAGATCTTCCATTTATGTGCTGGGTGATCATTAACCTTTGCAACCTTATTTCCTCATGTAGAAAATCAGGGTAATAATAATTTCACTGAGATTTTAACACAAAAGTTTATACAAAGTACCATCTAAAATTCTCCACATGGTTAGGACTAATAAACGTATACCTTCTTCCCACTTTTCCTCTAGAAAATTATACTACTTAGGATTAATTCTGCTAGTAAAGACATCTGTGCCACTATTTGAATCATATTATTTAATCATTTATGTACTTACAGTAGGGTCTTGTGTACAAAAAATGGTTATCTATTGAGACTAGAGTTGTAGTTTTAATTTAAATAATCTTTAGAACAGAGTGGGGAAGATTTTTTTTTAAAAGCATGGCAAGTTAAGATTATAAATTCAAGGAAAATTCAAAAATAGTCTTCCCATTTTGAGTTTCTTGGGAAGTGTTTCTCTTTTCTAGCTCCCTACTGCTTGGTGTCCTCTGTAGTGTGAAAAATGTAGCCAGAGACACAAAACACAAAACTATAAAACACAGAAAACAATATTCAGAACAATATGAAGGTTGGGATTGTAAATTTGTAATTATGACAAATGGAAGCCATTTGCATGTTGTTTAATTTCGAGTGTCACATAAACTCATCCTTCAAAAAAATCTGAAGACCAGGTGTAGTAACTCTGTCTGTAAGTTTAAAGTTCTCCATAAACTGTATCAGAGCAAATGTCCCAAATCAATGCATCAGAAGTAAATCAGACCTACAATAATAGTAGGTTCAGACCTACAATACTGTAAGCAAATAATTAATATTCCATTATAATATTTCTTAAAGTATGTATGTTGTTCTTTGTATTCTTTTTGAAGTCAAACATCTGGATTCAGGTTATCTCTATTGTTCTTACAACAGGGAAGTGAATCAAGTTTTGAATGGTCTGATGGTAGTACATTTGACTATATCCCATGGAAAGGCCAAACATCTCCTGGAAATTGTGTTCTCTTGGATCCAAAAGGAACTTGGAAACATGAAAAATGCAACTCTGTTAAGGATGGTGCTATTTGTTATAAACCTACAAAATGTAAGACTTCAATTTCAGTAACAGTACATTTATGAAAATGTGACATAATTTATGCACATAATTAAAAGCTCAGTGGAATTTTTATTTAAAGATTTATTCACAAGGGCCGGGCGCAGTGGCTCGCGCCTGTAATCCCAGCACTTTGGGAGGCCGAGGCGTGCGGATCACGAGGTCAGGAGATGGAGATCATCCTGGCTAACAAGGTGAAACCCCTTCTCTACTAAAAATGCAAAAAAAATAGCTGGGCATGGTGGCGGGCGCCTGTAGTCCCAGCTAGTCAGGAGGCTGAGGCGGGAGAATGGCGTGAACCCGGGAGGCGGAGCTTGCAGTGAGCCGAGATTGCGCCACTGCAGTCCAGCCTGGGAGACAGAGCAAGACTCCGTCTCAAAAAAAAAAAAAAAAAAAAAGATGTATTCACAAATAATTTTTGTGAAAATAATTTTGATACTTTGTAAATGGAAACAAATACAGTATAAGCACTCAGGGAATTTATTCCCAATGACTTTCATTTGTTCTGTCACCAGGTAAATTCTACCCTAGAATTTGTGAATTCTAATTTCACTTAGCAATGTTTTTCAAAGGCTGAGATGCTTATTTCAAAAAAGGGTCCCACAACATATAAATTTGGGGAACACCTCATGTGATTTACCGTATTAAAGTTTCTAAGAGAGTTTCTTTTCTTTTCTTTTCTTTTCCTTTCTTTTCTTTTCTTTTTTCTTTTCTTATCTTTTCTTTTTCTTTTTTTTTTTTTGACAGGGTTTCAGCTCTGTTGCCCAGACTGGAGTGCAGTGGCATGAACATGGCTCACTGCAGCCTTGACCTCCTAGGCTCAAGCAGTCCTCCCAACTCAGCCTCCTGAGTAGCTGGGACCACATACACATGCCACCACACCCAGCTAATATTTAAAATATTTTGTAGAGTTAGGGTCTCACAATGCTGTTCAAGCTGGTCTTGAACTAGGATCCTAGGCTCAAACAATCCTCCTGTTTCAGCCTCCCAAAGTGCTGAGAGTATAGGTGTGAGCTACTACGCCTGGCCAAAGGTTCTAAGAGAGTTTCTGTAATAATGAAGTCTGTTTAACTTTGTGTAACCAAGCATTTTCCAAATTTATATGATCCTTAAAGTTTAAGGGAAGAGCCTCTTCCATTAGAGGCTGGACTTAGGGTCACCCCTGGTGGATAAAGCATGAACCTTGAGGAAGACCACAAAAAAACAAACTACCGGGGACTGCAGAGGCCTGCAGGACAGGCTGGGGGGTGGTGGCATTGGTTTCCGAAGACTCTGGTTCTCAATGCTCACCATGTTTTCTGCTCTGAAGAATCTTGAACGGCAGATTCAACATTTGGTTGAACAGATTCAGGCCGAAGAAAATGTGAAAACTTTAGAGAAGCAGGTTAATAAAAGAAAGGGAGAATGATATAAAGGATGAGGAATCAAGGTACAATCAAGAACTGACTTCTCAGTTGTTAGGCACAGAAAACAAATGTAACTCTTTAGAAAAACAATTGGAATACATGAGAAATAAGGCATGCAGAAATAGAGAAACAGGCTTTATAGGATAGAGAATGATAAGATGGCCAGACATAAGTTCTGTGCTCTACCAGGTTGAAGAGTGCCTCCTCCCCAAAGATTCCCGTCCAGTCAGAACCTTAGAATGTGACTTTACTGAGAAATAGTCTTTACAGATCTAGGTAGTTGAGGTGAGGACATATTGGATAATGGTGGGCCCTAAATCCAATGACTAGTGTCCTTATAAGAGGGAGATACAGACACACAGAGGGAAAAAGTCCACGTGATGACAAAGGCTGAGATTGCAGTGACAGAGTGATAAACCAAGGACTGTCGGCAACCACCAGAAGATGAGAGGGAGGCACGAGACAGATTCTCCAATACAGCCTCCAATGAAAACCAATCCTAACACCCTCTTCAATTCAGACTTCTAGCCTCCAGAACTGTGAGAGCATACATTTCTGTTGTTTTAAGCCACCAATTTTGTGGAATTTATTATGGCAGCCCAAGGAAACGAATACAAGGGCTAACTTTAAAAACTGGATCTTCAAAAAAAAAAAAAACAAAACAGAGAATAACAGGCATTAGTGAAGATGTGGAGAAAATGGAACCCTTATGCACTGCTGGTAGGAATATAAAACAGTGTAACCACTGTGCAAAATGGTGTGGCAATTCTTCAAAAACATGTACATAAGATTACTATGTGATCCAGCACTTCAGGTATATACTCAAAACAACTGAAAGCAGGGATTCAAACAGGTGTTTGTACAACCATGTCATAGCAGCATAATTCATAATAGCCAAAAGATGAAAGCAACCCAAGTGTCCATGGATGGACGAATGGATAAGAAGCCTTAAAAAGGAAGGAAATGCTGATGCATGCTGCAACACAGATGAACCCTGAAGACAGTATGCTAAGTGAAATAAGCCAGTCACAAAAAGACAAATACTCTATGATTCCATTTATATGAGGTAGTACCCAGAGTTGTCAAATTCATAGAGACAGGAAGTGGAATGGCAGTTACCAGGGACTAGATGGAGGGGAATATGGGGAGTTATTGTTTAGTGGGTATAGAGTTTCAGTTTTGCAAGATAAAAAATTTTAGAGATGGGTGGTGGTGATAGTTGTACAACAGAGTGAATTCATTTAGCACCACGGGACTGTACACTTAAAAATGGTTAAGGCCAGATGTGGTGGTTCATGCTTGTAATCTCAGCACTTTGGGGGGCTGAGACAGGTGGGTGGCTTGAGCCCAGGAGTTCAAGACCAGCCTGGGCAACACAGTAAGACTCCGTCTCTACAAAAACGTGTAAAAATTAGCTGGACACAGTAGTACATGCCTGTAATCCCAGCTACTTGGGAAACTGAGGCAGGAGGATCTATTGCACCCAAGAGTTTGAGACTGCAGTGAGCTATGATTGCACTACTGCATTCCAACCTGGGTGACAGAATAAGACCCTGTCTCTAAAAACAAAACAAAACCAAAATGGTTAAGATGGTAAATTTTATGTTATGTGTATTTTACCACAATTAAAAAAAATGGATCTTCTTGAACAGGAATGTAACACACTTACCACGATGCAAGCCCTTACAGAAAAAAAAAAAAAAAGAGTTGGAAGCAAAACTTCATGAAGAACAAGAAGAAAAAAAAATGTACGCAGCCTAAGAGACCCCAGTTGCAGACTATACTAGAAACAAATAGACCAAAGATAAGGCAGTTCCTTATGTTGCCAGTGCAAGAAGTAATGTTAAAAAAAAAAAGGTCAAACCATTCAGAAAAGTTCCCTATCCTAATGATGCCATAATAATCAATGTTCAACAAGTTTTGCATTAACAATTGAGCCCAGTGCAACAATGAGTAATCAGCAATATACCTTTGCCCAACCAACTATTTTCATAAGGTGGTAAAAACAAGAACTTACTAGTAACATTTCTTTTCAACAGCAGCATTGATGAGGAGTTGTGAGAAGTTTTATAGATTGTATAGATGAATTTGGCAAATGCATTTTGATCTGCAGCAGCTGGGAAACTTACCCAGGAGTCCAACTGCTGAACTGAAGACTTAGTACTCAAATTGGTGTGTTAGTGAGAAGAATGGAGGCAAAAGCCAATCAAATAACCGAAGTTCAAAAAGATCAAGTCTGGTTTCTAACAGAAGATAGAGAAGCAGCAGAAGGAACTAAGGGCCACTAAAGAGTCTCACAGTAGCCGCCATTCCTCTCTAATCACAGAGACCACAAATAAGGACTCTGCCAAGTGGAGATTTGGAGAAAAAAACAGAAAAAGCCTTTACTTACTGAAGGACATAAAGATCATACAGAATGCATTACAAAACAATAGTTTGGGTTGAGATTACTGACTGGTACCAGGTCAGATATTTGATTCAGATAAGCTGTACCGCACTAATACGACATTGACAATTTACTTTCCAGTTTTCATATGCTCTTCGGTTGGAATTAAAAACAGGTGTTAAAGGGCACAAGCTGCATTCCTCAGGCTGCTTCTGTTACTCAGCACAATTAAAAATCAATTTAAATGGAAACCAGGGGCATTTTTAAGAGCTAAGAAGCCACTCCTAGTCTTTTTTTGTTTGAGTGATGTTGCGGTGCTGATGTATTATGCTTTGTAAAACAAATTAGCTATTTTTAAAAAATAGTTCTTCTTATGACTAAGTAAAACTAGATTTATTTAGATTATCAAAATAAAAAGGAATCCAACGGGCTAGGCGCTGTGGGGTCACGCCTGTAATCCCAGCACTTTGGGAGCCTGAGGCAGGCAAATCACTTGAGGTGAGGAGTTTGAAACCAGCCTGGCCAGCATGGTGAAACTTCGTCTCTACTAAAAAAAATAATAATAAACAAAAAAAGGAATCCAAAGAAAGAAATAATTTTAATTATTATTTCAGAGTACTTTCAGGTCTGCCTGGCCTGTCTTTACTTCTTTTTCTAGTCTGTCTTTCTCATTGTTTCTACTTTAGTCCAAATCAGTCTTAGAAAGCTAAGGCACTTTCCACTTCTATCACCTAGGTTTTTTAAACGGTATTCCAAAAAGTTAATTAAAATATGTATTTATAGAGTGTGGGCTGTGGCTTTCTCTGGTATGAGTTAAATGCTACTCAACCACAAACGCAACAGTTCCAATCAGGGACATTGAAGTAGATTTTGAAAGGCAGTCTTTTTTTTCCATGCATTGTTACAACTGTGTCTAACATTTTTATAGCTAAAAAGCTGTCCCGTCTTACATATTCATCAAGATGTCCAGCAGCAAAAGAGAATGGGTCACGGTGGATCCAGTACAAGGGTCACTGTTACAAGTCTGATCAGGCATTGCACAGTTTTTCAGAGGCCAAAAAATTGTGTTCAAAACATGGTGAGTTAAAATTTGTTGATTTTCTTATGACTCAATAATTTTTAGAAATGTTTCTTAAGGATATAATTTGAAGCAATGATTGTATTTTTGAAAATATTTTTAAAGCACTTTCCATTTCTAATAGCGCTATAAACTAATTGCCCAGTGGTAGGGAAATGGTTAAGTATCTGATGACATAGGAACTCAATGAAATATTGGAATAGCCATTAAAAACGCCTGTAATCCCAGCACTTTGGGAGGCCAAGGCGGGCAGATCATGAGGTCAAGAGATCAAGACCATCCTGGCCAACATGGTGAAACCCTATCTCTACTAAAAATACAAAAATTAGCTGGGTGTGGTCGCACACACCTGTAGTCCCAGCTACTCGGGAGGCTGAGGCAGGAGAATCGCTTGAACCCAGGAGGCGGAGGTTGCAGTGAGCTGAGATGGCACCACTGCACTCCAGCCTGGGTGACAGAGCAAGACTCTATCTCAAAAAAAAATTATCAATGTTAATAATAAGTACATGGAAAATAATAAGTTGGAAGAAGTAGAATTTTAAAGTGGTGGCTGGGTGCGGTGGCTCACGCCTATAATCCCAGCACTTTGGGAGGCCGAGGTGGGAGGATCACTTGAGGTTAGCCATTAAAGACTAGCGTGACCAACATGGCGAGCCCTCGTCTCTACTAAAAATACAAAACTTAGCTGGGCGTGGTGGCGTGCACCTGTAATCCCAGCTACTTGGGAAGCTGAGGCAGGAGAATCACATGAACCAGGGAGGTGGAGGTTGCAGTGAGCCAAGACTGTGCCACTGCGCTCCAGCCTGGGCGACAGAGCAAGACTCCATCTCAAAAATAAATAAATAAATAAAATAAATAATAAAAATAATAATAAATGTAAAATAATAAAATAAAAGTGGCTAAGTGAACTGCTAAGTAAAAATACTGACAAATGATTGGAAACGGTTTTACCTATAGCTAGATATGCTTAGAAAAAGGAATTAAGAGGTAAAATTTTTGTAAAGTTAGCTAAGTAGTAAATAAAAATTATAGTTGTTCCATTGCTTAGTTATTAATACATAAGCTTAGCCTCACCAGGGTAACAAATCAAAGTAGTATGGTTGTCCATCCGTTCTGCAATAGGATTGGCCACATCCTCTGACCACCATAAAGGGCAGTGCTTTTTGCCTTCAGATTTAGCTATTTTAGAAAGAGTAGCAATGATTGGCTCTTTCCCGTGACAAATTTGATCCATAGTCAAACTGTAAAATGACTTCTAGGGGAACTACCTAGAGTATTTCAAAGACCAAAACTTGTTTACCTGCTTCCTTGGGTAGCAAATTAGCCAGGTAGATGGATGGCATTTATCTAATTTATTCTGATAACCGTTGTGGAGACACTTGACTGATTGAAAAATCTTGTAGTTACCGGGAACTTTTGTGTGGGAACCATTCGGTTTTATACCTGAATACACATGATGGAAACTGTTGTAAGATATATGTATGTTTTGAAAGTCATAAACCTTTTTCTCCTAAAGGAGAAAACAGAATGGTTTACTGTAAAACTAATATGTAGGTTAAGCACTTAAGACTTGGAGGCATGAGGGTCTGGGTTCAAATCCCAGTTCCCACATATCCTAGCTAAGTGGCATTGGGAGGTTACACAACTCTTTCTCTTTTCTCATCTGAACAGTCAGAGAGGTCTCAGGGGTAGGCAGTTCCAGGGCCAAAAAAATATTGCCAGATAAATATTTTGAAGAAACACAAAATTTCTTTATACGTGTTTGGAAGTAATTTTTTTGAAGTACTTATAAAATTTTGACCTAAATACCAGTTTTTAAAAACTGTCTCTGTGTAAGGCTTGAATTTATCAATGATCTTGTTAATAATATATGTATTTTTCAAATGGCTAGTTGAGAATAAACTACTTCTCTAGTTTCCATAAAGCTAATTGAGAATGTGTTTTCTTTCAACAGATCACTCTGCAACTATCGTTTCCATAAAAGATGAAGATGAGAATAAATTTGTGAGCAGACTGATGAGGGAAAATAATAACATTACCATGAGAGTTTGGCTTGGATTATCTCAACATTCTGTTGGTAAGTGAAATAATTGTATGTGTAGTGTGCAAAGAGAGTTCTAACTCATCCTAAATAACAAGTCGTCCTTGCTAAAGAATGTTAAGTAGTGGCTAATTCAGATGCCTCTTCTGGATAAATAAGCTAGGTCGCTGGCTGTTCTGGATGGTTATAAATTTTGAATGAATCCATGAGTTAACTTAGCAATGACGGAAACCACTAATGACACAGAAAATCCTGTTAAATAAAGTGGAATCTTTCTAGAGGCTTATTTCTGGGATCCTTGGATCAACATCAGGACATTTTCTTCTCCACAGGAATGTCTGTGTCCCCACAAGGAACCCATGCCTGCCTTCTCTTAGAGTTCTAGTGCCTGTCACCGCATGGATTTGCAGCTTATAACTTCGTTATTCAGAAAGTTATCTTCTTGTTATTCCCTTCTCTCTAAGAATATTTTTACCACTGGTTAAAATTATGTCTTAATAGTAATCTTTAAAAACTGTCTTAGTGTTAGGTTGGTGTGAAAGTAATTGCAGCTTTTGCCATTACTTTTGCGCCAACCTATAAAATTGCAGATAATTGATTCAAAGAAAATTTGTGGAAGGATTTTTTAATACGAAATAGTAGATACAGGGTTTAGGTGAACTTGGAATTGGTAGAAATAAGAGTACAAATATGACAGAAGATAAGGTTTTTCACATTTTATGCAAAGTTGAATTTTAAATTATTAAAATGTGAATTTTAAAATGTTAAGTACTTGTCAAAAAATAAAAGGATTCCAAGTTGTCCATCTAAATGAATCCTAAATCGTGTTTACACTGTCACCACAAGGTGGTGCCACTTCAGCTGGAAAGCAAAAATGGAGTCCTGGTGGTGGTGTGGGAGAAAGGTGGGGATGGAGATTCCTGCACCCTTCCTCTTCCACCAGCATATCTTTAATGATATGACTTTTTACAATTAGAGTAGGGGAAGGATATGGGTCCTTAGAAATCTCTCCCTCACAAAATAAATGTGCAAGCATTCTGCACTTTAACGGAAACACCACATTCTCTATCTGTGTTGTCCAATAGAACTTTCTACAAAGACAGAAATGTTCTATATCTGCACTGTCCAATATAGTAGTCACTGGCCACATGTGGCTCTTGAGCACTTGAAATGTGACTAGTGCAACTGAAGAACTGATTTTATTTTTTTCATTTTTAATGCATTTTATTTTAACAAGTGGCTCTCATATTGGACAGCACAGTTCTGATGAGTTACATGAACCCATGCTTGTAACTTACTAGTTTAGTGGCAGTAGACATAGTTGTATTTAATTTCTTTCTTCAGACCAGTCTTGGAGTTGGTTAGATGGATCAGAAGTGACATTTGTCAAATGGGAAAATAAAAGTAAGAGTGGTGTTGGAAGATGTAGCATGTTGATAGCTTCAAATGAAACTTGGAAAAAAGTTGAATGTGAACATGGTTTTGGAAGAGTTGTCTGCAAAGTGCCTCTGGGTAAGTATGGAACCTGTCCTTAGGAGACTTTTTGCAGAACAGTCAGGAAATAAATGTACAATCCAATTATGTACAAAATTCTGTATTTAGTCTTGAAGTATTTAGTCCTTAAAGTATATCCAACTATCTTGATTAAGTCATAGAGATTTCCCCCTGAAAAATAGATTACAAGGGACGATAACTGCACAAGATGTCCAGGACTCCAGTCTACATTTTATATAATTCTTTCCTAAGAAAAACAGAAGTTGCCAGGGTATTAGGGAAGTAATTTCTTTTAAAATGTTCTTGAGATGTATTTTATTCTATAGTTTGATTATATAAAAGCTTAAAGGTCTATTTCTGCAGTTAATTTGCTTCCTTTCTTCCTAATCCCATAAAACTCATGGTTAATTTTAAAACAATGCAAAACTGGATTTAGTTATTGAAAACATTCAGGGTATCTATAAAAAATCATAATTTGAACTTACATTTCATTATGAATTGATACATAAAATTACCATTAAAATGTTATATTAACTTCATTTCTGGAGAAAGAGCTCCAAATTTTTCACAGTAACATTTTTAAAGATCTTGCATAAAACTTTTGCTTCTTGTATATAAATATTAAAGATAAAACCTCAATTCTAGGTAATCAGTATCCATGTATACACACACTGAGACAGTAAATAGAGTGTCTACTATATGCCATGCCCTGTTTTGCACACTGGGATGCACCTGAGAACAAGACAGATAAGGTACCTGTTCTCACAGAGATTACAATCTGGTGAAGAAAGATAAGTAAACAGGTCAATTTTTTAAAGAGAGGAAAATATCAAATAGTTATAAACTCTATGTGATGGAGACTCAGTGGATAGCTACTCTAGATTAGGAAACCAGGGAAGAAGCCTAGAAGCAGGAGACACCGAAGCTAAGATCTAAAAAATCAAGCCAAGCAAACTTCAAGGGAAAGGGCATAACAGACAGAGGTACCAGTTGGAGCAAAGAGCCTAAGGCAGAACAAGTTGGCTGAGCGCTCAGGGAAGAACTGAAAGGTAGGCAGGTGCTAGACATACAGAGCTTTGGAAGCAAGGCTTGAGTTCTGGTTTTATTCTGAGTGGAATGGAAAGCAACTGGAAGATTTGGGGGGTTGGGTGGGAGCAGAGTTAGGGTGTTGCAAATCAAAAGTTCTACGTTGGCCATTTTGAGTTATCCATAGAGGGACGAGATGTGTAGTGTGCATAGCAATGGTATTTAAAGTCATGGAACAGAGCGAATCCATCTGGGCAGTATGCAGATAAGGGTCTTGGAACAGCAGCTGCACTAAATGAACTCATCTGAGAGACTTAAATCATTTTGAAGCAAATAACACTTTATTTAGCCCCAGGTAAGTCAAAAACAAAAATTTATAGCTTTTAGCAATTTGCTATCAAAGTAGGATAATATACAAGTAGTGATGTTCCCAAATTGGTGTTAGGAAGGGGGAATGTGAGAATAATCATAGCGCATTAATGTCTTTGGAAGAAAATTCCTATCACAATGAAGAGGATTTGAATGAATAGGAAAACACTTACATTTGAAAAGAAATCACTTAAGTGTTTCTTTTGATCTGACGATGAGTTTGAATTCTATGTTAGCGCTATGAAACAATCAGATTTATTATGTCTGTATACAGCTTACAGGTTTACATGTGTGACACAACCCATAATGTATAAAATCAATAATGATCACTTTTGTATTCTCTCCTCCAACATCAAACCTTTTCCTGTTCCAGGCCCTGATTACACAGCAATAGCTATCATAGTTGCCACACTAAGTATCTTAGTTCTCATGGGCGGACTGATTTGGTTCCTCTTCCAAAGGCACCGTTTGCACCTGGCGGGTTTCTCATCAGTTCGATATGCACAAGGAGTGAATGAAGATGAGATTATGCTTCCTTCTTTCCATGACTAAATTCTTCTAAAAGTTTTCTAATTTGCACTAATGTGTTATGAGAAATTAGTCACTTAAAATGTCCCAGTGTCAGTATTTACTCTGCTCCAAAGTAGAACTCTTAAATACTTTTTCAGTTGTTTAGATCTTAGGCATGTGCTGGTATCCACAGTTAATTCCCTGCTAAATGCCATGTTTATCACCCTAATTAATAGAATGGAGGGGACTCCAAAGCTGGAACTGAAGTCCAAATTGTTTGTACAGTAATATGTTTAATGTTCATTTTCTCTGTATGAATGTGATTGGTAACTAGGATATGTATATTTTAATAGAATTTTTAACAAAACTTCTTAGAAAATTAAAATAGGCATATTACTAGGTGACATGTCTACTTTTTAATTTTTAAGAGCATCCGGCCAAATGCAAAATTAGTACCTCAAAGTAAAAATTGAACTGTAAACTCTATCAGCATTGTTTCAAAATAGTCATTTTTAGCACTGGGGAAAAATAAACAATAAGACATGCTTACTTTTTAATTTTTATTTTTTTGAGACTGAGTCTCTCTCTGTTGCCCAGGCTGGAGTACAATGGCGTGATCTCGGCTCACTGCAAATCTCCGCCTCCCAGGTTCAAGCGATTCTCCTGCCTCAGCCTCCTGAGTAGCTGGGATTACAGGCAACTGCCACCATGCCCGGCTAATTTTTGTATTTTTAGTAGAGATGGGGTTTCACCATGTTGGCCAGGCTGGTCTCGAACTCGTGACCGCAGGTGATCCTCCCGCCTCGGCCTCCCAAAGTGCTGGGATTACAGGCATGAGCCACCGCGCCTGGCCTCTGCTTACTTTTTATATAGCAAAATGATTCCTCTTGGCAAGATGTTTCTTATATTATTCCAAAGTTATTTCATACCATTATTATGTAAATATGAAGAGTTTTTTTCTGTTTATAATTGTTTATAAAACAATGACTTTTAAAGATTTAGTGCTTAACATTTTCCCAAGTGTGGGAACATTATTTTTAGATTGAGTAGGTACCTTGTAGCAGTGTGCTTTGCATTTTCTGATGTATTACATGACTGTTTCTTTTGTAAAGAGAATCAACTAGGTATTTAAGACTGATAATTTTACAATTTATATGCTTCACATAGCATGTCAACTTTTGACTAAGAATTTTGTTTTACTTTTTTAACATGTGTTAAACAGAGAAAGGGTCCATGAAGGAAAGTGTATGAGTTGCATTTGTAAAAATGAGACTTTTTCAGTGGAACTCTAAACCTTGTGATGACTACTAACAAATGTAAAATTATGAGTGATTAAGAAAACATTGCTTTGTGGTTATCACTTTAAGTTTTGACACCTAGATTATAGTCTTAGTAATAGCATCCACTGGAAAAGGTGAAAATGTTTTATTCGGCATTTAACTTACATTTGTACTTTATTTTTGTATAAAATCCATAGATTTATTTTACATTTAGAGTATTTACACTATGATAAAGTTGTAAATAATTTTCTAAGACAGTTTTTATATAGTCTACAGTTGTCCTGATTTCTTATTGAATTTGTTAGACTAGTTCTCTTGTCCTGTGATCTGTGTACAATTTTAGTCACTAAGACTTTCCTCCAAGAACTAAGCCAACTTGATGTGAAAAGCACAGCTGTATATAATGGTGATGTCATAATAAAGTTGTTTTATCTTTTAAGTAAAAGTAAAAGTGCTGGAGTTGATCCTTCTTGAAAAAAAAAATCTCTAGATTGGGTTTTTTATGTTAGGCATATAGTACAAGAAATAAATTGACCACCTATTGTAAAGCGAGGCATTTGCTAAGAGATTTTGTGTGCATTTTTTAGAGAATAAATAGGCGGGTAGTGGCTCACACCCGTAATCCCTCTTGACACTTTGGGAGGCCAAGGCAGGGGGATCATTTGAGCCCAGGAATTCAAGTTCAGCATGGGCAACAAAGCAAGACCCCATTTCTAAAAAAAAATAAAATAATTAGCCAGGTGTGGTGGCACCCATGTGTAGTGCCAGCTACTCAAGAAGCCAAGGCAGGAGGATCCCATGAGCCCAGGAGTTTGAGGCTACAGTGAGCTATGAACGTGCCACTGAACTCCAGTCTGGGTGACAGAGCAAGACCCTGTTTTGAAAAACAAGTCGATATTGATCCAATTGCTGAATACTGGAAAGGCAAAGTCAGATAAAACTGGATTCTCGGAATTAGGAAACCAATGACCATCTTAGCCAATGCAAATGTAGCAGAGTAGTGAAGCCAGAATCCAGATGGAAGTGAGTTTAAAAGTGAAAGGGAAGGCCAGGTGTGGCATCTCGTGCCTGTAATCCCAGCACTTTGGGAATCCGAGGTGGGTGGATCACCTGAGGTCAGGAGTTTGAGACCAGCCTGGCCAAATGGTGAAACCCCATCTCTACTAAAAATACAAAAAAAAAAAAAAAAAAAAAAAAAAATTAGCCCGGTGTGGTGGTGCATGCTTGTAATCCCAGCTACTTGGGAAGCTGAGGCGGGAGACTCTCTTGAACCCAGGAGGCAGAGGCTGCAGTGAGCTGAGATCGTACCATTGCATTCCAGCCTGGGTGACAGAGCAAGACTCTGTCTCAAAAAAAAAAAAAAAAAAAAAAAAAAAATTGAAAGGGAAATTAGGAGATGAGGAACATGAGATTTCGAGAAGTATGATGGAGACAGAAAGGAAAGGGGCTGGGCCATAGCCAGAGGGGAAAGAAGGGTTGAAAAAGGGTTTTTTTCTAAAGGGGAGAGAAAGAGGTTCACAAGTTTAGAAGCTGAGATGAAAAAAACAAAAACAAAAACAAAAATAATGGACAGAGAGAAGTTGATGATGCAGTGGGGAGAGGGAATCATTAATGGAAGATCTTGGAGAAGATAAAATGAGAGGGGCAGTCCTAAGCAGAAAGAGGAACTGGTTTGGGTGGGCTGGAGAAGCATGCCTTCCTCTCTGAGACCACAAGAGAAGAACTGCAGATAAGCATTTGAAGATGTTTGTCTATATGTAATGGCACCTGTTTTCTTGTGTACTAGAAGGCAAGGTCTGCTGAGAAAGATGGGTAGCAGATGGGGTCTTTTAAAAAGTTTTTTAATTTTTTAGAGACAGGGTCTGTCTCAGTTGCCCAGGCTGGAATGCAGTGGTGCAACTCTAGCTCACTGCAGTCTCGACCTCCAACATTAACTTTTTTTTTTCCCTAGAGACAGGTGATTTCAATGTTACCTAGGCTGCTCTCAAACTCCTGGGCTCAAGTGATCCTCCCACTTCAGCCTCCCAAGTGTTGGGATTACAGGTGTGAGCCACCATACCCAGCCTGGGATCTTAGCTTGAAAAGAGTAATAAATTTGAAAGACTCAATGAGAGAAATAGGAGAGGACAGTGACTAAGGTAAAATCAAATACAAGGATTGCAGAAGAGGCATAGAAGGCCCAGATGAAATTAAAAGCCATATTGTTTATAGTGACAGCCATCGGGAGAACTGATTGATTTCCTCCACCTGTCCTCAGTTAACTTCAGTAAAGTTGAGGAAAAAGAGAGCACGGGCCAGGCGAGGTGGCTCATGCCTGTAATCCCAGCACTTTGGGAGGCCAAGGCGGGCAGATCACTTGAGGTCAGGAGTTCAAGACCAGCCTGGCCAACATGGTGAAACCCCACCTCTACTAAAAATAGAAAAAACTTAGCCAGGTGTGGTGATACACGCCTGTAATCCTAGCTACTCGGGAGGCTGAGGCAGGAGAATTGCTTGAACCTATAAAGTGGAGGTTGAGGTGAGCTGAGATAGCGCGACTGCACTCCAGCCTGGGGGACAGAGTGAGACTCCGTCTAAAAAAAAAAAAAAGCATGAAGAAGAAAGCGGAGACCACAGATTCCGAGTTGGCCAGGTGAGCACACCAGGGGAACAAGGGGACAGAGGATGTGGTATTTCGGCTGGGTGGAGAAGGGAGAAATAAAAGGCTGAGAAAAATGCAGGCAAGGGACTGAAGTCTGGCATGAGCCAAAAGAGGATGTAAGTTGGAGACAGAGTGAAGGAAAATTAAGGGTATGAGGTGTAACTGGAGAGTAAATGGGAGAGCGAAATATAACAGTACCCACATACAGGCAATAAGTAGTCTATTTCATCAGATTAGCATCAAAAATGAGGCAGTGTGCACCAGAGTTAACAATAAAATAATATAATTTTCTTTAGTACAAATGACTTAAAATGACAGTGTTAAAATGGGTTTTGCCTTAATTAGATTGATTCATTAGGATGTCAATTCTATTGTAAATATAAAAATATTTGAAAAGTAGCTTAACACAAAACCACATTGATAAAATATACTTTGGTGCCTGAGGTGGGGGTGGAAGAGATAACTTTCACAATTACATGATTGCTTAGAACTGTTCATTTTACTTCTGTAGTTAGGAGGGCAAAAGGGTCCAGAATCAAGATGTGTCAATATTCCAATATAGAGTATCTTTGGAAGGATTTGCTCTGGTCTGGAGTTTGGTATATAATAAACTCAGTATTGGCAGCCTGAGAAGAAAAATGGAAGTAAATAAGTTAAGCAAGACCTTAATACTTTGGCAAAGGGGCAGAACCTGGAATAGGTGGGAGAGTCCAGCAGAGGAGCTGGGCTCTGGTTCATTTGTTGGCATTCTCTGTGAGCCCACGGGGGAATCACATCCCTTCTTTGGGTCACTCAATTTCCTTACTAGTACCACTTCTAACACTCTATGACTCTCCTTATAGACCCCTTGGGTCAAATTTCCTTGGTGTAACCACTCTGGATTATCAGAAGTGTGGAAAGGGTTAGAAAGAGTTGGAAAGGGTCAGATTTTATTTTTTTAAAAATAGACTAATTTTTGAGCAGTTTTAGATGTATACAAAAAATGTAGCAGAAGGTACAGAGCTCCCATGTACCTCCTTACACATACCCCAGTTTCCCCAATTATTAACATCTTGCATTAGCAGGTACATTTGTTACAGTGGATGAGCCAATATTGACACATTATTAACTAAAGTCCATTGTCCACACTAGGGTTCATCTTCGTTTTGTGCATTCTATGGGTTTTGACACATGTATAGTGATACACATCTACCATTACAGTATCCTACAGAATAATTTCATGGCTCTAAAAATCCTCTGTGTTCCATCTATTCATCCCCTCCTTCTTCCCACCCCAACCCCTGGCAACCATTTATCTTTTTACTGTCTCCATAGTTTTGCCTTGTCTAAAATGTCATATAGTTGGAATCATATAGTATGCAGTCTTTTCAGATTGGCTTCTTTCTCTTAGCAATACATATTTAAAGTTCTTCCATGTCTTTTTGTGGCTTGATAGCTCATTTAATTTTGGTACTGAGTAACATTTCATTGTTTGGATGTGCCATTGTTTATCCATTCACTTATTGAAGGACATCTTGTTTGCCTCTAGGTTCTGGCAATTATGAATAAAGCTGCTATCAACATTCATGTGCAGGTTTTTGTGTGTATGTAAGTTTTTAACTCATTTGGATAAATACCAAGGAGTTGTGATTGCTAGATGGTATGGTAAGAGTACGTTTAGTTTTGGAAGAAGCTTCCAAATTGTCTTCCAAAGTGGCTGTACCATTTTGCATTTGCACCAGCATTGAATGAGAGTTCTTTTTGCTCCACATCTTTGCCAGCATGTGGTCTTGTCAGTGTTTTTGGATTCTGGTATCTAATAGGTATGTAGTGGTATTTCATTTTTGTTTTCATATACAATTCAGCAATGACATATGATGTTGAGCATCTTTTCATCTATTTGCCATTATATAACTTCTTTGATGACGTGTGTATTCAGATCATCTGACCATTTTTTTTAACTGGGTCATTTGTTTTCACGTTGTTGAGTTTAGACTTGATTTTATAGAACTCTTTTGCCAATGACATGAGGCTTAAACAAGCACCCTTGCTTGACCCTGGCTAGTGTTGTCCAGAGGCCCTCATGGGTGAAGTATAATTGCACAGTTTATGCATACATTGTAGCAAACATAGCTTAAAGACTCTTCATCCAGGAGCTGGTAACAGAGAAAAGTTGTCTAAGAGACATAGTCCACTGAAAGGGGTCTTTGAAAAGGAGGATTCTGGCCAGTAGATCCAAAGAAGAAGGCTGGCAAACGCCACCTTAACCAACTGATCCAAGTTAACATCAGTGATGAGACATCGACATCTTGTCCTTCTCGAGCACGTACATCACTTCTGGGGAACTCTTTCCCAAAAAAGCGCAACCTGAATCCAATTAGAAGGAAATGTCAGACAAAATGAAACTGAGGGACATTCTACAAAACGACTGGCCAGTACTTTTTAAATGTGGTTTGATCGTGAAAGAAAAAGAATGACAGAGAACCGTCCTAGATTAAAGGGAGACTAAGGAGACACGACATGCAATGTATGATCCTGGATTGAATCTTGGAACAGAAAAGGACCCTTAGAGGGGCAATTAATGAAATGTGGTAAGTGCTGTAGATTAGCTAATCGCATTATCCCAGTGCGAGTGCCCTGTGTTTGATCACTGCACTGGCGTTATATACAATGTCAATATTTAGAGAAGCTGGCTGAAGGGTTACGGAAATCTCTTGTGCTGTTTTTGCAACATTTTCGAAAGTCCTAAATTATTTCAATTCAAATGAAAAGTTTAAAAAACAAAAATTAGAAGTTCCAGAAGGCCGCGCGCCAGCCGCTCCTGCGGGACGGGACACCCGGGTTCTCCTGGTGGGAGCCCCCAGTGCCGTTCACGTTCCGCCCGGGGGGGGGATTAAACTCGCACGCGAGAAGCACCGCCCCCGCTCCCGCCCCGCCCCGCTCCTCTCCGGCCGCGCAGCCGCTGCCGCCCACCCGCACCCGCCGTCATGCTCCGGGCCGCGCTGCCCGCGCTCCTGCTGCCGTTGCTGGGCCTCGCCGCTGCTGCCGTCGCGGGTAAGCCCTTACGTAGTCCCTCGCCGGGACCGTGCGCGACCGCCTTCGCCCCCTTCCCAACGCACGCTCTTCGTCCCCGCGCACCCGAGGGCGGCCCGCAGACGCAACACCCGGCCGGCCATCCCGCCCTTCCCTGCACGCCCGTCCCCCGTGGGTCCTGGCTCCGGGTCACCTCTCACCCGCCTGCCCTCGGGGAGGGGAGGTGGCCGAGAATAAGGGAGGGCTCTGTCTTCCTCGGAGTCCACATCCTCACCGCAGACCCCACTCCGCGGGGAGGGAACCCCCAAATTAGGCCAGTTGGCCGGAGAACTGAGGGACTTGGAGTCGCACGACGGGCGCCGTTTCAGGGCAATTTCGGGCTGAAATGAGAAGCGGGGACGTTGGTGGCGATTTCCCCTGCTGGTGCGCGGCCGGAGTGGGGTTGCTGGGATGGGGGTGGGGGCCGGAGGAAGTAGGCCCTCTTTTGCAAGCAGCGCTGTTTGTCTAGTTGGTTGGTGTTCAAGTTGTTTAAACAGGAAAACAGTTCAGCCAAATAACCCCTGGATGGAAGAGGAACGGGAATAGGCAAAGCTTGGATTTCACTGAAATCAAGGAGTTTTAAAGTTCTAGTCTGCTGTTGTGCAAGTGACATCTGAAAAATCACACACGTGATCATTCATTTACAAAACGACTCGTGAGGAAAATGCACAATTCTATTGACCGTGGTCTTTATTTTTAAAAAATTTCCATACAAGCATGTCAAAAATATGTGGATGGGGAGACTCTGGAGAACACAGACTTCCAAAAACACCACTGACTGAATAATTCCAGGAATTAAAGAGCAAAATAAACAAGAACTAAATGAGTACTTGTGTGGGCTTAAATAAAGTGCAAGAGATTTAAATAAAATGCAAGAGATTCCCCCCCCCCACCCCTTGCCCCAGATTTCACTGCGTTTTTATAATAACTGCCTGCTCGAAGTCTACTGACAGGAATATTTCAGTGGACCTCAGTGTTGGAGGCAGCAGCAGCTCAGAACTTGGATACAAACCCAAGGTTCCTTTCTTGAAAACTTCTGTGGACCTGCATTTATGACTGGTTGTGACATCTGCTGCCTATCAAAGGGGCAGAAACAAGATGTGCCCATGTTCACATTGTTCAGACTGGGAACATTAATTTTGTCTAAGACAAAGCTGGGCTGTCTCTGAACCCTCCTTCTGCACACCCTCATTTTGCGAGCCAGTAACATCTCAACTCTCATGTAAACCACCCTCTGCGAGGCTGTGCATTTGTACTTTAGGCTAGTCGAATTTTCTTGTCAGATTTTTCTTTCTTGTCAGACTTTTAAAGAAAATCAGTTTCTAGATTTTGGTATGTCTCTTCTTCAGTGAAGCTGTTTTGACCAGCAATAGAGGGCAAATTTCCCTTTGGAAATTTTTGTGCATTTCCTTTGATAAGTCCAGTGTGGATCAATAGGCTTTTCAAGAGCTTTAGAAAAGTGCATGATGAATAAATTAATGTTAATTAATCAGCTCCTCCCAGTCAGGAAGCTTTAAGGATTAATTTGGAAATGAGTGTGAGCTTTGACCTAGCTAGTTAACCAACTTATCTGCACTTCAGTAAAACAGAGATAATACTTACTCATGGGGCTATTGGGAGCATTAAGTGGGAACTCCACGTCTAGTCCCTATTACAGGCGTGGTTCATCTTGGTTTCCTTCCCTTTATTCTCTTCATACAAAATGAAGGGTAATTGTTGCAACCAGAAAACGTATGAATACCACCTTATGTATATTGGATGTTTATGGTTACTGAACACATTCATATGTATGCTAATGTTATAGGGCTGAAAAACTAAGTGTGTTTTTCATAATACTTTACAAATCTCCCATCCAAGCAAGATCAGGGGTCATATTTGGCTTAGAACTAAGTCAAGAAAGAGTTTGTTGCTGAATACCAAGATCTTAATAGAAAAGCTCTTATGATGTTGCATAATAAATATGGGTATTGCATATAAATGTGATGTTGAAACGGAAATCATTGTTATTGTCTGTCATTCTGGAGGTTATTAGTGAAGTGATCTTAACCTTGTTCTTAGCTATTATTTTGAAAATCACAGTGGACAAAACATTCTTTAAATTCCTGAGTGAAAATCCATGGCATCGCTTTAAAAAGTTTTTCCGTAAGGGTGCTTAAGCACATAATAGATGATCAGTATGTATTTATTTGGTCAGTGGTTTCCTATGCCTGGCATGAGCTGAGTGAACAAGCATGTTCCGAGTAAGTCCTCATTCTGTGATCATCATGTGGATCAGAATCTAGGGATTTTGAATTGCCATGTCCTACAAGCCTTAGATGAGGTGCCTCTGCCTTCTTCCCTGATGTCATCTCTTACCACCCTTCCTGCCATTCACTCTGTGTATCCACAGAGTAAACAGTATCTGGGTACTCCAACACCTCTGGTCCTTCTGTGCACACCACCTTCCCCCAGTCCTTGGCATGGCTGCCCCCACCTCCACCATTCAGATCTCTGTTCATATGTCACCTTCTCCGAAGCCTCCCTGAACACCCACATTCTCTGTCACATGTCCATGTTTTATCTTTTCCAAGCCTTTCTGAATGCATTGTGTTTATTCATCTGTCTTGCTTGTTGCTTCTCTTACCAGGGGAAAGAAGCTCCATAACAGAGATTTTACCATCTTGTGGATTTTTGTTTTGTTTTGATTTGTGTCTCTGCACTTTATTCTAAGTTATAATAAAAGGATGAAAAAATTTAGGTGAGTTATTTAAAAAGTAGGTAGGATAAGTGGATTGCAATTTTTTTCAAATTATATTACCTCTGCTATGCACTCATTTCATAATGAATTCAAAGCCTTAAATCATCTTAATCTATTGCTGCCACCTTTTCTTTCTTTCTTTTTTTTTTTTTCCGAGATGGAGTCTCACTCTGTCACCCAGGCTGGAGTGCGGTGGCGCAATCTCGGCTCACAGCAACCTCTACCTTCTGGGTTCAAGCAATTCTCCTGCCTCAGCCTCCCGAGTAGCTGGGATTACAGGCATGCGCCACCATGCCTGGCTAACTTTTGTATTTTTAGTAGAGATGGGGTTTCACCATGTTGGCCAGGCTGGTCTCAAACTCCTGGCCTCGTGATCTGCCCACCTCGGCCTCCCAAAGTGCTGGGATTACAGGTGTGAGCCACCGTGCCCGGCCTGATGCCACCTTTTCTGACTCTTGTGTATGGCACAGTTATGTTTCAGGGGAAATTATCTCAGATTAAATATTAGAGTATTTTAAAATAAATTTTGAGCTGGGCGTGGTGGCTCACGCCTGTAATCCCAGCACTTTGGGAGGCCGAGGCGGGTGGATCACGAGGTCAGGAGATCGAGACCATCCTGGCTAACACGGTGAAACCCTGTCTCTACTAAAAATACAAAAAATTAGCCGGGCGTGGTGGCAGGCACCTGTGGTCCCAGCTACTCAGGAGGCTGAGGCAGGAGAATGGCGTGAACCCAGGAGACAGAGCTTGCAGTGAGCTGAGATCGCGCCACTGCACTCCAGCCTGGGCGACAGAGCGAGACTCAGTCTCAAAATAAATAAATGAATAAATAAATAAATAAATAAATAAATAAATTAATTAATTTTGAAATGTTAATGTTTATTTTTCTTCCAATGAAAAAGTGAAATTTCAATTAGGTATTATTTCAGGACTTCTTTTACTGTTGAGAATCTTTTAACAATTTGCTTATGTGTTGAAAACTAGTTTTGCAGCAAGGTTACTTTCCATAATTTTTATTGTGCATATCAAGTATTTCATTCCTTCTGTGGGTTATTTAGTGTTTTTTTTTTTATTATTTTATTTTATTTTATTTTATTTTATTTTATTGTTTTGAGACAGGGCCTCACTCTGTCACCCAGGCTAGAGTGCAGTGGTGCAATCATGGCTCACTACAGCCTTGACCTGCTGGGCTCAAGTGATCCTCCCACCTCAGCCCCCTGAGTAGCTGGGACTACAGGTGCATGCCACCATGCCCTGCTAATTTTTTTTTTTTTTTTTTGTAGAGGTGGGGTCTCACTTTGTTGCCCAGGCTAGTCCCAAACTCCTGAGCTCAAGTGATCCTCCTACCTCAGCCTTCCAAAGCTCTGGGATTACAGGTGTGAACTGCCACGCCTGGCCTATTTTAGATTTTGAGAGCAAATCTTGAGACCAAATCTTTAAAAAATAGACCAGTGATGCCCAAAGAGAAAGGTACAGATTAACAATGGCACACCCCTTCTATGAATATACATTATAACAGCCCTTCTGAAGAGGGAAGTGATGGGACAATATGGAGATGGATGTCTTGAAAGCTAGATTGGGAAGAGTGATATGGAGAGGGGATGAGGTGTCAGAGTGCCTCAATTTATTTGGGATTCAGAGAGATCTTGAAGCTCAGAGTACAGCCACAGAATCTCTGGATTAGTCAGGGACTTGGAACAGCCACTCCCTCCTCCATACATTATAAATGTAATAAATAGCCCCTCTTCTTCATCTGTCTGTGCCACAGTTGCCCTTGCGGAAGTTATGTGACTACAACTCATATCTTAATGGGAGAGGAGCAAAGGTCTTATTATTGACAATGAAAATGAAAAAGAAGTCTTTCCCTTTTCCTTTGTTAACATTTAGAACAAGTATGTCCCAAGAATCACTTCCTCATGCTGTGCCTGTTTTTTTTTTCTTTTTTTAAAAAAAAGAGAGACAGAGAACTTATAAAGGAACAGAGAGTTCTATTAGATTTGACTGGTAATGCAAAGTATTCCTGTGGATATGACATTATCTTCTTTTAGCACATGATAATTTTAGGCAGAGGATCTATATAGAAACTTTTGGAGTTATGCTAAGTACAGCTTTTAAAATATTCATGAGGCTCCTGAATTTCTGTACGTATTAAAGAATTATAAAATTATAAAATCCCTAAGAGTCATTTAAGTGCATTATTAATAACAACCTATCATTCAGGACTGCTGTGAAGAAATAAGAGTAATAGGCCCTTTGCAGAGAGCTTAGTGGGCAGGTTTTTAATTATATTAGGATTATGGCAAAGATACTTAGCGTTGAAGACGACTTAGTTTAGTCTTTTGTTCATGAGGTGCATGAACGTCAACAATCTCCTCACAGGAGTTATCCAGCCTCTATTTGAGCACTGTTCTTCTCAAAGTAAAAATATATCTTTTGAGTAGTGCTTAAAACTTGTTTCTGGGGCACACACTCTGATCGGGGATCTATAGCATGAGAAAAGGGGTTCCATGTTGAATTAACTGGAGTTACTGCTAATGCTGAAATGAGCCTAAGGAGAAGGCAGTTGAAAGTTTTGGGGAAGTGAGTCAACAGTCTGTTTTCTATTTTTCTATACATACCCTGTTAAAAAAAAATTTTTTTTTGGTCTTGTCACATGCAGATGCTCCTCGACTTAGAATGGGGCTATATCCCAATAAACTTGTGAAGTCAAAAAATCGTAAGTTGTCCATTATTAAGTTCGGGACCATTTCTGTATTGCTAACTTAGTTATTCAGCAATGGTCTTTGAGTAGCTGGTTATCATTATCATCATCATAGTCATTCCCATACTGTGCAACACAGTAGCATTGTGTTTGCTCCTCCCTCTGTTTGCCTGAAATATCCATGTGACTTCTTTCCCTATCTTTTCAGACACACACACACACACACACACACACACACACACACACACACACAGAGTTGGTTCTCTGTTTCTCTGGAGAACCCTGACTAATACAATAACCAATAAGATAGTATGGAAATAAGACAGTGTGACAATCAAGGCTGGATTGTATGAAGCATTGCATATCCACCTTTGCCCTCCTTTGAATCACTCACTCTGGGGGAAGCTACCTGCCATGTCATAAGGACCCTCAAGCACCCCTGTGTAGAAGTCCACGTGGTGAGGAACTGTGGTGTCCTGCCCACAGCCAGCACCAGCTCACCACCCATATGAGTGAGGCTTCTTGAAGCTGACCTTTCAGCTCCAGTTCAGTGTTTAGATGGCTGCAGCCCTAGCCAGCATCTTCACTGTAACTTCATGGAGACCCCAAGCCAGAATCACCCAGACAAGCAACTGCTTCAGAATTCCTGACCCAGAGAAACTGTATATAATAAGTGTTTCTTGTTTTAAGCTGCTAATTTTTTACATAGCAATAGACCACAATACACCATCTAACATATTATTTTATGTATTTGTCTTCCTTTTGCATAACTGCGTCAACTAGAACATAAATTTCCAGGAGGGCAGGAATTTCTTTTCCTTTTTGTTCACTGTGGAATCTCAAGCACCTTGCACAATTTTTTAACAGCACCCCCTCAGATAGGTACTGTTATTCCCATTATACAGATGAGGAAACTGGGACACAGTAAGGTTAAATAACATGTCCACGATTGTGTAGTCAGAGCCAGACTTTTCTCCACAGTCTAATGGGCTTAACCAGAGTCCTGTATTGACCCACTTCTATGCATCCCTTCCAGTGTTATGTTCAAGACAGAAGGATAGTTATTATTGAGAGTAGTTAGATCTCAGACATGGTCTCTGCTGTCGTGGCGTTAACAATCATTTGGGAAAACAGGATGCATATCAGATAGCCGCTATATAAAGAAGGATCTAATGAGTGCTATGTAAACATGTATAGGCCATCAGAGGGTAACACATTTCCTTTTCCAAAGAAGAATGACTACCCATAGTTCTTATGATTTGTGCCATATTATTTTTAAAACCCTAGACACAACTAATTGGAATAAGGATAATTTCCTTAGTCAAAAGCTGGCTACTCTAGGCTAGGCATCAGCCCAATATGGGGCCTAGTATATGAACGCTAAGCCTATTTGACTGTTGAGATAGTATCCTCAGTTTTCTTATTGGCCATGTATCTGTACAATAAATCTATCATCTGGTAGCCTGAGCATGTCTTTAGTCCTTGTTGCCAGAAAAGGTCTCTCATGCATAATGCAGTTTAAAAGTCCTACAGATGTTCAAAGGAGTCACAGGTTAGAGGAAGATAAGGCTGAGACACTTCATGGAGAATTGACACATGAGCTGCCACTGAAATAAGAATATACCTTAATCAGTGTTTTAGAGATCATATCTTCAGATCGTTTTAATTTATAAAGTATAAGAACTACATGTTTTCACAGCATGCCAGGAGCAAAAGATGAAAAAAAGAACTATAAGTGCTTGACTTGAGTGTTGATTATATTTTTGTGGACTTATTAGACATTTTATTTTATATAAATGGTGTTTCAAAAATTAATTCATTTTTATATATTGTCGAGTTATTTGTTATAAGTAGAAAACACTATCTGTAGTTTTGACTAGAAATAATACAAAAGTGCATTTCTGAACCTGTGGTTCAATAATTGCCAATGATTTATAAAAGTGTTTCAGGTGTCATTCAGTGTGGTAATGCAGTTCCATTTCACTTTTTTAAAATTCCATAAGGTAAAAGAAAAAGAGCAATAAAAGGAACCAGAAGAAAGTAAAAAGGGAAAAAAGAAGAGAAAGAATAATCAAAATTTGCAATTTAGAGCCTCTGCCCTTTTGACTTTCAGTTTGAGTTTTATTCTGGAAATGACTTCTGTGTCCTCTGTCATGTCTCTGGCAGCAGAGAGGGGAAGGAGGGAAGAAACCTGCCTTTTTATCCTAGTTCACTCATTCAATGAATATTTATGGAGACCTTACTAGGTACCTGTAACTGTGCTTTTTATCATATGCCCTCTGCCTGGATTTTTTTTTTCTTTTTCCTTTTATCCGTGGCAACTTCCTATTTATCCAGTGAGCTGTAGCTTAAATATTGCCTACTTTTTGAAATGCTCACTTATTCTACAAAGTTATACTCTCCTTCTCCTACATCTCATAGCATTTTACCTATCCTACCTTCGGAATATCTGTTTGTCTGTCCGACTCTTCCATCAGACTGACCACTTCAAGTGTAGAAGACTTTTACTCTTTTTCTCATCACCCCTTAACACTAAGCATTATACCTAACACATAGGAGTTGCTCAGCAAATGTCTGATATGGATGATGGGTAGATGGGTGACCAACTGTTGACAACTTGTTGAAAAGTATAAAAGATGGAATTTTGCATCTGGCTATCATGGAGTAGGAGACTAACACTCCCATTAAGAACAACTAGAAAATCTAGATTAAATTCCATAAGAATCGTATTTGCTGGCATCAGAGAGCTGCTAAGGCAGTTTGCTGAGGTGAGCCCAACAGTCTGTGTATTACTTTTCTCCTTAGGAGAGCTGGTAAAATCTTAAATAGCTAAAAGCAGAGCAGAGTTTTTGGCAATCTCATAGTGTTGAGGAAAGAAAAAACATGAGTCTTAGCTCACCAAAGAGGAGGTGGCTCTAGTTAATATCCAGGCTTTCAACTGGCAATCCCTACGGATCAAAAGTCTACAAAGTCTAGAACACCTCTTCACATAGACTCAGTCCCTGCTGATCAGAATCCTTTCTAAAGGAAGATAACATCATTTAGAGTTACTACAATTTTTCATACACAGTGTTTGGCATTTGATAGAAAACTACCAGACAGAACAAAAAAAAAAAACAGGCCTAAGGGGGTGTGAGGGTGCAGGGTAGGAGAGTAGAGAACAGACTAATAACTGACCTAGAAATTAGAGTTTTCAGAAATGGACTTCAAAATAACTACGATAAGTTAAAGAATATAAATACTAAGATTGAGAATTTTAAAATATAATCAAATTGAAATTTTAAAAATATAATCAAGTTGAAATTCTATAACTGAAAAATCACTGACATTATAAACTCAATAGATGGGGTTTAACAGCATGAAAAACTGAAGTAGGCTGGGCACAGTGACTCACGCCTGTAATCCCAGCACTTTGGGAGGCCAAGGTAGGAGGATTGCTTGAGACCAAGAGTTCAAGACCAGCCTGGGCAATATAGTGACACCCCTGTCTCTACAAAAAAAAAAATCAAACAAATTAGCCATCCTGTCTACTCAGGAGGCTGAGGTGGGAGGATCACCTGAGCCCAGGAGTTCAAGGCTGCAATGAGCTATGACCATGCCATTGTACCCCAGCCTGGGTGACAGAGAGAGATCTTGTCTTAAAAAAAAAAAAATTGGAGTTACCCTTACCCCAGTTAAGTTACAACTTAAGAGTGCATTAATAAACCAGGAAGAATGAGATTATATTATGGAGAGTATTAACAGTATTGAAAAGAGCAAAAGGATATACAGGACATGGTAAAAAGTCTAACATAGATGTAATTTTGGTCCCAGAAAGGGAAGAGAGAGAGAATGGAGCAAAAGTAGCATCTGAAATGATAATGGCCAAGAACTTTTCAAAAGTGACCAATGAAAATAAGCCACAGATTCAGAAAGTGCATTGAATTCTTAGCAGGATTTAAAAACACTAAAACAACAGCATGCCACTGTAAAACTGCTAAAAACCGAAGACAAAGAAAATCTTGAAAGCAGCAAGAAGGGGGAAAAGCACATTACTGTCCAAAAAGCAACAGTGAGACTGACAGTTAACTTCTCAGTAGAAATGATGGAAGCCCAAGCAACAAAACTATAGTGATTCATTGCTTAATTAACAACAGGGATACATTTTGAGAAATGCAATTTTTCATTAGGCAATTTTGTCATTGTGCAAACATCGTAGAGTGTACTTACACAAACCTAGATGGTATGCCTACTACACACCTAGGCCACGTGCTGGAGCCTATTGCTCTGCAGTAACTTGCGGAACCTGTATGGCATGTTGCTATACTGAATACTGTAGGCAATTGTAGCACAACATAAGTATTTGTGTTTCTAAACATAGCAAAAGCACAGTAAAAATAATGGTATTATAACCTCATGGGAACCCTGCCATATATAGTCTATCATTGACCAAGATGTCATTATATGGTGCATGACTATGTACATCTTAAATGAAAGATAAGCTGCCATTCTACAATTCTGTATTTGCAAAGATAGCCATCAAACATGAAGACAGTATAAAGACCTTTTTTCTTTTTCTTTTTTTTTTTTTGAGACGGAGTCTCACTCTGTTGTCAGGCTGGAGTGCAGTGGTGCAATCTTGGCTCACTGCAACCTCCGCCTCCTGGGTTCAAGTGATTCTCCTGCCTCAGGCTCCCCAATAGCTGGGATTACAGGCACCCGCCACCACACCCAGCTAATTTTTTGTATTTTTTAGTAGAGACAGGTTTTCACCATGTTGGCCAGGCTGGTCTCAAATTCCTGACCTCAGGTGATCCACCCACCTCGGTGCTGGGATTACAGGCGTGAGCCACTGTGCCTGGTGGAGACATTTATAGAGTATCAAGAACTGAGGGAGTTTCCAGTAGACCTGCACTTAAAGAAACACCAAAGAGATTTCTTTAGGCAAATGGAAAATTATCCCAGTCAGTAATACAGAAATGCGAGAAGGAATGAAGAGCAACAGAGAGGGTAAATATGTATTTAAATCTAAAAGAACACCGGCCAGGCAAAACAGTAATAAAACAATAAGATAAAGGAAAGGAAGCCAATGAAATTAAAATATTGTATGTTTCTAGGACTGCCTAGGAAGTGGTAAAAGTACTGATTTATTTGAGGTATTAATAAATCAAGGTCACATATTATAATTTTCAGGGTAGCTACTACAGAAAAAAAATTAAAGAATATATAATTAACAAGCTAAAAGAAAAAGGATCAAATATAAAATGTTTAATACAAAAAAGACAATAAATGAGAAAAAAGGAACATAAAATAAGTAGGACAAATGAAAAACAAATATTAAGATGGTAGATATAAACTCCAATTCATCGTAACTACATTAAGTATTACTGGAAATACTTCAATTAAAAGACAAAGGTGATCAAGCTGGATTTAAAAAAAAACTACTTGCTGCTTGCAAGAATTATAACTACTTAGAAAAAGTGTTTGGCAGTATCTGTGAAAGCTGGGCACATGCATACTCGATGGCCCCAGCAATCTACTTCTACAAAGGTACTCACAAGAAGTATGCATAGAATGTTTAAAGCAGCATTACAATGGCCACAAACTAGAAACTACCCAAATATTCATCAACAGAAGAATGAATAAGTTCTTAGATAAGTCTTAAATAAAATGATTTTTAAAGTAACATTTATCAAAAGAAGCCAGACACAAAAGAGTACACAATGTATGATTCCATAACTATAAAGTTCAAAAACAGGCAAAACTAATCGATGGTGTTAGAAGTTAGGTTAGAGATGACCTTTGGAAGGGATGGTGAGCAAAAGGGGTTAATGTTCTGTTCCTCATTCCTCTGATAATTATATGGGTATGTTTACTTTATAAAAAATTCACCAAAAAATAAAAGAAAAAAGAAAAAAATTCACCAACCTGTATATTTATGACTTGTGCATTGCATGTATGTTTTATTTGAATAAAAAGTTTAGTTTTTAAAAAGTGTATCAGGAAAGGTATTAGAATTGGCAGCAAGGTCAATTCAGTTATATTTTAGTATGTAAGAAACTTGGCCGGGCGCAGTGGCTCATGCCTGTAATCCCAGCACTTTGGGAGGCCAAGGTGGCCCAATCACCAGAGGTCAGGAGTTCAAGACCAGCCTAACCAACATGGTGAAACCCTGTCTCTACTAAAAATACAAAAATTAGCTGGGTGTGGTGGCGGGAGCCTGTAATCCCAGCTATTGGGGAGGCTGAGGCAGGAGAATCACTTGAACCCAGGAGGCAGAGGTTGCATTGAGCTGAGATCGCGCCACTGCCCTCCAGCCTGGGCGACAGAGTGAGACTCTGTCTCAAAAAAAAAAAAAAAAAAAGAAAAAGACAACATGCTTCAAGAAGGAAAGGTTGAACCCACAGGGAAAGGGAGTGTTTGAAGATGCTGAAGAGATGATAAATTAAGCTACTTAAGGACAAATAAGAGGATTCATTCATTCAGCTGAATATTTTAAGTCCCTATTATAATCCAAGAGCTATCTGAGGTGTTAGGAATCCAAAAATTAATAAGGCTTAGTCCCTATTTTTAGAGTGGTCACTGTCCAGGAGCAAAAGATGCCAATGATGATGTCTGTAAAAACTACATATTTTTAATACTTTCCTTGTACGAGACACTGTGCTGTGCAGGTTTGCAGTATCTTACCTGATATTTACAACAATCCAATGAGGTAGATGTTATCTCCCTTTTCCTGATGAAACACAGGAAATAATATAAGTTTTCCAAGGTCTCACCACCAAGATAAAAACATAAGTCTGTCTGACGTTAAAGCCGTGTTCCTGCTGGTACTTTACACTGCCATTGGATGGTGTGTGGTTACATGCAACAGTCACAATCAATTCTAGTGGGGATGTCTTGGAGAAGGTGGTATAGATGGCCTGAGCCTCAAAGGATGAGCAGACAGAGAATAATGTTTGATGGCCTGGAAGTGGATTTGAAGGAAGAAGAGTCTTTTCTCTGAATAAAGGCCAGATTTTCAAAGAAGGTGGCAGAAATGTATAATGAACCTGAGACGACTGAGTGCTGTTTCTCAGGGAAAGGATCTACCTGCTCCATATACAGACTTTCAACCAAGTGTCTTGTTTTCAGACCTTCCTCCTACAAAGCTGTCTGGCGTCTCCAATTCCTGACTCTGTTCTGGACTTCTTTGCTTTGTAAATGTTGGTATCATGTAATTTTATAGCCAGATTGTTTTAATGTTTCATAATGAACATTTTCCCAAAGCAAACTGCTTGTTGCAAAACAACCGTATCTTTAAGCCAGCATTGTGGGAGAGTTCTAGATTCCTGCCAGAGTTAAACCCAAGGTAGTCATATGTGTAATTCAAGTGCTCATAAAACAGCTGGAAGGAAAAAAAATTTGGATATAAAATAAATTATAGGTGGGGCACAGTGGCTCTCACTTGTAATCCCAGCACTTCGGAAGCCCAAGGTGGGAGAATTGCTGAGCCCAGGAGTTCCAGAGCAGCCTGGGCAACATAGCAAGACCTTGTCTCTACAAAAAAATTAAAAAATTAGCCGGGTGTAGTGTTGTGTACCTGTAATCCCAGCTACTCAGGAGGCGGAGGCACAAGAATCACTTGAGCCTGGGAGGCGGAGGTTGCAGTGAGCCAAGGTCATGCCACTGCACTCTAGCCTGGGTGACAGAGTAAGACTCTGTCTCAAAAAAAAAAAAAAAAAAAAGTCTGTACGGATACAGGGAGCACACTGCTTCCTTTTAAAGGCAAGACCGCTATGTTGAACATTCCACTTCTGCTAAACCCTAATTATCCAGAAGTTATAAGACTGCGAAGCAATCTAGCTTGGTGGCCATGTGCTCTGTGCTATATAAGAAGCTGAGGTCAGTACTGGGGACAACCAATGCTCTCTGCCATATTCTGAGCTTAGTAAACTTGAGAGTGTTGAATTAATTTAGATTAATGTAGCTGATTGGTAAATTCTGATCTTTGTGGTAGGGCTTGCTTCTACTTGTTTATATTAAAAAGGTAATGCAGAACTTAGGCCTGGCGTGGTGGCTCACACCTGTTATTCCAGCAGTTTAAGAGACCAAGGCGGGTGGATCGCTTGTGCTTAGGAGTTTGAGACCAGCCTGGGCAACGTGGCGAAACCTTGTCTCTACAAAAAATACAAAAGTTAGCCGGGCATGGTGGCACATACCTGCAGTCCCAGCTACACGGAACGCTGAGGTGGGAGGATCCCTTGAGCCCAGGAGGCAGAGGCTGCAGTGAGCTGAGATCGCGCCACTGCACTCCAGCCAGGACGACAGTACAAGATCTTGTCTCAAAAAAAAAAAAAAAAAAAAAAAAAAAGCAGAACTTAAAACATAAAATTGCTACATATTTATATAGATGAAATCACTAAGATTTTTACCTATATACAAACCTAACAGAATATGGACGCTTACTGCTTTGTACTTCTTTATTCACTGGAATTAAGTAAAATTCTCTTTCCATTTTGGCCAGTGAAATCAACTCTTGCAGGGTTACTTTTGCTTTTAATACTAACCAATTAAATTCTAGAGCCTAGGCTTAAAAATGCAAATCTTTATAATAAAAAGAGACTAAGATAGAGGTGAAGGAGATGTCCCTTTAGAGCAGTAGAGGAAGAGTTATGGTTCTATTTCATTGAACTACCTCAAATAATCTACTTTGATGAGGTGTTAAATTAAGAACATTCATAAGAACATCAATCTTGTTTTCCTGTGCAATATGAAAACTTGTGTGAATATTTATAGGCTAGCAACTTGTTTTTCTTTTCTCTGTTCTTGGAGGTATAATTTGAACAACAGGGCCTTGTAAAAGTCTTAAGACTTTTGAAATTGTTAAATACTGCAAAGATAACCTTCAAAGAGAAGTGTGTAATCCTGATTGGCTGTCTTCTAGATAGTTTGTTGCCTTGGTGATAACACTAATTTACATGTCTGAATTCCTAAACAACCTAAAAACTTGTATCTTTGCTCTGTAAAGTCAGAAGAGAATCATTGGCACATTTCTCTTTTCCCGTATGAATAATGGAGAGAAACAAATTCCTGTTACACTGGTTGATTTCTTATTTTAATAAAGATTTAACAAAGGAAATTGCCTTTGTGTGTGTGTGAAAATTTAGTATCTAATATCCTTATCTTTGGGAATTCATGTAATTCTTTTTCTCAAGTTATTTAACAGTGTTCTTCTTTTTTCTACATAGACTGTCCTTCATCTACTTGGATTCAGTTCCAAGACAGTTGTTACATTTTTCTCCAAGAAGCCATCAAAGTAGAAAGCATAGAGGATGTCAGAAATCAGTGTACTGACCATGGTAAAAGGCTTATTCTTTTCTGTTTGTTTTTTCACAAATTAGTGAACAGTGTTCATTAATTTCTTTAAAAATTGATTTTGTCACATCTGACTTTTAACTGGGTCCTGAGATTTAATGTACAACTTTTATTTGACAACACACAAGCTACAGGCAGTGGAATTGGGTATATATTTAATCCTGGAGTTGGAAGACAGTTGTTGGACAATATTGTCCAAAGCAGGGTCTATTTAACATGCATATCCTGTGCCAGGCACTGTGCTTAAGCACCTCATATACTTTACCTGGCTTTATCATAACAAACCTATCAAGTAGTGTATTATTATCATTTTATTGAGAGATGAAATTAACTTCAGTTATTTGTTCAAGCTTACACAGGAAATAATTGACAAAGCCAGGATTTTAACCCAGATCTGTTGGATTTTAGGCTTAGAGTTCTTAATCACTTAGTTATTCTGCCTGGAAAGTGCTGAAGTCAGATTACATAGGACCATGAAGTAAGACTGTAGTAAAGAAGAGTACATTAAGGAAAAATTATAAAAAGGCTATTTGCTAGACCATACACTCAGTGTTCTCTAGGAAATAGATTTATAACATCACATTGTAAAATATTTGAAGTGTCTTTTTTTTTTTTTTTGAGACAGGGTCTTGCTGTGTCCCCCAGGCTTGAGTGCAGTGGCATGATCATAGCTCACTACAGCCTTGAACTCCTGGGTTCAAGTGATCCTCCCATGTCAGCCCCCTGAATAGACAGGACTACAGGCGTGCGCTAGCTATTTTATCTGTTTGTTTGTAGAGACAGGGTTTCACTATGTTGCCCAGGCTGGTCTGAAACTCTTGGCCTCAAGTGATCCTCTCACCTTGGCCTTCCAAGGTGCTGGGATTACAGGTGTGAGCCACTGCATCCAGCCAAAAAAATGTCTTTTTTTTTTTTTTTTTTTTTTTTTGTGAGATGGAGTCTCGCTCTGTCGCCTAGGCTGGAGTGCAGTGGCGTGATCTCGGCTCACTGCAAGCTGCGCCTCCCGGGTTCACGCCATTCTCCTGCCTCAGCCTCCCGAGTAGCTGGGATTACCAGCGCCCACCAATAGGCCCGGCTAATTTTTTGTGTTTTTAGTAGAGACGGGGTTTCACTGTTGGCCAGGATGGTCTCGTCTCCTGACCTTGTGATCAGGATCAAGTGATTCTCCTGCCTCAGCCTCCCGAGTAGCTGAGATTACAGGGGTGCATCACCACACCTGGCTAATTTTTTGTATTTTTAGTAGAAACAAGGTTTCACCACGTTAACCAGGCTGGTGCCGAACTCCTGAGGTCAGGCAATCCACCTGCCTCAGCCTCCCAAAGTGCTGGGATTACAGGTGTGAGCCACCATGCCCAGCCTAAAGGTGCTTTTTATTACTGTTATATTCTTCAACAATAACATTTGGAAGAATGTATCAAATTGTACTAGGGATACCTTAATCAAAATCATATACATTTATTATAGAAGGAATAAATGTAAACACCAAAGTTATTAATCTTATTAAAGCGCCACATAGTACTTAATACATATATGTTGTTTCCCTTTGAAAAAGTCTTACATGAACATTGGCTCTGTGAAAACAAGACGAAATTTCCAACATGCCAATATGGTTTTATTTCAAGGCAGTTGAAATAAAATAATAGCAATTTTGCTGGTCTTAGAATATTTTTAAAACAAGTTTTCCCCTGCAACTATTTTCTTTCCTTTCTTCCTTTTTCTTCTTCCTCTTTTCTTTCTTTCTCTCTCTTTTCATTTGTTCTTTCTTTCTTTCCCTTTTTTTTTTTTAATGGAGTCTCAGTCTGTTGCCCAGGCTGGAGTGCAGTGGTGTGATCTCAGCTCATTGCAACCTCTACCTCCTGGGTTCAAGCAATTCTCCTGCCTCAGCCTCCTGAGTAGCTGGGATTACAGGTGGGTGCCACCAGACCCAACTAATTTTATTTTATTTTATTTTTTTTTGGTAGGGACAGGATTTCGTCATGTTGGCCAGGCTGGTCTCAAACTCCTGACCTCAGGTGATCCACCCGCCTCAGCCTCCCAAAGTGCTGGGATTACAGGCATGAGCCACCACGCCCAGCCCCTACAACTATTTTCCATCCCTTAAAAAAAATTATGTAAAGTATACTGAGACATAAACATAATTTCAATGACATAAATCATATTAGAGGCTGAGAGCCAAGACATGTCCCTGTAACCTTATTAGCTTGTATGAACTGTAAGATCAAAGTTTATTGTCCAGCTCTAATATATATAGAAAGTTAAGCAACTATTTATTATTTTTATGTACCTAGTGATTTTCACTGATTCTGGAATATGCTGACTTTTTTTCTCTTTAAAATAATTTCAGGAGCGGACATGATAAGCATACATAATGAAGAAGAAAATGCTTTTATACTGGATACTTTGAAAAAGCAATGGAAAGGCCCAGATGATATCCTACTAGGCATGTTTTATGACACAGATGGTAAGTGATATTTACCTCGTGGGACGTGACTTTGTTGTTCTTTTTTTAATGTAGCAAAACTGATGGCTTTTCAATTCTCTGGTTCAAGTTGATGATTCCTGTGGCCTCCAGGTGTTAAATTTTCAGTGTGCACCTATGATCATACCACAGCTTGTATCTGCATAGCTCAATGAGTTACACAGATGAAAGCCACAGTTGATTCTTGTCTGGATTAAAATGTGGCTCTAAGGCTCAGTATTTTTGTAATATAGCATGATCATAAAGGTAAGTATTAGTGTCTGCAACTAATAGGCTAAGGATAGACTAAATTATCACGGTTCTATTATATAAACATATTTATCATTACTGTAGACAAAGTACATATGTACAAATATAAAAGTACATATGTAAACATTTTCAAATGAAATGAAATTACTAAGGTTACTATTAATATTTAACTATTTTTCTTGACTTTTTTCCCATGAGAATATTATACATGTATATATTTTTGCGAAAATTGGATCATCTTCAGAAACCTCTTAAATCGATAGCTTTTGATGATTTGGCTGTACACAGGATATATTCCTCCTTCTAATTTTAATCCTACAATCAGAAGTTTAGACCAGACATACCTTAGTAACTTTCCACCTTTAATCCTACACCCTTTTTGGCTTGAACTCCTTTTAAAACTGTCATAATGTTGAAAATATTCCTTAATTGACAGATGCGAGTTTCAAGTGGTTTGATAATTCAAATATGACATTTGATAAGTGGACAGACCAAGATGATGATGAGGATTTAGTTGACACCTGTGCTTTTCTGCACATCAAGACAGGTGAATGGAAAAAAGGAAATTGTGAAGTTTCTTCTGTGGAAGGAACACTATGCAAAACAGCTAGTAAGTATGACCGAAGGTGTTTTTCCATTCTAGAAGGGGCAGAGAAAGTAGGACTGGTTTTAAAATAATTTTGAGATAAGTGTGCCTCAATAAATAGAATAAGGCTAGGCACAGTGGCTCACGCCTGCAATCCCAGCATTATGGTAAACTGAGGCACTGGATTGCTTGAGCGCAGGAGTTGAAGACCAGCTTGAGCAACATGGCGAAAACTCATCTCTACAAAAAATACAAAAATCAGCTGGGCATGGTGGCGTGCACCTGCGGTCCGAAATACATGGGAGCCTGAGGTGGGAGGATCAATTGAGCCTGGGAGGTTGAGGCTGCAGTAAGCCTGGGCAACAGAGCAACACTCTGTCTCAAAAAGAAAAAAAAAAATAGAGGGAATAAGACTTCAGAATATATTAATAGGATGGTTTGCTCTTAAGTCTCTTGGAACTCAAATTGTAATTCTCTTACATTTAGGAGGTAAGGCCAGATCACATGAAATAGGCATACTTTTATTCTGTCTGCTTAGTGTTTCCAAGAGGTCAAAAATTTCTTGTTCAGAGGAATTATTATAATCTCTTTGCATGTGATTTGAGTGAGCAGAAGTGGTGAAGAGTAATCATGTATAATTCCAGAATTCTCGTGTTACTTTACAAGGAATTAGATTCTCCATAAGAACATCCTTTGTTTAGGCAAACAAAAACTACATCATAGTTTATAATTTATTTGGAATTAAAATGTTTTCTTCTGACCCGTCAGAAGGTTTTTTTTTTTTTTTTTTTTTTTTTTGCGATGCAGTCTCTCTCTGTCGCCCAGGCTGGAGTGCGGTGGCGCGATCTTGGCTCACTGCAACCTCTGCCTCCTGGCTTCAAGCGATTCTCCTGCCTCAGCCTCCCAAGTAGCTGGGACTACAGGCACCCGCCACCATGCCCGGCTAATTTTTGTATTTTTTAGTAGAGATGGGGTTTCACCATATTGGCCAGGCTGGTCTCGAACTCCTGACCTTGTGATCTGCCCACCTCAGCCTCCCAAAGTGTTAGGATTACAGACGTGAGCCACTGTGCCCGGCCCAGAAGGTTTTTTAATGAACAGAAGTTATCCTGGCCCACAACAGTATTTTGATGTTATTTGTTAAAACACTACACAGTTTGTTATTCTAAGTTTTAGAAAGTAACTGTTTTCTCATTAAAGAAAATTAAATTTTCAAAATGTGGGCTGGGTACAGTGGCTCATGCTTGTAATCCCAGCACTTTTTGAGGCTGAGGCAGCCTGGGTCAACATAGCAAGACCACCATCTCTACAAAAAAAGTTTTTAGTTTTTTTAATGTTTCAAAATATGAATTTAGGGTGCTTAAAACATGATATAAACAACCATTTCCCCATTTTGCATCCTCAGTATTTTCCCCTTCTACTTCAACTGTAAACCAAAACTCCACATCCTGCTTTATTTCCTTTCTTTACATATGGAAGTATGTACATTTCTTTACTTGCTACAGCAGGATCCTTGACTACTGTTAGTTTTACAGTGATTATCAAAATGTTCGTCATAGTTTTATGGTAGCAGTATTCAACTTCAAATATTTGTTTTTTAAAAAATTGGTTCTTTTCAGGTTCTGCACCTCAGGGTGCCATTACATAAACAAAGTTTTTAATTAAACTATAACTTCAAAACATCAGAAATAGTGAGTACATCCATACTAAGGTAGTTAGGGTCACAGTTGTTTAATTTTATGACATTTGTTTTCTAGACTCTCCAACCAGAATCCTCTTTTTTCCTTTACCTCATTATTGTCTTTTCCTCAAGATCCCGTATTCTTTTCCACCAACCAAGCTAATGCATGTTGTTAGCCCTCTACATCTTTCTTTAAAAACTAAGTTCAAAATAGACAACAGAGACAACTAATGAGGCAAAGAAATATGGATTTTAGGCTATGAATATATTGATATTAAGCTACTAATAAAAGGGTTTATTTTTAATGATTGTGAACATGTTTAAAGTCAATCCTATAATAAAGCATAATTAAATTCTAATTTTTATTTTCTTTTGTATTTTAGTCCCATACAAAAGGAAATATTTATCAGGTAAGTAATGATTTGGTCTTTAAATTTTTCCCACAATTAAAAATATATCAAAATTCTGGCATATTAAAATACATTACAGATCCCTTTTTAAAATTATGTAATATAAAGTAGAACAATTTTTATAAGAATGTAGAAAGGTCTCTTAGTAATAAGACTCAACATTTTAAATATATTCTACAATATGTAGTTTTGTCTGGCTTCTTTTACTCGGGAATATTTTTTTAGATTCATCTGTGTTGTGCACATTCACTGAATTTTTTCCCTAAGTGTCATAATACTTTATAAATATATCATATATTGTCCATTCTCTTGTTTATGGATATTTGGATCACTTCTAGTTTTAAACTAATTTGAATAGAACTGCCTATGAACATTCTCCCACATCTTCTTTTGGACCTATGTTCTCATTTTCTTTGAGTATATTCTAGAAAGTAGAAAGCTGGGTCATAGGGCAAGTATATATATTTAGATTTATTAGAAACCACCAAATAATTTTTCAAAATGCTTGAATCATGTTACTACTGGCAGTGCGTCCAAGTTCCATTTGCTCCATGTTCATCCCATGATGGTATTGTCAATTTATTTTTAGCCATTCAGATCAGGTGTGTAGTGATCTTCTTGTGGCTTTAATTTTCATTTACCTGATAATGATGTTGAGCACCTTTCAGATGATTATTTATTTGTATATCTTTTGTGAAAAGGCTTTTACCCATTTGCGGAGTGCAGTGGTGTGAGCTTGACTCACCGCAGTCTTGACCTCCTGGGCTCAAGCGATACTTCCACCTCAGCCTCCCAAGTAGCTGGGACTACAGGTGTGGGCCGCCATGCCCAGCTAACTTTTTTTGTACAGATGGAGTTTCACCATGTTACCCAGGCTAGTCTCAAACTCCTGGGTTCAAAGGATCCACCCGCCTCAGCCTCCCAAAGTGCTGAGATTACAGGCGTTGGGCCGCCATGCCCAGCCACCCATATTTTTTTTGAGTTGCCTATATTTTTGGTAGGAATTTTTAAAACAAATTTTGTTTCTTTAAATTTGGATATGGGCCGGGCTAAATAATACAAAACTTAGCCGGGCACGGTGGCGGGCGCCTGTAATCCCGGCTACTTGGGAGGTTGAGGCAGGGAGAATTGCATGAATTTGGGAGGCGGAGGTTGCAGTGAGCCGAGATCACGCCACTGCCCTCCAGCCTCGGCGACAGAGTGACTCCATCTCACAAAAAAAAAAAAAAAAAAAAAAAAATTGGATGTGAGTCCTTTGCCAGTTTTCTATTTGGGGGTTACTACGATAGAACTATGACAGAGGAGGAGAAAAGAAGTGTTGGGTTTGTGTGTATACAGGAATTACATCCTCATTAATCTATAGGAAGAAGACAATAAATAACAAGCATTAGTGTGGATATGCAGCAATTGGAACTCTTGTGGTAGGAATGTAAAATGGTGCAGCCTCTGTGAAAAACAGTGTGGTGGTTCTTCAAAAAAAATTATTAAAAGAATTACCGTATGATCCAGCAATTCTGAGTATGTATCCCAAATAACTGAAAGCAAGGACTCTTTAATATCCGTACACCCATCTGTTTGATATTTGTGTATCTATGTTCATAGCATCATTTGCCATAGCCAAAAGGTGGAAGCAACCCAAGTGTCCACTGATGAAGGGATAAACAAAATGTAATCTGCACATACAACTGAGTATCATTTAGCCTTAAAAGAGAAGAAAATTCTGACACGTGCTACAACATGCATAAACCTGAAGGACATTAGGCTAAACAAAATAAGCCAGGCACAGGCCGGGCGCAGTGGCTCACGCCTGTAATCCCAGCACTTTGGGAGGCTGAGACCGGTGGATCACCTGAGGTCAGGAGTTTGAGACCAGCCTGGCCAACATGGCGAAATCCCGACTCTACTTTAAAAAAAAAAAAAAAAAAGTTGAAACCCGGAGGCAGAGGCTGCAGTGAGCCGGGATCACTCCACTGCACTCCAGCCTGGGCGAGACAGAGCAAGCCTCCATCTAAAACAAAACAAAACAAAACCACCACAAAAAAAAAAGAAAAATAAGCCAGTCATAAAAGGCCAAATTCTGTATAATTCTTACCTATAGTATGAGGTACCTAAAGTAGTCAACCTCACCAAGAAACTCTTTGCCAAGGGTTAGGTCAGGAAGAAATGGGAGTTTAATAGGTACAGTTTCCATTTTACAAAATGAGTTGTTCTGTGAATGGATGGTGGTGATGTAGCACAACGAAGTGAATGTACTTAATGCTACTGCACACCTAAGATGGTATTTGTTACATGTATTTCTTTAAATTACATTTTTAAAAAATCAAGCAGCGGAAGCATGTTATTTAGACATGGAGACAGATAAATAGCTGAAGCAACAGTAGTAGTTAACTTTAAGGAATGGATGTTCAGGTGAGTAGTGGAGCAGGAGCACAGTATTTTCACTACGTATCTTCTAGAACTATGACTTTTAAGCTACGTAAATGTATTACTTTGGAAAAAATAAAGATACACATAAGTTGGAACATTTAGAAAAAAATAGGTCTGTGGCTTCAAAAACGAATAGTTGAAAGATCTGGCAACATATGGTCTTCAGACTACAAGAAAAGTAATCTCTGAATTCATTACATGTATGCATGTATATATGTGCATGTAAATCTGTATTAAATATGTGTATGTAATTTAGTGAGTAAACACTATGTGTCAGGCTTTCTCCTAAAGTTAGACATTGAAGACAGAGCAATGAACAAAACAAAAGCCTCTGCTCTCAAGCATACATTCTAGTGGGAAGGGTAAAACAAAACTATGTGAGATGGTGACACATCCTATAGGGAAAACAGGCAGATAAGGATGAATTCCAGTGCAAGAAGGGAGGTGTTGCACTTTATTTTTATTTTTAGTACAGTGGCCAGGGAAGGCCTCATTTAATAAGGCCATGATTTTGCATAATGAAGACCTAAAGTCAAAGTGAAAGCCTGTCATGTAGATAGGGATTAGGCTTAGTCTGACTTTAAGGAGTAAAACAGTAGAGAACATGGAGTTGAAGCAGCAAGGAAACAACCCAACAGTTAAGTGTAGCTGCCATCTTGGCAAACAGGGAGTTCCCCTTCATACCAAGGGTAAGCTGGAAGACTCCCTTGGGAAGAATACTTTCAACAGAATTAAGGTGTCCATAGTCGGATGCACCTAGTGTGGCAAGCACACAGGAAAGGTCAAGTTAGTCCAAGCTGGGTTCAGCAAAGGTTACTGGAGAGGATGCAGGAGTTAAATCTTCAAGGATAAGTAGACATCAGGCAGGAGACAGAGGACAGGTTATCTGAGGTGACAAATCAGGACCAAGGTGAAGGGTTGAATTTTTGCTGTCACTTACTAAATGGACTTGGGCAAGTCATTTAAACCCTGTGCCTCAGAATTAAATGCACAGTTGGCACTCTCACCTGAGGCTACAGCCTAACAAAATGTTTCATATAGTTTTTGAGGTGGATTATGTATAGTTCGGGCCTCAGATGATCAGTGTTAGAACTAGAGCGTTAAGGTAGCAGTCAGATAGATAAATAGGAAACAGAAGAAAAATGTGTAGTCTTCACAATTTATAGAGAGGAAGTCTATAAATTTCCAGATTGGTTGACTGGACAGTGGCTATTTATTTGCAGGAATTCAGGTTAGAAGAAATTTGGAAGTAGGGCTACACACACATATTTATCTATGGATTTACATAAAAGACTTGAATGGTTGAGATCAACCATGGAAAGCTTTGAGTCCACAAAGATGACTAGGAAGCAGTCGTCTGAAAAATAGAGCAGTCAGGGAAGCCAAGTGAGTAGGAGATAACTTCAAGGCTGGACGGCTAACAATCTAGTTGCCCCAGGATGAACTAAAACATCCACGTGTTTAAGCATGTAGTCATAAAGAGATCATTGGTGACCTCTGCCACAGAAATTTCTGAAGAAATGTTGAGAAAATGGATTAAATGGGCTTAAGAAATGAAAAAGTGAGCTTGTTTCAGTGTTTGCTGTTTCCTCAAGTAAGGAACATTGTTAGGCTAAAAAGTATTTTTCCTAAATTTTGTTTCTTTAAAAAAAACAGGATTTCATGGTAAATAGCTATTATATGCTGTCAAGCAAGCAATGGACCTTTCCTTTAATTAATGAGGTAGATAATACATTTCCTAATGTAAAACTATCCTAACCTCCAGATATAAACTACACATTGTTTTAATACACTGCTTATCAGTTGCCTTGACAATTGACTTTGTCACACATTTTAGTAGTATGCAGCTAGCTAACTAAAACCCCTGGAGGCAACTTTGGCTAAAGGTCACTTGCAGAATGTGAAAAGCAGCATATATACTTACTGTGTCTCGCCCATCTTGGACACTGTCCAGTTCTTAGGATACCCGGTCTTTTAAAGCTATTATGATTGAGTCTGTAAATATTTCTCAATTACTATGATCTTTCAGACTTTTCTATATTACTATCATGTAATTCCTATTTAAAGTAGATGCTACCGATTATGAAGCCATTATTGTACAATCATTAGTACACTGAAATAAAGTGTGTTCACACTGGTAAAGTTGAGGTTCTACACTGAAAATGGACTATGTTAATTCTAATAAAACTAACTACGGGGCTGGGCACGGTGGCCCACACCTGTAATCCCAGCACTCTGGGAGGCCGAGGGGGGCAGATCACTTGAAGCCAGGGGTTTCGGACCAACCTGGGCAACATGGCAAAACTGTCTCTACTAAAAATACAAAAATTAGCTGGACATCATGGCGTGCGCCTGTCATCTCAGCTACCCAGGCTGACACATGAGAATCCCTGGCACCCAGAAGGCGGAGGTTGCCGTAGCCAAAAACTATGGAAGAACCCCATTTGAACTCAGTTTACGGAATTCTTGGCTTTTTTTCATTTTAATGTCTTTAATAATACCACCACCAAATCCACCCTCACACCTTACCAAATCTTTACTACCAAATTTTATTTCAGAATTAAAAAGATAGTTCACTTGGGGCCATTTCCTCACTCCTCCCAAAAAATCCTGTCAATATTTGAAAAGTATCAATGGCTCTCCCTCACTTTAACAAATAATTTGGCCAAATTTCTCTCACTAATCTTAAATTCTTCCAGGTCTCATTTTAACAAGCACCAGTTGAAATAATGGGTATTATGAATATATTTAATAATAAAAAATCTGTCAAAATAATTCTGAAAAGTTTTCACATTCTTTAGAGTCGATTACTATACATAATACAAGTACCTGCCCAAAAGTATGTTTGTTCTCCTAAACCAGGTTATTTTCCTCAATTTATTAAACTGGATTCTTATAGAAAGATTACAAGGGTTTGAATAGGCAAGAACTGCAAAGTTGTGCATACTTACAGAAATTTAGGGAAACACACAAAGAATGAATGAATGCAAAGACACACAAAACCAGGTACTTTACTGCAGGTCTTGGTGTTTTTTTCAGTTAAACAAATCTTAAATCCCCAAAGCCAGGTGAACCATTAAACCTCAATAATGTAACACATTATCTAAATACTAGAATTCCTAAAGGGAACAGTAGGTCTGAATTTGTAGTCTTAGATCAGAAAGTAAAGCGAAGGAAGACAAACTGGAGCATGGTATATACTTGCGTGATTTCCACTATGGGGTCTTCAGTAGAGTGGAGAAGTGCACAACTTCCTAGAAAATTTGAGTACTATTCTTCAGGCTAAGAAATATAAATCTTGTTAGTAACAAATGCGAAATTTTTGGTTTTCTCATCAGTGTGGGAAATTCTCAACACAGAGAAATGTTTACACAAAACTACAGTTGTGCTCATCAAAATATACTTGCAACTTGTGTACCCTAATTTCCCAAATACTCTTTTGTCTTTTCCTTTTCAGATAACCACATTTTAATATCAGCATTGGTGATTGCTAGCACGGTAATTTTGACAGTTTTGGGAGCAATCATTTGGTTCCTGTACAAAAAACATTCTGATTCTCGTTTCACCACAGTTTTTTCAACCGCACCCCAATCACCTTATAATGAAGACTGTGTTTTGGTAGTTGGAGAAGAAAATGAATATCCTGTTCAATTTGACTAAGTTTTTGGTAATCTTGCACTAAGACATCAACAAAATGCCCTGGCAGAGATAACTTGGGAAAGATTTTAATATAAAACTTGACATTGGATATTAGAGCTTTAATGGTATTCCTTATTCCAGTAACATTTTTATGTACTCATCTGCTGTGAAAAGTCTTTAGGTTCATTAAAAAAACAGGTTTTAGAAATGATCTTAGATCTAATATAGTGATTTTAAGCATCCCGTCAAAGGCAGAATCTGTCACTTGAATGAAGGAAAGCTTAAAGCCCAAGCAGATAAAAATAAAAGCCCAGCCTATTTGTCTTGCCTGCTGTATCTTCCCTATTTAGTTGACCCACTTTAGTTTATATGTTTATTAGTAAACATGAAATGGGGAATAAGTGATTTTAAGTACATCCCATACATTTAAATATCTTTGATAATTGTTATTTTTTTGGCAGATAATTCCTCTAGAATGTGTATCTTTTTATGATTTAGATGAAGAAAATTTTACAACTTTTAACACCCCACACCAATTTTAGTTTCATTACTTTTACACACACCATTTTATCACAAATGACTCAAGTTTTAATGAATGTTTATAAATTATTTGAAACAAAATATGATCGCTGTGTCCAGGATGGCATAGAGAAAGCTGGCAATTAGGTTAACACTTACATATTATAGTGCCCCTTTAAGGATTTCTCTCTTGCCACCATACCTTTTGTACTTTCCCCTATACAAGATGTATCTCATTCTCCTCAAGCATTTATAAATTTTTCCTTCAATGACATGAAAACTGTGCAAGCAAAAACCGAAGAAAAACACTTAAGTACAACTGTAGTGACAGTGATCAAAGTTTTCAGTGCATTTATTGTACATTTTAAGAAAAAGGTGAAAATCATTTGGGGAGTAAAAAAATGAAAAAGCTGAAACGAGTAATTTTCCTCACCATCAATAAACCAAAAACAGGAAAGATAAAGAATGTATAAATTTCACGTAAATTAGTCACGTATCACTTATCAATGGGGATACGTTCTAAGAAATGCATAGTTAGGGAATCTTGTGTGAAAATCAGCTTGTATTTACACAAACCCAGATGGTAGAGCCTATTTTGTCCCAAACCTACACAGCATGTTACTGTGCTGAATACTGCAGACAATTGTAACACAATATTTGTGTATCTAAATATAGAAAAGGTACAGTAAAAATATGGTCTACTAAGGAAACACTGTTCTATATGTGGTCCATTACTGACTGAAGTATACTGTCTAGAAGTCTGAGGCTCAAAGAAAAGTAATCCCTCTTCTGAATCCACACCCCATCAATTATCTTACTTTCTTCTGGGGAGATAGATAGATATACTATCTCACTAGCTTGACTAATGGCAACAAAGTTCCAGCTTGTGTAGTCTCTTTTTATTGACCACATGAATCGAAAACACTCATCACAATTAATGGCACTATCATTAATGAGACATGAGTAACTAAAAAGTGATAGAAAACTATTAACAGTGCGGCTACATGGTACTGAAAATGCAGGCATTACACCAGCTGTTACACAAGCACAAGCATGCTCTGTAAGAGCTTTACATTTCTGAGATTTTGTATAGTGATTGAGATGTCTATTTTATTATTGATAGACTATTACTAATGTCAATATTGAACACTACCCTGGAATTCCTGCCTGGTTTTCCTACCCAAATTGTACCACTCCTTGAAGAACTACAGGCACAGTAAAAAAAATATGGCGTATTATGTGAACTAAAAGAGTTCTAAAGGAGTTCTTAAAGGAGTGGTAGAATTTGGGTAGGAAAGTGATTAAGTCCAACTTAAAACCAACAGTCTCAAACGTCTACAACTACAATGTCCAATGAGCCACTAGCCACATGAGGCTATTTAAGTAAATTTAGTTTAAAATCCAGTTTTCGAATTACATTAGCCACATTGTCAAGTGTTCAAATCACAGGTGGTTAGTGGCTACTGTACTGGGCAACATACATTATAGAACATTTTCATTATAGGAAGTTTTATTGGGCAGTGCTGCTCTTAAATCCTACCTTCCACTCAACTCCCATACAACTTTCTTTTGTACATTTTGATACTTTCTACCTAATGGCAGCTCTTCCAAAATAGCTGCTTTAAACTCTGATTTAATTTTCAATATTTGGTTTCATTTTTCAACAGGCCAAGAGGCCTCTGGTAATGAAGTGCTATATATATATATATGATGGAGTCTCACTGTGCTGCCCAGGCTACAGTGCAGTGGCTCGATCTTGGCTCTCTCCAATCTCCGCCTTGCAGGTTTTCAAGCAATTCTCCTGCCTCAGCCTCCTTAGTAGCTGGGACCACAGACATCTGTCACCACACCCAGCTAACTTTTTGTATTTTTGGTAGAGACGGGGTTTCGCCATATTGACTGGGCTGGTCTCAAACTCCTGACCTCAAGTGATCCACCCACCTTGGTCTCCCAAAGTGCTGGGATTACATGCGTGAGCCACCACACTTGGCCTACATTTTTTCTTTATATACCAGAACATCTATAACAGGCACCTTATCTACTCATTAGTGAAGAGATAATTGGATTACACAGGCAGGCTTGTTTACTACATCCAGAATGTAGAAACTGCTTTCTTCAACATCTTGGTTCTAGCTAGTAATAACAATATAATTCTTTGGCAGATATTCAGAATAACATTTTAAACTACATTTTCTTAGAAAATTGCATTCTTGTAGTGAGCAGTGTATGGTCTCTTTTGTTCAGAATTTAAAACTGATAACCAATGAAAGCCTTTTCTCTTATTCCTCTACCGTCATTTACATGATAATCTGAAGCTAATATGACAATATTTAAATACTAAGTGGTACTAGGGAACTACAAGAATACTGTAAAGCTTAAGCCATTGTTATCACTGTCATTTAGCATTTAATAACAAAACTATACAGAATTATGTGCATACCAATGAATGTTTTGTACCATCTAGTTAAATTTTTTAAATAAAGTTTTATGGGTTAAGCAGAAGACAACTGTCATACTGAATTTTATTAAAAGTATATATACTTCAAATTCAAAGCATCCCTTAGGACCCACAGAATATATTAAAACTACCACCCTTAAATTTTATATTTTTGCTTTAAGACAGACAATGCAAAGGTAACTGGCAAGAGGTGAGCAAATGTTTTAGAACATTTATATTATTGCTTAAAATGAGATTTGAAATTGTAATAAAATTCTTGGTTATGAAGTCTGATGTCTTCTTTGAGCACCAGTTTAAAAGGAAACATTTCAAACAGTAAAATAAATCAGTGTGTACTTTATTTTGAGCCAATGTTTTACATAAGACCAACAAACTAAGTGTGGGCAAACTGTTCAATCACTTTTGAGAAATTACATGGTTCCTATTTAGGTTTGAAAAAGTAGTTTGTTGCCATAACATCAGACCTTAAGGTGTTTTAAAGTGTATCCTAAGGGTACTGACAGAAGAAAAATACAGTGTTATGGAAGTATACACAACTCATGACCACACAGTATAGATCCATTCATGGTGAATAATGTTCATCTGTTCTCCAAAGGTAGTGAAAAATATTAAGTCATCAAATAAATGCTCAGAATTACCAAGGAACAGTTAAAAAGGACCAGGATCCAAACAGGTTATTTATATATTTATCTATAAACAAGTGACAACACTAAAAAACACATTGAAAACCAGTGTTTTAAACTCTGAATGTGGGATTTAAAAATATTCCATTAACTTGAGATTGCAATAATTTTTTTAAACCAAATAGCATTTGACTGGCAAGTCTCATATAATTTACAGCTGTAATATTCCTAAAAGGAATATCTACATACTATAGCCTATCAAATATAATCTGCATTTTGCAAATCAATACAAAAATCTATCCATCATTTATACATTTTATATTTATATACTTTTTAAAAATTAGATTTTATTGCTAGGTGAATTTGGAATTCAAATTAAATTTGGAAACTTAATAATGCTCTTCTCATAACCTTCTCCCCATTCTTTTTTTAATTTTTAAACACTGGAAGCAAATGATTATCAAAATGAGACTGCAACTTAAGGCATTTTAAAAGAAAAAATAATTAGGTGCCATATAGCATTTTATTTCAAAAGTATATTTTGTCCCACTTTTCTCACTAGCAAGAGTAAAACACAAACCTTTTTTCATAAATATGACTACAGTAATCATAACACAAAAAAGGGTTGATAGGCATTGCTTAGATATTTAAAACAAGGGTAATACTTTCCCACTCACCTAAAAGAAAAAACCTTTTTGATTACCAGTTTATAAACATCGGATTTGCTATGTTAAAAAGTCCAGCAGAATTTTAATTCAGCAACACTGGAGAATGAATATATATATACAGGCATACATGTGTATGTATATATTCATTTTATATATAGTCAATGTATTTATTAGGCATTCCCCCACAAAAGTAATTTATATTTAATTGCCATTTTTAATAAACACTTATGTTCACAGATCATCCATCTGTCTTATATGAAGTTAGGCAATATCAAATGTCCTGTTATGGTCTCCGTCTTCTTCGGAATCATCCTCTGAAGCTGTTGAAAGAAAACAGGATGATCAAGAATGATTTTAAGGGGGATAAGAATGGGAAGTGTAAATATGAAGCCAGAACAGCAATGACTTGTAAAAACAAAAATCCCAATTTAGTATATTGTTTGATCAAAATGATAAGTTGTATGACAGGGTTAGGGTGGTCTGCCTGTGGGTGATACCCAACCACAATTCTCCCCGCCCCCACACCGTTTTGTAATGTTATATCAATTTTTATAAAAATGAAAGTGCTTAAAAATGTGGTTCAAGAGCATCTTCTAAAATGTTTCTGAGATCAATCTGTGTTCATAGTAGCTAATGATATATAAACACTAGGAAAAAAGTCAACTTAAGGCAAGTGCTCTCACACACCTGAGTAAAATCTGGCTTATTACCGCTGCATGTTTGGTGCATCCGATGAGAATGAAAAGAAGTGTACATAGAATAAGAGGTTATGGGTGTTCTTGCAATTTACATCAAAGCTATGTCTATACAATGCCAAGATAAAAGTTCATTTAGTAAGTCAAAAAAGCTTCATATAGACACAGCCTAAATTAAAATAATTGGATTCAGTAAAAACCTACTGTTGAGATTATTCCCCTGTCTCCACACTGCCAGAAACTTACCACTTTTGCAACATTTCTGACCTCAATTTATTCAAGAGTCACTAGTGGCTCAAGAGTTAAAAATAAAGCATCCTGGGTGTCTTTAGGAAAGACATAGTAAGTGTAAAACTATGAATTCTATGAACTGCTTTGCACGTGTAAGAAAATGCAAGCTCACTAAAATAAACATCTAACCAGCATCTTTCCCCCATTATAGGGCAAAACGGTTTAATGCCCTCTCTTTTTATATTTACATTGGACAAATTAAGAGCATCCAACAAATGGAATCAACCTAGGGCAAAGCACAGAAAAACTATGCAACACTAATAGATTTAAATCCATTTAATAAATGACAAAGCATATAACTAAGTCATGACTGATAATAAACTCTACTGTTAAGTTTTATGCTCTATCACTGAGAAATACCAAACTAAAAAATTACAGCTTATTAAGGAACTTCTTGTGTTTTTCCATTTAACTCCACTCCACAGGAGAGGATAATTTAGTCAGAACCCATTTCAGAATGTACTAATACTCTGATATTTAGGGGTTAACTTGCAGCACCCTTGTCTTTCATGCTTATTTGAGTATGGACATATTTCACCTCCATCTTTTTCTTCCCACATGTTAGGAGCAGACAATACTATGTTTAAGAAACTAAATTTTAAACGAGAATGTTAGTTTTTTAAAATGGAGAAATCTGGGGAAAACATACACTGAAACAAATTACTATCATGACGTTGGACAAAGTATAAATTGTAATTTAAAAAAACAAAGAAGAGACCTTTGTATTAGGCCAACCTAAGGGATCTGAAAGAAGGTATAAAGGGAAAAAATTTTATACCAAGTGAATTCACACTGACTCCTTTCTTTTCACATATCCTAATTAAAACTGTGAAAATATGTTACCTGGTTTCATCTCAAAACCTTTAAAAACTTGAAAGTAGTATAGACAATGACAAAAATCTATGTTTTAGATTATCTAGAATTAAAAAGTTCCTATGAGGACTAAGTCCTTTTTAAACCTTACTTCAAAGGATGCTGAGCTTTCTCTAAAAGTAAAAATGTTATGCACACTATAGATAACACTCCAAATAGTCTGAAGATGAGTATAGAAGTATTCAACTGAAGAATACGTATTTTAAAAAGACACTTTGGATAGTGTTTTGGAATGGGCAACAAAGGGTGAAAAAGTAAAATATGTAGGGGTTGGGTGGGGTAATCTTCAATTTCTAGAAACTATTCCAGAGCCACCAATACCTATGCCCACATGGTATGAAGCACACTGGAAGTTACAGGACATTAAGAAGAGGGTAGGCTGTATAGATGCCTGTAGAGATTTGAGAATTAAGTGCCTTCACTTATAATCCCAGCCAGAAATCCTGATGCTGGAATGTGATCTTAAGAGATTTGAGCTGTTGGCAGAGCTGGCTACCTATTAAAGGTCCATGAGGACCTACAAAAAGCCAAAAAAAAACCCACTACCACCACCACCAACAACAAAAAACCCACAAAACAAAGCCCTTCATGGCTTCTGATATGGATTCAGAATTAGGACTCCTTGTCCCATATTTTCCTGGAATCATAGGTAAGCCCAGGAATAATCTCTTATGATCTAACAAACCTGAGTAACAGGTAAAATTTCTTACCAGAAACGAAACAAAACAAAATCCTAACAGATTAAGAAATGTTGGTTTGATTAGTAGTTAAGATTTATGCCTTTTTTATTATAAATCCTGAAATCAAGGTGATCAACAATAAATTTCTCTTTGAAAAAAAAAAGTAAAATGCAGTTAAAATTACATGCTTCCATACCTTAAAATATGCTTAAAAAAAAAAACAACTAATGTCAGTTTCCCAACCCATATTTCCCAAATCAATCATTTTGGTATTACTAAGCCTATAAATGAGCTCTAATTTGGCAGAACAGAGTATATACTTAGGTTTTGCTTTGGGTTTAATTTGCAAAAGTAAATTCAACAAGTCTGGGGAGGGGAAATTCCACCTACTTTCGAGATCTTCCATATGTGCCTGAAGAGTTCTTGCAAGGTTAATAAACTAGAAACAATGCAGAAAGAAATACAGTAGTTTAAATGTTGCAAATGGATCTAAAGAGAGAATCAGTATAGGAGATTCATTTCTACTTAAAAAGTCAAACATCAGTTTAAGCCTTTAAATAGGGGTTTTTCTCCCCCTAACATCAAAAATCACAAGCTTAATGGCATTAATTTTTAAATGTTTTATATAATCTTTATAATCATGTAGAAACCAGTTTTTTAAAATTGGGAGCAGATACAATAATTTTATCCAATGATATTGTCTTCTTATAAACACTTCAAAAAATTACGAAATGGAGGAAAAAAAACAAAAAACAAAAAACCACCCTTGTATTTGGACCCAAATAAATTCAGTTTCAGTGGGCGCGCGCACACACACACACACACACACACACACACACACACACACACACAAAACTCCCAAGAACCAATATTTTCCTACCTAAATTTGATAAAAGTATACAGTTCTATACATTAAAAAAAATCCTAATGACTTCCACTTTGGAGTATCATCCAAAATTCTGTAATTTTCCACTGTAAAACTTGTTAATATGAACTTTTAAAAACACATGAATTCAGAAGTTCTTAAATGTTTTATATGGTTTATTCATCCTGAAGACTTAAGGTACCTTTTTAGAAATCATTTTACGGTATTAAGGTTTTAGGGGCTCACAATTTGTAAAGTACTTAGAAGTCAAGAGATCTTTGCTCAAATTCTGAATGCTCTTGATAGATAATATGAATGCTCTTCAATGGTAATTATCTGTTAACCAGCTCACTGGAATAATGTCCACATGATAAAATAAAGAAAAATTTTTTACTAATTTAGAAGGAGTATTACATACATTGAATTGCAGTTATTTGATAATTTTCAAAATAAAAACATTACATGAACTCTACTACACTTTTATCACCGAAGTTAACATGTAAGAAAGTTTGAAGGATATACTTATGAACACATTTCAAGACATGAAGTGTTCAGAATGCTACAATAATGGCAGATACATAGAGACCCTAGCCCTTGCTACACAAAATGGCCCAGACAGCAAAGCATAAAGTTTCCTCTGGTACACTGACACAAAGAGCATCATTTACTTATAAATACCTAACATACAGCTGGCCAAAATGTTGTATTATGGCTAATAGCACACACAGTAAACAACCAACTATTCCATATCTAAAATACTTTGTAATATGGACACTTAAAAATTAGTACACTGGTAATCTTTTGTAGAACAGTAACAAATAAATTGAAGTTAATTTCCCATACTCTTTGGCTTTTGGAGTTCAATTTCAGGTTTCTAAGTGATAATACTGAGGTTTTGTTTTAATAATAAAAAGCCCATTTTCCCTCGATGTTTCCAATTCTGTTTTTCAATGAAATACATTCCAATTACCTTTGAGAGCTAGAAAATTACTTCTTTCTCTAAAATAACTTTATGAGAAAATCAGGCTGCTTGTTATAGAAGACAGCAATTTCCATTAAATCTACGGTATCTTTATTTTTAAGAAACATTTAAAAAATAAAAGCTTCCCAAAGGAAATAAGATGTCAACATATGAAACAATCTGCTTTCCAAGGCATACACTTGCTGCATCATACCCTCCCTCTCCCCAACTTCATTATTACTTACTCGGACACGTGTGCTTGGTTCATTTGTATTTCCCATCATATCAGAAAAGCTTTGTTCGCACAAGTGCAATAACACCACTAGGTAGAGACCAGAGCTGATAAACTCATACTCAGCCTTCAACAGGGAAGCAAACAGGAGAAAAGAAAAATACAGAGAATGAAAAATTAGTAGAATTGAGATTGATACTCACAGTACACTGATAAACTAGAGGAAATGTATTCATATCCAGTTCCTAATAAGGGACACAATGCCATTTATTGAGAAAAAAAGAATATCTTTATAATTTCATAAAATTTTACTTTTTATTCTCACATAGTCTTCTTTAGTGTAATGACTTTATATAAAAATGGAACTTTTAAATAATTTGATGGTGGAATGAATGCTTTGGTTTTCTATAAAGCTCATAGATTTCATTATACAAATGGCTATAGCTATATATATTTAGTTAAAAATTACATTTCATCTATAGCTATGCCAATATACTGCTGTAACTAAAATCTATTCTGATAGCTCAAGTGTTTTTCTGTGTAATATGATGAACATAAAGGCATAAATAAAAGAATGAATTAATAAAGGTAAGAGATTAATCATTCACACAGAAATTTGTAGTTGGTAAAAACAGTTCTTCAATTCAAAACTGTTCTGTTGTGTTAACCTAAAAGGAAGAAACTGAGACGAAATTTAACAGAGTTTATTTTAGTCAAGGTTCAGGACTGCTGCCAGGCTCCCACTTCCAAGCTGCCTTGGGGAGAGTGCTCCAGAGAACAAAAGAAAGGCTCAAATTTTTAAAGAAAAAAGGACAAATCAGGAAGGGAGAGATAACAAAAGTTGTTCATTCTGAATTCTCAACATTGGTTTACAGAAATAACATTGGTTAGTGATTGGCTATACACTATTGAACTATAGGGTATATGACATTTTATAGCTACTTGGCACTAGTTAGTCTAGAGGCCCCAAAGCAAGTGGCGTATTTAGCTCAAGGGAGAGTGAGATGAGAATGCTGTTACATTTTAAATACCTCTCTGAACCTGACAATTTAAAGGGGCTCATATTCCTCAGATTAAAAGTTTCTCTTTTCCCCCCACAGTTGTTTTCAAGCCATGAATACAAATCATAAATATAGTATTATTAATAATCTAATCTGTCCTGTAATTTTTACAGTGAACTATTTACAAACTGAATTGGGCAACTGGTTCATCAGACGTTAAGAACTCTATGTTCTTAGTACCAACTTCAGCAAGTAACTGATTATCAGAGTCTACTGAGTATTCAAGAAATTTGAGGCCATGTGCGGTGGCTCACGCCTATAATCCCAGCATTTTGGGAGGCTGGAGTGGGTGGATCACTTGAGGTCAGGAGTTCAAGAACAGCCTGGCCAACACGGTGAAACCCCATCTCTACTAAAAATACAATTAGCTGGGTGTGGTGGCAGGAACCTGTAACACCAGCTACTTGGGAGGCTGAGGCAGGAGAATCGCTTGAACCCGGGAGGTGGAGGTTGCAGTTGGCCGAGATCATGCCATTGCACTCCAGCCTGGGTGACAAGAGTGAAACTCCGTCTCAAAAAAAAAAAAAAAAAAAAAAAAAGAAATGATTCACTTAATAATTATTGTTGCTTATTTTTAACTTGAAATAATATATCCAGAACATTTTTAAAAAATTTTAAACGGGGCCAGGCACGGTGGCTCACGCCTGTAATCCCAGCACTTTGGGAGGCCGAGGCGGGTGGCTCACCTGAGGTCAGGAGTTCAAGACCAGCCTGGCCAACATGGTGAAGCCCCGTCCCTACTAAAAATTCAAAAAATTAGCCTGGTGTGGAGGCGGGTGGCAATCCCACCTACTTGGGAGGCTGAGGCAAGAGAATCGCTTAAACTCAGGAGGCAGAGGTTGTCGTGAGCTGAGATTGCACCACTGCACTCCAGCCTGGGCAACAAGGAAGGCTCCATCTCAAAAAAAAAAAAAAAAATTAAATGGTTATCACCTTGCAAAAGATCAAGCCACTGGTTAATGTGGAAATAGACTTATTAAACTAATCACTTAAAATCAGTGTAGCTATCAGGCCACTAGAATCTATTATTCATACAGAACAAACAAGTTAAAACCAGAAAGTTTAATCAAGGCTGTCACTGTTTTTACAATGACTCCACCTAATATTTCCTAAAACTTCTAAAGAATATGGGTCATTAAAATGCTTAGAAAATAAAAACATTCCTGAGATCAAAAAGGAAAAGGCATGACAGAGCGAGTCAAAAACAAAAAACAAAAACAAAAACAAAAACAAAAAAGGAAAAAACTGCCTTTGAGAGACAGGATGAAGCATCTCAGGAAGGAAGATGGCAGGAGAAACAAACCTTTTGAAAGCTACTCTCATTTTGAGAAGACAAGTTATGTATTTATATTTATCTCTCCATGATTCCACTTTTCCATGTTTCCCCTGGTTTTTAAATACCAATGCTCAGCCAGCTACAGAGAACTCCCTGGGGATTTAAAACATTTCATTGCTGAAAGTGATTTTCTTTTTGGACAACTAGTGCATCAGAGAATAAAACAACATAACTGGCATTAGAGTAGCACCTGTGCTACATTAACTGCTTAATGTTTTCATTCTTTAGATCAGTGATTCTTTATCTGGATCCAAGCAATTAGCTTCAAAGGATCTGGGAATCCCTTAGAGACAGAATTTGTGTCTATATATTTTATAAGAAGGGTACATAGTTTTAATCAGATTTTCAAAGGGTATCTATTATTCCCACATTTAAAAAAAAGTGGTTCAGAAAATATCATATATTAATGTATGATTCTATTTGTATGAAATATCCAGGATAAGTAAATCCATAAAACAACACAGACTGGTAGTTGCCAGGGGCTGAGAGCACAGAATGGGGAGCAACTGTTTAATGGGTAGAGGGTTTTCTTTTGGAGTGATGAAAATGTTTTGGAACTAAACAGAGATGGCGGCTGCACAAAATGGTTTTTATGTTTTGTAAATCTCATTCAATATAATAAAAGAGGGGAGGCCCATTACCCCTACATTTAAAAAGTGTTTTTGTTTTCTGTTTTGTAGAGACCGGGTCTTGCTATGTTGCTGAGGCTGGTCTCAAACTCCTGGCCTCAAACAGTCATCCCGTCTTAGCCTCCCAAAGTGCTAGGTATAAGTGTGAGCCATTGTAGTACCTGGCCAAAAAGTGTTTTTCAAGCACTTCATGCATTCCTTTTACAGCATATCTTTGTTTGTTTTTTTTAAACAAATATGCTAACCACACTTCAACAATTTGGCTCTAAAGTCACCCTTGTAATCTCCTTAAATACACATCTGCCCCACCTCCCGAATTTTCCTTCAGTAAAGAAAAAGGAGGAAATTATTGAGCTCTTCATTCTAAACTGTATCATTTATGCATCTCAAAAAACTTACAGCTATGGGGAAATAAGGTTGGCATCCCTATTTTGGAACAACTTTCCTAAGCTTAAGGGAAAAATAAAAAAAAAAAAATTATGAAATTCTAACACCTAATGCAGTAACAGAATTATGTTAAGAACATTATCACTGTTATTATTATTATTTTAATGCAAGGTTTCTGACCATGATTTAATCTTTTCTTCAAGAGCTGTCCTTGAAGCATAGAATAGACACTTACCAAATTAGGCAAAATATACTAACTTGTTCATTTGCATGAGCTCTATGTAGTTCATGAATATCAAAATCCTCCAGGTTAAGCTCCAACTTCTCTTTACATAGTTCACAGGTGGTTACAGCTTCTAATGAAGAACCTGGTAAAAATTAAATTACAAATAAAGCTTAGTTTTATAATGTCTTCATAAAACACTTTTCCTCGTTAAGTTTTAAGCTTAAAATAAATAAAACCTTAAAGGAAAGAAGAAGAAAAGGAAATATTACATTTCTGCAGTAAACCAGTAATGTCCCCTAATACAGCAGTCTATAATATCCAATGTGCACATCAGGTCCTGCCCTATGATAATAAGCCACCACCATTATTTAGATACCTTGGTTGTTTTCTTCCTCCCAGATACTCATACATCCTTGATCATGGGAAGCAGACAGAGGCAATGGAATGTCATCTGTACTTCCTACTTCCTCCTTAAGTACTTTGACGTGATGCCATGAAAACAATGTTTAGTGATGTAACATCTCAAACACCTAGTTACACACCCAAGCCAGTATCTTTGATGTGACAACACATACCTCACATACCTAAGACCTTTTGGAGTTTAAGGAATATGTCTGCCTTACTTGCTAGAATGGGAAAAAAGGGACCCCACCCTTGTCCAAATAAAAACAGCTCCCTTCAGTCATAAAAGGAATTAGTCTTTATATATGCTGCAACATGAACTTTAAAAACATTATGCTAAATGAAATAAGACAGATACAAAAGGACAAATATTTTATGATTCTACTTACATAAAATATCTGGAATATGCAAATTCACAGAGACAGAAAGTAGACCAGAAGTTACTAGGGATTTGGCAGAGAAGGGAATAGGAAGTAAGGAGTTACTGCTTAATGGTTAGCGTTTCTGTCTGGAATGATAAACAATTTTGGAAATAGGAGTGATGGTTGCACAACACTGTGAATGGATCCAACTGTATACTTAAAAATGGTCAAAATGGCATATTTTATGTTATTTATCTACTTGTTTTTACCAAACCTTTTTTTAAAAAGAAAAAGAAAACTTCCATATTCATTCAACATTTGATTATTCCTAAGCTTTTTGGTTCCAATTTGGTAGGTAGTAGTCTTGTGTAATTAAACTTGTAGGTTCTTTCTGCCTTTTCCTTTGTTTGTTTATATTTAGAGAGGGTTTCAAATGGGAAAATGGCCTTAAAATTAGGGTAGATAGGTTTAAATTCAATTCAACTAACATTTGTTGAGTGATTGTTAGGTGCAAGCAATTAATTAGAGGTTTTGGAGATTCAAAAAAGATTAAGTAGTAGGCCCTGCCTTCAAGGAGCTCATAAAACTCTAATAACCAGTGTCAGAATTTTTTAAGAGTAAAATTTGGCATAAGGTCCAAGACAGCAGTAACTTATGTACATTTTCTAGAAAACAGCTGAAAGTGAGTGCTAATCTGAAGAAGTATGCTGTCTCAAAATGGGCTGTAGTCAAATTACACTGAGTTTTCACTATATTTTGAGTATATGAATGAAACCAAGCGTCTTTTTGGAGTCTAGCATACATGAAAATGTAATATGGACCTTGGAGATAATTTACTACAGATTCTCTTATATCTTAGGGCTTCATTTTCTTCCTCTATGGAGTAAGAGACTTATTAAGGTCATTCAAAAAGGCTACACTCAGCCGGGAGCAACCCATTTATTTCTACATGTTTTTTCTGGAGACAAGATCTCACTCTGCTGCCTAGCCTGGAGTGCAGTGGCATGATCACGGCTCGCTGCAGCCTCTAGCTCATGGGCTCAAAGGATCCTCTCACCTTGTCCTGTTGGATTACAGGCGTGAGCCACCACAGCCAGCCTACTCCTATATTTCTTAATCAGGGCTCTCTCCATTACACCCTGAATTGCATCTGCCTAAACTTGTACTAGACTTATTTTATTCATCTTTGTATATCCTGTAGACTTTAGCAATCCAAACATAGTAGCTTCTTAATAAATGCTTAAATAAATCTCTACCAGAATGAACCTTCTACCAGATGGGATCTTTGTGCAGCTCTGAGAAATACTTCTCAGATGCCTATCAGGAAAGTTCAGTTGCTGAGACCTATACATTCAATTGGCCATATCTTGAAAAGCACTTATTATAACCTTATAAAACTAACTCCAGGCCAGGTATGGTGGCTCACGCCTGTAATCCCAGCACTTTGGGAGGCTGCCGAGGCAGGCGGATCACTTGAGGCAAGGAGTTCGAGATCAGCCTGGCCAACTTGACAAAACTCCATCTCTACTAAAAATACAAAAAATTAGCCAGGGGTGGTGGTGTGCACCTATAATCCCAGCTAACTTAGGAGGCTGAGGCAGGAGAATCACTAGAACTCGGGAGGCAGAGGTTGCAGTAAGCTGAGATTGTGCCACTGCACTCCAGCCTGGTGACAGAACAAGACTCCGTCTCAAAAAACAAAAACAAACTAACTCCCATTTAATTTAATCGCATACTTACCATGTGCCTGGTACAGTGGGAAACTATGAACAATAACTCTTTTGACATTCATTAACTTTATGAGGTATTATTCAATTTTACTGAAGATGGAACTGAGGCCCAACCCTAGTCCTACTTAAGAATCTTTAAGAGTGAATCTGAATCATCTGTTTTTTTTTTTTTTTTTTTTTTTTTTTGAGACTGAGTGTCACTCTTGTCACCCAGGCTGGAGTGCAATGGGGTGATCTCGGCTCACTGCAAACTCCACCTCCTGGGTTCAAGCGATTCTCTTGCCTCAGCCTCCCGAGTAGCTGGGATTACAGGTGTGCGCCACCACACCCAGCTAATTTCTGTATTTTCAGTAGAGACGGGGTTTCACCATGTTGGCCAGGCTGGTCTTGAACTCCTGACCTCAGGTGCTCCACCTGCCTCAGCCTCCCAAAGTGCTGGGATTACAGGTGTGAGCCACCATGCCTGGCCCATCTGTATTTTTAAAAACTCCAGTGGGTGATTCTCATCAGCAGCCAGGGTTTAGAACCAATGTTAAGAAACATGCTCAAGACCCTATAGCTAGCTAAGTGTTCCAGTAAATATTCCAAACTGGGCTTGTCTAACTTCAAAAAGCCAATGTTCTTAAACAATAACCTGTATTATCTGTTTTCCTCCATATCCAGCACTAATAATTCAATTGTGTGTATCAGAAGTTGAGTCAAGTTGTTGTTGTTCATTTTGGTAATAGCTAACATTTCTGGGCCCTTAAGTGTCAAAATACTAAGCACTTTACATGTAATCTCTCATTTAGTCCTTCTAACACCTCAGGGCAGTGACTAACAAAACCTGTGAGTCACTGTAACACCATATAGCTCAGAGAAAAGGCAGTTCCAGGTGAGACAGCTTGTTCAGAGCCCTTGAGCTCAGACTAGCTTAGAAGAAAAGATACTGCTTTCTCCTCTTGTGCCCCCTAGGGGTCTACTGCTCACCACTTGACTACCACATTACTGGGAGCCTCAGGAATTTTCCCAGTATCCTCATAATCTCCAACTTGAACCCAACTCCTCCAACAGATTATGAAAATCAAAATCAGTGCCATCATACCTCACAACATAGTTGTCTATGTTACTATGCTATAATGATCAGATCTTCAATTTCACAATTATGTACATTTAAAATCTGATCTAATTTTCTACCTTACTAGTTGTTTCTATGTCCCCTGGTACTCGTGGTCTAATATCAGTAAATTCCTCTAACCACCAACCTTTCTTTTTTGAACTATCTCTTTACTTTCATGCCTGAACCACAGTGCCTCCTGACTAACGATACCTATATATATGCTTCTATAGCCATTTTATCCCCACAGTCCCTTGTAACTCAGGACCAAGAAGTGAGAGTAGTTGCCCACCCAACACACCCATTACTGTTTTCAAATCTTAATTCCCCCTTCATTCATTAATGACTTCAGCACCTGGCTCTCTACCCTTCTTTGCCAACTAAATCCTTGGTTGTTTCAACATCCAAGACCAGACCCACTGGATTATAACTTTCTCAATATCTTTGCTTCCAATATTACCCTTCCCCACCTCAGTCACCAACTCAGTTCATACCCTTGACCTCATCACAATTTGCTGCACTACCCCTAAATAGCCATTTTAAGCGTCCCCTCCTGTGTACCAATTCTTATTTTAGCCTACTTACGTCAATGTCAATAAAATCCAAAGATACTCTACCTCTTTCTCACTATACACTTCCTGAGGTCCTTACTTTCCTCCTGGTTTTAATTTCTATGGTTGCCACAATTATGTCCTTATAGATACCCTTAACTCCCTTCATCATATTTGCCTGGCAAAAGACCCACCAGCATTGAACTCTAGTCCATAGCTATATCCCAAGCATCTGAAAACTGCTTTAAAAAAATTGTACACGTACCTCACTTTAAAATCACTTTTATAGACACTAATACAATCTGGAAATCCTACTACACATCCACATCCTTAAAATGTTATTTTCCTCACACCTCAAAACCTCCTAACCTGTCTCCTTATCAGCTAAAGACCTTACCTCTAAGAAAACAGATGCAATTAACACAGGGAGTCATAAATCTTCCCATCAAAGCAACAAACTGATCAACACCCATATCAACACTAGCCTTCTGAAGAGGAAATATCCTTTCTCGTATTATAGGACAACCACTCAACTTGTGCTCTGGACCCCATCTTCTTTCTCCTCTTTTCGTACTTTTTTTTCTGTTAGAAGTCTCAAAATAAAAACATGCCTTAAAATCCCCTACCTCAAAATAAAACAAAAACACTTCTTGTGATCCCATGTAACTCTAATTCCTGTTCCCTATCTCCAGTCTCCTTGGTAGTAAATTTGTTCAAAGTATCGAACCTATGTTGCTGTCTATCCTTTCTTACCTCCTTTTCTCTACTCAGTCTAATCTAATCAGGCTTAGGAACCCACCATTCCAGAGACTGAAACCACCAAGAACATCTATGCTATCAAATCCAATTATTCTTTCTTCTCATTTTACCTGACCTCTCAGAAGTGCAGGGTTGATCACATATACCTTAAAGCATTCTTCTTTTGGCTTGCACAACACATTTTCTTGGTTTTCTTCCTTCCTAAAGGCTGCTTTTTCAAATCTCCTCTGTTCTCACTAAACATCTGGGTATCCCAGGGCTCTGTCCTGGGCCTATTTCTTTGATATCTGCTCTTCCTCTAGCTGACCTTATTTAATACCAAAACCTCAAACATTATTACTCTCGTGTTCATAACTGAAACTAACTTTCAGTGTATCTCCTGAAATGCCAGGCTTGTCTAGCTAACGGCCTACATGACATTTCCAAATGGTTATCTAATAAGTAGCTCAAATATAATGTCCAAAACAGAACACTTGGTTCCCTTTTCAGCTTCCTATTTCAGTAAAAGGAACTGCCATTCACTTAACTGCTCAAGGCAAAAATACGAGCTTCCCTAATTGTTGTTTCTCCTTCATTCCATCACATCCAATTTACTGAACTGGATGTCTTACAGAACCTACCTACAAAATATACCAGAATCTATCTATCCATTCTATCATCACGATCACACTGCTACATGTTAATCATCACCAACTCTAGCAAGTGCTCTGATAATAGACTCCTGGTTCGTCTCCCTGTACTACTCTTGTCCCCCTAAAAATCCATTCTCCACAAAGCAGCCAAATATTAATAAGATCATTTCATTCCCTTTTTCTTTAGCAGCTTCCCATCATATTTAAATCCAAGATTTGGGCCTTTAAAAGTCTTGCACGAACTAACTTCTGCTAATCTTTCTCATCTCAACTTTTTTTTTTTTTGACATGGAGTCTCGCTCTGTTGCCCAGGCTGGAGTGCAGTGGCGCAATCTCGGCTCACTGCAAGCTCCGCCTCCTGGGTTCATGCCATTCTAGCTGGGACTACAGGCGCCCGCCACCAGGTTGGCTAATTTTTTTTTATTTTTAGTAGAGATGGGGTTTCACCGTGTTAGCCAGGATGGTCTCGATCTCCTGACCTCGTGATCCGCCCGTCTCGGCCTCCCAAAGTGCTGGGATTACAGGCATGAGCCACCGCGCCCGGCCTCTCATCACAACTTTATCTCCCCTCCCCGACTAAGACTAATTATACACCAGCCACACTATGCATAATTCAGCTCCTCAAATAGACCTAAGTTGATTCCCACCCTAAAGTCTTTGAACTTGCTGTTCCCTATGCTAGAGTGCTCTTCCCCTAATTATGGAATAGCTCAGCTCTCAATTTACATGTTCTCACCTCAAAAAGGCACTTCCTTAACACCCAATATCACTACAAGAAGCAGGTGCCTTGTCTTTTTACCATCCTATAACCAACATCTAGAACTACTGTGCCTGGGCTCCATTACAGGCACTCAATGAACAAATAAATCCCCACAGTAGCCTATAATCGTAATTTGCCAAGTGACACAACAGCAACATTAGAAATAAATCTTTCTCAAGGACACACAGCTGGTAAATGGTGAGTCTATTTCCTTGATTCAAAAGGATCTTCCATGATTTAAGGGACACACTAGTGATCACAAATTACAGCTGTATTATACATGTATGAAGTAGTAAACAGTTTGGTAGGAAATGAAACATAAGACACATTACTAAAAATTTACAAAGAAACACTAATGCTCTTTAATGCTTCTGCTGAGACTTCAAAAATGATTAAGACACTTGTTAAAAGTCTAAATTCAACAATCTATAAATTTGTTAACCAAACGCATACATACATGCATCTCTTAGAAAAATTGTGAAAACACAAAAGGGTAAATCTTACCAGAGTTAATTTTGGCCTGTAACCACTTTTTCATACAGTCTTGGTGGACATACTGCAAACTTCCTGTGCACTTGCATGGCTCTATCAGCAAATTAGATGATGATGCAGCTGCCATTTGACAAATTCTACATAAGTCACCTTCTTCTTCTTCTGAGTCCTCTAAAAGGAGGCTGGAAAAGAAGGCACATTTCCCAAAGCTATCATAACTCATCCTGGTTGGTTACTTCAGTCATACATAATCACAAGCTTTCTTTTTTGTTATTTCTACTCACACTGTCTCTGGGTGGAAAAAAGCAAACAGTAACAACAACAAAACAATAACAATTATATTCATCAGCAACCCTCTGATTGAAAATGAAAAACTCTCTCATTGAGAATAAAAATTGTAACAAGTATTTTAAAGGTAAGTAAAATAGGCTAACCTATCATTTATTTTCAAATGATTTAAGTAATTTTGTCATTGGCAAATGACAGTTTAAGATCTATATTTTTCTCAATGACTTTACAAGTACCCCTAAGAGATTTTAATTTCTGTAGTATTCCAGACTACTTCAAGTCCAACAGTATAAAGGTAAGATAAACTTATCACTTTTGCCCCTTGCCTCCCCTCAAATTTTAGGGCTACTTCCATGAATTAAACACATACTGGCTTGTAGATTCTCATTTACATGTTACCAGAACCATGTTTAAACTGATAAACTTTTGTATTACAGAAAAAAATTTGAAAGAATGCTTTAAAATTCTCCATCTGCCCCCTCGGCGCAGCAATCTTATAAAAGATTCCATTAACCTACGTCCTCTATTTAACAGGCCATTGTGTACTGCTTAATATATAAATGCAGAGTAATAGTTTTATATAATAAGGTAAGTAGTTGTTAAAATTCCTACTGCGTTAGTCCACTGTTGGCATGAAACAGGTATACAGTAAATTGGTAATACAGAATGCTGAACTGTTACTGAAATACAACCTGGAATACATGGATTCCTAAATGAACTTAGCAAAAGATTTGTGAAAAGAGATGGATATACAGCCGCTAGGAGACTTTCATGCCCTGGGTTAATCAGACATAACCTCAAGCATAAATTATTTTTAAAGATTGAAAACATGGTATTTACATTTTACCTTTAACTTTCTTCCCTTCCTGGTTTCAACTATTCACTTGGTGGATTCAATTTTTCTGTACCATTTTTAATTGTAGAATGTCTTAAAATCCTTAGGTATGAGGAAAGATGTAATACAGAAATACAAACATACACACACACTCTCTCTGGCAAAATAACCAAATGCTGCTTTTTAATTAACCAGATAGAGTGGTACTGGCTCAATCATTTCTCTCTGAAGATAACTAAAGTAACGCTTTGCTCTCTGCCTACACTACTGTACTTAAATTAATCTAACCTTAAGGGCTGAAAATATGTTACTACATCCCTTAGCAGACAGCAGACAGCCTGCAATTGGAGGAAGCTGCTGTAACAAGCAAACATTAAAGCAAACACTACCAGGGTAGAGTAAATCTCTTTCTACAAAAAAGGAAAAATAGCAAGTTTAAAAGCAGGAAAATAACAGCCACATGGTAAAATCTGTCCTATAAAATGAAAAATAGGAGTATGGTAGCCCAATGCCCAACATCTCAGAAAGTGTGCAGAGTTTCCTTTATCACCAGAGTTGGATTTGAAAGTATTTTCTTATTAAAGTACAAAAAAATCTAAAAATAACAGTAACAATTATGCTTCCCAACAATTCTATTAGGCCTTTGTGAAAAAGAAAAAAAAAATCCCACAACATTAACTTTATATAAGTCTTTTCTTCCTCCAAGTGTATTTCAAATAAACTAATTTATCTCATTTTAATAACTATTTTAATACTAAGTAATTAGACTAGGATGACTAAATTAAGAGTCAGGCTGGGACTAAGATCTCTGTTTTTTTGTCTTTTCACTCTTAACAGTGATTTATAAGCAACCTTCAACTCTATAAAGATTTCTTTGTATAAAAAGATTCTATGCCCTGCATTTAAACTGTTATTTTATTTTATTTTATTTTATTTTGAGACAGAGTCTTGCTCTGTCGCCTGGTTGGAGTGCAGTGGTGCAATCTCAGCTCACTGCAACCTCCACCTCCCAGGTTCAAGCAATTCTCCTGCCTCAGCCTCCTGAGTAGCTGCGACTACAGGTGCATGCCACCACACCCAGCTAAATTTTGTATTTTTAATAGAGACAGGGTTTCAGCATGTTAGCCAGGATGGTCTCAATCTCCTGACCTTGTGATCTGCCCACCTTGGCCTCCCAAAGTGCTGGGATTACAGCGTGAACCACTGCGCCCGGCCTAAACTGGTATCTCTGTTAAATACTAATATCTAAAGAACTGGCTGGGCATGGTGGCTCATGCCTGTAATTTCAGCACTTTTGGAGGCTGAAGCATGAGGATCGCTTGAAGCCAGGAGTTTGAGACCAGCATGGGAAGCAAAGCGAGACCCTGTCTCTACAAAAAGTTTAAAGAAAGAGAATATTCAGTATATACTTGGACTTCAAACACAAAAATTATTTTGTGCATCAAATTTTATCTTGTGAATCAAAGTAAATTTTGTGCATCAAATTCCAAAAAAAGATTTGCAGTGAGAAATGTAAATAAATGGTTAATAAATCATCTTAATAAAGGCTAAGACAGATTTATTGGTAATCCATGGTCATCCAGTTCCTCTTACTAACCCCATTTAGCATTAGTCTACTAAGGAATTGGGTAAGACATTAAGGTTTTTGTCTTTGCATGTATATGTATTCCAACCCGGTTAAAATAACCTTTACTTTCTGACACAATTCACAACCGCCCCCCCCGCCCCAACCATTGCCTACCTTCAGTTATTAATTCTTATCTATTTACCTATGAATGAAACATCTTACTGGATGTAAAGGGATGAAATTTCCTGCTGGAAGTAGTGACTCATGCCTGTAATCCCAGTACTTTGAGAGGTGGAGGCAGGTGGATCATTTGAGGTCAGGAGTTCGAGACCAGCCTGGCCAATGTGGTGAAACCCTGCCTCTACTAAAAATACAAAAATTAGCCAGGTATGGTGGCAGGCGCCTGTAATCCCAGCTACTTGGGAGGCTGAGGCAGGAGAATTGCTTGAACCAGGGAGGCGGAGGTTGCAGTGAGCCAAGACTGTGCCACTGCACTCCAACCTGGGCAACAGAGACTCCATCTCAACAACAACAACAACAACAAAAAAAAACAAAAACAAAACAACCCTTCAGATTTCAATTTTATAAGAAGCCAATTTTGAAATGAAGAGTTTTAGGCTGGGCACAGTGGCTCATGCCTGTAATCCCAGCACTTTGGGAGGCCGAGGTGGGTGGATCACCTAAGGTCAGGAGTTTGAGACCAGCCTGACCAACATGGTGAAACCCCGTCCCTACTAAAATTCTAAAATTAGCCACGTGTGGTGGAGTGCACCTGTAGTCCCAGCTACTCGGGAGGCTGAAACAGGAGAACTGCTTGAACCTGGAAGGCCGAGGCTGCAGTGAGCCGAGATGGTGCCATTACACTCCAGCCTGGGTGACAGACTGAGACTCCGTCTCAAAAAAAAAAAAAAAAAAGAAAAGAAAAAAAAGAAATGAAGAGTTCTTTCTCTATTTTTGATTTATAGGCTTAAGACAGGTATTCGAATTTACCTCTCTTTTATTTTCTGCAATCTTTCTGGATCTCTTGAAGGCGCACTTTTAGTTTTATCACTTTTACCATCAGCTGAATTCCAACCTGAAGGAATAATATCTACTGTGATCATGACATTGTCGGTCAAATTACTCCCAAGTGCTGGAGGGACTGCAAACCGGAATAAGGAACCAGGAAGAATCCCTGATATTCCTGTATTTCTTCCACCTTGAGCCGAATCTGATGTAGAGCCACCTGTTGTGGCACTGCTTGATGCTGCAGATGCTTGTGGTCTGTTGGCAGCAGCTCCAAGAGGATCATTCTGTGCTTCAAGGTGAACCACTTCATTTGATTCTCTTCTAAAAATATGAGATCTAGATGATGTATCAGAGGTAGGTATCCTTGAAGATTCATCTCTTCCCTCTCGCCTCCTTCTAGAGAACAAAGGTGTGCATCTATTTCTAAGTGAGGAAGATAACCATGGTCCTGTATTTCTACCTTCAGATTCTTGGTTAAAATTTTCTGAATCTGACTCAGAGCTATGATTGTGGCTAAGAGATGACAAACCCCATCTTCGCCTAAGAAATCGAAATCCCTGAGAAGCTTCAGATGCCCTATTATCGGGAACTTCAGAAGCTGATGGTACATTACTACGGGACTGTGAAGCTGTCAAGATTCTTGGAGAAACGTAAGAATTTTCAGAATTCAATGATCTTGTATTCAAGGAATCCTGACTAGATCTTCGTGAAAAAAAAGTAGATGACATGCTAGAAGCTATGCGTGACAGCAATCTCCTCGTTGTCCGCCTACCTTCATTGTCAGAAGATTCTTGAAATGGTCTTTGAGATGAAACAACCCTTTCTGAATTGCTTATGATTGGGGCTTCATCTCTACTTGAACTGTAAGAAAATCCAGGCTGCGTATTGCTTCGGGAAGATTCTGATTCTCTTGAAGAAAAATTTGATCTTAAAGAATTTCTGGAGTCCCTAGAACTTAGTATGGTCTGATGTTCAGAAGGCAATTGGTGGTTTGTGGATGATGTATTCAACTGTAAAGTGCTCATTGAGTTTTCTTTTGGTCTTGCTCCTTGTGAATATGAAGGAACTCTGTCTTGAACATCTATTTTTGAAAGGAAGATAACCAATTACATGAAATAATTTGAGCATTATTATTTGCATTTATTATGTTGAATGCCAAAACGAAGCACTGGATTCAAACTTAATACTGTTATATTGTAACTACAGAGTTTACTATTATTATAGAAAAAACATAAATGTATTTCTCTTTCTATTCCTACTGGTAAAATCCAGTACTGCTGTGTAAAGTCAACATTACAAATATATAAAAAAGAAATGTATTATGAGCTTATGAAAATTTTATTTGATAAAATTAAAACAGCTGAATTTATTGATCAGAAATTATTTGGTATGATACAATAATATCTAGTATTTAAATTGAGACGATTTTGAACAGGCCAAATAATACAATGTAAATGACTCTTAAAATGATTAAAAGCAAATCCATCCTAGGGAGACTGTTTTGGAGATTTTTTTTTACTCTGTGCAATAAATTAAAAAGCTGTTTTAAACCCTTGTAATTTTATGAAAAATCTTGCTAATAGCTAAAAATTTTTCCAATTTTTTTTTCTTTCAGGTTAACAGCTGTGGTTCTTATCCTATAGTTCCTAGCCAATATTTAGAATTACGTGTGTTATATTTGCTAAAATACTGGCTAGGAACTATGAATCAGAATAGGGCTATGACATCTGCACTTTTCAAAGGATTCCTTAACTGGTGGTTTAAATCTTCAAATGGGATGAGAAATACTACAGGATTCCTTTGCAAAGAAACTACCCATTAACCTGTGTAAGAGCTAAATTACTACTCTGCTGATATATGGAGCTTTATGAAAGGGTAAATGTTAGGAACTAAATCTATTTCTATCCTGTACTTTTATACTCCAAAACCTAAAAGCTATTGATACTGTCTACTAAAGCTCTACCATCCAAAGCCAAGCAGATAAAATGTTTTCATTTGTCATAAATAAAGATTTCCCCCAGTAAGATAAATTAAAATAACCTAAACCTTTAAAAACAAAACATTATTTCCTACTATGTAAATCAAACTCCATTTCTGCCTACTATATTTGTCAACTTCAATTAGCACCTTTTTCTTCAGTTACTTAGTATGATAGTTTAAGGCTATGTACAATGATACAAAGTGTGGCTGTGTGCAGTGGCTCATACCTGTAATCTCAACACTTTGGGAGGCTGAGGCGGTTGGATCACCTGAGGTCAGGAGTTCAAGACCAGCCTGGCCAACATGGTGAAACCCAGTCTCTACTAAAAACACAAAATTAGCTGGGCATGGTGGCATATGCCTGTAACCCCAGCTACTTGAGAGGCTGACACAGGAGAATCGCTTGAACCCAGGAGGCGAAGGCTGCAGTGAGCTGACGTCGTGCCATTGCACCCCAGCCTGGGTAACAAGAGCAAAACTCCATCTCAGAACAAACAAACCAAAAACAAAGTGTGGGTCTTGAGGTCAATTTAATAAAACTAGAGGCACATCCATGTTATACTAAAGTAATTGCAAATTATGCCTTAAAATGGTGATTTCAACTTTCAGTTATTTCAGAAGTAGAAGAATAATCAGAAGTAGTTATTTATTAAACTACATCTGTTACAGGCAAATTCTATTTGAGGATATACGATTTAGTATGTTACTTTCTAACAGACGTTCTTAAAAGGAAAAATGCAAGTTAAACAACGTAAAGGTAGATGGAATCTAGATACTCATATTCATCGACTGTATTTTAAATTATTTTTTAAGGTCAAAACAAGTACTAGAAAAAAATATTAAGGTATTCTGAAATCTTCATAAGACAAAATATACACTTTACTCCTTTGTACTGTTGTTTTAGTAACATGCATAAAGAGGAAAATGGAACATTATGAGAAGTTATACTTGATGTAATTTATACATACATGATGAAGTTGTGAAATCACCACTTCGGTGACTATAATCCATAAGATTACTAATAGAGGAATCTGTTCTTCTCTCCAAATCTCTCCTCTCTCTCATTAAGTCTGTTCCAAATGATCCAAGTACCATTGATGAAGATCTAGGAACTTGACTATGCCTCCAAGATGAATCTTAAAATAAATGAAGAAGTTTTATTTCAGAGAAAGCTTTCAAGGCTTTGGATGATGACAATCTTCAGTAATAGAGAGGAAAGTTAGTGTTATTTATTATTATTATTATTATTTGAGACGGAGTCTCACTCTGTCACCCAGGCTGGAGTGTAGTGGCACGATCTCAGCTCACAGCAACCTCCACCTTCTGGGTTCAAGTGATTCTCCTGCCTCAGCCTCCTGAATATCTGGGACTACAAGGCGCGTGCCACCATGCCCGGCTAATTTTTGTATTTTTAGTGAAGATGGGGTTTCACCCTGTCGGCCAGGCTGGTCTCAAACTCCTGACCTCTAGTGATCCGCCCACCCCGGCCTCCCAAAGTGCTGGGATCACAGCACGAGCCACCGCACCCGGCCTTACTGTTGTTTATCATGAGAATCCCCGGTTATATAGTTGTTATCAGAAACACAATTCAGTAAAACATAAAACTATTCACAAATGAACTAATCACTTATAAAATTATTTCCTACTCTAAACATATTCTTCTCTGCCTAACATTAAAATCTACCCCATACACAATGTCAATGTCTCAATCACTTCTCACAACATCTACCTATACATTATGTAAAACGATTACAGAACAAAAATGTAAATCTTGCCAAAGATGGAGAATTTCACAAAAAAAGTCAATGAAAGTGATGCTGGAGAACTGCCAGTATCAAAATCAAAGGCATCCGGAAAGGGAAGATGTGAACAACACAATTTCATCAGAATTATTTTTACTGCTACCACAGTTGCTTGATTTTTTATTCTAGAATTCTTAATTCTAAGAATCAAAGTATTGTTACAGTTATCGTAATTTTATTAGATATGATTTAAAAGTAAATTAAACATTAAGTCTCAAACCTCTTTCCTTCACTATTTACCTTGAAATTTTGATTCTTTCTTCCCTAATCTTAGTAGCCTTAATAATTCCTCTTTATTAAGAGAAATGGCCTAGAGTATTTATAACGTTTTCACATAGCAGAAGAGAACAAAAATATCTCTGGCACAGTGGTGTTTGTCTACAAAGTTATTAACAGTCTGCTCTTAGCTATCACAACATTCTTAATATCCTTCAGATAGGCACGTCTTTCCCATGGCATTCCAGCTTATCAAAATAGACAGGAACTGCTTACACTACTTCAACTGGTAATACACAAACATTTAAAGAATTTTACCTCCAATTGTGTCACCACAAGTTTTGGCTCCTCTTAAACACTGGCACTGGCTAACATTTCATTGGAAGAGGAGTATGAGTGAGACGGTAGCCTCCTGACCTTTCAACAAAAGATCTTTTCAACGTGTGTGAAAAATATGTGTCTCAGTACATAATACCAGGCATGAAGCTTTATGGATAGACCATCCAAATCCCAGAGTGGTTAGTATCTTGCCCAATGCCACTCATCTAGTTAGAGGACTAAAACTATGACTTTCTAATCCCTTGTATAGAACTCCTACTAGGCCGGGCGCGGTGGCTCACGCCTGTAATCCCAGCGCTTTGGGAGGCCGAGGTGGGCGGATCACGAGGTCAGGAGATCGAGACCATCCCGGCTAAAAACGGTGAAACCCCGTCTCTACTAAAAATACAAAAAATTAGCCGGGCGTAGTGGCGGGCGCCTGTAGTCCCAGCTACTTGGGAGGCTGAGGCAGGAGAATGGCGTGAACCCGGGAGGCGGAGCTTGCAGTGAGCCGAGATCCCGCCACTGCACTCCAGCCTGGGCGACAGAGCGAGACTCCGTCTCCAAAAAAAAAAAAAAAAAAAAAAAAAAAAAAGAACTCCTACTAAAATAACCACCATTTTTTTGTAACTCAAGAGTTTCTGTATTTGTTTTTTGTTTAAGAAACAGAGTCTTGCTCTGTCTACCAGGCTACAGTGCATTGGCATGATCATAGCTCACCATAACCTCAAACTCCTGGGACCAAGCGATCCTCCAGCCTCAGCCCCTCAAGTGGCTGGGGACTACAGGCATGCACCACCATGCCCAGCTAATTCTCTCTTTTTTTTTTTTTGGTAGAAACAGGGTCTCACTATGTTGTCTAGGCTGGCCTTAAACTCCTGGCCTCAAGCGATCATCCTGCCTTAGCCTCCGTATTTTCTGAAAATAAATATTATGTACTACAATGTTTATCATTTATATAAGACATGCTTAAGCAATATTTTAAACATATCAGTAGATTTAGCTTTCCTTGTAACAATTACAAAATATAATAACCAAAAGAATACATACATTTACCAATTTGATTATCATAAAATACCAGCTATTCTAATTAAAATCTGCTAATGTCCTGTTTAGGATATCTATATCAATTTTACAAGAAAAATGCAGAAGAGTATCAGTTCTAGCATTAATTTAAAGTAAGATTTTGGAAATTCCACTACATTTCTGACCCACTGTCTTCATATAAAATCTACTTGCCTCATTCCAAAACTAAGAACAACTGTGTTACACCTGGAGAAAAACGGCTTAAAATACCTACAGAAACTCATTCTTACCTGATAATGTGTTTAAACCATTTCCAACATTTCTCCCAGCTGAGGTAGTACAGTTTGTACAGGAAAGTTTAGGTCTTTTTGAATCATGATCCCGTTGCTGGTTCTGCGATCTTGAGCGTGCTCCCTGAGTTATCTCAGATTCACTATACCATGCAGATTGAAATGGTGACGCAGATGCTGATGCTGATGTAGACTGTGAGTTCAAAAAAATTTTTTAAACAACAAAAGGCTGCATTCAGTACTAAATTTAACCCACAGTCCTCTAATAAATTCCCACAAGCATCAATTTTTCTACCACGTAGTTCTTTTTTTTTTTTGAGACTGAGTCTTGCTCTGTTGCCCAAGCTGGAGTGCAGTGGGGCAATCTTGGCTCACTGTAACCTTTGCCTCCAGGGTTCAAACGATTCTCCTGCCTCAGCCTCCTGAGTAGCTGGCATTACAGGTGTGTGCCACCACGCCCGGCTAATTTTTGTATTTTTAGTAGAGACAGGGTTTCACCATGTTGGTCAGGCTGGTCTCAAACTCCTGACCTCATGATCTGCCTGCCTCGGCCGCTGGGATTACAGGCACGAGCCTCTGTGCCTGGCCTCCACCATGTAGTTCTTCTTTAGTCTTTGTTCCTTCTACCCACTTGTCCATTTACTATACACTATAATTGTACTTTGCTGGGCTCTCAATCTGATGCAGAGTAAGTCCTTTTTTTTTATAAACACTTGGTTATGAAACACTGAAGACCAAAAACTGTAATCATTTTTCCTAATATTTGTTTTTTTCTTTTTGAAAATGAAATCCTTGTTGTACTGGTTTAATATTTCAGTCTTTTCAGGAACCCTGTCCACCTCTTAGAGGTAGACAGAACACTAAGCTATAAAGAAACTGTGAATTACCCTACCATGAAAATCAGATTTTTCAACTAATAACAAATTTATCCTTGTTCTGATGCCTAGTCTCCAGAATACGGTCATACAACACTAGTAACAGTATGCTAAAAAACAAAAAAAAAAAATCCTAACATCAGAAATTTCTTCATCAGTGAATCAACAACTAAAACAAGTACATATTTTAAAACATGGCTCATGGTTTTCTCTTTTAACATATATGTACACAAAATAAAGCTTGTAAACAAGTATCACTGATAATGTACAAACTATTTTACTTCTCTCCAATTCTTTAATTTGTTAAGTTCACTCACTACAATGCATTAAAAAGGCAACAGTTTGTCTCCTTAAATATTTAGGTTTAATTGACAACATATTTCAACCACAATTATTGAAATTGTACTATTCTTTTTACAAAAATGTTTCCATCATGGCAAAGTAATTATCTGGACACACACACACAGACAGGACACAGATAAACTAAGAAACACAGATTTGGCATATAATCTCTAAATGGCTCAGAGACAGTAAGGACCTCTAAAATAAAAGTAATTTTTCAGGATATAAAAGAAAAATAATTTTTTAAAGCATGTTACCATGAGTTAAGTATGTGGTAAATAGTTTATTATGCTAAAGAACATTAAAATGAAACCAAATTCTTTTAAGTGTTCTTCTGTTTAACAAAAGAGTTAAAATGGAATGCATCATGGGCCATAATTTCAGTCTACATTCATCTAAAATTCACATGATAAACATGAGAACCCAAATAATGTAGTCCATCAAAGCTCTACAGTACAGGTAACAGATAAGTAAATAAATAATTACACTATAAATAAGTACTATAATAGTAAGTACAGTGAAAGTTTTACAGAAAGACCCTAACTATGTTTGAAGGACACAGGGGAAGAGTCAAAGATGGTAACTGAAGTTCACGGGGTAGATGAATGAAAAAAGACATTACAAATAAACAACACAAAAAGACGTATAAACCATTTTACCATCAGATTTTTTTGTTGTTTTTTTTTGAGACAGCATCTCACTCTGTTGCCCAGGCTGGAGTGCAGTGGCACAATCACAGCTCACTGCTGCCTTGATCCTCCCACCTCAGTCTCCAGAGTAGCTGGGACCACAGGCACATATCATCATGGCTAGGTAATTTTTATTTTGTAGAGACAGGGTCTCACCATGTTGCCTAGCTGGTCTTGAATTCCTGGGCTCAAACAATCCTCTGCCTTAGCATCTCAAAGTGCTAGGATTACAGGTGTGAGCCACCACATCTGGCCTGGCTTTCTTCTAAGACATTACTATTTATACTTTATTTTCTATTATACTTCAATTATTAATTTTTAAATTTATTTTTTATAGAGATGGGGTCCCACTATGTTGCCCAAGCTTGTTTTGAACTCCTGGGTTCAAGTGATCCTCCTGCCTCAGCCTCCCAAACAGCTGGGATTACAGGCATGAGGCACTGCACCCAGCCAATATGGTTCAATTATGAGAAACATATTGCCTGCATTCAGGGGATGTATTAGTTCATGGTAACACTGGAAAAGAAACTTTGAAAATAAAGTAGAAGGTGTGAGGCTGAAAAGGTAGGAATGGGCTACATCAGGAATTCGCCCATCCTTTGCCTAGAGAATATTTTGTAAATTGATAATGGCATTTTTCAGCTTAGCACAAACTTAGTCTCACAAGCCTTCTGTACCTAATATTACAGACACCCAATCAATGAACTGGAGCTAGCACAAGAAATGAAATTAATTTGATATTTTAGAATCAAACCATTTCATATGCCATCATCATCAAGGTATCAGGGACCTTATCCTGCAGGCCAGTGGTTCTAAAACCTCTGGATTTCAGAGACCAAAATAAAAAAATGTTTTAATTTAAAATTGAGAAAGAACTGTCACTTTTGACCAGTAGGACATCTAAAATAGCAACTAATACCTAATCCTGTCCCCAATTTTTAAAAAAGGAATAAAGGATATAATTCAGAATGAGCACTTTAAATTGAATACATTTGTACAAACTCCATAACTTGTCATTATTTTTCTCATTTTGCACAGACTGCATAAACTTACTGAACAGCACTTCTGCAAACATGATTTTGGGAACTAATGAAGGGGGGGATAAATCAGATCTACTACTATATAGAAAGACTTTTAGAGGCATGTGGAAGACGAAATAGATGAACAGAAAGAAAACCAATTAGGAAGCCATTAGAATATCAAGAAATAAGTCCCTATGAAGTAATGGGAATAGAGGGCAATTATAAAAGATAAAAATTCATCAGATTTAGGGACAATGTGAGAAATAGAGAAAAAAGTTTTTTGGTACTGTCTACTGGTGAAATAAATGACTATGCCATTCATTAAAAATACTGATTATAGGGGAGCAGATTTAGATAATGAATTTCATTTGATTCTTGAATGCTGAAGTGTCCAAAGACTTAAAGTGACACTCACTGTTCATTAAACAATTTTCATGACTCACGACACAACATGTAGATTATATGGCTATATCCAAGACAAAAAATGTTTGTTAATATCAGCATATAGATATACATATCAGTATACATAATGTCAGTATATAGAAGGAATGTTTTGGTTAGTTTTGCTATTGGCTTGAGTTCAAAATCAAACCTTTTCCTGGTTCCTACAATCCAATTTTGTCCATATTTGTTCAAATATCCTCAGTCTGAAGCAATTGTTTTTTTCCCTCGGAATTCTTTGAACAATTAAATAAAGTGTCAGATTCATTTAACAATGTATTATCTCTTCTGCTGTCCAGAACTATAGGCCAAATGAAATCAGGGAATAAGTCTGTCTTCAAAGTATACCACATTGGGCATGACGAATCCTTAAACAAGTAGTTTTGGGGTTGTTTTCACTTATAAACAATGCCGTTATGAACAACTGTAAATTTTTGTATGGATGTATGTTTTCAATACTCTTGGGTGTAACTGATAGATCATGTAGTAACTTGATGTTTGATATTTGGGGGAATTACTATTTTTCCAACTATAGGTTGATGCTAACAGCTGTGATGGCAGCAGCAGTTCATCTGGAGCGGCTGCCACAAAGACGCCGGCTGCAGCAGGGGAGGCGTGGCAGGGTCTGTGCGCTCCACAGAGTCAGCAACAGGTGGGAGCCCTGACCACTTCCAAGTTGGTGGGGTGGGAGCCCTGTGCTCCCTGACCCAGCTGTGGCTGTAGACTTGGGTATCCCTGTGCTCTCAGGGGCCTGAGAAGCCTCCCTTCCCGCCCCCGCCTCCTGCTCCGATTTTGGAGCAAAGTTTTGGCCAAGCTTGGGCACTGTCACGATCCAGGTGTGTATGCGCATGCTTGGGGCAGTGCCGACACACCAGCCCACTGCTACCTTGGCCCCCGTCTGGACTTTGGGCACCAACAAGCACAAAGGGAAGCCAAGGGGGAACTGAGGGTGGCTTGGCATGGGTCTGCAGGCATCCCTTGGCACAAACAGCCTGGGTGCCATGAACAGTAGCAGGAGGCAGACATGCTCCTGGGTGAAAAGGGGCAGGTCCCTAGTGAAACCCTACCTTTAAGCCTGGGATGGCCTGAAGCCTGGAGGCTGGGCTGCCAGTTCCACGGACCGGAGTGAGAACTTATGGTGCTTATCCCAGGCCCACCCATTGCCTCCCATGGACCAATCAGCATGCACTTCCTCTTCTCTGAAGCCCATGAAAATCTGACTCAGCCAGATGTCAGGCTGACTTCCCTATGGACAGGAGCTACCCACTCCTGTCTGGTCTCCTCTCCACTGAAAGCTACACACTCGTTGGGATGACCTGCCTGTGGAAAGGAGCCACCCACTTTGGGTCTCCTGAGAGCTGTGCTACTGCTCAATAAAGCCCCTCTTCGCCTTGCTAACCCTCCAACTGTCTGTGTACCTCATTCTCTCTGGACGTGGGACAAGAACTCGGGACCCGCCAAATGGTGGGACTCGAAGAGCTGTAACACAAACAGTGCTGAAACATCCCTTCCTACCCCCCACTCACCATGCTGCCGGCGACAAGGACGGAAGAGCTCTGACCCTTTGGGGAGTCCAGACCTAGGAGCTCCCTGAACCAGGGCTGTGACAACCTCTTTGGGGCTCTGTAGTTCCTTGTGTCTCCAAGCTTTTGGGTGCCACTGCGTTCCTCAGTGCCCACAGAAGCTGCTGCCTGTGGTACACCTGATCCATCCACAGCCTCATAGGGCACCAGTGCCTAGAGCTGCCTGCCCCACTGCACCCAGTGTGCCTGGCTGTAAACGGTGGCCGGACCCTGCGCTCACTTGCCCATGCACCCCCTGCCGATCCATGTCTGGCTCACCCTTGGCAGGCGTGGGATCCGAGCTGATAGCACGAGTCGAACAAAGCCTGCCAGTCCGAGTAGGCAGAACACACCCAGCAGGCCCGAGCAAAACCTGGGCAAAGGCACCACCAGCCACAGAGGCTTCTAGCTGGAAAAGCAACACTCCAAGTGCTGACAGCTGTACCATTTTACAGTCCCATCAACTATGTATGAAGGTTCCAATTTCTCCACCACTTACCAACACTGTGATTGTCCATCTTTTTTTTTAATTTTGAGACAGGGTCTCAGCTCTGTTGCCCAGGCTAGAATGCAGTGATGCAATCACAGGTGACTGTGGCCTTGACTTCCTGGGCCCAAGCAATCCTTCCACCTCAGCCTCCAGAGTAGCTGAGACTACAGGCATGCGACACCATGCACAGCTAATTTTTAAATTATTTCTTGGTAGAGACTGGGTCTCACTATGTTGCACAGGTCTCAAATTCCTGGGTTCAAGCAATCCTCCCAGATTTGGCCTCCCAACTCAGGCCTGGGATTACAGGCATGAGTCACTGTGCCCAGCCTATCCATCTTTTTTATTTTGGCTATGCTAGTGGGTGTTAAGTATCTCACTGTAGTTCTGACTTGCATTTCCCTAATGACTAATATTTTTTCATGTGCTTATCAGCCATTAATATATCTTTGGAAAAATGTTTATTAAAGTCCTTTGCCCATTTGAAATTGGGTTATATTTTTATTGTTGAGAGGTAAGAGTTCTTCATATATTCTGGATACAAGTCTCAGTATCCAGTAAGATATATACTTTGCAAATATTTTCTCTCATTCTGTGGATTGTCTTTTCACTCTCTTGGTATCGATGCACACAAATTTTAATTTTTATGAAAACTAATCAATCTTTTTTTGCATTTCCTGCCTCCCGACTATGAGCACTCGTATGAAACTAGATGGAAGCAACTAAATTTACACTGGAGTTTAAAGAGGTTTCTTTCTTTTTCATTAACTTTCCAGTCTCTACCCAGACAGGTAACAGATTTGGCTCCCAGAGTAAATAGTTTTCATCAGTTATTTCCAATTCAAAAGGCTATCTGTGATATGGTGAATTGTATGGTATATGAATTATAACTCAATAAAATGAGGGAAGAGGTGGAGGGCTATCTAGCCCAACCAAAGTAGCTGAAATACTATATAGTGTATCTGAGAAATCATCAATAAGACAGCTTGGAGACTTAATAGCTATAGATACTCTATGCACAATGAATAGAAAATAACTTTCCAAGACTTTATATAACTAGCAGGCATCCAATTTTCATTTTATTTCTTTTTACCTTCATAATAGTTATTCATACCACCTTTCCAACAAGAGGTTTACTGGAAGTATAGTCAATGAAATCATTTACTATTACTATTGTATAAGTCAATATTTGCTTTCAGAAAATTATTTCTAAGGTTTTAAAATATTTTCCCAACACAAATGCCCTTAAAACAATGCAATTAAAAAAATAAAAAAACTTAAGGAGAAAATATTTGCAAATCATGTATCCAATAAGGAGCTTGTATCTAGAATATATAAAGAACACTTACAACTGAGTAACAAGACAAGTGTACTTTAAAATGAGCAAAGGAACTATTATAAATAGGCATTTCTGAAAAATGTACAGTAAACGGCCAATTAGCACATGAAAAGATGTATAACATCATTAGTCATCAAGGAAATCCAAATCAAAACCACAATGAGATACATACCACTTCATACCCATTGGGATGGCTAGAATCAGAAAGTAAGATAAGTGCTGATGAGAATGTGGAGAGACTGGAATCTTCATACACACAAAAGGGAATGTAAAATGATCTAGCCAGTTTGAAAACAGTATGGCAGTTCCCCAAACGATTGAACACAGAGGTTATGCATGACTCGGCAATTCCATTCCCTTATTTTAAGAGACAGGGTCTCACTCTATGGCCCAAGCAGTAGTGAAGTGGTGCCATCATAGCTCACTGAAGCCTCAACCTTATGAGCTTAAGGGATCCTTCCACCTCAGCCTCCCAAAAAGTTAGGACTACAGGTGTGCACCACCATATCAGGTTAGTTTTGAAATTTTTTTAGAGATGGGCTATCACTATATTGCCTAGGCTGGTCTTGTACTCCTGGCCTTAAATACTCCTGCCGTTTTGTCTCCCAAAGTGCTGGGATTACAGGCATGAGCCAACATGCCTGGCTCCACTTAGTACATACCAAACACAAGTGAAAACACAAGTCCACACAGAAACTTGCATATGAATGTTTATAGCAGCATTATTCATAATAGTCAGAAGGTAGAAACAACCCAAATGTCCATCAGAAAATAAATGAACAAAATATGGCATATCCATACAATGAAATAGTATTCAGCCACAAAAAAGAATAAAGTACTGACATATGCTACAATATAGATGAACACTGAAAATATGCTAAGTCAAAGAAGCTACTAACAAAAGACTACATAGTACCTGTTTCTACTCATGTATATGAAAATCCAAAATAGGGAAATGTACAGATATAAAGTAGATTAATGGTTGCTTTGCACTGGTAGGGGAAGAGGGACTAGAGGAGCAGTGCAGTGATAACCATAATGGTTGTGCAGCTCTGTGAATATACTGAAGACTACTGAACTTTAAATGGGCAAACTATATGGTATGTGAAATTACAACTTAATAAAGTCATTTCTTAAAAAAGAACTTTAAAGATACTTGCAAATTTACATCAATGTTATCCACTGGCAAATGATTAATTAAAAATCATGTAATGCACAGGAACAGAAACTAGCCCAGAATGATATTCTTTTCCTGGGCTCCTCATTTCCATGAGTTAATGACTTGACTGTGAAGTGAATAAATCCTGCTTTGAAAGACTTCCAGAACAACATTACCTTAGCCATGAGCAACAACTTAAGACTTTGAGCTCTCCCTTGTTTGAAATATTCATGTGATGGAGAGTACCCATCTCCACACCAATGCAGAAGAAACTCATGTCACTCCACTGTACACTTTAAGACCAAATTGACAAGCTGTGTTTCCTTGGAGGAATGGTAAATCTTTTTCTTTTTGAGACAGGGTCCTGTTCTGTCACCCAAGCTGGAGTGCAATTGCATGATCAAGGGTCATTGCAACCTCAACCTCCTGGGCTCAAGCAATCTTCCTGCCTCAGCCTCCTGAGTAGCTGGGACTAAGATGTGTGCTACCATGCCTGGCTTTTTTTTTTTTTTTTTTTCATTTTATTTTTAGAGAGGGGTCCCACTATGTCACCCAGACTGGTCTCGAACTCCTGGCCACAAGTGACCCTCCCACCTTGGCCTCCCAAAGTGCTGAGATTAAAGGAGTGAGCCACCATGTCCAGTCTCTTTTTCTTATATGCAATACTCATTATAGAGCTAGTTGTGTTTTCCTGCAATTTTCTTGATACCCAAAATGAGAGCAAGTTTAACTTAAAAATGCTGCAGGGTTTATGCAATGCCTATCAATGTTACAATTCTGACCCACTCTCCATATTTATTACTCTCAGTATTCTATCTGTATATTTCCTTATCCTATTTTAAACTGTTTTCATTTTCTTGTTTAATTGTATATGCATCTATGTATTTATTTCCTTGAAAACTACACTTGCATAAGGTAGTTTTAAAAATTAATGACCACTGGTTCTACACTATGCAAAATATGCAATGGTACTGATCTCTATAGCAGTTATCTACAAACTAAAAAAAAAAAGGTATCAATAACTTTAAAAAGCCCCTACAACCTTATAAAAAGCCTCCTTTTAAAATTATTTCATATTAAAAGTAATCAACCTCTCAACAAGGCAAAACAGAACAAACACTAAACAGATTAGTGCTTCCTTAAAGTTACAGAAAAATACACCAAAACAAAATTACATATCCACAAATAACCCCTTTTTAACAATATTTATAGAAATTAAATTTTCCTTTAAAAACATGTAAATTTTGCTTACTGTTACTAAAGACATAAGATGATCATAGTTGCCAATCATTCAAATTGTGATAAAAATTTAAAGATGGGATAGCAGAAGTAACAGCAAGATTAGTAGCAGGTGAAGCGCAGCTTACAAATGGCTGAGAACTGAAAGATATTTAGGAAATCAACTGTTCGGAACTTAGAATCTACATTTTCCCAAAGAAACAATGCTATCCAGAATCTTGGATTCTTAAGCTCAAGTATATTACATAATAATCGTGTAAGTGAGAGAAACCACCTATATTTCTAGATTTCAGAACCTTATCGATGAACTGACACAAATATCCATGTTAACTAAAAACAGAAGTAAAAAATGTTCTATAAAATGTCAAGCACTATATAAGGTGTTCCCATATTAAGTCTATAACATAACTGAAATTGATCATGTCCTACCCCCTGACCCTCTTTTCTCTGAAGCTTCAGATTTACCAAGTGCCTGAGATAACAGAAGTTTTATGTCTCCAAGAGTTGTGAGTTAAAAAGCCTCAACAATCTTTTTTTTTTTTTTTTAATGTTGCCTCTGGCCAGGTGCAGTAGCTCATGCCTGTAATCCCAGCACCTTTGGAGGGTGAGGCAGGAAGACTGCTTGATCTCCTAAGTTCGAGACCAGCCTGGTCAATACAGTGAGACTTCACATCTACAAAAAATTTAAAAAGCAGTGCAGTGTGGTGTGCACACCTGTATTCTCAAGCTACTCAGGAGGCTGAGGTGGGAGGACTGCTTGAGCCCAGGAGGCAGAGGCTTCAGTGAGCTGAGATTGTGCTACTATACTCCAACCTGGGTGAGTGTGAGAACCCGTCTCAAAAACTAAATAATTTTAAAATGCTCCCTTTGACACTGAGTAATCTTAACAATGCTAAATAAAACTAAACATACTATATGTAATTTAATATTTGGATAACATTATACTATACCCTACAGATATTATCTTAAACCAATGTAAAGCCAGGAAATAATAATGGTAACAGTAAAAGTTAACAATTATAAATAATTATAACTAAATAAAAATAACAATTATAAATAATTATAATTAGTAACACCTGAACCCCTATACTATGTTCTAGGCACTGTTCCAAGTGCTTCACATGTATTCTTTCTTTCAATTAATCTTAACAATTAAGATGAACAATCTTGTTCATCTTACATCTCACATATAGATGTGGCTGTATGAAGAAACCGCTATCACTATCACCATTTCACAGAAGAAAATACAGATAAATAAAATACAGGCCAGGCATGATGGCAGATGTCTGTAATCCCATCACTTTGGGAGGCTGAGGTGGGAGTACTGCTGGAGGCCAGGAGTTTGAATCCAGCCTGGGCAACACAGCAAGACCCCATCTCTATAAGAAAAATTTTTTAAAAAATTAGCCACGTGTGTGTGTGTGGCAGGGGGCTGCGCATCTGTAGTCCCAGCTACTCAGGAGGCTGAGGCAGGAGGATTGCTTGTGCCCAGAAAGTTGTGGCTGCGCCGAGTCATGATTGCTCAACTACACTACAAGCTGGGTGACAGAGCAGGACCCTGTCTCTTAAAAAGTGTAACACTTTGTTCAAGAACACAGGAGTTTCAATTTCTAAATCAAAACTAAATAAGCAAAGCAGCCTAAAAATGGTTGACTTATGGCTGAAACTGCTCCCATACCATTAAAAAGAAAAAAGCGATTAAAAAACTGATTGTAAGCAACTTAAAGCAACTAAAAAGCATTTAGAAAATACCTAAAATTTATAAAAATAATTTATCTTAAGAATCAATAAAGATTTTAAAAATTCTACTTGGTTTTTGGATGTTTGCAAGTAATTTTTGAATTTTACTTGGGTACTTAAATACATGAAAATTTTGGAACAGAATGAAATCAACACTAATATGTTACTACAACCATCATTTAGGTGGGGTCATTTTGAAGTCATTAACATGACATTTAAATTTTTTTTTGTTTTTTGTTTTTTGTTTTTTTTGAGACAGAGTCTCGCTCTGTCGCCCAGGCTAGAGTGCAGTGGCGTGATCTTGATTCACTGCAAGCTCTGCCTCCAGGGTTCATGCCATTCTCCTGCCTCAGCCTCCCGAGTAGCTGGGACTACAGGCGCCCGCCACCACGCCCGGCTAATTTTTTGTAATTTTAGTGGAGACGGGGTTTCACTGTGTTAGCCAGGATGGTCTCGATCTCCTGACCTTGTGATCCGCCTGCCTAAGCCTCCCAAAGTGCTGGGATTACAGGCGTGAGCCACTGTGCCCGGCTGAAATTTAAATGGTTTTTTTTAAAAAATGCTATTTGTTTAACATAATAAGAAATGGAATTTTTTTTTTGAGACGGAGTTTCACTCTTATTGCCCAGGCTGGAGTGCAATGGCGCGATCTTGGCTCATGGCAACTTCCGTCTCCAGGATTCAAGTGATTCTCCTGCCTCAGCCTCCCGAGTAGCTAGGACTACAGGCATGCGCCACCACGCCCAGCTAATTTTGTCTTTTTAGTAGAGACGGGGTTTCTCCATGTTGGTTAGGCTGGTCTCAAACTCCCGAACTCAGGTGATCCACCTGCCTCGGCCTCCCAAAGTGCTGGGACTACAGGCGTGAGCCACCATGCCAGGCCAGAAATGAACTTTTTTGAATAATCTACAACATTAACAAGTTAGAAGAAACAGTTTGAAAACGGTCATATCTTAAGGAGAATGTCAATAAATTTACTAAATATATTCAGGATTTTAGCACCTACACTATTATAATAATTATTATAACAATTATAAAAAACATGCAACAGTAGCTAACATTTATATAGTATTTATCATATGCCAGGCACTATTATCATTTAACATAAAGCATTGTCATGTAACTATAACAACTGGATAAAGTAGGTGATACAAAAAGATGTCGGCCAGGTGCAGTGGCTCACACCTGTAATCCCAGCACTCTGGGAGGGAAGGTGGGCAGAATGGTTGAGCCCAGGAGTGTGAGACCTGCCTGGGCAACATAGCGAAACCCCATCTCTTCAAAAAAACACAAAAATTAGCTAGGCATGGTGGCACGTCCCTGCAGTCCTAGCTGCTGGAGGAGAGGCTGAGGTGAGAGGACCACTTGAGCCTGGGAGGTCTAGGCTGTAGTGAGCCGTGATTGCACCACTCACTCCAGCCTGGGTAACAGAGTGAGATCCTGTCTCAAAAAAAGAAACAAACAAACAATCAAAAACAATCACAACAGAAAAAGATGTCAATAGCTAGTAAGTCATGAAACATGACTCCTCTCTAGGCAGTACAGTCTGGTTTCAAAATTTGTGTTCCTCATTAATAAGCTATATATATTTTTAAAATTAGACAAAAATGAGTAGACAAAATTTTATGAAGACAATACAGGAAAACACAATTCTGTGCCCTTTATATGTCACCATGACATTTCTACAGAAGGCAAAATATATGATTCTACACCTCTAGGAATCATAAACTTGTCTAGAAGCAGAAAATGTACAGTATCAATTGACATTTAAAATGAGACTAGGTTCCGCTGAGCTGCAGTTTAAAATAAAATAGAGACCAGGTAAACAGTTCATATAAAGTCAATTAAGAAATGGGTAGTAGATATGAGCATTTTCATTTTTTGTTTTGTTTTGTTTTTTACTTCAGTCTTGCTCTGAATATCTTAAAGAATGCTTACTACTGTGTACGAACATTTTTATGAGACTTTGTCATATATCAGATCACATAACATATAAATATATAAATACTTAACACAAAGAAATTTTCAAAGGATTCTTTTAGATTACCTCAACATCAGACTTTTGCAAATCAAACATTAATTATAACATTCAGCCAAAAATGCAATGAGCTTAAATTTGCTACAATGATAAGCCATTTCAAAAGCCAAAGAACTAGCCAGGCATGGTGGGCATGTGCCTATAATCTCAGCTACTCAGGAGAATGAGGTGGGAGAGTCATTTGAGCCAGAGTTTGAGACCAGTCTGGGCAACATAGCAAAACCCTGTTTCAAACAAAACAAAAAGCTTGTGGTCCTAACGAAAACTAGCTACATAAGAGTAGATGGACATACCAATACAAACTCATTACTCACCATAAAAATCAAATTTAAAAATTCATGTAAAAGACTTTTAGCACTTTCATAAAAAGATAACCTGTTAATTTAAAAATTATTCAACATTCAAAGCAAAATATTTAGAAGTTATAATCTCACAGAAAAACACTTAACATTTGTTATTTCACCACTGCTTTGTGTATATGCAGAGAAAAGTCAGATGAATCAGTGTGATCTTAGAGGGAAAGGAGGTACAGTTTTTGTTCCTCTGACAAAGCCATTCACATTGATTGACCAGTTTAGTTAAATTTATACTTATGTTTTTACGTACAAGGTTTTCCAAGTCTTTGGAAAGCATTTTTTTTTTTTTGAGATGGAGTCTCACTCTGTCACCCAGGCTGGAGTGCAGTCTCATGATCTCAGCTCACTGCAACCTCCACCTCCTGGGTTCAAGCAATCCTCCCTCTTCGGCCTCCCAAGTAGCTGGGATTACAGGTGTGTGCCACCATGTCCAGCTAATTTTTTTGTATTTTTAGTCGAGACGGGGTTTCGTCATGTTGGCCAGGCTGGTCTCGAACTCCTGACCTCAAATGATCTGCCAGTCTCAGCCTGCCAAAGTGCTGGGATTACAGGCGTGAGCCACCGTTCCCAGCGCAAAAGTATGATTTTATATGAGGTTACAATCTGTTATCCATAATTCTGAAGTCCAAAAAGTTTGAAAAATGTTATTCATTTTGCTACATATATATTGGTTTTGATTACAGGATGCCTCAGATCCAGCTAACACATTTTTTAAATACCCCCAAAAGAGTGGCCCTAGGGATTTTGAAAAAGGCTGTATACATATATTCCAAATAAAAATGTTACCTGATATTCAGAATCCAATCTAAATGAAGAGTCTCTTGAGTGATAGGTATCATTTAAACTACTTCCTCTGCTTCCAGACATCATCCTAGCACTTAAGGAGCTGGAAGGTTGAACAGAAATTCTTCTTGGAATCCTTGAAGGTTTAGACTCCATTCTTAAAGATTTTTCTGTGAAATAAAAATTTTCATTAATTGCCTTTGGGAAAATATGAAAGCCTTTAATGCTTAATCCTCCTTAATCATCAGCTCAAATAAAAAATTAACCATACAAATTAACCATATCTGACAACGTAAATTGTGAAATGATCACCACTTCTCTTCCGCAAAGCAGAAGTTCATCAAAGGTTTCCTATCGTCCATAAAAGGAAGCAAACAAACATGGTAAAAGTGGAATGAAGAACTCTGAGGTCTGTTGTTTCCAAAATCTGGGCTCTTTTCCTTACTCAATTTTGTCTATTACATATTCTACATGAATTTGTCCTTGACTCTCTTGGTATTCTCTATTTTTAGTGTTCAATGATCATACCTGTTGTACTATTTGCATACCCCTTAACACACTATGTTCTTACAAACCTTTATATGTGCCTGGAAAGTCTATACATTCCCCACCCAATTCTTGGTCATCTGTTTAAACACAAGTACCTTTCTTCTCTGTATATGTTTCTACTTCATACATACTTTTGATACTACTATGCATTGTAATTTGTTTACCTTTCTATTTCCCCATCTCAACAATGAATTTTCTAGGTCAGAATCATTTAAAGTATTTTAAAATCACTGCCTGGGATACAATAGGTACTCAATAAACACAAGTAAGAATGAATGAACTTTCTTTTTATTTACCACTCATAGGATCTCTTAATTATAACAAAAATAATAGCAATAGCTGATATTTATTAAGTATTATATGCAAGGTCTGACAGTAAAGACCTTCTGATTATCTGTTAGTTCACTGACTCTCCAGACCAACCCTGTGAGACAGGTACTATATTATCTCCACTTTATAAATAAGAAAACAGGCACTGAGAGGTTAAGCAATTTGCACATGATCACACAGCTAATAAAGTGTTTCTCAAAATGTTTTCAAAGATTGTTTATGGTACTATTGGAAAGTAACATTTTAAGTAAAAAGGTCAATCTATAAAACTACACATACAGTATGATTCTATTTATGCAAATAAAATGAATAAAACTTCTAAGAAAAAAACAAAATGTTATTTTGTGGAACTGAGTGCTTTCCACTTTATAGATTAATAATTTCCAAGTTTTCCTCACTAAACATTTCTAAACCCACGACGAAAGTAATGATTACCTATGCCTGATTATTAAATACGTATAAACGGAATCATACAATAAGTACTCTTTTGTGTCCAACTTCATTTGCTCAACACTATATTTGTGAGATTCATCTGTGTTGTTGCATGCAGTCTTCAGTTCACTCTAATTTCTTTACATAGCATTCCACCATATGGCACACAATTTATTTTCCCATTCTACCATGAATGTACGCTAGATTGTTTCCACTTGGGAGTTGTAACAGTGCTACTATAAGCACGTTACTACTATAATTTAAAAAGCTTTTTTTTTCTGAGACGGAGTCTCACTCTGTTGCCCAGGCTAGAGTGAAGTGGCACGATCTCGGCTCACTGGAAGCTCCACCTCCTGGGTTCACGCCATTGTCCCGCCTCAGCCTCCCAAGGAGCTGGGACTACAGGCTCCCGCCACCACGCCCAGCTAATTTTTTTGTATTTTTAGTAGAGACGGGGTTTCACCATGTTAACCAGGATGGTCTCGATCTCCTGACTTCGTGATCTGCCCGCCTCGGCCTCCCAAAGTGCTGGGATTACAGGCATGAGCCACCGTGCCCAGCCTTAAAAAGCTTTTAAAATATTCTGAGGCAAGGATTTACAAGGCCTCTGACTGTATCTCATATAAGTGGAATCATACAATATTTGTCTTTTCGTGATTGGCAAATTTATTTCCCTTACCCTAATGTTCTCAAAGTTCATCTATATTGTACCATATGCCAGAATTTCCTTCCTTTTTTAAGGCTGAATATTATTGTATTGTATGCATAGTTATGCATCACTCAAGAACAGGAATATATTCTAAGAAATGCGTCTTTAGGTGATTTCTTCACTGTGCAAAAATAATAGTGTACATACACAAACCTAGATGGTATAGTCTAATACCTGGATTATATAGTATAACCTATTGTTTCTAGGCAGCAAATCTTTACAGCATGTTCCTGTACTGAATACTGTAGACAAATGTAATTCAATGGTAAGTATTTATATAACTAAACAGAGAAAAGATACATTAAAAATAATTATAGTCAAATCATAGAGAAAGAAGATTGGTGGTTGGCAGGGGATGGGGAGTTGTTTAATGAGTATGAAATTTTGGTTTTACAAGATGAAAAGAATTATGGAGATAGATGATAGTGATGTTTGCACAACATTATGAATATATCCAATAATACTGAATTGTACACAAACATGGTTAAGATGGTAAAATTTTATGTTCTCTGTATTTTATCACAAAAAAATAACAACAGGTTGGGGGTAATGGTGCATGTGGCTGGAAAGCAAGTTGTTAAATTAAAACCTGTATCTGGCCGGGGGCGGTGGCTCATGCCTGTAATCCCAGCACTTTGGGAGGCTGAGGCAGGCGGATCACAAGGTCAGGAGATCAAGACCATCCTGGCTAACACAGTGAAACCCCGTCTCCACTAAAATTACAAAAAATTAGCCGGCCGTGGTAGCGGGCGCCTGTAGTCCCAGCTACTTAGGGGGCTGACGCAGGAGAATGGCGTGAACCCGGGAGGCGGAGCTTGCAGTGAGCAGAGATCGTGCCACTGCACTCTGGCCTGGGTGCAAGAGCGAGACTCGGTATCAAAAAACAAAACAAAACAAAACAAAACAAAACAAAACAAAACAAAACAAAACAAAACAAAACCTGTATCTGGAGCAGTAGTAGAGCTTCAGATTCTTCCCCAGTTCCATTCCCCTAAAGGTAGGATATTTATTCTCTGGCAAATAAATCTTTCCTAGGTAACACTCTTGTGTCCCTACCACCCCCCATCTCCCACACACGACATGCAATAATCTCCGCAGGAGTTTAGGCATGGGGTCAGTATAAGGAATAAAAGAAAATTTATATACTCAGTATTGAGACCCACAGACTCTTTTGTGGTCATGTTTCTACAATGCTGTCAGGAGACTAAGGGATTCTACTCTTGGATCACCAAACACCCGTGATAAGATTTCTGAATGTCATCTGAAATGTTTCCACTTTAAAGGTTAGCCTTCCACTAGACCATTCTATCCTACAACAAAGGCTGCTAGTCACCAGGAGTTTCTCATCAGAATTTTTAATGCTTCCCTCTAACTGACAAACATCAAGGACTACCATGTAATCAAGGAAGGCCTCCAATATGAAAGAAGGACCAAAGTAAACAACAATAAAAACAAAACTTTAAGATGTTGCAGGGAGAGGAAAATTTGGGGGAAAGGGGCTTATTTCTATCCTCACAGGGATCAAATAACATTCATTCATTGGGAGAAAATTTTTGCAATCTACCCATCTGACAAAGAGCTAATATCCAGAATCTACAAAGAACTTAAATTCGTAAGAAAAAATCAAACAACCCTATAAAAAAGTGGGCGAAGGATATGAACAGACACTTCTCAAAAGAAGACATTTATGCAGCCAACAGACACATGAAAAAATGCTCATCATCACTGGTCATCAGAGAAATGCAAATCAAAACCACAACGAGACACCATCTCACACCAGTTAGAATGGCAATCATTAAAAAGTCAGGAAACAACAGGTGCTGGAGAGGATGTGGAGAATTAGGAACACTTTTACATTGTTGGTGGGACTGTAAACTAGTTTAACCATCCTGGAAGACAGTGTGGCGATTCCTCAAGGATCTAGAACTAGAAATACCATTTGACCCAGCCATCCCATTACTGGGTATATACCCAAAGGATTATAAATCATGCTACTATAAAGACACATGCACAAGTATGTTTACTGTGGCACTACTCACAATAGCAAAGACTTGGAATCAACCCAAATGCCCATCAATGATAGACTGGATAAAGCAAACGTGGCACATATACACCATGGAATACTATGCAGCCATAAAAAAGGATGAGTTCATGTCCTTTGTAGGGACATAGATGAAGCTGGAAACCATCATTCTCAGCAAACTATCGCCAAGGACAGAAAACCAAACATGGCATGTTCTCACTCATGGGTGGGAACTGAACAGTGAGAACACTTGGACACAGGGCAGGGAACATCACACACTGGGGCCTGTTTTAGGGTAGGGGGAGGGGGAAGGATGGCATTAAGAGAAATATCTATTGCAAATGACGAGTTAATGGGTGCAGCACACCAACATGGCACATGTATACATATGTAACAAATCTGCATGTTGTGCACGTGTACCCTAGAACTTAAAGTATAAAAAAAATTCATTCATAAAATAAGAACAGGATGTGTGAGAATACAAAGACAGCATTATAAAGAGCTTATGGAAATTCAAAATGCCATATACTTGTTAAAATGAGATATACTGAAATAAATTCAACATAAGGACTGGGAGTAAGTTGCAGAAACCTCCTGGAAAGCAGAACCAAAAGAAATAGCAAATGTAACATGAAAATAATTATCTAGAGAGTTATAATTTGACTGTGGTTACAGAAAAATATAGAGAAAATTACCAAATAAACTTTTCTAGAAACGAAGGACAGAACTCTCCAAATTGAAAGGGCTCAAGACTACATAAGAGCATCAAAGAAAAAAGACCAACACTAAGCACAATATACCATCTTGAAACTGCAGAAAACCAGAAGTAATGGGAAGATCCTATAAGTTACTAGAGTGGAAAAAATGGGTCACATACAAAGAGAACGTAATCAGAACAGCTTAACAGCAACAATAAAGTCTTAAGACAATGAAATAATGCTTATAATACTGAGAAAAATGTTTAGCCTTGAATTCCAATCTAGCAAGTACATTTGAAGTGGAGAACAGAACATGTTTTCAGACATGCAAGGTCTCAACAAAACACAACGACCAAAAACACTACCAGAGGAAGCTAAATGAACAGCGTGTCCTAGAAAAATGGGAGTGTGAGGCAGGAAATAACAAGATATGAAACCCAGGAAGCAGCGATAAAGGGGAACTTAAGGGGGATGCTATGCAGAAAGCATGGCAAGCAAACAATTCGGACTGGAGCAGGACCTCAGGTAGCAGAAGTTGTAAGAAAAGAAAAAGCATCACATGGAAACTACATCTCATTGGCATGTGGTAGAGATGGTGGTACAACTTGAAAAAACTGTGTATATAGAAGAAAAGGCAATTTTAAAAATTAATTTTTTAACTTGGAAAAACTTAGCTGTTCATGAAAGGCATGATTGTTATTAGGTGAGCTCTTTAATATTTACATAGTCTTAATAATGTAAATATAGACTACTGAATCAATTTGCTACATATTGTGAGATGGAAGTGGGCAGTGGAAATAAGAATGGTAGGAAACAATGAAAAACCATGAAATAACAGTATAAGCACACTGTTTAGAAAAATGAAAGTATGTAAGTCCTAAAAGAAATAGCTAAATAGCAGAGGGGCACTGCCTTTGCAAAGTGGGACTAGAGATGGGGTAAAGGGTAAGGAAAAGGACTGCTCTTTTCCTTAGAAGCAGGATGACCATATTTCCCCACTTGCCCAGAACAGTCCCAGTTTATGTGCTGAAAAATTCTAATTTATGCTTATTATCCCAGAATAATTATTAATAGTACCTACGCTGTCTCTTAAAAGTGGCCTCATTTGGATGATAAAGCATATGGTCACCTAACTTAGAAATCTTTTCTACCATCGGCTTTTTACAAACTATATACGTATTTGGTAAGTCCATACAAAATATTTCATTAAAAAGAGGTAAATTCTGAACTGGAAATTTTTTAAAGGCATTCATTAGAGAAAAGAATATTAATGGTTAAACAGTGACAATGCAAAAGCCCATGAACAATTTAACAAGTAGCAGATGTGGTATTTTATCAAGGCAGCTATGAAGACACTAAAGGGACTGTATTTGCAATCAGAGGATTTTTGGGAAACAAAATGCTTTTTAAAAGACATACGTCAATATTAAGTTCTATAACAACAATAATGTTTCCTAATAATACCTCTTATAGTTTACTCTGACTACATTTACACCCAGTTCTTACTTGCAGAACTAAACTAACCTAGTAGGAAATCTGCTTAAAACAAACCTCCTTGGGAGAAGGCAAAGAGGCAGAGTCCTTTGAGAGAGATAATTTGATATTGTATGGAACTATTTTTGGCAACTCCTCTACATAAATTGATTGAATTTTGACAATGTAGGTGTTACATGAAAACTTATGTAATTTGGTTGCGTAAGTTGTAGGTCAAAAGCACAAAATATAGTGAAAAACAAAAATGTGCAGTCCTTGAAAAACTTCTATCGAATCACTTAGAAGGTTCTAAGAGACATCTTTTCAAGTCCATTCATTCATTTAACCAAGTTTTTTGGATACTCATGCACTAAGCACAGTAATTAATACTTAACAAGCGAATGAGGTAGGGGGACAACACTAAACGTTCTGAGATGGTGCCTGTAAAGAAATTGTAGTCTAATATGGAACAAACTACACAAATAATCACATAACTTCAATAGTTCTAAGTGCTACAAAGGAAAAGGTATAGGCTGGGCATGGTGGCTTACAGCTGTAATCTCTGCACTTTGGGAGGCCGAGGTGGATCACTTGAGGCCAGGAGTTCGAGACCAGCCTGGCCAACACAGTGAAACCCTCTCTCTACTATAAATACAAAAATTAGCCAGGTGTGGTGGCACGCGCCTGTGATCCCAGCTACTCAGGAGGCTGAGGCACAAGAATCACTTGAAGCCCGGGAGGTGGAGGTTGCAGTGAGCTAACACTGGGCCACTGCACACCAGCCTGGGCAACAGAGAAAGACTGTCTCAAAAACAAAAAAAGAAAAAAGAAAAAGGTATAAGCAAGAGCAGACTACTGGAAAGAGGCATTTGAAGCTTAATGTTTTAAACCAAGACTTAAAAACAAATAGCGCAAAAAAAGTTCACATGTACAATCTTTCCTCAATGGTCAATGAAATGGTCTTTTCCTTCTGTCACTATGTCATGCTTTTTAAAATTCAGATTTCATTTCAGAGCTGGACAGTTAGGCTATCTTCCTGTTTGGTGATAAGAAACTTATCACCAGGGCTGATTTTGTAGGTGTGGGCTCCAAGCTTCATTAAAAGTTTTGCAACTGACATCCTGAAATTCTATCTTTGAATTTGTGTTTTATAAGTGGAGTCAGATAGGGCAGTGAAGTATGCCTCACTGAAGTCCCAGTCATGATAGATCCACTAGAATTTTATCCTCATGTTCCTCATCAACAAGTCTATGACTGAGGAAGGGGAGGCACTGACAAGAGGCTACACTTTCTATTCTCCAGAACTGGTATTGAGTGTGTAAGGAATCTAATTAGCTACAAAGCCACACACACACAGACAAAAATCGTACGATTGGTATTTGAGATTTTTCACTTATTGAACTTTTTGACTTCTGAGATGAAGTTTCTGGATGAAGATTCTCTGAAGCTGATAATGCAGCTGCTAGTTTACCTAATAAGACATACTTTTACTCTGTTAAGTATGTCTTCACCTTAAGGCATTTTAATAGTGGCTGACACAGCAACAAGAGTAAAAAACCTGTATTCATACCAATTCAACAATTTATGTAGTCTGTCTATATCTCACAAACCTGTGGGCTTGCTTTAGCTATGAAAAAAATGAACTGCTTTTTTAAATGAGTGACTCCATTCCTCTGGGCATCCTAAGAAACTCTGAAGATATCCAGGACATAAACAAGGTAAGGAATCTTAACAGGCCACCTCCTCACAATAAGGTGGACTCCAAAAGACCACAACCTCAGATTAAGAGTTAAGGTATTAGGCCCAGTGTGGTGGCTCATGCCTGTAATACCAGCACCTTGGAAAGCCGAGGAGGGTGAATCACAAAGTCAGGAGTTCAAGACCAGCCTGGCCAACATGGCGAAACCGCCTCTACTAAAAATACAGAAAAAAAAAAAAAAATAGCCGTGTGTGGTGGCTCGCGCCTGTAATCTCAGCTAATCCGGAGACTAAGGCAGGAGAATTGCTTGAATCCGGGAGGCAGAGGTTGCAGAGAGCCGAGATCATGCCACTGTACCCCAGCCTGAGCAATAGAGCAAGACTCTGTCTTGAGCGGTTGCGGAAAGAGTTAAGCTATTAATAGAAGTAAACCAGCTCTTGTGCAGATTTGCAGCCCAGGTTAATGTTGCCTGCTTGGTAAATGGAAGTTCAAATCCTGAATTTGGTTTAAGGTGGTCCCAATTTAGTAATCTACCAGGAACATGGCAGAAGCCAACATAAATCTTGCTAGAGGAATATACCTTCATGCTAACTTTCAAATTATTTCTACAAGTATTTTTTCAAGTATAACGAACAAGGGATAACTAAGTATACAGCAAAATAAGATACTACAAACAAGGTCTTTGAGACACAAGATGAGAGAAAAAAAATAGGGTAGCAAAAACATCAAATCAAGCATTTCAGGCAGATTATAAAACTATGCTTAGTGTGTTTGAATAAAGAGAAGCTTGAAAAATACAGGCAAGGAACAGGAAACTGCAAAAAGAGCACTTTTTAACAAATATACAATAGCCATAATATAAATACCACCATGAGGATGAGACACCCAAAATGGAAGACATTATGTAAGATAATTGGCCTAGACTCTTCAGAAATCCTCCATGGCTGGGTGCAGTGGCTCATGCCTGTAATCCCAGCACTTTGGGAGGCCAAGGCAGGAGGATCACGAGGTCATGAGTTCAAGACCAGGCTGGCCAACATGGTGAAACCCCATCTCTACTAAGAATACAAAAATTAGCGGGGCATGGTGTTGCGTTCCTGTAATCCTAGCTCCCTGGGAGGCTGAGGAAGGAGAATCGCTTGAATCCAGGAGGCGGAGGTTGCAGTGAGCCGAGATGGCACCACTGCACCCCAGCCTGGGCAACAGAGCAAGACTCCATCTTGGGGCTGGAGGGGGGAGGGCGGGACACTGCTCCAACATTCTTGGCCTCATACTAAGCACTAGGCAGCGGCAGTCCACTACTGGAATACTCTGAAGGTAAATAAAGCAATAATAAAGGTCATATCCATCTCGACTACAGACAAAACAAAGTCAACCCACCATACTAATGCCCCGACAGAAGAATATGCCCATATCAATGCATAAATATTGTTTATCTCAGTCTCTAATCTGTTCTGTTTTTAGTTTAGCATTTAGTCAAAACTTGTATGATACACAAAAATGCAAGGAAAAAAAATCACCCCATTACCAAGAGATAAAATGGCAGAACCAGACCAAGACATAGCCCCAATGTCAACAAACAAGCAAACTGATGGGTTTAACAATAGACTAGGTAAAATTGAAAAACTGGGGAAGGAGGAAATAAGCTAGAAAAAAATCCCCTCAAACTAAATTAGTATTAGGATCATTACGGGAAGAGACATGGCTCCAAGGATGAGGACCCAAAGTCGTGGAAATGGATAAAAGTCAGATTCAATACATACTTCAAGTCAGAAAGGATTTACCTAATAACTGGGAAGGGAGGCAATTATAATACTGATGAAGAACAAACATTTTACTGTTTTTCTTTCAGGGGATTGGGAGTGGGCGGGGTGGTGGTGGGGGGTGGTCAAGGAAGCACACCAAGATTAGTTGGTTTTGAAAAATGAGCTGTCTGGCTGGTTGTGGTGGCTTCCAGCACTTTGGGAGGCCAGGGCAGGATTGCTTGAGGCGAGGAGTTCAAGACCAGCCTGGGTAACATATTGACACCCCGTCTCTACAAAAAATATTTTTAAAAAAGAATAAGCAGACCAGCCTGGCCAACACGGTGAAACCTCGTCTTTACTAAAAATACAAAAAAAGATTTAGCCGGGCGGTAGTGGTGCACACCTGTAATCCCAGCTACTCGGAAACTGAGGTAGGAGAATTGCCTGAGCCTGGGGAGGTGAAGGTTGTGGTGAGCGGAGATCGCGCCACTGCATCAGAGTGAGACACTTTCTGAAAATAATAATAATAAGCAATTAGAAGTGCCCAGAAGGTCCAGGAGAACGCTGGAAATACAGTTTTGGAGAGCAGTGTGGCTGACGGTATATTTTTCAGTTACATACACTGATTTATTTACTGTTTTCCAGATACATATGCTACCTCCTTGCCTTCTACTTATACTGTACCTTCTATTTGGCACTCTTCCCACAAACTTATCTCTAGTAGAATTTGGGGTACTATGAAAAAGTAAATTGAAAAACTTCAGGCAGTTTAAGAGAACATTAGGAGGAAAGGAGTTCTACCAATTACCCTACTTATGATTAAAGCTTTCTCTGACCACAACCACAAGCTGCCTACCAGGTAGAGCTTGGATTTTTAGTTTATCAAATTTGGAAAGCTGTGAACTCCTAAAAGCAGTACAATGTCCAAAAGTTTTTCTCTGATTCTGCTTATGAAGGTTTTTCTCAAGTATTATGTATCCCCTTCCATTATGCTACGGATCACTGTGTCCCATTATTACAATAATGGCCTTGATCAGGTATCTGTCAAGAGTCACACAGTAGTCATAAAATAACCAGTCTAACAAAAATGCCTCAGCCCTATTAACACATGCTACCTCCCACACCTAAAAGTCTTTTCCTGTATGTTAATGTATTAATAAATATGTATTTAATATATTAATAAAATTCATTTCCTATTTTTTTCCAAAATAGAAAACTGAGGCTAGGCTAGGCAGGAAATAAGTCAATCTTTGCCTAATTTTTGCACATCAGCCAATTTCTATTTGTAGAAATACGCTAGCTGAGTGCAAGCTTCAAAGTCTGCCCCTCACTTGGTATGCTTGGGTATGACTCTAGGTATAATCTAATGCTTAATTTTCTCACCTACAAAATGGTGATAATGATAGTATCAACTTCACAGGTATATTGTGAGGTTTGCTGGCACACAGCATGTGTTCAGCAAATACTAGCTATTATTAACCAATACCATCAGCATGAAGGTTTTCATATAAACAGCTCAGTAGAAATTTTGTTGGCTTTTTCATTATTTGAAATTTGTCTTTAACACATAGTAAAACATCTTTCAAAGTCATTCAGATTTACATACAGGATATTCACTTCAGGGTAAAGAAACCTATACAAGATTACTTATATTAAGTATATGCATTAAACAACTGGAAAGAAATAGCCATTTTTATTATTTTGCTGTTATCTCGGGTGATGGTATTATTAATGTGTTTTTTCTTCTTTATACTTAGTTTTCAAAAAAATTCTTTAATGTACTTTGTTAATTGAGGGCAACAATTATTTGCCAGAGGAAAAGGCATTTTTAAAATAACTTGTATTACAGAAGTCCTAAGGAGAATAATTCCCTTTCTAATTTGCTGGTTTACAGCCTTAGTAGCTACTTACCACAAAAATAACTCTAGTAAAGACTAAGTGAAAGATAAAGTTAAAATACTTCACAAAATGAAGTTCAGATTACCTGAGTATGACTTAAAGTTTTTATCATGAAAAATTTTAAACATACACAAAGGTACAGCCAATAATGAGCTTCCATGTACCAATCAAGTCTTCAACTATTATCCACATTCAACCTCCCTAACCTATTTTACCACCCACTCTATTATTTTAAAGCAATCCCAAGCATGACATCTTTGAGGCTATCTATTCTTATAGTGGTCTAAAGAACCTATGGTAAATTACAAAATATGGCTACAAATGTCCCCCATCCTAGTATTAGCCCCCTTTGTAATGCAACGTTGCTGCACTGCCTAGGATGAGGCAGTCTTACTTCCCCACCCCAGTCTTGTGTGACTAAGAGAATGGACTGTGACACTGTAAGATTTTCAAGGTTGTAAGAGGTCTTACAAGCTTCTCTTAGAATACTGTCCCAAGATTCCTGTGTCATAAATGATCACAAAGAGTAAGGCCTATATGTCCACCAACACTAGCTGCCAAACATGAGTGATGCCATCTTGGATCTCCCAGCCAGGGAAATCCTCCAGCTGAATGCTGGTACATGAGGAGTAAGCCCCGGGCAAAATCAGTAGAACTGCCCAACAGGCACCTAGAACTGTAAAAAACAGTGAACAGTTGTTTTAATCCACTAGGTCCCGAGGTGGTTTGTTATGCAGCCATAGAACAAAGATTCATTACTTATCCTTATTTTCTACTGTTACCATACCATTATCTTATGCCTGCAGTCTCTGAAAACTCTGATTTTAACTGAGTCTAACCTGGGAACTATCTTAAATATCCAGGGAAGATTACAGGTACTGAATTACTAAAAGTACACCACTACTATAGGATAAACTCATGGCACAAAGGCCAGAGCAATCACACAAAATACCAATGTAATCTATCATTTTTTTTTTTGGAGACAGGGTCTCACTCTGCTGCCCAGGCCAGAGTGCAGTGGTGCAATCACTGCAGCCTCGACCTCCTGGGTTCAAGTGATCCTCCCACCTCAGCCTCCTGAGTAGCCTGGACTACAGGCACGCACCACCATACCCAGCTAATTGTTGTATTTTTTTTAGTAGAGACGGGGTTTCATCATGTTGCCCAGGATGGTCTTGAACTCCTGAGCTCAAGCAATCTGCCTGTCTCGGCCTCCCAAAGCGCTGGGATTACAGGAGTGAGCCACCATGCCCAGCCCCAATGCAATATTTCAAGAGTCTTGCAGAAATACAAACACGCAGTTACTATTTCATTATTTACATATACTTTGCATATCCTTTTCTTAAAAAAAAAAATCTGCTTCTGGGGAAATTTTTTTTTTCCTTAGTGGGAAATCATAGTAAACATGGAGACATGGAAGCTAAGGGTGGGTCAATGAGGGAATCACTTTGAAAGTATACAACATTTTGGGCCTTAAAAAAAAGTCTCCCTTAACTAACTTTTAGCTGACAAATACTTAAAACACAAAAATATGACATGCCCAAATCTTAAAAAATTAGAAAAAAGCTTAACATCCCATGAGAAAATATGACTATGATGTTAAGTCTACACTACACCACTGTAAAAGGCAAACTGTTCTCCTTGAAATGAATTTAATCTCTAAGCATCAAGTTTCGATCTTAAGTAGAAACCATTTTAGGGTTCTTTCTACAAAGTATGAAACATCACACTAATGAACAATGATCATAATGGAAAGATAACTACTTTTAAGGTTCAAAACTTGCCTTCTTTTTAAGCTGTTGACAAAAATGGGTGTAGAGCAGCAGGTGATTTTAAAACCAGGTGTTCAACTTACCTAGTCTAACCGGTAGAGTCAGAGAAATATATTTGAGGGCAGGAAAAACCAGCTCTGACCATGTAAGTTCATGCCAGGGCAGAAAGCTGAAAATTAAGATTAATGAAAATTAAACCCCAGCATGCAGTGACTCACACTCAGGCCTGTAATCACAGCGCTTTGGGAGGCTGAGGTGGGAGGATTCCTTGAGCTAAGGAGTTGGAGACCAGCCTGGGAAACATGGTGAAACTGTCTCTATAAAAAAATATAAAAATTAGTCAGACATGGTGGCGCGCACCTGTAGTCCCAGCTACCCAGGAAGCTGAGGTGGGAGAACTGCTTGAGTCTGGGAGACTGCGGCTGCAGCAGCCTAAAAAACAGAGTGAGACCCTGTCACACACTCACACACACAAAATTATTACCCCCCCCACCTAAACTCTCAAATTATAATTTCATTCTCCCCAACTTCAGACTTTTTGGCTCATCCTATGATTAGCAAATGCTGTATATTAAGATAAATTTTTTGACTGCAATTGAATTCTGCTTTGGTGAATTCAAGTAATCTTAGTAGGAACTCAAAATCCGATTCTTTTTAAATTGTAATCATTCTAATGTGATCAGTTGATTCACTTATTTAACAGTTAAAAGCTTCATTAGTTAATTTGTTGTTTAAAAGTAAAGTCTAATGCAACGCTGTGCATTTCATTCATTCATGTCCCATTGTTCTTTATTACTGGCACTTAATTATCTGTGGTAACAGAAGGATGTATCAGCAAAGATTATCTAAAAATTATTTTTATTTTGTTAAGGAACACAATAGCTCTCCATTCCGCAGCATAGAGCACTAACTTTATTTTTATTTTTTTAGAGACAGGGTCTCACTCTGTGGTGCAGGCTGGAGTGCAGTGGAGCTCTATCATACCTCACTGCAGTCTCTGCAACTCGTGAGCTCAAAATGATCGTTCTGCCTCAGCAGCCCAAGTAGCTAGTAGTAGCAGTGCGCACCACTACACCCGCACCACCATGCCCGTAGAGATGGGGTCTTTGTGGCCTGGCTGAACTCCCAGCCTTAAGCGATCCTCCCACCTTGGCCTCCCAAAGTGACGGGATTACAGGAGTGAGCCACCACACCCAGACACTAATTTTCTAGTACAGTACAGAAAGTCTTTTATGTCGGGCTCTAACTTACCATTCAATGTATGTTTCAGCTACAGGAACAAATCATGAATTCCTAAAACAAACCATAATATCATGACTTTGCAGTTTCTTTATCAAAGTCCTAGTGAGCCTTCACATCTTAGTTCAGGCAATAAATAAATAAATCCTGTAAAATTTCCAAGATTAAGCACCCCTCCCCTATGCTCCCACAGAACCACTGTACAGTCATATTAAGATAATAATAGTTGTTTATACATTAGTCTGATGACTAAACAGTGAGTTGTGGAGGGCAGATGCCATGTCAAGCTCATTCTTGTAATGTGAAGCTCTCCATAATTTGTAATTTGACTACAACAAATTACAAATTATCTAAAAAAGTTTTAAGATATTTGACAGATTTTGCATTATAAAATTATTTTCCTACAATAAAATGTCAAAATGTAGACGATTCTTGAACATAGAGCAGATAAAAGAGTTGTGTAAGGTGGGTATGGAGCGGACTAAAAATTGGCTACATGAGAGTCATGGATGACTTTTGTGTCCAAGTTCGTTACCTGACACCTTCATGTAGAACATAACCTGGGCATCCTCGTGCTTTATCTGGGAAAATAGCCCTCTTCCAGGTGGCAGAAAAAAGAAATCATTTGTACTTGAATAAGTAGGAATTCTTAATTCAAGACACCTGACCCAGCACTAAACTTGGAAAAAAACCAAGACTAGTATTATGTCCCCTAGTGACTGCTTCACACACCACCTCAGCAAATTTAATCCTCTCTAGAAATTAACTGCCATGTTTCTGAGACAATCTCGTGAACTTAAATAACTATGGCAAAAATCAAGACTCAAACCCAGGTCTTCTGAGTCTGGTGCTACTGCCTCATGCACCAGTCCTGTCTCCCAAAATGCTGTAGAGCTGTTAAATAAAAATATTATACTGACCTCATTTCTCAAACAAACTTTTTGCTACCTCAAGTAAAAGATCTAGTTACACTACATGTGTGCCTTCTTAATAACTGTATACTATTGGATTTTTAAATCGAAAATTCATCTTTAATCCTACATCTTGGTTCTGGACAGAAAGGTGGAGATTTAAAATAACATGTAATCAGAAAAATAGCTAATCAATCCTACAAAATGGGGGAGAAAACCTCGCCAAATTTCAGTTTTCACACATTTAACTAATAGTAACAAACAACATTAGTCGTGACGAATTTATTACCCAGATAGACTTTCCCAATATATTTACTTTGGTACTTGAGAAAAAGTATTAAGTGCAGCATTTTGGGGTGAGGGGGTGGACACACATCTTCAATACGCAGTTTCACCAAAATGAGGGAGTTTCCTACTCCCGGCGCCTTCTATATTTTTACTTCTTAGGCCAACAGGTCCATTTTTAATACAATCACCTACTTCGAGTTGCAGAACCCACAATTCACCACAACACAAAAATAACTCTCAGGGCGTCACGATATTCAAAAACTGACGTTACCAATAAGACAATCTTGGCCGAATCTAAGGGGCTACCGAAGTCACTTCGACTCGAGGCCGGGCTGGCCGAGCCGGAGCCCTGCCCGCCTTTGCCCCGCGCTCACCGGCGAGCTCACGCGCGACACCCGCGGCCCGCAGGGCTCCGAAGACCCCCCGCCCCACGGCCCAAGAGGAGGCCGCCCCGCGCCAAAGGAGGGCTCAGGCTTCTTCCCGTCACCCGCCACACGTCCCTGAGGAAGACACACAATCTGTCCCCTGCACCCGCCACAAACTCCACCACCCGACCAAAGGCCCCTGGCAAGGGAGGCCTGCGCTGTGGCCCCTTGGCCCCGGTGGCCCCGGACCAAGCTTCTCCACCTCATCCTGAGAGGAAGCGGCCTCCGCGTCCCCAGGCCTCTTCGTTTCCTCCCCTCCCCCACTCGCGGCCTGGTCCCGAACTAGCGCCCAAGACGGAGAAGAACTAGCTCCGCAGCTCATTACCCCGGCTCCTGAGCCGGCACCGACCAGTGCGCGTCCCACTCGCAGCAACACGCACCGCCGCCTTTCTCCTTGGAGTTCTAGGCCCGTGACTGAGGAAATGCAGTCGGCAGCGAAGCACAATGGCGCCCGCCCCTCTCCCGGATCCGGCGCAGAACCAGCCACCACCGTTAAGTGCCCCTCCCTGCTCCTCCTCCCCCCACTTCGCGGACTTCCTGGCTTCTCGCGAGAGTGGCGGCGCGGCGGGGACCGAGAGCTGCGGGCGGGCTGGAGGTACCCCACCGCGGGGTGGTGCTCTGACTGCGGGAACCGTTGAAGAGCTGCCCCCGGGGAGTCAGCGAGGCGCCACTGGTAAGCGGCAGCGGCTGGCTGGCCGGCGTGCCGGCAGCTGGGCTGGCGAGTGTGCGGGCGCCGGGCGCTGGAGGCCCGGGCCGGGGCGGTCCCCGCCCGTCTATAGTCTCTGAGCCAGCCCCTTCCCTCCCGGGCGCCGGGTCCCCGCCCACAGGCCCACCTGCAGGGCCCCGTGCTCGAAATAACGCCCAGCTGGTTGGCTTTTTTTTTTTTTTTTTTTCTTTTTCTGGCTCTTGGTAAGTGGCGCAGTGAATGTTGAATTGAATCAAGCACTGCCTTTTCCGACCTACCCCTCCCCGCTTGCTTCCCTGCCCGCCCTGTGTGATCTAACTGCAAGCCCTTTCCCTTAAGAGTTGGAGCCTGTTTGTCCAACCTTGTGATCATTTCCTTGTGGTAAGAATCTTGGTAAATGATGGTGATCATGTCTTTTAAAATCGTGATAGTAACCTTTAATAGCGTAGCCATCGATTTTGCAGTAAACAAATTCACCTATTTAGAAAGAGGGAGGAAAATTGTGAGGTGAATGGTCTGGTGAATATTAGATGAAACTTTCAAAGAACTGTAAATGTGGCAAACTAAGATGTAAATGAGTACTAATAAATAAAAGGGAGTAGGTTAGGGAAAAGCTACATCTAACTATGTGTAAATATTTAGATGATATGTTGATTTGGAATAATGAATCAAAAGTTTTTTAATGGAAAAGATCAGTTATTGAAACTTGGAAGAATACTGAAAGGCACTTGATTTTTTTTAATGACCTATTTTGTTAAGGTATTAAAAGCAATCCTTTGGATCCAAATAATTCCAATAAATGAAACACAGTGTTTCTACGTGTTTGTCATTACATCGGAAGGGAATGGAGTATCAGTCACTATCATCCTTATTTTATTGTCTTGGGGACTAACAGACTGTACATGTTTCACTATGATAAATTCTAAAATACTATAAATTTTAAAGACTTAAAGGTATTTTAAGTTGGCATGTAAGTGCCAATCTAACTTTTAGGATATGAAATGAAAATAAGCATCTGGTATGGGATAAAGTGAACAGAGATTACTTTTGAGGAAATTAATTTGCCCTTTAAAGAAAAATAATTCTTTTCCAGCCTGTTCGAGTGCCCCTGCAGCATTGTGGTTATAGATACACGGATGTATACACCCTGAAGAACCAGACTATATGGCTTCAAATTCCACCCCTGCCTCTTACTACCTTTGTTATCTCAAGCAATTCCTTAACCTTGCTAAACCTAGGTTTCCTGTAAAACGGGGTTAATAACAGTACCCATGCTCTGTAGCATTGTTTAGATGAGATAACACGTCAGTTCCTGAAACAAGTAAGCATTCCGTAATTGTTAGCTATTACATTCCATGTCTAAACCACCAATAATATTGTTTCTTTCTGTGACTTAATATTACATAGGTCTCTTAGACATCTTCTCAAGATTATGCTAAGAGAAATGACTGCACCCTTTTCCTGAGCTATGGCAGTCAGACCTGGCAGTGGTAACTACTCTACAGAACTCCCAAACCTGGCAAGGATGGTGCAGATTTTGGCAGATTATGGCTTTGTCCCCACCCAGCACTGATGATATTATAAAGTGAGTATGACACCAATTTCCTATGCTAAACAGAGCTTCTAGTTTTTTATTGGTGCTAGTAAATAAAGACCACTGATGAATATGTTTTTATTATTTAAGAATGGTTCGTTGTGTTTCTTTTTAATGTACTCTCTCTGATTTTAGTATTCAGGTAATTATCATGAGTGATAAATAATTATTGAGATTTTGCTATGCTGCAGACATTTTGCAGCCGGGCGCCGTGGCTCATGCCTGTAATCCCAGCACTTTGGGAGGCCAAGGTGGGTGGATCACGAGGTCAGGAGATCGAGACCATCCTGGCTAACACAGTGAAACCCTGTCTCTACTAAAAGTACAAAAAATTAGCCGGGCGTGGTGGCAGGCGCCTGTAGTCCCTGCTACTTGGGAGGCTGAGGCAGAAGAATCACTTGAACCCAGGAGGCAGAAGTTGCAGTGAGCCAAGATCATGCCACTGCACTCCAGCCTGGGCAACAGAGTGAAACTCCATCTCAAAAAAAAAAAAAAGACATTTTGCTAGGAATTATGGATGTGAATAGGTAAAACATGGTCATGGAAAATGACCATAGTTTCTTAACTAAAAATCGTCACAAAGTGATTTGACAGGCAAGTGTTTGAAGTCAAAACTGTTCCAGACAATCTAGACACCGTGCTTGCCTTTTATCCACAGAGTTCCCCCACTTGACCTTCCCTTGCTACTTTTTATCCTTTATGAGTGACTCTGACATACCTTTCTGTATCTAAATATCTTTGTTCACCACTTGCCCTCACCACTCACCTTAGTTTTCATTTTTAAACTTGGCTTCTTCTCTAAGTTAGCATCTTATTGACTATTAACCAATTTTCCCCCTTTTATTTTATAAACTTGTCTGTTATTTACCCATGGTCATTCAACCCTTTACTCTTATGTTTTGAGCATTTCTTCCACCTGATAGCTTAGAATGCTCTTTCAGATATTGAATTTCAAAGTTCTTGTTTTCCCCTCTTTTATTCATCCCACAACCTAATCTTCTAAAAAGCTTCTCTTTGGCAAGGGTAGTTGTAGAGATATCCTTTACTTTGCATAAATGGTGGGACATTGAAAAGATGTGGTTACATTTGCTTTTTGCAAATCATATAATTTTTTATTGATACATAATATTTGTATATATTTATGGGATACATGGGATATTTTGTTACATACATAGAATGTGTAATGATCAAGTCAAGGTATTTAGGATAACCATCATCTAGAACATTTATGACTTCTGTGTGGGTAGTATTTCAAGTCTTCCCTTCTAGCTATTTTGAAATAATGCAATATGATGTTAACTATAGTCATTCTACTCTATTATCAAACATTAGAACTTACTCCTTTTATCCAACTTTATATTTGTACCCATTAACCATCCTCTTTTTGTCCCCACCCCCACCACACACATACTCTTCCCAGCCTCTGATAACTATCATTCTACTGTCTACCTGATTGAGAACAATTTTTTCAGGTGATCTGCCTGCCTCGGCCTCCCAGTGTGCTGGGATTACAGGCGTTAGCCACCGCGCCTGGCCAAGGATCCCTGCTTCTTTTTTTTTTTCTTTTTTTATCCAGCCCAAAATGTCATGAGGACTCCTACTTCTAAGGGATATATTACTTAAAGGTCCATTGTTCTAAGTCTTTGATGTAAGGGATTCCTTTCATAACAAAAATAATAAACTCTCGATTTAGTGCCTTTATAAATTTTTATTTTCCCCACATCAAGTTTTATTTAAAGTTGCCATATTTAGTAAATGAACATCCAAAAAATTCTGTTGGTTGACTTCTACTGGATTAGCATCAAAAACTTTCAATTCCCCAAGCCAGTATTTAAAAGGATATAGAGGCCAGATGTAGTTGCTCAAGCCTATAATCCCAGGACTTTGAGAGGCTGAGTCAGGAGGATGCTTGAGACCAGCGTGGGCAACAAAGCAAGGCCCCATCTATACAAAAAAATTTTAAAAATTAGCCCTGTGCATTGGTGCATGCCTATAATCCCAGCTACTTGGGAGGCTGAGGCAGGAGGATTGCTTGAGCCCAGGAGGTTGAGGCTTGCAGTGAGCGGGGATCATGCCACTGCATTCAGGCCTGGGTGACAGACCCTATCTCAAAATAAATAAATAAAGAAATAAATAAATAAATAAATAAATAAATAAATAAAAGGTTATTAAAACACGTAAAGAGAATACCATCTTGAAACCCTGTCTGAGAAACCTCTCTTACATCTAAGCTTACAGGCTAGATCTCACTGCTTCTAGAAAGATCATTCCTGCTTTTAGTTGCTCTAGAATATCTGGCCTCACCAGGAATAATCCCCAATTTGTGGAACACTTGGAATTCAAACCTTGCACACTGCCTGAAATATATAGAATGCTTAAGAAAAGCAGATACATTTTATTCATGTTTTTAAGTACATGAGGCCTCATTCCATCTCCCAGGCTGGAGTACCCGGCGGTACCATCATAGCTCACTGGAGCCTCAAGCTTCTAGGCTAAAGCTGTCCTCCTGCCTCAGCCTCCTGTGTGGCTGTGACTACAGGTGTGCCACCACAGTGTGGGGCTAGTTGTTTTTAAATTTTTTGCTGCCCAGGCTGGTCCCAAACTCCAAGCCTCAAGTGATCCTCCCTCCCCGGCCTCCCAAAGTACTGGAATTACAGGCATCAGCTACCACATCCAGTTAACAGCTATATTTTATTTTTTTTATTTATTTATTTTGGAGACAGAGTCTCACTCTTGTCTCCCAGGCTGGAATGCAGTGGCTCAGTCTCGGCTCACTGCAACCTCCACCTCCCAGGTTCAAGTGATTCTTCTGCCTCAGCCTCCCGAGTAGCTCGGATTACAGGTGCCTGCCACCACTCCCGGCTAATTTTTTCTTTTTTTTGAGATGGAGTCTTGCTCTGTCGCCCAGGCTGGAGTGCAATAGTGTGATCTCCGCTAACTGCAACCTCCGCCTCCCAGGTTCAAGCGATTCTCCTTCCTCAGCCTCCTGAGTAGCTGGGATTACAGGCATGCACCACAATGCCTGGCTAATTTTTGTAATTTTTAGTAGAGATGGAGTTTTATCATGTTATTCAGGCCGGTCTTGAACTCCTGACCTTGTGATCCACCCGCCTCAGCCTCCCAAAGTGCTGGGATTACAGGTGTGAGCCACCACGCCCAGCCCCAATTTTTCTATTTTTAGTAGAGATGGGGTTTCACCATGTTGGCCAGGCTGCTCTCAAACTCCTGACCTAAGGTGATCCTCCCACCTTGGCCTCCCAGAGTGCTGGGATTACAGGCACCAGGCCAACAGCTATATTTTATTATTATAATTATTTTTTTAATAGAGATGAGTTCTCAGTATGTTGCTCAGGGTGGCCTTGAACTCCTGGCCTCCCAGACCCTCCTGCCTTGGCCTCCCAAAGTGCTGTGATTATAGGTGCGATCCACGATGCCCAGCCCTATTTTTTATTATTGATAAAACTAGGAGTTGGAAAACTGTGGTACATGGGCCAAATGTAGCCCACTACCTGTTATTTTACATAATTTAGATTTAATTATATATTTAATTTAAATATGTAATTTAGATTGTGTATTGTCTATTGTTGTGCATTATATATTAGGGTTCTCCAGAGAAACAGAACCAGTAGTATACAATACATTATCTGTCTGTGAATATTTATTTTAAGGAATTAGCTCACGTAATTGTGGAAGCTGATAAGTTTGAAATTTGTAGGGCTGGAAACTAAGACCAGAGTTGATGCTGCATTCTTAAGGCAGAATTTCTTTTCTAGGAAACTTCAGTTTTTGCTCTTAAGGCTGACAGGATGAGGCCCATCAACATTATCAAGAGTAATCTCTTTAAAGTCAACAGATTGTAGATATTAACCACTTCTACAAAATACCTTCACAGCAGCCCAGATTAGTGCTACTTACGTAACTGGGTACTCTGGCCTTGCCAAGCTGTCGTATAAAATTAACCATCACAGTTTAACTGCTTTCACCCTACAATGAGAACAGTTTAGTAGTTGTGACAGAGATGGTATGACTTAGAAATCCTAAAATATTTAGTACAGGAAGTTTGCTGACCTCTGGAGTAAACCATAAAACCAAATTGAACTAGCAATCATTGTTCCTGTAATAGAGTTCAGCCAAGTGTGCACATGCGCACGCGTGCGTGCACAAACACACACGCACACACACGGAGGCACACACGAACTTCAGAATTATAATAATCGAGGACCATGCTTGGCCTCCATGACCATTTCAGACTACATTTTTTTTGAGATTGGAAGCAGAAGGGGATAAAGATATAAATTCCTTGAGCATTCCTTCTGCCAAGTTAGGCAGCATCCTGTTTTATCTTAAATTTTTTTTCGTGTCCACATTTGTGTACAATTTTATAAAAAGCTGTGTATGTGATTGTATCATACCTACTATTTTAGTGTAGTCCTTCTCTTTTCCGTTTTTCGCCTTTTCCTTGCCTTTTTCTTTTCCTTCTTAATTTGGCTCTTCTGCCTCTGTCTGCTACTCCACAAACATCCTTTGCAGCTCATGTTGACCAACTACTGTGTATCCTCCCACCTTACTTTCTGCATGGTCACACAATCATAAAAGAGTGTGTGTGTTTGTGTGTGTGTGTGTTATATATGTTTACAGAAATACTGGTATTGATGGAGTTTTTTTAACCATTTAATTTATAAAATGAAATCAAATTTAAGCATGCATCTTCATCTAACTTTTTTCATTCTATAGTACCTTTTCTCTAAATCCCTATTGATGTTTAGTTGTTTAGCCTTTGCTTTTGGTTTGTAATAGATATTATCACTCTGCTGCTTTCACAGTGTTTTTTTCATTTCTATTGATTTTACATGTAGTATTTTTTGCCATAGATAGGTTTAGATGGTAAAATGTGTCAATGATTTCTTTAACAAGTTCTAGGTTTCCAGTTTAGCTTAAAAAATCTTACTTATCCTTTGATATTATCAGGCAGTATCCTACATTTTCCAGGTTGTGCTTAATTATTCTCAATTGATCTCTTACATCTTAAAAAATTTATCATTTTTGTATATGGAATAAGATAATAGGATCTAATTTTTTTGTCTTCTCAATAGATAGCCAGGTGTGCCAGTAGCATTCTAATTCTGTAATTAGAAAGACCAATTCTGTAATTAGAAAGGCTAATTCTGTAATTAGAAAGACCACCTTTGTTATATATTGAATTTTTAAATTTATGCTGAATATATTTCTGGGTTTTCTATTCTGAAAACTAAACTATTCAGAACTATAAATGTTAAACTATTCAGAAAACAAAATATTGCTTACCTATCTTTTGAATCTTTCTCATTTATTATTACTGTTATGTTTTTCTGTCACCTACTTGTTCAGTTATAAGAAGTGGTAACTACACTGGGCGTGGTGGCTCACACCTGTAATCCCAGCACTTTGAGAGGCTGAGGTGGGCAGACTACTTGAACCTAGGAGTTTGAGACCAGCCTGGGCAACATAGTGAGACCCCATCTCTACAAAAAAATACAAAAATTAGCCAGATGTTATGGCACACACCTGTAGTCAAAGCTACTTAGGGGGCTTAGGCAGGAGAATTGCTTGAGCTGAGGAGGCAGAGGTTTCTGTGAGCTGAGATTGCGCCACTGCACTCCAGCCTGGCATCCTGGGCAACAGAGCAAGACCCTGTCTCCAAAAAAAAAAAACAAACCAAAAAAGGCCAGACGAGGCTGGGCGTGGTGGCTCGTAATCCCATCACTTTGGGAGGCCGAACTGGGCGGATCACGAGGTCAGGAGATCAAGACCATTCTGGCTAACACGGTGAAACCTCGTCTCTATTAAAAATACAAAAAATTAGCCGGGCGTGGTGGTGGGCACCTGTAGTCCCAGCTACTTGGGAGGCTGAGGCAGGAGAATGGCGAGAACTCAAAAAACAAAAAAAACCCAAATGCGGTGGCTCACGCCTCTAATCCTAACACTTTGGGAAGCCGAGGCGGGTGGACCACCTGAATTCAGGAGTTTGAGACCAGTCTGGCCAACATAGTGAAGCCCATCTCTACTAAAAATACAAAAATTAGATGGGCATGGTGGTGCACACCTGTAATCTCAGCTACTCAGGAGGCTGAGGCAGGAGAATCACTTGAACCCGGGAGGTGGAGGTCGCAGTGAGCTGAGATTGCACCATTGCACTCCAGCCTGGGCAACAAGAGCGAAACTCCGTCTCAAAAAAAAAAAAAAAAAGAAAAAGAAAGATAGAGAGGGAGGGAGGGAGGGAGGAAGGAAGGAAATGGTAACTCTGTGTCCTCCAGAATCACCCAATATACCTAACTGATTTTGCATTATGCAGTGCATGTTATACTACCAACATGCCTGGGAATGATGTTAACTTATTTTTTCCACTATTCCTGTTTCACTTTCTTAGCAGTTGGATAAAGCCATTGAATACATATACTCCAGTTATTTAAAAACACCTCATCTGTACTTTTGTATATCATAATAATACTTTAAAAGCTATATACATATGACATATGTACTGCTTAACTAGTTTCTCAAATAACCGTATTTTTTATCCCAGAGTCCATTCTAAGTTTCTTACCATGGAGCTTCAGTGCTCTTGACAGCAAGCATGCCATTTATACCAAGGACAGTATAGAAGAAATCCTTCATATTTTTCTATTACATCATCATAAAATGGTATGGGAATGGTAACACACTTAAAATATTTATCTTATATTTATGTAAGTCTTAACTTTAGCATGGCACATAAGCATGTTGGTGGAAGTGGTTGATTGTTGTAGTTTGAATATTGTTATCTTTGAAGCTGAGACCTCTGTACTTTTCAAAAAAAAATTTTTTTTTGAGACAGGGTCTTGTTCTGTTGACCAGGCTGGAGTACAGTGGCACGATCACTGCTTACTCTAGCCTTGACCTCCTGGGCTCAAGAGATCCTATCACCTCAGCCTTCCAAGTAGCTGGGATTACTGGCTGACTTTTGTATTTTCTATAGTGACAGGGTTTCGCTATGTTGCCAAGGCTGGTCTTGACCTCCTGGGCTCAAGCAATCTGCTCACCTCAGCCTTCCAAAGTGCTGGGATTACAGGCGCAGGCCACCATGCCTGGCCCAAAATTGAATTTTAATTCAGTTTTTAAAGGATATTTAACTCAGCGCTTTTTTTGTTTGTTTGCATAGGATTAATTTTGACTACATTTGTGGGAAAGCTTTTTTTTTGCGGGGGGTAGAAGTGATTATTTCATTGTTTTAAAGTCCATTTATTAAGGTATTTTTTAAGCTTATGTTTATCACAAATAGTTACTTAAATGGAAAGCCTTGGCTGGGCGCAGTCGCTCACTCCTATAATCCCAGCATGTTGGGAGGCTGAGGTGGGCAGATTACCTGAGGTCAGGAGTTCAAGACCAGCCTGGCCAACGTGGTAAAATCCTATCTCTACTAAAAAAAAAATAACAAAAATTAGCTGGGTGTGGTGGCAGGAGCCTATAATCCAAGCTACTTGGAAAGCTGAGGCAGGGAGAATTGCTTGAATCCAGGAGGCAGAGGTTGTAGTAAGTAGAGATTGCACCACTGCACTCCAGCCTGAGCAACAGAGCAAGACTCCATCTCAAAAAAAGAAAGAAAGTTTTTGTTTTTGTTTTTGTTTTGTTTGTTTTTGTTTGTTTGTTTTGAGACGGAGTCTTGCTCTGTAGCCCAGGCTGGAGTGCAGTGGTGCAATCTCGGCTCACTGCAAGCTCCACCTCCTGGGTTCATGGCATTCTCCTGCCTCAGCCTCCCTCCCGAGTAGCTGGGACTACAGGTGCCTGCCACCACGCCCAGCTAATTTTTTGTATTTTTAGTAGAGACTGGGTTTCACTCTGTTAGCCAGGATGGTCTCGATCTCCTGACCTCATGATCCGCCCGCCTCGGCGTCCCAAAGTGCTGGGATTGCAGGTGTGAGCCACCGCGCCTGGCCAAAAGAAAGTTTTAAACATGTTTTTGCGTATTGGGGGTCCTATGATAGGAATGAAAATGTGAAAAACAATTTTAATGAATATTTGATTTCCTTGTAAGCCCTTTAACAGTTTTATAAACATAATGATATGACTGTTTTGCATTAGGCTTCACTTTCTTGTGTTAATAACCAAATGCTTTCCAGATCCATCTATTTTGTTATTACTGATAATAATACAAATTAGAGGACTACTAAAATAAAAATTTTTTTGTAAAGTTGTATGTCAAGACTTTAATGGGATGTATTAAGAATGAGTCATTAATTAAATAGTAGCATTAAAAATTAATTGGGCAGATGAAAATTTGTCTTTATAAAGTCTGGGCAAAGAGTTTTTAAGTTAAATTTTAATAATTCTTGATAATATCCAGAAATAAAAACTGCTAGTGTTTACTCTTGTCTGTGCTTAGAAGAAAGCTACATAGACATGATTAGCATTAATTCTGATTAAAAGAAAGAATGTATAGAAATAATTAAAAATATAACACTTTGCTTTTTAACCGACCAAAATGGGAGAAAAACAATTCTTAGACATTGAATAGAAGCTTTTACATCTTGCTTAGAAGATTTTTGGTTTTTGTTAGCAGAACCAAATGTAGAATTTAATCTTTGTCAGAACAAAATTGGCACAGATATGTAGTGAAAAAAATCTACACAAATTAAGGTAGGTGTGGATATAAAATATATTTAAGAATGGCCTGGCGCAGTGGTTCATGTCTATAATCCCAGCACTTTGGGAGGCTGAGACGGGCAATCACCTGAGGTCAGGAGTTCGAGACCAGCCTAGCCAACATGGTGAAACCCTTTCTCTACTAAAAATACAAAAATTAGCTGGGTGTGGTGATGTGCGCCTGTAGTCCTACCTGCTCAGGAGGCTAAGGCAGGAGAATCACTGGAACCTGGGAGGTGGAGGTTGCAGTGAGCCAAGATCATGCCACTGCACTCCATCCTGGGTGACAGAGTGAGACTCTGTTTCAAAATATATATATAATATGTAATATATTATAAAATATATTGTATTATAAAAGTATAATATAATACAATATAAAATATAAAATATGTATTATAAAAATATATATTATATATACATATATAATTTAAGAAGAATAAAATATGAAGTCAAATTTTAAAACTACAAATACAACTATTAAAAAATACATTGTACATTTTTAATTAGTTGTAACAGAACATTTCCCTCTTTTCCCTGAATTTTTTTAAAGTTTGAATTTAGCATCCATCAATCCATACAGATGAGTAAGTTACCTGTATCTAAAAAAAAGGAATGATACAGATCCTCAATGCTTAAGAATGAGACTATATACTCCTATTAAAAATCAAGAAATACATTAGAGTGGCCTTCATTATTATTTACAGAAATTAATGAGAAGAAAAATAAAAAAAGAACAGATTCTGTTTGTGTCTATAACTAAATTAACTTTGTTTTAAAATTCTCACTTGAAATTGTATGTATAAATTGTATTTTACAATAAATGTGTCTTCTAGCTTGGTGGTTTGTGACTCAGACACTAGAGACATTGAGGTTTCATTTATAGAATATATTAAAACTTTTTTATTTCCATTGATTAGAAATACATTTTATTCTGTAGTTTTTATGAGAGACCAAGCATTCTTCTATTTAGTATAGTAAAACGAAGTTTTGTAATATTTTTCTTTAATGAAAAATGTGTTTGCCAATTAAATTTGCTCTAATGTTAAGCATGATTAAATCACATATTTAATCTGTGTAACAACTAGGAATTTAATATAAATTTTATTTGAACATCTTTCTCTAATAAAAATTAGACATCACTTTATGAAATTGAGAAATTGTTTGTCTTACCAATTAGTGTAAAAAGATTCTGCTAAATGGAACTTAAGTTAGATAGAATTCATCTGCATGTCCCACATCTTTGGATTCAACCAACCACATATCAAAAAATATTCAAGGAAAAAAAAACAATAAGAAACAACAATACAGGGCAGGACGAGGTGGCTCACGCCTGTAATCCCAACACTTTGGGAGGCTGAAGCGGGCAGATCACGAGGTCAGGAGTTCGAGACCAGCCTGGCCAATATGGTGAAACCCTGTCTCTACAAAAAAATACAAAAATTAGCCAGGCGTGGTGGCACGCACCTGTAGTCCCAGCTACTCGAGAGGCTGAGGCAGAAGAATCACTGGAACCCGGGAGGCGGAGGTTGCAGTGAGCCGAGATCGCACCACTGCACTCCTGCCTGGGCGATAGGGACAAAACTCTGTCTCAAAAACAAACAAACAAACAAAAGAATACAATTATAAAATATAATACAAATTAAGAAACAGTATAACAACTTTTACATAGCATTTACATTGTTTTAGATATTATAAGTAACCTAGAGATGATTTAAAGTATACAGGAGGATTATGTAGATCATATGCAAATAGTACACCTTTTTATATAGGGCACTTGAGCATTCATAGATTTTGATATCCGCTGGAGGTTGTGGAACTAATTCCTCCCTATAATAAGGGACAACTGTAATTGTTTTGTAAATTCTAAGTCTGCTATTAAATTCTAAGTCTGCCATTAGTGAAGTTCTATGGTCTGAATGTCCTCCAAAATTCATGAATAGTATTATAATACTACCAATGTGATAGTTAAGAGCTGGAGCACTTGTGAGGTGATTAAGTCATAAGGGCAGAGCCTTCATGGATGGGATTAGGGCCCTTGAAAAAGGGCTTGAGGGGAGTGGGTTCACTGTCTTCTTTTCTGTCATGTTAAGAGACAACATTCCTCCTCTCTAGAGGAAGCAGCAACAAAGTGCCATCTTGAAAGCAGAGAGTAGCTCTCACCAGATACCAGTCCAGCTGGCATCTTGATGTTGGAGTTCCCAGACTCCAGAACATGGCAGATAAGCAGCATAGATAAAGTTCTAGGAGTTGTGAGTTGATAAAATTCCTTGTAATTAAGAGTGAATAAAATATATTGTAGGTTTTGTGGATGTGGCTTTACAACTGGGCCCAGAAAAGGGTAGGATTCAGATGGGTAGAAAGAAGTAAGAAGCAACATTAGGAGTGACTGATTAATCAAAGTGCTGAGGCAAAATATTGAACAGCATTTTTCCACTGATTTATTGTAAGCTCTATGAAGAATAAACTTTGAAAAATCAGTTTGTTTCTAACCCCAGCTCTTTTTTTTTGTCCTCTAAGAGACAGGGTCTTGCTCTGTCACCTAGGCTGGAGTGCAGTGGTGTGATCAGAGTTCACTGCAACCTCAAACTCCTGGGCTCAAGTGATCCTCCTGACTCAGCTTCCAAAGTACCTAGGACTACAGGCCTGCACCACCACACTCAGCTCATTTTTTTAAAAAAGGTGGGGTCTCACTGTGTTGCCCAGGCTTGTCTCAAACTCCTGGCCTAAAGCAATCCTCTCATCTTGGCCTCCCTAAGTGTTGGGATTATAAGCTTGAGCCACTGTGCCTGACCCTGGAGCTTTTTAATAATAGTGTTGATGTGCTTGGAGCAACCTAAGTATTGATTTTCTATACAATCCAAAAACTTCCAAGGAAAGTGTATCACAGTTTTACAAGGGAGATTGTATGTTATCAGCCCCACTGAGGATACTGGGTGTGTCTGCTACCACCCTATATTCCTTGCTCCGTTACCACATGCTACTTCTGGTATCCAGGATTACCAGAAGACAATCCTTGCAAGCTATAGGCACTCAATAAATGTTGAAATAATGAGCAGACACGTTGCTTTGGTTTTTTGTGTTTTAAATTGCTTAAAGAAGTTAAGTAGTAATTATCTGGTAGCAGTGCATATGTACTAATATGTTTTAGACAGAGTAAATATTGTCTTCTTGCTAAAGAAAATCTTCAGTTCAAGTTACTATTCAATTATGTAAGAAATATTTATAACTATTAGAAATTTTAAAATTATTATTGCTTTGGATAAAATTATAAAATGAATAGTCAGATTTTTAACTCCTAAGAAGTATTGAGAAAGAAAGCATTGATTTAGGGGATTATTAAAGTCAGCTCACTATTTTATAAAAATGTGATGAGAAGGGCTAAACATTCTTAATATATGAAGTAGCAGTAGTCCATATTAAAATATTTTTATATTGAGGAGAAAAAGTAGGCAGTTTTCAATACTATATAATATATAGTACTTACTAGAAAGGGCTAAACATTCTCTTTTTCTTTGTTTTTTTTGTTTTTTTTTTTTTGTGGGATGGTGGGGGACACGGTCTTGCTCTGTTGCCTAGGCTGGAGTGCAGTGGTGCAGTCACAGCTCACTGCAGCCTCAAACTCCTGGGCTCAAGTCATCTGAGTAGCTGGGACCATAGGTGCACGCTACCATGCCCAGCTAATTTTTTATTTTTTGTAGAGCTGGGGTATTGCTATATTGCCCCGCTGGTCTCAAACTCAATGGACTCAAGCAATCCTCCCACCTCAGCATCCCAAAGTGTTGGGATTACAGGCATGAGCCACTATGCCTGGCCTAGTAAAATATTTTTATACTAAGTAGAGAGAGTAGATTCGTGGAAAACTCTTAAACTCACCAGGTACTGCAATGAAACTTCTAGCATTGGTGATTAGCATACTAATATGTACTGGGCAAATTTATAATCGTTAGTAATTTGCAATGGAGTCTTTTCATTCTGATATTAAAAGTATTTTACAAACACTAAACTTTCAAAATCTCTCTTATAATAGGTATTGTTAAATTAATTCCATATTTCATATGAAAAAACAAAAGCTGAGGGAGGCAAAGTTACTTACCTAAGACCACACAGTATTTAACTGATGGAACCTGAGTAGTTCCAAATTTCCGTTACTCAACTCTAACCCGCATATAAAATAAAATCAGTGTAATGCTAAGAAATACTATTGTACCTCCAAGAATAAACTTGACAATAAAAATATTGTCATGGCAGTTTAAAGAAATGTCTTTATTAAAATGAGGATTCCAAGGTAAAATCCTCTAAGTATAAACATATTTATATAAGATATTTATATTTAAGAAGATAGTAATTTCATTCAATATTTTGTTTTTAATATCATGATCATTAAGTTACATAGATTCTCTTCTGGTAAGCAAAGTGCAAAAAAAGCCAAAATTGTTATAGACTGTGATTCAAATACTCTTTCATATAGCCAGGGTGATAAACTACTTATTTATTGAACTTGACTGTTTAAATATAAAAATGATTGTCCTAATGGAGAAAGCCCCTAAAAAGCAAGTAGCTCCTTTTGCATAAAAGACTTTTACATTATTTTGGATTTTAGTGAACAGTGTTTTTTTCTATTGTAATTTCTGATTAGATATCACATTATTTATGAATTGTTTGTTATGGTAGGAGTATAGTATCTTTTGGAAGAATTTATCTTAGTATATATTAACCAATGAGTCAATTAAGATTAGCCAATTTCAATATTATCCTTAAGCAGTATTACCATTGTAATGCTAGAATAGACATATCCCAGACCATTAAAAACCTGACAATTCTTTATCCAAAAAAAACAAGCAGGCAAAATATTTACAAAACTATTAAAAGATTGGGGAGCTAAAGTAGTGGCAAATGCATTACTCTGAAAATCCTCACACATCCTCTGAAAACCAATAAAGATGAACAAATAAGACTACACATAACCAGGCTGGGCACAGTGACTCACACCTGTAATCCCAGCACTTTGGGAGGCTGAGGCAAGTGAATCACCTGAAGTCAGGAGTTCAAGACCAGCATGACCAATATGGTGAAATCCTGTCCCTACAAAAATACAACAATTAGCCGAGTGTGGTGGCACGCACCTGTAGTCGCAGCTACTTGGGAGGCTGAGGCATGGAGAGTCACTTGAACCCGGGAGGTGGAGGTTGCAGTGAGCCGAGATGGCGCCACTGCACTCCAGCCTGGGTGACAGAGCAAGACTCCGTCTCAGAACAAAACAAAACAAAACAAAAAAACACTGCATATAACCATATGTTAATGTTAGAATGCAGAGAATGTTCCAACTTCAAATTATCTGTAAGTAGAAAAATACATACTAAATCCTAGCCAGCCATTATTCATGCCTTTGTGCAAGCTGTGGTGGAAAGCAAGGGTGATCTGGGAAAAACTGCACAGGAGAAGAAAGAAGCTAGTGACAGGCTTAAGATACTGATCTAAAGACATTTCCAGAAGAATTTGCTCCTAAGAAATACTGATAGATCAGAGGAGACTACAGGGAAGGGACTTAAAAGTGTATATGGGACTCAAAAAGGCAGTTTTGGAAAGGCACTCATTAGGGGAGAAGAGGGTAAAAAAGGAAGGGATAAATGCCCTCTGAAAACTAAACAGTTAAGAAAAATATAGAAGGGAAAAATTTAGGATCCTGCAAGACAGAAAAATATTTTTTTAATTGGAGGACAAATCTCACGCTGCCTTGCCCCCAAATCCAACTAATAAAGAAACCATACTTTAGTAAAAGCAGAAGTCATTTTTGAACTGGGAATCTTGTAAGCTATTTCAAACAGCCAGTCCTGTTCACAGAAAAGAAGAAGTGACAGGACCTTTAACTATATATAAACAATTTTGAAAGAAAATAGAAAATGAAGGTAAAATAAAAAATAGGCAATGAGGTTCATTTGTGAAAATACCTATAACCCCCTCCTAAGAAACACAGGCATAAAGATAGATATATAGACCAGGTGTGGTGGCTCACACTTGTCATCCCAGCACTTTGGGAGGCTAAGGTTGGGGATCGCTTGAGGTCAAGAGTTCAAGACTAGTCTGACCAGCATGATGAAACCCTGTCTCTACTAAAACAAACAAAAGGACTCAGCCAGGCATGGTGGCATGCGTGTCTGTATTCCTAGCTACTCAGGAGGCTGTGGCAGGAGAATCACTTGAACCCAGGAGGCAGAGGTTGCAATGAGCCAAGATCACGCCACTGCACTCCAGCCTGGGCGACAGAGTGAGACTGCATCTCAAAAAAAATAAAAATAAAAAATAAAAAAAGATATATAGATCAATGGAATAGAACTGAGACTTTATAACTAGACCCTTATATTTATGGTCAATTCATTTTCTTCAAGAATGCCAAGGTAATTCAATGGGGGAAGAAAAACCTCTCTAACAAATGATGCTGGGATAAATGGAAATTGACATGCAGAGAATGAAGTTGGACCCCTACCTCACACCATGCACAAAAATTCATTTAAAAATGGATTAAAGATCTAACTTTAAGTACTAAAACTATACAACTTGTAGAAAAAATTGTAATGTGAATATTACATGTAAGTATTCTTGACCTCAGACTTACTAGTGGTTTTTTTTTTTAGATATGACACCTTCAAGTATAAGCAACCAAAGAAAACTAGATAAATTGGACCTCATAAAGTAAAACAAACAAAAACCTTTTGCTTCAAAGGATACCACTAAGCAAGCGAAAAGACAACACATAGAATGTGAGAAAAAGGTTGTAAATCCTATATATGACAAGGCACCTGTATCCAGAATAAAGAACCTCTTAAAACTCAACAATAAAAACACAAATAATCTAATTGTAAAATAGCTTACAATCATTATTGTAAAATTGGCAAAGGATTTAAATAGATATTTTTCTAAAGAAGATATAAAAATAGTCAATAAATGCATAAAAAATAGACAATAAATATATGCTCAGCCTCAGCAGTCATTAGGGAAATGTAAATCAAAACCACAAGGGAAGTATTTATTCACACACACTAATATGGCTACAATAAAAAACCTAGACAGTAAAAAATGTTGATGAGGATGTAGAAAGTTGGTACCTGCATATATTGCTGTTAGGAATGTAAAATGGTACAGCTGTTTGGGAAAGCAGTTTAGCAGTCCTCAAAAGTTTAATTATAGTTACCATATGACTCAGCAATATCGTTACTAAGTATATACTCAGGAGGACTGAAAACACATGTCACACAAAACCCTATACACAAATGTTCATGTCATAGTAGTCAAAATGTGGAAACAACTGAAATGTGCAACAATGGATGAATGGATAAACAAAATGTGGTATATCCATCCAGTGGAATATTATTTAGCCTTAAAAAGGAATGAAGTTCTGCTGCATGCTGCAACATGGATGAACCTTGAAAACATTATCATTAGAGATGGAAACCAAACATAAAAGGTCACATTGTATTATTCCATTTATATCACTGTCCAGAATAGGCAAATCCATAGAGATACAAAACAGATAAGTGGTTCCCAGGTACTGGGAAAAGCAAGAGGTAGGAGTGACTGCTAATGAGTATAGGGTTTCTTTTTGAGGTGATGAAAATGTTCTGCAACTAGATAGTGGTGTTTGTTTTATGAACTTGTGAATATACTAAAAGCCACTGGATTATATATTTTATGTATTTGTTTGTTAGGACTGTCATAACAAATAATACTACAGGCTGGTGGCAACAGAAATGTATTTTCTCACCGTGTGGAGTCTAGAAGTCCACAGTCAAAATGTCTCAAGGGTTGTTTTCATTCTCAGGCCTCTTTTTTGGCTTGTAGATGGCTAACTTCCCTGTGGCCTCACATGGTCACCCCTTGGTCTGTGTGTTGTCTGTGTCCTAACCTCCTCTTATAAGGACACCAGTCATATTGAATTAGGGCCCACATATATGACATTTTACCTTACTTGTCTCTTTAAAGGTCCCATCTCCAAATTCAATCACATTCTAAGGTACTAGAGGTGTTAGGACTTCCACACGTGAATTTAGTTGGGGAGGGAGACACAACACTTGAAAACCTAGGGGTGAATTTTATGATATGTAAATTATACCTCAATTTTGAAAAATATAAGAACCTACTTTTCTTTCCAAATAAGTTTGAAAACTTAAATGAAAAAAGTAATTTTCAGCTGGGCACAGTAGTACACACCTGTCAGTCCCAGTTACTCAAGAGGCTGAGGAAGGAGGATTGCTTGAGACCAGGAGTTTAAGGCTGCATCTGTGAATAGTCACGGTACTCCAGCCTGGGCAACATAATGAGACCCCATCTCTTAAAAAAAAAAAAAAGATGGTCAGGTGCAATGACTCACACTTTGAGAGGTCAAGGTGTGAGGATCCCTTGAATCTAGGAGTTTAAGACCAGCCTGGACAACATAGTGAGACCCTGACTCTACAAAAAATAAAAACTTAGCCAGGTATGGTGGCACATGCCTATGGTCGCAGCTACTTGGGAGACTCAGATGGGAGGATCGCTTGAGCCTTGGAGGTGGAGACTGCAGTGAGCCATGATCTCACCATTGCGCTTAGCCTGGGAGGCAGGGTGAGACCCTGTCTCAAAAAAAAAAAAAAAAAAGTTTATTTTTAAGGCAAATATATTTCATCAAAATTGGCCACATTTGAGAAAGTTTAATTTCTGTAGAAGAAATAGAAAAGAATATCAAGGATCCACCTCATAAAAAAGCACCAGTCCCAGATGGTTTTATAGAGATAATCTGTGAAACACTCAAAGATATTCTCAATGCTCCGTAAACTGGTGCTGAGCATTGAACATGGATAATACCAATTCCTAAAGACAGCACAAAAAAAGAAAAAAAATTACAAACCAATATCAATTGTATGTATTGATACCATTACTAAATAAAATATTAACAAACAAATTCCAATGTCATATGTTAGGAAAATAAGCTGGGCATGGTGGCTTACACCTATAAACCCAGTGCTTTTGGAGGTCAACACAGGAGGATCACTTGAAGCCAGGAGTTCAAGACCAGTGAGACCCTATGTCTACAAAAAAATTTGAAAATTAACTGGCATGGTGGCACGTACCTGTAGTCCTAGCTACTTGGGAAACTGAGAAAGGAGGATGGCTTGAGCCAAGGGGTTCAAGGCTGTGAGCTATTGTACTCGATAGTACTACTGAGCTGTGGTACCATTGTGCTACAGCCTTGGTGACAGAATGAAACTCTGTCTCTAAAATAAAATAACATATTATGACCATATGGGATTTACAGTTGACCCTTGAGCAAAACAAGTTTGAACTGCACAGGTCCATTTATTTGTAGATTTTTTTTATTTTTTAATTTTTTATTTTAAAGAGACAGGCCTCACTATGTTGCCCAGACTGATCTTGAACTCCTGGCCTCAAGTGATCCTCCAGCCTCAGCCTCCTGAGTAACTGCGATTACAGGCGTGTGCCACCATGCCCAGATTCTGCAGACTTGTTTCAATAAATATATTGGAATATTTTCTGAAGATTTGTGACAATTTGAAAAAACTTGCAGATGAACCACATAGCCTAGAAATATTGAAAAAAATTAAGAAGCCAGGCACGGTGGCTCATGCCTGTAATCCCAGCGCTTTGGGAGGCCGAGGTGGACAGATCACCTGAGGTCAGGAGGTCAAGACCAGCCTGGCCAACATGGTGAAACCCCGTCTCTACTAAAAATACAAAAAATTAGCTGGCCATGGTACTGTGCGTGCCTGTACTCCCAGCTACTCGGGAGGCTGAGGCAGGAGAATCGCTTGAACCTGGGAGTCAGAGGTTACCGTGAGCTGAGATTGTGCCACTGCACTCTAGCCTGGGCAACAGAGTGAGACTCCATCTCAAAAAGAAAAAAAAAATTAAGAAAAAGTTAGGTATATCATGAATGCATGAAATATATGTAGGTACTAGTCTATTTTATCATTTGCTACCATAAAATATACACAAATCTGATATAAAAAGTTAAAGTTTGTCAAAACTTACACATATAAACATAGATCATACATGGCATCATTCACAGTGGAGAGAAATGTAAGCAAGCAGAATGATGCAGTATTAATAACTGCATAAAGTTAATTGTAGCACGTTGTACTGCTGTAGTAATTTTGCAGCTGCTTCCTATTGCTATTGTGGTGAGCTCAAGTGTTCATAGTATATGCTTAAAAGTCCTTATGATACTTATCATCTCCAGATGAGCAGTTCATCTCTTCAGTAAATGGCACTGTATCACAGTAAAAAGTGATCTTTTGCAATTCTCATGTATTCTTTATCCTGTTTAGTGTAATACCGTAAACCTTGAGTAACACTATAGGATCCATACCAAGCGCTACTAGTGATGCTGGAGTTGCTACCAAGAAGCAGTGAAGTCATGACATTACAATAAGAAGTCGAATTGCTTGAGATGTACTATAGATTGAGGTGTGCAGCTGCAGATGCCTTTTTTTCCATTTCAGACAGGCAATTCTGTAAACAATCTTGTAAACAGATGACATAAACTTACAGTATCAGTAAATACAGTACAGTACTGTAAATGTATTTTCTCTCATGATTTTCTTAATAACCTTTTCTCTAGCCTACTTTATTGTAAGAATACAGTATTGTATGTAACATAAAAAATATGTGTTAATTGACTATGTTATAGGTAAGGCCTCTGGTCAATAGTAGGCAATTATTAGTTAAGTTTTTGGGGAGTCAAAAGTTATGTGCAGATTTTCACCTGAGTAGGGAGTCAGCACCGCTGCCCCCACATTGTTCAAGGGTCAACTGTATTCCAAAAACACAAGATTGTTTCAATATTAGGCAATCCATTAATATACGATATTAATAAATATAGAGATAAATCATATAATTATCTCCGTAGATGCTGCAAAGACCTTTAACAAAAATCAACATCTTCTGATAAAAGCACTCAAGAAAATAGGAATTGATGGGTATTTTCTTAACATGATAAATATATATACACACCTTTGATGTATAGGTATATGTATATATACACACACACACCTTAAAGTCATCATCATAATGGAAAACACCAAGGACATTTTTACTAGTACCATCAGGAGCAAGGCAAGGATATCTAGTAATTACGCTATTATTCATCATATTACTGGGAATATTAGCCAATACAGTTAAACAAGAGGAATCAGTAGAAGTACAACAGAACAGAAGAAATAAAACTATCTCTATTTGCAGATGATATGATAGTATATCTGGAAAACCCTAGAGCAGGGTTTAGCAAACTGAGAGCCAAATTTAGCCATATATACTTGGTTTTGTATTGCCTCTGTCATCTTTTGCACTACACCAGCAGAGTTGAACAGTTGTGATAGGAACTTTTTGGCACACAAAAATGAAATATTTACAGTCTGGTGTTTTTACTGAAAAGATACAGTGTGCGGACTTCTGCACTAGAAAATCAATGGTAAAACTAACTCAAATAATAAATCAGTAACTAGTAGCCTATAAAATTGGCATTCAGAAATTAATATTTTATATATATATGTATCAATAACTACCAGTTAGAAAATAGAGTGGTAAGGGAAACCCCAATTAAATAACAATGAGGAAGATAAAATACTTAGGAATAAATGTAACCAGAAGTATGTAAAAGCTATTTGAGAAAAGCTTTAAAATACTTGTGAAAGACAATCTCAATAAAAATACCAACATGGCCTTTTGGCTCTATGAGCAGCACCACGGCAGTTGGCGAGAATGAGCGCCTTATGAAAGGTGGCAGAAGGGAGCCAAGACGAAAGTGGCTGATCTATTTTCTAAGAAAGATTGATATAATGTGAAAGCACCTGCTATGTTCAATATAAGAAATGTTGGAAAGACGCTAGTCACCAGGATCCAAGGAACCAAAACTGCATCTGATGGCCTCAAGAGTCATGTGTTTGAAGTGAGTCTTGCTGATTTGCAGAATGATGAAGTTGCATTTAGAAAAATTCAAACTGATTACTGAAGACATTCAGGGCAAAAACTGCCCAACTTCCATGTCATGGATCTTACTTGTAACAAAATGTGTTCTATGGTCAAAAAATGGCAGACAATGATCGAAGCTCCTGTTGATGTCAAGACTACTGATAGTTACTTGCTTCATCTGTTCTGTGTTGACTTTACTAAAATACACAACAATCAGATATGGATGACCTCTTATGCTCAGTACCAGCAATTCTGCCAAATCTGGAAGAAGATGATGGAAATCATGACCCAAGAGGTGCAGACAAATGACTTGAAAGAAGTGGTCAATAAATTGATTCCAGACAACATTGGAAAAGACATAGAAAAGTCTTGCCAATCTATTTATCGTCTCCATGATTTCTTTGTTAGAAAAGTAAAAATGCTGGCCAGGAACAGTGGCTCATGCCTCTAATCCCAGCACTTTGGGGCTGAGGTGGGCGGATAATTTGAGGTCAGGAGTTTGAGACCAGCCTGGCCAACATGGTGAAACCCCATCTCTACTAAAAATACAAAAAAATAAGCCGGGTGTGGTGGTGTGCACCTGTAATCCCAGCTACTCAGGAGGCTGAAGCAGGAGGATGACTTGAACCTGGGAGGCAGAGGTTGCAGTGAGCCGAGATCGTGCCACTGCACTCTAGCCTGGGAGACAGAGTGAGACTCCATCTCAAAAAAAAAAAAAAAAAGGAAAGTAAAAATGCTGAAGAAGCCCAAGTTTGAATTGGGAAAACTCATGGAGCTTCATGGTGAAGGTAGTAGTACTGGAAAAGCCACTGGGGATGAGACAGGTGTTAAAGTTGAATGAGTTGATGGATATGAACCACCAGTCCAAGAATCTGTTTAAAGTTCAGACTTATAATAGTGGCAAATAAAAAGTCCTATTTGTGAGAAAAATACGTGCGCTTTTATGGAGCTAGACAAGTTGATGTAGAATAGAATTCTAGTCAGGAATTGTTTCAGGCAAAAATCATTAATGGATTTTACGGTATTTTGTGAAGAGTTGGTTACAAGGAGGATGTTTTTACATACTCAAAATATCTCCCCACAAGATACTAATCAAAAATGGAAAAAAAAATAGCAACTATACAATGGACATACATGACATATACCACCTTTACCAAGTTGTGAAAGTTAACACTAACAGTAGTGGGACCAATAGCATGCATCTCGACAGGATTCACAAGAGCACATCGCTTCTGCTGTATTACTGCAAAAATGCATAACCTGAACATAAACATGAAGAACAATCAGTAAAGCCCAAATTGAGGGACATTTCACAAAATAAATGGTTTGTACTTTTCAAAAATGTCAAGGTCATGAAAAACAAAGACTGAAGAATGCATTCCAGATCAAAGAAGTCCAAAGAGGTATGACAATTAAAAATAATGTATGACCCTCGATTGGATCATGGGTTAGAATGGAACCAATTTTTATTTTATATTACTCTTTTTTCATATTTTTGTTATAAAGTACATTAGTGAAACAATTGGTGAAATGTGACGGTCTGTATTGGATAGTATTGTATTAATACTAACTTCCTTATTTTGATAAATGTACTTTTAACAGAAATATACATTGAAATATTAAGGAGTAAAAGGGAATGATGAAAAATATCTTTATAAAGGGAGTAGAAAGAGACTGATAAGTTAAATGTGGCAAAACGTTGAGTTTGGGCAATCTGAGTAACATGTATATGGAAATTCCTTGTAGTTTTTAAAAAATAAATGTCTGGGCTGGACCTGGTGTCTCATGCTTGTAGTCCCAGCATTTTGGGAAGCTGCTTGAGCTTAGGAGTTCAAGGCAAGCCTGGACAACATAACAAGACCTCATCTCTACTAAAAATTAAAAAAAACTAGCTGGGTGTGGTGGCACATGCCTGTAGTCCCAGGTACTCGGAAGGCTGAGGCAGGAGGATTGCTTGAGTCAGGGAGATCAAGGTGGCAATGAACTAGGATCTCACACTGCCTTTCAGCCTGGGTGACAGATCAAGACTCTGCCTTAAAAAACAATAGTAAAATAGAAAATAAACTTTTACTTTATAATAATTTAAGATATGTAAAAGTAGATAAAAGAAAAAATTTGTCCTGTACTCACAACATTTCTGATACCAAATGTATCAATTTTCCACACCAAGAATTCTCCAGTTTACTGTGGACACCAATGCAATTCAATTTTGTTCTGATGCTATCCACCTAGAGTTAGCATCAGACCCCACAGGCTAAGTAGGGCTTAGTCCCACAAGACTGCCTCAATTCCAGCTTCAGACACCAATCAAAATCCCAGTTCTCCAGTACTTCTGACTAACTTGACTACAAATTGGGAGTTCCCATAACCTCTGCCTCATGTTCAACGATTTATTATAATAGCTTACAGAACTCAGGGACACACTTTACTATTACCAGTTTATTATAAAGGATACAAATGCGCAAATAGATAAAGAGGCATATAGGGTGAGGTCTGGAAGGGTCTTGAGTACAGGAGCTTCTGTCTCCATGGAGCTTTGGACACATTCTGCCTCCTGGCATGTTAATGCATTCAACCTGGAACCTCTCTGAACCTGTTAGATTAAGGTTTTCATGAAGATTCCATTACAGAGACATGATTGATTAAATCATTGTCCATTGGTGATTGACTACAGTCTCCACCCTTTCTTCCCTCCCTCAGAGGTCTGGGGAAAGGATTGAATGTTGGAACCATCTGATCACATGGTTGGTTGCCCTGGCAACCAGCCTCTATCTTGAGGCTGTTCACCTTAGTAGCATAAATTCAGGTATGGTTGAAAGGAGCTTGCTATGAATAGCAAAACATTCTCCTCCACCTCATTGTTACTCAAGAAGCTTCCAGAGTTTTATAAAGTTTGTGCCAGGAATTGGAGACAAAAACCAAATACTCTATTTTCACAGTTGAAAAAGAAAAAAATAGTACAGCAAGTTACTGTATAATACACCCTTCTCAGTTTCAGTTTCCTCTAGTGTTAATATTTTCAATTACTATGGTGCCTTTTTTTTTTTTTTTTTGAGATGGAGTCTCGCTCTGTCACCCAGGCTGGAGCGTAGTGGCGCAATCTCGGCTCACTGCAAGCTCCGCCACCCGGGTTGACGCCATTCTCCTGCCTCAGCCTCCCGAGGAGCTGGGACTACAGGCACCCGCCACCATGCCCAGCTAATTTTTTGTATTTTTAGTAGAGACAGGGTTTCACCATGTTAGCCAGGGTGGTCTCGATCTCCTGACCTTGTGATCCGTCCGCCTTGGCCTCCCAAAGTGCTGGGATTACAGGTGTGAGCCACCACGCCTGGCCTACTGTGGTATATTTTTTTAAACTAAGAAACCAACATTAGCACATTACTGTTATCTAAACCCCAGACTATTTGGATTTCACCTGTTTTTCGGTTAATGTCTTTTTAAACTCCAGACTTCATTCAGATTTCACTTATTATTTTTTTAATATCCCTCTTCTGTTCAAGATCCAATTCAGGTTACTACATTGCATTTAGTTGCTACATCTCTCAAATCTCCTCTGGTCTGTGATAGTTTCTTAGTATTGTTTTTCATGACTCTGACAGTTTGAGGAGTATTGGTGAGACATTTGTAGGCTGTTTTTCCGTTTTGGTTTGCCTTATGTATTTCTCATGATTGGAGTGGGGTTATTTGTTTTTTGGAAATAATACCGCAGAGGCAAAGTACCCTTTCATTACATCATATCAGAGGGTAGATGCTATCAACATGATCTCTCTGGTGAGGTAAACCTTGATATCTTAGTTAAGGTAGTAATCTGCCATTTTCTCTCTCTCTCTCTTTTTAAAGTAGCTCTATAGCTCAAGCTGGAATGTAATGATGCTATCATAGCTCAATGTAGCCTTGAACTCCTGGGTTCAAGGGCTCCTCCTGCCTCAGCCTCCTGAGTAGCTGGGACTACAGGCACATGCCACTACACTCAGCTAACTATTTTTAAATTTTTTGTAGAGACAAGGTCTTGGCTATGTTTCCCAAGGTGGTCTTGAACTCCTGGCCTTCAGCGATCCTCCTGCCTCAGCCTCCCAAAGCATTGGGATTACAGGTGGGGGCCACCAGGGCCAGTCTCTATTATTCTTTATTGTTAAATTCCAATTTTTCTTGTTCTTTTCTTTGGAAAGGAGTCACTAAGTCCAGCCCACTCTGAAAGGAAGGAGTTGAGGTCAGGGGGTGCAGTTAAGTTTCTCCTGGAGGGAGGAGTTTCTATATCTCTTACATATCCTGTAAGGAAGATTTCACTCTTATTTATTATTTATCATGTATTAATAACAGTATGGACTTATGTTTATTTATTTTATTCTTTGCATTATAGTGTAATATGGCATTATGTATAGTGTAATAATGCCATTATTTGTTTTGTCACTCAAATTATTCCAGCATTGGCCATGGGGAGTTCTCTGTGGTAGGCTTTTGTGGCCCTTTAACATGGCCCCATTCCTTTGTTTTTTGAGCATTACCTTGCTTTCTGGTACTACAAGATGCTTTTGCCTTTTCTTCTATTTTCTCTCATCCAGCCCTGTAATCAGCTATTTCTTCAAGGTTTCTTTGTTCCTTTTATTAGAGAATGATATTTAGAAACCAAGATCTTGGCACTAGGTAGTTTGTACATGTTTTCTTTAAGTGTAAAATTATTGCAAAAAAAATTTTAAGAGCTGAATGTTGTAAGATGCACATCCCATTTGTAATTCTTAAGTGTTCTACCTTAGTTAAGCTTCAGTTACCAAATGTTAACTTATTTATAGATACTTCTTTCTAAATAAAAATTATATTTATACTTCACTTGGTATCTGGAAGTTGTTAATAAAATTACACTACAACCTCAGTGCAACATTTTTCTATATTTTATTTGTAGCTTTTTCCATAAGGTGGAAACACCTTGTCATGTTTTGTTCTTCTTATGAAAAGCATAGAGACCTATGATTAAATCCATAAAACTTTATATAATAAAACTAATCAGTAAGCAGTCTAGTTTAATATGCATACATAAAAAGGCATAGCAGGGGCATAAAGGAAGGAGTTCTGGACATTACCATGACTCTTTTATGCAAAGATACCTCCACCCACAAATTCCACTTTAGTGAGTAAGCATGATGAGGACAGCTTGGCCTGTTTGGCAGGAAATTCTGTGTATGAAAATATAGCATTTCTTACAGAAGGTTTTAAAAATACCTTTTTGATCTATGATATATGAAAAGGTTACTACTAAATCAAATTATTTTATTCTATATCATAGAATGCCATTGTAGAAAATAAATGATTTCTTCCAGAATATTAGAATGGATAAGGAATGTGTGCAAATAAAAGTATAGCTATGCTTTAACTTTTAGTGACACTTAAGAGTATGTTACCAAATAATGTAAAGGGGAATATGAGTAAAGACAGTTACAGTGTATGGTCTGATCCCTGTTTCCCAGCTACTCGGGAGACTGAGGTGGGAGGATCACTTGAGCCCAGGAGTTTGAGGCTGCAGTGGACCATGATTGCACCACTGCACTCCAGCCTTTACAAAGAGAAAAAGAGATAATTCATCCTATCATTGTGTAGACAATATTGTCCAACTAATTACTACTTCTTCCACTTTTTCTTTATTTAGTGGGTAACCACTAAATAATTTAGTTTTTATTTAGTCTGTCAAATAATTTAGTCTTTATTTAGTTTGTCAGTTTCTTAGAAAGCTAAACGTGTACTTACTACACAACTCAGCAATCTCATTCCTAGGTTTTACTCAAGAGAAGTGAAAATTTTATGTTCATACAAAAAGCTGCACATCAGTGTTCATAGCAGCTTTATTCATGCTTGTCAAAAACCCTAAACAGCACAAATATTCGTCAGCTTTTGAATGGTTAAAGTGTGGTACATCCATGCAGTGGAATTATTCAGTAATACAAAAGAACAAACTACTGAAAATAGAACAACATGGATGAATCTCATGTGTATTATGCTAAGTGACAGAAGCCAGACTCAAAAGGCTCCTTACTGTAATGATTGCATTTATATGACATTCTGGAAAAGGTAAAAATAGGACAGGACTAACAGCAGTGGTTGCTAGCAGCTGGAGGACAGAGGGGTTGCCTACTGTGTAGGCTGAATCATGGCCTCCCAGAGATATCCACATTCGAATTTCTAGAACCTGAAAGTGTTACCTTATAAAGCAAAAAAGACTTTGTAGATATGACTGAAAATCTTGAGATGGGGCAGTTGTCTTGGATTATCTGAGTAAGCTCTAAATTTAATCACAAAGATACTTAAAGAGAAAAAAGAGTTAGTAGGGGAGAAGACATAGCACAGATTGCAGTAATGTAGCCAGGAACCAAGGAATACTGGTAGTCCCTGGAAGCTGAAAGGAACAAGAATCAGATATCTTCCCTGAAGCTTCTAGAAGGAACCAGCCCTGTTAACACCTTGATTTTAGCCTCATACAATTCATTTCACGCTTCTGACATGAGGAACTATGTTTGTGTTATTTTAAGGAACCAAGTTTATGGCAATTTTTTATAGCAGCAACAAGAAAACTAACCCAACTACAAAGGGGCATAAGGGAATATTTTGGAGTGATGGAACTGTTCTATATTTTGGTTGTGGTGGTGGTTATGACTCTATGTGTTTGTTTTAACTTATAGAACAATATGCTAAAAAGTGTGATTTTAGCCAAGCATGGTGGCACATGCCTGTAGTCCCAGTTTCTCAGGAGGCTGAGGTAGAAGGATTGCTTGAGCCCAGGAGGTTTGATACCAGTCTGAGAGTTTGAGACCAGCCTGGAGAGCATAGCAAGAACCCATCTCTAAATAAAATAGTGTGAACTTACTGTATGTTAGTTATACTATAATAAACCTGACTTTTAAAGAAATGTTTTGTTCAGAACGTATTTTCCCAAAGAAAAAAAATTAGACATTAGACATGCTGCTTGGTGTCTTGGACAGCCCAAGGAAAGCCTATACATTTGTCGAAAGTATAATACAGATGGCAACTCTATACAAGTACATAGAGCATAAATAATAATGCTCCATGGGGGAAATGCACTCCGAATTCTTACACAGTTAGCCAAAAATAACAAAGAGATTTAAAAAGAAAAAAAAAAGGTGATGTAAGGGAAAGTCTGCTGGGAGGACTCCTAGAAAGGTGTGTGTGGGGGGGGGGAGGGGTGGCAGTTTATCTCTAAAACAGAGATGCTTGAGAAGAAATGGTGCTTTTTTTCATCTTCTGGAATAATTGCAAGAGAATGCAGTGTTTGGAACTCCTGCAGCCAAGAAGAAAACAGAGGAAATTGCAGAGAAATTGAGCTGGTGTTCTATTATTGAGTTGATGAATTAGTCAACCCTGGAACTGTTCTGTCTTCTCGTTATATGAAATAATCAGCATTCTCTGCCCCTGCATCACCAACCAATGCCCCTACATAGTTGGCTGTGCTATTTTCCATAGCCAAGAGCTTCTGTGCACAGTATCTTCTATTGTCTCCCCAGATTTACTTCAACATTCTCCATTCTGCACTCCATTCTGGATGGTTGAACAATATTAGTGGGCTCTCTTGCCTTCCAGTTCCAAATGTTTTGGCCAATAGAAAGAGCCTGAAGGCCAGGTTTGGTGGCTCACACCTGTAATCAGCACTTTGGGAAGCCCAGGCAGGAAGATCACTTGAGCCTGGGAGTTCAAGACCAGCCTGGACAATATAGTGAGATACTGTCTACAAAAAATACAAAAATTAGCTGGGCATGGTGGTCCATGCCTGTAGTCCCAGCCACTGGGGAGGCTGAAGTGGGAGGATTGTTTGACCCCAGAGATGGAGGCTACAGTGAGCCTCTGCGGTCCAGCCTGAGTGAGAGAGGGAGACTGTCTAAAAAAAAAAAAAAAAAAAAAAGAGCCTGAGCAGGAAGCAAAGAAAACAGCAGGAGGGAAGGAAGAGACTGAGGGGATATTTATTACCCTGGCCCCAGTCCTATAGGATTGCCATTGATGGGTTGACTACGTTCCTTTACTGAAAGTCACAGCTCCTCTCAAGGCAGCCCTCTCTTCACAGTTCTCTCCCATTTATACTAATCCTGAGATACTGCACTATTCTCTGTGGTTTCCTTAACGTGCTTTTTAATTCCTTCTGAAATAATCTTTTTTTAAATTTATTTTTTATTTTTGAGACGGAGTCTCTGTTGCCCAGGCAGGAGTGCAGTGGCGTGATCTCAGCTCACTGCAACCTCCACCTCCTGGGTTCAAGTGATTCTCCTGCCTCAGCCTCCCGAGTAGCTGGGATTACAGGCACCCACCACTACGCCTGGCTAATTTTTGTATTTTTAGTAGAGATGGGGTTTTACCATGTTAGTCAGGCTGGTCTCCTGACCTCAGGTGATCAGCCCACCTCGGCCTCCCAAAGTGCTGGGATTACAGGCGTGAGCCACCACACCCAGCCTGAAATAATCTTAATTTGGGTGTAACAACTGTTTAATTGCTGGAACCCTGACTGTATATTATCCAAACTGATAAAACTATCCTTCAATATAGTAATTCTCTCTTTCAATCTAGCATTTATCAGATCTGTTAAGGTTTTTATTTCAGTGGCTATATTTTTCTTGTCTAAGATGTTGATTTGTTTCTTTTTCCTTTTTTTTTTTTGGTCAAACTGTGTCTGGTCTGTTTCTTTTTCATATCTATGTATTGTGTCATTTCTGCCTGATTTTGTTTTATAATTTATTATCCTCTTTTGATGAATTTGAATTCTTTATTTCTTTGAACATCTTAAACACTTAAACACTGACTTTTAAAATCTGTCAGACTTGTATAAAATTATTTTTTATAGTAAACTAGTGTTCTGATTATTAATTTTGATAGCTGTTTTGCCATAAGATTTTCTCTTACGGTAATTTTCTCTTATGATAAATTTTACCATAAGATTTTCTCTTATAGTAAAACATATGGTATTTCTCTTATGGTAAAACTTACAGTATTGGAATTTAGATTAGCAGGCTCATTTTATGTAGAAGGAAATTTTGAAGTTTTTTCCCCCCGCTTTCTCCTTTACTTCTTGATCTATACTCAGAAGTCTCTCCCTAGCAATTTTGAGGTTACCTCTACCCAAGTCTTGCCCCATTCTACCAATAGATTTTGTATCATCATTTCAGAGCTGTTACACTGTAATATATTTAGGGATACTGCTCATCCTGACAGGCATGATCATGAGGCTATATTTTTGTCTTCCTGTCTGCTGGGCCAATATAACTCCACAGAACTGGATCCCGGGCAATAGGTTGGTAGCACATTTTGTAGCCTTATTTTGCAATAGGGGGTAACAGCCCCTACTGCAAAGGACAGGAATAAGGATAAGGAATATATATAAGGAATATATATTATTCCTGTCCTGCAGCTACCTGTAGTTTCAAATAGTGAGCCTGTCTCTGATCCCTTATTATCACATACAGCATATTTAGTGAGCGTTACTCCACAGAGGCTGAATTTTCAGCTGCTGTCACTGCCTGCTTTTGGACTGGAGACTAACGTGCCCGGGGTAACAGCCCCATTCATTAATTTATATTACTCTTCAGTTTTTGGTCCACATGTTTGTTTTGACTTTGAACCTGATTGTACCTTTTGGTTTTCTACTTTAAAATTTTATTTGACATTTTAATCTGTTTTAGAATATAGGAAATAAATCCATGTATATACTTATTCTATCAGAATCTAACCGTGGTATCTAACAAATAGGTAGTATGAAGACATAAAAGCACAGACTTATTGTCAAGTAAGCACAAGACACAAAGCTCAAAGAATTAGCTTAACGCAATGGATAATAAAAAAGATTTTTCAATTTCTTAACAGGTTGTAATCTTCATCTTCTTTTCCTCTTTGTCCTTGCTTTCCTTTTTGTAAGATTATACTTTTTTCTCTTGTATACATTGGATTTTGTTCTGGTACTGATAGCTGTCCAGAACTACCCCAGCAGTTTTTCTTGCTCAGTCTTGTAAAACATCACACATTATTAACATAATAAGCCTAGGATTAAGAATGTTACAGAACATAATTTTTTCCTTAAAGGGAAAATAATTTCTATAGATTACAGTTTGTTGAGAATAATTTTGCCTAAGCCAGAGATACAAAATTCATCGCAATGGGAGCCCCAACTCTGATTATGTAGTAATTACTGCCTAGAACTGTGCATTGAGCATTGAGGCTGCATCAGCACTCTATAGCATAGTGCACTTTGAATGATTTTTGATGTATGCCCTGGGCAGAGAAAGAGGTAATGGTGGCCCAAGTATTTGGCATTTCCTTCCTAGGTTTTTAAGTAAATTATTACATATCCTCATGCTTAAAAGAAGTTTAATTTTCCTATTTCACTTTTCTCATATATAAATATGAATAATTGTCTTCTTAATGCCAATTCCTGAATAGTGATGAACTAATTTAGGCATTGAAAGGATTTATTTAAATTATTACTTTTTTGGAAGTTACATTTTCATATCACATTCTGTGTAAAGGTCAAAATTAGGAAAGGCTTATAATGTTAAATCACCTACATTTAAAAATTATTCAACAGAAGAGAACCTAGTTGGCCATTTTATTCATAATCACCCAAAACAGAAAATAACCCACATGTTCTTCCATGGATGAATATATAAACAAACTCTGCTATTTTACTTTATACTATACCATTCTATATACTACCACATATAGTATATAATATACTATGGAATACTGCTCAGCAATAAAAAAGCATGTCACCTTTAACAGAGTCAGAAATAAAAAAGGAATGAACCCACATTCAACATCTTTTTTTTTTTTTTTTTTTTTTTGAGATGAAGTCTCACTCTGTCACCCAGGCTGGAGTGCAGCGGAGCAATCTTGGCTCATTGCAAGCTCCGCCTCCCAGCTTCACGCCATTCTCCTGCCTCAGCCTCCCAAGTAGCTGGGACTACAGGCGCCCGCCACCACAGCAGGCTAATTTTTTGTATTTTTAGCAGAGACTGGGTTTCACCGTGTTAGCCAGGATGGTCTCGACCTCCTGACCTCGTGATCCGCCCGCCTCGGCCTCCCAAAGTGCTGGGATTACAGGCGTGAGCCACCGCGCCCGGCCCATTCAACATCTTGAGTAGTGAGTCTCAAAGTCATGCAGCATAGAAACTATTCTCAAAAAGGTTGCCTTCTGTATCATGCCATTTATAAGCTATTCTTGACAAGACAAACCTATATTGTTAGAAAACAGATCAGTAGTTATCAGGGGTTAGGGATTGTGAAACTGCAAAAGTAATAGTACAAGGGATTTTGGAGGTGTATGTGATAGAGGTGTTCTGTATCCTGATTGTGGTGGTAGTGACATAAATCTGTATATGTTTTTATGTTTACAGAACTATTTGCCTCCCCCACCATCAGATCAGTTTCATAATTTTAAATCAATTTTAGGAAAAAATGTAGAATAGTAAGTTTATTTTTTTGACACAAGGTGGTCTCACTACCCCGGCTGTCCTCTAACTCCTGGACTCAAGCAGTCCTACCTACCTCAGCCTCTCTAGTAGCTGGGACTATAGGCATGCACCACTAGAATGGAAAATAGTACTTTTAGTACAGGTTGTAACTGTGCTGTGCTATGATATGAAGTAAAAGGGAAATTCTGGGTGTTAGAATAAAATGTCTAAGAAACTATATGCAAAGAATAAAGTATATTGCAATTAGGCACTTGGGATTGGTATTTAGTATTTTGTATTTGTATTTTGTAATGGAAAAAGTATAAAATATCTATGTTGTTGATACTGCTCTATTATGGTTGGGTTGAGGGAACTTGATCAAATAACTTAATTGCTCAAGTTATTAGGTTCTTTTTCAATGGAATGAGTTTGTACCCTGTGCTTCTCAAACTGAAATACTAGTAAACATTTTATTCCAGACTATGTTTGCATTAATAGAAAATGTTTTAAATTATTTAGCATTACGTAAAATAGATGCTCCAGAAAAATGCTCCTTATTTTTTCTAGTGGCTTCACATAGTCTCTGCCATTCCATTCCATTCTAACTGTAATAGCGTGAGACTAGGTAACATAATAGTATTTCTCATAGCTGTAAAGTTTTGGTTTGTGTTAATTTTTGTCAGATAATTTTGTTTAAGTTTTCATCTTTAAGTATTTATTTTTTGAATACTATGCAGAACAGAAATTTAAGACCACTAGATGGGGATGTAAACAATATAGCATTTGTTTCTGGTGCTCTGAAGTAACTTGATGCAGCTTTAAGTTTAATTCCCAGAAAAGAGGGGAGAAAACAAAGAACAAATCCACTTGTTTTTATCTTCCTAAATGTTATAGTAATCTGGATTTGGGCAAATTAAGCTTCTGAATTAAGAATGAAGTCCTCTATGCTCAAATAGCATATTGTGAAACCCAAATATGAATGACTTTAAATGACTGTCTTTGAATGACTCTCCATTGTTGCAATATGTGGCATTATTTGTTTTATAAGTGTATTTTGTCCTCACAGATGTTTAATGACAGATACAAAATTAGAAATAAAATGTAGCACTTAAGACACAGAGCAATTTTTTTCTCCTGGGTTTTTCTGTCCCCTTCTTTGATACTATAAAAAATAGTGAATGATAACTTGCCTCTTTTAAAACATACTGTAAAAACTTATATTAATTTCATGGCTTATTAATTATTTTATGTCTTCTACATATAATTAGAAAAAGCATAGTTACACAAAATATTAAGAATTTCTTTAAAACAAAGGTTTGAAACAAAATATCATTGTGTTGTATTCAGTCTTTTAAAGAATTTAGAAAAAATATTGGAAAAGGACAAGGCTTTTTGTTTTTGTAGACTTTTTCCTCTTTCTTATCTTTAAAATGAAGGAAGCTGTGTATTCTCAGGAGTTCAAATTTTTTCTTGAGAATTTTTATCATATAACTATATATTTTATTACCTTTCAAGCAAATATATGTGTTTGTTGGTAACTATATAAGCTTTAATCTTTATCCATCATTATCACTGTTGAAGATTCCCTTTCAGCACAATACAGGACTTCTATCCAATAAGGGCTGACAATTTTATTTTAATTGACAACTCAATTTTTAAAAATTGTAATATATATATATATATATATATATATATATATATATATATATAACAAAACTATTTTAACCACTTTTAAAAATTATAACACTTATGTAACATAAATTTAACCATTTTAATCGTTTAAAGCCTACAACTCAGTGGCATTAAGTACATTCACACTATTGTGCAACCATCCACTGTTTCCAAAACTTTTTTATCACCACAAACAGAAACTCTGTAACCATTTAGCCATAACTCCCTATTGCACCCAGTCTCTGGTAACTTCTAATCTACTTTCTGTCTTTATGAATTTGCCTTGAATTACTCAACTTTAAAACAACTCTGTGTGTGTGTGTGTGTGTGTGTGTGTGTGTGTGCATTTAGATACCACTGTGTTACCCATGCTGGACTTGGACGCCTGGGCTCAGGCAGTCCTCTCACCTCAGCCTCCCAAGTAGCTGGGACTACAGGCACCCATCACGTGCTCAGCTTAAAATGACTACATATTTTTAATTTTTCCACTTGAATGAGAAAATTTAATATGGTAAAGGTTTACTATTGTCATTTAGGAGAAATATAATGCCATGAATAGTGGTGTGTGCATATATACAAATAGCTGTGAAGTGTCACAAAGAACCAAGTCACTAATATAAGTAAGTTTACAAGATATCTTATTCAGAAAAGATAATTGAAGCCAGGCATGGTGGATCACACCTATAATCCTAGCAGTTTGGGAGGCCAAGGCGGGAGGATTGCTGGAGTTCAGGAGTTCAAGACCAGCCTGGGCAACATAGGAAGACCTCATCTGTACTAAAAAAAAAAAATTAGCCTAGGCCAGGCGTGGTGGCTCATGCCTGTAATCCCAGCGCTTTGGGAGGCCGAGGCAGGTGGATCACGAGGTCGGGAGTTCAAGACCAGCCTGGCCAAGATGGTGAAACCTCATCATTACTAAAATACAAATATTAGCCGGGTGCGGTGGTAGGTGCCTGTAATCCCAGCTACTCGGGAGACTGAGGCAGGAGAATCACCTGAACCTGGGGGGTGGAGGTTGCAGTGAGCCTAGATCGCACCACTGCACTCCAGCCTGGGTGACAGTGAGACTCCGTCTCAAAAAAAGAAAAAGCCGAACGTAGGGGGTGCGCCTGTATTCCCAGTCACTTGGGAGGCTGAGGTGAGAGGATAGCTTAAGCCTGTGAGGTGGAAGTTGCAGTGAGCTAGGATCACGCCACTGCACTCCAGCCTGGGTGACAGTGAGACCCGATCTCAAAAAAAAAGAAACAAAGGTAATTGAAACCTTTCACTTAGAAAAGCTGGGATTTCGTTATATTCTTTAAAGAGATGATATATGGGGAAATATGAAAATAGGTAGATAATTATGAAATCAGTTGGGGAAATCTGGAGAATCATTTTCTGTACATTATTTTAGATAAAATTGTACCTTAATTATCTCCAAAAAATAATTGATCCGTTTTTTAGTATTTCTTCAGATTGTCTTTCTTTGGTTTCACAATTCTATAACTGGAGAGGTTTCCCTTTATAAAACTCTACATACATTGCTATCATATTTTCACCTTAAACTTATTCCCTCATATCCTATCTTCACCAGAAATAGTGAATAGCTTCACTGATGTATACAAATTTTTCCTATCTATGATTCAGGAATCAGAGGATTTTTACAGTTAATGGGCTCATTTAACATTTGTTAAACTGTATTCTGTTGTGCGTTTTTTTTTTTAACTGAAGAAGTGTGATGTGTTGATAACTTTAAAAAATTTTTAATATTTTATTGCCTCTTTAATTTACTTATTATAATAGAGACAGTCTCAAATTCCTGGCCTCAAGTGATTCTCCCACCCAGGCTTCCCAAAGTGCTAGGATTACAAGTAAGAGCCTCTGTGCCAGCTTATAATAAATCTTATTCCAGTCTAAAATGAGAGGATTCTGTCTTGTCCTCCCCAGTTCCGTATTTGTGTGTTCCTTCTCTTCCAGTGAGGTACTCTGGCTCCCCAAGAGCGTTTTATATATTTACTCATTTGCTTAATGCTGCGACAAATACAAAATCATACAAAAATGCTGCTCCAATGTTATTACAAACAATAGACTTTTAAGGTAGAGCTCAAGAAATTTTTGCATTTCTCTTTATTTTCCAGTGAAAGGTATATACTTCAAATACTGTGTTCAGAAATTATTTGGATTAGTTATTTTCCTTGTTCTATATGGCTATGTTATTTATTCAGAAATCCTTACATTTATTTGTTTCTTCAGGTATTCAACTTTAGGTTTTCCCCATTCTTTTTTTTTTTTTTTTAAGACGGAGCTTCATTCTTGTCACCCAGGCTGGACTGCAATGGCGCAATCTCAGCTCACTGCAACCTCTGCCTCCCAGGTTCAAGTGATTCTCCTGCCTCAGCCTCCCAAGTAGCTGGGATTACAGATGCGTGCCACCACACCCGGCTAATTTTTGTATTTTTTAGTAGAGATGCAGTTTCACCATGTTGGCCAGGCTGGTCTCCAACTAATAACATGAAGTGATCGGCCCACCTCAACCTCCCAAAGTGCTGGGAATGCAGGCATGAGCCACCGCGCCCAGCCTCCATTCTTTTTTCTTTTCTTTTCTTCTCTTCTCTTTTCTTTTCTTTTCTTCCCTTCCCTTCCTTTTCCTTTTCTTTCTTTCTTTTTTTTTTTTTTCTGAGACAGAGTCTCACTTCGTTGCCCAGGCTGGAGTGCAATGGTGTGATCACAGCTTACTGCAGCCCTCACTTAGTGGGCTCAGGTGATCCTCCCATCTCAGACTCCCAAGTAACTGGGACTACAGGCACATGCCACCACACTCAGGTAGTTTTTGTAGAGACAAGGTTTCACTATGTTGCCTAGGCTGGTCTTGAACTCCTTGGCTCAAGCAATCTGCCCACCTCAGCCTTGCAAAGTGCTTGGGATTACAAGTATCAGCCACTGCATCTGACGTGCCTGTTCTTTTAAATTAAAAAAAAAAATTAATTATGTCATTTACTCTTAAATGTTCTTAAATAAAAACTATACAAAAATATGTAATCAATGAAATGTCATTCCTTCTTCTGTCCCTTCTACTCTTTCACTCATCTTCTTTAGATAACTAGTTTTTTTCATTTCTGGTTATCATTCCTCTACAGGATTTGTTTGTTCTACTTTTTGGTTTTCATTCTGTGTGTGTGCGAAAATATGTATATCTTCACATGTAATTATATATTCTTATTTCTTTCAGAAAATATAGCTACTCTATGTACTTTTTTATAGTTTTGATTTGTTTGATTTTTGGCTAATATATCGTGGATATATTTTTATCAGTTCATAGATATCTTCATTTTTTTTTTTACAGCTACATAATTTGTGATGTGCAGTCTGTGGGTGTCCATAGTTTAACCTACTAATGTAAGAGCATTTATGTGTTTTTCCTGTGGTTTGCAATTACAAATAATGCTACAATTCATCACCTTGTACATACATATTTTTATGCATTTAGAGCTGTATATTCAGGGTAAATTCCAGAAATGGAATTGTTAAATCAAAGGATAAACACTTTTGTAGTTTTGTTTGACGTTGCCAAATTCTTCCCTATAGAGATTATAGCATTTTATATCCCACCAGCAATGGTTAAGTTCCTATTTCCTCACAGCCTCACCAACAGAGTAATTGTCAAACTTTAGAGTTTTTACTGGTCTAAAGGTAAGAAATGGTATCTTAGTGTAGTTTTAATTTGCATTTGCCTCATGAAAGTGAAGCTGAATGTATTTTCATATGTTTAAGAGCCAGTTCATATTATTTTTCTGAATCATCTGTTTAAATTTTTTTGCCTATTTTTCTATTGGGATTTTAGAGTTTTTAATTGGTTATCTAAGACTTCTTTATATATTAGGAATATTAGCCTATTACCTGTAGTTTATGTTCCAAGTATTTCCTCCCTGCTTATCATTTGTCTTTGGACTTTACTTACGATGTTTTTTGCCATGCAGAAGTTTTTCATTTTTATGTAACAGATTTGTCAATATTTTCTTTCAATGAATCTAGAGTTTGAGTCATATATATAAAGTCTTTCTCAATACCTAAGTTATAAGGAAATTAATATATGTTTTCTTTCACTCTTTGTATCATTTCATACTTTACATTTAGAACTTAGGTCTACTTGAGGTGTACGCATATGTTTGGTGTGCAGAATTGATCCAGATATATCATTTTCCAAATAGCTATCTAGTTATCTCAACATTATTTATCAAAAAGTGCATTTTTCCTCTAGTCTTCTGAGATAACCCCTTTATTGCATACTAAATTTCTAAATCTATACTTGTCAGTTTTTAGAATCTTATTCTTCCTCACTGGTCTTCTGTCTATTCAGGGGGAGGAGTCAGGAAGCCATAACACCTCCCTCTCTCCAAAAGAATAAAGTAGATGCTGCTCATACCTGGAAAAACCTTCACTCTGGTTAGCATCACTGGCAACTGTATTTCCATGAGGATTCTAAGGCCCCAGGATTCTGTACAGGATGTGTTGTTGTTTACTTTCTATTTTAATGAAAATTGCATAGTTTTATCTTCTTCTTTTTATCTTTCCAACTTGGGAGATTTATGGGAAAGAAAAAGACAATATTGGCCATTGTTGAACATTGTTTATGTGGGTGAGATCCCTTGGATTTAACAATTAAAACTTTACAATTTGTGTGTTTATGTGATTGACTGGTATAAATCAGCTAAAATAAAATCCTTAAGTACATTCACGGTTGTTAACACCGCTTCCTCTTCAACATTTTTGAAATGTGTACCATAAATCCTAATTGTCTCAATTGATTATAAGCAGGCTTATATTCTAAAGCAAAATTATTATTTTGTTGCAACTAGAAAACTATTCTCACGTCTTATACAAAAGTTTAGAATGTTTATATGGAAAATGAAATAGTAATGCCTAATATAAACTTTATACAAAAGTTTAGAATGTTTATATGGAAAATGAAATAATAATGCCTAATATAACATAACAATATGTACACAAAGGAAAAAAGAAGCAAAATGTTTCTGGGATGAAAATGAGGTGAAGAATTTTCAAGTCATGCTAAAGTTTGACAACATGGTTGTATTCTTCAGCGGCTCCCAAGAGAACTATTCTAAGAGTTGTGGAACAATATTACATACAGTTAGGATTAGTTGTTTTATAAAGGAATTTGTTGATATGATTAAAAATTATATATCCATGAGAAGTGGCCATTAGAGGGAAAAACAACGTGCTATCCAAATCTGAAAGGCCATTAGCTTAAGCATCTCTAGTGTTTGGTCTTCATTATATAAATATATCAGATTATTTACTAAGAATACATAAACTATTTCTGCTAGTTTGACTAATATACTGAGTATTCCTGAGCAGAAAGAGTTCGTATTCATTGACTGACCAGGCCTCTGAAAAGTTCAGCAGGATGGGGCAATTATTATTTTTTGTCTAATTGGTGAAATCGTCCCAATAAATAACTGTTGTACCTGATATGTTCTTTTATTTTTAAAATTGAGATATTTATATTTAAACTCATTTTAAAAACATTGCCTCTCTGGGTTCACTTTGAAAAGTATTTGAGGTAGTACCTTCTAGAAAGAATTAGTTATTTATGTCCCGTATAGCTACCAATTATTTTCTGTCTTAATATGTATCACCCTTGCATGCATTTTTTTTTATTTGAAATGGTTCTTTGGGAGAACGAAAGTATTGCGAGGAGCTCCAGTGACCCAAATGAATTATAAAACATTAACCAGTAAGTCAGCAGTTCTGAACATCAACCTTGACAGCTTATGAGTGAAGATAGTAGGCAGTAAGGGAGGACCAGATTTAAAGGATCAATGTATTTGACCTGACAAAATCAAGGGATGAGGCATATTGAGGTGCAGTTTAGAACTGTGAGTACTATACTTGGAAAAGCAGGCCTAGACACACTTATAAACTGAAACCTAAGATAAAGAAAAAATTATGAAAGCAGACAGAGAAAAGTTTGCTTTACATACCAAAGAACAATAATTTGAAGGCCAACATTTTTTCGTCAGGAAACATAGAGGCCAGAAGACAGTATAACATCATCTTAAAACCTGAAACAATAAATCAGTCAGTCCAGAATTCTGTGTCCAGTGGAAGTATCCTTCAGAAATGATGGCAAAATTAAGACAATTTTACAAATGGGAAACTAAGAGAAATTTGTCTCCAGCAGACCTATACTACAAGAAATGATAATGGAAGTTCTTCAACTGAGCAAGAAATGATATTAACAGAAAACTTGGATCTTCAGAAGCAAATGAAGAACATCAGAAATGGTAAATATCTGGATAAAAATAAAAGACTGTTATCCTCTTAAGTCCTTTAAAATGACCTTTGGGTATTTAAAACAAAATTATAACATTGGAGTTTTGGAGTTTTCAATGTATGCAGATGTAATACATATTTACATTGTTAATATACAATAGTAACTTATACAACTACTATAAAATACATAAAACTATAACAACGTATGGTATGTGGCAAGGGGGCAGGTGATTAAAGGGACCTATATGCTTGCAAGGTGTATGTGTTTTACATGAAGAGAAGAGATATAGTGTTCTGCTTGAACTCTGAAAGATCAGAGATGTATATTGTGATCCTTACAGAAATCGCTAAAAATAAAATACAAAGAGGTACAGTTCATGAGCCAATAGAATTGTTAAAATGCAGTACTAAAGAGTATTTAAATTATCTTTCTAAAAAGTAGAAAAGAGGCTGGGCGTGGTAGCTCACGCCTGTAATTCCAGCACTTGGGAAGGCCGAGGCAGGTGGATCACTTGAGGTCAGGAGTTTGAGACCAGCGTGGCCAACACAGTAAAAACCCATCTCTAGTAAATATACAAAAATTAGCCAGGCATGGTGGTGCATGCCTGTAGTCGCGGCTACTTGGGAGGCTGAGGCAGGAGAATCACTTGAACCCGGGAGGCGGAGGTTGCAGTGAGCCGAGGTCACACCACTGCACTCCAGCCTGGGCGACAGAGCAAGACTCGATCTCAAGAAAAAAAAGAGGAAAGAAAGAGCAACAGGAACTACTGCAACAACACATAGAGATAATAGAGCCAAGTAATAAAATTATTAAATGAAATTCAGTGATAACAATAATCACATTAAATATTAAACGTCTAAATACTAAAATTTAAAGCTAGGTTGTTAGAGCAGATACAAAAGAAAGAACAAACTATACTTCCTACAAGAGATTTATCTTAGGCCTAAAAATACAAATATATTGAAAGTAAATGAATAGACAAAACTATACCAGGTAAACAGCATAAAAAGAAGAAACAGCTATATTAACATCAGATGAAATCGCTTTTAAGACTGAGGGTATTATCAGAGGTAAAGAGTGATATTTCATAACGATAAAAGGCACAATCTGAGAAAATGTAATCACAAATGCCTGAGTAACAGCAACTTAAACATACATGAAGCAAAAATTGAGATCATGGTAGAAGATTTTAACACCCCCTTCTCAGTAATTGATAGAACAACTAAAAAAAAAATCTATAAAGACATAGAAGATTTGAACCGATTTGATCTAATGGATACATTTGGAATACTATACCTAAATAACTGCCAAATACATATTTTTTTATGTTCACATAGTGTATTCTCAAAGAGAGACCATGTGATAGACAATAAAACAAAACAACAAACTTAAAAGGAATGAAATTATGCAGTTTGTTCTCTTACCACAACAGAATTAAAATTCAATGACAGTAAGATAGGAAAATACCAAATATTTTGAAACTTAACACCCCCCTAAATAAAAAATAGGACAAAGAAGAAATCAAAAAGGAAATTAGAAAATACTTTGAAGGGAATGATAATGAAAATACAACAGATCAAAACTTGAGGAATGTAGATAAAGCAGTGCTTACAGGGTGACATAACTTCAATTTCTTTCTTTCTTTCTTTCTTTTTTTTTTGAGACGGAGTCTCTTGCTGTGTTGCCCAGACTGGAATGAAGTGGCATGATCTCAGCTCACTGCAACCTCTGCCTCCTAGGTTCAAGCAATTCTCCTGCCTCAGCCTCCCGAGTAGCCTGAATCACAGGCATGCACCACCATGCCCGGCTAATTTTTGTATTTTAGTGGAGATGGGGTTTCGCCATGTTGCCCAGGCTGGTCTCAAATTCCTGATCTCAAGTGATCAGCCTGCCTCGGCCTCCCAAAGTGCTGGGATTACAGGCGTCAACCCATTTCAGTTTCTTAAATTAGAAAACAAAGCTCTAAAATTAATGACCTGAGATTTTAAGAAGCTAGACTAGGAAAAGCAAATTGAACCTAAACTAAGTAGAAGGAAGAAGGAATAAAGATAAGAACAGAAATCCACCACCCAAAAAACAGATGAGAGAAAACTGACAAAACCAATGTCTGATTATTTGAAAAGAAAAACAAAATAAACATGTACCTACCTACATGATTGAGATAAAAGAGAAAGCAGTAGACAAAATTCAACATGCATTCACAATATAAACTCAGTAAACCAGGAATGATAGGGAACTTCTTAACCTGAAAAGGAGTATATACTGGAAAACCCCCAATTAACATCATACATAGCAGTGAAAGATGGAATATATTACCCCAAGGATTAGAAACATGGAAAGAATGACCTCTTTCACCATTTGTATTTAACATTGTAACAAATGCTCTAGACATTGCATTAGGGCAAAAGAATAACAGCAATAATGTGTATAAAGATCCTAAAGGACAAAGTAAACTGTCCCTCTGCAAAAGCAACTACTAGAACAAGTGAATGAATTAACAATGTTAAAGAATATAATATTAATATAAAATGAGTTGAATATTTTATATACTAGTAGCAAACAATTGGTATTTTTTAAAAATTTCATCAAAAGAAAAATAGGAATAAATATAACAAAATACATCTACAATCTCTACCCGTTAAACTACAAAACACTGATGAGAGAATTTTTAAATGACTGAATTTAATAGATATACCATGTTCATGAATTACAACACTTAAGATTGTTGACATGTTGCTTCTAATGAAATTGATTAATAAAACTAATATAATTTCAATTAAAATTTCAGTAGACCATTTTGAGAGAACCTGAAAAGCTGATGGTAAAATCAATGTGAAAATGCATAAAAACAAGCAATAATAGACAATGCAGTTTTTAAAATGATAAAATTGGAGAACCTATCCAGATTTCAAGACTTCAAGTTATAATCATAACTATTTGTTATTGGCAAAATGAAAAGCCCGTGGACCAATGGAACAGAATCAAATCTTAAAATAGGCCTGGGACATACATATATAATTAACTGATTTTCACCAAGGATGCTAAGGTAATTTAGTGAGGGAATGGAGAGTCTTTTATTTATTTATTTATTTATTTATTTATTTATTTATTTATTTATTTTTGAGACAGAGTCACACTCTGTCACCCAGGCTGCAGTGCAGTGGCACAATCTTACCTCACTGCAACCTCCACCTCCTGGGTTCAAGCGATTCTCGTGCCTCAGACTCCTGAGTAGCTTGAATTACAGGCATGTGCCACCATGCCTGGCTAATTTTTGCATTTTTAGTAGAGACAAGATTTCACCATGTTGGCCAGGCTGGTCTCAAACTTCTGGCCTCAAGTGATCCACCTGCCTTGGCCTTCCAAAGTGCTGGGATTATGGGTGTTAGCCACCATGTCTGGCTGGAGAGTCCTTTCAATAAATTGTTGATATAATTGACTGCCAAAATGGGGGAGAAATTATTAATCCTATCTTATATTGAAGAAAAAAACTCAAAATTAACTATAAACTTAAATCTAAAGCCTTGCACTGTAAATCGCTGAGAAAAAAATTAAAAAAAAAAAACAGGAGAAAAATCTTTGCAATCTAGAAATGGGAAAATTATTCTTAGTCTTTTTTTTTATTATACTTTAAGTTATGGGATACATATGCAGAACGTGCAGGTTTGTTACATAGGTATATATGTGCCATGGTGGTTTGCTGCACCCATCAACCCATCATCTAGGTTTTAAGTCCCACGTGCATTAGGTATTTCTCCTAATGCTATCCTTCCCCTTGCCCCCCACCCCCAACAGGCCCTGGTGTGTGATGTTCCCCTCTCTGTGTCCATGTGTGTTTTGTTTTGTTTGGTTTGGTTTTTTTCAGATGGAGTCTTCGCTCTGTTGCCCAGGCTGGAGTGCAGTGGCCTGATCTTGGCTCACTGCAACCTCCGCCTCCTGAATTCAAGCAATTCTCCTGCCTCTGCCTCCTGAGTAGCTGGGATTATAGGCATGTGCCACCACACCCAACTAATTTTTGTGTTTTAGTAGAGACGGGGTTTTGTTGTGTTGGCCAGGCTGGTCTCGAACCCCTGACATCAAGTGATCCACCCACTTTGGCCTCCTAAATGCTGGGATTACCATGCCTGGCCTGTTCTTAGAATTTTAAAAGTATGAATCAGCTGGGCATGGTTGCACATGCCTGTAATCCCAGCACTTTGGAGGCTGAGGTCGCTGGATCACTTGAGCCCAGGAGTTTGAGACCAGCCTGGGCAACATGGTGAAACCCCATCTTTACAAAAAATACAAAAATTTAGCTAGGCATGGTGGTGTGCGCCTGTAGTCCCAGCTACTTGGAAGGCTGAGGTTGGAAGATCACCTGAGTCAGTGAGGCAGAGATTGCAGTGAGCTAAAATTGGGCCATTGCACTCTAGCCTGGGCGACAGAGCGAGACCCTGTCTCAAAAAAAAAAAAAAAAAAAAGAATCATAAAAAAATATAATAAATTGGCCTTTTTTTAAAGATCAAAATTTAAAACTTTTGCTCTTTGAAAACACACTTAATAAAATGAAAATGCAGTGCATGCATGGAGGAACAATATTGTAAATATATATCAAAGGACTGGGACTTGCTTGCAGGATATTAACAGAACTTTTACAACTCAATAACAAGAAGAACGTGACCCATTTAACAAATGAACAAAAGTTTTGCCTAGGTACATCATAAAAGGATACATGAATGTGAAAATAACCACATGAAAATATGCCCAACATCATTAGTCAACAGGGAAATGCAAATTAAAACCAAAGACACCCATTTCACACACATTACAATTGTTAAAACTAAAAAAGATGTCCATATGGGATGCTGTTTAGGATGTGCACCAACTAGAATTTGCAAACACTGATGGTGGACGTGTAAAATGGAATCCACCTTAGAAAATGGTTTGACACGCCTATGTCCTGAATGGTAATGCCTAGGTTTTCTTCTAGGGTTTTTATGGTTTTAGGTCTAACGTTTAAATCTTTAATCCATCTTGAATTGATTTTTGTATAAGGTGTAAGGAAGGGATCCAGTTTCAGCTTTCTACATATGGCTAGCCAGTTTTCCCAGCACCATTTATTAAATAGGGAATCCTTTCCCCATTGCTTGTTTTTCTCAGGTTTGTCAAAGATCAGATAGTTGTAGATATGCGGCGTTATTTCTGAGGGCTCTGTTCTGTTCCATTGATCTATATCTCTGTTTTGGTACCAGTACCATGCTGTTTTGGTTACTGTAGCCTTGTAGTATAGTTTGAAGTCAGGTAGTGTGATGCCTCCAGCTTTGTTCTTTTGGCTTAGGATTGACTTGGTGATGTGGGCTCTTTTTTGGTTCCATATGAACTTTAAAGTAGTTTTTTCCAATTCTGTGAAGAAAGTCATTGGTAGCTTGATGGGGATGGCATTGAATCTGTAAATTACCTTGGGCAGTATGGCCATTTTCACGATATTGATTCTTCCTACCCATGAGCATGGAATGTTCTTCCATTTGTTTGTGTCCTCTTTTATTTCCTTGAGCAGTGGTTTGTAGTTCTCCTTGAAGAGGTCCTTCACATCCCTTGTAAGTTGGATTCCTAGGTATTTTATTCTCTTTGAAGCAATTGTGAATGGGAGTTCACCCATGATTTGGCTCTCTGTTTGTCTGTTGTTGGTGTATAAGAATGCTTGTGATTTTTGTACATTGATTTTGTATCCTGAGACTTTGCTGAAGTTGCTTATCAGCTTAAGGAGATTTTGGGCTGAGACGATGGGGCAAGGACTTCATGTCCAAAACACCAAAAGCAATGGCAACAAAAGCCAAAATTGACAAATGGGATCTAATTAAACTAAAGAGCTTCTGCACAGCAAAAGAAACTACCATCAGAGTGAACAGGCAACCTACAAAATGGGAGAAAATTTTCGCAACCTACTCATCTGACAAAGGGCTAATATCCAGAATCTACAATGAACTCAAACAAATTTACAAGAAAAAAACAAACAACCCCATCAAAAAGTGGGCGAAGGACATGAACAGACACTTCTCAAAAGAAGACATTTATGCAGCCAAAAAACACATGAAGAAATGCTCATCATCACTGGCCATCAGAGAAATGCAAATCAAAACCACTATGAGATATCATCTCACACCAGTTAGAATGGCAGTCATTAAAAAGTCAGGAAACAACAGGTGCTGGAGAGGATGTGGAGAAATAGGAACACTTTTACACTGTTGGTGGGACTGTAAACTAGTTCAACCATTGTGGAAGTCAGTGTGGCGATTCCTCAGGGATCTAGAACTAGAAATACCATTTGACCCAGCCATCCCATTACTGGGTATATACCCAAAGGACTATAAATCATGCTGCTATAAAGACACATGCACACGTATGTTTATTGCGGCACTATTCACAATAGCAAAGACTTGGAACCAACCCAAATGTCCAACAATGATAGACTGGATTAAGAAAATGTGGCACATATACACCATGGAATACTATGCAGCCATAAAAAATGATGAGTTCATGTCCTTTGTAGGGACATGGATGAAATTGGAAACCATCATTCTCAGTAAACTATCGCAAGAACAAAAAACCAAACACCGCATATTCTCACTCATAGGTGGGAATTGAACAATGAGATCACATGGACACAGGAAGGGGAATATCACACTCTGGGGACTGTGGTGGGGTCGGGGGAGGGGGGAGGGATAGCATTGGGAGATATACCTAATGCTAGATGACACGTTAGTGGGTGCAGCGCACCAGCATGGCACATGTATACATATGTAACTAACCTGCACAATGTGCACATGTACCCTAAAACTTAGAGTATAATTAAAAAAAAAAAAAAAAAAAAAAAAAAAAAAAAGAAAATGGTTTGACAGTTTCTTAAAAGTTAGCAACAGGCAGCCGGGCCCGGTGGCTCACACCTGTAATCCCAGCATTTTTGGAGGCCAAGGCAAGCAGATCACGAGGTCAGGAGTTCAAGACCAGCCTGGCCAACATAGTGAAACCCCGTCTCTACCAAAAATACAAAAATTAGCCGACGTGGTGGCATGTGCCTGTAATACCAGCTGCTCGGGAGGCTGAGGCAGGAGAATCGCTTGAACCCAGGAGGCAGAGGTTGCAGTGAGCCAAAACCAGACCACGCCATTGCATTCCAGCCTGGGTGACAGAGTGTGACTCCATCTCAAAAAAGAAAAAAAAAAAACATTAGCAACAGGCTGTGCGTGGTGGCTTACACCTGTAATCCCAGCACTTTGGGAGGCCAAGGCGGGAGGATCACCTGAGGTCAGGAGTTTGAGACCAGCCTGACCAACATAGTGAAACTGCATCTCTACTAAAAACACAAAAAATTAGCTGGGCGTGGTGGCACACACCTGTAATCCCAGCTACTTGGGAGGCTGAGGCAGGAGAATTGCTTGAGCCTGGGAGGCGGAGGTTGCAGTGAGCTGAGATCATGCCACTGCACTCCAGCCTGGCCGACAGTGAGACTCTGTCTCAAAAAAAAAAAGAAAAAAAAGAAAAAAAAAACAACAACAAAAGAAAATTAGATAAATTAGACTTTGCCAATGTTAAAACTTTTGTCCTAGGGTCACCATCAAAAAGGTAAAAGACCACCAACAGAATGGGAGAAATATTTGCAAATCATACATTTAATAAGAAACTTGTATCTTGAATATATAAATACCACTTACAATTCAATAAAAAGCTCATTTTAAAAAATGGACAAAGAATCAAAATACATATTTATCTAAAGAAGGTATATAAATGGTTTATAAGCACATGAAATTATGTTCAACATCATTAGCCATCAGGGAAATGAAAATCAAAATGACAATAAGATACTAATTCACAACCACTAGGATGGCTGTTTAAAAACCGAAAGTAAGGGCTGGGCGCAGTGGCTCACTCCGGTAATCCCAGCACTTTGGGAGGCTGAGGCAGGTGGATCATTTGAGGTCAGGAGTTCAAAGCCAGCCTGGCCAACATGGTGAAACCCCATGTCTACTAAAAATACAAAAAAAAAAAATTAGCCGGGCATGGTGGTGGGCACCTGTAATCTCAGCTACTCGGGAGGCTGAGGCAGGAGAATCACTTGAGCCCGGGAAGCAGAGATTGCAGTGAGCAGAGATCACGCCATTGCACTCCAGCCTGGGCTACAGCAAGCCTTCATCTCAAAAACAAAACAAAGCGAAACAAACAAACAAAAGTAAAAAACAAGAACCAGTGAGAATGTGGAAATATTGGAACCTCTCATATGGTGCTGGCAGGTATGTAAAGTGGTTCAGCCACTGTGTGGAAAACAGTTTGGCAGTACATGAAAAAGCTAAACATAGAAATACCATATAACCAAACAATTCTACATTTAGGTATATACCTTAAATAATTAAAAACAGATACCCAAACAAATACTTGTGCATGAATGTTTATAGTAGTACTATATACAATTGCCAAAAGGTGGAAAGAACTAAATGTCCATCAACAGATCAATAAGCAAATTGTGGTATAATCTATCCAATGGAATATTATTTTTGGCCAACAAAAAGGAATAGTGGTGCATGCTACAGTGCAGATGAGCCTTGATAACATGCCAAGTGAAAGCAACCAAATACACAAGGCCACATGTTGTATGATTCCATTTGTATGCAATATCCAGAATAGGTAAATCCAGAGACAGACAGTCGATTGGTGGTTGCCAGTGGCCAGGGGAAAGAGGAAATAAGGGAATACCTGTCTCATGGGCATGGGTTATTTTGGGTGGGGGGTGGTCAGGGAGTAATGAAAATGTATTGCAATTAGATAAGATTGTTGGCCAGGCATGGTGGCTTACTCCTGTAGTCCCAGCACTTTGGGAGGTGGAGACAGGAGTATCGCTTGAGCGCAAGAGTTCGAGACCAACCTTAGTAATATACTGAGACCTTGTCTCAATTAAAAAAAAAAAAGATGATGGTTTTACAACATTGTGAATGTACTAAATGCCACTGAATTGTTCCTTTTAAAATGGTTAATTTTATATTATGGGAATTTACACAATAAAACACACATACAAACATACACTCACACATTGAGATATCACTACACATCAAATAGATGAAATAAAACTTTTAAAACTGATTGCACTGGGTTTTGACATGGTTATAGAGGAATTAGAACCCTATGTGTGGGAATATAAAATTGTAAAACTACTTAGGAAAACAGTTTGGCTTTAAAAAGCTTAAAAAGCTAAACAAAACCCAACCACATGATTCATTCACTCTTTTCTTGGGAATTTGCCCAAGAAAAAAAGAGGATATGGGCATACAGACTCTTGAACTAGAATATACCTAACAGCTTTATTTGTAATAGCCCCCAAATTGGAAACATCTGAAATGTCCACCAACAGGTTAATGAATAAAGAAACTGTAGTATATCCATACAATGGAATACTACTCAGCCATATAGAAAGATGAACTATTCACACATTACAATATGGCTGAAGCTCAAAGTAATTTTTCTAAGTGAAGCAACCCACACAAAAAGGGAATACATACTATATGATTTCATTTATATAAAACTCTAAACAAAATAGACAAATCTCTAGTGGCAAGAAATAGATTGTTAGTTGCCTGGGGACAGGAAGAAGGGGAGTAGGGAGGGAAAGAGGATTACAAAAGGGATGAAAAAACTTTTTGGAGTGATGGATATATTCACTATGTTGATTATGGTATTGTTTCACAAGTATATTCATAAGTCAAAATTTATCAAATTGTAGACTGTACATATGTGTATTTTGTATATCAATTATACTTTAATAATGCTATTTTTAAAATAAAAATATTAGTGGCCCCAGGCTCAGTGGCTCATGCCTGTAATCCTAGCACTTTGGGAGGCCGAGGTGGGTGGATTACTTGAGGTCAGGAATTCAAGACCAGCCTGACCAACATGGTAAAACCCCATGTCTGCTAAAAATATAAAAATTAGCTGGGCATGGAGGTGCACGACTAATCCCAGCTACTCAGGAGGCTGAGGCAGGAGAATTGTTTGAACATGGAAGGTGGAGGTTGCAGTGAGCTGAAATTGTGCCAGCCTGGGCAACAGAGTGAGACTCTGTCTCAAAAAATATATATATATTGATGAGGATGTGGAGTAATTGGAACCCTTGTACACTGCTTATGGGAGAGAAAAATGTGTAGTTGCTTTTCACAGTTTGGCAGTTCCTTAAAAAGTTAAACATAGAGTTACCATTAAATACATCACATCTACAACTAGGTATATGCTCAAGAGAAATGAAAACATATGTCTACAGAAGAAGTCACAGATTAATGTTCATGCAGCATCATAATGGCCAAAAGATGGAAACAACCCAAATTCTTTTAAATGAAGAAAGGATAAACAAAATGTTATGTATCTATACAGTGGAATATTATTTATCTGTAAGAAGGAATGAAGTACTGATTCATGGTACAAGATGGTTGACTCTCCAAAACATTATGCTAAGTGAAATAAGCCAAAAATGAAAGGACAGATGTATAATTTCACTTATTTGTGATATATATGATACCTCATAGAGGCAAATTAATAGAGACAAAGTAGAATAGAGCTTACCAAATACTATGGGGAGAAATGAATGGGGAGTTATTGTTTAATGGGTATAGAGTTTCTGTTTGGCATGATGAAAAAGTTCTGGAAATGGAAAATTATGGTGGTTGCACAAAATTATGAATGTGCTTAATTCCACTGAATTGTACACTTCAAAATGGTTAAAATAGTAAATTGATGTTATATTTATTTTACCTCAATGAAAAAGTAATACATGAAATTATGATACTTTAATGAATAGAGGACTTCCAGTTATGGTAAATGGAAATAGTTAATGACTTCTCTTCACAAAAAAATAAGTATAAAAGTGGATAAATTTGTCAGAAACAACAACTTCTGTGCCCTGGAAATCAACCCAAAGCAGACAACACATTGAGAAACATTAATTCTTGAAAAACTGTTGCAGTTTTGGGTATGAATAGTGAGAGTCTGTGGCCTTCTTGTCTGGAGCTGTTCCTATACCCCTACGCCAGGGAACTTAGTGGACAAGAATGGTAGTTTTACCAGCTTTTGAGTGGTCATGGATACTATGACATTTGATGTCAGAGGAATACTCAGAAGTGGAGAATAAAAATTTGTGTCTTTGCCAGCTAAAATTGTCAAATTAGTTTTAAAGTGGTGGGGAAAACCCCCAGTTTTGTTAACCAAAAGTTAGTTCCACTTGGGAGACCTGGAAATGAGATCTGTATAGGGGCTCTCCACACATCCCTTGCTAACTAGCAAACTACACATGTTCAAAGAATACCCAAGAGCATCTGGCAAAAAGTAAAAAGACAAAGGACACTAAATATTTGGCTCAAACTTTTAGTAGGTTCTGCAACCCACACACAGATAATTGGCAAGTGGTAGAAATCTTACTGGCTCAAGATATTTGAGCACAACCTTGAGGCTGATTGAGCCACAACCGTTGGCTGACCCCTGAGTAATGTTGAAACAGGCAACTTCTAGGAAGCCAGATTACAAAATAATAGTAGGAATAAAGAAACGGAACAGAAACATTCACGGAAGAAATTATACAAATTCTCTACAATCTCTTCCAGAAAATAGAAACAAAGGGAATGCTTCCTAACACATTATGTCAAGCTGGAATTATTCTAGTACCCAAACTAGACTAGACAAAGACATTACAAGAAAGGGAAAGTACAGATCAAAATCTCTCATGAGTATAGGTGCAAAAATCTTCAGCTAAGGCCAGCCACAATGGCTAATACCTGTAATCCCAGTACTTTGGGAGGTCGAGGCGGGAGGATTGCTTGATCCCAGGAGTTCAAGACCAGCCCAGGCAACATAGGGAGACCCCATCTGTTCAATACAAATAAAATTTAGCTAGGTGCAGTGGTTCACGCCTGTAATCAGACCACTTTGGGAGGCCAAAGTGAGTGCATTGCCTAAGCTCAGGAGTTCAAGACCAGCCTGGGCAACATGGTAAAACTCCATCTCTACTAAAATACAAAGAATTATCCAGACTTCAGTGGTGCGTGCCTGTAGTCCCAGCTACTTGGGAGGCTGAGGCACAAGAATCTCTTGAACCTGGGAGGCAGAGGTTGCAGTGAGCTGAGATTGCACCACTGCACTCCATCCTGGGCAACAGAGCAAGACTCTGTCTCCAAAAAAGTATAAATAAATAAAATAAAAATAAAATTTAGCTGGGCATGGTGGTACACGCTTGTGGTTCTGCATACTCATGAGGCCTAGGTGAGAGGATCTCTTGAACTCAGGAGATCAAGGTTGCAGTGAACCATGACTGTGCCACTGCACTCCAGTCTGGGTGACACAGCGAGACCCAGTCGCAGAAAAAATGTTTTTTTTCTACTAAATATTAGCAAATCAAATCCCACAGTGCACAAAAACAATTATATACCATGACCAACTGGTATTTATTCCAGTTATGCAAGGTTGGTTTAGCAAAGATCAGTTAATGAAATTCATGACATCAACTGGCTAAAGAAATCATATGATCCTATCAATAGATGCATAAAAACAATTTGACAAAGTCCAACACCCATTTATGACAAAAATCTTTTTCAAACTGAGAATAGAAGGGAACTCCCTCAAGTTGATAAAAGACATCAACAGAGAAACTACCTCTGAAATACTTAATAGTGAGAGAATAGATGCTTTCCCACTAAGATCAGAAACAGGGCAGAGATGTCCACTTTCACCGCTCCCATTCGGTGTCATACTGAAGTGCCTATTTAATTCAATAAGACAAGAAAAAGAAACAAAATGCCTGCAGATTGGGAAAGAAGAAATGAAACTGTCTTTGTTTGCAGATTTAAAGAATCAACCAAAAAATCTGGAACTAATAAATACTTGTATCAAAGCTGCACGATACGAAGTGAATATACAAAATCCAGTTGCTTTCTTATATTCCAGCAATGAGCAATTTGAATTTGACATTAAAGAAACAATACCTTTTACATTACCACCAAACCCTAGAAGTACTTAGATATAAATCTGACAAAGTATGTACCAGAACTATATGAGGAAAACTATAAAACTCTGACAAAAGAAATCAAAGATCTAAGTAAATTGTGAGATATTCCATGTACATGGATAGGAAGAGTCTATTATGTCAAGATGTCAGCACTTTCCAACTTGATTTATAGATTTAACAGAATCTCAATCAAAGTCATTGCCAATTATTTTTGGGACATCAACAAGCTGATTCTGAAGTTTATACGTAAAGACAAAAGATGCAGAAAAGCCAAGACGATATTGAAGAACAAGGTTAGAGGATGACACTCCCCAATTTCATGGCTTACTGTAAAGCTACAGTAATCAACACGGTGTGGTACTGATAAAAGAACAAATTGATACAGAACACAGAAATAGACCTACGCAAAGAATAGTCAATGGATCTTTGACAAAAGAGCAAAGACAATTTAATGTAGAAAGGATAGTCCTTTCAATAAATGGTTCTGGAACTGGACATCTACATGCAAAAAAAGAAAGAATATAAACATAGGACTTACAGCTTTCAGAAAAATTAATTAAGCATGGATAGACCTAAATGTAAAACTGCAAAACTGTAAAACTCCTGGATGATAACACTGGAGAACGTCTAAGTGACCTAGAGTTTGCAGGGAATTTTTAGATACAATACCAAAAGCATATACTCCATAAAAGAAAAAAATTGGTAAGTTGTACAAGATTAAAATTTAAAACTTCTCTGCAAAAGACACCATTAAGAGAATGAAAAAACAAGCCACAGAGTGGGAGAAAATATTTGCAAAATACGTATCTGATGACTGTTATTCAAACATGCAGAGTACTATTTAAATTCAAAAATAAGAAAACAGACAACCTGATTAAAAAATGAGCAAAGGATCTAAACATATAAAGAAAAGATACGTATGGCAAATAAGCATATGAAAAGATGCTCAGCATCGTATGCCATTAGGGAATTGTTAATTAAAATGAGAGTGTTACATCCAGACAATGGAATATTATTCAGTACTAAGAAGAAATGACCTATTAAGAAATGAAAAGACATGGAGAAACCTTAAACACGTATTGCCAAGTGAAAGAATCCAATCTGAAAAGGTTACATACTGTTTAATTCCAACTATATGACATTCTGCAAAAGGTAAATCTATGGAGACAATAAAAAGAGCAGTGGTCGTCAAGGGGTTCAGGGTGAAGTAGAGAGAGAGGGATAAATGGGTGTAACACAAAATTTTTAGAATCGTGAAACTATCCTGTATGATACAATAATGGTAGATACATGTCATTATACATCTGTCAGAACTCATGCAAAGCAACAGAAAACATACCCCCAATGTAATCTGTAACTTTAGTTAATAATGTGTCAGTATTGGCTCATTGGTTGTGGCCAGTGTACCACAGTAATTCAAGATATTAATAACTGGGGAAGAGATTTGAGGGTTTATATGGGAACTCTCTGTACTTGCAACTTATTTTTTTGTAAAACTACAATTGCTTTAAAAAGTATATTAATTTTTAAAAGAATAATCAGAGACATCAGTAGCTACACACTGCATGAGAGACAAATTCTGAACTTTAAGTCCAGGCAAGTTACTAAAAATAAATAAACAAAACTTTCAGGAAAATACAACAGAATTTAGAGTTGCTACATGCTCTCTAAAAGTCAAAACTACTAGATATGCAAAGATGAGACATGCTCTGGAAATAAAACTATCACTAGAAATTGAATCTGAGTGGGCCCAGATGTTAGATTTTGCAAAGGACCTCAACACAGCTATTAAAAATATGTTGAAAATTTTTAAAAACTTACATTCAAAGAAGTAATGGGAAACATAATAGCAGTGACTCAACATAAAGGGGGACTCTAAATAGATAGATAGAATCTATAGAAACGGAACCAAATAGAAATTCTAGAGCTTAAAAGTAAGATAACTGAAATGAAAAATTTACTTGATGGACTTAGCAGCAAATTGAAACACTCAGTAAACTTGAAGATCATTAAAAATTACCCAATGAGATCATTAGAAATTATCCAATGCAATGTCAGGTAACCAGTATACATGTAATGGGCATCCCAGTATGAGGGTGAGGGGGGAGAAAAAATAATTGAAGAAATAATTAATGAACACCTCCCAGTTTTGGTAGAAACTTGAGATTCAAGAAGCTCAACAAATCCCATAAAGGAAAAACACTAAAGGACCACACCTGGAAACATTATCGTGAAAGTGCTGACAGCTAAAGTCAAAAAGAAACTCTTGAAAGAAGCAAGAAAAATCAGCTGTTTTCAGAAACAGTGATCTCCAGAAGACGATACAATGGCATATTTAAAGTCCTGGAGGTGGGTTTATGGAGGGAACTGACAACAAAGAATACTATATACCACAAAATTAGCTTTCAGAAATGAAGGTGAAATAAAGATGTTTCCAAGAAAATAAAAACAGAGATTTTTGTATTTTTAGCAGAGACAGGGTTTTGCCATGTTTGCCAGGCTGGTCTCAAACTCCTGACCTCAGGTAATTCACCTGCCTCAGCCTCTTTCTTCACTTTTAATGTGACTATAGTGCATGTTTGTTTAAGTTATTTTGTTATTTTCCATTAGCCAATTCCTTACACTGTACTAATTGCCTTTGAATTCATGTTATCATTTTATTTTAATTCCTCTCTTTGACTTTCCTGTTGCATCTTCTTTGAAATAACCAAGCACATGAAAAATAAATGTTTATATTTTCCTCAGAGGAAACTATTTACAGAATATATGCTATTTTACATGTCTTTTTACCTTTTATCTCTGCTCACTATAGCTTCCGCCTCCCAGGCTCAAGCGATTCTCCTGCCTCAGCCTCCCAAGTTACAGGCATGCATCACCATGCCCAGCTAATTTTTGTATTTTTTTGTGGAGATGGGGTTTCACCATGTTGCCCAGGCTGGTCTTGAAGCCCTGAGCTCAAGTGATCCACCTCCCAAAGTGCAGGAATTACAGGTGTGAGCCACCATGCCCGGCCTGTAGTTTCTTTTCAAAACACTCTTCTTTTCTTTTCTTTCTTTTTTTCCTACATACTTAGTAAGTTCTTCTGGCATTTTTTTCAATAGAGAGCATTGAAGAAGAAAACTTATACTTCCTCACTTTCATATTAAACTGCTAGCAAATTGTGCTCTTAGTGCTACCTTAGAAGGCAGGTTTCTACCTCTCTCTGCAATACTTGTTGACATTTATCTTAAATGGATCTTGTTGGCCCTTCTTGGGGTTTTTTTGTCTTGGATTCTCTGTCTAAATTAGTCAGATCTCAGTTCACAATGCTTTGATAATATGTGATATATTCAAGCCTATCTTTCCATCCTTTGTCTACTACCAACATATATATTTCAACCCTGTGCTCCTGCTTCTTTATGTGTTACATGCTGGGAGTTATAAACTCTGTAGATATAACAAAGAAAAGAGGCTATGGTGGAATCTTTGGCAGGCTTCTCATTCTGGTTTCCTCAGAATATTACTCCGTGCAGTTGGGAAACGGCTATCTTTTTATTGATCAATATATTACAACATGTAATGAGAGTTGAGTTCTTTTCCTGCCTATGTTAGTCCAAGCTGCTCTTGTTGATAGAATATATTTCTGATTGCATTCCCACTATTATAACAGGAAAAATTCCACTAAGATTTTGGCTTATTGTTGTTTAAAGCTCCTGTACTCTTTTTTGGGGGTTAACTTCCAAGTCTACTTAATGCTTTTTTATATTCCAGTGAATCTTTTAAATGTGGAAGAATTTGAGATTATCTAGTAGAATTTCCTATTTGATGAAGATATGGTACAGAGGTTAAATTAGTATTCTATAGGCTCAACCAAATATTGTAAGATACAAGCACATTTTCTGATTACTAGTCCATTGCCCTTGCCATTGTTTCATGTTAAATCTTTTATTATTTGAGTTTGTCAATAATTCCATTAGAAGGAACACTAATATAGAAGTCAGCATATCTAGATTTTAGTGACAACCATGTCAATAATTAGCTAAATGATTTTAGAAGTCACTGAACCTTATGTGTAATTACATCACGTATCATATAAGCCAGAAGATCCAGGTTTTCTTTAGGATCTTTTTCACTTGTAAAATTCAATTTCAAGTTGTTTTGATTTCTAGGGTGCCGAGCAAAGACTATCTCAAGTTTTGTTTAGAGGTACTAGGTAACACAAAACCTATACTATACGATTCTTTCCAACTCTTTTTCTTTGATATATTCTATTGAAAGAATTATAGAATATCTGGGTCAGCTGCATATGTGAGGTTGGGTATACATTTGAACAAATTCCAAAATACTTTAATAGAATAAATGTTGTAGAAATGATTTTTTAAAAAGAATAGTAATATCACGTGTTTATTGAATATTTGTTAGGTAAAATTCTTACAGAATTTTTAATAAAAAGGTGCTGTGGGAGGTTAATTAAAAAGGACACTTGGTGCCAGGTGTGGTGGCTCACGCCTATAATCCCAGCACTTTGGGAGGCCAAGGCGGGTGGATCACTTGAGGTCAGGAGTCAAGACTAGCCTGGCCAACATGGTGAAACCCTGTCTCTACCAAAAAGTATAAAAAAATTAGCCAAGTATGGTGGCGTGCGCCTGTAATCCCAGTTACTTGGGAGGCTGAGGCAGGAGAATCACTTGAACCCAGGAGGAAGAGGTTGCAGTGAGTTGAGATGGCACCCCTGCACTCCAGCCTGTGTGACAGAGTGAGACTCCACCTCAAAAAAAAAATAAAAATAAAAATAAAAAAGGACATTTGGGTCAGGCACAGTGGCTCATGCCTGTAATTCCAGCACTTTAGGAGGCCAAGATAGGAGAATTGCTTGAGCCTAGGAGTTTGAGACCAGCCTGGGCTACAGAGTGAGACCCCATCTCTACAAAAACCAAAAAAATTAGCCAGGCATGGTACCACACACCTGTAGTTCCAACTTCTTGGGAGGCCGAGGCAGGAGGATCACTTGACCCAGGAGGTTAGGGCTGTTAGTAAATCGTGTTTATACCACTCAACAATGCATGAAGCCTTTGGGCAATAGAGCAAGATACTGTCTCAAAAAAAAATATTTCTTGCATGCTCAACATCATTAATTATAGGGAAACGCAAATCAGAACCACAATGAGATGCCACTTTGTGCCCACTAGATTGGCTGTAATCAAAATGATAGACAGTGGCCAGGCGCGGTGGCTCACGCCTGTAATCTCAGCACTTTAGGAGGCCGAGGTGGGTGGATCACCTGAGGTTAGGAGTTTGAGACTAGCCTGGCCAACATGATGAAACCCTGTCTCTATTAAAAAATACAAAATTAGCCAGGTGTTGTGGCACGCGCCTATAATCTCAGCTATATGGGAGGGTGAGGCAGGAGAATCACTTGAATCCGGGAGGTGGAGGTTGCAGTGAGCCAAGACCATGCCATTGCACTCCAGCCTGGGCAACAAGAGCAAAACTCCATCTCAAAAAAAAAAAAAAAGAGAGTAACAAGTGATGGTAAAGATGGAGAGAAATTAGCATCCCTGTACATTGCTGGGGAGAAAGTAAAATTGTATAGCCAGTTTGGAAAGCAGTCTGTCAGTTCCTGAGAAAATTATAGTTATTATATGACTCAGCAATTTTACTTCTAGGTATATACCCAAAAGAGTGGAATAAATACATTTTCACACAAAAAACGTGTATATGAATGTTTATAGCAGTATTATTCATAATAGCTCAAAATTTGAAACAATTTATTCACTAATAGATGAATGGAAAAATAAAATGTGATCTATTCATATAATGAAATATTATTCAGCAATGAAGCAGAATGAGGTACCAATAAATGCTACAATATGGATCAACCCTGAAAACTTATGCTATGTGAAAGGAGCTAGTCACAAAAGACCACATATTTTATGGCTCCATTTATATAAAATATGTGGAATAGGCAAAGTCCACATATTTTTCAGAAACTGGGGGAAGAGGGGAGTCAGTAGTGATGGGTAATGGGTGTGGGGTAACTTTTGTGGGTGATGAAAATCTGTAGTGATGGTTGTACAAATTTGTGACTAAAAAGCACTAAATTATATATTTCAAAGGGGTAAGTTTTATGGTAAATGAATTATATTTCAATAATGTTTTAAAACCTCAAAAAATTATATCTTCCTACCAATCCTGACATAGTTGACCCCATGAATGTACTCTTGAAAACATAATAAATGAAAACCTACACTACTGCCAAAGATTAAGATTGGCAGAAAAGTGATTATGAGAATATACAAGGTTTTTTCACTAACACTAAGGAGAGAGCCGGGATGAGAAAAAACATAAAGCACATACTTTTCCTCATAAAATAAAATCAGTTCTGGTCCTTGAAAAAGAGAGAAACTTTTTCTCCTACTATTAACTCCCCTTGATTGAAATGAGGTTTGTAATAATCAGAAGGCTCTATAGCCATCTCATTACTTGTTTTTAAGATGGCCATAATACTGTACCAACCCATTTCTATTTTTTTCTATATTCACAATGTAAGAGTAATGGTAAAATAAGTGCATTGCAATTCTTGGATATATGATTCCCCACATAAGTGAGGAAAGAAAGTATCTTGATAACATTATGTGCTGGAGATTATAATCACAATGTTTTTTTAAGGAATTTTAAGGCTAGTTAATAAAAGGAATTTTTATCAATTAAAAATAAACGAATAGGATCTTATATTTCTAGATGAGATGGAGTAACTGGACAAAATTTAACCTGCTGCCTGAAATAATAGGAATATGTGAAACAAGTGGTTTTTAAGACATTGGGCATTGGGCAACAAAGGACATTGTTTGCTGAGAGACATTAATCAAACAAGGTTGGCCCTATTATGGTCTCAGCTTACTGCTGTGAGAGACTTTCCAGGCTCTGTCACACAAAAGAGGAACAGAGGTAAGCACTCAAAGACTCATGACTTGAGGAGACATTGATGATAGTCTGTAGAGACCAAGGTCACTAGATATCACAGGGTGCAGTACTGAAGTGGTGAGAGTCACTACAAGAACTCCAGAGATCTGCAGAAGATCCTTGTCATGTTTACAGTAGAGTACTAATCAGTATATGAATATGAGGGAGCTACCCAAGGCTAGGAAAAGAACCACTGAAAAGGTTTAGAAGAGGGAAGACTGTACGCAGTTCTCACAGGAATAGGAATAGTGCCTTTTGCCACCTACCAGACTAGAAAACCTCACTATTTATGGGGCATTGGGTACAATGTTTTAAAAGATCTTGCATCAATAGTGTGGAATCCTTAGCCCTAAACTTAAATGGTCCTGTGGTTCTGTCTGACATATCTTAAAAGCAAGACCTGAAAGGATTAAATCGTTTCCAATTTAACTGCAACCCAGAAAAAAAGCCCAGGAATCTTTATAGTAATACAAACATGTTCAGCACCTCACAAGATAAAATTCACAATATATGACACCCAGTAAAAAAAACTAGCAGGCATGGAAACAAGCAAAAAAAAAAAAAGACTAAAATTGTAAAATTGATGGATAAGGATACCAAAACTTCTTATAAGTGTATTCTGTATGTAAGATAAAGCTGGAGAAAAGATCAAACATGTTAAGTAAAAAAATGAATAATATAGAAGAAATCCAAAACAAACTTCTGGTGCTGATAACTATAATGTCTGAGATGGAAAACACAAGAGATGGGATTAACTAGAGGACATATCTTGTAGAAGAAAAAGATTGGTGAATTTGAAGAAATTACAATAGAAAACATTCAAAGGAAGGCATAAAGAGAAGAATTAATTATTAAAAAATGAATAGAACAGCACTAAGCTGTGGGACACCTTCATAAATAACAGATGTGCATCACTTGTATTCAACTATAAATATAGCATAATATATTTGTAATGGGACCCCTTTAAGGAAGGGAAGGCAGAAAAAAATCATAGCTGAGTTTTTCCAAATTTGATGATAGCTTTAAACCCAGAAACTGAAGAAACTCAAACCAAAAACCAAGAAACATGAAGAAAACTACGTCAGTGTAGGTCACCATCAAATTGTTCACAAATAGTAATAAGAGAAAATCTTGAAAGCAGCTTGAGGAAAAAAAAGACATATGACCTACAGCAGGGGTCCCCAACCCCTGGGCCATGGACTGGTACCAGTTGTGGTCTGTGACCTGTTAGGAACTGGGCCACACAGCAGGAGGTGAGTGGTGGGCAAGAGAAGCTTCATCTGTATTTACAGCCACTCCCCAACACTCATACTACTGCCTGAGCTCCACCTCCTGTCAGATCAGTGGTAGCATTAGATTCTCACAGGAACACAAACCCTATTGTGAACTGTGTATGTGAGGGATCTAGGTTGTGCACTTCTTATGAGAATCTAATGCCTGATGATCTGTCAGTGTCTCCCATCACCCCCAGATGGGACCATCTAGTTGCAGGAAAACAAGCTCAGGGCTCCCCTCATTCTACATTATGGTGAGCTGTATAGGCCTTGTATCCAAAATGTATAAAGAACTTCCAAAACTCAATAATAAGAAAACATATAACACAGTTTTTAAAATGGCCAACGAGTTGAACAGACATTTCACCAAAAAATATAAAAGGGTGGCAAATAAACATATAAAAATGCTCAACATCATTAGTAATTAGAGAAATGCAAATTAATATCACAACCAGATAACACCACACACCTATTAGAATGACTAAAATTTAAAAAACAAACTACCCCCTCATTTTGGCTAGGGATGTGGGATATGTGGAGTACTTATTCACTGTTGGTGGGAATGTAAAATGTTATAGCCACTTTGGTAAACAGTTTGGCAGTTTTTTAAAAAAATTGAATACATACCTACCATATGATCCAGCTATTCCACTCCTTGGTATATACCCAGGAGATGTAATGACATAAGTCTGTGTAAAATTTCTTATATAAACGTTCATAGCAACATGATTTGTAATAGCTAAAAGGTAGAAAAAAATCTAAATATTAACCCAAGAGTAGGTAAATAAAACCTGATATCTGTATAATGAAATACAATTTAGCAATAAAAGAGAACGAACAATTTAAACATGCAAACAATGAGTGAATCTGAAAATTATACTGAATGGAAGAAGCCAGACAAAAAAGAATACATAGTATATGATCTTATTTATATGAACTTCCAAAAATGCAAAGTAATCTATTGTGATTGAAAGCAAATCAGTCATTGCCTGGGATCCATGGAGTTGGGTAACATGGAAGAGTGGGGGGAAGCACTATAAAGGAGCAAGAGGGGCTGAAGGCAGTGGCTCACACCTGTAATCCCAGCACTTTGGGAGGCTGAGGCAGGTGGATTAGTTGAGGTCAGGAGTTTGAGACCAGCCTAAGCAACATGCTGAAACCCCATCTCTACTAAAAATACAAAAATTAGCTGGGCATGGTGGCATGTGCGTGTAACCCCAGCTACTTGGGAGGCTGAGGCAGGAGAATCTCTTAAACCTGGGAAGTGGAGGTTGCAGTGAGCCAAGATCATGCTGCTGCATTCCAGCCTGGATGACAGAGTGAGACTCTTTCTCAAAAAATAAATAAATAAATAAATAAACAAACAAATAGTGGGAGAGGGCAAGAGGAAACTTTGGAGGTAAAGGATATATCCATAATCTTTACTATGTTAAGGTTTCCACAAGTATATACATACGTGTGACAAAATGATCTAATTATGCATTTTAAATATGTGCAATTTGTTGTATGCAAATTACAGTAAGTTCTCACTTTGCATGGTTCCAGTATGCAAAAATTTCAGTCAGCATACTTCAGTTAAATCTCATCCATCCCCTAGAAACCTTTAAATTTACCACAGAATATTTATTATGAATAATTGCATAAAGTAAAATGTTTGCTGCTAGCTCTTCAGTCCACACATCATTATAAATAACAGATGCATGGCATGATCAGTGACCCATCACATTACTTTTTCAAAGTCATCTGGTGATGATTTTTTTATTTTATTGGTCGTTGTTCAGTTCATGCACAGACAGCAAAGCATGTAGTTGTGTTGTCTTCTTGTCTCTCAGTAATAAATCTACATGACATTTTACCAAAATGAATAATCAAGGGAATTGGCTAACTGTGATGGTTAATTTTGTGTATCAATTAATCTGGGCCATGGGGTGCTCAGGTATTTGGTCAGTCATTATTCTGAGTGTGTCTCTGAGAGTGTTTTTATATGAAATGTACATTTGAATCAGTAGACTGAGTAAAGGAGATTGTTCTCCCTAATGTGGATGTGAATCAGTTGAAGTCCTGAATAGAACAAGAACGTTGATCCTACTGTGAGTAAGAGGAAACGACTCCTGCCTAACTATTGAGCTGGGAGACTGGACTTTTCTTGCCTTCAGACTTGAACTGAAACGTTGGCTCTTCTTGGGTCTTGAGTCTGCCAGCTTTCAGACTTAAACTATTGTCTCTCCTGGGTTTCCAATTTGCTGACTGTAGGTCTTGGGACTAATACATAATTGTATGGGTGAATTCCTTATAATAAATATCTTTATACATACATCCTTTTGGTTTTGTTTCTCTGGAGAATCCTGACTAATATAGATTTTGGATCCAAGGTGTGGGGTTCTCCTGTACAAATACCTAAAATGTGGAAATGACTTTGGGACTGGGTAAGTGTAGAGGCTGGAAGTTTTGATATGCATCCTAGAAATATATATGTTTAATGAATGATTGTGGTGAGGGCTCAGAGGGAAAACAGCAGAGCAGGAGAGAAAGCATCTATCTTTAAGAGAACACATAAATAATCATGAATAGAATGTTAGAATGGTAGAAATATGTATGTTAAAGGCCATTCTGGTAAGCTCTCAGATGTAAAAGAGGAACAGGTGGCAATCCTTGTTATAAAGGGGCAAAAATCTTGTTTGAATTATGTTCTAGTATTTTGCAGTAAGTAGAATTTTTAAGCCAGGGGTCCCCAACCCCTGGCTGCAGATTGGTATGAGCCCATGGCCTATTAGTGTTGCAGGAAGTCAGGGACCCCAAACAGAGGAACCAGCTGAAGCCATGGCAGAAGAACATAAATTGTGAAGATTTCATGGACATTTATTAGATCCCCAAATTAATACTTTTATAATTTCTTACACCTGTCTTTACTGCAATCTCTGAACATAAATTGTGAAGATTTCATGGATACTTATCACTTCCCCAATTAATACCCTTGTGATTTCTTATGCCTGTCTTTATTTTAATCTCTTAATCCTGTCATCTCATAAGCTGAGAAGGATGTATATTGCCTCAGGACCCTGTGATGATTGCATTAACTGCAAAAATTGTAGAGCATGTGTGTTTGAACAATATGAAATCTGGGCACCCTGAAAAAAGAACAGGATAACAGCAATGTTCAGGGAACAAGAGAGATAACCTTAAACTCTGACTGCCGGTGAGCCAGGCGGAACAGAGCCATATTTCTCTTCTTTCAAAAGCAAATGGGAGAAATATCACAGAATTCTTTTTCTCAGCAAGGAACATCCCTGAGAAAGAGAATGCGCCCCTGAGGGTGGGCCTCTAAAATGGCCCCCTTGGGTGTGGCCGTCTTCTATGGTCAAAACTGTAGGGATGAAATAAGCCCCAGTCTCCCATAGTGCTCTCAGGCTTATTAGGATGAGGAAATTCCCACCTAATAAATTTTGGTCAGACCCGTTGGTTGCTCTCAAACCTTGTCTCCTGGTAAGATGTTATCAATGACAATGGTGCCCGAAACTTCATTAGCAATTTTAAATTCACCCTGGTCCTGTGGTCCTGTGATCTTGCCCTGCCTCCATTTGCCTTGTGATATTCTATTACCTTGTGAAGTACATGATCTCTGTGACCCACACCCTATTCGTACACTCCCTCCCCTTTTGCAAATCCCTAATAAAAACTTGCTGGTTTTACAGCTCAGGGGGCATCATGGAACCTACCGACATGTGATGTCTCCCCCGGACACCCAGCTTTAAAATTTCTCTCTTTTGTACTCTGTCCCTTTATTTTTCAACCTGGCTGATGCTTAGAGAAAATAGAAAAGAACCTACGTGACTATCGGGGGCAGATTTCCCGATAATTAGGAACTGGGCCACACAAGCAGGAGGTAAGCAGCAGTTGAGTGAGCATTACCACCTGATCTCCACCTCCTGTCAGATCAGCAGTGACATTAGATTCTCAGAGGAATGTGAACCCTATTGTGAGCAGTGCATGGGAGGGATCTAGGTTGCACACTCCTTATGAGAATCTAACTAATGCCTGATGATCTGAGGTGGAACAGTTTCATTCTGAAACCATGGCACCCTCCCACCTTGCTCCATCTGTGGGAAAATTGTCTTCCACGAAACTGGTCCCTGGTGCCGAAAAGGTTAGGGACCACTATTTTAAGCAATGAAATTGGGTATTTAGCAGAGGTGATTTAAAAAAAAAAAAACTTTTTTTAGAGACAGGGCTCTTTCTGTCGCCCAGCCTGGAGTACAATGGCACCATCATAGCTCACTGCAACCTTTACCTCCCAGGCCCAAGTGATCCTCACACCTCAGCCTCCCGAGTAGCTGAGACTATAGGTGCATGCCACCATGCCTGGCTAATTTTATTGTTTGTAGAGACAAGTTTTCACCATGTTGCCCAGGCTGGTCTCGAACTCCTGGGCTCAAGCAATCCACCTGCCTTGGGCTCTCAAAATGCTGGGATTACACGTGTGAGCCACTGTGCCTGGCCCAGAGGTGATTTTTAAAGCCAAGTATTGAAAATATAGCATAGGTCCTCCTTACTACTTATAGTAAAATATGAGAGGCAAGAAATGAAAAAGGAATTATTAAGGAAAAAGTTTTCAGAAGATGGAGATTGGGAAAATTCTTAGCCTGTCCATACTGCACAAAACTTGTTCTGAAGAGAACACGAAGGGTGGTATGGCTGAAGAACCACTTGATAAAGAAATAGTGGGTGCGCCTCCTGGGTGTATTCGTCAATCTCAGCAGAAGCTAGGAATAGAAATGCAATTATAACAACAAAGACACTGCCAGTTTGAACTGAGGACAGAGAAAGACAAGACAGAATGAAGGAAGGCTTTCAGACTTCTTGAATTCTACTGGGCAGGAACGTAGAGCTGTTCAGCTGCAAATGTGCACTATTCTCAAGGAAAGGGAAGAATAACACCAAAGGTGATTCAGAAATCATGAGTGCTGCTACTACCAGCACTAGCCTAAGGGGCAAGACAGCTTCTTAGTTGGTTTCAGAGGGTAATGCCCTCACAGAGAGCCACAGGTGCATGCAGGATCAGACCAAACAGCTGTTGGCATGATATTGCCATCCCAGTAGGCCTGGAAGGTGGGATATCAAGCCAAACACACTTATCTCCAGCCTTAAGATCTAGTGAAGTTTTTCTTACTAGGTTTTAGAGTTGCTAGGGACCTGCCATCATATTCTTCTTCCCTACTTCCCCCTTTTGGAATGGGAATGTCTATCCTATGCATAGCCCACCATTGTATTTTTGAAGCATATAGCTTGTCTGGTTTCACAAGTTCATAGCTGAAGAAGAATTTTTCCTCAAGATGAATAGTACCTTGAGTCTCACCCATATCTGATTTAGATGATACTTATTTAATCCTTTATTAGAGATGGGGTCTTGCTCTGTAGTGCGGTGGCATAATCATAGCTAACTGCAGTGTCTACCTCCTGGGGTCAAGAGATCCTCCCATCTCATCCTCCATGTAGCTAGTAATACATGTGACAGCCACTTTACCCAGGTTAGATAATATTTAAATGAGACTTGGGCTTTAGATGTTTGAGTTGATGCTTGAATAAGTTAAGACTTTTTTTTTTTTTTTTTTTTTTGTGATGGAGTTTCACTCTTGTTGCCCAGGCTGGAGTGCAATGACACATTCTCCACTCACTGCAACCTCTGCCTCCTGGGTTCAAGCGATTCTCCTGCTTCAGCCTCCTGAGTAGCTGGGATTACAGGTGCCCGCCACCACACCTGGCTAATTTTTTGTATTTTTAGTACAGACAGGATTTCACCATGTTGGCCTGGCTGGTCTTTAACTCCTAATCTCAGGTCATTCACCTACCTCGGACTCCCAAAGTGCTGGGATTACAGGCATGAGCCACCGCACCAGCCAAGTTAAGACTTTTAAGGCATGTATTTTGCATATGAGAAGGGTATGAATTACGGGGGACCAAGGATGGAATGTTGGGCTGAATATTTAGATCCTCTGAAAGTTCATATGTTGAAGCCCTAAACTTCAATGTGGCTGTTTTTGGAAATGGGGCCTGTAAGGGTAAGTGAGATTGTAAGAATGAGGCTTGATCTGATAGGATTAGTGTTTTTATAAGGAGAGATGATAGAGAGTTCACTTTCCCCCTATGCCATGTTAGGAAGGAGCAAGATGGTGGCTGCGTATAAGCCAAGAGAAGAGGCTTCAGAATGAAACCAATCTTACCATGACCTTGATCTTGGACTTAACCAGCTTTTAGAACTATAAGAAAAAAATTTTGTGGGTTAAACCACCAGTGTATTGTATTTTGTTGTGGCAACCCAAGCAGACAAATACACTCACAAAGATGAAAGTGAAGCAAACAAGTAAAATGTGATAATGCCATTAGTGATATTCAAGTCTATCATAAATGGAGTTATAGAAAAAATGGCTGATTATGAAAATGTTGACATTGCTGTCATTCAAAAGATTCTAGATATTAAGTCAGGAACTTAGTATTGGTGAAGTTATCAACATAAATGAAGGAAGTGATTGTGAGGAGAAGTATTAAGATGTCCCAAGGAAAGTGATACAGCAAAAAAGTTTCAAGATAACTCATGAGATACTCGATAATATTGAAAACACAAAGGATAAAATGATGGAACGTGATCCATACTTAGAAAGGAGTATGAAATTCACCGAGGCTTAGAAAAGGTGAACATTCCCTACGTTAATTTATAGGAGAAGAAGGGAAGCACTGTTCATCCTACTCTTGATAGGATTTTTAACAAAGATAAAACATTTTAATTCTCTTTTTTAATGTTTTAAATTATTTCATACAAAATAAATATTAGTTGTAATCTTTTTTCATTTTTCTATAATTTATTCCTACATTAGGAAAGTTTTCCATGTTTTGCCAAAAATTAGTAAAAGTCACAGGACAATTATAATTTCCCCCATTAGTTATTAAGAATGTTTTGGCTGGGCACGCTGGCTTACACCTGTAATCCCAGCACTTTGGGAGGCCGAGGCGGGTGGATCACTTGAGGGCCAGCAATTCAAGACCAGCCTGGCTAACGTGATGAAACCCCATCTGCACTAAAAATACAAAAATTAGCTAGGTGTGGTGGCTGGCACCTATAATCCCAGCTACTTGGGAGGCCGAGACAGGAGAATGACTTGAACCCAGGAGGCAGAGGTTGCAGTGAGCCAAGATGGTGCTATTGCACTCCAGCCTAGGTGACAGAGCGAGACTTTGTTTCAAAAAAAAAAAAAAAAAGAAAGAAAGAAAGGAAAAAGAAAATAGAAAACAATCAATCTATGGAAAACATACTGTAGAACAAGAGAAACATTCTCGTCAAAATTCAATGTATATAACACTGAAAATTAAGTAGAAGAAAAATCCACATTTTCAATTTCTGCTATAGTTAAAGAGTAAGCTTGATCTTAATAGAACTTGAGCAGAAAATGCAAACTAAAATAGAAAAATTTCAGAATTAGATAAAAGGGAGTTGAATGATACAAGGAAAGATTCTAAGTAGATTAATGCTTCACTGGTAGAATTATTTATGTCTATATTAGAGGGAATATGTACCTAAATGTGCAAACATTGTGATACTGAGTTTACCTTGTGAGCAGAGGAGAAAAAAGGAAAAATATGAAAATAATATTATATTTGAGAGATAACTAAGGTATGTTTATAATTTCAAAATAAGAACAATGTTGGGATAACTGGCTAGCCATTATGCAGAAGATTGAAACTGGACCCCCTCCTTACACCATATACAAAAATCAACTCAAGATGGATTAAAGAATTAAATGTAAAACCCAAAACTAAAAACCCTGGAAAACAACCTAGGCAATACTATTCAGGAGATAGGCACAGGCTAAGATTTCATGACCGGACTCCAAAAGCAATTGCAACAAAAGCAAAAATTGACAAATGGCATTTAATTAAACTGAAGAGCTTCTGCATAGCAAAAGCAACTATCAACAGAGTAAACAGACTGCCTACAGAATGAGAGAACATTTTTGCCAACTATGCATCTGACAAGGTCTAATATGCAGCGTCTATAAGGAAATTAAACAAATTTACAAGAAAAGAAAACCCACTAAAAAGCGGGCAAAGGACATGAACAAACACTTTTCAAAAGAAGACATACATGTGGCCCAACAATCATGTGGAAAAAAGCTTAACATCACAGATAATTAGACAAATGCAACTCAAAACCGCAATGAGATACTAACACCAGTCAGACTGGCTATTATTAAAAAGTCAAAAAATAACAGATGCTGGTGAGGTTGTGGAGAAAAAGGAATGCTTTTACACTGTTAATGGTAGTGTAAATTAGTTCAACCATTGTGGAAGACAGTGTGGCTATAAATCATTTCTTCTAGATTTTCCAATGTATTGGCATATAGTTGCTCCTGGTAGACACTAATGATCCTTTGAATTTCTGCAATATCAGTTGTAATGTCTCCTTTTTCATCTCTGATTTTATTTATTTGGTTTTTTTCTTTGTCTAAAGGTTTGTCAATTTTATTTTTTTCAAAAAACAATTTTTGTTTTGCTAATTTTTTGTTTTGTTTTCTTCATTTCTATTTCATTTATTTCTTCTCTGAGCTTTATTATTTCTTTTCTTCTACTAATCTTGGATTTGATTTGCTATTGCTTTTCTAGTTTTTTTTTTAAATGTTTCATCCTGTCTTATGATGCTGAGCTTTTCCAGTTCTTTAAGATGCATCATTAGGTTATTTATTTGAAGTTTTTCTTCTTTTTGATATAGGTACTTACAGCCATAAATTTCCTTCTTACTACTGCCTTCAGTGTATTCCATAGGTTTTGATATGTTGTGTTTCCATTATTTGTTTCAAGAAAGCTTTCAATTTCCTTCTTACTTTTTCATTGACACACTGGCCTTTCAAGAGCATATTGTTTAATTTTCATGTGTTTGCATAGTTTCCAAAATTCCTCTTGTTATTGAGTTCTGGTTTTATTCCATGTGGTTAGAGAATATATTTGATACTATTTCAGGTTTTTTTTTGAATGTTTTAAGATTTGTTTTGTGACCTAATTTATGGTCTATCCTTGAGAATGATTCATATGCCAAGAAGAAGAATGTATATTCTGCAGCTGTTGCATGAAATGTTCTGTAAATAGCTATGAGGCCCATTTTTTGTGTATAGCAGATTAAGTCTGATGTTTCTTTGTTGATCTTGTGTCTGGGAGATCTGTCCAATGCTGAAAGTGGGATTTTGAATTCACTATTATCGTATTGGAATCTATCTCTCTCTTTAGTTCTAATAATATTTGCTTTATATATCTGGCTGCTCCAGTGTTGGATATATAAGTATTTAGAATTATTATATCCTTTGCTGAATGAACGTTTCTGATTATGTAATGAACTTCTGTATCTCTTCTTGTGGTTTTTGTTTTGAAATCTATTTTGTCTATGTCAATATAGCTATTCCTGCTTTTTTGGTTTCCATTGGCACCAAATGAATGTTTTTTTCCATCCCTTTATTTTCAGTCTATGTGTATCTTTATGGGTGAAGTGTGTTTCCTATAGGCAACAAATCACTGGATCTTATTTTTTTTAATCCATTCAGCTACTCTGTGTCTTTTGATTGGAGAGTTTAGTCTATTTACATTTAGTGTTATTATTGATAAGTAGGGACTAACTCCTGCCACTTTGCTACTTGTTTTCTGGTTTGTTTGTTTATTTGTTTTGTGGTCTTCTCCTCCTTCTCTCCTTCCTTCCTGTCTTCCTTTTAGTTTGATTTTTTTCTAGTGGTATGATTTAATTTCTTTTTATTTTTTGTGCATCCATTGTATGTTTTCTGATTTGAGAGTACTGTGAAACTTGCAAATACTACCTTATAACCCACTATTTTAAACTGATGACGACTTAACACTGCTTGCATAAACAAACAAATATGAGAGAGAAAACTAATAAAAACAATATACTTTAAGTTCATCTCCCTGCTTTTTAACTTTTTGTGGTTTCTCCTTGTTTCACTCTAACTGTCTATGTCTAGAAATGCTTGTAGTTATTATTTTTGATTGTTTTATCATTTATTCTTTCTACTTAAGAGTAATTTACACACCACAATTACAGTGTTACACTATCCTGGGTTTTTTTATGTGCTTACCATTACCAGTGTTTTTTAACTTCAGATGATTTCTTCTTGCTTATGAATGTCCTTTTCTTTCAGATTGAGGAAATCCCTTTAAGATTTCTTGTAGGACAGGTCTGGTCTTGATGAAAGCCCTCAGCTTTCGTCTGTCTGGGAACATCTTTATTTGTCCTTCCTGATTTGAAGAATATTTTTGCTGGATATAGAATGCTAGGGTAAAAGTGGTTTTTGTTGTTGTTGTTGTTGCTTTGTGTGTGTGTGTGTGTTTTCCCAACACTTTAAATATGTTATGCTACTCTCTCCTGGCCTGTAAGTTTCCATTGAAAAGTGTGCTGCCAGACATATTGGAGCTCCGTTGTATGCTGTTTATTTCTTTTATCTTGCTGCTTTTAGAATATTTTATTTATTCTTGACCTTTGGGAGTTTGATTACTAAATTTCTTGAGATAATCTTCTTTGGATTAAATCTGCTTGGTGTTCTGTAACCTTCTTGTACTTGAATGTTGATGTCTTTAACTTTGGGAATTTCTTTATATCCCTTTGAATAAAGTTTCTACCCCTGTCTCTTTCTCTACCTCCTCTTTAAGGCCAGTAACTCTTAGATTTGCCCTTTTGACGCTATTTTCTAGATCTTGTAGGCATGCCTCATTGTATTTTTATTTTTTTTCTTTTGTCTCCTCTGACTTTGTATTTTTAAATAGCTTGTCTTCAAGCTCACTGTTTTTTTTCTGCTTAATCAAGTCTGCTATTAAAAAACTCTGATGCATTCTTCAGCATGTCAATTGCATTTTCAACTCTAGAATTTCTGCTTGATTCTTTTAAATTATTTCAATCTCTCTGTTAAACTTACCTGATAGAATTCTGAATGACTTATCTGTGTTATCTTGAATTCTTTGAAGCTTCCTCACAACAGCTATTCTGAATTCTTTGTCTGAAAGGTCATATATCTCTTTTTCTCCAGGATTGTTCCCTGGTGTCTTACTTAGTTCATTTGGTGAGGTCATGTTTTCCTGGATGATGCTGATGCTTATAGATGTTCATCAGTGTCTGGACATTGAAGAGTTAGGTATTTATTATAGTCTCCACCGTCTGGGCTTGTTTGTGCCTGTCGTTCTTGAGAAGTCTTTCTAGGTATTCAAAGGGACTTGGGCCCCAAGCCCAATAATGCTGTGTTTTTTGTGGACTCATGCCTAAGGTATCTCCTTGGTGGTCATGGATAAGAGCCAGAATTCTCTTGATTACCACGCAGAGACTTTTGTTCTTTTTTCTTACTTTCTTCCAGACAAACGGAGTCTCTCTCTCTCTGTGTGCTGAGTCACCTGGAACTGGGGGTATGGTGATGCAAGCACCCTTCTAGCCACCACTACTGTTACTGCAGTGGGTCAGACCTGAAGCCAGCACAGCAATGGGCCTTGCCCAAGGACCTTTCCTTCAGGGTGGCGAGTTCCTCCAGGTCCCCGGCATATCCAGAGATGCTGTCTGGGAGCCAAGGATTGGAGTCAAAAACTTTAGAAATTTACAGCCAGGTGTGGTGGCTCACACATATAATCCTAACAATTTGGGAGGCTGAGGTAGATGGATTGCTTGAGCTCACAAGTTCGAGACCAGTGTAGTCAACATGGTGAAACCCTGTCTCTACAGAAAAATACAAAAAAAATTACTCGGGCATGGTGGTGTGCGCCTGTAGTCCCAGCTACTTGAGAGGCTGTGGTGGGAGGATTGCTTGAGTGTGGGAGGTTGAGGCTGCAGTGAGCTGTGATCGTGCCACTGCACTCCAGCCTAGGTGACAGAGGGTCTCGAAAAAAATAAAAATAAAAAGCCTTAGCAATTTACCTGATGTTTTATTTTACTATGGCTAAGCTAGCACTCAAACCACAATATAGAGGCCTTCCCCAGTGTTTCCTCTCCTTTCCACAGGCAGCGGAGCTTCTTCTTGTGGCCAGCACCACCAACAGTCCATGGCAGGTTCTGCCAGGCCACAGCTGATGTTCAGTTCAAGCCCAAAGACTCTTTTATCAGCTTATGGTGAATGCTGCCAGGCCTGGGACTCACACTCAGGACAGTGGGCTCCCCTCTGGAGCCCCTCCCAGGGCAGGTCCAGAAATTCTGTCCAAGAGCCTAGGCCTGGACTTAGGGACCCTTAGAGCCTGCTTGTTGCTCTACCCCACTGTGTACAAGCTGGTACCTAAGGTGCAAGACAAAGTCCCCTTTACTTTTTCCTCTACTTTTCTCAAACAGAAGGAGTCTTCCACCATAGCCACCATAGCTGGGATTGTGCTGGGTCCCACCTGAAGCCAGTACATCTCAGAGTCTGAGGCCCACTGTGTACTCCCCCGGTATTGCTGCTGGTTATTCAGGGCCCAAGGACTCTTTAGTCAGCAGGTGATGAATCTTCCCAGGACTAGGTCCTTCCCTTGAAGGTAGTGGATTCCCTTTTGGCCCAGGGTATGTCTAGAAATGTCATCTGGAAGCTAGTGCCTGGAGTGGGGGCCTCACAACTCTGCCCAGTGCCCTATCCTATTGTGATTGAGCTGGTTTCCAATATGCAAGACCAAGTCCTCTTTATTACTCTTAGCTCTCCTTAAGCAAAAGGAGGGAGGTCACTTTCATTGCTACAAGCTGGATTGCCTGGATTGGGAGAGGGATGGCATAAGCACTCCTATAGCCACCCCAACTAGTATCTTCCTAGGTCACATGCCACCATAGTTCCGTGGCTCTAAGCCCAGCCTAGCATTAGGATTTGCCTAGGAATTGCAGTCCTTGTGTCCTAGACTGTCTTTCAAGTTTACCTGGGACCCCAGAGCACTTCAGCCCACAGTGGTGAGGCTTGTCAAGAAACTCAAGTGCTGACCACCGCGATGAGTGATTTCCCTCTGTCTAGTTCTGATCCAAATGCTGTAGTCCAAAAGCCCCCTCCATGCATAGGTGCCAGTTGAGTCCAGCACAGGTTTATTCTCCACTATGACAGGGCATCACTGAGTTCAGTATAATTCTCCCAGGAGCTGCATTCTCCCTCCCCACAGTGGTGAGAGTTTCTCTCCATGCAACACAACTACCGTCAGGAGGTGGGAGCGGGGAGGCAGTGGCAATTGAAGACCATCTCTCCTGCCCTCCTCAATGCGTCTTTCAGGAATATGAAGTTAAAGCCAGGTACTGTGATTGCTCACCTTACTTTTGGTTTTTGTGATGGTGATTTTCTGTGTGCAGATAGTAATTAAAATTTGGTGTTCCATTTGGGGGTCGAGCAGTGTAGGCTTCTATTCTGCCACCGTGCTCTGCCCCCCGTTATCCATGTTATGTTTTTTCTATTTGTTTTGTTTTGTTTGAGATGGAGTCTTGTTCTGTCACCTATGCTGGAGTGCAGTGGCATGAACATGGTTCACTGCTGCCTTGACCTCCCAGGCTTAAGCAATCCTCCCACTTCAGCCTCCCTAGTATCTGAGACTGCAGGCATGTGCTACCACACCTGGCTATTTTCTTAATTTTTTATAGAGACAGGGTCTCCCTATGTTGCCCAGGGACTTTTTGTTTTAAAGAGTAAGATACCTCTTGATTATCAGCTTTGCCATTATGGACCATTATTATCTAAACAATGCTTTAGATATTTGCATGGTTTCAATTAAGCATGTTTTCAATTAGGAAAAAAGACTCCTGTTTAAAGCTGGTAGAAAGAAGCTACAGAAATGTCCTCCTATGATACCTAAAAATATGCACTATAACAATGTTAAAAAGAGGAAGGGAAGAGTAGCAGAACCAGACAAGAAAAAAAAAAAAGAAACAAATTATTCACCAGCAGCAACCAGAAATAACAAACAGGATAGAATTTCATCATACATTTCAAAAGATGATAGCCAAGGAAAGAAATAGAAAATTTCCTAAAGCGTAGTGTGGCGCCCAGGACCACATGTGCTCCGAAAAAGCTGTGATCTTGAGACTCATCATTAATTTACCTGAAATAGTAGAGGAATCGATTTATGGAGTTTTTGTTTTGGGTTTTGTTATTTTTTTTATTTTTATTTTTTTTTTACATTTTTCTTTCTCTTACTCTGTAAAAGTAGCAACAGCTGCTGAGAAGAGATGACTAAAAGCTGAAAAGTGAAGAATTAACACTGATTTCTTGGCAGAAGCAGAAGCTTCAGGACTCCTGAATTGAGGGAATGATCTAAATTCCAAGGATTATCTCTCAGTGAGAACAAGGTATGTTCCCTTTCCTGAGTAGATAGGGCAAACCTCCCAGAAAATCTCAAACAGCTGAATCCCATTCCTCCACCCAAAGCTGCACATTAAAGTTGCCACAAAATTCCAGCTGACATGTCTTCTTTCTATTCCTAGACTTTAGCCATACTAAATTTCTCATGGTATGGCCATTTTTCTTTGCTATTTGAAAAAATCCTGTTTGTAGCACCTTGTAGCCATGTGACTTCTGCCACTTGTTTTGTTTCTCCAAAGATAATTCGCCTCTCTTTGGATTGTCTCTTCATTAAATATATGGAGGGAAAAAGAGAGAAGTTTTAAAAAGTAATTTTAAGTCATTCAGGCTAGGGGTGTTTTAAAGTCATTGACTATCTTTTAAACAAAACTCAGTGACATTTTCAGTAAACATTACTGGTAAAACAGTAAACGCTTTCCAGAATAAGCAGAAAATAATGCTTTTTAGTATTTTTGTCTTCAAAGGTGGAGAAGAAACTAAAGCTAAGGAAGTTATCATTCAGTATTGCACTCCTCAGAGTAAAATCAGACATAAAACCACACAGTTGCTAAATTCATTAAACCAGCAGCGAAATAATATTTTGTCTATAGTGAAGGCAAAAATCAACTCGTCAAAATTCTTTATACACATGATACTTTTGGACAGTATAATATCAACAATGTATAATATGAAAGCACAATTATTCTAACATGTGCATGCTAATGGATAATTACCATTACAGTTGGATGCAGATTTTCTATGGCAAGGGTATGAGCAAATCTTTGATCTACATGCGGTTCATGTAAGGGGGGAAGTGCTTGACAGCTTGTTCCTTTCATATTGAAAATCCTTGCAAAAAGGGGATGAGATTTTTAAAAATTGGCTTGTGATTATTTTGTGAGTCAAAAAAGTTTTCTAAAAATGATGTGTTGAGATCAGTATTAACAGAGCAGCAGCTATAGAACAAGAAAGATCACCATTACGTTAAAGAAATTGCACTAGAATATTCTCACACTGTGCTATTCCTAGAACATAATTGTCTATAAATGTGAACTCTGATCTTGGTTGTCTTATTAAAGGCAGTAGTGAAAATTGTACTCATTATTGAATTTTGGTCCTTGTGTATATATTTTTTAGAATACAGTGAAAATATGGCTGGGCACGGTGGCTCACACCTGTAATCCCAGCACTTTGGGAGCCCGAGGTGGGTAGATCACCTGAGGTCAGGAGTTCAAGACCAGCCTGGCCAACATGCCAAAACCTCATCTCTACTAAATATACAAAAATCAGCTGGATGTGGTGGTACGTTCTGGTAATTCCAGCTACTTGGGAGGCTGAGGCATGAGAATTGCTTGAACCTGGGAAGCAGAGTTGCAGTGAGCCGAGATCGTGCCACTGCGCTCCAGCCTGGGTGACGGAGTGAGACTCTATCTTAAAAAAAAAAAAAAAAAAAAGAATAAAGTGAAAATAAATGGGCAGTGAATATAAAAACTCTGGTTTCCAACCTGAAACATACTGGCTATCAAGAGAGAAGGTAGTCATGAATTTTTAAAATCAGATATGAGATAAAAACATTTCCCCATGACCCTAAAAAAGACCATTTTAGTGATTTCAGGGAGCTTTCCCAAATGGCATGTGGTAGTACCATGAATAGCTTGAAACTGTCCTTCAGGGCTAAACTATTATGAATTTTAATGCTGAAGATAATATGTGAGGACAACCTATGATGCAAACATGGTTTAATCACTGTCAGGTGGCCTCTTTAACACACTGAGGATATGTATTCTCCTTCGCCTGTCTCTACCCAGAAAAAGTAGTCATTCCTTACTAAGTAAATTGTGTAATCATTTTATTTTGAATATTTATATTAGAGTAGTTATCACATTGTATCAGATACTTTGGGGTGTGAATGCCTCTCAGTTGGACTGTGCATTCTTCAAGGGCTAGCAGTTTTGCTCCGCCTCAACAGAGGTGTGCTGGTAACTCTTTTAAAAATAGACTTTCTGGGAGAGTGAGACCTTGTCTAAAAAAAAAAAAAAAGACTTTCTGGGAATAAAAATGTATGCTTATAAGTACATACCTAAGTTTATAAATTCTATTGATGTAACAGCAGTATCATACAATTCACAAATAATAATAAAATATGCAGTACTGTCTTGTAAAATTCATATAGCCAGTTGATTCTCACAGAATGCCCTAGTTGATTTTTACCCAACCCTTGTGTCTGTAGTCTTACTGGTAGCCAATCTATGGTTGCAATTGTTGAGCAAATGCAATTCTGACATGCATGTTTATTGATATTTTTGTTTAAACGAGTAAGAGGAACATAAAACAACAAAAGTATATGTTGGAACTTTACTTTTTCATCAGTGATGTGAACAACTTCTTGCTAGATTTTTAATAGTTTTGAAATATTGGAAGATTATTTCCTCATTTCTTGTGATATTTACAGTGTATCACTTTAATTTGCACTATGTAAATTTTTTCTGTCTCTTAAGTTTATCAGCACCACATTAAATTATAGCCCACATTAAGTTATATATGAGGCGTAAACATTCCCACCATGGCTGATTTCAGGCTTCCAACATGACATCACTTATCACAGAGTTGGGACGAGATGCACAGTAGCACACCACTACATAGGTGTTTCTTTGCCATAGTACAATAGAGATAAATAACCTCAAGTGCATACATAATAGTAGAGTAAGATGTGATGAGTTTTAAGGACTTGTTTTTAATAAATAAATTTAAATTTATTTTATGTTTGAAGATATTTATTTTTTGGTAATGACTATTTAATAACCAGCTTGCAAAATTCCTGAGAATTTAGCATTTGACTTTTATAAGCTGGGCAGAATCAGGCCCAGCACATTGATGCCCCTGTAGTGCTGTGCATAACCTACACAGCTTTGTGTGACTGGCTTGGGTGAACAGCAGTCTGTTAGTTAACTCAATCAATTTATTCTATTTGTTATTATGCCCTTGGATTTCATACAGGATTGTCATGGGAAAGATCATACAAATGATCTCTATGTACCTGATGTAAAATTACTTCAAAAACTTTCTCTATTACTCCAATATTTTGTTAATTTTGTCTTAATGAATTGCTAAATTTCTGACTTACCAGATAAGGAGAATGGTAATTATATTCCCTCTTCATTTTGTCTGCATTGAAACTCACAGGTAAATTGTCTGCAGCTTACCTATAACTGTTAAAGGACAATGAGATCTTTAAATTTCTTCTTTTTAAAAATGAAATCTATGTTGAAATCTTGTGATATATAGATGTACATATATATATATACACATACATGTATTGGACACATATATTTGCATGTACCATTTGAAATTTGGTTTCTTACCAACATTTGAAAGGAAATGTTGAGTAAATTCTTGATTTGTTACCTTTATTTACCAGTTTTCAAAATGAGTTGGTTCCCTAGCATCATTCAAAGGTGAACAAAAAGGTTTTTTTAGTATAATTATGAACTCATTTATTAAAATACACATTTGTTATGTTTCTATCCATTGCAGTTATTGTTAACATTCAAATTGTTTCATCTTTGGCCAATGGGAGCCACCTTATATTGGACCCTTCAAATTGGCTACCAAGTCCTTTTGACATGACACCAATAATCTTTCATAATTTCCATGCTTACTGGTGTGACAGGGTATTCTAAGCTCATTTTTGAATATTTCTTGACCCAAATATGGAGTCAGCCATTGCTTCATGGAATTTTTTAGGGGTAGATGGTGTATAGAGACCATAATCTGTATACTGTGGGTATGTGCTGGTTGCTATACACTGGTCCCTGTTTCTAGGTATTTACAGTATGCAAGTAAGATGTATTTTTAAGTATAAAATATAAAATGAGTTCATTCTAATACATACATTTTAAATTCAGTATCACAGAGTTTTTATGCAATTCAAAAATTAATTTCCCAAAAACACCAACATATTCATTTTTTTCTTTTTATTTATTTATTCATTTATTTTTTGACAGGGTCTTGCTTTGTTGCCCAGGCTGGAATGCAGTGGCACAATCATGGCTCACTGTAGTTTTGCCCTCCTGGGCTCAAGCAGTCCTCCCACCTCAACTTCCTGAGTACCTGGGACTACAGGTGTGTACCACCATGCCCGGGTAAATTTTAAAATTTTTTTGTAAAGTTGGGGTTTCACCACGTTGCCGAGGCTGGTCTCTAACTCCTGAGCTCAAGCAATCCTCCTACTTGGGCCTCTCAAAATGTTGGGACTACACACGTGAGCCACTGGGCCTGGCCATTTGCTTTTTCTCAGACTGTGCTTGCAACAGTGTTACAATAACACCACCAATAATAGCATAAGAATACGGTTAGTCTGGCCGGGCGCGGTGGCTCACGCCTGTAATCCCAGCACTTTGGGAGGCCGAGGCGGGCGGATCACGAGGTCAGGAGATCGAGACCATCCTGGCTAACACGGTGAAACCCTGTCTCTACTAAAAATACAAAAAAATTAGCCGGGCGTGGTAGCGGGCGCCTGTAGTCCCAGCTACTCGGGAGGCTGAGGCAGGAGAATGGCGTGAACCCGGGAGGCGGAGCTTGCAGTGAGCCGAGATTGCGCCACTGCACTCCAGCCTGGGCGACAGAGCGAGACTCCGTCTCAAAAAAAAAAAAAGAGAGAAGAATACGGTTAGTGATAATTTCAGTTGCTGTTTTGTCTTGTTGCTTTGAATACTATATACTGTTAACTTAGTGTGTTTTAGTTGTTGTGTTTTAAAGTCACTTGGAATAATTCTCTATGGTTATGCCACCAACTTCACATACAAGTAAGTTCATTTATTTTTTTGGGTTTCACTTTTATGGGATTGTATTTTGTTTTTTTGGTTTTTTTGAGATGCAGTCTCACTCTCTTGCCCAGGCTGAAATGTAGTGGCATGGTCATAGCCCACTGCAGCCTTGAACTCCTGGGCTCAAGCAATCCTCCTGCCTTGGCTTCCCAAAGCACTGGGATTACAGATGCAAGCCAGTGCAACTGGCCTGCTTTTTAACTTTGTTTCTCTTTTATTATAATAATGTAAATGACTTTATATGGTTCCAAATTCACATCTACAATACAGGTTTTATGAGATACCCACATACTGTACTGTTCCTATTTTTACTACTCTGCTCCCTTCCTCCTTTTAGGTAACCATGTTTTTTTAAAGGTTTTAATTTATCCTTTCAGTTAAAAAATAGGTAAATATTTAGATGAATGGTGACATACTATACTACATTTTTCTCCAACTTGCTTTCTTCACTTAACGATAAATACTGGAATTCACTGTAAAGTGCTTCATACTGTATATGTCCCTCATACTTTTTAATTTTTATTTCTTTATATTTTATTTTTTATTATACTTTAAGTTCTGGGTTACATGTGCAGAATGTGCAGGTTTGTTATGTAGGTATACAAATGCCATGGTGGTTTACTGCATCCATTAACCCATCATCTACATTAGGTATTTCTCCTAATGCTATCCCTCCCCTAGCCCCCTATCCCCCAACAGGCCCCAGTGTGTGACGTTCCCCTCGCTGTGTCCATGTGTTCTCATTGTTCAACTCCCACTTATGAGTGAGAACATGCGGTGTTTGCTTTTCTGTTCTTGTGTTAGTTTGCTGAGAATGATGGTTTCCAGCTTCATCCATGTGCCTGCAAAGGACATGAACTCATCCTTTTATATGGCCGCATAGTATTCCATGTTGTATATGTGCCACATTCTCTTTATCCAGTCTATCATTGATGGGCATTTGGGTCGGTTCCAAGTCTTTGCTATTGTGAATAGTGCTGCAATAAACATATGTGTGCACGTGTCTTTATAGTAGCATGATTTATAATCCTTTGGGTATATACCCACTAATGAGATTGCTGGGTCAAATAGTATTTCTAGTTCTAGATCCTTGAGGAATTGCCACACTGTCTTCCACAATGGTTGAACTAATTTACACTCCCACCAACAGTATAAAAGCATACCTATTTCTCTACATTCTCCCCAGCATCTGTTGTTTCCTGACATTTTAATGATTGCCATTCTAACTGGCATGAGATGGTAGCTCATTGTGGTTTTGATTTGCATTTCTCTAATGACCAGTGATGATGAGCTTTTTTTCATATGTTTGTTTGCTGCATAAATGTCTTCTTTTGAGAAGTGCCTGTTCACATCCTTCACCCACCCCACTTTTTGATGGGGTTGTTTGTTTTTTCTTGTAAATTTGTTTAAGCTCTTTGTAGATTCTGGATATTAGCTCTTTGTCACATGGATAGATTGCAAAAATTTTCTCCCATTCTGTAGGTTTCCTGTTCACTCTGATGATAGTTTCTTTTGCTGTGCAGAAGCTCCTTAGTTTAATTAGTCCCATTTGTCAATTTTGGCTTTTGTTGCCATTACTTCTGGTGTTTTACTCATGAAGTCTTAGCCCTTGCCTATGTCCTGAATGGTATTGCCTAGGTTTTCTTCTAGGGTTTTTATGGTTTTAGGTCTTACGTTTAAGTCTTTAATCCGTCTTGAGTTAATTTTTGTATAAGGTGTAAGGAAGTGGTCCAGTTTCAGTTTTCTGCATATGGCTAGCCAGTTTTCCCAACACCATTTATTAAATAGGGAATCCTTTCCCCATTGCTTCTTTTTCTCAGGTTTGTCAAAGATCACATGGTTGTAGATGTGTGGTGTTATTTCTCAGGTTTCTGTTCTGTTTCATTGGTCTATATATCTGTTTCGGTACCAGTACTGTGCTGTTTTGATTACTGTAGCCTTGTAGTATAGTTTGAAGTCAGGTAGCGTGACGCCTACAGCTTTGTTCTTTTTGCTTAGGATTGTCTTGGCCATGCGGGCTCATTTTTGGTTCCATATGAAATTTAAAGTAGTTTTTTCTAATTCTGTGAAGAAAGTCACTGGTAGCTTGATGGGGATAGCATTGAATGTATAAATTACTTTGGGCAGTATGGCCATTTTCACAATATTGACTCTTCCTATCCATGAGCATAGAATGTTTTTCCATTTGTTTGTGTCCTCTCTTACTTCCTTGAGCAGTGGTTTGTAGTTCTCCTTGAAGAGGTCCTTCACATCCCTTGTAAGTTGGATTCCTAGGTATTGTATTCTCTTTATAGCAGTTGTGAATGGGAGTTCACTCATGATTTGGCTCTCTGTTTCTCTATTATTGGTATGTAGGAATGCTTGTGATTTTTGCACTTTGATTTTGTATCCTCAGACTTTGCTAAAGTTGCTTATCTGCTTAAGGAGATTTTGCGCTGAGACAATGGGGTTTTCTAAATACACAATCATGTCATCTGCAAACATTGACAATTTGACTTCCTCTTTTCCTATTTGAATACCCTTTATTTCTTTCTCTTGCCTGATTGCCCTGGCCAGAACTTCCAATACTATGTTGAACAGGAGAGGTGAGAGAGGGCATCCTTGTCTTGTGCTGGTTTTCAAAGGCAATGCTTCCAAATTTTGCCCGTTTAGTATGATATTTATTGTGGGTTTATCTTAAATAGCTCTTATTATTTTGAGATACGCTTCATCAATACCTAGTTCATTGAGAGTTTTTAGCATGAAGGGGTTTTGAATTTTATCAAAGGCCTTTTCTGCATCTATTGAGATAATCATGTGGTTTTTGTCATTGATTCTGTTTATGTGATGGATTACGTTTATTGATTTGCATATGTTGAACCAGCCTTGCATCCCAGGGTTGAATCTGACTTGATCGTGGTGGATAAGCTTTTTGATGTGCTGCTGGATTTGGTTTGACAGTTTTTTATTGAGAATTTTCACATTGATGTTCATCAAGGATATTGGCCTGAAATTTTTTTTTTTTTTTGGTGTGTCTGCCAGGTTTTGGTATCAGGATGATGCTCGCCTCATAAAAAGAGGGAGGATTCCCTCTTTTTCTATTGTTTGGAATAGTTTCAGAAGGAATGGTACCAACTGCTCTGTGTACCTCTGGTAGAAGAATTCAGCTGTGAATCCGTCTGGTCCTGGACTTTTTTTGTGTGGTAGGATATTAATTACTGTCTCAATTTCAAAACTTGTTATTGGTCTATTCAGGGATTCAACTTCTTCTTTGTTTAGACTTGGGACGGTGTATGTGTCTATGAAATTATCCATTTCTTCTAGATTTTCTAGTTTATTTGCGTAGAGGTGTTTATAGTGTTCTCTGATGGTAGTTTGTATGTCTATGGTATCAGTGGTGACATCCACTTCATCATTTTTTATTGCGTCCATTTGATTCTTCTCTCTTTTCTTCTTTATTAGTCTGGCAGGTGGTCTATCTCTTTTGTTGATCTTTTCAAAAAACCAGGTCCTGGATTCATTGATTTTTTGAAGGGTTTTTCATGTCTCTATCTCCTTTGGTTCTGTTCTGATCTTAGTTATTTCTTGTCTTCTGCTAGCTTTTGAATTTGTTTGATCTTGCTTCTCTAGTTCTTTTAATTGTGATGTTAGAGTGTCAATTTTAGATCTTTCCTCCTTTCTCTTGTGGGCATTTAGTGTTATAAATTTCCCTCTACACACTGCTTTAAATGTGTCCCAGAGATTCTGGGACGTTGTGTCTTTGTTCTCATTGGTTTCAAAGAATATCTTTATTTCTGCCTTAATGTTGTTATTTACCCAGTATTCATTCAGGTTGTTCAGTTTCCATGTAGTTGTGCAGTTTTGAGTGAGTTTCTTAATCCTGAGTTCTAATTTGATTGCACTATGGTCTGAGAGAGTGTTTGTTATGATTTCCATTCTTTTGCATTTGCTGAGGAGTGTTTTACGTCTTATGTGGTCAATTTTAGAATAAGTGTGATGTGGTGCTGAGAAGAATGTATATTCTGTTGATTTGGGGTGGAGAGTTATATAGGTGTTTATTAGATCCGCTTGGTCCAGAGCTGAGTTGAAGTCCTGAATATTCTTAATTTTTTGTCTTGTTGATCTGTGTAATATTGACAGTGGGGTGTTAAAGTCTCCCACTATTATTATGTGGGAGTCTAAGTCTCTTTGTAGGTCTCTAAGAACTTGCTTTATGAATCTGGGTGCTCATGTATTGGGTGCATATATATTTAGGATAGTTACCTCCTCTTGTTGCATTGATCCCTTTACTATTATGTAATGGCCTTCTTTGTCTCTTTTGATCTTTGTTAGTTTAAAGTCTGTTTCCTCAGAGACTAGAATTGCAACCTCTGCTTTTTTTTTTTTGCTTTCCATTTGCTTGCTAAATATTCCTCCATCCCTTTATTTTGAGCCTGTGTGCATCTTTGCATGTGAGATGGGTCTCCTGAATACAGCACACCAATGGGTCTTGACTCTTTATCCATTTTGCCAGTCTGTGTCTTTTAGTTGGGGTATTTAGCCTGTTTACATTTAAGTTTAGTATTATGTGTGAATTTGATCCTGTCATTATGATGCTAGCTGGTTGTTTCGCCTGTTCGTTGATGCAGTTTCTTCATAGTGTCAATGACCTTTCCAATTTGGTATGTTTTTGCAGTGGCTGGTAGTATTTGTTCCTTTCCATGTTTAGTGCTTCCTTCAGGAGCTCTTGTAAGGCAGGCCTGGTGGTGACAAAATCTCTCAGCATTTGCTTGTCAGTGAAGGATTTCATTTCTCCTTTGCTTTTGAAGCTTAGTTTGGCTATATATGAAATTCTGGGTTGAAAATTCTTTTCTTTAAGAATGTTGAATATTGGCCCCCACTCTCTTCTGGCTTGTAGGGTTTCTGCAGAGAGATCCACTCTTACTCTGATGGGCTTCCCTTTGTGGGTAACCCGACCTTTCTGTCTGGCTGCCCTTAACATTTTTTCCTTCATTTCAACCTTGGTAAATCTGATGATTGCGTGTCTTGGGGTTGCTCTTCTTGAGGAGTATCTTTGTGTTGTGCTCTGTGTTTCCTGAATTTGAATGTTGGCCTGTCTTGCTAGGTTGGGGAAGTTCTCCTGGATATCCTGAGGAGTGTTTTCCAACTTGGTTCTATTCTCTCTGTTATTTTCAGGCACACCAGTCAAATGTAGGTTTGGTCTTTTCACATAGTCCCATATTTCTTGGAGGCTTTGTTCATTCCTTTTCGTTCTTTTTTCTCTAATCTTGTCTTCTCGCTTTATTTTATTAAGTTGATATTCAGTCTCTGATATCCTTTCTTCTGCTTGATCAATTCAGCTATTGATACTTGTGTATGCTTCACAAAGTTCTCGTGCTGTGTTTTTCAGTTCCATCAGATCATTTACGTTCTCTAAACTGGTTATTCTAGTTAGCAGTTCCTCTAACCTTTTTTCAAGATTCTTAGCTTCCTTGCATTGGGTTAGAACATGCTCCTTTAGCTCAGAGGAGTTTGTTATTACTCACCTTCTGAAGCCCACTTCTGTCAATTTGTCAAACTCATTCTCCATCCAGTTTTGTTCCCTTGCTGGTGAGGAGTTATGATCCTTTGGAGGAGAAGAGGCATTCTGGTCTTTGGAATTTTCAGCCTTTTTGGGCTGGTTTCTCCCCATCTTCATGGATTTATCTACCTTTGGTGCTTCATGTTGGTGACCTTTGGATGGGGTCTCTGAGTGGATGTCCTTTTTATTGATGTTGATGCTATTCCTTTCTGTTAGTTTTCCTTCCAACAGTCAGGCCCCTCTGCTGCAGGTCTGCTGGAGGTCCACTCCAGACTCTGTTTGCCTGGGTCTCACCAGTGGAGGCTGCAGAACAGCAAAGATTGCTGCCTGTTCCTCCCTCTGGAAGCTTCGTCCCAGAGGGGCACCTGCCAGAGGCCAGCCAGACCTCTCCTATATGAGGTATCTGTCAGCCCCTACTGGGAGGTGTCTCCCCATCAGGAGGCACAGGGGTCAGGGACCCACTTGAGGAGGCAGTCTGACCCTTAGCAGAGCTTGAACACTGTGCTGGGATATCCGCTGCTGGCTTCAGAGCCATCAGGCAGGGACGTTTACTTCTGAAGCTTTGCCCACAGCCGTCCCTTCCCCCAGGTGCTGTGTCCCAGGGAGTTGGGGGTTATATCTATAAGCCCCTGACTGGGGCTGCTGCCTTCTTTTCAGAGATGCCCTGCCCAGAGAAGAGAAATCTAGAGAGGCAGTCTGGCCACAGAGGCCTTGCTGAGCTGTGGTGGGCTCCACCCGGTTCGAACCTCCCAGCAGCTTTGTTTACACTGTGAGGATAAAACTACCCACTCAAGCCTCATCAATGGCAGATGCCCCTCCCCCCACCAAGCTCAAGTGTCCCAGGTTGACTTCAGACTGCTGTGCTGGCACCAAGAATTTCAAGCCAGTGGATCTTAGCTTGCTGGGCTCTGCCTCATGCCTTTTTAAAAACTGCATAGTACTCCACTGTGTGGATGTTCCATAATTAATTCAACCATTTCATTATGACAGATATTTGGATTATTTCCAGGCTTTTGCTATAAAGTGCTTCAAAGAATAACTTCCTGTATATATACCTATTTTCATATTTTTGTCAGTGTTGGTCAGATTTTTAGAAGTGAGATTTGCTAGCAAAAATAAAATAAACACATATGTAACTTTGTTACATACTGCCAAATTCTCCCTTGTTGGGGTTTTTCCATTTTGTACTCCAAAAAGAAGAGGAGGAAGAAAAAAAGAAAGAAACAAAAACTGCCCCTTTTTTCTATAGGAGCCTCATTCACTAGCAGCCTGTTTTGTAAAACTTGGACTTTTGGGAATCTGAAGGATGAGAAACAGTATCTCCGCAATTCTTCATGTGCATTTCTCTTACTATGAGCAAGGTTACAAATGTTTTTATTTAAGGGGCATTTCTTCCCCTTAAATGCCCTTGGGCATTTCTTTTTGTGTGTGTGTGGTTTTTTGTTTTTTGTTTTTTTTCTGAGACAGGGTCTTGCATATTGCCCAGGCTGTAATGCAGTGGTTAGTTATAGTGCATTACAACTTCAAACACCTAGGCTCAAGTGATCTTCTTATGTTAACCTCCCAAGTACCTGCGACTACAGGTATATACCACTGCACCCAGCTCACTCTCTCGTGCATGCTCTTGCTCTTTCTCTCTTTCCTTCCTTCCTTCCCTCCTTCCCTCCTCCCTCCTTCTTTCCTTTTATCTTTCTTTTTCTCTCCCTTCCTCTCCCTTCCCTTCCCTCTCCCCTCTCCCTCCCCTCTCCCTTCCCTTCTCTTCCCTTCCCTCTTCCTTTCTTTTCTTTCCTCTTTCTTTCTTCTTTTCTTTCCTTTCCTGTTTCTCTCTTCCTTTCATTCTTCTTTTTTTTTTTTTTGAGACAGGGTCTCACTCTGTCACCCTGGCTGGAGTCCAGTGGTTTGATCATGACTTACTGCAGCCTGGACCTCCCAGGCTTCGAATAGCTGGGACTACAGGGGCACACCACCATGCCCCACTACTTTTTGTATTTTTTGTAGAGACAGTCTCATCATGTTGCCTAGGCTGGTCTTTAATTCTCTGCCTGCCTCAACCTCTCAAAGTGCTGGCATTACAGGCATGAGCCACTGTGCCTGGCCCCATTTCTTTTTCTCTAAAATGACTGCTTATCTCTCTAGTCATTTTGCTATCAGGTTGTTAGTCTTTTTCTTCTCTGTTTTTAGGCAGGCTTTACATATAAGTTTATTCAACTGTCTCATATAAGTTGCAAATATTTCTTTACAGTTTGTCATTTGTCTTTATAGTTTGCTTGTGGTGTTTTTGTTTTGGCTATAGAAAAGCTATTTTATGTAGTAAGATTTACCAGTATTTCCCTTTATTGTATCTGGTTTTGACCATTGCTGGGAAAGTTTTCTTTAGGCTCTAATTATTGGGGAATCCTCCCATAATTTTTTTTAGTACTTGTATAGGTTCAAATCTTCATGTTTAAATATCTGATCTTTTTCAGTTTTATTTTTGGAGCAGATCCAAGTTTATCCTTTTTCTTACGAATACCCAGTTATTTGAATACCACTTTGGTTTTTGCCTTTTTTTTTTTTTTTTTTTTGAGACAGTACTCACTCTGTTGCCCAGGCTGGAGTGCAGTGACACAATCATGACTTCAGCCTTGACCTCTTGGACTCAAGCGATCCTTCTGCCTTGGCCTCCCTGGTAGCTAGGACTACATGCATGCACCACCATGCCTAGCTAGTTTTTTTTTTTTTGAGATGGAGTTTCGCTCTTGTTGCCCAGGCTGGAGTGCAATGGCATGATCTCGGGTCACCGCAACCTCCGCCTCCCGGTTTCAAGCAATTCTCCTGCCTCAGCCTCCCATGTAGCTGGGATTACAGGCATGTGCCACCACGCTTGGCTAATTTTGTAATTTTTGGTAGAGATGGGGGTTTCTCCATGTTGTCAGGCTGGTCTCGAACTCTTGATCTCAGGTGATCCACCTGCCTCGGCCTCCCAAAGTGCTGGGATTACAGGCGTGAGCTACCATACCCGGCACCTAGCTAATTTTAATTTTTTTTGTAGAGACAGGATCTAGCTATGTTGCCCAGGCTGGTCCCAAGCTCAAACAGTCCTCCCGCCTTGGCCTCCCAAAGTGCTGGGATTACAGGCATGAACTACCATGTGTGGCCTTGAACACCAATTATCAAAAAGTCCATCTCTTCCTCACTGCTTTGAGATACAGCTTTTATCTATACTAAATTTCCATATGTACTTGGGTCAATTTCTCATTTTCCTATTATGTTTTATTGGTTTTTTATTCATGTGCCAGTGCCAACTATTAAGCTTTAAAGGTTTTATAATGCTTTAGTATCTGTTATGATTGTCCCCTCCACCCCTGGCAAAGCTCTCTTTTTCAAGATTTCCTGTGTTTTTCTTATTTCTTTTTCCAACTGAATTTTTTAACAAATTTGTGCTTACAGCCGTGTTCTTAATCAGGGATGTTTATCAGAAGCGTCTTTAGAGTTGAAGAAGAAAAGAAATACTTGACCCCCCACCCAGACATGGTGAATTCTGGACGTTGGGGACATTTGAATTCACATAGTGAATTCTGGACACTGGGGACAATTCTAGATATTTAAAACAATCTCTACAGTTGATTCTGATAATCCCATTTTTAAAAGAGGCCTATAAAGCGTCATAGCCAGGTTTTAATTCCAGACTACTTTATGATTTGTTTTCCCTTATGTATTCTGGCCCATAGTTAATGACTGCAGCAACTACTGTAAGCCAGAAATTTCTCTAGTCCTCTTTCACTCCTTCCTCTTCCTTAATTCTATTTTCAGTTAGTCACCAAACTGAAATTTTACCTCAGAAATATCTGGCTGTAAATCTCCAATGCCACTGTCTCTACCATCATTCTTACGGACTGTTAAGCAATCTCTTAATACTACAGTCTATCATTTGCACTGCCTATACAGTTACTGTTCCCTCAAAACAAGGTCAATCATGCCACTCCTTTGCTAGCCTTTGTTGGCTCTTGTGATAAATTCAACCACCTTACCATGGTACTTAGGCCTTTTACTGTCAGGTCCCAGCCTTCATCTTGGTCATGACATCCCTATCATTCCTTTATCTCTGTCCTTCCCCATACTGAATATTCCCGCATACAGAATTTCTCACTAGTGGATGGACACCAGATCTAGTATCTCTGCATATTTACACTTGTTGTTTCTTTCACTTAGAAGACCACCTCCCACCCCGAACTTCTTTGCCTGGTAAGCTCTCAGTATTTGAGATGCAGTTCAAATAACATCTCTTTGATAAAGCCTTTTCTAGTCTCTCAGTGAGAATTAGTTGCCTCATCCTCTTTATTCTCACAAAACTTTATTATTTGTATCTTTATAATGTGATTTATATGAGTCTCTAATCTCCCAGGCATTTCACACTTTGTACATCAACCAGAATGTGAGCTTTTCATGTTTTTCCAGCCTCTAGCATAGCGCGTAGCATATAGCAAGCACTCAAATGTTTGTTCAATGAATGAAAACAAATAAAGCTTCATTAGGCTGTAATGATTGAAACAGAAACAAGATATAACAGTGGCCAGCTTGTTATACTGTTGAGATCTCTCGTTTGTTTTTCTTTGTAGTCAGCCTTCCTAGACTTCATTCTCTGTACATAGCAATTTCTTACTCTTTGAGGAACCATCTACAATACCCATAGTAGTAAGTTAGATAGCCATCCAACTCTATATCTACCTATTTAAGAAGTTCTGTCTTTGTCGTAAAAACAGATGCTGCTTTACAGAAGAAAGTGCAACAATTTAGTCCATATTGGTGGCATAGTCTGTGGGATAGGTAAATAGGTATAGAATTTCAGAGTTAATTATTCACTAAAATTGGAAAAGATCTGCTTGATCATTAAATTCTATCACAATTATGTACATGATGAAGCACTAATACAGATGATGATCTTGGGTAGAAGACGAAGTCCTGTTGGGAGTTAAATTATTTTATAACTATAGCAACTATTTTATCTGAAGTTTTCCCCCTCAACTGTATGATTATGTTATAATCTCTGAAATGATAAAGTATGATAACATGAAAAAGGGAAGGAATCATATTTTAAAAATAATTTAAGCACAATTTCTTAGTAAGAAGGTATCAAATACTTGGAGTAATCCAGTTTAAAATTTCTAGGAAATCATTTTTTTTTAAGAAGAATCAGTTTAAAAATACAGATTAAATTGAATAATTTTAATTTGTATATCTGAATTACCAAATAACATTAAATAATTTTAAATATATATTTTAATATAAAATTAAAGTTTTTATTATTTTTATTGAAATAGAGAAATATATTTATGAATTTGAGATACCTATGTCAGTCTTTCATTTAGCAACTATTTTGTTAATTATTGATTTCCATATAACTTCACCATTGGGAATGTCACATATTTCCTGAAGTATATAACGAGCCCTTCATAATAAAAATATATTTTAAAATGTCTTTAGAAGACATTAAAATCAAGGTTTTCACTGTCACCCCTTTTCCCCTTTTTTCCAACCTTTTGATGATGATAAGATGTATTTTGTTATAAGTTACTTCCTTGTGCAATCAAGTAAAAGACAACTTTGGGTTGTATATGGCTCCAGCTTGAAATTGCATATACATATTCTTATAAAAATTTTTGAATTATGATTCTAAAATTACTCAGGGGAATGACTGGAGTTTTTATATAGTAGTTAATCACTTTCATTACATATATTGTTTTTTCTGTAGATTAGACATATTTCCACAATTTAAATTAATGAATTTTATTACTTTAAATTATTTTTTTTCACAGGTTTCTTTTCTAAAATCCAGGCAATGTAAATTACATATCATTATGAAACCATTGTTTGGGAAACCAGTGTGGCATCTGCAATCCCAATATTTCAAAATATTATTGGAACCAAAAATTGAACCATGCTTTGCAGTATATTGTTTGAAGTATTTAAGCAAAGGATGTATTCTTAATTATTCGAGTTACAGTGTGCCACTTAACTTTATTTCAAGCGAGGTATATTTTGGGAGAATTCTTTATGAAAATCAAGATAACTTGAATCTAGCACTTTTTCCTTATCTTTTCAAAATTAAATATTTTCAACAGTAATGCTAATGATTAGGTAAAGTGTCAGTAATAGATTGTTAAAACATTAATATTCAATACTTTACGCATAGAAATATCAGTGTATTCCATTTTTTAGTTCCACATACTTAAAAATATTATTTATTTAATGACCACCATTATAGAACAATGCATTAACTTTTTTGTATGTGACTTGGGATAGAAGTCTTAGATACTAAGTGCATTCATACTTATATTTTAATCTATATTTTTCTTCTGGAACATTATTAGTAAATTTTGAGATTATAGAACTGTTGACCCAGTCATACATGTACAGAGCTTGGCCTCCGAGTTAATTAAATATGAGTTAATAATATATTATAAGGAAATTATTGTCCTTATTACAGTTATTAGGTAGTTACTCAAATTATAGCTTGAAAGGAATGCAGAGCATGGAAAACTCAGGATTAAATTATGCATTTGAACCTTAGGCCAGTTTTTACTGTAGAGACAGTTTGCTGCTAAAAGAGAAATTGTATGTCATTGAAATTAAATGCTTTTCTGGGGATGGAAGATTCCAGTTTTTAATGAAATTACTGAGTGTGGTGTAGTGAAATGATTAAAATCTGTATTCCGGGAATGTGGCAGGGAAAAAAAATCAATAAGTGCTAGCACAGCTTTGCTGCTCAATGTGAATCCTGAGAATGAAATAAACTACTACAAAAATAATAATTAAAAACATATCAGCACATTAATTTATTTAGCATCAGTCTCCTGAGACATCATCTTCACTAATTTTTAGCATACATTTTACTCTGTAATGAGCAGCCTTCTTTTCAGATATCCCTATTAGACAGGCAGTATTTCTGCCCTTCCCCCAGTGCTCCTGCATTGCAATCATTGTACTTGCACTTATTATGTTACAAATGACCGAGGTAAGGCTGACATTCTCAGTGCATGCAAAAAGACCGAGTCTGCCAAGCTTTTTTTTTTTCCTAATGAAGCAGCTTTGTGAAATCTCCCCATGTGTTAATACTAATGAAGATCCTCCAGCACAATTAAAATCACAGCCAGTGGCTGAAGAGGAAACATAAAACAATAGCATCTTTTAAGATACATTTATCCACATATGTATAAAATATACATAGATGATCAAATTATTCTCCGATAGCTTAATTTTTACTTACTCTTCATCCTGAAAATTAAATTATGCAATTTTTAATTATATGAACTTTGAGACTTTCTTGTGTTCTGGAGGGAAAAAACGGTACCTCAACGAACTTCTAAAAAAAAAAATACGTATCTTCTTGGCTAATAAAGTGTTATCAAGATTAAGGCTTTTAAAAAAATTGTTTTTAGGAATCTATAGGATGGGGTGCGGGAGGGAATGGGGCCTATTGTATCTTTAGTTTAACTTGATTGGTTGCAGGATTTGGGAATTGGGGTTGGGGGAGTGGAAGGGTAAAAACAAAGTTGGAAGAGATTCTGGGGGTAGACCATAGCATATGACTGCATTTGTAGTTTAAAGGAGCAAAGGGCTACCAGTCTTACTCATAACTTGATTTTTAAAAAGTGTTCAGTGCCTACAATTTGCTATGCTTTTTTTCTAATCTCTCAGAAACTTGAAAAAAAGCTATCGAGATTACCTTTTACAGTGTGTGCATATAACTTTAAAACGACTATTTTAACGTCTTTTATTTAAATTTTATTTTAACTTAGTGCATAAACATTACAGCCAGTTTAACTTGTCCGTGGAAAGGCAGTAGAATTTTACCCCGGGACCGTCTTGCATACTGCTTTTTTTGAGTTTTAACATCCGCAAAATCTTGGCATATTAATTTAGTTGGGTTGTAGAATTCTGAGTTTAGGAACAAAAAAAATTTAGGTGGAGATGGTTGACCTATGCTCCCTACTCTGTAGCTTTTGTTTTTTTAAAAACTAAGTTTTAAATCCCGTTTTCTGTCCTGTCTTCTTTAAAAGCAAAACAAAACATTTTAAGTTTCTTAACTTTTTCCTGGGACAAGGAACGGTGCAAACTCAAAGCTACAGTATTCTTGGAAAGAAGAAGCAACCCCCTCCCTTGGCTCCTTTAGGAGCTGATAGGTCATTTATTATTGGAACTGAAATGGTATAAACAATTCTCTCTCTTTTTTTCCCTTGTTAACAGCAACTTTCATTGTTAGAGAGAGGAGAGAGAGAGAAGCCTTGTTGGTTGACGTCACTTGGTTCATGAAGCCTTCGCCTAGAAGTGAAGCTGCTGAACAAACCTTGAGAAGAATCATCTCCTGCTTCAATCTGCTGCTGGATAGGAACTAATCAGAGAGAGAGAGGCGGAAGACGGAGAAGGAGGGAGTCGAAGGCTTTCCCGATCACAAATCTCACCTCCACTACAACTCTCTTTATACTTTTCTTGCAGAAATAATAATAGAAATAAGGAGGTGGTGGGGTTTCCAAAAATCTTAACCTTCAACCATCTGGGGAAAAGGCAAAAATCCCATCTACCGCAACTCTCAGTTCGAGAGTAAAGGTGAGTTTAAAATCCTCGGGCGTGAGGGGTGCGGGTGAGGATGTAAATTCCCAGTGTTACAAAGCCGGTGGAAACAGCAGCGGAGAAACTGCGCTCGGGCAAGCGGGGGACTCCGGAGTTGCTGCGTGGAGGCGCTCGCCCCGCCGCCCTCTCGCCCTCCGCCGCTGTTTATCCTCGCCGGTCGGTGCGGCTCTTTGTTGTGGTGGCCGGAAGGCTGGGGTGGTTCTCGGGGTCCCGAGTGGAGTTTGGGGGAGGAGGACACGGAGATGTGCCGTCCTGGGTGGGAGGTGGGGGGTGCGGCCTCAGGAGAACGTAAACTTTATTCCTAGAAGCCGGTGCGGGACTTCGCTGGAGTAGGGCCGTGGGTTGTGCTCCCGGCCGGGCAGGCGCTGCCGCCGCGAGTCCGCCGCCTTTGTGCCGGCCGCCCTGGCTTCGCGTCTCCTTCCTCTTCCCCTTCGGCTTCCAGCGCTCAGGTCGCCGCCAACAGTTTTGCTTCTTAAAAAACAACCTCTGTCAGCGTTGCGATGGCCGTTCCTACCCCGGAATATCCGCTGCTCCCCCACTCCCTGCCGGGGTAGTTTCTGGATCACCCCCCACCCCCGTCCGCCTCCTGCTGCCCTTTTTTGCCTCCGCCCCCTCTTCCCTGTCGGACTGACGAGCTGCGTCTGCCACCCCCACTCCCCGGCTTGGGCCTCTAGCTCTCCCGTGTGTAGCTGGAGGCTCTGAGTTTACTGAAGATGAGCGGGGGTGGGGGTGGGGCAGGTGGGATTGGGAAAAGATCTGGATACCTGGGAAGGTCTATGTCAGCACGCAGAAGGTTTGAGGAGCATTGCTTCTCATACAGTAAGGTCTGTGCCTTGGTCTCATGTTTTAGCAGTTCTTCCCCGGGAACGACCGCCAGCTCCCAACTCCTCTGCTTCCCTCTTTTAATCTTCTTGTCGCTACCCCTCCCCCCAGCCCCCGTTCTCTTTCGCGGCTCCCTCCCCTTTAAGTAGTTTCACGAACCCCAGAATTGGGATTTGAGAAGGGGAAGGAAGTGTTTGAAGAGTCAGAGCTGGCTCTGTTGTTTGGGAGATTTTCTCTTCTTTTCTTTCTCCCTCTGTATTTATCTTTTGTCTGTTGCTTCCTTATAAAGAGGGAAGCAGCTGCAGTCCTTGGCCGAGTTGTTGAAATTTATCCCTTTGTGTATATTACAATATCCTCCATTTTTTTTCCTGCCCTCTAAACAACAAGCGTTTCGCCATCTTGGGCAATTTTATTCCCAAGTCTCTCTCTTTTTTATTTTTGAGGAAAGGAAAGAAGTATTAGGAAGTGTGTCTGGATAAGTCTCAAAGTTTAGGGAATGTTCAGGGGGCCCAGTGACGTCATGTAAACTTTACGGAGAAATTTTCCCAAGAGTAAATTTTTTGCTTAATTTTTCTCCTGTTTTATAGGATTGTGTAACTTACAGGTTACTGATAAGTTGTGTGGCTTATTTTTGTGTTTTGCTCTCAAAATCAGTATACGAAGTCTGCGTATTGTATGTTTTGGTAACAGGTGGAAGATTATATGCAAAAAATGGTAAAAAACTTGTGCGTCATTTGTTATTTATCTGGTTTTTGTGTACTTTTTTTTTTAATTTAAAGGTTTCAACTGTTATCTGTAGTCAGTATATTCCCTTTCTTATTTGCTCCACTCTCCCTTATGGATTTTTTGAAAATTAGCTTGGTTAATATTTATGTATGGTTATTTTAGATTATCTGGCTCCCCGTTTCTAATAAAATGTTCTGGGGTTTTCTTTTTCTATTATTTATTTACATTTTGAAAAGAAATGACTATGGAAAATACCTTAAGATAATGGATACTTTAAAATTTAGTAGCAGATATTAAGTCAAACAATTATTGAGTATTTAAGAGGCAGAATTGATTTTAAAAGTTATTTTATAATCGCTAGCTATAAACTCTTTGTCAGCCATTATGAACAGATAAACAAAAACTAGCACTGTTTTAATTTGCTTGTCTAACATAGTTTTTCGCCTCACAAAAGTTGGTTTGGTCACATGACCAAGCTTAATGATACACTGACTAGTATATAAATAAGAGGCACTGTATATTGAATGGGAAAGTGGAATTCTGTCTCCTGTAGTCATTTTCAGTCAGCATATTTACATCTCTTCTAACAAGGACATGAAACTGTCTGTATTTAATTTGCATTCTCTTTGTCTTCTGGGTTGAGGGAAAAACACTGACTACAATTAACTTAAAAAAAGCTAATAGAAACAATTCTGAATACATTGAAAAGGTTTGTGTAACACACAGAAATTTATGTTCTATATGGTAAGTTTTTATTTCTGTAGCAGTCTTCTTTGGTGTTATCTATTTATCCAGGAATTTGCTTCATGTAATATGCTATATAGAAAGCTTGACTGAGTTGAGTGTCTGCCATTTATGTGAATTGTAGGTAGGTGAAAAATGTTTAAATAGTTAAAAGCACATAGAACAGATGGTTCTAAATTATACATGCAACAAAGGACTAGAAGATTTGGCAGATTATAAATGGCAAGCAACAGAGGATAAGCAGTTTAAGAAAATGGTAGTTAAGTACATTTGATGTCTCACACCTATTGTAAACACTGTACATATTATTGTCACTCTGCTGCATAATCAGTAATTTGGACAACATTAAGACACTCGTATGGTTCAGATAGAAAAAAGTAATTTTTACAAGTATTTGAAACAAGTGGTTGAATTTAAAATTATTTTAAGCCTACGATGATGAAGAGTCTTTTTTTTTTTTTTTTTTAGAAAATCAGATTGTATGCTTTAAAAATACAAAGTTATTTATGAGAACTTAATATTGTGTTCTTATAATGGTTGGAGAGAAACAGGAATGGGTACATATTTTAAAATCCAGATAATAGTAGCTTCACTGTTCTCACATGTTAAACTAGTGCCGAATTGTAGTACCATTTACTCTTACAAACACTAATGAAAAAATACTTCTAAACTCTTCAGTCTTGGAAATGCATTTATTGGAATACTGCTGGCATCATTTATGAAATACTTATTAAATGAAGGAAGGATATATTTTAGTTTTAATTTTTGAGTTTTATACATAACATTATGATACTGATTTTACTTGAATATTGTTTATTTACAATTTTTAGAATAGATGGATTCTTATGCAGGTTTTTTCTTTCTAGAACAGTCTCTGAGTAATTATATTTAGCATTTTCAAAAAATTGGGAATAGCTTAAAGTATTCAACTTGGTAGAAATTTGTTTTTATTTTTTATAAGCCATTCATTTAAAATGCACATAAGACTGTAATGGAAACCTTAGAATTTTAATTCTGTTGCCCTTTCTCCCATTTCTTTGTTTGCATGTTTATTATAGAACTGCAGTGTAAAGGAGCAGATGTTTTGCCAAACATCCTGATGTGTTGCTTTTTCTTATGGGAGTGCATAACTGTTCCTTCTGATGCATCAACTTGACAGCTGGTTGATTTCATGGAGCTGCTAAGAAGCCATTAGTGGTGTCATTGAATTGAAACAGAACAGTCATTCCCAGCTTGAACTGCAATTGTTAATGTCTTTGTTGCTACTTTTGTGTTACTATACAAGATGTAGGATATCACAGTTGCATGAAAGTTCAGGATTTCTGTCTTATCTCCTTGAATTAGTGAAAGTATATTTTGGAACTTGATTACTTTTAGGTTTAAAGGTTTCTCAGAGAAGGGATCTTAAGTTGTAGTTTCTGAGTAGAACTACCAAAAGAAGAGATATGATTTAGCACAAATTAATATGGTGATTTTGACCCTTAAGAGGAATTACGTCATCAAGTTTTAGTGATTATTAATATATTTGATTTCCTGGGGGATTAATTAAGTTACCTAGTTAGGTATTTTAAGAGTTTTTTTGGTTACATAAAATTAAGTATTTTTTACCATGAAGTTTTAAAAATACTGTTGCCTTTTTAATAAATGTTAATCCATTTGGCTGTTTCTTTAAACTTTTGTTCTAGGAAGTAATCACAAAAGAAAAGAAATAATTATTGGGGAAAGAGGCAGTTTTGTATTTAATTTTTCTTTATAATGAGGCTAAAATGTTATTTAAAAATTCATACAAACTATGATCTAAAATAACTTACTAGTAGACATTTAATGATTTTTAAAAAATGAAATTATATTTTTATTGTTATAACTTTTATTGATAGTTTCAGCTATCATACTAAAATGTGTGATACTAAATATGTGATACTAAAATGGTGTCATACTAAATATGTGATACTAAAATGGTGTCATCCCATTGGTGCCTACATATATTCTACTTTTTCTAATTATTTGCATGGTGTTTTTTGGTGGTAGAGGAAATGGGAGGGAGAAAAGAGGAAGAATGAAAAGTGATAATCCCAACACAGAAACATCCATTAAAAAATTCATGTAAATAAGATTTAAGGATATAATATAGTTTATTTATTACTATGTTAAGAGAATTTTTCTAGTCCCAATATTTATTGACTTTTAATTTGTAGGTCTTTAGGTGTATTAGGCATTTAAATAATTCTTCAAAGAGCATAAAATTTGTAACACTTAAAATAATTTGCCATTACAAAAATAAATACTTAAAATATGAAATTGATTAGAATATATAATTTGCTCAAAACTTCCTCTACAATATAAATTTTTAACACTTATGCCATTGATTCCAGAATTATGATTTCCTGAAATCAAAGTTTATAGGGACCCTTTCCTTTTAAATAGGTTGTACATTACTGACTAAAGCTAAGATTTATATTCAGACATTATGCTTTCTCAACCCTTTTTACATAGTAGCCATACAACTCCTTAAAAAGAAAATCATTCTGTTACCTTTGACTATGACTCAATATTTAAGAAATGTATTTACTCATAACATATTTTTGTTGAGGTAGATATTCATATAAATCAAATTAAGGAACATTGAATTGTGTATGAAATGTGAACTTTTTTTTAAAGGACTCCTGATGCTTAGTTTATCTTTAGAGATAATATAGTCTTAATTGTACTACACATAAACATCCTGTAGTTTAAGTAGGAATTTTCAGGCATCAGATTTCTAGAAGGAAGGTAATTCTCAATAGAAAGGTCATTTTAAAAGTTCAAACTTTGATTTACAGTTTTTTCTGTTGACCGTATTAAGTATGAAATTATGGGTAATAAATATATTTAATTCATTTTCAACTGCATATTGAGTTATAAAATATTGGCCACATGTTTATTGAAAACAGGAAAAGTAAATGAATATATATGACTTTTAAATGTATTTTGAGTGCTATTTGATTTGTGGCAGTCATAATAGAGTTTGAAATATAAAATATTTAAAAGTATGGATATTTACAGTTAAACATTGAGTTTTTAACCTTAATAGGGTTTTATAAGAATATGAGGTGAAAATATAGTTTTTATTCCACATACTTAAATTTTTACTATATAAGGTAAGAGTATTTCAATTTGTTTTAAAAGATAACGCTTTAAAAATAGTTTTTATAATTTATAAAATTCAACTTGTACTTTGGCTTTTGAATGCCTTTCATTCAAATAAAAACTATTGCATATTGGGGATAATAATAATGATGGCAACATAGATAAGAACCTTTACTAATTTTGTGTTGTGCACATGTGTGCATGGTATATAAGAAAAAGGAGCATTTGGTTTGAAGATAATTCTTGGATTAGTACTTCAGCTATGTGTAGACATAATTGGGTGTTTTTTCCTGTTTTCTCCTCTTAACACTTTTCCACAAACATGCACTCATTAATCAAAGACGGTGCACTCCTGCTGAGGGCAGAGAGGTTCATCAAATTGGCAGTCAGTTTGGTGTAAAGAACGGTGTACTGAAGCTCTTAACTCGCTAGGACATAAATAAATCTAAGGTCTTTGTATGCAAACCCTAGAGGTTAATACTGTATAATTCAGTGTCCTGTCTTTGTTTTTATGATTGATGTTTTTAAATGTTTCAAGCTTGGTGAAAGTCTTCTAGTAGGTCAGGTCTGACAATCTGATTGGCTGTAGTAAGAAAGCATTAGGTTGTCAGAAGGACTTTGAGTATGCTGCAGAGATTTTGATTTTTTTTCCTATGAGATCATTGTCATATTGCCTGAGCTGTTATAGGAATGTACCAATGATTGACATTGCCTGCTGTGATAATGGACCTAGTGCATGAAATGCCAATAGTTCGGTCCTATTTGTTCAGAAGCTTACTGCTATTTGTATCCTTAACACAGCTAACATGTAGAACAAGCAAAACTACTGGGATTTCTCTGTAGAAATAGTGCTGGGATTTGGCTTTAACATGAATTGGTTGCATATTCATAATTTAAGAACAGCTGGTTACAGCAAGCACATAGTCATTTGCAAGCTATTATAAACCATTCCACTCACATGGAGCCTGTGCTTGGTGATTTTTTTTTTTTTTTATTGATCTACCTGCATTTAAAATCTGGTCACTGCTGCTACAGAAGCTCTTTATTTTAGCTGTGTTTGCAACACAGAACAGGTTCAATTTTAAATATTTAATTTAAACTTAATGCTGAATAAAATGAAGAAGCTTTGAAGGAAACAAGTGTAAAAGGTCATGTCCTACCTGTCACGGCCAGAATCAACCAAACAAACCTAGATTATACAACTATTGTAATTTTTGGAATATGTGTTTTATGATTTTGTCCATAGATCAATAACAGAATTATCCTGGATTTGGAAATATTGCTAATAATATTTTACTAGTTATACATAGTTTTGGGAAACAACATTAACAGTAGATTGTGATTAATTAGTCTAAAACAATGTCATCTAATATGTAGAAAAGTAGTATAATACTTTTAGCTTATGAGTGGTGGTGTAAAGCAAGATAGAAGGGAAAATTGGCATGACTTTATAACTGGATTAGAATAATGCTAATCCTAAAACTATAGAGTTACTCTAGTTTTTTAGAAGAAATCTAATAAGGAGTCTCTTTTGCTTTTTGAGTCACTTCTGGAGTATTAAGCACAGGTATGCTCTTACAGTATTTAGGTGGTATTGGTAAGTTAGGCCAGCTATAATAGTTTCCTGCATGTTGTCAGTAATAACTGTAAGGAAAGAGGAGAACACCTTTGTGTCTCAAGCTTTTAGTGAGAAGGGTGGGAGGAGAAAATGTTAAATGCTATTTCAGCTCTCCTTTTAGGAATCACAGGGAGCTGTGCTTTGATTTGTGTATATTAAAATAAGTGAATACCTGAGTGATTTACAATGATGCGTTTCCACACATGGTGTTAGGCTCACATGTGCATGTATGTGTTTGTCCCCACACTAGATGATGAAGTAGCTCTCAGCACTTCAAGGTTGAGTACCAGTCCTAAGAGTGCATTTTACTCTTTCTTGGCTTCAGAAATGGCTGGATAGGTTTGTAATATAACAGAATATATGGCCAAATTTAATCCAGCTGATAGTAGGCTGTACTTTTTTTTAAACAACAAATCCAAAGGTTATTAAAGGATGATGCATTGTGTTTTAGTTTTGAGTTGCATAGGATCATAACTATAATTAGTTAACTTTCCATTATTTGAGATTATATCAGGCATTTTGTAAATTATTTTATGTCTTCTTCACTCCCTTTTGACTATTGTCCTTTCATTTATTTCTCTGCTCTTTAGCATCTCATCACAGAATAAAGGAAGGAAAATTCAAACAAATCTGGTTTTCCCTGCCTTCCCCACTTCTTGATGAAGAGGGGTTCTTAGTTTTTGACTAAAATGCAGGTTTGGGATTTTATTTGTCTGCCTTTTCTGGTTCTCATTACATAATTATATTTAGAAAAGAAGAAGGGTGAGTTAATGGACTGGATTTTTATTTTTACTTTTTATTTTTTTGGAGACAGGGTCTCACTCTGTTGTCCAGGCTGGAGTGCAGTGGCACGATCCCAGTTTACTGCAGCTTCAACCTCCTGAGCTCAAGGGATCCCCACCGCCTCAGTCCGCCAAGTAGCTGGGACTACAGGCTTACGCTGCCATGCCTGGCTAATTTTTGTATTTTTGTAGAGACGGGGTTTTAGCATGTTTCCCAGGTTACTCTTGAACTCCTGGACTCAAACAATCTGCGCACCTTGGCCTCTCAAAGTGCTGGGATTACAGGCATGAGCCACCACGCCTGGCCTGACTGAATTTTTCTATACTGTATTAGTAACCCAGCAAAACAGAAAATTTAGACGTTGTTTGAAAAAGTAAAGTGACTCAGTGACATCCACCACAGAATTGCACATATTTGATACATTTGTATTATTCTAGTATTAATAATAGGAAAAGGAGGAGGCATCTACCTTCATTCTTTAAGCTTTTATTGAATGCTATCTCCAAGCATGCTCTGGGAGAGCTATGGATAACAATTTATGGAAGTTCATAGTAGGAGAGAGATGGCTTCTCATTGGAATAATTAGAAAAGGCCCTTCGGTTTAGGTAGCATTGAACTAGATCAAGAACAATTAAATTTTGAATATTCACAGATCAGGAAGAAAAGATCCAAGAAAAGAAGGACTGCATAAGCCTATTATAGAACAAATATAGAGCTAGAGCTCTATATTAGAGCCAATCCATTTGACATCTGGGATGGTTCTGCCTTTTCAAGGTCACCCCAACCCATACCTCTTCCACTAGAAGGAAAAGAAAATGTCATGGGATCCTTCCTTTCAAAATTGACTGCTTGGCTTTTTCTGGAGAAGATGGGTTAATCAGTTTCAATCCTCCATTTCAGTGATAGGCTTATTTGTGAAGGCCGGGTTAAAACTGACAAAACTACCCTTTCTGGTTAGAGGTATTCAAATCTTCTGTTTTGAGATTAACCAGAACCCCTCCCTTTTCCTTGGTTCTTTTCCTATGCTTTTGTGAACAGTTTTTCTGGAAATCTAATGCATGATCCCCCCTGCTAAGAACATTGAGTAGAGAGCAGAGGGTGATATATGTGTATCCCTTTTCTCCATGATGATGGCTCTGGCTCAAAAAACACTTTTACTTCTTTTAGTTCCTTCGGATGAATGCAGAAGACAAGCAGACTGCTGGACTGCCAGTAACGGGCATATCCATAAGGACAAAAAGGAGGGCCAGGCGTGGTGGCTCATGCCTGTAATCCCAGCACTTTGGGAGGCCGAGACAGGCAGATCACTTGAGGCCAGGAGTTTGAGACCAGCCTGGTCAACATGGTGAAACCCTGTCTCTACTAAAAATATAAAAATTATTTTTTTTGAGGCGGAGGTTGCAGTGAGCTGAGATAGTACCACTGCACTCCAGCTTGGGTGACAGAGTGAGACTCCGTCTCAAAAAAAAAAAAAAATAGAAATCCCACTAAAAAAGAGTATGAAAAAGGAAAGATTTAAAAAATTTTCAAAACACAAATGTATGAAAGATCTTTTACATAATGTCTTGGCCAAGGACAATAAATTTTAGTAGTTAGTCTTTTCCTAACTTCATTATTACTACATCATAATAATAATGAAATTTATTATTATTGCATATTAAATGTTTTATTTGCAGTATTGTGATGAACATTTACTTGCAAGAGATTTGTCATAAGAAAACCTTAAAACTTTTATGTAACCATTTTTTATCTTGTACAAGGATAAGTTTTGAGGTAAATTAAAGATGGAAAACAGTGGAAATAAAAAGTTATCTAGTGTCTAAGTTTAGTTCAAAGCCATGCTTACTATCTTTTCTGGTTTCTATGATGACATGGTTGTTGAAACATGCTTCTGATCTTTGGGTAATGTATTACTGTTAACATAAACCATTGTGATGACATAGGAAGCACCAAAACCTATCTTCAACATTTGAAAAAATCAGGAGCCGTGTATAAGTCACAAAATGACCTTTTCTTCGTTTCTGGGTTGTTAGTGCAGCATGCTGAGAAAAACAGGCTCTGCAAGGCAACATTAACTGACAGAGTTGTGGGTCAAATCTCTTTATTTTAAAAGAGGGGTTACTTTGGAGCCAAAGTTAAGTGTTCTTAGGGTTTGGGCAGAAACAACAAAAAAGGAGACAATTTTAAATAAGGTTTCTAAATGCAGTCAGAGTGGAGCATTGTTATGTAATCAAGTCCTTTTGGAACATATCAAGATTTTGTCCATAGTAGTGTAAGTATTTTAGCATTAAATTTCTGTGCCTTGTCATTAATATTTTCTGCAGCTTGTTGGGTAAATAACTCTTATCTGTAATCATGCCTTGGGGATTTGAAGTAAAAGTTGAAGGGTTAGGGAAGGGCAGTGTGAATAGTAAACACTTGGTCCAGGAAGAGAACATGTAATAACTTTAGACAGTTAGATAAAAGCTCTCTTTGCCCTTCCCGCTGCAGGAAGCCTGTTTGTAGGTACACTTGCCAAAACTCACAAAAGAGAAGAATTGTTTTAAAGAACGTGAAAATGTTTTTGTACTGTGTGTGAAATGGGAAGGTAGGAATAAGGCATGCCTGGGAAGAAAAGCTAAATTGAATGTGACCAGAAGTTTACTGTTTTTAAATTTTTATTATTATTAATTTTTTAGAGACAGGGTCTTGCTCTGTTGCCCAGACTGGACTGAACTGGGCACAAGAGATCCTCCCATCTTAGCCTCCTGAGTAGCTGGGACTACAGGCATGCACCACTGGGCCCAGCTGTTTTTTTTTTATAATGAAGTGTTCTGTGACGTAGTACCTTGAATTTGACCTTTTGCATTTTAATATGAGCCACCTTTTGTGAAATAGATTATTTTTGCAAATATTTTATTTGTTCCAAGTAGCATTTAATATACTGCAGGTACCAACTAAATTAATTACATGTACATGGGTAAAAATACATGTTTATTTCTATATTTATAATCTCAGCACTTTAAAAGTGAGCTAAAAATAATCCTACAGCTACCCATGGAAATAAATAAAAATCACTTATCAAGCCAGGTGCAGTGCCTCACACCTGTAATCCCAGCACTTTGGGAGGCCCAAAATGGGAGGATCACTTGAGGCTAGGAGTTCAAGATCAGCCTGGTCAACATAGCAAGATCTTGGTCTCTACACAAAATTTAAAAAAAAAAATCAGCTGGGTGTGGTGGCATGCACCCGTAGGCCTGGCTACTTGGGAGGCTGAAGTGGAAGGATTGCTCGAACCCAGGAGCTCAAGGCTGCAATGAGCTATTATTGCACTCCAGCCTGTGTAACAGAGTGAGATCCTGTCTCTGTCTCTCTCTCTTTCTCTCTCCTGTGCATGCACACACTCCAGCCTGGGTAACAGAGTGTGATCCTGGCTCTCTCTCTCTCCTAGCGCGCGCACACACGCGCACACACACACACACACACAAAATATATTAACTTTTCAGTTCTTTAGATTTAACAATAATTTTCCTACTTTTAAGCTGAAAAATGCCCTCCTCACCAAACTTTTTATAGTTATTTCTCATATTTTTAATTTTTTGACATTTAATGATTCTGCATTCCTTTCTGCTAGTAAAACTGTCCTTTTATGCCTATGTTAAGGCCCAACTTCCCATCAACATTTATCTATACCATATTTTCATGTGATATTGTATTCTCTAAAATTTCTATTATAAGGAATGTTGAGCTAGATAACTAAAGGTCAATTTTTTAAAGCATTGTCATGTTTTGGTTGTAATTTTGTTTCAACCTCTTGTGACAGGAATCTTTTGAAAAAATACTAATTTTATTAAATATATTGAGAGTATTCAAACTATGCTTCTTTGATAAGGCAGGCTTATCATACTGGTAAGTAATTCTATTACATTTTAGATGCCTAAATTAAAACTATTTGAGTATCAAAATATTGTACTCTACAAATATGTACAATTATTATGTGTCAATTAAAAATAGCTGGGCATGATGATTCACACCTGTAATCCCAGCTACTCGAGAGGCTGAGGTGGGAACATCGCTGGAGGCCAGGAGTGTGAGACCAGCCAGAGCAACATAGTAAGACTCCTACCTCTAAAAATAAAATAAAATATAAAATACATGTATAAGAAAGGGAAAAAAACTATTTGAGAATATAACTTGGAATTAAAAAAAATAAATTCCCATATCATATTTGTGTCATTTGCCTGTTTATGTTAAAAGGGTATATGCAGCTGTACAACTTGCCAGTTACTTATTCCTTCTTACAGTTAATCATATTCATTGTCCTTTGACTTTTCTTTAAAATTAAAAATGTATTTCTTCACTATAAAATATTAATAAAAGTTTTTAAAAATACAGAAAAGCATTGATAAAAATTTCAAATGTTCAAAATTCTATTATTCACAGGCTACTATATGCATTATTAGTTTGTTTTATGTTGAAATGAAATATTTACTGAAATGAAGGTGTTCATTAATGAAACAGCAGGTTAGTGTCATGAACCTATTCCTGCAAAAGATGAAAATGACAGGAGTGGCCATAGAGTGAAATGTGTCTGTGGTATTACCTAAGAAAGAACTAAAATAATCCACTGGATTAAGTGACAAGGACATTAGTGACCTTGGCATTAATAGTTTCAGTGGAGTGGTTTGGATTAAAGCTATAGAAATGGAAACATGTTTAAATAGTTTTGGGGTTTTGTTTTTTTTTTTGTAAGGAGGAGGAAAAGAAATTTGGTAGTTTCTGGGAAGGAAATATAGGAAGATGATTTTTTTTTAACAGGGTGAATGAAGATACAGGGGCAGAGGATATAATTCAGAGATTCTGTAAGAAATGGGAAGAAATGGGTTCCAGATCCATGTTAGACTGATAATCACGAACTAGAACGAGGGATACTCTTTCATTGTAACTAGAGGGAAAGAAAAAATGTGGGAATGCATAGTGGTGAAATTGGAGCTTGAGGAAAGAAATTTCAGAGAGTCCTAGTTCCAAATATTAGCATTTCTTCTAACAGAAATGCCTCCTTACGGCATTTTAAATAAAACAAGTTTTAATTTCCATTTTTAAAATGTATGTATTTTTACGAAGTAGCTGTTATGTAGTTTTTGCATTCTCCGTTGTTTATTAGCTCTTAATTATTTGGATTATATCATGAGCATTTTCTCTTGTCATTAAGTATTTTAAAAGACTGCATAATTTATCCAATCTTAGGGCATTTAAGTTTTTTGTTTTTGTTTTTGTTTTTTTGAGACGGAGTCTCGCTCTGTTGCCTAGGCTGGAGTGCAGTGGTGCGATCTCGGCTCATTGCAACCTCCGCCTGCTGGTTTCGAGCAATTCCCCTGCCTCAGCCTCCCAAGTAGCTGGGACTAGTGGCACATGCCACCATGCCCGGCTAATTTTTGTATTTTTATTAGACATTGGGTTTCACTATATTGACCTGGCTGGTCTTGAACTCCCGGCCTGAAGCAGTCCACCCTCCTCAGCCTTCCAAAGTGTTGGGATTATAGGTGTGAGCCACAATGCCTAGCCTCACTTTATGTTATTATATGATGGGATGAAATATCATCAAACATCCCTCAGCTTTTTTTATTCTAAGTTATTTCTGTAGGATTCATTTTTAGAGCTTGAATTGCTGGGTCAAAGAATATGAATATTTTATGGTATTCTGGAAAATATTAACTGGTTTGTATATGTGGCAAAGAGAGCCTTGATTTGTAGTGTCTTTTGCTTGTGTAAAAACTGCCACCATGGCCTGTTTCAATCCTACAACTTAATGCTATTGAACAAAGTTGAGAAATGTAGTTGTACAATCATTGTATAGTATTTTCATCATAACCATACTATAGATGTAAATAACTTCCTACAGCATAAATAATAAAATGCAAAATAATTAGGAAGTAATGTTTTGAGTGTTTATTACCCTATTATAATTTATTGACTGTAAGTTTATATAATTTAATTAATAATGATTGTTTTTAACAACTAGATTTCAAGAATTCCCAAGAATTATCAGTTGACTCTTGTGAGCCACTATGAGCAAGCTCTAGCATACCAATGCTAGGTTATCTATTTTAGTTCTCCTTTTCCTCCTTTCCTCTTCCTGTTTCTTACTCCCATTTCTGATATGTATGGTGGAATTTTTTTACCCCTAGACTGTTGTTTCCAATATAGCGAGAAATATGGGTATAGAAGACCAGTGTATCATTTTTTTCATTTATGGCTCCTAGGTTTATCTTGCTTTAAACTGAAATCTTTATGCATGGTGGAGTCTAAGTGAAAGAAGTGAAGTTTAGATTCCCAACTTATTTTTCTTCCAGAAGACTCCAGTTTTCCCCAAAACATCCTACCGACTGTTGATTGAATTACTCTTATTGTTTTTAATAATTTTTCAGTTGATTTTCTAGGGTTTTCTAGATATATAATCATATACAAACAAAGATAATTTTGCCACCTTTAGTATTTGTAACTTTATTGTATAAAGAATGAAATTAAGCTGACTACTATTTGCAATGTATTGGTAACATTGGGCACTCTTTTCCTGACTTTGGAAATGATTCTAGTACTTAAACTTTTTTTATGATATTACCTTTTGGTTTGTTATATGTATTTTTAAAGATCATGTTAAGCAAGCATGCATCTATTTCTATCTTTTTTTTTATTTTGAGACAGAGTTTCGCTCCTGTCGCCCAGGCTGGAGTACAATGGCACAATCTCGGCTCACTGCAACCTCTGCCTCCCAGGTTCAAGTGATTCTCCTGCCTCAGCCTCCCGAGTAGCTGGAATTACAGGCACCTGCCATCACACCTGCCTAATTTTTGTATTTTTAGTAGAGGCGGGGTTTCTGCATGTTGGCCAGGCTGGTCTTGAACTCCTGAACTTGTGATCCACCTGCCTCGGCCTCCCGAAGTGCTGGGATTACAGGCGTGAGCCACCGCACCCAGCCTTTTTTTTTTTTCTTTTGAGACAGGGTATCACTCTGTCACCCATTCTGGAGTGCAGTGGCACAATCTAGGCTCACTGCAGCCTTGACCTCCCAGGTGCAAGTGATTCTTTAGACTTTTTAAAAATCGGGAAAGGAAGTTGAATTTTATTAAATGCTTGGGAAACTGGTAATGCTTGTTTACCTCAGTGTTGTTGAAGGGGTTTTTTTGGTTCCTTGTTTTATGATTTGTGCTACAGGTATAGATGTTGATCATTTTAAATATTTGGAATAAGAGGCAAGAAGAGCTAGGCAACAGGAAGTATAGTTTACATATATTTTTTCCTAGAACTTTTTCTCTGAGTCTCTTGAGATCTTTGCTGTTGTTCTATATGTGAGGGTGGAACTTCGATTTTAGCAGTTTCCCTGCTTTAGGGAGAACTTGGCACACCTGAAGATGTGAGTGGGAGGAGGGAGAGAATGACTCTCTGTAATCCTGTGGATTATGAGTTTTGTGTGATGAGTCAGAGCTTTTGTCTGCTTAGTCAGATTTGATCCTCACCTTCAAAGCTGTCTCCTCAACTCTAATGAAAGGTTGAGAAAAATAAAAACGATGAGGCCAAAAAAGTAGCTCGATTATTTTCTGCTCTGCAAACATGTGTCCCAAGATCTGTGATTCCCCCCACTTCTTTTTATAGGCCCCCCATGATTCTAAACGGCAACTATGAAAGTTATGGGTTAGGACATTTCTGAATATTCTCTTACTTACTAAATTGTGAACCTTGCCCTCTTAGGGCATATGCATATAGAATCAGTCTTATTAAAAGAGTACTGGTATTTTCCCTGGTTCCCACACTAATTTTGGTCCTTTTTGTCCTGTTTGGTGGATTTCGGGACAAGATCATGTGAATGTATGTTATTCAGATTTTAAAGGCTCTTTTCACATATCCACAAAAATCCCCCTCAGAAGAATTAGTATCATTTTGTATACTCTTGCAATTGGAAGTTGAGAATATTTTTTCGTTTTTTTTTAACAGTGGGAATATTATTATTTTAATTTGTATATTCTTGATTTTTATGGATAATCATATATTCCTAAATTTGTTAGGGAATTATATTTGTTTCTGAATTGTTTGGCAGGAATGGTTCTGGTAAGATTTTGTAGCAATGTGATCATACAATAATTATCTTAAAGATTTTTCCTGATCACCCCCAAAAGGCCGGTCTCATGAGGTATGGCTTATTTACATAGGTGTGCAAAAATATTAACTACACAGGCTTCCTTGAGTTAACTTGTGCGTATCCTTGAGCCTATGCACTATGTACAACTACTAAAGCTACAAAATTAACTTTTGAACTTTTTCTAAGGAATCTGAGCTAGGACATTTAAAAATTACTGATATTTCCTCTCCTCAGGCTAGAAAGCAAGCCTGGGACATTCTACGAGATTTTACCTACTATAGTACCCCCAATTATCCCTCAGATTTCTTTCTTTCTTTCTTTTTCTTTTCTTTTTTTTTTTTTTTTTTGAGAAGGAGTCTCGCTCTGTCGCCCAGGCTGGAGTGCAGTGGCGCGATCTGAGCTCACTGCAAACTCCACCTCACGGGTTCACGCCATTCTCCTGCCTCAGCCTCCCGAGTAGCTGGGACTACAGGCTTCCGCTACCACGCCCGGCTAATTTTTTGTATTTTTAGTAGAGATGGGGTTTCACCGTGTTAGCCAGGATGGCCTCGATCTCCTAACCTTGTGATCCGCCTGCCTCAGCCTCACAAACTGCTGGGATTACAGGCGTGAGCCACCATGCCAGGCCCCAGATTTCTTTTTTTCTTTTTTCTTTTTTTTTTTTGAGACAGAGTTTCCCTCTTGTTGCCCAGGCTGGAGTGCAGTGGCACAATGTCGGCCCACAGCAACCTCCACCTCCCAGGTTCAAGCGATTCTCCTGTCTCAGCCTCCTGAGTAGCTGGGATCACAGGCATGCACCACCACACCTGGCTAAATTTGTCTTTTTAGTAGAGACGGGGTTTCTCCATGTTGGTCAGGCTGGTCTCAAACTCCCAGCCTCAGGTAATCCGCCTGCCTCAGCCTTCCAAAGTGCTGGGATTACAGGCTTGAGCCACCGCGCTCGGCAGTCCCTCAGATTTCTTAAGTTTGTGTGGCCTGCCAGAAAGTGATCTTCCTTATCACCTAAAAGGCTGAGTCCCTGTAAGACAGGGACCAGGCTAGTTTTCCAGGGAGGGCTCGTAAAGTCAACATTAGTTCCTTAAAAGTAACTTGTACCTGTTTAAGTAAGCATCGTTCTCAAATATGACACTCTAGGTAAAACGTCAGTTGCTCAATAAGTTGAGTAGCTGGGATTACAGGCGTGTGCCCCCAAGCCCAGGTAATTTTTGTATTTTTAGTAGAGATGGGGTTTTGCCATGTTGGCCAGGCTGGTCCTCAAGTGATCCTCCCTCCCTGGCCTCCCAAAGTGCTAGAATTACAGGCATGAGCCACCACACCCAGTTAACAGCTATATTTTATGTATGTATGTATGTATGTATTTATGAGACAGAGTTTCACTCTTGCCACCACACCCAGTTAACAGCTATATTTTATTTATTTATTTACTTATTTTTGTGACAGAGTCTCACTCTTGTCTCCCTGGCTGGAATGCAGTGGCTCAATCTTGGCACACTGCAACCTCTGCCTCCCGGGTTCAAGCAACTCCTTCAGCCTCCCAAGTAGCTGGGATTACAGGTGCCTGGCTAATTTTTGTATTTTTAGTAGAGACAGGGCTTCACCATGTTGGCCAGGCTGGTCTGTTTGGCCGGGCTGGTCTCAAACTCCTGACCTTGTAATCTACCCACCTGGGCTTCCCAAAGTGTTGGGATTACAGGTGTGAGCCACCACACCCGTCTGTAATTATTTCTTGAGTTTTTGATCAGTATTTCCCCCAAGAGTGAAATTATAATGGACAGTAAAGACATTGACACATTCCCAGGGATTTCTCATAAAACATAAGTTTTCTGAAATATTTGTACTAATAATGTGTTATCTATATAATCTTAACCTAGGAAAAGCTAAATATCTCTTTTGATTTGACACTGTTCCCATGCAATTCTTATGAGAGTAACATATCAAGTAAACCCAATTCTTTCCAGCAGCTCTTTTTTTATGAGGTGAAAGAATAAGTCAGCCAGGCGTAGTGGCTCACGCCTGTAGTCCTAGCACTTTGGGAGGCTGAGGTGGGTGGATCACAAGATCAGGAGTTCAAGACCAGCCTGGCCAATATGGTGAAACCCTGTCTCTACTAAAAATACAAAAATGAGCTGGGCGTGGTGGCAGGCGCCTATAGTACTAGCTACTCGGGAGGCTGAGGCAGGAGAATCGCTTGAGCCCGGGAGGCAGAGATTGCAGTGAGCAGAGATCGTGCCACTGCATCCAGCCTAGGTGACAGAGCGAGACTCCGTCTCAGAAAAAAAAAAAAAAAGAATACGTCTATGTGGTCTTATTGAGGCACTCTGGGAAATCTGAAAGATAGTTTAGTGTATTTAGTGTATTGTGAAAGTTTTATTTTTCTGTATTTAGGATCTGATTGGGGGAATGCAAATAGAGAGTTGTTAGGATATTTGGGGTTTGATTGAGATAGAGTCGTGGCTGCCTGAGAAACAAGCTTTGGTTACTTATTTAATCAAAGTAACAATAAACATACACATAGAAGGGAAAACCTGGCTGGAGGAGGTGGCTCACTCCTGTAATCCCATCACTTTGGGAGGCCAAGGCGGGCAGATCACCTGAGGGTGTGGTGGCACATGCCTGAAATCCCAGCTACTTGGGATGCTGAGGCAGGAGAATCGCTTGAACCTAGAAGGCGAAGGTCGCAGTGAGCTGACATCGCGTCACTGCACTCCAGCCTGGGCAACGGAGCAAGACTCCACCAAAAAAAAATTTTAAAAAGTAAGACCTTACCTGTTTCATACCTGAGGAGGAAGCTATTCATTTTTGTTTCTTTAGATGATCAAGGACATAATGAACTCAACATAAGCACAGAAAGTTATTCTGTTAGGATACAGAATTTCTGCTATTTAGTCACTTTACACAGAAGGTATAGAATAGCCTTTCACATTGAAGATGAAGGAATTAACTAGTATTCTAAGGAAGCAAGTCCATCAATGTTGAGTGAAATTTTCTAAACTTTAAAATGTTTCGAACATTTTAAATACTCAAATTTGCAAGAAAAAAACAATCCCATCAAAAAGTGGGCTAAGGACATGAGTAGACAATTCTCAAAAGAAGATATACAAGTGGCCAACAAACATGAAAAAATGCTCAACATCACTATTGATCAGGGAAATGCAAATCAAAACCACAATGCAATACCACCTTACTTATGCAAGAATGGCCATAATCAAAAAGCCAAAAAATAATAGATGTTGGCATGGATGCGGTGAACAGTGAACACTTCTACACTGTTGGTAGGAATGTAAACTAGTACAACCACTATGGAAAACAGTGTGGAGATTCCTTAAAGATCTAAAAGTAGAACAACCATTTGATCCAGCAGTCCCACTTCTGAGTATCTGCCCAGAGGAAAAGAAGTCATTATATGAAAAAGATATGAATTAATGGCATTTGCAGCAACTTGGATAAGATTGGAGACTATTATTCTAAGTGAAGTAACCGAGGAATGGGAAACCAAACATCGTATGTTCTCACTCATAAGTGGGAGCTAAGTTATGATACGAGGATGCAAAGGCATAAGAATGACACAGTGGACTTTGGGGATTCAGGGGGAAAGGGTAGGAAGTGGGGCTGAGGGATAAAAGATTACAAATTGTATGCAGTGTATACTGCTCAGGTGTTGGGTGCACCAAAATCTCACAGATCACCACTCTTGTAACCAAACCTCACCTGTTCCCCAATGCCCTATGGAAATAAAAAATTAAAAGATAGAAAAAAATAAATAAATGGAGAAAAAACAAAAATAAAATGTTTGGTAGCTTCTTTTCTATGTTAGCTGCTATAAATCAAGACAAATTTACTTTCTAGGTTAGGTCCTTCATTGTCTTTTATATTCTTGAACAAACTTTAGGGCCGTGCTTCTAACAGGATCTGTGGTGTCACGCATATTTTTATAAAAATACTAAAATTTGCTAAAATGCAATATATTAATCATTGTTGTCTTCAAATGAAACAGTAAATAAGCGCTTAAAATAGTTCTGAGTCTTAATTTCCAATATGGTAAACATCAAGACTTACAACCTATGTACAATGAAAACTCTTTTGGAGTCTTCAACAAGTCCTAAGAGTGTAAAGAGGCCAGGAGACCAAAATGCACAAGAATCCGTTCTTTAGGACAATACTACTCCTTTTCCTTTAAAATAAATGCACATACCGAGCTGTGATTCCATGTCATTGTTGCTCCTGGTATAGTCTGTTAAAAGAAAGACTTCAGCCAAATTTATTTAAAGTGTTTAATTGAGCAAAGAAAATTCACGAATCAAGCAGCCTCCCAAGCCAGAGTAAGCTCAGAGACTCCAGCGTAGCCAAGTGGTGGAAGAAGATTTATGGACAGAAAAAGGAAGTGACATACAGAAAACATAAGTGAGGTACAGAAATAGCTGGATTGGTTACAGCTTGGTATTTGCCTTAGTTAAACACAGTTGGAACAGTTGGCCACATTTGATATGCCAAAACTGGGTGATTGGCACAAGAGTGGGCTATGGACTGATAGTACCTCCGCTTGTTAGATATAGTTCAGAATGTACAGAGAAGCCTCTAGGTTGAATTTAAAATATGTAAAGAGGCAGCTTTAGGCTAAACTTACATAACAGATTTCAATGAATCATATTAATTGTAACTTTTAGTCGAAGTGACTAATTTCTGTTTTACAGAGAAAAGTTGGAGGTGAATAATTGAGAACTGTGTCATATACCAGCATTTTAGCAGACTAGTAGAATTCATGAGCACACACAACACCACTTTTTACAGCACGCATACCTCTTTTTCGCCTCTTAAAGTGGCAAAAATTGACATTTCCACTAACATGACCTAAAACAGCTTGTCATTAGTATATAAAAACAAGAAACAAAAGTGTATGTTTAGCCTGTAATCCCAGCACTTTGGGAGGCCGAGGTGGGCAGATCACCTGAGATCAGGAGTTTGAGACCAGCCTGACCAACATGGAGAAACCCCATCTCTACTAAAAATACAAAATTAGCCAGGTGTGGTGGTGCATGCCTGTGATCCCAGCTACTCAGGAGGATGAGGCAGGAGAATCGCTTGAACCCAGGAGGCGGAGGTTGCGGTGAGCCGAGGTCATGCCATTGCACTCCAGCCTGGGCAACAAGAGCAAAACTCCGTTTAAAAAAAAAAAAGTATATGTTTAAAAGGATGCATAGTAATCAATGTTTCAGTATTTTGCTTAGAAGTTATTACGCATTGAATAATTATTTAATATCAGTCCAAGGTTTTAGGCTACCTAAAGATTTGAAAATTATCTTCAAGCTGCCATGCTGCAAAATATACTTACTGTTGAAATAAAAATTTGTTGGGCCATGCCCGGTGGCTTGGGCCTGTAATCCCAGCACTTTGGGAGGCTAAGGCAGGCAAACAGCTTGAGCTTAGGAGTTTGAGACCAGCCTGGGCAACATGGTGAAGCCCTGTCTCTACAAAAACTACAAAAAATTCACTGGGTATGTTGGCACGCGCCTGTAGTCCCAGCCGCTTGGGAGACTGAGCTGGGAGGATCCCTGGAGCCTGTGAGGCGGAGGCTGCAGCAAGCCATAATCACGCCACTGCACTCCATCCTGGGCAACAAAACAAGATTACATGTCAAGAAAAAAAAAAAAACTGTCAAAATAATGACTCAATTTACTTGAACATGAGAATTTATCTGTTTCATGTTGTAAACTTTAAGGATTAATGCTAGCTTGTCCGATTGGTTAAAGCCATAAATTTTTAAAATTAGAATGTATTAAATTAGTCCCATTTGCCAAAGATTTACCTTTCTTTTGTAAACTTGGGTTCTTAAGATTAAAAACTAAAATACTTAGTTTTTCTAATTACTTTTTTTTTTTGAGACGGAGTCTCGCTCTGTTGCCCAGGCTGGAGCGCGGTGGCGCGATCTCAGCTCACTGCAAGCTCCGCCTCCCGGGTTCATGCCATTCTCCTGCCTTAGCCTCCGGAGTAGCTGGGACTACAGGCTCCCGCTACCACGCCTGGCTGATTTTTTTGTATTTTTAGTAGAGACGGGGTTTCACCGTGTTAGCCAGTATGGTCTCGATCCCCTGACCACAAGGTAGGCCGCCCGCCTCGGCCTCCCAAAGTGCTGGGATTACAGGAGTGAGCCACCGCGCCCGGCCGACTTTTTGTTTTTTAATGCACATGCAGAATATTAGAAGTTCAGTGTTTTTATTGTCTGAGAATTTAGTTCAAAGAGAATTGAAAGGCCTGGAAATGGATAGTGGTGGAGGTTGCACAGTATTGTGAATGAACTTAATGCCAGCTAATTGTACACTTAAAAATGGTTAAAGTATGTGCTCGATCTCTAATTTCTAAAACAAAGCAGGGACAGGCCTGGTTAGTACTTGGATAGGAGAATGTAGGCTTTTTAAAAAACTGGCAAAAATGGCAAATTTTATATTACAGTAGTCCCTGCCTTGTCCCCGAGGAGATACGTTCCAAGACACTCAGTGGATGCTGCCTAACCCCCAGTGGATGACTATGTTTTGTCAATCTAATAACTAGACAACTATTAGGTGACTAACAGGCAGGTAGCGTTTATAGAGTAGATATGCTGGACAAAGGGATGATTTGTGTCCCAGGCAGGTTTGAGGGGGAAGGCATGAAATTTCATCATGCCACTCAAAATGGCACACAATTTAAAACTTGTGAATTGTTGATTCCTAAAATTTTCATTTTAATATTTTTGGACGTTGGCCAACTGCTCGTAACTGAAGCCTCACAGTGAAAATGTGGATAAGTGGGGACTACTGGTATGTGTATTTTACCACAAAAAACAACCCCCAAAACAAAAAGGATAGTGAAAGGGACAGATAACTTGGTATGATGCCCTAGATAGGACATAATCTTTTTTTTCCCTTTGTTAAAGTCTTCCATAATTTTTCCTCGCAGGAACATTATCCTAAGAGGGGTAAGATTTCAACTGATGGAATACATAGAAGTACATTCCAGATTCTACAAAGATAAAATACAGAGATTTGGTCAAAGTTTGCATGATCACTGAGGAAAATAATGATAGATTTAAAGGTGGAAATATAGATTTTGGACATACTCTTTGTTCTCTGATGGTACAGATTAGCATATCATATGTTTTATTAAGTGAACATGTATTTTCTTTTTATTACTTTAGTTTTCATATGGAGTTGGGGGCTTAAATTTTTGTTTCCCTTAGCAGTAGAGTAAGCCCATTTGGCATGAGTTTTGGCCAAACTGCATCACAAATCTTAAGGCTTTGCTTCATCATTTATTTGCTAAGTATCTTCTCCAGGCAAGGAACTCAGTGTTGGGGTGAGAGGGAATAAAGAGATGAATAAGATACTTTATCAATTTATCTAATTCTGTTTAGTAAATATTTCAAAACTTAACAGGGTAAAACATATTTGTTATTGGAGTTTCTGTAGTTCAGGAATCTCGTAGTGGCTTAGTTAGGTGGTTTTGGCTTAAGATCTCTCAAGAGGTGGCTGTCACGCTGTCAGTTGGGGCAGCAGTCATTGCAAGGCTCAACTGGGGCTAGAAGATCTGCTTCCAAGCTCATATAGTTCTTGGCACGCCTTTTTTCCTTGTCCCTGTTCTGTTGGTGGGAGGACTTAGTTCTTGATCACATGGTCATTTCCATGGTGCTGTGTCTGACATGGCAGCTTGCTTCCACCAAAGTGAGTGGGTGAGAGTTGAGAGAGAGACAGAGTCTCTTTTTAGAATGAGAATGTTGTGAAAGAGGAAAGAAGATAATTTGAACATAGAGCAACTTGAAAAAGAACAAGCAGTTTAAAAGATCTGTTAAAGTCATGATATTGGGCCACGTGCAGTGGCTCACGCCTGTAATCCCAGCACTGGGAAGCTGAGGCAGGAGAATGGCTTGAGCCTAGGAGTTCAAGACCAGCCTGGGCAATATAGCAAGACCCTGTCTCTAAAAATAAATAAATAAATAAATAAAATTCATGATACTGAATATTTACAGACTTAACATGATCCCAGAATTACTTAGTAAATCTACGGAAGAAACTTCTATTCTAGACACGTTATATGTAATTTATTGATATGCAGTATATCTATATGAAAGATTCATATTAACAGATGGGTTTATTTCTTTTTTTTTTCTTTTTCTTTGTTTTTTTGTTTGTTTGAGACAGGTCTCACTCTGTTGCCCAGGCTGGAGTTTGGTGGTGCACCCATGACTCACTGCAGCCTCAACCTCCCAGGCTCAACAGATCCTCACGCCTCAACCTCTTGAGTAGCTGGGAATACAGGCACCCACCATCATGCCTGGCTGCTTTTAAAAATTTTTGTAGAGATAGCGTCTTGCCTTGCTGCCCAGCCTCGTCTAAAGCTTGAATGTAGCTGCTTTGCTTAGCTTAAAGGGCCATGTTAGAATCAATTATTTTAAAGAAAGAGTTTAAAGTAAATTCCTAACTAGGATCACAAAATGTGATAGAATATTTTTAAAAAAGCATTACTTAAAGTACTGTGATTTTTGCTGGAAAATGAATCTGGACATTTGGTGATTTCTGGTTTCTGTTTTTTTGAGTTTTGGGCCACCCATAGTAGGAGTGGAATCAAATTTCTAGAAAAGTTATCAGTAAAAGTTAAATATGTTTTCATGAAAACAATCAAGGAAAAAATATTGGAATGGCAAGGTCCTCCCTTTGAGTATTTTTAAGGTTGTATGAACTGCAATTTCCTTCTTTTTATATTTTAGATTATTTTCTTAAAATTAAATTACTGTATATGCCATTCAATACTTTGACTTTCCCCACTTAGCTGTTATCTTAAAGTGTTCCTTCTGTTTTCCTTATCCTACCTTTGTTGCCATAGAAACAGAAGTAGACTGGGGAACTGGCAAGAAACCCAGCAACTGAAATGAATGAGATAACTCTTCACCTGTAGTTACCATGTCCCATTACAACTCCTGTTTTAATGGAAGTAAGTGTGTAATGGAAGCCTGTTGATCAGAAAAAAAGAGTCTGGAACTTAATTTTCATTTGCTTCAGAGTTGTTCATTTGCCTAGAAAGCTTTTAGGAAAGAGCTTTCTTAATAGTTGGAAAAGAACTGTTCATTTCTGTGTAATGGTTATACTTTTAAATGTTTATAATGTGATTTTTATTCATAGGTAGTAACATCTACAAAAGTTTTAGGCAATGAGATTTGATATTATTTCATGTCAGCCCACTGTGGACAAAATGTTTTCACAGATACTACTTAAGTGAACCTAGAAACAGAGATGTAGATCTTATACTCTGATAAGAATGCTTTAAAATACTATTAAATGTAAGCATATTTAATGTTATATGTTTATCAACTCAAGAAATGTTTAAAAAATAAAAATTTTAAATGTAAAAATGATTCCTAAAGGCTAGTTAGAAGCCTTTTAAAAGTGCTGTTTTACACTTCTTATTTTCCTCTTGAAATGTAAATAAATCTGATAAAGTCCAGACTGTAAATAGAAGAACTACTAGAGATTGCTAAAAATTTGCTTCTTTCCATTCTACCGTGCCCACCCCCATCTTTGCAATTAGGGACTAGCACACCTTTTTGGAATTATTTTGCTTTAGGACCCTGAGTTAAAGCGTCTTTTCACTGATTGTTGCCTTAAAATTTTTTAATTCTTATATCCAAGCTATCTATCTATCTATTTATTTATTTATTTATTTTGAGTCGGAGTTTTGTTCTTTCTCCTAGGCTGGAGTGAAGTGGCACGATCTTGGCTCACTGCAACCTCCACCCCCCCGGGTTCAAGCAATTCTCCTACCTCAGCCTCTCTAGTAGCTGAGATTATAGGCGCCCACTATCACGCCTGGCTAATTTTTTGTATTTTTAGTAGAGACAGGGTTTCACCATGCTGGCCAGGCTGGCCTTGAACTCTTGACCTCAGGTGATCCACCCACCTTGGCCTCCCAAAGTGCTAGGATTACAGGCGTGAGCCACTGTACCTGGCCTATTTTTGAGGCATTTTTACTTTTTTTTTTTTTTTTTTGAGTGGAAGATTAACAATAGCCAGTTCTTGCTGGGTTGTTTTTTTTTTTTTTTTTTTTTTTTTTTTTTTTTTTTTTTTTTTTGAGATGGAGTCTTGCTCTTGTTTCCCAGGCTGGAATACAGTGGCATGATCTTGGCTCACTGCAGCCTCTGCCTCCCAGGTTCAAGCGATTCTCCTGCCTTAGCCTCCCAAGTTGCTGGGATTACAGGCGCCTGCCAGCATGGCTGGCTAATTTTTGTATTTTCAGTAGAGATGGGGTTTCACCACATTGGCCAGGCTGGTCTCAAACTCCTGATCTCAAATGATCTGCCTGCCTCGGCCTGCCAAAGTGCTGGGATCACAGGCGTGAACCATCGGGCCCGGCCTTGCTGGGTATCCTTAAATCTGGTTGACTTAAAGGTTTGGGAAATTCTTCTTAGACTACATTATTTTAGACTCCTGTCTTATATGTTGATGGTCTTAGAACTATTTTGTGTTTCCAATCAGTAAAAATGTTTTGGAGCATGGATCACCAGTATATGTATATTTGTTTATGGATTATATACATTTACTAATATCCTAGTATTTTATGTCAGATATACACTAATAAATATAAATGAAATAGGATGAGATAAAGATTATATAAACAGTGTCTTAAGATATTTTGCTAATTGTGAATGCTTTATATTCTTATTAGCCAGTTTCTCAAAGTGAATTAGAAACTAAGGCGATTGTTAACAATAATAAATACTGTAACTCAAATAGTTTCTTCTTAAATTTATAGTTATTTTTTTGGCTGAGATCATCATTTTTTCCTCACAGTGTGGCTGATAACTAGCAGCAAAAGCATCAGCTTTGGCATTTTGTGTTATTTCTTGTGATTCTGTTAACTAGTATTATGTTTAATCTATGTTTTTTTTTTGGAAGGAATCTTTTTAAAGCCCCCTCATTTTTTATGAAAGTTGGCTTAGAATGGTATAATTTATAAATCTACTTCATTGTAGACCCATAAATTATGATTCTGAGCAGTGTGAGTAAGGATACCACTGTGAGCTCCTCTACAATGTGGAATTCACACTCTTCCTGCCAGGTAGCTTGCCATAAAAAGCCTAATATTCAATCCTATGAGTGGCAGCAGTCTTCATCCATGTGTTAAATATTAGTAGTTAGCAAATTTTTCTCGTTCTCTTAATAAAAGTTAGATTCTTTATGATTTCTTCCCACATTTTAAAAGATCATCTTGAATATCCTACTTTTGAAGAAATTAGTTTGTTTAATTCTGGCATCTGCATGTAGACTTTAGATGCCATATTTTCTTTCTCGTCCTTACTGCTTCAGCCTGCCTTTAGTCTTTTTGCTTATGTATATCTCCCTAAGGTAGAGTGGCTGACTATATAAAATGTGTTCCCAGTATTTGAGGAAATAATTTCATACTACAATTTTAATTTTACTTACATTTTGTTTTTGTTTTAGAGATGCATGGCGAGCATTCTCTATGGAATATATGATTTATTTGTAAATAAAGTCAAAAAGAGCCACAAAGCTAAGCAATGGTTCTCACCTCAGGGGCTGCTTATTCACCTAGGGAGCATTTTCAATGTGTTGTATGTTTTGGTTTGTCATAATGACTAAACCGAGCTATTGACATTGAGTCTGCAGGGCCAGCAGTGCTAAACATCTGCAAAGTTTGGGATGGACCCTCCCCAGTAAAGAATTGTCTTTATTGGGGAAATAATGGACTATGGTCATATTTAAGAGGGGTGTGTGTGTGTGTAGATCTTACTCTGTTGCCTAGGCTGGAGTGCAGTGACCAATCATAGCCCACTGCAGCCTCCAACTCCTGGGCTCAAGTGATTCTCTCACCTTGATCTCCCAAAGTGTTGAGATTACAGGCATGAACCACTATACCCAGCCTATTTTGGAGTTATTGTTGGTTGAGATGATTCACCATTAATTCATAAATATATCTTATATTGTAGATGAAAATGAAGGCTCATTTAAATATGGTTATATAATGGTAAGGTGTTGTCACATTTTGTTTCATTTGGCAAGCAGGGGTTTTTTTTTTTTTTTTTTGATGCAGGGTCTTGGTCTGTCACCCAGGCTGAAGTGCAGTGGTACAATCGCTGAAGTGCAGTGGTACAATCGTAGCTCACTGCAGCCTCAAACTCTAGACTCAAGCTATCCTTCTGCCTTAGCCTCCCGAGTAGCTGGGACTACAGACACATGCCACCGTGTTCGGCCAATTTGTGTAATTTTTAGTAGAGACCGGGTCTCAACTATGTTGCCCAGGCTGATCTTAACACTCCAGGGCTCAAGCGGTACGCTCACACTGGCCTCCCAAAGTGTTGGTATTAACAGGCATTACCCACTGCTCCTGGCCTTTTTTTGTTATTTTTTGTTTTTGCTCTTGATATATTGTATACAATTCATTGCAGCATTGAGCAACTACTATTGGTAATTCATTTTGCTAGGTGCTGGAACTACAGAGATGAATAACGTGGTTACTTTTCTTTCTGTTCGCAGACTAGTAGGGGAAAACAGTCATGTAAATAATTACTATATAGTATGATAAGTACATCCGGAGAATTAGATTTAATGTAAAAGGTAGCCCTGAGAGGGGTAAGGTTTTAGGGAGAATTTCACCAGATTGTTAAACTTTGAGGGCAAGGACTGCATCTTAAGAGTTACATATTTACAACACAGCACTGGGCCTTAAACTTGGTAATTTAGTCAGTAAATATTAGCTGGTTAAAAAGTTTAGATTTCAGTGAATTTTTGATGAGTGAATTGAAGTATGTCCAGATGTAAAAAGTGGGAAAGGACAGGCAGGCTTAAAGTTCAGGTATTGCAGGAAGTGCTAGCAAATAACATTGGAAGGTGAGGTTTAGATAGGCAATTAAGAAAGTTGCGTCGAGCGTGGTGGCTCGTGCCTGTAATCCCAGCGCTTTGGGAGGCTGAGGTGGGCGGATCACGAGGTCAGGAGATGGAGACCGTCCTGGCTAACACGGTGAAACCCCATCTCTACTAAAAATACAAAAAAAATTAGCCAGGCGTGGTGGCAGGCGCCTGTAGTCCCAGCTACTCAGGAGGCTGAGGCAGGAGAATGGCGTGAACCCGGGAGGTGGAGCTTGCAGTGAGCCGAGATTGCGCCACTGCACTCCAGCCTGGGCTACAGAGCCATACTCCGTCTCAAAAAAAAAAAAAAAGTTGCAGGTGATAGGATATTATTAAAGCTTTTTTCTCCCATTTTTACATTAAGTTGTTAAAAAGGGGAAGAGACATGATTAGGTTTAGTGAGGTTTAGGTTTTAGGAAGGTATGTCTATTGGCATTCTGGAAGATGTACTTGAGGGAGGAGAGAAATTTTATTTCTTAGGTAGTGAACTCTTCAGACTTGTAAGATCTTGTAAGATCAAACTGTAAGTGGAAAATCTAAATTTTAGCTTTTATACATCAATTTATTTTTTAGTTTTAGAGTTTATATTATGCAAGCCTAAGTATATTCTATATGGAATAATTTTAATTTTTCAATATGTTTTTAGTTATTCTTTAGTTTTTAAAAAATGTTTTATATTATTTTTAAGTAGGGACAGGATCTCATTTTGTTGCTCAGGTTGTTCTTGAACTCCTAGTCTCAAGCAGTCCTCCTGCCTCAGCCTCCCAAAGTGCTAGGATTTAAGTCTTTTAATGTTCAAGATAAATAATTCATTTATATCAGTGTATACAGAACAAAGGTAATAATTATTGGTCTTCCTTAAATTTTTTTTTCTTCAGTAGGAAACTTAGAAGCCTGAAGTTGATAAACTGGTTCAACTGAAAATTGGTAACACTTTTAAGGTAGCTTGGTAGCAAGGTTAGTAGTAATTTATAAGAAAAATTCTGAATTCTGTGTAGATGATTTATTTATTTTTGTTCAGCAGGTTTGTATCTATAGCCTAGCACTTTCCCTACAAAAAATCAAAACAAAACTGTTTGGGTCACAAAATAAAACAGACATTTTCAAGGGTTAAGTAATAACTTTTAGTCTTGAGATCCTCGCAAATTCTTTTTTGCTGTGTCAGATATAAAAAATTATAATTGTAATATAATTACCACAACGTATAGATTATCAATAAATTAATAGTAAATAGCAATGGGTTCTTAGGTTTAACGTGAAATTTTAAAGTTAAAGCTGATGTTGTAAAATAATTAGTGTAAAAACAATAATCTACTTCTAAGCACATATAAAATGACTGACTTGTACATTCAGATTCTGAGTATGAAATCTGCCTTACTCATACTTAAAGTTTCTGAGTTAGCAATGTAAAGGTGACTTTTGCCAAAAATTTGGCATAAGTAGACATGTAAAGAAAAAAGTCATTTATTTAAGCCAATAAAGTTGAAAAGATTAGCTTTAAGTAAGCATTTAGGCAGCAAGCAGGTCACAGCTGACAAGCCTTCTAATAAGAGAGGAAACTGAAAAACTTGAAAGCAGTCTGGCTGGCACCATTTAGCATAGGGACAAAGTCCTAGTCATTGAATGAAGGCATCACTATATTACAGTTATAAAACTAACACATAGGAAATACCTAACTGATTTTATTAAATAATTCTGGGTATCAGAAATAGACAATTAAGGAGAAAGTAGAAGTCTGTTAACCATTATATTTAGAATATTTCTAGTATGAATACTTAACATATTTAAAAATGGCTTTTAACCATTATTTGCAAAATGTACAGCAACAGACTTCTTATCCAATCCAGTTGGATTTGATAGCTATTCATTTAATCAAAAAGGTCAAAACAGGAAATTATAAAAAATACATATGCATATAAATGTAAACATTTAATACAGTTTTCACATTCATTTGCCATATTTTTTTATGTGTCTGTTGAGGGCCAGACAATATTTAATCTGTGAAGATGGATCCCCTAATTGTAAATCATTGTATTTTTTGCAACTATATCCCTAAAATAGAAGTTTCCTATCACATTCTTTGAAGTGGAGCAAGCCACTTTACTCTTACAGCCAATTGTCTTCTTGTCTTCTTGACTTCTCTACCTGCACACTGACGAAGCATCTTAAATTTAACATGTTCAGTGTCAAAAGTTTGACTTTACCACTCCAAGTCTATCCCTGTAACAGTCTTCCCCATCTTAGTGACAACTCATTCTTACTGCACATACCAAGAAAACGCTATTTTATTAGTCTGCTCTTGCACTGTTTTAAAGAAATACTTGAGACTGGGTAATTTATAAGAAAAGAGGTTTAAGTGGCTTATGGTTCTGCAGGCTGTACAGGAAGTATAGTGGCATCTGCTTCTGGGGAGGTTTCAGGAAGCTCCCAATCATGACAGCAGGCAAAGGGGGAGAAGGCACATCACATAGTGAAAAGCAGGAGCAAGCGAGAGAGGGCCAGGTGCTATACACTTTTAAATGACTAGATCTCCCAAGAACTCACTATTGCAACAACAATACCAAGGGTATGGTTCTAAGCCATTCATGAGAAGTCCACCCCTATGATCCAATCACCTCCCACCAGGCTCCACTTTTAATACTGGAGATTACATTTCAGCATGAGATTTGGTGAGGACACAGATCTAAACCATGTCCTGTCATCCTTGACTCCTTTCTTGTCTACATTCTTGACTCTTCTTTTCTGTATCTTAACTCCTCTCATATCCCACTTATAAGGCGTCAACAAATTGTGTTGACTCTACTTTGAAAGTATATTTGAATTCTCACCACTTTTCATCACCTTCACTGTTCTATGGCCCAGGTTACAATCATTTCTTGGATATTTGTAGTAGCCTTCTAGGGCTTCTGCTCCTACTCCCAAGAGTCTATTATCAACATAGCAACCAAAGTGATCCTCTTAAAACCTAAATCAGGCTGGGCACAGTGGCTCACGCCTGTAATCCCAGCACTTTGGAAGGCCGAGTGGGTAGGATCATGAGGTCAAGAGATGGAGACCATCTTGGCCAACATGGTGAAACCGCGTCTCTGCTAAAAATACAAAAATTAGCCCGGTGTGGTGGCACATGCTTGTAGTCCCAGCTACTCGGGAGGCTAAGGCAGGAGAATCGCTTGAACCTGGGACATGGAGGATGCAGTGAGTCGAGATCGTGCTGCTGCATTCCAGCCTGGCAATAAAGCAAGACTCCATCTCAAAAAAAAAAAAACCCTAAATCAGATTACATCCCTCCTGTGTTCACACCCCACCATGACTTTACAATGATCTTACAGTGCAAGAGTCTTTACAAGACCCTACAATACATGATCTTCCTCGCAGCATTTTACCTCTCCCCTATTTCTTAATACACTTCTTCTTCACTCTGGGCCAGCTACACTAACCTTCTTGTTGTTTCTTGTATACTTATCAGACACATTCTTCCCTCAAGCTATTTGTATTTGCTATTCCTTCAAATAACCTTATAGCTTGTTCTTAACATCCTTCAAACCATTGCTCAGATGTACACTTCCACATGACTCTTTACCTTAACACTAACAAAAATAAACCGTCTGCCCTGTACTCTCTCTTTTTCTGCTTTATTTCCACCCCATATACTTATGGCCTTCAAATATGCTATAAATGTTTTTTTATTTATATTTTTGTTATCTGTCTCTCCCCATGAAGAAGGCAAGAATTTTTTTTTCTTTTTGTTCACAAATGAGTAGCATCTAGACAATATCTGGTACACAGTAGGCACTACATACGTTTTTATGGAATGAATGAATGCCATTGTACTATAATAATTGATTTACTTATGTTTGTTCCACTTGACTGTAAGCTTCTTGATTGGCAAGTGCTGTGACTCCTGCAGTCTGTTTCATAAGCGGTAAACATACATGACTTGCATGATGTTTGCTCAATTTATGAAAGAATATATTTCATAGCTGGATGTGGTGGCTCACACCTGTAATCCCAGCACTTTGGGAGGCTGAGGCAGGCAGATCACCTGAGCTCAGGAGCTCTAGATCAGCCTGGCCAACATGGCGAAACCCTGTCTCTACTAAAAATACAAAAATTAGCTGGGTGTGCTGGCTGGCACCTGTAATCCCAGCTACTTGGGAGGCTTAGGCAGAAGAATCACTTGAACCTGGGAGGCAGAGGTTGCAGTGAGCTGAGATCGCGCCACTGTACTCCAGCCTGGGCAACAGGAGTGAGACTCCGTCTCAACAAAAAAAAAAAAAAAAGAAAAGAAAAAAGAATATATTTCATATTTTTTACAGGTAAAATAACACAAATATGCATTGGAATTTTTTTTACTTATATGTATAAGTATTTTGTATTGCTATGTATTCTATATAATTATACACATTATTTTTTGTTGAGTTAGCTTTCAAAATCCTTATAAAACTGTAGGCAATTCATAAACAAAATAGGCAAATTGAAAAATTCTCTTGGGTTGATATTTAGTCATTTACTTAACTATTGATTATTATAAGCATTTAAGTGTTCCCAGTGTATATTTTTATAGGTAACGCTTCAGTGAATATCTTAGGAAGTCTTTAATTCAGTAACCTGGAGATACATTGTATTAGAAGAAATGTGTTAAATTTCATATTTATAAAAGAGCCAATAGATTTTTGTTGTGAAAAGATTTATTTTAAATAATATGAACATCCAGGCCCAGTGGCTTACACCTGTAATCCCAGCACTTTGGGAGGCTGAGGTGGGCTGATCACTGGAGTCCAGGAGTTCAAGACCAGCCTGGGCAACATAGTGGGACCCCATCTCTTAAAAAAAATACAAAAATTATTTAGACGTTGTAGTGCTGGCCTGCTGTCCCAGCTACTCCGGAGGCTGAGCTTGAACCTGGGAGGCTGAAGCTGCAGTGAGCCGTGATCGCACACCACTCCAGCGTGAGCTACAGAGTCTCAAAAAAAAAGTATGTGAACTTACCCAGTGCATTTATGTTTTCTGGTGGCTACTTATTTGTATTACAAAGCGATATATTCTTACCGGAGAAACTCAAATCTGTCCATTCATAAAGTAAATATATTCCCTTTGGCCCTGCTGATGGCAGTTTCCAGAACTACTTTAAAATGGTTTGCTGTACATTCTTTCAGACCTTTTTAATATGCACATGAATATATATACTTATTTTTTAAAATCTAATTAAATATGCATTCTGCAGTTTGATTATATATTCTACCTATGCAACAGAAGTCTGCCATGTGAATATATATAAATACGTTTTCTTTAAAAGGATTATACAGTGATGTGTAAGCATTTTTTTTATACTTTAAGTTCTAGGGTACATGTGCACAACGTGCAGGTTTGTTACATATGTACACATGTGCCACGTTAGTGTGCTGCACCCATTAACTTGTAATTTACATTAGGTATATCTCCTAATGCTATCCCTCCCCCCTCCCCCCACCCGACAGGCCCTAGTGTGTGATGTTCCTGACTCTGTGTCCAAGTGTTCTCATTGTTCAATTCGCACCTATGAGTGAGAACATGCGGTGTTTGGTTTTCTGTCCTTGTGATAGTTTGCTCAGAATGATGGTTTCCAGCTTCATCCATATCCCTACAAATGACATGAACTCATCCTTTTTTATGGCTGCATAGTATTCCATGGTGTATATGTGCCACATTTTCTTTATCCAGTCTATCATTGATGGACATTTGGGTTGTTTCCAATTCTTTGCTATTGTGAATAGTGCTGCAATAAACATACATGTGCATGTGTCTTTATAGCAGCATGATTTATAATCCTTTGGGTGTATACCTAGTAATGGGACAGCTGGGTCAAATGGTATTTCTAGTTCTAGATCCTTGAGGAATCACCACACTGTCTTCCACAATGGTTGAACTAGTTTACAGTCCCACCAACAGTGTAAAAGTGTTCCTATTTCTCCACATCCTCTCCAGCACCTGTTGTTTCCTGACTTTTTAATGATCGCCATTCTAACTGGCATGAGATGGTATCTCATAGTGGTTTTGATTTGCATTTCTCTGATGGCCAGTGATGATGAGCATTTTTTCATGTGTCTGTTGGCTGCATAAATGTCTTCTTTTGAGAAGTGTCTGTTCGTATCCTTTGTCCACTTTTTGACGTGGTGGTTTGATTTTTTTTTTCTTGTAAATTTGTTTAAGTTCTTTGTAGATTCTGGATATTAGCCCTTTGTCAGATGGGTAGATCGTAAAAATTTTCTCCCATTCTGTAGGTTGCCTGTTCACTCTGATGGTAGTTTCTTTTGCTGTGCAGAAGCTCTTTAGTTTAATTAGATCCCATTTGTCAATTGTGGCTTTTGTTGCCATTGCTTTTGGTGTTTTAGTCATGAAGTCTTTGCCCATGCCTATGTCCTGAATGGTATTGTCTAGGTTTTCTTCTAGGATTTTTATGATTTTAGGTCTGACATTTAAGTCTTTAATCCATCTTGAATTAATTTTTGTATAAGGTGTGAGGAAGGGATCCAGTTTCAGCTTTCTACATATGGCTAGCCAGTTTTCCCAACACCATTTATTAAATAGGGAATCCTTTCCCCATTGCTTGTTTTTCTCAGGTTTGTCAAAGATCAGATGGTTGTAGATGTGTAGTATTATTTCTGAGGCCTCTGTTCTGTTCCATTGGTCTCTATGTCTGTTTTGGTTACTGTAGCCATGCTGTTTTGGTTACTGTAGCCTTGCAGTATAGTTTGAAGTCAGATAGTGTGATGCCTCCAGCTTTGTTCTTTTGGCTTAGGATTGTCTTGGCAACGCGAGCTCTTTTTTGGTTCCATATGAACTTTAAAGTAGTTTTTTCCAGTTCTGTGAAGAAAGTCATTGGTAGCTTGATGGGGATGGTATTGAATCTATAAATTACCTTGGGCAGTATGGCCATTTTCACGATATTGGTTCTTCCTATCCATGAGCATGGAATGTTCTTCTATTTGTTTGTGTCATCCTTTATTTTGTTGAGCCGTGGTTTGTAGTTCTCCTTGAAGAGGTCCTTCACATCCCTTGTAAGTTGGATTCCTAGGTATTTTATTCTCTTTGAAGCAATTGTGAATGGGAGTTCACTCATGATTTGGCTGTTTCTCTATTATTGGTATATAGGAATGCTTGTGATTTTTGCACATTGATTTTGTATCCTGAGACTTTACTGAAGTTGCTTATCAGCTTAAGGAGATTTTGGGCTGAGACGATGGGGTTTTCTAAATAAAAAATCATGTCATCTGCAAACAGGGACAATTTGACTTCCTCTTTTCCTTATTCAATACCCTTTATTTCTTTCTCCTGCCTGATTGCCCTGGCCAGAACTTCCAACACTATGTTGAATAGGAGTGGTGAGAGAGGGCATCCCTGCCTTGTGCCAGTTTTCAAAGGGAATGCTTCCAGTTTTTGCCCATTCAGTATGATATTGGCTGTGGGTTTGTCATAAATATCTCTTATTATTTTGAGATACATCCCATCAATACCTAGTTTATTGAGAGGTTTTAGCATGAAGGGCTGTTAAATTTTGTTGAAGGCCTTTTCTGCATCTATTGAGATAATGATGTGGTTTTTGTCTTTGGTTCTGTTTATATGGTGTATTACATTTATTGATTTGTGTATGTTGAACCAGCCTTGCATCCCAGGGATGAAGCCAATGTGATCGTGTTGGATAAGCTTTTGCTGCTGGATTCAGTTTGCCAGTATTTTATTGAGGATTTTTGCATCGATGTTCATCAGGGATATTGGTCTAAAATTATCTTTTTTTTGTTGTGTCTCTGCCAGGCTTTGGTATCAGGATGATGTTGGCATTAAAATGAGTTAGGGAGGATTCCCTCTTTTTCTATTGATTGGAATAGTTTCAGAAGGAATGGTACCAGCTCCTCTTTGTACCGCTGGTAGAATTCGGCTGTGAATCCATCTGGTCCTGGACTTGTTTTCGTTGGTAGGCTATTAATTATTGCCTCAATTTCAGAGCTTGTTATTGATCTATTCAGGGATTCAACTTCTTCCTGGTTTAGTCTTGGGAGGGTGTATGTGTCCAGGAATTTATCCATTTCTTCTAGATTTTCTTGTTTATTTGCGTAGAGGTGTTTATAGTATTCTCTGATGGTAGTTTGTATTTCTGGGGGATCGGTGGTGATACCCCGTTTGTCATTTTTTTATTGCGTCTATTTGATTCTTCTCTCTTTTCTTCTTTATTAGTCTTGCTAGCGATCTATCAGTTTTGTTGATGTTTTCAAAAAACCAGCTGCTGGATTCATTGATTTTTTGAAGGGTTTTTTTGTGTCTCTGTCTCCTTCAGTTCTGCTCTGATCTTAGTTATTTGTTGTCTTCTGCTAGCTTTTGAATTTGTTTGCTGTTGCTTATGTAGTTCTTTTAATTGTGACGTTAGGGTGTCAATTTTAGATCTTTCCTGCTTTCTCATGGGCATTTAGTGCTATAAATTTCCCTCTACACACTGCTTTAAATGTGTCCCAGAGGTGGTGGTATGTTGTGTCTTTGTTCTCATTGGTTTCAAAGAACATCTTTATTTCTGCCTTCATCTCGTTATGTACCCAGTAGTCATTGAGGAGCAGGTTGTTCGGTTTCCATGTAGTTAAGCGGTTTTGAGTGAGTTTCTTAATCCTGATTCCTAGTTTGATTGCACTGTGGTCCTAGAGACAGTTGTTAAAATTTCTGTTCTTTTACATTTGCTGAGGAGTGCTTTACTTCCAACTGTGTGGTCAATTTTGGAATAAGTGCGATGTGTTGCTGAGAAGAATGTATATTCTGTTGATTTGGGGTGGAGAGTTCTGTAGATGTCTATTAGGTCTGCTTGGTGCAGAGCTGAGTTCAATTCCTGGATATCCTTGTTAACTTTTTGTCTCGTTGATCTGTCTAATGTAAGCATTTTTAAATCATTCCTTTGTTGAGGGACATTTTGTTTGTCTCTCATTTTGGGAAACATTGGGTTATACAGAAGTATTTTCTGTTCTGCATTATGGATCTCCAAAAAGGGCAAAGGGTGTGCACAATTTTCTGAACTTATTTTACCATAGAACTTTTCTTTTTTTTATGAACTGTGAATTTTTCAAAGAGTGTATTGTATCACTGATCCTCCATTAAAAGTATTTGAAGCTCTTGTCAATCTTCTTGTTTTACTTATAAAATTAAGAGTTAGTAGAAAATTGAAACCACAGTCTGTTTCTTGACTCTGTTGTTCAGTGTTGTTCCTTTTGCTTTGAATTTTTGTCTTCATTTAGTACTCTTTCCTGAATTCAAATAAGAAAGCTAAGCACTAGAGTTTTTATAAGGGAAAAGAACAGTTTTCATGTGTTCATACTAGGGAAAGTTAAAGTTTCTATGTCTTTAGGTTTTTCTTTTTGTCAGCAGGTGATATCTTGGTAGGTAATTAATGACAAGTGAAAACAAGTGAGGTTTCAGACAATTTGATGTAGCTTTCTTTAAATTACTTAAGTCCTCTAACATAAATGAACTAGTTCTTTTCTCATGTTGAATAATTCTTTTAATTACTTTAAGAATAGCTTGAAAAGCAGTATTATAAGTTTCAGTGTGTTTAGTAAGTTTCTTAGCTATTTCTTTAGCCTTTCTCCTTCCCATTAAGGTACCTACTTTTATTTCTTGTGGTGTATAAAAGGACTTTGGTCAATCTAAACTGAAGCAGATACGTTTTAAGATAGAGATATTCTTGAGTCTTGTCACATAATTGTTATTATTTTTCATCTTTCCCTAGGCTGTCAGGTTTCTCTAATCTTAGGGCACATTTAAAGTATTTTTCCTCCCTAACTGAACATTTGCTTGGATCAAGCAGATCATTTTGTGTAGTGAAAACAATCATTGGACCAAGAACTGGTATCCTCTTTTAGTTCTTTGTTTTTCAAATTTATTTAAAGAAATCAAAATAGTTTTTTTCTGATTATAAAGGTAATGCATACTTACAGAAAGTGTAACTAATGCAGAAATAATTTTTTAAAGACAGTTAAGTCACTTAAAATTCTACTATTTGGAGCTAACCTCTTTAACGTGGTAAATGCTCTTCCCTGTAAATATACACACACATTTATAAAAATAAGGTCATACTCTACTGGTTTGTAATTTTCCTTTTTAATCAATAATATGTTTTGGAACATGTTATTTTTTAAGTAAATTTGTTTTAGAGATAGGATCTCACTCTGTCACCTAGGATGGAGTGCAGTGGTGCCATCATGGCTCACTGCAGCCTTGACCCCCTGGGCTCAAGTGATCCTCCTGCCTCAGCCTTCCGAGTAGCTGGGACTAGAGGCATACACCACTGCACCCAACTAATTTTTAAAATTTTTTGGAAAAATGAGGGTCTCACTGTGTTGCCTAGGCTGCTCTTGAACTCCTGGGCTCAAGTAGTCTTCCAACCTTGTTCTCCCAAAGGGCTGAGAATACAGGTGTGAGCCACCGTGCCTGGCCACACTTTCCTTTTTTTTTTTTTTTTTTTTTTGAGACACAGTCTCACTCTGTAGCCCAGGCTGGAGTGCAGTGGCGTGATCTCGGCTCACCGCAACCTCTGCCTCCTGGGTTCAAGCGATTCTCCTGCCTCAGCCTCCCAAGTAGCTGGGACTACAGGCATTTGCCACCATGCCCGGCTAATTTTTTGTATTTTTAGTAGAGACGGGGTTTCACCATGTTAGCCAGGCTGGTCTCGAACTCCCGACCTCGTGATCCACCTGCCTCAGCCTCCCAAAGTACTGGGATTACAGGTGTGAGCCACCGTGCCTGGCCAAAACTTTTATACTTGTTACTGAACTGCCTTTCAGAGTGGTGGTATCAATTTACACTCACTCTAAAACTACCAATTCTGGGTTCTTTTTTTTTTTTTTTTAAACCTTTGATAATCTGATTGGTGCATGATGATAACTCAAATTTGTTCAAATTTGCATTTCTCTGCAAGATTTAGTTTATTTTCATGTATTGGTCAGCTTTATTTCTTTCTTATTTATTTGTTCGTTTTTATTTTTTGTAAAGACGGGGTCTCACTTTGTTGACCAGACTGATCTCTTTTATTTTTTTCTGTAAATTATCTGTCAACATCTTTTGACCACATCGATGTTATGCTGTTAGAGCTTTCCATATATTTATTTGTGTAATCCTCACAAGAATTCTTTTAGGTGGGTATATTTGTTCTACTTACAGTTGAGGAAACTGAGATGTGACTCAGTAACTTGCCCAAGATTACAAAGCTAGTGTATAGTAAATCTAGGAATCAAATTCAGATTTCCCTTACTGATTCTTAGTAAGAGCAGCTAGGTTTAGTTGACCTTTTAAATAACATTGTGGAGCTAATTTATATTCTTAGTAATGTTGTGAAGCTGTTTGTTTCTCAGAAATTCTTTAAGTTTCTAAATCTTAAAGGAAAGATATTTTACTAATGTATGTGAATTTTGGTCCTAGCATTTTAGGCTGCTGTTTGTAGAATTGAGCTTTCTGTCCTCCAAACTTCATGTAGTCTAAAATGAATGAAGGAAAACATATAGATTCTTAGATTTTCTAAGAATGTATTTTTGGAGATTTCATATTCAATCATGTTAAAATTTTTTTCTTTTGAAAATGATATTCTTGAGTACATACTAGTATCACTTCAAGAGTTTTATAATCATGTTAATGGAGTACATATAATCATGCTTTTTGTGGATTTTGACCTATTATTCCAATTTCTAGTCTACCAACATTGTTTTGACTCTTCAAATTTTAGAAGTGAGTGATCTAGGGTCTCCATTCCTCACTTTACAGGTTAGGAATCTTAGAGAGGTTCAATAATTAAGTAGTGGCAAATACTGTGGTCCAACCTTAAAAGCAGTTGTAATTTCATTTGGATCATTTGGGTGTTGACTTCTTTGGAGGCAAAGGTTTGTTAAGCCTTCTCAACTTAATGAATTCCTCCATTTACCTTTATATCCCTAATATTATAACTCTTTATAACTCTGTGTCTAGAAGATGGTAAGCCCTTGATACATGCCTGTTGAATTGACTTCACTTCTATTTTTTATCCAGTATATTTTAACCTCTTTCAGGCTATCTACTCTCCCTTTCTGCATGGTTTTTTTTCTTTGGGAGGCAGAGTGTTGCTCTGTCGCCCAGGCTGGAGTAACCCTGGTATGAATGAGGGAAGGTCCAAAAGGGTCCTGAGCATAGAAGCATAGGACTCCCTGTGGAGTCATTCTCCATTTCCTGTTCCCCCAACTCCCATTACCCACTATCCTACTTTCTCTCTCTATGGATTTGCCTACGCTGGACATTGCATGTAAGTGGAATTATACAATATATGGTTTTTTGTGACTGGCTTCTGTCATGTAACATAATGCTTTCCAAGTTCATCCTTGTTGCAGCATGTATTACAACTTCATTTTATTTTCTTTTTTCTTTCTTTTCTTTTCTTTTTTTTTTGAGATGGAGTCTTGCTGTGTTACCCAGGCTGGAATGCAGTGGTAGGATCTTGGCTCACTGCAGCCTCCGCCTCCTGGATTCAAGCGATTCTCCTGCCTCAGCTTCTTGAGTAGCTGGGATTACAGGCGCATGCCACCATGCCCAGCTAATTTTTGTATTTTTAATAGAGATGGGGTTAGGCTGATCTCGAATTTTTGACCTCGTCATCCACCTGCCTCAGCCTCCCAAAGTGCCGGGATTACAGGCGTGAGCCACCGCGCCCAGCCTTCATTTCATTTTCTTACCAAATAATATTTCATTGTATGAGTGTGTCATATTTTGTTTATCCATTTATTATTTGATGAACACTTGAATAATTATGAATAATGTTGCTGTGAACATTCATGTACAAAACCTACATACGTGTAGGTTTTTTTATGGACATATGTTTGTAGTTCTCTTGTGCATATAACTAGGAATGGAATTGCTGGGTGACATAACTCTGTTTAACTTATTGAGAAACTGCCAAAATGTTTTCTAAAGTGGCTGCAATGTTTTGCAATCCCACTGGCATTGTGTAAGGGTTCCAGTTTCCCCACATCCTTACAAACACTTATTAGGTTTTTTTTGTTTTGTTTTGTTTGTTTGTTTGTTTTTTAGCCATTCTAGTGAGTGTGAAGTGCCATCTCGTGGTTTTGATTTGCATTTCTCTGATGACTAATGATATTGAGCATCTTTTCTTATGCTTATTGGCCATTTGTGTATCTTCTTTTGATAAAATATCTATTCAAACCCTTTGCCCATTTTAAAATTGTGCTGTGTGTGTGTGTGTGTGTGTGTGTGTGTGTATGTGTGTGTGTGTGTGTGTGTCTGTCAGTCTCTCCATCTGTCAGGGTCTGGGTCTCACTGTGTCATCCTGGGTAGAGTGCAGTGGCACATCATGGCTCACTGTAGGCTCAACCTCCCAGGCTCTAGGGATCCTCCCCCTCAGCCACCCAAGTAGCTGGGACTATGGGCACATGCCAACACACCCAGCCAATTTTTATATTTTTTTGTAGGTAAGGGATTTTGCCATGTTGCCCAGGCTGGTCTTGAACTCTTGGGCTCAAGCGATCTACCTACCTTGTCCTCCCAAAGTGCTAGGATTATGGATGTGAGCCACCTGTGCCTGGCTGTGTTGTTTTTAATTATTGAGTAGTTATAAGTGTTTTTTAAAAATATATTTTGGATACAACTGTCTTCAGATATATGATATACAAATATTTTCTTCCATTCTGTAGGTTGTCTTTTCACTTTCTTGATAGTGTCCTTTGAAGGACAAAAGTCCACGTTATCTATTTTTCCTTTGATTGCTTGTGCTTTTGATGCCATATCTAAGTAAACATTGCCTAATCCAAGGTCAAGAAGATTTACGCCTTTATTTTCTTCCAGGAATTTTACGTTTTTACCTCTTACGTTTGGGTCATTGATTCATTCTTAGTTCCTTTTTGTGTATGGTGTGAGGTAGGGGTCCAGTTTCCTTCTTTTACATGTGGATATTCAGTTGTTCCAGCACCTTTTGTTGAAAAGATATTCTTTCCCCATTGAATTGTTTTGGCACCCTTGTCAAATATCATTTGACTGTACATGTAAGCAAGGGTTTGTTTCTTGAATCTCAATTCTATTCTGTTGATCTAAAGGTCTAGCATTAAGCCATGCTACTCTGCTTTGATTACTATAGCTTTGTAGTAAATTGAAATCAGAAAGTGTGAGCCTTCCAACTTTATTCTTCCTTTTCAAGATTATTTTGGCAATCCTGGCCAAAATAATCCAAAATTTAACTTTTCATGCTATTTTATCTGAAATTACTTTCTTCAAGGTCACTTATAATCTTTGGCCCAATTCAGTTATACCCCACCCCTAATTTTTTAGTCCTTTTTCAGTTTTCTAGAAAACTATCTCGTTTCCCACTTTCTGGTCCTCTTTTTGATATTTTGCCCTCATAATATTTCTTTTTATTTTCCAGCAGGTAGTGAGCACTTCTCATCTTCTAAGCACCCTGTTAATCTCTGGAAAAGAAAATTCCAATTAAACACAATCCTCATTCTCATGTTGCTTAGGATAAATAATATTAAGAGAGAGGCAGGTACATTCATGCTAATCTCTGTGTTTCATAAAGGAGAATCTGATTTTTGTTTTTGTTTTGGTTTTGGTAATGGATGTTGGCTTAAGTGTTTTTAAACTTGAAAATAATAGTTTAAAAGCATGTACTTATGTTAAAATAATTGTAAAATATAAAAGCAAGCACTATCTATATGGAAAAATTCAATACAAATGAATTGCAAGAACAGCAAAAATCTAGCTCTAAAAAGTGTTACAAACATGCCTATGCATAATAATAATAAAATATATGAGTAGTTTAATATATCTTCTATTTATTGTTCACTTTCACTTATTTATTGATTTATCCAAAATAAATGTATTGAGTATTGTGTGTGCTTTTCCAAAAACAAATTCTCCAATTATTCAGCACCAACTTTGTCTCAACAATTTAATTCCATTCTGACAGTAACTGTTCAAAGTTATTGTAGACCCCACAGTTTAAGGTCTCAGTCCCATAATACTGTCCCCACTTCAGATGCCAGCCACCAGTAGGGTCTCTCAGTTACTCACAGTTCTGACAGGCTGAAACTAATCAGAGGTTCCCACAACCCCCTTCAGTTTCAGTTATTTGCTAGAGACTCATTGAGCTCAGGAAAGTGCTATACTTATCAGTTTATTATAACAGATAACAAATGAGCATCCAGTTGGTAAGGTATATAAGGCAATGTGTAATAGGATCCTGAGCATAGGAGTCTCTGTCCCCTTGGAGTCAGAGTGTGCTACCCTCTCAGCACATGGATCTGTTTACCAACTTGGAAACTCTACAAATCCCGTAATTTAGTGGTTTTTATGGGGGTTTAATTACATAGGCATGCTTGATGAAAACTGGTGCTGTGGTTTGAATGTCCCTTCCAAAAATCATGTTGAAACTTGATGTTGCCATTGTAACAGTATTAAGAGGTGCAGCCTTGAAGATGTGATTAGGCCACAAGGGCTCCACCCTTATGAAGGGATTAATGCACTTACCTGGGAAGTGGGTTTGTTATCTTGGGAGTAGGCTCCTGATCAAGAGATGGATTTGACAGATATCCTCTCTTTATCTCGGGCACTCCCTTGCCCTTCCATCCTGTTATGATGGAGCATGGAGGCCGTCACAAGATGCCAGTGCCATGCTCTTGGACTTCCCAGCCTCCAGAACTGTGAGCAAAATAAACTGCTATTATTTATAAACTACCCATTCTGTGCCATTCTGTTATAGCAGCAGAATAGGGACTAAGACAATTGGCCATTAGCAATTGAACTCAGTGTTCAGCCCCTTTCCCCTCTCTGGATGTCAGGGAGTAGGCCTGAAAGCTCTAACTCCCTAATCATGTGGTTGGTTTTTCTGCAGAGCAGACCCATGATGATGCTGTCTAGCTCTCCCCACCCCATAAATCATCTGTTTAGCATAAGAGACAGTAAATTCCAGGGTTTTTAGGTTTCTGTACCAGTAACTAGGGGTAAAGATCAAATATTTATTACTACACCACAGCATCTACTATATATTATAGGGAAGAAAATATATCTACACATCCTAGATTCATGGCTAAGCTTCCCACACATGCTGTTTCTCAGATTTCTTTAGCTTAAAATATTCAGTATGTCACAGTGTCATGTTTTTTGGGAGAGCATTTCCTGAACCCCATCAGTATCAGACATAATCCTGGCTTTTATGAAATTTGAAGACAGAAAACAAATTGATAAAAAGAAAATCCTGGCTGAGCGTGGTGGCTCGTGCCTATAATCCCAGCACTTTGGTAGGCCAAGGCGGGCGGTTCACTTGCAGTCAGGAGTTCAAGACCAGCCTGGTCAACATGGCAAAACTTCGTTTCTATTAAAAATACAAAAATTAGCCAGGCATGGTGGCAGGCACCTGTAACCCCAGCTACTTGGGAGTCTGAGGCAGGAAAATCTCTTGAACCCAGGAGGAGGAGGTTGCAGTGAGCTGAGATTGTGCCACTGCACTCCAGCCTGGGCAGCAGAGTGAGTCTCCATCTCAAAAAAACAAAAAAAGAAAATGCTAACAATAGGGGATAAATTATTCAATGATAAAGATATGCACAGCATCTTATGGAATATTAGGATTACCACACTTATCCAACCTGCAGGGAGTGCTATGAAGCACAACTAGAGTTGGAAGGGAGAGGTCAGAGGTTAAAAAGTATTTCTGGAGAAGGTTGCTTTTTGCTTGACAAGTGGAAATAAGACAGAGACAGAGAAAGGGTGAAAAATGTGCTGGGATATAAATGACAGGAAAGGGTCAGTCAAGGTGAGGTCACTATCTTCTCAGGGTGATATATAGGAAAGATTTTCTAATTGAGTATTACTTACATTTTTTATATCCTGTCTTCTTCTATATTGTGAAATCCCATTAAGAATACTGTAAGGAGGCCGGGCGCAGTGGCTTACGCCTGTAATCCCAGCACTTTGGGAGGCCGAGGCGGGCGGATCACGAGGTCAGGAGTTTGAGACCAGCCTGGCCAACAGTGAAACCTTGTCTCTACTAAAAATACAAAAATTAGCCAGGCATGGTGGCGTGCGCCTGTAGTCCCAACTGCTCGGGAGGCTGAGGCAAGAGAATCTCTTGAACCCAGGAGGTGGAGATTGCAGTGAGCTGAAATTGCGCCACTGCACTCCAGCCTGGGCCACAGAGCGAGAGTCTGTCTCCAGAAAAAAAACAAAAAAAACAAAAAAAAACTTTAATGAAATTCTGTTTTCTAAAGTGAATTTGGTTTCTAAGTAAGAACATTCTAAGTTTTAAGTTTTAAACCATAGATAAGAATCTTTATTCTCCTTACACTGGTATTGTACCTCAGAGGAAGGTGAGGCATAGATAATATATACAACTTAGTTTAACACATGTATATTGAAAACGTACTATGTATCAGAGACTGTGCACAGACTTATTTCATCATGGATTTTTTTTGTATTTTAATCTATTGACCTGGCTTACTTGAATTAAGGTAGACAACAATAAAAATGATCTCACAGGTGAATTAACTGCTGAAAATTACCTAATTTTCATTTATGTACTTTTTTTTTTATGAGACAGGCTCTTGCTCTGTCACCCAGGCTGGAGTGCACTGGGGTGGTCATAGCTCACTGCTGTCTCAAACTCCTGGGCTCAAGCATTCCTATCACCTCAGCCTCCTAAGGTGCTGGGATTACAGGTGTGTGCTACCGCATCTGGCTACATTTTTGAAACACTATGACAAGAAAAATGTTAGAAAAGTGAAATCATTTTTGAGTTTTGAATCTAAAAAGTACATTTTTAAAGTTTAAATATCTTTTATTATATGTTACTTTGTAAAATCCTAAATCTACCAACTCTCAAAAAAATGCAAATATTATATTTGTATCTTTTTATACTTTTTCTGCTTAATATTAGAAAACTTGCTGGGGAGTTGGGTAATTACAGAAGTTTAGCATTAAATTTGTTTCTTATTTTTATTAAAAATTTTTTGCCTGTCTTGCCTAGATATAAGGAAAGGAAGAACAGAATCTGCACGTGTTGCAAAAGTTGATATTCTTTGAATTGCTCCCCAAACAATCATTGTTTCATCTTGAATAGCTCATGTCATAATTTTTTCAGAGACTGTGGGTAGCCATTCTCTTTGATTAATTCTATCTTTTATGCTTGTTTCATTCACTAGCAGTTTGAGAACAATAATCTATTTTTCATTTAAATCTTTTTTGGTTGTTTTGAGAACATCGCTGAGTAGTGTAAATATGTAATGCTTATGTTTCATTTATAATAGAGATATATGTTGAAATTGTAAGTCAAGGCATAATTTGTTATGGAATGGATCACATCTATTAACTGTTATTTAGTAAATGCTGCCAGTGCATCAATAAGTAGAAAAAAAAGATCATTTCAAGTAATCTAGTGTCACGAAAACCCTAATATGAGGGAAAACTTGTAAATAGTATAATAAAACTCATGTACTAAGATAGTAGTGAATTACAATTTATGCCTAATCAAATTTAGATATTCAGGTGATATAAGTTTGACAACTTTTCATGACCTTGTCCTCTTCTCCCAGTATTATTGTTGAAAATTCAGCTCTTAAGAATCACAATTAGGAAACTCAGAAGTGTTATTTTCACTTTAGCTACTAATTGAATCTGATTAATTAGTTTGAGCATGTATCAGTATCTTCTATTCCCATAACTTTAAAGAAACATATTGCCCGTTCAGTCCAGAGTAATTCAGGCACTGTCAATCCAGGCAACCATCTTAGCTAACACTGTTGAAAGAGAATAAAACTAGTATTACTTTTAAAGTTCCAAAATAAAAGAGCTTTTTTTTTTTTAACTTTTCAGTCTGCATGAACTCCTTTCTCATGAATGAGAACTTAAGAACTCATTTAAATAATTTATAGTTAAATTACATATAAGTACAAATTTAATCATTTTCAGCAGTTGATTCATCTGATAATTTTTTTGTTGCATGCCTTAATCCAGTCATGATGAAAAAATTACATGCTTTTTCTTTTTCAAGCTATAATCTATTGATTTTCATAGTTTTTGTTGAAAGGCTGCATGCTGCTTTAATATCTACCTTTTTCTGATTATTTGACAATTTCAAGTTTTTGTTGAATGTTAACAATATGATTTTCTATGGACATCAGCTGTTCATTAGCTAGGCAATACATCTGATGGGTGAGGAGGAAGAGAATTCACCAGAGACAGACCAAGGAATGGAGAGTGACTGCTTAATTGATATGTTGTTTCTTTTGGGAATGATAAAATGTTCCGGAATTAGATAGTGGTTATGGTTCCACAACATTGTGAATGTACTGAAACCACTGAATTGTGCACTTTCCAGAGATTAAAATGGTGAGTTTTATCTCAAAAAAATTTATTGTGATTTTTATGTTTATTTATTTTTAGTTTTTTGAGACGGAATCTCACTCTTTCCCCAGGCTGGAGTGCAGTGGCACAATCTTGGCTCACGGCAACCTCCGCCTCCCAGGTTCAAGCGATTCTCCTGCCTCAGCCTCCCGAGTAGCTGGGACTACAGATGCGTGCCACCATGCCCAGCTAATTTTTGTATTTTTAGTAGAGATGGGGTTTCACCATGTTGGTCAGGATGGTCTCGATCTCTTGACCTCGTGAGCTGCCCGCTGCAGCCTCCTGAAGTGCTATGATTACAGGCGTGAGCCACCACACCCAGCCTGATTTTTAAATTGTAATATTTTAGGGAGGAATACCTGAAACATGTGGAATACTGCTACTCTGGATATTGCAAACTCATCCTGGAATTAAAATAATGTGCAACATTCTCAAACCCTCTTATTTTAGCTAAAATGCCCAAGCAATATGCCATTGACGAACTCTGAAAGATGTTAAAGAAGTAGTCCTACAAAACACATTGAATTTATTGCTGCAGTATCTTTGACAATTCAGTAAAATGATTTACCTTAGGTCTCAGTAAAAAAAACTGTGCTTCTTTCAAGAAAATGATTTATTTTTACCTTATGAATACTGTAAGTGATATAAACAAATAAAAGCTGTATATGACAGCCATTTCTTCTCTGCACTGATGAACAGGAAACTAAAAGCCATGTATTTATAGGTTCCCCCCAGTAACAAAGGTTACAGGGTCTTGTTGAATGAATTTTTTTCTTTTTTTCTTTGAGCCTGTTGCCCAGGCTGGAGTGCAGTGGTGTGATCTCGGCTCACTACAACCTCTGCTTCCCGGGTTCAAGCGATTCTCCTGCGTCAGCCTCCTGAGTAGCTGGGACTACGGGTGCACACCACCATGCCTGGCTAATTTTTGTATTTTTAGTAGAAACAAGGTCTCATCATGTTGGCCAGGATGGTCTGAAACTCCTGACCTCAGGTGATCACTCGCCTCAGCTTCCCAAAGTGCTGGGATTATAGGTGTGAGCCACCACGCCCGGCCCCTGAATGCATTTTTAATTCCACCCTTATCTTTAACCTCATCTTATTTTTCTTTCTCCGTTTCCTTAGTTTGCATTTAACCTGTATATTATGTACCTTAGTATATAACCTCTCACATCTTATTTTAGAACAGTAAAGGATATAAAATTACAAAAGGTTTAAAAGGATCTTATAATTAGAGCGGGAAAAGTTAAAAATGCAAATGTGTGTTTGAGTAACTTATCTAGATTAATTTACACAAATACGTAATTAGTAGTCTTTATAACTTTAAAATTCTTAACTTTTTTAAGGAGGCAAGAGAACAAATGGCAAATAGTTAAATAAGCAAAGGGAAGGGAACTCTGGAGATGATGAAAATTTATGTAAATGATTGATATGTGAATGGCCTCCTGTTGTAAGGTGGTGAATTATAGAATTCAGGGATACTGAAAATTCAAAAACAGAAATGGGTCAATACTGCAAAGGGAGAAGGGGAAGCGCAGTGGAGATGTTTTCTTAAATTGCTGGCTTTGCTTTTTGTCTAAGGTTGATTCAGTCTAAATCTAACTGTGATTAATCAAATCAAAGGCTGTACATGACGTTTTTACACTATGCAACTGCATGTATATAGCTTAGAAGGACATTGCTGTCACATCATAAGATATGTCAACATTGCCAGGCGCGGTGGGTCACACCTGTAATCCCAGCACTTTGGGAGGCTGAGGCGGGTGGATAACCTGAGGTCAGGAGTTCGAAACCAGCCTGACCAACATGGAGAAACCCCATCTCTACTAAAAATACAAAATTAGCCAGACGTGGTGGTGCATGCCTGTAATCTCAACTACTCGGGAGGCTGAGGCAGGAGAATCGCTTGAACCTGGGAGGCGGAGGTTGCTGTGAGCCCAGATTGAGCCATTGCACTCCAGCCTGGGCAACAAGAGCGAAACTCCTTCTGAAAAACAAAAAAGTCAACATTGCTTTATGTAATATTTTTAACATGGCAGCCTATTACCAAATAGTATTGTTTCTAAATGATTTTCTAATTGTCTATTTGTTGTATTTCCCTTCATGATTTTCAGTATAGTTTCCATATAATCCTTCCATTAGTTTCATGTCTTATATTTATTACCTTTGTATTTCCAGCAGCAAGGACAGATACAAGCTTTCTTTCTTCTTCTTTTTTTTTTTTCCTTTTTTTTTTTTTTTGAGATGGGAGTCTCACTCTGTTGCCCAGGCTGGAATGCAGTGGCACAATCTCAGCTTGCTGCAAACTCGCCCTCCCGGATTCAAGCGATTCTCTTGCCTCAGCCTCCGAAGTAGCTGGTACTACAGGGGCGCGCAACAACACCTGGCTAATTTTTGTATTTTTTGTAAAGACAGGGTTTCACCATATTAGTCAGGCTGGTCTTGAACTCCTGACCTCGTGATCCCCCCGCCTTGGCCACCCAAAGTGCTGGGATTACAGGTGTGAGCCACCACGCCTGGCCTTAAGCATTTATTAGATGCTTAGTAATCACTGATTTTGCTTCTGCAATTTTTGCCATCATTTTTTCTCTCTCTAGATCATGTCATCAGCATGTGTGTTATACTGTCTCCCATTTTAATACAAAAATAACTTTGAAGACTCCACTCCCCCTCTAGGTATAGTACCATTTCTTTACCACCCTTCAGAGCAATACTCCGTCAGAGTTGTCCACATATGCTGCTTTCATATCCTCATCTCACTTTCTCTTCTTTTTACTGTATTCATTCTTTTGTCCTTACCACTTCACTGACAACATTCTTGTCACGGACACCAGTGAAATTTGTCTTGAGGCCGGCATGGTGGCTCACGCCTGTAATCCCAGCACTTTGGGAGGCCAAGGCAGGCGGATCATCTGAGGTCAGGAGTTCGAGACCAGCCTGGCCAACATGGTGAAACCCTGTCTCTACTAAAATTACAAAAATTAGCTGATTGTGGTGGCGCACACTTCTAATCCCAGCTACTTGGGAGGCTGAGGTGGGAGAATCACTTGAACCCATGAGGTGAAGGTTGCAGTGAGCCAAGATCGTACCACTTCACTCCAGCCTGGGTGACAGAGTGAGACTCTGCCTCAAAAAATAAAGTAATTTATCTTGCTAAATCCAGTGGTCATTTCTCAGTCCTCATGTTGTTTTCCCGGCAGCATTTGTCACAGTTTGTCATGTTATCTTTCCTGAAACTCTTTACTTGAGTACTTAACTTTGTCAAGATCACACTCTTGGTTCCTTACTACTATTACCACTACCACCACCAGCAATCCTATTCCTATCCCATTGTTCTTTATCTCAAAATTTGGCAATGTCATTTACCCAGTTGATCTGACCAAAACCTTGGAATCATCCTTAATTATTCTGTTTTTTTTCTTGTTTAGTCATCAGCAATCAAATATCAAAAATAATCACTTTTTTCACCACCAATATGGCTACCGTGATAGTCTTCTTATTTCTACCTGAGTTACTACAGTTGCTCAACTGGTCACTGTGTTTTGATTCTCCTTTCTCTCCCATATCCCCAAGATCATTCCATATACAGTGGCTAGAGTGTTGTTGTTTTTTTAAATCAAATCACATCATTCACTTAGTCATAACATCCCATATGGCTTTCAGCACATGTAGAATAACATCTAGAGTATTTACTGTTGCTTTCCAGGCCCTCTGTGGTCTCTGCCTTGCTCTCCTACCCCCTATCTTACTCTGCACTAGCCCTGGGCATTCTTGTCATTTTTTGAAAACACCAGGCCTTCTCAACTCAGGGCCTTGGCACTTCTGTTCTATCTGGAATGTTCCTTTTTACTTCATTCTCAGGGTAATTATCTTCTCAGAGATACCTCCTTGCTGTCATTTCATCTCTTTACCCTTCAGTGTAGTACTTATCACTATAAGAAGGATAGTTTGCAAAAATGATTTTGTAGGTCTCTACTGCTAAAATGTAAATTCTATGAAGCGGAGACTTTGTCTTGTTCAGTGCTATACTCCCAGGTCTAACACAGTACCTGCCACATAGAAATCATTTGATAAATATTTACTGAATGAACAAAAGAATTATTCGATTCATGTCTTAATGAGTGAATCAGAGAATGTTAAAATTGGCTTGTGATTCATATTCTGATTTTCACACTTGTGATTTTATTGTGGTAAAATATATATAACATTAAATTTACCATTTTAGCCATTTTAAAGTGTATTCAGTGGCATTAAGTATATTCATTCATATTGTTGTACAACCATTACTTTTTTTCATCTTCCAAATCCGAAACTCTGTACCCATTAAATAAGAACTTCCACTCCTCCTTCCCCTAGTCCCTGGCAATTATCATTTTACTTTCTGTCTCTATGAATTTGACTATTCTGGGTACCACATATGTGTAGAATCATATTGTATTTGTCCTTTTGTGACTGGCTTATTTTACTTAACATATAATGTCTTTAAGGTTCATCCATGTTGTTGCTGTTAAATATTTTTAAGTGGCATTTTTTCACCAAGTACTATAAATTAATTGTATGTATGCCTTACACTCCTCTTTCATCTGTGACCCTCAAAAAATGTTATAAACATAATTAACTAAACTTCACAATATCCCTTGTGAAGTCGATAATTATGGTATTGCAAACTGAAGAAATACTGATAGATTGCCTAAGGTACATAATGAATATATGCCAAAATTCTGAGTAAGGACCAGGATTATGTAGTCCCTGTTGAAAACATTAGACCAAATTTTTTGTTTGTGATGAAATTATTCTATGTTCTAGGAAAAACCAAGAGCAGTAATCATTTAATTTCTCTAAATATTCATAGCAATGTTCTTTGAATAAAAACAGTAAAATACAAATTTTCTGAAACTTTGTATTTATTAGTAATGATAACTTTAGTTATTTGACCTAACTAAATATTTCTTTGACCGCTGTATTATTAGATTGCATGATTATTTTTCCAGTCTTCACAGCCATAGTCTGAAATTGATTTTTGAAGGTGTGGGTTGGAATAGCATCATGTCTGTTCTTTAGCTATGGTGCTTGAAAACTTTATGAAACTGTTACCTTATGTTTGTCTTGATTGCTGGCTTATTTGAGTGATTTTTTTAAAAAAAGCAATCTTGCGAGGGTCAAATTATCTGTCAATTTGGCATTTGTGGACAGGACCAAAATGGACTCTAATTTTGGTATAAAAAACTAAAAATTTCTATAATCAGGCAATGTGCTTTAACTTAATTCCTAAAGGTTTAACCCAAAGCTCACTGTGGGTTGCTACAATTTGAATTGAATTCCCTAAAAACTTGTAGTTAGATAAATAAAAGTATATATAACTAAAACAACACATAATTTTTCTCAAATGAAACTTCATTGTATTACTTCACCCAAGTGATTGGTTCACTTTTGGATATTGTGTATATACATTAACCTCAAGAATGTTTCAATAGCAGTTGGCAGTGCTACTACCTCCTTCCTCTACTGGAAGCCCATTTATGGCTCTAAAATGGAAACTTAAGAGGGAATGAGTAAAGATGTTGCGAAGTGCTAAGCAGTGTTGAAAGAATAGAGTGGTAAAGTGTGGAAAAACAGGCAGCTTATGTGTGTGTGTGTTTTTTAAATTTACCAAGTCTAATAGCCAGTTATGCTTTGTTTCCATGGTTTTTTATCACAAGCAAAACAATGAAGTTGTCATCTCAGGTCTCGCTAAACTTCATGTAATAAGGCTTTTGTTAGCTGTCTGAAAATTTTGTGATTCAACCTATGGGAATTATACCTTTTTTTAGAGAAGTTTCAGTCACACAGAACAATAAAGACAAGTGATGCAAATGAAGAATGTAATGCATTTTGATAGAATGCCAATTTTTCCAGAAAGGATGGTGTAATTATTGATACCTCTTAGTAATTTATGGAAATGTAAATTTAGTTTTAGTCATAATAGTACATGAGAAAACAAAGTAAAGCAATTCTGCCCAGCTGACCAAAGTAAAGCAAATTGCAGCTTTTAAATACCAAGCCATAATGATGCAATCTGAAGAGGTTTAAAACTCAGTTCTCCAAAATCCAAGATTCGTTTCCTAAGCTCTATTATACGTTAAAGATTCTATGGTAAAATAAACCTGTTTCCCCAAACATAAACTTGAAAGACATTTGAAGATATAAGAATTCCTCTCCTCCCAATTTGGAGCAGTTTTATTGAAATGTACATATCCTACCAAATAGAATTGAGGTTTTCTTTTTCCAGTTATAAAAAATGGAGAAAATAATTTTTCAAATATTTAGGAACACCATTTACAGTTCAGTCCAGCTATGGTTTCTGAAATACATAGTAGTAGCATCTGATATGGTAGCCATAAGCCACATGTGGCTATTTACATTTGAGTAATTAAAACTAAATAATATTTACAAGTTGGTTCCTTAGTAACACCAGCCATATTACAAGTGCTCAGTAACCACATTTGGTTATAGGCTACTGTCTTAGTCTATTTTGTGTTGCTCTAAAGGAATACTTAAAGCTGTGTAGTTTATAAAGAAAAGAGGTTTATTAAGCTAACAGTTCTGCAGGCTGTACAAGAGGCATGGTGCTGTCATCAGCTCAGCTTCTGGTGAGGGCTGCATCAAAATATGGTGGAGAAGGTCAAAGGGAAAGCTGGCATGGGTGAGAGGGACCAAACCCAAAGGTGTCTTGGCTTTATAACAACTCATTCTCACAGGAACTAATCCATTCCCTAGAGAACCAATCAAGTCTTTGAGCAAGAACTCACTCATTACTACCAGAACAGCACCAGGCCATTCATGAGGGATCCACCCCCATGACCCAAACACCCTACCTTATGTCCCACTTTCCTGCAATATCACACTGGGGATAAAATTTCAACATGAGATTTGGTGGGTACAAACAAACCATATCCAAATCATAGCAGGTATATATTGGACAGCATAGACACTGAACATTCCCATCATTGTAGAAAGTTCTGTTGCACAACACTGGATAGATCACATTGTCACCAGTTTCCCAGTATATAGTTTTCTATTATTTTCAAGTATCCTCCCCTCCTGCCAAAAAAGTATTGCTTATATCCTAAGTCTGTGATTTTTTTTCCATACTGAATAATAATCTTCAAATTTAAGAAGTCAGTATTTGAAATGATTAGCAAGTTAGGGTTTTAGCCGGGTGCGGTGGCTCATGCCTGTAATCTCAGCACTTTGGGAGGCCAAGGCGGGTGGATCATGAGGTCAGGAGTTCGAGACCAGCTTTGGCCAAGATGGTGAAATCCCGTCTCTACTAAAAGTACAAAAATTAGCTGGGCGTGGTGGTGGGCGCCTGTAGTCCTAGCTACTCAGGAGGCTGAGGCAGAGATCGCACCACTGCACTCTAGCCTGGGTGACAGAGCAAGACTCTGTCTCGAAAAAAAAAAAAAAGTTGCTTTATAAACCTTAAAAATAAATGCCAAAATATGTACAGTTGACACTTTAAAAAGAGAATGACAGTCCTTAACTTCTCCATGTCCATGGTCCATAATCCAAGATAACAACACTGATACAGTCTACAAATAGCACATGATTTGTGAGATTATTTTTCACATGTAAATTTTGAAAATAATTTTTTTATTGTATAACCATACCTTGAAAAGAGCATAGAGCACACACAAAATCAAACTGATATATAAATGAATGATTAAATATTTTGTGATGATTACAGACAAATTTCAGGATTAATCAGCATTACTTCTGTGTTAAGATTGAGCAAAGTGAGAAAAAGCAGATAGGTATTCTATTCATTTATTTCATTGACTCTTTTTATTGAAGTAGGTATGGATAAATATCTTTAGTTTGTAGGTATGTAGTATAGTCAAGGAAAGGTTAAGACATGAGTATGTTAAAATTGAGTACATAAAGAAAGACTTTGTTTTGGGGCAGAGCATGAGGAAAAATAAAGATAGTACGTGCTGATTGCTGAAAAAATACTCATAGGATTGCATATCATGACTTAAAATTCTTTTCCCACATTGGTAGTTAGGTAACATTTGTAGATGTTTTCTGGGGGTTAATATTATTGAGATTTTTGTCTGTGCATATTTACTAAAACAGTGACTTGCAGAGAAATAGCATATAACCAATACATTAGTTGAATTATGTTTTCATAAAATGTAACATTACTTTTTATATGTGTAATTTGAATACATTTCTTAGCTTTGAAATGATTTGAAAGAATTACCTTTTGCTTGTAAAAGCCACTTAGGATTTTTATGAGCAGCTTTAAGATTAGTCTGGCTTTATCCTCTAGTGTCATTTTAATTTCACATATTTTTTTCCTCATGCAATTGCAAGTACCTATTAAGTCATGTATAAAAATTGCTACCATGAGGAAGGAATGCCTTTACTAGTTTTTTTATCCTATGAGCTTTAGTGCTTTAAGTAAACTGTATATTTTTAACTGTAGATCTATCCTTAACTTATAATTTTTCCAAAAAATCAAAAGTAAAATGGAATTTATCTTTTATTCAGATATGCATAGTTAGAATGTGACTATTTACAATAGTTTTAATACCTGTTTTGTATCACAGGGTTTTATAGAAGTAGTTTTTTCCTTCACAAGACTTCTTGTATTGACTCTGTTACCATCAAAAGACTATTTTTGCATTGATTAAAGTTGAGAGCTTAATGTTAGGCAGGTAGGTCCTTGAAAGCAGTTTTTTGGATACAGAGAGAGTAATGTGTTTTATCTCCGTGGCCACCTTCTTTTTTTTTTTTAACAGGGTTACTCCTTCACCCAAGATAGAGTGCAGTAGTACGATCAGAGCTCACTGCAGCCTTGACCTCCTTGGGCTCAGGTGATCCTCCTACCTCAGCCTCATGAGTAGCTTGGCGGGACTACAGGCGTGTGCCACCATGTCTTGCCAATTTTTCTATTTTTTGTAGAGATAGGGTTTCACCATGTTGCCCAGGCTGGTTTTGAACTCATGGGCTCAAGCAATCTGCTTGCCTCAGCCTCCCAAAGTGCTGGGATTACAGGCATGAACCACCCGCGCCTGGCCTATGTAGCTACCTTCTGATCTAATTTGGTATGATGGGGTAGAGAAGGTTAGTTTAGAGAGAATGTTTCCTGTCTTATCTTCTTTTACCCATCTTAACACTTTTACCCCTCTAAAACTGTTCAACATGTTTTCCTCTTTGGAAATCTTTCTTCATGTGCCTTTATTCATTGTATTTTCTATGTCTCTACTTCTTGAACTTAAACAAAACAAAAAACCCTGCAATTCCACTTCTCTTATTTCCCATGGGCCCTACTTATAGGTCTCTGCCAAATTATGCTGGCTGTTCTGTTTTTTTCTTCATATTCCCTTGGTGAACTTGCCCACAGTCTTGGCTTGAACTGTACTTTTATATAACTGATTTTCAAATCTTGAACTCTTCTAAATTTCTACCTGCTGGAGCCGGGCACAGTGGCTCACGCCTGTAATCTCAGCACTTTGGGAGGCCGAGGTAGGCGGATCACCTGAGGTCAGGAGTTCAAGACCAGCCTGACCAACAGGGAGAAACCCCGTCTCTACTAAAAATACAAAAAAAATTAGCCAGGCATGGTGGCGCATGCCTGTAATCCCAGCTACTCGGAAGGCTGAGGCGGGAGAATTGCTTGAACCTGGGAGGTGGAGGTTGCGGTGAGCTGAGATCGCGCCATTGCACTCCAGCCTGGGCAACAAGAGCAAAATTCCATCTCAAAAAATAAATAAATAAATAAATAAATTTCTACCTGCTGGTGGGAAGCGTCTTCATTTGAATGGCCTATGGTGACACTGGCCTGTCCTATTGTTCTAAATAAAAGTCACCCCACCCTGCCACTTCAGATTTCTTTCATTATGTGAGTGAGAATCTTTGAAGTAATCTTTCACTTTTTTGCTATCCTTGTTCCTAATACTTAGTTTAGCATGAAGCCTTCTGGTTTCACCATTTAAGATTTGGGTTTCCCATTCCCTCTGCATTTCCTCTTCTTCACTATCCAGACCCTCATTATCATACACCTTTAATTCACTACCCGCGCTTTCCCATCACCCCCTGCCTTGCTTTTTTTTTTAAGCTTCCCAAATGCTTCTTGCAGTGACTTAAAAACGTATACCAAGTTGTTATGGCATATTTTCTTTAAATAGATAGTAATTCTTGAAGAGTTTTTATTTAAACTTTCTTTTGGATCCTTTGTAGCTCTTGACATAATGCTGGATGCAGTAGGAACTTGATAAATACTTGTTCACTCATTCATTCAGTAGCTAATTAGCTATTGGGTTCCAGGTACTAAACTTGTGCTCCAGTGATCTTCCTTCATGGAGTTAAAGCTAACAGCAGCCTCTGGTGGTAAAGGAAGGCCTCTCTAAGGAGGTGGCGTTTGTTATGAGACCCGATTGAAGTGAGAAAACCAGTCCTATGAAGATATGGAGAACAATTGCTCCAGGCAGAGGGAAGAGCAAGTGTCAAGGCCCTGAAGTGGAACAAATTTGATATGTTTGGGGATTATCAAAAGGGTGATTGTGACTGGAACATGGTAGAAGCAGGAAATGCAGTCAGGGCACCAGGTAACAGAGGGCCTAAGAGGTCATGATAATAAGTATTGTGGGTTTTATTCTAAGAGCTGCTAAAGCCATTGTACAATTTTGAGTAAGGGAATGATGTGATCTGATTAACTTGCTTTAAGAACAGAGGTAGGTACTTGAGACCGGGAGTTTGAGACCAGCCTGGGCAACATGGTGAGACCCCGTATCTCAAAAAAAAAAAAAAAAAATTAATTAGCCAGGTGTAGTGACACACACCTGTAGTCCCCAGCTACTCAGGAGGCTGAGGCAGGGAAAAAAAAAAAAAAAGAATAGAAGTAGGGAGGCTATAATGGTAACATAGGAGAGCCAGTAATCATGAAGTAGTAAGGTAAAATTAAGGATAGAGTGACGAAGAGTAGTTGGTAGGACAGACTAGGTGAAAGGTCTGAGGTAAAAGAGAAACCAGGAAAAATTCAGTTCTTTGTGCTTAGACAAGTCATGTATCATTTCTAAATTCTGTTTTCCTGGAGTCTATAATAAGGAATATCTCTTTCCTGCCCCTTTGAAGGATTCGTTATGAGGACCTGATAAAATAATACATGAAAGTCCATTATGAACCTTAAAATGCCATAACCATGTGTTACTTTTTGATACTAAACATTTAAGGGCTCATCTCAAATTAGACCTTGTTAATAAAGAAATTTCCAGGCTAGGTCCGGTGGCTCATGCCTGTAATCCCAGCACTTTGGGAGGTCAAAGTAGGTGGATCACTTGAGGCCAGGAGTTTGAGAACAGGCTGGCCAACATAGCGAAACACTGTCTCTACAAAAAATACAAAAAGTTAGCTGGGTGTGGTGGTGCACACTTGTAGTCCCATCTGCACAGGAGGCTGAGGCACAAAAATCGCTTGAACCCAAGAGGCAGAGGTTGCAGTGAGCCACGATCGCGCCACTGCACTCCAGCCTGGGTGAGATTGAGACTCTGTCTCGAAAAAACAACAAAAAATTCCAAAAATTAAGATTTCACAGGGATAAACTTGAAGCCATTTACAGTTTAGGAAATAGTTTTTTCCTGTTCTAAATTCTTCCCAGTGATATTTTCAATCTTTTGATAATTTTGTCGCTATTCATAAATATTAGCATGTGGTAATGTCTCCAGTATTAAGTAGATGACATTTTGGTTCTAATCTGTACTGATAATCATAGACAGAAAAGTATTTATAAATAATACCTAATTGTCTTCAGTTTGTGACGTATTTAAGACATTGTTTTTCTCTTCTGAGTACGTAATTTGAAGACAAATAAAACTTGTAACCCAAATGTCCTACAGCTTGTTTTTTAATATGTTATGTTCACCCTAGGGTGTTGGTGATTATAAACAAAAACATGATCTGCCATACTATAATAAATAATGATCTATAAATAAACTCCAGTCCTTTTATGCTTATTTTTGTCATACTGATTATATGGACCCTGATACCGTAGGTTAATTTCAATATGACTTACAGCATGAAGAAAGACACAAATTTTAAACAAACTTTTTAGTTTCTGAAATTTCTTAAGTATGCTTCAGCTGATTGCTAATTCTTGTTTTCCTATTGCAGGTTTCCCAACAGTGATGTCACAAGATTGACCACATTGATCACAGTAAGACCAAAATGATAGTTAAGCTTTTAAGGAAGTTTGGTTTTCTCTGAGAATGAGAATTGACTTAGAAAACATATATAATTTGAAATTATTATTTCTTTTGCTAGCCAGTTGAATGTTAACATTTTAAATGAATCATATCTTATACTTCTAGCTAGTTATTTAAATACTTTTAAAATATTACTTTAAAGGATTTAAAAAACATTTAAAATGAAAATTACTTTTAATTTACAACTGAAATTACAGGCCTAAATATACTAAATTATTTCAGTGTGACTTAAATTCTGAACGTCATCTTTTTTGAGTTTTTATTTTTACCAGAAAATGACAGAAAGGTTAAGGTGATTCCACATTAGGAAATATATATAAAAGTAAATTACTTGAGATTGTAATGAATTATTAAGGAAAGATTATGAAAATGTAGCCTTGGTAGGCTGGGCGCGGTGGCTCACGCCTGTAATCCCAGCACTTTGGGAGGCCGAGGTGGGTGGATCAGCTGAGGTCAGGAGTTCGAGACTAGCCTGGCCAACATGGTAAAACCCCGACTCTACTAAAAATACAAAAATAGCTGGGCATGGTGGCACACACCTGTAATCCCAGCTACTCGGGAGGCTGAAGCAGGAGAATCACTTGAACCCGGGAGGTGGAGGTTGCAGTGAGCTGAGATTGTGCCACTGCCCTCCAACCTGGGCAATAGAGAGACTCCATCTCTAAAAAAAAAAAAAAAAAAAATACACACACACACACACACACCCCCCACATACACCACATACCACATATATATAGCCTTGGTAGAGTTTTTAGGCATCTTGCTTAAATTTTTTATTGATATTTATAGGATTTATAGAGTCTTCCAGATATGGAGAGTTTTTTGATAAAAGGATGGTTCTCTTAAGTAACTGATACTTTTTAATTTTATTTTAAGTGTTAATTTCTGTTGTGTGTAAGGACATATATTACCTAAAGAAAAACTTTTCCAGGGCCTTTATCCACATTAGAAAATTCTAAGTGATAAAATCTGAATTACAATCATGAACTTTATATCATTTTTGAAAAATTCTCTTAAATAACAGATAAATAAATTTCTACCAAATTATTTACTCCATGATCCTGCTTCTTCAACTGTTTTAATTTAACTCATTAAATCCAGAAGCATTAATTATTAGAAGTATAAATTCACATATCAATAATGTTTTTATTTATGTTCAATCTTTTTTTTTTGAAAACTGGTTCATTTGTTAAGTTTAACATTTTGCAGAGACTAGAGAGAAATTTTATTTATTTTTAAAGGCTTTATCATCATAATTTTGTCTACTAATGCTTATAGCATATTTTATTCATTTTCCTGAGGCAGCATTTTAGCTTTCTTTGATTTGTAGCTCTTTCCTTGTTTATTTTTTCTTAATTAGAACTTTATTGCCCTAACTGAATATTTTATAATAAAATATTGACATATTTCTATAGAAACCTTCTGTTTAGCATCTAGTGCTTTACAATCAAGGAAGTTAACATTAGCATTAAATGAAACCTTTTTTAAAATTTAAAAATGCTGACTCCCACAGCTTATTTTTATTTAAATTTTTTTTCCCACAGTTTATTTTTAGGGTAACATTAAGAGAGTAATTAATTGCAACTGATCTAAATCCAAGAATTTCAGGAAGAGAGGTGATATTTAATATTATTAGATGTTAAATATCAGTTAAAGAGTAAGAAGTGTTCATTTGAGAGGTTCATAAGTGACTGATATTAGAAACCTTAAGTTTGTTATGACACTGTTGTGAGGCTTTTGCTGGCCCTTTGAGTTAAGAAAAGAGGGTAGATTTCAACATTGATTCAGGTTCAGAGTGCTAGTGAGAGAGTAGTTCAAATATATGTTTACCGTGTGGCTGGAATAAAATGAGGCCAGGAAAGGGCTGATTTATCCAAAGGAAGTAGAGAGATCAGGAGACTAGTCATAGATCCATAAACTGGTATAATGAGATGACATAGTAAGAACTAAAAGTAAAATGTTATGGTTAGAGAGGGAGATTATATTATGGGTTGTTTCAGAGCTGAAGTGTAGTAGCTATTTATATATTATGTAATATATACTTTATATATGTTTTAATCAAAATTTTCAGAAGTCAGGAGAATTGCTGTTTTTTTCTTTGATGTCACAATCCATATAAATGTCAAAACCTTTTAACTGATCTCCCTTCTTCCTGGCCATTATCAATTCCACTGAAACTTGTACACAACTCCCAGTTTGATCTGATTAAAGCATTGCTCGGTTCCTTTTATTTCTCTACTTGAAAATGTGTGGTGGCTTCTCATTTCCTATGTGATCAAATCCAGACCTTCTAACTTGGTATTTAAGATCCTTCCTCAGTTTGTCTTCAGCATATTTTCTTTTCTTTCTTTCTTTTCTTTTTTTTTTTTTTTTTTTTTTTTGAGACAGAGTCTCACTCTTGCCCAGGCTGGAGTGCAGTGGTGCAATCTTGGCTCACTGCAGCCTCTGCCTCCTGGGTTCAGGTGATTCTCCTGCCTCAGCCTTCCAAGTAGCTGGGATTACAAGCAGGTGCCACCAGGCCCAGCTAATTTTTGTATTTTTAGTAGAGACAGGGTTTTATCATGTTGGCCAGGCTGGCCTCGAACTCCTGACCTCAAGTGATCTACCCGCCTTGGCCTCTCAAAGTGCAGGGATTATAGGAGTGAACAACTGTGCCCAGGCTGTCTTCAGCATATTTTCTATTACTCAAGAATAAGAACTGTACACTCTACCTAATGTGGACTACATTCCCTACCTTGGATACACATTTTGGCTCCACACTTACATTCATGCTATTCCCTTTACCTAGAATATTCTTTTTCTTTTCACACTTAAAAAAATTTCTTCTGGTGAAATCAAACTGTCTCTCTAATACCATATCCACATATAATCATCTCCCTGAGGTTTTCCCTAATCATCCTTGTTCTCTGTTCCTAATAGTTTGGTAATGCTTAATTTTTATTACTCCAGGGTTACTGATAACATAATTGTATTTAGGGTACTTATTTTAATACACATCTTACGATACTCAGCAAATGTTTGTTGGCAATCATAATAAACCAGAAAGTGCTAAATCAATTAGTATCTTTAGTGTTCTTATATTAAAATTGAAATAAGGATATTAATACATTAATATAATTTAACCACAGGAAGCAGGGTGGATAGAAAAGAGCTTAGATTTTAGAACCTATAGAGTTCAAGTACTAACGTCACTGTGTACTAGCGATGTGACTTCTAGCAAGTCAGCCTCTTTGTGCCTCAGTATCTTCACCTATAAAACGATGCATTATTTGAATTTAAAAGGATTATGAAATTTAAATTCAATTTTTATTAGCTTTCCTCCCTCTTCGTGATAGAATTTTATGGCTTACTCCTTTACAGATAACACCAATGGGCGTGAAATCTACTATAAAGTTCAGTGATATATCCTAAACATTCAAATTTACCTTACTTACAAATTGTGGCCATTTTGTCTGTTTTAATAAATAGATTTCTACATTATGTATATTAGTGATAACTTTATTGACTTTCAGCAAGTTTCAGCAAGGAGGCCAATTGGACCTATTAATATAATGTTCTTTTATTTGAGGAAAAGGGAGTCAGAGAACTAGAATGGCAACATCTTAAAAAACCAAAATGAACTATAGAATAGTTTAGAGTACTCTGCATTCCCCTTAGGTAATGGGCGAGAAAACCAAGGTCTAGAGAGTTTGTGGGAAAGTAGTGCACATAATAGTTAAGGACATGGACTTGGGGTTAGAAAAACCTTTGTTTTAGTTTGTGTTCTGCTACTTCTGTAGCTGATGTGATCATGAGTCAGTTTCTTAGTCTAAGACCCAATTTTTTCTTTTCTAGAGTAGGGATAATATTATTATGTCTGGAATATTAAATAAACATTGCTCATAAAGCACTTAGCACAAAAGATGGCACATACTACACTTTTCTTACCCTCATCATACTCATCAATATCTGTAAAGTTACTTGTCTAAAATTACATGATTTGAGAACTTGGACTAACCTGACTTTGCTTTATCCTGTTAGAATTTTTACTGTTCTGTTTTGTGATCAGTTCTTACTTGATTAAAGGTGTCTAAATAGCATTTATAGAAAGTATAATAAAATAATTCAGAGGTTATTTTCTTAAATCTCCCTTAATCCTCTGTCTTCTCTGAGCGTATTTTTGCAGTTGCATTTACATGCAGTCTTGTTTATATGTAATTTCATTATTATAGTGGCTATATTTTATCTTCAGATATTCTTATTTAATATTTTACTGTATATTTAATAATCTGTCCTAAGGCAACTTTTTTTTTTTTTTTTTTTTTTTTGAGTCTGAGTCTCACTGTCACCCAGGCTGGAGTGCAGTGGTGTAGTCTTGGCCCACTGCCAGGTTCACCTCCCGGGTTCACACCATTCTCCTGCCTCAGCCTCCTGAGTAGGTGGGACTACAGGTTTCCGCCACCACGCCCAGCTAATTTTTTGTATTTTTAGTAGAGACGGGGTTTCACCATGTTAGCCAGGATGGTTTTGATCTCCTGACTTCGTGATCCGCCCACCTCGGCCTCCCAAAGTGCTGGGATTATAGGCGTGAGCCACCGTGCCCGGCCGGCAACCTTTTAAATAAAGTGGCTTTTTCTGTTTTTATTAAAATTTCTTGCCTGGGCACAGTGGCTCTCACTCCTGTAATACCAGCACTTTGGGAGCCCAACAGGGGGGATTGCTTGAGCCCTGGAGTTAAAGACCAACCTGGGCAATATAGTGAGACTTTGTCTCTACAAAATAATAAACAAAATCAGCTAGGCATGGTGGCTCAAGCCTGTAGTCCCAGCTACTCGGGAAGCTGAGGTGGAAGGATTGCTTGAGTCCAGGAGTTCAAGGCTGCAGTAAGCCAAGATTGTACCATTGTACTCCAGCCTAGGCTACAGAGGAAGACCTTGCCTCAAAAAAATTTTTTTTTCTATTTTTCTCTTTGGTAATTTTATTATGAATATTACTTAAATTTTGTAGAGATACACCTCTCCCAATAGTAATACTTAATAATTGAGATGTAGAAGGAATTGCTGTATAACTTTATAGTGTACATACTGTCAGAAATACTGGTGTTAGCTAGTAAATTTAAAATGTCAGGTACCTACCACAGAGAAGATATAACCAAGTATGGCATGATTGATAGTTGTCCCTAATACTGGTTTTCCCCCTCTTCTAATTTTTTTTCCGGTATATCACTACCTAGAATAAAAACATCATTTCCCCAGTCTCCCTTGCAGCTAGGTATAGTAATCTGGCTAAATTTTGGCAAGAGATATATAGGCAGAAGTAGTGTGTGCAACTTTCAGGATGTATCCTTAAAGGAATGGGTGCACATCCTCTTTTTCGCCCCCTTCCTCCTTGCTGGCTGAATTGTGAGCATAATTGGACTGTGAGTGGAAACCCTATACTGAGAATGGGTAAAGCAGCAGTAAGAAAGAAAATCCTTACTAACATGATGTTACACTGTCCCTACTGGCCTGCCTATCCCTGGATTTCTTTGACATGACAGAGATAAAATTCTGTATTGTATGAGCCATTCACTTTTGGGCTTTCTGTCACTCCTGGCCAAAACTAATCCTGATACACCAAGCTAGCTTGATGAAGAATGTTTATGCCATTGTGGCCGGATGCGGTGGCTCACGCCTTTTTTAATCCCAGGACTTTGGGAGGCTGAGGTGGGTGGATCAGGCAGAGGTGGGCAGATCACTTGTCTGGAGTTTTGAGACCAGCTTGGCCGACATGGCAAAACCCCATCTCTACTAAAAATACAAAAATTCGCCAGGCGTGGTGGCACATGCCTGTAGTTCCAGCTACTCAGGAGGCTGAGGCAGGAGAATTGCTTGAACTCGGGAGGCGGAGGTTGCAGTGAGCTGAGATTGCACCACTGCACTCCAGCCTGGGCTACACAGCAAGACTCTGTATCAAAAAAAAAAAAAAAAAGAAAGAAAAAAGTTTATGCCAGTGTGAAAATGTCTTTTTTTTTTTTTTTTAAACATCTCACTTGTTTTATTTGAACTCTACTGTCTCCATGGTTTAAGTCAAGCTTGTCCAACCTGTGGCCTGTGGGCCACATGCAGCCCAGGACAGCTATCAGTGCATCCTAACACAAATTTGGAAACTTTATCAAAACATTATGAGATTTTTTTTGTGATTTTTGTTTTTTAGCTCATCAGCTATCGTTCGTGTTACTGTATTTTATGTGTGGTTCAACACAATCCCTCTTCATCCAGTGTAGCCCGGGGAAGCCAAAAGATGAGACAGCTCTGGAAGTTTTAGGAGAAGAATGGAAAGGGAAATGATTCATTCTGTCTAGCACAGGGGATCAAGAAACGTTTGCAGAGGAGTGAGACACGTGGTCTAGACTTTGAAGTATAATGTAGAAGAGAGTCTAGAAAGAGGAAATAGGCATATAGACTTGAAAGAACATATGTTCAGAGACATGTAAATGTTTTAGTTTTAGTTGTTTGTTTGTTTGTTTGTTTTTGAGACAGAGTCTCGTTCTGTTGCCCAGGCTGGAGTGCAGTGGTGCAATCTCGGCTCACTGCAGCCTCCGCCTCCCAGGTTCAAGCAGTTCTCCTGCCTCAGCCTCCTGAGTAGCTGGGGTTTCAGGCACATGCCACCATGCCTGGCTAATTTTTCTATTTTTAGTAGAGATGAGGTTTCGCCATGTTGCTTAGGCTGGTCTCGAACTCTTGACCTCAACTAATCTGCCTGCCTCGGCCTCCCATAAGTGCTGGGATTACAGGCGTGAGCCACCGCGCCCGGCCTTAGTTTAACGTTGTTGAAATATAACATTTGAGGAAGTAAATGAGCCTAATGTTCAGCTCTTATAGGAATTTATAAACTAAAAACTTTGGTAAGTGCTAGATACCTAGTGATGAGTTATTTTAATGTAAATTTAATATTATTTATTGCTTTTCCATTAAATTTTAGTGGGGTTTTTCTTTGGTTATGTTTTTATTTTTAGAAACAGGGTCTTGCTCAGTCACCCAGGCTGGACTACAGTGGCACAATCATAGCTCACTGGAACCTCAAACTCCTGGCCTCAAGCAATCCTTCCACCTAGGCCTCCCAAAGCATGGAAGTTACAGGTGTGAGCCACTGTACTTGACTATCATTAAATATTTTTAATTTTGATAATATATTTTGATACATGTGTTGAGGAATGAAGAACAAAGCTAATATTTATTTATCCACTGATTTTTTAAGATGCTAGGTACTTATTTGAAACTTTAACAATTTTAAAAGATATATCATTACATTCTACAGATGCCCAAACTGAGACTTGGAAAGGTCAAATATCTTTCCTAGTGTGTTGTAAGTGATAGTTAAGTCATTATCTGAAAAGTGCAAAAAATAGTCATTTCCAGAACAAGTTTACTATGTACTATCTGACCTTTATTTTTCACTTTTCTAATACCAAAAGTAGAGTTATAGTCAATTTTAAAATATCTTTAGTAAAATATAATAACAGTGATAAAACTGGAAGTGAAAATCTTTTTAAGAATTTCCATATTTTATAGCAAGTGACAAATCTAAAGGTGTTAAAATTTTAAAATGTAGTACAGTAACGTTATAAAATACATCCTAAACATTTTGTTTTCTAGAGTCTGAATATTTTGAACAGTATCTTCAAAATTAGTATGTAGCAGCCATTTCAGTTACTTCATGTAAATCTATTTCCCATTGCTATTCCTAAATGTATATTTGGATGAAAGAAACCCTCTCTTTACCTCTACTGCATTTTCTCAGAAGTTGTACTGTTTTAACATTTAACAATTAATGGAGCTAAAAGCATGCATGATGTTCTCTGTATGAGTGGCTGCATATATAAATAACACCATGCTGCACAGATATAAGTTTAGCTTCTTTTGAACAAGTCAAAATGTGTAATGTTACACAATCCCTTGATTTAAAGATAGATTCTGATTTATCAGAAAATTCTAAATGAGCTACTGTTTAATAAATCTGTCTTAAAAAAAGAAACTTTTACAGATCTAGGAATAATTATGGAAACATCAGAGAATATAAAATAAAAACCAGTTTTCTGCTGTGGTTTGATGTTTTCTTATTGTAATCAGCAGTGTCTAGCATATAGACTAGGTAAATATTTCCTGAATTAAGGTGACTTGAAATTTAATATGGCTAGTAAATTGTTTTCTTCCACTCACACTTTGTAGAACACCAATGCACACTTCTGCTGTGAGATATAAGAAATGCTAGTCAGGGAGTGGATAAAATATAACTGTAGTCTGCAGAAACTAGAGATGAGAAAATGGGTGTTGTACACTGAGTTATGGGTTTATGATATTTGACCTCTTTGTTCTTTTTATATAAATATACACAGAAAAAACCATGGAGGAGAAAGAATTTTGACAAAAATGGAAAATTTTTTTTGTTGTATAGCATCAAAAGTTTGCGAGTCATGAATGTTAAAAAAGTTTAACTAATACAAATATTCCTGAAGCTGTCCTTATGTGAATGCATTTTTAAATGCATTTTTAAAACATTACATCCATAGCTACATTTGCATCAGAATGTAAGATAGTATGTGTAAACTTTACAACATGCAAAGTATGCTGTTTATTTTGCAAATAGCACATCTCATGCTTGCAATTTTATTCTCTGATTTTCTTTCTCCTCAAGAGAAACCCCTCAACTTTTGTTCATAAAATTTACGATTTTTGTCTCCTCACTCCCCTTACCACTGAATATTTCCTGTGTGTCTTTTTTTCTAAACTCTAGTAGCTTTATATTTTCAGTGTCATCTTTATGGAAAGGAAATTTCAGAAAACGTAGACACTTGGCACTAAACTCAAATGTCACAGTTCATTTCAAATGTTACCTCCTCCATAAAACCTTTGGATCCTTTTCATTTGGAATTAATCTCCCTATCATTTCTGCCTTTCAGATTTGTTATTTCTGTTATGGCAATTTACTTCAACACAGGGGTACATGGACCTGAGTGTGCAAATATATTCTCCACAGGGAGAAAGAGGGCTAAAATTTCAATGTTAATATAAAATAAATCAGTATGAGCATATTCTTAGATCATGTGGTATGCCATGCCTACCTTACAACCAGTTACTACCATGTATTTTCAGGGCTATGATTATGTTTAATTATGTTAGTCTAATGAGAAAAGAACAAAAATAGATTTAATATTGTAAATGGTTCACTTGTATTAAGTGAAAGCCTGATGACATCAGAGTGAACTAAAAGTTTTGCAGTCATTTGAGTAGAAACAAATGATATTAAACCATTTAGGGCATACTAGATGTATTAGTCCATTTTCACGCTGCTGATTACCCGAGACTGGGCAATTTACAAAAGAAAGAGGTTTATTGGACTTACAGTTCCACGTGGCTGGGGAGACCTCAGAATCATGGTGAAGGAGTCACGTCTCACATGGATGGTGGCAGGCAGAGAGAGAAAGCTTGTGCAAGGAAACTCCCGTTTTTAAAACCATCAGATATCATAAGACTCATTCACTATCACAAGAACATCGCACGAAGGACCCGCCCCCGTAATTCAGTCACCTCCCACTGGGTTCCTCCCATGACGTGGGAATTGTGTGAGGTACAATTCAAGATGAGATTTGGACAGGGACGCAGCCAAACCATATCACTAGACTATAGGCATGTCAAACCAAAATGTAACTGAAAAATAATGGAGAAATAGCAGTCAGTACCATTTTTATGTTGACTATAATGATTCATTTTCACAAAAACATTGTATGATACTAACTTGAAATGTGCTATTCATAGCTTTTATGTGCATATTTGGAAATTGTTTTGGTATTGTATTTGAAATAAGATCTGGAAGCAAGAGGAATAGTTTATCCTTATCCGTAGTTGTATTTTTCTATATTTCAGTAACAATATAATAAGTCAGTCGGTGGAGGGTGTTTCACAAAACCTTTTTTCTGTCTTCATAAGGGGTTTATACATAGGTTAAGTTTCAGAAACGTTACAGAGTCCTTAGATCCTTACGTGATGATTATGTGTTCAGTTGTTTTACCTATTAGACTGTAAACTCCTTATAATCTAGTAAAGGCATAGATTATATTTTATTCATCCTTGCAGTTTCATTAGAGTCTGTCTCAGTACTTTTTCCTAGTAGTGACCCAGTAAATATCTATGCAACAAACTTGGCTTTGCTGGTGTGCAAAGTGTAATATAAGGAAAATTAGTGACATTTTTTGCCTTTTAGTGTGTAACTGGAATGTATAGTATAGAAAACAGAGAGATAGTATATATTTTAACAACTTGAAATTCATAGGTGTTAATAGATTCCTCTTTTTGAAATTAAATATCTCCTAGGATTTTGATCACTTACAGTGTTGTATGCACTACCTTAATTAGATAATCAGTTTTTGTCTTTTTCTTAGCTGAGATCTGTAGAGTGGCGACAGAGAATGAATGATTTCCTGGCAGGGTAGAACTAAGCAAGGAGATGTAACCAGAGTGCTTCAGGGAACAAGACATTGCATCATTGCAAAAATGTAGTTTTTTATATTAGAGCAGATTGAGAACACTGGTTCATCAGGGAAGTGGAGAGGCAGGAGAAGGGACTGGGAAGTGATATGGGAAGGTACTAAAGATAACATCTTCCACCTTTGGGCTATTGCCTAAAGTTACAGTGCCTAGACAACATTCCTTTTAACTTCAGTGGAAATAAAACTGGCATAAATTAAAATCCTCTCGAATAATATAGCAAGTACATTTTACTTTTCAGATTCTGTTATGATAGCTTTTTGTATAATGTTGCCACAGCAGAATTCAGCTGTCTTGCTAACTTTTTCAGTGTCTTATTTCCTACTTAAATTGAATTACCTATTCCTGAATTTCAAAGCCATTTAAATGTAGCCTTGTCCCTATCTACATAAATTAATTTCCCTCTGTTTCCAACACACATTCTTTTATAGTCAAAGCACTCCTTTAGCGACAAATATACTGACGATTTTGTCGGAATGTTTTTTTCCACATATTTCCTTTTCTCGAAGTGCCACTACCTCTCCTTACCCAATGCCAATCCATTCTTCAAAGAGGTCTTGTAGTCTTTAGTGATAAATGTGACCTTCATTAAGTTCCCTTTCCGCCCAACATTTGATCTTTATCTGTAGCTCCCCAGACCTCTCTTTTAAATTGCAGAACCTCCATTTGCAGCTCTCTATATAGGATTGGTACCTGGTTATCCCACAGACATGTAATTCAACCTGTTCAAACTTGAACTCATTTTCTTCTAATTTTCCAGAAACCTTCTCCTCTTTATATATTCCCTGTATTAGTCAATGATATCAACATCTACTTAGCCGCTCAAGGTAGAAATATTAGTTATCTTCAGCTTCTTCACAAATTCACATCTAAGCTGGTATCAAATCCTATTGATTCTCTATATGCATTGTAACAATAAGAGCTAATGTTAGTGGAGTGCTCACTGTGCGCCAGGTACTAATCTAAACTTTTGACCTGTAGTAAATTAATCCTCTTAACTCTAAGAGTTAGACACCATTATTATCACTGTTTTACATAAGAAAGAAATTATGTACTTGCTAACAAAAGTATGTACCTCCCCTATGAGGCTGTCCAGCCAAAGGAAAAAAAAAACTAAATATGATCAAGCCTAATTTACAGGAAATAAAAAGGAGAGAAGGACATGTTAAATTACACCAGGGGGACAGAGTCAGGAAAATCCAGACTGTGGAAAACTCTAAAAGGAAAAGGACCTAGTTTCTTTAGCTAAAAATAATAAGGAAGGAAAAAGAAAAGATTGGCTAGAGCATTTAGAGATTAAAAGAGACTTGAGTCATATCAGCCAGATCCAATATATGGATTTTATTTGAGTCCAGATTCAAACAAACAGGCAATTTAAAAATATAAGACAAAGAAATGTGTACATCGACTGAGTGTTTGATATGAAAGAATTGTTGGCCAGGCGCGGTGGCGCATGCCTGTAATCCCAGCACTTTGGGAGGCCAAGGTAGGTGGATCATGAGGTCAAGGGATCAAGACCAGCCTGGCCAACATGGCAAAACCTCGTCTCTACTAAAAATACAAAAATTAGCTGGGTGTGGTGGCGTGTGCCTGTAGTTGCAGCTACTCAGGAGGCTAAGGCAGGAGAATCCCTTGAACCCAGGAGGCAGAGGTTGCAATGAGCCTTGATCACACCACTGCACTCCAGCCTGGCAAAAGAGCGAGACTCCATCTCAAAAAAAAAAAAAAAAAAAGAATTGTTAAGATTTTAGGTATGATAATAATGTGGGGCTATTTGTTTATATAAAAAGCATAAGTCCATACCACAAAAGGATAAGCATCTCAGAGGCAAAGCTTGAGAGAGAAAAAAAAAGTATATTCATTATCACTTATTTTACTCAGTGTCTCTGATAATAAAGGATTTGCTAAAGGAGGTGATAGAACATTTAGCCTAATAGCATTATCATACCTAAAATAAATTTTTATTATTTTACCAATTCATACTTCTGCAAACAAAAAGATTATTATTGTATCATACCTCCTCAATAGTCAGTGTTTGTTTCACAGAAATATGGGAAATTCAAGGAAATAAGAACTAAAATTTTTAGAACCTCTATAAAATGATAATGATAATAATAAGTAATAGTCAACATTTCAGTGATTAATATGTGCCAGGCACCCTGTCATGAGTTTATAGCTTTAATTTATTTCATCCTCCGAACAACTTTGTGAGGGGGAGGTATCATTATTATTCTTACTTTACAGGTGGGAAAACTGAGCTATGGGGAAGTTAAGGAATTTTCCCAGAGTTACATGGCAATCAGTGAAGTTTAGGATTCAAACCCAGGCATTTGACATGGAGCCTGTGTCTTTATTGTTATGCTGCACTTCTTCTCTTTTTACTATGATGCTAGGTGCTTTTAATATTAATCTTATTTATTTCATTTTCCTGGGAAGGTCTTAATTTCTGTTTTATTTTCAAAATATAGTTTTGCTGGATATATTATAGAATTCTTGGTTAATAGTTCTTTGGATTTTTTTATTTTTAAGCACTTCAGATTTGTTTTTCTACTGCCTTCTTGCCTTTATGCTTTCAGATGACAAATCAGCTGTTAATCTTACTCATACTTCTTTATTTTTATTTTTATTTTTAGAGACAGGATCTTACTCTCTTGCCTGGGCTGGATTGCAGTGGTATGATCATAGCTCATGGCAGCCATGAACTCCTGGGTTCAAGCAATCCTCCCACCTCAGCCTCCTGAATAGCTAGGACTACAGGCATGTACCGGCACACCTGGCTTATTAATCTTATTGAAGATTCCTTGTACATAAGAACATAACAAGTTGCCTTTCTCTTGCTGCCTTCAAGATTTTCTCTGTGGCTTTCAATAGCTGATTATAATGTGTCTTTGTGTGGATCTCTTTGAATTTATCCTACTTGAAGTTCATTTAGCTTGTGGATATGGATATGTAGATTCATGTCTTTCTTCAAATTTGGGAAGTTTCCATCCACTATTTTTTCAAACATTGTTTCTACTCCTTTCTCTCTTTCTTCTCCTTTTGGCATATCCATAATGCATATTGGTCCACTTAATGTTGTCTTACAGGTTCCATAGGCTCTGTTCACTTTTGTTCATTCTGTTTTCTTCCTGTTCCTTAGACTGAATAATCTCAGTTGACCTATCTTCAAGTTTACTGGTTCTTTTCTTCTGCCTACTCATATCTGCTGTTAATCCCTCTAGTGAATTTTTCATTTTAGCTATCATAACTTTTAGCTCTGTAATTTCTATTTGGTTCCTTTTTAAAATTTCTGTTTCTTTATTGATATTCTCATTTTGTTCATACATTGTTTTCCTGGTTTCCTTTCATTCTTTTGTCTATGGGTTTCCTTTTGCTCTTTGAGCATATTTTAGATAGGGAATTTGTTGCTAGTAAACCTGCCTATAAGAAATGCCCTAATGGGAGATCTTCAGGCTGAAATGAGAGGAACCTGGACAGTAACTTAAAGGCATATGAAGAAAAAAAGAACTCCAGTAAAGGTTACTACTCAGATAAATAGGAAGGGAACGTAGCACTTTGAAGGAAAGAACTAAAAGCCAGTATGACTGGAGTACAGAGAGCAAGGATTGCAGTTTGAGATAAGCAACCAGAAAATACAGGACATAGTAGACCATAATGAGAACTTCTGTTTGTTTAATAACAAGGACTTTTGGCTGGCCGCAGTGGCTCACACCTGTAATCACAGCACTTTGGGAGGCTGAGGTGGGCAGATCGCCTGAGGTCAGGAGTTTGAGACCAGCCTGGCCAACATGGTGAAACCCCGTCTCTACTAAAAATACAAAAAATTAGCCAGGGATGGTGGTGGGCACCTGAAATCCCAGCTACTCTGGAGTCTGAGGCAGGAGAATCACTTGACACAAGAGACAGAGGTTGCAGTGAGCTGAGATCATGCCACTACACTCCAGCCTGGGCAACGGAGCGAGACTCCATCTCAAAACAATAATAATAATAATAATAATAATAATAATAAGGGCTTTTGTTTGTTTACCCTAGAGCAATGGGAAATGTTTGAAGTATGTTTAAATTATCAACAACCCGATTTTAATTGAGGCTTATAGAAGTTAAATAACTCTCTCAAGGTCATACAGTGATTAAGCAGTAAAACAAAGGTCATAATCCAGGAATGTTTGGATCTAACATCTGTATCACCCCATTTCTTAGAAATACAAATCTAGGAAATGTGTAAAAAATTTAAAGGCTGAAGTTTCTGTGACCTGATGTTATTATTATTTCAGCAGATGAATGCCTACTATGTTGAGAGATGTGATTTTACCCTTTGCAAATGTAGTCACATTTACATTAATTTTGTTAGCTCTGCTTGTGACTTGTTGCTTCTCAGTAAACAGGTGAACCACAGTTTTCAACAGTGAACATTAGAATAAAGATAGGTTTGATCTATTCTTATGATTTCTTCTACTTTTCAGTTCCTGCTCTCTAAGGGAGAACTAACAATGAAGGTACTTATATACCAGATAGTTTCCAAGTATCGTTTTGTCTTAGACTTAGTGAAATTAAGTAACTGCTCCTAGTTGACATAACTAGTACTGGTTGTAACTAAGATTCAAATTCATATTTCACTAACTGAAGACCATGCTGTTTTTACTACAATACTCTCAAAGGATATAAAACTAACTTGTGTTCAAGAGACCTTAGTATGGATATTTAGAAATAGAAAACATCATCCTCAGTGCATACTTGCTAGTTGATTGAATGACAGAAACAGGATTATGAAAGAAAAGAATTCTAGAATCAGCTAGTGTGTGCCCTGAGGTGATCTTATGAGACACATTCTTCAACCCACTTATATACTGCCAATCTCTCTCATTTAATTATCTTTATTTTTGTGTACCTCAGTTGTAGTATTGATATTCAGTAAGGAAAGAGACATGAAGAAAGCTATCAGATGGAAAGTTGTTTGGTCTCAAAGATTCTGCCTGACAGCACATTCCTAGGTAGGAATTTTTAGCCATTTATTCATTTAGTCATTATATTGTATGCTTCACATACTGTCACTCATTCACTCATTTATTCATTCTACAAATAATTTATGGAGTGCTGCTTGTGTGTTTCCACTGTCTAGATATTGGGGTTACTGTGGTCAATAAGATGAAGTTTCTTCTGTCATTAAGTTTACTTTCTACTGGGGAGAAGTAAACAAATATATAAGTAAAATATTCTCAATTATTGATAAGAGCTCCAAACAGGGATGGAGGAAGGAAAATGTGATAGCATATACAGGTAGTCAGGTAGAATTGAGGGCAACATACATATAACAGTCAGGGAAGGTCTCCCTGATGAGGTAACACTTGTGTTGAGAAATGAATCACCAGAAAGAGCCAGGTGTCGTGTTGTGAAAATCAGAGGTTATAGTGATCACAGTGCCAGTGAGGCTGGAATGTAGTGAGCTGTGGGAATAAAGGTAGGCAGATATCATTTAAAAAAAAAGTTTAAGCTTCTTTCTAATGTGAAGAGAAGCCACTGGAAGATGTTTCATTTGATTTTAGTTTTTTAAATTAAATACAGACAGGGTCTCAGTATGTTGCTGAGGCTGGTCTTGAACTCCTGGGCTCAAGCAGTCCTCTTATCTCAGCCTTTGACTCCAAGTGCTGGGATTACAGGCATGAGCCACCATGGCTAGCCTGGAAGATTTTTTTGGTTGGTTGATTTTAATAATCCCTCCACCACCATGTTTAATTTGAGACTGTTTCATATTCAGCTTTTCTCCTAGTGGAGATTTTTATGGAGGACACTAGTACATAAATGGTATTAAAGCATTATTATAAATTCTTTATGCTGTGTATGAATTTATATTTTTGGTTGCATTCTTCTGTGTTGCCCCTAAATTATTTGCCCTTGCTGGCATATTTAAGAAACTTCCATTATCTTGAAGAGAAATTCATGGTTATGATTTATTCCTTGATTTAATAAGCATTATGTTCTTTTTGAGTTACTTACTAAATTTATAAAAGTAGAAAATGCACTGTTCTTCTTTTCTTCATTAGGAGCTTATCTTCTACTGGAGAGACAGACACATAAACTGGTCATTATAGCTGTGGTAGATGGCACAGTAGAGGTGTATGTTTAATGTTTTTTGACTATAGAAAGCATGATATGATCCTTATGGGTGGGAAAGGCCACATCAAAAATATTCACTCTATGGAGATTTCCGCCCCCTGCGTTTTGAAGCAGAGTATAGGTATCACTATTTGAACAGTGATGCTGATGCTGCAAAAAATATGTAAAAACAGTTTATGTTTTCCAACTTTATAGGAAAATAAAGTAGTATCTGTCTTAAGACACATGGAAAAGTTGAATTCTCTTGGAAGTAGAGAGTGAAAAAGCGTTATGTTGCATTTTGTTACTGTTGTCCTCTTCCCCTTCCTTTTTCCCTCATCCCTTTTCTTTTGTATTTGTAAGTTTACATAAGGTGAGAAGATAAAATGTTAAAAGTTTTGAAGGCAGGCTTCATAGCAAATTTTGCCACTATGTTTTTTGAGTATTGGGCTGTATGATTATAAACAAAGGAATTGATTTATCTCTGATCATGTGATAATGTCCTCTGTTGGTCCTCAACTGGGTGCCTAGATCTTTCCCCAATTCAAAACCCTAGGTATAGATATACAATGCTTTTTTGCCATAATATTAAGCAGACACTTTCATAAGTAAGACACACCAGAGTGGTACATGAGAATGCCTGTACAACTGGAATGGGCAACATGACCATAGAGAAAATGATGTGATTTTTAAGTGTGTTTGCCAAGAAGCAGGAGGAAGGCTCTTAGAAAGTTAAATCTAGTCAGATTCCTAAAATGAAAATGCAGTTACAAATAAATGCAGAGTACCACATGCAAGGATTAAATCAAAAAAGACTGTGGTGTTGTGCAAATATTTCATATATACAGTGAGTATTAAAAGAAATGATAAAAACAGCAGACATAGCAGAATTTCAGGTGAAGATCAGAAGCCTTTCTATAAAATTGACCTTTAAAGTTAATTGCACATACAGGAGTTCGAGTCCAGCCTGGGCAACATGGTGAAAGCCCTGTTTCTACTAAAAATACAAAAATTAGCCAGACATGGTGGTGCGTACCTGTAGTCTCAGCAACCAGAGAGGCTGAGGTGGGAGGATCCCTTGAACCCAGGAGACAGAGGTTGCGGTGAGCCAAGATCGGGCCACTGCACTGCAGCCTGAGCAACAGAGTGAGACTCCTCCTAAACAAACAAACAAACAAAAAAGTTAATTGCACATAGTATTTACTCATGAAACCAGCCTCTTCCTACAGAAGACAATTTCTAACATAGAAAGGATTTCATGAGACTGAGGAAGAGGACAATAGGCTCCTAAAAAAAGATGGTAGATTAACATACACACTTACTTCAGCTAACTGTTGAAGCCCCATTAATTATATAGGAAAAAAAAATTTTCAAAAAGGCATAAGCAAAGAAACAGGAGAAGAATGAATACCAACAAAATTCTGGAAGCTGGAGAGCAATAGATAAATAGTAACTGATTTATCAGATTGAGAGAACCGAATAACTGAATTATCAGATGACAGTGAAGAAAGCCTAGAAAAAACAGTTTACACATTTGAAACTCCGAAAGGCTCAGCAATTAGCAGTTGTGTGTATCTCTAGAATGGGCAGGAGGGAAGAAGAAGGTTATAGTTATAGGTACAGGCGAAGCTCTACATATAAAAACTATATGAAAATGGGAAATGTTTATTAAACATTCATTAAACATACAAAGTCTGTTCAATTAGTTAGATTCCTCAGTCTCCTCCACTTAACACAGACAGGTAACAGTGCCTCATTTATCCCTTTATCCAGAAGAAGACTGAAAGTCAGACCTTTGGGGATGTACAGTTCAATCACATTGGTGTACGGTCATCACCACCATCCATCTCCAGAATTCTTTTCATCTTTCAAAACTAAAAGTCTATGCACATTAAACAATAATGCCTCATGACCACTTTCCCCTGGCCCTTGGTGACCCACCATTTTACTTCCTGTCTCTATGATTTTGACTACTGTAAGTACCTCGTATATGTGAGATCATACAGTATTTGTCTTTTTGTTACTGGATTGTTTCACTTAGTATCATGTCCTTGAAGTTTCATGCATGTTGTAGCATGTGCCAGAATGTCCTTTCGTTTTAAGGCTGAATGATACTCCTGTGTGTGTGTGTATGCCATATTTTATTTACTCATTCATCTGTGGATGGACTCTTGGGTTGCTTTTGCCTCTTCACTATCGTGATATCGACATTTTAAAGTGATATTTTTATTTTGTTTATTAAACATAGATTAAATTTTGCTGTACCACATGTAAATATTAAAGATTGCTTTCGTTTGCTGATGTTTGAAGTTCTTTCAATGTCAACAAATAAACTGGTTTGTTTTTGTAATTTTTGTCGTAATTCAGAAAACATAATTGTATCCACTTTGGTTATTATATAAAAGTAATTATCATTACTTTTTTTCTTAACATTGGTTTTTGAAATAAAAAAGACATCTTGATGTGCCATGTAAAAACTTTGAGCAGTTACACGCAACTGAAGAATTTAGCGAAGATCTTCTTCCTTCATTGGCTTTCATTTTCCTATTAGTTCACCTCATGCTTCTATTCTTTCAACAAATTTTAAAATGCAAAAAATTCAGAACCATCGTGGTAGCTATCTCCGTGTGACACAGGGATTGAACACTCTGATCTGATTGCCACTCACTAACACACATGGTATGCATTTAAATTTCTCAGCCTGTTCTTTCTGGGTTACTGAGAAATACTCTTATTTTATTTATTATTAGAAATACAAATTTAAATACGCTATTATTTCATTAAAAATATGAACACTTAGAAAATTTTCCATTTAAAGTATTTGATTGTGGCTGATCTGAGAGCCCTGGTGTTTACACCTAATTGTTCACAACCAGTGACAGATTTCTTTGTTTTTTTCTCCACTCCCACTACTTTGCTTGACTAGCCTTAAAAAAAGTAAATAAATAAAAATCAATCAATCAATAAATATTTGATTGTGAGCTCCTTGTGGTCAAAACTACCTTATTCACATATGTCTGTTCAGTGTTGGAACTTAACCCCTCAAACTTGTTTACAATAAATATTCACTGGACTAAACAGGTTTTTAATGTATATTTGTAGTTAGTTGCTCATGTGTTCAGCAAATCTGTATATAATTTCACACATACTGTGGATCAGTTACTTTCTATTAATTATTCTTTTCTAATGTGCCATTTAAAAATAAAGCATTAATGTATGAGAACTTGGGGACCAATTACCAAATCACTACAGCAGCAATAAATCACAAACCTTTGCCACACAGATATGTTTAGCACTGGCTAAAGATTCAGACAGACAATTGCAGAAGTGACCTGGTAGCTGCAGACCATTTTCTAACATGGATTTTGCTTTGAGGAGTGGAAAAAGAATTGATTTTATTTTAGTAAAATGTTAATAATGAAGAGAGAATATTAATGTCTTTAAAGAGAGCTGGGGTTCATTATTATCTGAAGTTGTATTTTTATAGGTAACACTCAGAACATTTCTAATTAATTTTGTTTGTCTTATTTTAAGTACTATACTGTGATCATTTTTACATACTGATAATGAGCTTTTAAAGCAAAATAGAGAAAGTTTATTGAGTCATAATATTCTTCAAATAAAATAAAGGTGTATTTTTCTTTTCTTTTTGAGACAGAGTCTCACTGTTCTGTCACCCAGGCTGAAGTGCAATGGCGCAATCTTGGCTCATTGCAACCTCCACCTGCCGAGTTCAAGCAGTTCTTTTGCCTCAGACTCCCCAGTAGCTGGGATTACAGGCACATGCCACCATGCCCAGCTAATTTTTGCATTTTTAGTGGAGACGGGGTTTCACCATATTGACCAGGCTGGTCTTGAACTCCTGACCTCAAGTGATCCGCCCACCTCAGTCTCCCACAGTGCTGGAATCACAGGCGTGAGCCACCGCGCCCAGCCAGGTGTATTTTTCATAAGCAAGAAGTCATCTTGGAGATCAAAGTCCATGAGTATATAGAAATATTTTTCCCAAAGAGCAAAAATTTACCTCACTGGAACATATGTAGCACTTGCCAATTTAATTATATCTTTAGTTGTGTATATGTTAATAGTAAGTACTGAAAAATTAAGAGTAATAAGCTCTGGTATATGATTTTAATTATTTATTATTGGCATACTTATTTTAATGGAAGAAATAAGACAAGTTTCTAGAAGTTAACTTTTCCCTTTTTTACGTTTGTTAAATTTACTTCCCTATAAAAATTGTTTATTGATTTAGAACTTATGTTTGGAGGCCAGGTGTGGTGGCTCACACCTGTAAGCCCAGCACTTTGGGAGGCCGAGGCAGGTGGATCGCCTGAAGTCAGGAATTCGAGACCAACCTGGCTAGCATGGTGAAACCCCTTATCTACTAAAAATACAAAAATTAGCTGGGTGCAGAGGTGCATGCCTGTAGTCCCAGCTACGCGGGAGGCTGAAGCAGAAGAATTGCTTGAACCTGAGAGGTGGGCGCCACTGCCCTCCAGCCTGGCGACAGAGCGAGACTCCGTCTCAGAAAAAAAAAAAAAAGAAGAAATTATGTTTGGAGTACAAATTATTTCAGAATACAATGTCACAGGAGGCATAATGATGTTTTGGTCAAGGACAGACTGTATATATGACAGTTGTCCCATAAGATTATAATACCATAATTTTACTTTTTCTTTTCTATGTTTAGATATGTTTACCTATACAAATACTTTTCATATTCACATTTCAGGCCTATTTCTATTAGAAACACCATTGTGTTACAGTTGCCTACAGTATTCCATACAGTATCATGCTGTACAGGTTTGTAGCCTAGAAATAACAGGCTATACAATATAACCTAGGTATGTAGTAGTCTTTACCATCTAGGTTCACGTAAGTACACTCTGTGATGTTCATACAACAAAATCACCTAACAACACGTTTCTCAGAACATATACCTGTGGATAAGTGATGCATGACTGTAAATTCTGTTTAGTAAATAAAATTGTTTTACTCTATTTGCTTTACACATCCCTTCAGAAACACACTTTATAAGTCCCCCATGTATTTGGAATCATAACATAGGAATAGATACAAGGTTTTTACTTGAAATTATGAGGAATCATTGTGCAAAAAATAACAGTATGAAATATTTATAGAATTTTAATTTGATTACGGCCTCTCGTTAAAGGAAAACTTACAATATTTATTCTGTTAACCACAGTTTTCAGATTACAGTTCAGTTTTAGCTTTCGTTAGAAATGTTAAGTAATGATTTTCTTAGTATGTGGCTTAGTCTACATTAAAAGTCCATTTTTGTTTCACATACATTCATTTTTATCTCACCAATAAAGTTATGATATGCTTAAACATGGAAACTGTATATCTTTTGGTTTACTCTTAGTTGCTCATAAAGGATATTTAATGAATGACCAGCTAGTGGCTGAAGCAGGATCAGAAATGCCGGGTTAATTCTGAAATCTCTGATTCTGCTTTTAGTTTTGTGGCAGTTGTGTTATTAGTTATACTTGTTTGGTGAAAATCTTTCTTCTTCTTTTTTGTTTATAAAGTACTTTGTACTTTTCAGCCTTTCATATGTGTAAAAAATGTTAAATCAGTCAAGATTAAGAAGGGATTTTGAAAGATTGCCTGCTTCTACAACTTGAAGTTTGTGGGGAAATTAAGATAATGTGTTATATATAAAGCTGAAAATAATGATGAAAATGATCATAAGTTTAGCACTTTCATTTTGGAAAACCAAACCTCAGAGTGACTTGATCTATATTGCACAGCTAGTTTACGGTGAGACTCTGGTATTGGTGTCGAATTCCTAGTCCAGTGTTCTTTTTCTGAAAATTAAGTGACTTTCTTCAATCCTCTTTAATGTATTCTATTCTTCTTTCCGTATTGTTTTAGAAAAAGGATTATGTATCAGGCCTATTACTGTTAATGGTTTCACCATTTCCCACAACAAGATAACAACTCTTGATACCACTTTAGATTGCTGTTTTCTCTAGCTTCAAATAATCAAAACTTAAAAGTGCCTGTGATCTATCTTCAATATCTTTTGCATCCTTTGTTTTCCTTTCACTCCCACCACCACCCTATCAGGTCATGCTTAGATTGCCATATTAATTTACTTTCTAGTTTCTCTGTCTCCAGTATCATGTCTCCTATTCTTACTTTTTGTGGATAACAATGCCACATAAACACATCTGAAGTCATGATTTTGTTTTTCGCACCTTTGTTTATGGTATTTCCTTTTTCTGGGAGATACTTTTTCTGTCTCTCCATGTATATTTTAATGTTGCACATTCTTGGAGACTCAACTAAAATCTCATTTCCTTCTCCGTACTGGCCATGTCTACCTAAAACGAGTGTGACTTGTAAAATCTGGGGCCAGGTAGCATGTGTAATCATTTGACATCTTGACACAGAATCCTTTTATCAGAGAGTGCCAGAGCAGAAAAAGACCTTAGATATCACTTATAATGGTCACTTAACTACAGGTGAGTTAGTGGTTTTTCTGGAGTTAAATGATTAACATAAGTACTTAGAGATTTCAGGGCAGAGATGCAAGTAAACTTAAGTCCCTAACTTCTAATTCCAAAATTCCTTCTTATGTAACACACTTCCTATCACTGTACAGTGCATTGTCTTTTTAGATGCTTGTTCATGAGTGCATTTATTATTTCCGCAGTTTGAGGCCATGAGTCTTGTTTTAAACTTTTTTGTTCTCCCCGTAATATTTTGCACATAATAGGCCTTAATTCATTTTTTATTTATTTGGTAGAGAACATTTACTTTCAGATAAAAGTGTAAGACTTTATTTTCATTTGTACGGATATTATAGCCAAGGATTTTACTGCTTTTGTTTAAAAGGATGGAAGAAGTGTTTTTAATAGTTCTTGGTAGTTAGCATTCTACAAAATATAATTGAAAAATTCTCTGGTTTTATTTTATTACTATGTAAATGGGTTTCACTTGTTTAAAATGTTAAAAAACATTGATTAGAGTACAAAACTAGAAATGTTATCAATATTTCTTCATTGTTTTAGTGTTTTCAATTTCTAAGGAAATAAAATATTTTATAAAAAATAATTTTGTGGCAGATTGTTAAATGGAAATACAATGTACTTCTGTTGTCTTAGTTTCTAAGCCATTGAAAACTATGTCAAACTAAAGTCATTTTAGGTTTTAAAGTTTTAGGAATATATTTGATTTCAGGTACATAAAGCAAAAGGAATTATAGGAAAGTATATGTAAGTGTATAGATAATTGAATATATACACTTTAAAATTCTTTTGCAAGTTAGCATGAATAAAAATGGTACTTTAGAGAGCAGCTTAAATACCTCTCAGGTGAATAAAGCATGGGCTTCATGCTTGTAGTTGGGGATATATGTATCATCTGCTGTAGATGTATTACAAAGGTGATGTCAAGGTGAAAGCAGGCTTGCAGAATGGTTGGAAATCATTGATATTCTGACTTGGAGGCTGTAAATGGCTCGGTGGCAGATGGAGTCTTTGTCAAGGAAGAAAAATGGCAGCTTTGGAGCACATAGATGTTTTGCTAGCAGCTCAGCATATAGGCTGTGACCTTCTAGTATTCAGGAGTCTTTTCCATGGTCTAATAAATTGTTCTCAGCTTTTATTCACCTAAAGTAGATAAATAGTTGTCATCACATTTCAGTACAAATTGAGGTGTTTCATTATAAAGAAACATAAATATATTTTATTGTCTACTTTTTAAAGAAATAAGCTTTTAAGAGAATGTGCATTTCTAGTATCAGAAATATTTCTCAGTTGGTTTGCAAAAGTAAAAACATCTCATAGAAGTTTTTCAATCAAAAAAATTGATCGAAAAAAATTTTTTTTAGAATCACAGAATATTAAAGCCTAACAGTGTGCTAAAAACCCTGGACCAGTCCACTCATTTTCCAGATGAGGAAAGTAAGGGTCAGAGAGTGTGACTTAACTAAGACTACTTAGCTAGTTTATGACTCTTAAATTATGACTTGTTATAAAATATCTTTAGTTACAGGTAAAACTCTCTTTAAATAAAACATAATACCCACAGAATACACCTAATTATTCATGACAGATGCATAATGATAATAATAATTTCAGAGACTTTTATTTATTTTTCAATTGCAGGTATTTTTACTGGAAGGAATTCAGAATTTTCATTTTAATTTGCTTTTTGTTTGTTTGTTTGTTTGTTTTGAGACGGAGTCTCTGTTGCCCAGGCTAGAGTGCAGTGGCGCATTCTTGGCTCACTGCAGCCTTTGCCTCCTGGGTTCAAGTGATTCTCCTGCCTCAGCCTCCTGAGTAGCTGGGATTACAGGCATGCGGCACCATGCCTGGGTAATTTTTGTATTTTTAGTAGAGACAGGGTTTCATCATGTTGGCCAGGCTGGTCTCAAACTCCTGATCTCAAGTGATCCACCAACCTTGGCCTCCCAAAGTGCTAGGATTAAGGTGTGAGCCACTGCACTCGGCCTTACTTTGCTATTAATATATTGCTATATAGAAAAATTTTGATGAATGGAGAGTTTATATCTGGATTATAAAGTTATATATGCATAACTCTGTTGTTATTCCTCAATAAATATTTTATATGAAGCAGAACCAATTAAAGTATATATCTTGTGTTAACTTATTTGGGTATTTTTTAAAGTCCTTTCTTGTAGAAATATTGCATTTTATATTAAAATATTTAAGGGTTTTATAGATTATTTATAGATATACTGAGATATTTTGAAAAATTGCTGCATTTATCAGTGAGCATTTCTTTCCGTTTTAAGGGGAATATATGTCACTATGAGAGTATTATGTGAAATACGTTCAGCTGGACAGTTGATCTATACTGAAGAGTAATAAGTCATGGTTAAAATTAAAAGTAGAGGCATTACACACCTAAAACCTATGAAAGCACTTAACAATTGCAAAAGTTATAGAAAGAAATCACTGTACATCACAAAAGAAAGTGACTCTGTTTTAGAGGGTGAAGGTTACTACTTTCAATATTATAGGTAGTCCTTTGCAGGCCAGTGTCTAAGGAAGTGCTAAAGAGAAATTTAAGAAGTTATACTAAAATGACTGTGCATTTTCTAAAGATATAATTATGTAGCAATTTTAGATTTGTTTTTGATGAAGAGAAAAGTTTGAAAAGTTAGAGTTGAAAGCTTCCAAAATCCTCACTTTTTTTAAAGGATAAAACTGGTGAGATCTTTCATATTGAATGTGGACATGAAAAATATGAAAAACAAAATCATAAGTGAAAATACTGTTTTTATCAATGAATATGTTGATATGTAGGTATTTTACCTATTATCTACTTTAATATAAAATAAATACAATCAGAGGTTATATGATGATCACTAAATTCTTCAACAACTATTAAGTGCCTAGTTACTTGCATGTGCTAAGGATAAGGTACTAAACAACAGCGACTCTGCACTCATGGAGCTTTTCATTCTATTGGTGAAAGAGATAAATAAGTTGTATGTAGTATATTAGATGGCAACTAACACTTAGGAGAAAGGTAAAGCAAATTAAGAGTCATGAGTATGAATTAGCCAGGGGTATGAATTAGTATTTGTTACAGATTGGCTACTGAAGACCTCTCCAATAAGATGACAGTTTTGCAGAGATCTTAAGGAAGTGAGGGAGTTGAGCCATGTAGATACCTGGGTGAGAACTGTTCCAAAGAAAACAGTAAATGCCACGATACTGAGAGAGATTGTGCTTTGCATATTCCAAGAATAATAGGGAAATCAGGATGGCTAGAGTTGGTGAGCAATGAGAGAGAGTTACAAAGGAAGCCAGAGAGATTTCACATAAATGAACATTTAAGCATATGTCTTTTTTTTTTTTTAAAGAGAAGATTGAAGCTTAACCAAAGCCCACATTGTTGCCAAACCAGTGGTACCCAAAGTAGTTTTGGTAGAGCATTGGTTGTATGGAGTATTTCATGAAAAAAGGTTCCATGGTCAAGTAAGTTTGGAAGACATAGGGTTAATGTTAAAAGGTTTTGTTTTATTTATTTTTTTATGTATATTTTTATTTTTTTACTTATTATACTTTAAGTTCTAGGGTACATGTGCACAACGTGCAGGTTTGTTACATATGTATACATGTGCCATGTTGGTGTGCTGCACCCATTAACTCGTCATTTACATTAGGTATATCTCCTAATGCTATCCCTCCCCCCACCCCCACCCCCCCACAACAGGCCCTGGTGTGTGATGTTCCCCTTCCTGTATCCAAAGGGTTTTGTTTTATTTAACAACTTTTTCTGAGCCTTTTAAAATGTGTTAATGTGTTTTGTGAACCTCCAACTTATTTGACCCTTCCTTCAAAGAACATCTTATGGGACTAGTGTTTTTCATGCTTTGGTAAGTGCTGTATTAGACAATCCTACAGGTTAACTAGAGGTTAATAAAAGGATTTTCTACAATCGATTGCTGTTTCATAACTTCTCTACTATTCTTTTTTTTTTTTTTTTGAGACAGAGTTTCGCTTGTCACCCAGGCTGGAGTACAGTGGCGCGAGCTTGGCTTACTGCAACCTCCGCCTCCCAGGTTCAAGTGATTCTCCTGCCTCAGCCTACTAAGTAGCTGGGATTACAGGCACTCACCACCACACCTGGCTAATTTTTCTATTTTTAGTAGAAATGGGGTTTCACCATGTTGGCCAGGCTGGTCTCAAACTCTTGACCTCAGGTGATCCAACCGCCTTGGCCTCCCAAAGTGCTGGGATTATAGGCATGAGCCACTGCACCTGGCCTTCTCTACTGTTCTCGGCCTGTTTTTAACAAAGACTACATTTCTTTTTTTCCCCCTAAATATTTCTCAAATCCATCTTTCCTTCTCTGTTCATGATGCTTAAATCTTAATGTAGATTTGCATCATGTCTCACCTGGGCTGTCACAGTAACCCCCTAACTAGTGTCTCTGCCCCTAGTCTTGCTGTGTCCAAGTTCATCATCCTCTCAATGATGATATAATTGACATCACAAATCAAACTAGGTTATTTACCTACTTAAACTCCTTATTAGCTTCCAACCACTACAGAATAAAATTTAATCTCATTTACAGGGTATATGAAATCTTCCACAGCCTGTCTCCTGCTTACATCTAAAAGTAATGCCTCAATCTCCCATACTTAGTCTCCAAATGTTAAATGATTTATACTTCCTTAAAGCAAGAGGTGTGTATATAGTCCTTTTGCCTTTACTGAGTGCTGTTATCCCTTCCTGACATAGCCTTCCCCTGTGAGAAGGCTTCCAAGTTTAGAGCAAATGTAGTCTACAGAAACACTCTCAAGCTCTTCCTGGGTAAGTCAGGTGCACTCATGTATAACTCTTATCAAAACACTGAAAATAGTGAAATAAAAATATATATTTGTGTTTTTTCTCCTGTGTGTATCTGATACTGATACTTTGTAACTGTGCTAAGTGCCTACTACTTTAAGTAGTATCCACTTTAAGTGGATACCCAGTAAATGTTGAAATTAACTAGACAAAGTAGTTGAAGTCCTGATGAAAAGATTGTTCAGTTCTTCTTCTCCTGTAGCTCAGAACCTGTTTGGATCATACATTTAAATGTAGAAATATAAAGCTTTTAGAAGAAAACATAGGTGAAAACCTACAAGACAAAACTTGGTGAAGAGTTTCTCCATGTGATGCAAAAACATGATCCATAGAAGAAAGAAATCTGTAAATTGGACTTTATCAAAATTAAAAACATTTGCTTTGCAAAATGCCCTGTTAAGATGATGAAAAAACAAACTACATACTGGGAGGAAATACTTGAAAACTGCTTATCTGACAAAGGACTCTTATCTAGGATATATAAAAACTAAAAACTCAATAGTAAAAAGGCAAACAGTCCAATTAGAAAATGGGCAAAAGATATTCATTTCGCCAAAAAGGTTATACGGATGTCAGCTGAACACATGAAAAGATGTTCAGCATCACTAGCCGTCAGAGAAATTGAAAAATGACATATTACCACACACCTATTAGAACAGTTGAACTCTTGCTTGAACCCAGGAGTTTAAGACCAGCCTGCACAACACAGCAAGACCCTGTCTAAAAAAATTAAAATTAAAAATAGCGACAATATGAATTGCTGGCAAAGATATGAAGAAATCAGACTCTCATACATTACCAGTGGGAATGTAAAATGGTACAACCACTCTGAAAAATAGTTTGCAGTTTCAAAAAAAAAAAAAGGAAGAAACACACACTTACTATATAAGCTAGTGAGCAGAGATTCCACTGCACTCCAGCATGGGTGATAGAATGAGACCCTGTCTCAAAAGCAAAAAAACAAAAAACTATTAGGTTTTTTTCCTTCTACCTCCCTACCCATATCTGAGAAATGAAGTGTTTCACCTCCTTACTAAACCTAAAACTTCATGCTTTTTTATTTTTATTCATTTCTGCCTTCTCTAGAGGCTTGTTTCATGATCTGCCAAAAGACATTCATTTTTCTCCCTCATGACTGGTTTATTTCATTGTTATCCAAAGGATTGTCCTGGCATGAAATAAAGTGATAAACAGAAGTGCAAACAAAACCTTAAACCTTCACTTCCCTCAAGTGTTTGTGTTAGCATATTAAAGATATATATCTATGTTAATATAAGTAGCTCTATGTCATTCATTTTAACTACCATATAGTATTTCATTATAAAAACATACCGTGATATTTTCATTTTTTCATTTTCCAATATTTCCAAGGTTTTACTCTACAAGTAGAACTGCAATTTACATTCGTATACATGACTTTTTATGTGCATGTATGGGAACTTTTCTGGGTGAGATATCTAGAATTACTGTATTACGGTCTACATGCTGCTTTGACTTTACTATATGTTGCCTAATTTCTTTCTATATAATTGTACCAGTTTATGTGATCAATGCATAAAAGATTTCTGCTCTACTTTTTTGGCATTTGCTTAATTTTTGTATTCCTACTTTCTGCATATAAAGGCTGCTTTGAAGTCCAATAAATTTTACTTCTACAATACAATTTTTACATTTCTTTCTCTAGTTTAACCAGCTAGGAAGTAAAAAAAAATTATCCCTACTTCTATATATGAATAACTTTTATATTTATCCATCCCCTCATTTGTCACTCTTCTGCCACACCTTAGTACAAAACCTCACTTTTGCCTAAATTATCTCAGGAGACCAACTATTGCAATATCCTTATTGTAAACTTCTTCCTGCTTCAATTCATCCTCCTTAAAGCTGCTAGATCAATATTTCTAAGCAGGTAGTTTACCATTGTTTGCAGCATTAAAATCAAACACTTAGTGTGGTATTTAAGGTCATCTCCAATAAGGTCTTAAAGTACGTTTTCAGCCAAATAAATATCTCTCCCACTATTTTTTTTACATATGTCCTTTGTACTAGCCAGACTATATTACTTTACTGATTGATTGAGTCATTCAAACAGTATATACATAACAAGCTCTTATGCTGCCCAGGTACAGGTTGAGTATTCCTTATCTGAAATGGTTGGGTCTAGAAGCTTTTGGGATTTCAGATTTTTTCAGACTTTGGAATATTTCCATATATATAATGAGATATCTTGGGGAGGGGAGATACCCAGGTCTAAACACTGAATTTATTAGTTTCATCTACACCTTATACACATAAACTGAAGGCAATTATATATGATATTTTAAATAATGTGCAACACGTCACATAAGGTCAGGTATGGAATTTTTCACCTGTGGCATCATGTTGATGCTCAAAAAGTTTCAGATCTTGGAGCTTTTCAAATTCTGGATATTCAACCTGTATATTAACTCTTGCGTGTTATAGGTGCTACTGCTATAAAAGGAACAACTCATGATTCCTGTTATTAGGGAGCTTGGAAGCCACCTTAGCTATTCTCAGAATATATCCAGTGCTTTTCAGCTTTTGATCCTTAGCTTATGTTGTCCTTCCCCTTGGGATGCCTCTTTTCCTAGTTCCTCCACCTACCCACCTTTGTTATTCAAATTCCTACACTGCTTTCCAAAGCCTACTTCAGATGTCATTTTTTCGTAAACCTTTTTTCTGACATCCTCAGTTAATTTTGCTCTCAGAGTACTTTATTTATACCACTCTTACGGTATAAATGGTAGTATGTTCCATGTATTTATCTTTATTTTAGAGACAGGGTCTCTCTATATTGCTCTGGCTGGTCTGGAACTCCTGGGCTCAAGAACTCCTCCTGCCTCAGTTTCCTGAGTAGCTGGGACTACCATGTATTTATTTTATTCTTCCAAGACGATAAATAGAGTACTTTGTCCATTCATCTATATTACTAGCATTTAACATAATGCCTTGTAAATGACAGGCCTACTACTAATTAAAATAATTTAATTAAAGATAACCTTAGTTACTTCTAACTTCGCCGATTGGATTTATTTAGGAAAATATCAATTTTACTTACAAAAAAATTATGTAATTTTAATCCAGTGTTCTTAGTTTAAAATACTACAGAATAAACTTGAGGACTTGCTTTGATAAATAGTGAACTTTGTGATTAGTGTAACAACTTTTCCACTTGTTTTTAGACTCTTAAGTAATCCCCTTTTCTCAGGTCAGAGTGTCCCCTGCAGAACCATGTGAATTGGTTCTATTGAAATATCTTGGCAGCTGCTAGGTACCTCCTCTACCCCAAAAAGCAGCTCTTTATTTTCTGCTATTCTGGGTTTGTTTGTTGTTTTGTTTTTGAGATGGGGTTGCGCTCTGTTGCCCAGGCTCGAGTGTAGTGACATGATCACAGCTCACTGCAGCCTTGACTTCCCGGCTCAAGCGATCCTCCCACCTTAGCCTGCTGAGTAGCTGCGACAACAGGCGCGCACCACCATGCCTGGCTAATTTTATTTTATTTATTTTTTTAATACCTGGCTAATTTTTTAAAATTTTTGTAGAGATGGGGTCTTGCTGTGTTGCCCAGGCTGGTCACAAACTCCTGGCGTCAATGTATCCTCCCACGTTGGTCTCCCAAGAGTTGGGATTACAGGTGTGAGCCTGTAATCTCAGTGTGAGCACATACTGGGCTTCTTCACATATTTTATTTGAAGAAAGGCCTCCTCTGCTGAATCAATTTAAAATTTTGCTGAGTGTAAATTCTTGTTTTTTATATGTATTTTTTTCCAATAGTTTATAGAAACATATTATTTCTGCCCTCTTATTCCTCATATTACCACAAATTTTAAATCAGTAGTCCATATGAATGAGACTTAGATGAATAAGCAAAAGATAGGCCGTGGACTTTGGGCACAACAAATAAATTATTCCCTGAGTATTCTGTCTCTTAATATGGATTTTTTGAGGGGTTGTTATTATATCAGAAATTATTGAAATTGGTGTATAAATTGTTAGGTACTAGATCAGGGCTTCCTAAACTTTAATGTACAGAATATTCTGAGTAAGTCTAGTCTGGGGCCTGAGTTTCTGCATTTCTGTTTCTTTTTCTTTTTTTTGAGACGGAGTCTCACTCTGTCACCCAGGCTGGGGTGCAGTGTCACAGTTCACTGCAACCTCTGCCTCCCGGGTTCAACCAGTTCTTCCACCTCAGCCTCCCGAGCAGCTGGGACTACAGGCATGCGCCACCATGCCCGGCTAATTTTTGTACTTTTAGTAGAGACAGGGTTTCACTATGTTGGCCAGGCTGGTCTCGAACTCCTGATCTTGTGATCCGCCCGCCTCGACCTCCCAAAGTGCTGGGATTACAAGCGTGAGCCACTGCGCCCAGCCTTGTTTCTTTTGTTTTTTTTTAGAGACAGGGTCTTGCTCTGTCACCCAGGCTAGAGTGCAGTGGCACAGTCATAGCTCACTGTAACTTCGAACTCCTGGGCTGAAGTGATCTTCCCACCTGAATGTCCTGAGTTGCTAAGACTACAGGTACGTGCCAACACACCTGGCTAATTTTTAATATTTTTTGTAGAGACCAGGTCTCACTATTACCCAGGCTGGCCTAGAACTCCTGGCCTCAAGTGATTCTCCCATCTCAGCCTCCTGAGTAGCTGGGACTACAGGCACATGCCACCACATCTGGCTAATTATTTTATTTTTTTGTAGAGATGGGGTCTCGTTGTGTTGCCTGGGCTAGTGTTGAACTCCTGGCCTCAAGTGATCCTCCTGCCTTGGCTTCCCAAAAATGTTGGGATCACAGGTGTGAGCCACCATACCTGGCCAAGATTCTGCATTTTTAACAAATAATTTCCATGTTGCTGGTCTGTGGACTATACTTGGAGTAGCAATGAGCTAGATGACTTTCCAAACCCTATCACCATGTTTTAGGATTTTTTTTTTGTACTAGTAAAAGTAGGCTTTTGGTATTGCACAGATACTCGTTTAAAGCGTCTGTTTCTCTACAGTCTAATGTATATTTTGACATTTTAATAGAAATTTTTGGATTTTTAAAGGAAAATCTCTTGTGTTTAGATTGATTGATCGTTCTGTGGTTGTGTGGTTTGTAGCTTCAAGTCATTCTTCAAAGTTTTAAAAATAGCCTTGACAATTATTAGACGTCAGTGACAACTTTCAGAGTTTACATTTAATAAGGAACGTCTAATTGTTTACTTATTTCTAACAGAATTGTAGTTGATACTGCCTTTGGTTATTTTTGCAGGGTATTGTTTGAGGTTAGACATTAACGTAGTATAAAATATAACAGGAAACTTAATCTTCTGTTTGACTCTGGATGTTTTAGTTGGTATAAGTACTGCTTTTTGTTGTTGTTGTTGTTAAAGCTGTTATTATTATGAATTAGTAGCAATTGTATGCCAGAGATTAGCCTGTTAATTTTATCTGTAGCACAGGTGAATTGAAAACCTAATTTGTGTAAATGGATAACCAATAGCACAGATAGCTCTTTAGTTAAATATCCTATACTCAAAAGGATATAAATTGATTCTGGGGGTACATTAATACTTATTTTTTCTTTAAGATACATCACATTAAATATTTTCATAGTCTTGTGCTTTTATTGAAGATTGTAACTAAATCATAAATCTTTAAGAAAATTCCCAGTATTACTTATTTTTGAAAATATTAATTGGTAATCAACATTTGCAGACCAGGATAGTAAAACATTTTGAGGGAAAAGTATTATTTTAAAAACTTGAGAATAATTTTCATTTTAATGATTATATTAGCCCTACATTATTTCATTTAATAATTATCAGTAGTCAAAATTGTCGAGGAAATTATATTATTACAAAAGTGACTTTAAAATGTATTTATTATTTTCTTATTTCTTATTAAATAAGTAAGCACTCGCCTTGCAATTAAAGTTTTCACATAGAATTTATGTGAAATATTGATAAAAAATTTTTTGGACCTGAGATCCAACAATTCTCTATAGAAATAAACCTCCTTTGTTTCTTCTGGTAGCATCCATTGATTTCTTTTTTCTGAAGGTACACTAATAGTGCTGATAGAAGCAGAACAATTGGAATTTACATTGAAAATAAATGTGATGAATAAAAAGCAATACATTGTAATATAGAGTTGATTTTGCTTCACCCATAAGTTCTAAAATCTAAAGGACAAAAATACTGAAAAGGTCGAGAAAAAAATGAAAGTAAGAACAAACGATTCAAAAAGAAAATGACACTGAGGTCTTGGTTTAATACATATGTATTTCAGGTTGATGGTTGATTTCATTAGCAAATCTCATTGTTATGCAATGTCTGTTCTTCTGCAGAAAAATGAATATTGTATTCTCACAGCCTCTGTGTGTATCTATTATGTTGCAATAAATGAAAATATACACATCTGTATCTGTCTTTGGCTTACTCTTTCCATTTTGTTTTTAAGGAAAAGAAAGAAAATTGAATAATATTCTTTTGTTGTTAAATTTGTTCAAAAGCCATTTCAATTTATATTATGGAAATGTTTCCTACTTTTGTTCTTTGAAGTAAACAATTATAAGATGGTTAATAATGTAACCATGATAATTATCCTATAACTTTTTTAATGAACAGAATGAATCTTGATTGATTTAAGTTGATAATATGAGATACTTCAGTGTATGTTTTCTAACATATTTTTAAATATTAGGAGTGGTTTTCCTTATTGCAGGAAATTATGGTAAGGGAGTGTATATATTATGCCAAATCTAAAGACTACTACCTTTTACAATAGCAGAATTATATATTGAGATTACTAAGGTTTGAATTTTTATAAAATAGGAAGTTCAGAAATAAATTTTAATGGCTACACATTGGAAGAATTCTTTGAATGGTAATAAAGTAATAAGCTTCATAAATTTTATGTTATGAGTTCAAATACGAATCAAACTGTATTGGATGAAAATTGTCATTTAATCTTCGTCATTTTGAGGTTTGACACTAGCTTACAAAATAGATTTGGTTTTTGGTAGTGTTCTCAAAAGTTGTCTCACAATTGAAATTATTTTGACAAGCTTGAAAACAGAAAAGCCCAAGGTTTGATTAAATATGGGTTGATTGTATACCATGCAGAAATCACCTGTATGGTAAAAATTTGCCTTCTGGTTCAATTGATGCAATCATAATAAATATCCTAGTTATGTTGAACAAACATGAGCTGTTATAAATATATACAGCAGTTTATTAATGCATTATAGTAAGTTTATTTGTATTTAGAGTATTTGCTACATGTTGAGCATTTTGTTATTCATGGTGGGTAATATAAAAGAAGGAATTTCAAGATCTAATAAGGAGAATCCCCAAATAATTATATAGTAATATATAGCTAAATTATGTAGAGAAAGCTTTTATGGGCCCTTCAAGTAGAGTCTGAGAGAGAGCCATCCTGAAAGTGATGAGACCTAAACTGATAATGAGGTAGGAGAAGAGATATGAAACAACATAAGCATAATCTGGGAGGCAGGAGGACATAAATTTAGGATCTTTGGGAGGCAGAGAGCAGACCAACCCAGTAGTAAGGAAGATATGATTTGCTACAACCTATTTACCTGACATGAAAACCAGAATGCATCATTGTTACATTTTATTAGTGTTCAGGCTGGATATTATACCATGGTAGCATGTCGTTTGACATCACTGGTAGATCTTGTTTTTTCTTGTATAATAAAATAAGAGATAGGACATTTCCTTTGTATCAGTTTTGCTGTCTTTCCTCTGCACCAGTAACAAAAAGTAAATGTTCTAAAAGTATGCAAATATGAATCTAAATTGATGCAAACTGAATGTGAAGACAGAGTCACATTTATCTACTACGGTTAGAAATACCAAACTGGGGAGGATTAAACATCATCATAGATTGGACTCCCAGCTGTTGTAATGGGCAGGATCATAGAAGGAAGATCACCAACGAAAAGAGGAACTCATTTCAGTTAAAAAGAAAGGTCCCTTGGCCAGTCTCAGCTACTGGGGAGGCTGAGGCAGGAGAATGGCGTGAACCCGGGAGGCGGAGCTTGCAGTGAGCCGAGATCGCACCGCCGCACTGCAGCCTGGGCGACAGAGCAAGACTCTGTCTCAAAAAAAAAAAAAAAAAAAAGAAGAAAGGTCCCTTATAATTGTCTGGACCTACCTACCAATGTTTTATCTTTTGCCTGATCTGGAACCCTGGTTATCTCATTTTATGTGATCTTATGCTCTCATCTAGCATAAGAACCTGACTTTAGAAAATAGAATATGAGGCCGGGCGCGGTGGCTCACGCCTGTAATCCCAGCACTTTGGGAGGCCGAGGCGGGTGGATCATGAGGTCAGGAGATCGAGACCATCCTGGCTAACAAGGTGAAACCCCGTCTCTACTAAAAAATACAAAAAATTAGCCGGGCGCGGTGGCGGGCGCCTGTAGTCCCAGCTACTCGGGAGGCTGAGGCAGGAGAATGGCGTGAACCCGGGAAGCGGAGCTTGCAGTGAGCCGAGATTGCGCCACTGCAGTCCGCAGTCCGGCCTGGGCGACAGAGCGAGACTCCGTCTCAAAAAAAAAAAAAAAAAAAAAAAAAAAAAAGAAAATAGAATATGAAGTTGGAATTTGAAAATGGAATTTAACATAAGATTCTGGAAATTGTTAGTGTATGTTTAAAGATCCAGATAAGAATTGCACACTTCCTAGCAAGATGGCTTATTTTGGGGAATCTTTCCTTATGTTATCACTCTGGCTTGCACTGAGGAAATGTTAAAAGAAACTTTTATGTGAAATTTGTTATTTTAATTGCTGTAAAGATTCTATTGAGAAAACTGTTGTATGCTCCAGTGTTGCATTTTTGAAAATTATTTTTAAAACTTCTCTCAATTCTAAGTCCTAGAGAATGCTTTGGAGCTTGTTTGTAAATTACATCTTACAGAGAATGAGAATTTTGTAATTTGATCTTGTTTCCCACTTTGATTGCTAAGGAGCTGAACCACCCACATCATAGACTTGTGCAAGACCTTACGATAGGTGTTTCTTTGTTCCAGCTTTACCTTGTGTTTTCATCTTTCTCATGTCCTCTTATTTTCCCTTTTATTCATATTAGTTTTAAAGACGGCATTCTGTTCTTCTACTCATAGTTTTGTAAGTCATCTTAAATTATGTTGGAATAAGATGGGATATAAATAATTATGTAACACCTATTTATTGTAGCAGAAGGCAAGCAAGCAAAAAGTAGGAAACTTTCTTCCTCCTCTTGTCTCTCCCTCTGCCTTCCCACCTCATTTTGCACATAGTTCTTAATATGGACGACTGAGCTCTGTGGTTTCTTGGACTTTCCAGAGTACAGGGGAATTCACTCTGAAGCTTTTTGTCTGTATAGCACTACCAGGTCCAGTTAAAGAATGCCTCAGAGGATAAGTAGGGCTGAAATATACCCAAGAGAAGGAAAAGATATATTTTTCTCATTTGTCAGCTCTGAGGGCAAGTCTTTTTCCAACTGGTTTTTGTTCCTTACCTTTTAACTGAATTGTAAACTCATAATATCAAAAGTTACTGCCTCTTGATAAAAACCACCTTCAGTGAAACCAAATATCAAATTTATTTGCTGTACCTCTTTATGTTTTCATTTCATCGTGCTCTAAATTTGACACATTATAGGAAACTAAGATGGTCATAAATCATTGAAACAATTGAAATAATAATTTTCTGATTTAAAATTTTGTTTTGTTTTGGTGTATGAATTACATACTCAAAGCTACTTATGTGGTAGGAATTACATCTCAAATTTTCTATAAAGGAAATAAGAACTGTGTTTTGCATTCCATGTGACTACTATGGTTTTTAAATTATTTAATGTTAACGTGACCAAGAAATTCAGCTGGAAATGTTAACTTCGTAGTTGTAGTTTTTTGAAAACTTGCTATTTCATGTGTCATTGTAGTAAAGGTGGTGATTAGTGATGTTAGCAACTTGCATTAATGTGGCTCAATACCGAATACATACTCCTTGAAATGACATATTACGTATATGTAATGAGACCTGTTCTGAGATTCTATACCCTTGGCACAGTCTTCTCTCCTGGGTGTTCTTTTTGTTATTTGTTATCATTCTGTTTTGTTCTATTTCAGTGCATTATAACTTTATTTTGCAAAATGAATAAATACAAACCTAATTTAAGTAGTATAATTTTAATATCTTAACATGATTATATTGTTGTAACGGGCTCTTAAGAGCTTTTTGCATTAAAATTAAATCTTACTTGTTCTAAATAGTTAGGATATTGATGCATGGCCTTAGTAAATATAGAATTTTAAAGATAAATGCAAATTTTATGAATTTACAGAATTATCTAGATTTTTTTAAGTAGTAAATTAGTTTATCATTTTGATGGAGTTGGGTTTTTTGTTTGTTTGATACCCATGGCTAATTTAAATCTTCCCTCATCAAACTACACTAAAAATTTCAGAGAGTGAAAAAACAGCAATTTGGGGGGAAAAAAAAAACTATGGACAAAGAAACTTAGTTTTCAAGCTAACAATGTTTTTAAAAAATGCTCACAGGTTAAATATTTTGTTTTGTTTTCTTTTTGATATATGAGTTTAAAATGATGTAGAGAAAAGTTTCAAATTATGTAAACTTTCTGATCATAGGAATTTTTTTTTCAAAGACTGCCACATAAATTATAAAGCAGTCTTATTTTGCAGGAAGTTGTCCAAATAAAAAAATAGACATGCTTTGACCACAAAACAATTAATTTTGGTCTTTTATTATAACTCAGAAATTTATTTTGTGTACTTTGTTGTAGCAGCTGAAATTTAAAGACTTTTCTTTATTTTTGGCAGGTTTTTGAGCAGTTATTCTTATTTGTTAGCATTGCTTTGTTTTTATAGTTTATCTGCCAGAAGTGATTTTTGAAACCTGCTTTTAAACAGTGCCAGTTTTCAAGCATTCCTATCATGTGAGTTTATGTGAGGAGTAAACCCTTCTTTAAAAAGGAAGAAAGACCTCTTCTCTTTATTGTCTGTTTGACATTAATAAAATTAAGAAAAGAACGATTACTTGAGACATCAACCTTACCTGGCTTAGTTTTATCACGTGAGCATTCACGTTTGCTGGTGATCTAAGTGCTCCACCTGCCTTTCAGTTTGTTTACCAGGAAATCAAGATGTGTAAACTGCAGGAAGTACTATTTGACCCTCTCCGACAGTATCTCATTACAATAATTGCTAATCTCTGAATAAGACAGCCATGTTTTGTGAGTAACTGAGAGAGAGAGAGGTTGTGTTAGGTAGATTTTAGGTGTTTCAACAAATAGAGCATTGTAAATGCTTACTTGGATTATGTTTTCATGATAGCTTTTGATAAAAGACATATGCTGACCCTTGGGGTCAGCAAAGCTAGGACACAATAGTAGGTATTCTTTCATGCCTTTTAACTGAAAAATATCACGGCTTGTTGTTTTGGAGTGCTGTCACTGCTCTGAATCGAAAGGATAATGGCTACTTCCTGATTAAACCCACTCTCCACAGTAAGCTGTTAATGTTATACTCTATGTCTTTTTCTCCTGTAAATGCAAGGGTATTTGGTGTTTTCTTTACTTTTTAACATTGTTTTTTCATAGATAGATCTCTTATAAATATATCCTGAAGTTAAAGTTTACAATTAGAGTAGAAACTACTGTTTAAGTTTGGAGGATTTTTTAAAATGAAAAAGTATTTCTGTTTGGTATCTTAAATCCAACCAGCTCATACACATACTGTAGGTTTTGGTTAAAGAAATTAGCTTTATTAAATAAAGACATTGAAATGATAAATGATATTAAGCTGCCACTTTCTTGCCACTCTAAACAAAATTTTAAAAATAACTTATGTAGTAAAAAGATTATTTTTTTCAGAGACTTTGGATAAACTCTAATTTTATCTTGATTTAGTAAGTTTCATAATTCTATTTACATATTCTCAAAATATCTCAATTTTAATTATGAAATTAACTTATTCTTAAATTAGCAAAGAGATCCTTATGATATAAAAACAATGTTAAGTATTCAGAATATAAGAAGGGAATAATGAGCTTCTTAGTTTTAATCCTAAATCTGGCCGTCACTCCATCTGTGGTCTTGGGACAATCATTTAAACTGCTTACCTCAGTTGTCTTGTCTACTGTCTGTGTGAGTGCTTAAGTAAAATGTGTATGTTTGTTTATTTCTGTATAGTGTTACAAACTACAAAGGAAATGAATTTCACAAGTATTTTATAAAATGGAGAACTGACTCTGCACATAGGAAAACATTTGCAGTAACAATAGACAGATAAATAAAATTTATGGCTTTAAAAGAAACACCATTACATTGGCTTTTTAATTTGGAACAGAACTCTTAGTTTTGCTCAATCTTTAATATAATATTACCAAAGGAATATAAATAGGAATATACATGTTGTTGGATACACGACTGAAATGGGAAGTAGAAAGCTTAAAGGTGATTTAGTAAAGAGTGACAAATATACTTAAAATTATTTAACTTTTTCTCAAAAGTCTTATTTCTGGAAGTAAAATTGTTCAGAGTAGAGGGAAGAATGTATGTATATATGTATTATGGACATATAAGTGCAGGTGATCTATGTAGTAAGATGTTTAATTTTTAAACTGTAGTATTAGGTATGTTGATTATATAAAAAGAAAACATAAGATTATGAAAAATCAAAAGTAGTTACTGAAGAATGTTATAGAACCTAACATCTAGGAATGTTAAAAAATGGGATAATGTAAATAGACTCCTTCTTTTGTTGAAAGAATTAAGGTAGTTTCTTTCACATAATGCTTATCAGGGTTATTTTAGGTAACTCAGTAATTTTTGATATAAATTACTGGCATATTCTGAGGAGATTCTAAAGGTTAAGTTTGTGAGTATTCTAGCTTAGTCAAGTTATCAAAGTAAAAGTTATAATAGTGCCTCTATTTTAATTTATAATAAGTAATTTATGTCATTTATTGAATACTTACTATATGCAAACCTCTGGGCTAATTCTTTTGTCATTTACTATTCATGATAATCACATGAGGTGGAGGTACCATTATTACTTCCATTTTTATCAATGAGAAAGTAATTGTAGAGAATTTAAATAATTTGATTAAGGTCCTTAGCCAGTAAATACCAGAGCCAGACTGAAAACACTAACACAATTCAGAATCCAGAACAGTCTCCAGTGTCATACCCTTAACCATTGTGTTTATATTTTGGAGATAGTAAAGGTGCTTACACACTTGATTTGGATGGTTTTATTTTTTTCATTAATTTATCAAATATTATGGAATGCCTAAGTATCAGGCACTTTAAGGAATTACAGGCAATAGCATTATAAAGCAGTACAAAATCCCTTGTCTCAAGGAGCCTGCAGTCTAGTGGAAGAGGCAGAAAATTAATAGGCTGTTAACAGTACAATGTGATAACTGATAAAATATAGGTCAGTACAGAATGCTAAAGGTGACGCAAAGGAGAGATATCCAATGTATTGTTTTATTTCCGTATTTAATTTGCATATTTGTGTGGTGTTCTAGGTACATGGGAAATATCAGCAAATGAAACTTTCAAAGGTCTCTGCTTTTGTGGCACATGTAGTAGGAGTGGAGATTAATAATAATAAATAAACTGCATAGCATTTTAGAAGATGACAAATGTTATGAAGTAAAGAAAAAGGAGCAGGATGTGAAGGTTAGGTGATGATGGGATTCAGGGGCTGAGGAAGGATTCACAAAAAAGATGATGTTGAGGAAAGATTAAGGAAGTTAGCTATGTGGATACCTTTGGAAAGTCTTCCAGGCAGAGGGCATGAGGCAGGAGCATGACTGGTTTGCTCAGGGAAATGAATGGTTGTCATTGTGAGTACGGGTATGGAGAGAGAGAGTAAGAGGAGGTATTGTCAAAGGAAATGAGTGAGTGGGTTATTCATGTAGGGCCTCAGTGGGGACTTTGAGGAGCCACTCCAGGGCTTTCAGTATTTTTAAAAAGGATCACTCCAGCTGCTATGTTTAGAATAGACTATATGTAAGGAGTCATGGACCACCAGTTAGAAGGTTCTTAGAGTAATCTAAATGAGAGAAGGTAGTGGCCTAGTAGCAGTTAAATTCTGGATGTTTTTGAGGTACAACCAAAAAGATTTCTGGATGGGCTGGATGTGAGATACAAGGAAAGAGGAGAAAAGATGATTTTAAGGGTTTTGGCAGCTGGAAGGATGGTGTTGCCATCACCTGTGACATAGGGAAGAATTTCAGGTGGAGAAGGTGTGGGATGAGGATGAAGAATCAGGACTTTGACTTTGGATGTGGTAGACCAAAATGTTCATTAGATATGCAAGTGGAGATGTGAGAAGGCTTTACAGAGTGGGTACAACCCAAATTGAGACTGAAGAATGAATTGGACTTACTTAGTCAAACAGGTAGTTTATAGTGAAATTTGAGAGCATTTGCTACATACTTGAATGAATCTTGGCATTATCTACTTTACATATTTACTAATGAAAGTAACAGCTAAACATCTAATAAGTAAAAACATTTAAAAAGTAACAAAAATATTTCAAAGAACAAAATTATTCTGGGTAGTCAAGTTTTAAGAGTATTTCATTGACTGCTGTTTTCATGAATTGTACTATCTGCTTTTACATATGTTGATTCTCACTTTAGTACTGTCATGTAAATAGTATTTCTGCTTTACATTTGGAGAAACTGAGTATGAGGGAGATTAATATTCCCTAAGGTCATTGATAGATTAGGTGATAGGCCTGGATTCAAATCCAGGTCTTTAGATTCCATTGATCATGCTCCTTATTTTAAAAATGTATGATGTTAAAATTAAAAATTTTTTAGACTTCTGTTTGAGGTCACAAGGAGTTGTCTTTTTTAAATGTTAGTTATCATTCTGTAGTGTAACACAGTCATACCCTTGGGACATAAGGCTTTTAGATTCTTGATCAAGGAGTCAAACCATTTGTTGTTGTTCTTTGAATAACTACAGAGCTTTCAGTATAGTTACCTATTAGAGACACTCCCTCTACTCCTGGTTCCCATCCCTGTGTATAGTGCTTAATAAGTGCTTAGAAAATTACAGCTGCTATTATCATCATCTTTTTGTTTGTACTATACTGTGACCTTGGGAATGAACCCAAGCTTGTTGGAATCATGTGTAAATTATAAAACTTCAAAGATTAAGGGCACAAAGACATTCTAAATAATGAAGAATGAGTTTTAATCCACACATTTTATCAGCTTAGAGACCGTCTTTATTTCTTTTCCTTTTTTGGCTGTTTTTTAGGCAAGTGAATTTGCTAAATAGCTATGTTTCTTACTGGAAAACCAGTAATCTCTAAGATGCCGCTGGGTATTTTCATTGTAAAAGTGAACGTAAGTGGTTCAACTTCAGTAGGGAATAAAAATATGGTTTTTCTTTGAAACATACTTACTTTTGAGGTGACAATGCCATATTTTAAAAACTTAAACCTTTTGCCTTCTGGATCGAAATAGAAGTTATTTCATGTGAATTAATACTGTTTACATTTATGATGTTTTTAAAGATACTTAAGAGCAAGTCATTCAGACAAACTGCAAGAAAGAAATATTTTTACAAAGCCATGTCAAACATACAGAAATACCAGTTTTTTTAAAAACCTGGTGTAGATTAAAATAGGATATGAGTCTGAATGATCATTTTAAGTATATACTGAGGGAATAGGTAGAAACTTTACATTGTCTATATATTTCTGTTCTATAAATACATGACTTTACACCAAGTCTGCTGTTTTGATACATTTCTCAAAATTTTATGCTATTTTTTCAAAGGAACAAAAAAGATGTATTCATTCTTCCTATACCTTTCTCTGAAGTTTTCCTTTTATTTTATTATCATGACTTAAAGACTTCTTTAGGTATAACTTATTTTATGGTCACTGTAATCATTAAACAGATTATTTAAGTAAACAAAAATGTTGTTTGACCCCTACAACATTCTTTATTTTAACTAAGTTATCTATGTAATTTCATATTTTAATTAATTCCACTTATGATTAAAATTATATTTCCTGAGCATTTCTACTTAGTCATAAAAATAGTAGTGTATGTGTTAAATGTTTGTGTATCACTTAGTTTTAAAATTTGTTTTATTTGGACAATGTCTTTGATTCAGTTGGGGAAAAAGAAATGACTGGTTGATCAGAAAAAAATTTCTGTTCAAAGTATTTTATTATTGCCTATTTTTAAATAATTATACTGAACTAAATCTGTTACATCCTTTATAAATTGCAATGTCCAGAGAGGCTGGGCGCGACACCTCACGCCTGTAGTGCCAGCACTTTGGGTGGCCAAGGCAGGTGGATCACCTAAGTTCAGGAGTTTGAGACCAGCCTTGCCAACATGATGAAACCCCATCTCTACTAAAAATACAAAAAAATTAGCCGGGTGTGGTGTTGGGTGCCTGTAATCCCAGCTACTTGGGAGGCTGAGTCAGGAGAATCACTTGAACCCAGGAGGCAGAGGTTGCAGTGAGCTGAGATCACGCCATTGCACTCCAGCCTGGGTGACAAGAGCAAAACTCCATCTCAAAAAAGAAAGAAAGAAAGAAATGTCCAGAGAATGAGTATTCTGATTAATTTTTTCTGGAATAGTTTGTCTTAACATTATTAAAATTTGATGTATTTGTGCAAGTATAAAATTGAATATTTTTTGATGATTTGAAGACATAGAGGGCTACTGGGTCCTGATTTGACAATCTGCGCTATTACTAATCTAGTTTGGTAAATAAAGTATAAACAAATATTAAATGAGTCTTGATTTGATAATTTGAGCAACCAGTCTAGTTTTATAAGCAAAGTGTAATCAAATATTAAATGTGTTACAGTAATTAAAAAAACCAGAGATGTCAAAAGGAGCATAAGATTAATTGCTTAATGAGTGATATGTAAGTAAAATATTATGAGTTGACAGTAAGAGAGCGGTCATTGGAATGACCAGGAAAGCTCCTTTAAGGAAAAGGAACTAGAACAGTATCTTCAAGCACTGAAGAAGGACTTCAAACATTAATTTTTACAAATAGCTTTTTTGAGATATAATTCACATACCATACAGTTCACCCATTTAAAGTATATAGTTTAATGGATTTTGGTATATTACATTTTTTTTACATTGCAGTAAAATATCTATAACATAAAATTTGTCATTTTAACCATTTTTATCTACACAATCCAGTGGTCTTAATTACATTCACAGCGCTGTACAACCATCATTAGTGTATTTCCAAAATTTTTTCATCATCCCAAACAGAAACTCTGTAACCATTAAGTAATAATAACTCCTGGTCAGATGCAGTGGCTCATGCCTGAATCCCAGCACTTTGGAAGGCTGAGACGGGGTCTCAAGGATCACTTGAGACCAGGAGTTCAAGGCCAGCCTGGGCAATGTAGTGAGACCTTTGCTCTACAAAAATAAAATAAAATAGCTGGGCATGGTGGCACACGCCTGTGGTCCCAGCTACTCAGGCCTCGAACACAGGAGGTTGAGGCTGCAGTAAACTGTGATCGCACCACTGCACTCCAGCCTGGGTGACAGAGTGAGACCCTGTCTCAAAAAAAATTTAAAAATAAAAAAAAGCAGTAACTTCCCATTTCCCTCACCATCCCCCATCTCCTAGTAACCTCTAATCTACTTTCCATCTCTGCAAATTTTCCTCTTCTACATATTTTTCATAAGTGGAATCATACAATATTTGTCCTTTTTTGGGTTGGGCTTATCTCACTTTAGAGTTTTCAGGGTTCATCTATGTTATAGCATGTAGCACAACTTCATTTCCTTTTATAGTTCCATTTTATAGATATATGTATATGTGTACATATATACATACAAATGTACATTTATACATACACACTAGTATGTATAAATGTACATATATACACAGTTGCTCATATATACATGTACATATATACATATATTTGTGTATACATATCCATATATTTGTACATATATACAAATGTACATATATACATATGTTTGTACATATATGCAAATACATATTAAATATGTATATATGTATATCACATTTGTTTATTCATTCATCTTTTGAGGGATATAGGTGTACAAGTATGTTTTCAAGTCCCTGTTTTCAATTCATGTAGTAATTTTACATTAACTTTTTGGAGGAACCACAAAACTGTTTCCAGATAGCTGAATCAAGCATTGATTTTATTCTGTTACACTGTATAGTGAATGTAAAAGATTAGGCTGAATGAATACTGGCTTCAGCACATACAGGGTATTTTTCTTAAAAGAGAGGAAAAAAGCCATATGTGTTATGTGTGAAAACATATGTATGTGTAAATAGCCACCTCTTAAAGTGAACTTTTAAAAAATAATTAAGCCTTCTGGTTGTATGTAACCCCAGTTTTGTAATATTTTCTAGAAGTGGTCGTTGAGTTTGAATTTCTTAGTCCCTAGGAACAATGTTATAAAAGGATGTTTCCACAAGTAATTAGAATTAAAAGTGTATTTCTGCCCATTTTTAAGATATCTATTAGTTGCCTTTTTTGCATTATAATATAAAATCACTGAATTATATCTGACTGGAAAGTGTTTCCAATATATTCTTTTTAGTCAATTTATTTTCTTTGATATATGTTAATATTTTATATTTTATAAGTGAGAGAGAGGACTATAATGATTTCATTCAGCATTTTTGAGATCACTCTTACAAGTATAAATTCTGGAATTCAATATGGATTAGGAGAACAATGTTTACCTATCTTTTCATAGATCAGTGAGGGACCACTAAGCCAAAAGGCAGGGATTATTTCACTGGCTTGATAAGGTTATAAGAGTGAGGAAATGGGGAGCAATATTAAAACAGGGAAACTTTGACCTAATTACAAGTTTCCCTAAGAGGGATATATAATATCACAAACCCACAAACAGTAATGAATTACCACTTGTGGATTCAATAAGGAAATAAATGGTAATAACAGATATAATGGGTCATCCTGATGACAATATTATTTAGGACATCGGAGAGTAATTTCTGGAAATAAAAGGAAAACTAATTGGAAGTTTTCTTTAAATTTCTGGTCAGGGGGTATACATGAGAGTATGTAATGCATAGGGAGATTGAAATAGCCAGCAATTTTGAAGAAACTGACATGGATAGCTCATGGAATTTTTTTTTTTATTTTTGGCAAACCTCTGAGGCAATTTGCCTTAATATGAATTTGAATCTTAAGTAGGAACTGGGAATGAGATTATAGGGTGTTTAAATCATTAACAAAAGTTAGACTTGGAGAAATCTTTTGGGAAATAAGTTTCCACTTGGTTAAAAGCAAAATTTCAATAATCTATAGAGCATATAATTGTAACAAACTAAATACTCTGAATAACTTACCGAATACAAATTCAGTAATTAGATAAGTAGTTTAAATGTTGTTAGTTTGACTTTGCTGATCTGGCAAGAAAGTAAGAAGTCACTGTGACTAAAAATTAAGTGAAATAGAAAATTTAAAGAGGATAAGAAAATGTCAAAGCCAACTTCCATTTCAAGGAACCTGCTGAACTTGTGATGGAAGTTCTATTTATGAGGCTGTATAATAGCCCATATTTGAAATCAGATAGATAGGCCAGGCGTTGTGGCTCACATCTGTGATCACAACACTTTGGGAGGCCAAGGCGGGTAGATTGCTTGAGGCCAGGAGTTCGAGACCAGCCTGGCCAACATGACGAAACCCCATCTCTGCTAAAAATACAAAAATTAGCTGGGCATGGTGGCGCATGACTGTAATCCCAGCTAATCGGGAAACTGAGGCACAAGAATCACTTGAACCGGGAGGTGGAGGTTGTGGCAAGCTGAGATCATGCCACTTGCACTCCAGCCTGGGCGACAGAGGGAGACTCTAAATAAATAAATAAGTAACTTACGTAGTGCTGTTATTTTTATTTCAAAACGTCTCTACCTCCATTTTGAAACAACATGATCTCTTTTGAACCTCCGTTTTTAAAACGTTTAAGTTCCTTCTTTTTAAAAGTAATCATACCTTTAGTATAACTCTTACCCACTTTGTCCCTTCTCATTTTCTTATTTTAAAGTTTTTTGGTTATTCAATTTAGATTACTTCTCATGGTAGGAAGATTATAATGAATCCTAGATCTAATTTGATTCCTAATGTTTTAGTGCATTGATTGAAAAATACATCAAATTTTCCGAAGTCATATTAATCCCTTATACACAAGCAGACACACATTCAAAAACCCTTAATACCTTAGAACTTTCTGGACCTCTAGTATATGTGAAATTCAAATGAAATTTTTTTAGGGAGACCACTGCTTTTCTCTTCAAAGAAACACCTTTCCAACTCTTAGTTTTCACCCAAAACTTGGAATTAATATTCTTTCTAGATATAATTGTTTAGATTTTTTTTTTAACCTCCTCACTGTCGTAGTTGTTTGAAGCCTAACTTTCATTACTAAATCAGCTGTTGATCTGTTGCCTAATAAACTTTTTCTGGAGCCTATTTCTTCAAGTTTTGTACTTCTCTTTAATGTATCAGGCTATATTTTACACAGGAAACCTCAAGTTTTTTGTTCTCAAAACCATTTAGCTCTTCTTTGCAGCCACCTAATCTCTCTTTGACGACCATCTAAGCATTTTTCAGAAGGCCTTGATTTGTAATTATACCAGACTTTATTTTGGGGCCCCATGAATCTAAAACTTTTATAATTATAGTTTAGATAACTTAGTAGAAGTACCATTACTTTTATGTTGACCTGCTCCACAAAGTATTGCACCTGACACTGAACAAGAGATTTGTGTGTGAGTAATGGATTATTCATCAGTCCCACCAGTAGTGCCAGTTTTCAGACTCTGACCTCTTTGGATAGTTTATCTTGCTTGTTAGATTCTCTTGCTTGAATTACTCTTTCTCTTTTCCTTTTTCTTATCCTCCTTTCACTCTAGGACACAAATTACTGAGGGTGGAAAAGAACTCAGTACTCTCTATTATTTGTTTGTGATCCCAAAAGGAAAGTTTTCAGGGTTAAAAACTGAGAGGAGAAAAGACATTGTGGTAATGGTGTTTCCCTTGTTGGTCCTGTATTCTTATAGATAACACAGTTTCTGAAACGCAGGCTTTCTTTTTTAAGCTTTTCTAAGCTGTGCCTGAAGTATTCATAGTAATCTTCCTGAAAGTTTGGAGTTTTTCTGGACTGGGCCGATCTGGTTCTTTGCGGAGTTACTGCCCAAGTACCAGGAGATATTCCTCCATCTAAGCAGCTAATAGAAGTCTACATCAACCCTTTCTGGAAGCTTTTCTATTTCCTAATAAGTATCTGTATGTTCAAATCTGCTTGTTAATCATTCCTTAGACATGATGTTGAAATGGAACTTTGTGGATATTCATTTATCCTAGTGTAATACAGCATATTACAGCTCAGATCTCCTGGATAGCTGGGTCAGTAGGTTCCATTGCTAGGTCCAGTTTCCCTCCTGTCATCCTGGCTCGCTCTGGATATAGGTGAGGTAGAGCCTCAAGAAGCAATAGACCATGGTAAGGATTACCTAGCAAGGGATTCATGGGTAGAGAGCCTTACCCAGGTAGTCACATGTCCTTGTAGAAATTTTTTCGGAGGGGTGGAGGTCCTGCTACCACCTTTCCATATGCCTACTCTAGTTATAGTAAACTTGCCAGCCAGCCCTTGTAAGAGATTTTTGGGAGGGGCAGAAGACTCTTGGAAAGGAGAGATCCGTTTCAGATTCTCTGTCATTGTTGACAGGAGGATAGCTGGGAGTTCTCACAACTGTCCTTGTTACCTCTCATCCTGAGTGCTCATCTGGACACCGGGTAGATAGTTTATAATGTATTATACGCTTAGCTTGCCAATGTGTAACTATTCAGAGCCTCAGTTAGCAGTAAAGCCAATTATTTTTCAAGTCTTTCATTGTCAGTTTCAGGTTTTAGAAGCTGCCTTATACACATACCTGCTGTTACTTGTATGAATTGTTCTCCTTTTATTTTCCTACTTGGCTTTTGGGGCTTAAGATGATGATGAATTCTATATTCTTGCCGCCTTCTTATGGGACCTTTTCATCCAAGCTATCTGTATATTTTTCCCATTCTTTATATTAGCAGATATTTTCCCATTCCCTTATATTAGCAGATATTTTCTTTCTTTTTAAATTTTTGTTTGTTTTAGTGAGTCTTATAGCATCTTTAATATTAAGTACTGGGCCAACAAGACAGTGAATGTTAGTTATTATTTTCATTTGAACTTCAAAATTGACATAATCTGGCAATAGTGAAGCTTATAAAAGCTCTATGGCAGTGATTCTTAACCTTGGAATCTTCTGGAGGGCTTCCCAACCTGTTAATGCTTACATCCCCACCCCCAGAGATTCTGATATAATTGATCTGGAGATGGGCCTTGTCACAGATTTATATATATTTGAGATCCCCCATGTGTTTCTAATATGCAGCCAGGCTTGTGAATCATTACATTAAAGGAATTGTATGGTAAACTTGTTTATGAAGTAAAAAATTCATTTTACACTCAGAAAATACTTGAAAAACTACGAGATGACACTCTGCTGGAATTCTCTTCTATGAAATTACATATACTTCTTTGCTTCACTGTTTTCTAAATTAAGATTTTTATTGGTCAAGTTTTCTCTAAGTATATGACTACCTCCATTTACAATGAGCTTATTACTTTTATTTGAAGATATTGCATAAGTCATTTTCATAATATTATTCTTTGTCCATCAAGATTAAAATCAGTTGAGCATGATTATATAATAAATATGTAGCTTTATAAATTAAGTTCTATCATCTAAGGCAGATTGTGAAAGATAATTGCTCTCTGCACCTTTGTTTAAAATATAGCTTATATATACAGATTGAACTAGAGAACCAAATAAGTTCATGTAGAACTTTGATAGCTAAAGGAATGTTCTGGACTTGTGTTTTTATGTATTTGTATATAGTATTGCATATTTATATAAAAATTATCTTACGGTTTAAGCTGAGTAGAACCCTATTTGCCTTTTATGAGATTCCAATATATGTCTTAAGAGAGAAGGATGTTCAATATGGGACTGATAAACCAAATGTGACTGGATTAATCCCAAGGTATTGATGTGTTTTTAGTAAAATAAAATTAGCTTACACAAATAAACTAGTGGTGCCTAACTCCCTGCCTTTAGTGAATTTGAGAAGTTTGATATAAATATGGAAAAGCAGAGTTTATTGGCACAAATAGATTTCTTGGTTGGCAAGTTAAATTTTAAGGTTCAATCTGGACAGAGTGCTATGTGCCTGTAGTCTCAACTACGCAGGAAGCTGAGGCAGGAGGATTGCTTGAGGCCAGGAGTTAGAGGCTAAAGTGCACTAGGGTCTGCCTGTGAATATCCACTGCACTTGGGCCTGGGCAACATGGTAAGACCCTCATCTCTTAAAAAAAATTTTTAAGGTTTCAACACTTTATTAAAATTAAGAGGCCATTGGGAGATATACCTAATGCTAGATGACGAGTTAGTGGGTGCAGCACACCAGCATGGCACATGTATACATATGTAACTAACCTGCACATTGTGCACATGTACCCTAAAACTTAAAGTATAATAATAATAAATTAAAAAAATAAAATAAAGAAGTATTACAAAAAAAAAATTAAGAGGCCTAAGTGCCAACATGCATCTCTTATCAGAAGAATTTGTATAATATTCTTTGCAAGTCATGTTTATTTAATGTTAGGATAAATATACTAATCAACATTTATGCTTTTGCCTTACTAAGTTTACAGTATATTCAGAAAACATTAAAGCAAAATATAGATGTTTGGCATATTTTATTCAATTCACTACTTTGTGGGAACTTTTGAAGAGATTTTCTGATTTGCCAGAAGAAGCCAGATATCGGCCAGGCGCGGTGGCTCACACCTGTAATCCCAGCACTTTGGGAGGCCGAGGCAGGTGGATTACCTGAGGTCAGGAGTTTGAGACCAGCCTGGCCAAAGTGGTGAAACCCTGTCTCTACTAAAAATACAAAAAATTAGCCGGGCGTGGTGGGAGGCACCTGTAATTCCAGCTACTTGGGAGGCTGAGGCAGGAGAATTGCTTGAACCCGGGAGGGGGAGGTTGCAGTGAGCTGAGATCACACCATTGCACTCCAGCCAGGGCAACAAGAGTGAAACTCCATCTCAAAAATAAATAAATAAATAAAAAAGAAGAAGGCAGATAAAAAATAAAAAATTGTTATATAGTACAATGTTATAAGTGACTTAATTAGGGAATACACAAGATTAACAGGAAAGGACCTAAGACTTCCTTGTGAGTCGGAACAGTTCCTTAGAAGTTACACATGAGCTGAGACCTAGAGTATATGTAGGAGTAAGGCAGAGAATAAGGGCAGGGCATTTGAGGGAGAACAAACATCATGCACTAAAAACATAGCATGGATGCAGGAGGAGACAGTGGTGTATTTGGGAATGGCAAGAAGTTGTTTAGTCACCTAATGTATGAGTAGAGAGTGGAAAAGGAGACCAAAGAAACCAGAGGCTTATTAAGTAGACCTTGTTATGCCTAGCAGAAGACCTGGGATTTTATCATACAGGTGATATAGAAACACTGAAAGATTTTAAGTAGGGGAGTGGTGGGATCAGATTTTTATATTAAAAAGATTACTGCTTTAAAAAAAACAGGATTACTCTTGGTAGAAACAGTATTGAAGGAAAGAGAAGCAGAGACCTCTTGGAAGGCTACTGCATTATTTCCAATAAGAACTGATTCAGGATTGTATTAAGATGATGGTGGGAATAGAGAGAAGATATATATACTTTTAATATTGGATAAACTTGTTAGTCCCCAAACTGAATTAATATAGCTTTACCAAGTTTTTAAAAAGTATATGTAATGTGGAGGTGCAAGATTACTAAATGGACGAGCACCTGAGAGAGTTTGGTAAGAGTATGTGACTTGATTTTCTGTCTCAGCATATCATTCATTATAGCACATGAAAAATCATATTAGAGACATTCTACATTTGGTCTTGGATATAGAGTCTAGAATCAAGAATATTGAATTTAAAATTCCCATAGAGAATTCATTAAGTCAAATGGCATTCTGTCATTGAGTACCATTGAGAGATGCAGATATTCTTTTATTTTGGAGACGGTCTTGCTCTATTGCCTAGGCTGGAGTACAGTGTCACGATCACAGCTAACTGCAGCCTCAGTCTCCCAGGCTCAGGCAGTCCTCTTGTCTCAGCCTCCCAAGAATCTGGGACCACAAGCACGTGCCACCATGCTTGGCTAATTTTTTTTTTTTTTTTTCCTTTTTGAGAGACGGAGTCTTGCCATGTTGCCCAGGCTGGTCTTGAATTCCTGAGCTCAAGGGATCCTCTCACCTAGGCCTCCTAAAGTGCTGGGACTGCAGGTGTAAATTACCTTGCCAGCCTTTTTTTTTTTAACAGCTTTATGGAGATATAATTCATATATCATACAATTTGTCCATTTAAAGTATACAATTCAGTTTTTAGTGTATTCACAGAGTTGTGCAACCATCACCACAATCAGTTAAAACATTTCATAATCCCCCAAACAGACCCAATATCCATTAGCAGTCACTCTTCATTTTCCCCCAACCTACCCATAGTTCTATATTTTCTGTCTCTACAGAGTATCCTTTTCTGGATGTTTCATTTAAATGGAATCATGTAACCCATGGTCATTTGTGACTGGCTTCTTTTACTTAGCTCGGTGTTTTCAAGGTTCTTCCATGTTGCTTCATGTATCACTTTATTCCTTTTTATTGTTGAATAATATTTCATTGTATGGATATACCACATTTATTCATTCATCAGTTGATAGCCATTTGGGTTATTTGCTTTGGGGCTATTATGAACAATAGCTATGAACATTCAGGTACCAGTTTTTGTATAGACATATATTTTCATTTCTTTAGGTTATATGTCCAAGAATAGGAGTAGAATTCTACCTAAGAGTTGAATTGCTGGGTCATACAGTAACTCTTAATGTTTAGCCTTTTGAGGAACTCAGATATTCTTAACTTTTCAACATTTGAAGTAGAATATTTAGATGATCATTTAAAGTACAGACAGTTTTGTGGTTAAATTAGGTATATATGGTTTTATCATAAGACTACATTAATTTTAGTAATCAGAAAACTATGTTTATAAAGGATACTTTAAAAAGTGTAAAATCATGGTAATGGTCATTTTTAGAATAATTTTATTACTGAGTTTGTACTTTGTTTTACTTTGTAGAAATACTAAAAAATTTTTGGCTCATAGTTTTATTCATGATATCACTGTGTTTAACCATTGAATGTTTTCACACACAAACGCACACACACAGTGTGTGTGTATGTGTACAGCATATGAATTTGACACAGTATCTCACTCCGTCACCCAGGCTGGAGTGCATGGCATGATCACAGCCCACTGCAGCCTCAACCTCCCTGGGCTCAGGTGATCATCCCCCATCAGCCTCCTGAGTAGCTGGGACTATAGGTGCAAGCCACCATGCTCAGCTACTTTATATATATATATATAAATATATATATAATATATATAAAAATATATATATTATATATAAATATATATAATATATATTATATATTTATATATATTATATATATAAAATATATATATATATTATATATATATTTTTAAACAGAGATGGGGTTTCACCATGTTGCCCAGGCTGATCTTGAACTCCTGGGCTCAAGCAGTCCGCCTGCCTCAGCCTCCCAAAGTTCTGGGATTATAGGCATTAGCTATCGTGCCCAGCCGTTTTCTTTCCTTTTCTTTTTTCTTTTTTTTTTTGAGACAGAGTCTTGCTCTGTCACCCAGGCTGGAGTGCAGTGGCGCAATCTCAGCTCACTGCAACCTCTGCCTCCTGGGTTCAAGCAATTCTCCTGACTCAGCCTCCCAAGTAGCTGGGATTACAGGCATGCACCACCACATCCAGCTAATTTTTGTACTTTTAGTAAAGACTGGGTGAAACCCAGTCTGCCAGGCTGGTCTCGAATTCCTGACTTCAGGTGATCTGCATGCCTTGTCCTCCCAAAGTGTTGGGATTACAGGCATGAACCACCGCACCTGGCCTCCCAGCTGTTTTCATATTTTAATGCAGGTGATATTAAGACATGTTTAGGATGTATACTTAGGGCCTTGTACTATGAAGGAATTTATTTTCTCTGAGCATTGTCACAGAGGGTCTTCATTCTTCCATATAAAAACTAGGAATATTATAATAAAGAGAAGGCCAATACAATAAGCAAAAAGAACAAAGCTGGAGGCATCACTTCAAAGAGAACATCACGGGAGGCTCCCCAACTTCAAACTATACTACAAGGCTACAGTAACCAAAACAGCATGGTGCAGGTATAAGAACAAACACAGAGATCAATAGAACAGAATAGAGAACTCAGAAATAAGATCACACACCTACAATCATCTGATCTTCAAGAAACCTGACAAAAACAAGCAATGGGAAAAGGACTCCCTATTTAACAGAGGGTGCTGGGAGAGCTGGCTAGCCATATGCAGAAAACTGAAACTGGATCCACTTCTTACACCATATACAAAAATTAACTCAAGATGGATTAAAGACTTAAATGTAAAACCCAAAACTATAAAAACCCTAGAAGAAAATCTAGGTAGTACCATTCAGGACATAGGCATGGGCAAAGATTTTATGATGAAAATGCCAAAAGCAGTTGCAACAAAAGCAAATACTGATAAATGGGACCTAATTAAACCAAAGAGCTTCTGCACAGTAAAAGAAACTATCATCAGAGTGAACAGACAGCCTACAAAATGGGAGAAAACTTTGTAATCTATCCAACTGACAAGGGTCTAATATCCAGAGTCTACAAGGAACTTAAACAAATTTATAAGAAACAAACAACCCCATTAAAAAGTGGGCAAAGGACATGAACAGACACTTCTCAAAAGAAGACATACATGTGGCCAACAAACATATGAAAAAAAGCTCAACATCACTGATCATTAGAGAAATGCTGATCAAAACCACAACGAGATACCATCTCACACCAATCAGAATGGCTATTATTAAAAAGTCAAAAACAACAGATGCTGGTGAGGTTGCAGGGGAAAAGGAATGCTTTTACACTGTTGATGGGAGTGTAAATTAGTTCAGCCATGTGGAAGACAGTATGGCGATTCCTCAAAGATCTAGAAGCTGAAATACCATTTGACCCAGCAATCCCATAACTGGGTGTATACCCATAGGAATATAAATCATTCTAGTATAAAGATACATACACGTGTATGTTCATTGCAGCACTATTCAGAATTGCAGAGATATGGACTCAACTTTAATGCCCATCAATGATAGACTGGATAAAGAAAATGTGGTACATACACCATGGAATACTATGCAGCCATAAAAGGAATGAGATCATGTCCTTTGCAGGGACATGGATGGAGTTCGAAGCCATTATCCCGAGCATTCTAACACAAGAACAGAAAATCAAACATGGCATGTTTTCACGTGTAAGTGGAACTGAATAATGAGAACATGTGAACACAAAGAGGAGATATACACACACTGGTGCATGTCGGAGTGGCGGGGACGGGGGTGAGAGAGAGCATCAGGAAGAATAGCTAATGGATGTTGGGCTTAATACCTAGGTGATGGGTTGATCTGTGCAGCAGACCACCATGGCACGTGTTTACCTGTATAACAAACCTGCACATCCTGTACCTGTACCCCTGAACTTAAAAGTAGAAGAAAAAAATAATAATAAAGAGAGGGTGTAGCATGCCTCCTGTTAGGTATTTTGTTATGTATTTGGCCAGGAGAATACAGAAAGAAAATATTTTCTCCAACTTAAGATACATGGGTAGAAAAACAGCTTAATAAAAGTCAACGTTATTTATGTTAATATTTGGGTATTGCCAATACAGTAAGTACAGTAAGACATGGACAAGTGTATGCAATTCAGAAAATAATAAAAATTATGAGGGAAATGGATGAAGCATAATTGAAACAATAAGTTAATACATAATTTGACCAAATGGTATACTTAAGAGAATGGTAGGGGGAATTATAATAATAACTTTTTGTGTATATTTGGAGATTATTAATGTCAAAAGGAGAAAACTTGGTCCCTAGATTACTGAAAAATGCACTGTTATAGTCTGAACAAAATTAATTTTGTGTATAATGAAGGTTATAAAATTACATATTAACTTCTCAGGGAAAAGCAGTTTTACTATTTTAGTTATCTAAGAACTAAAATAAAAATGTCACTATTATCTAAAACAAAATTTCAAATTATACTATTATCTAAAGCTAAGGTAAAGATGGCATTTTTGAAAGCTAGATTGACAGGGGATCGCCTAATATACTCTTGAACACCTCTTTAGGTTTACCTGTGAACTAAATCGGCTTGGAATTGAAAATTATCTTGACATTTCAACATGTTTGCTTACATTTAACTTATAAAATAAATAATGTTGACTTTTATTGAGCTTTTTTTTACCCTTATATCATAAGTTTAAAGAAAATATTTTCTTCTTTGTATTCTCCTGGCCAAACACGTAAGAACAAAATACCTGGCAGGAAGTGTACTAGGCCCTCTCTTTATAACTCTTTGAAGTAAGCATAATTAGTTTCATTGTACTGATTCAGCAACCAAAGCTCAACAGACATACTAGTTGTGTGCTGAATAATACAGTGTATTCATAAAACAAATACAGAGCTGTAAAAAAGTCATGCAATTAGCAGCTTCCTGGGTAGAAGCTAAAGTGCTCCATAATTCAAAGATGGGAAGTTGGGACCCAAGGTTAGTCACATCCAGCTTTATGGATAAAGGAACACTAGGGCGTATATTTAAAGGAGTATATTGTTTGGATTATTGGAAGTGAAAACCAGAATATGTCTCAGTGGTGTAAGTAGCATGAGTGAACATGAGAAAAGACAAGCATCATATTTGTTAGGAAGTTTTCTACTAGGCTCTTTCGTTGGCAGGGAACAGTAACAGAAGAGTATCTTCTCTCTCTCTCAAGGCCACTCAACTTCTCTGTACATTTACTCTTCCATTATTTTTTTCCAACCCACTTTTTTAAACTTGTATACTTAGGCCCCCAGCCTTAAGGATCTCTTAATCTCAGCAACCACTTTCCCTGTTTCTATCATTGAAAATGTTTATATCAGAAAGAATCTGATTAGAGTATAGAATCTTTTAGAGACCACTGACACATAGATTTCTGGCCAACTCTTGTCTCCTTGGGTTATATCTGTTTCAGACAGCTTTGACCACAGGAATGGGACCATGTGGCCCACTGTTAAGAGACAAGGATTTCCTCAACATCAGGAAGTCCTATCTGCTGAATTAGGCAGTCTGTAAAGAGGAAGCCTGAGTCAAGCACAGGGAAAGCATAATGAGTCATGGACCTTCCTACTTCCTGGATGGAGGTGGAGGGTGGAACTTTTATGAAAACTGTCATCATTTAAAAATTACATCAAGGCAAAAGATCTTTTTTCTTCCTGGTAGTTCATGAGTGAAACTGCCTGTCTCCAAAATCTTTGTGTTTGCATCTCCTTTGTACCCCTCTCACTACTCCGAATTTAGTGAAGTGAGCACATACATTTCTGTTTATCAGAAAAATAAAAAAATTATAGTAATTGAGATTTAGGTTGAATTATGGAGATAACAGTATTAAATGAAAAGAAATTTAGAGAAAATTGAGTAGTGAGAATTATTAAATGATGAACTTTTATAAGGTAAGGACTATGATTTTATCTTTATTTTCTAACGACTAAACCAGCATAGAGATTTGTAGTTAATGCTCAAAAATAGTTGTTAAATAAATAATACACCACCTATTTCAACACAAGAGGCAAAAAAGGAATAAATCCTTAATGTGTAACAATTTTTTCTTGAATTTTTATCAGAATTCTCAAAATTCTCTTCTTTAACTATGGTAGCATTAATTTTTTTTTTTTTTTTTTTTTTTTTTTTTGAGACGGAGTTTCCCTCTTGTTGCCCAGGCTGGAGTGCAATGGCGCGATCTTGGCTCACCGCAACATCCACCTCCCAGGTTCAAGCGATTCTCCTGCCTCAGCCTTCCTGAGTAGTTGGGATTACAGTCATGCCTCACCATGCCCGGCTAATTTTGTGTTTTTAGTAGAGATGGGGTTTCTCCATGTTGGTCAGGCTGGTCTCGAACTCCCGACCTCAGGTGATCCGCCCACCTTGGCCTCCAAAGTGCTGGGATTAAGGCATGAGCCACCGTGGCTGGCTTTTTTTTTTTTTTTTTCCTGCAGAGTCTCACTCTGTTGCTCAGGCTGGAGTGCAGTGGTGCAATCGGCCCTCCCACGTTCAAGCCATTCTGGTAGCATTAATTTTTTTTTTTTTTTTTTTTTTTTTTAGATGGAGTCTTGCTCTATCACCAGGCTGGAGAGTGCAGTGGTGCAATCTTGGCTTACTGCAACCTCCGCCTCCTGGGTTCAAGGGATTCCTCTGCCTCAGCCTCCTGAGTAGCTGGGACTACAGGCATGTGCCATCACGCCTGGCTAGTTTTTTGTATTTTTTAGTAGAGATGGGGTTTCACCATGTTGGCCAGGCTGGTCTCGATCTTCTGACCTCGTGATCTGCCCACCTTGACCTCCCAAAGTGCTGGGATTACAGGCGTGAGCCACCGTGCTCAGCCTAATTTTTTAAAAAGTATTTCTTCTGGCTGGGCGCGGTGGCTCATGCCTGTAATCCCAGCACTTTGGGAGGCCGAGGCAGGCGGATCATGAGGTCAGGAGATCGAGACCATCCTGGCTAACACGTGAAACCCCATCTTTACTAAAATACAAAAAAAAAATTGGCTGGGCGGGATGATGCATGCCTGTAGTCCCAGGTCCTTGGGAGGCTGAGGCAGGAGAATGGTGAGAACCCGGGAGGCAGAGCTTCCAGTGAGCCGAATGACCCACTGCACTGCAGCCTGGGCAACAGAGCGAGACTCTGTCTCAAAAAAAAAAAAAGTATTTCTTCTTCGATTAAAATGTATATATAGTTTTAGATACTCATATCTGTTTCTCCTATTTTACTCCAACACTACCATGTGGTCTTTGTAGATACTAAAATTTATAAGTAAAGATGAATCATAAATTTGATAATTAGCAAATAATTAAAATTATATAATGTCCTATATATTATAAAAACTATTCTAAATCTATAATTAATATTGGATTCTAAGATGGCAATCTATTTTCAGAAGCATTTTCTTTTTTCATATTAAATTTTTTTTTTTTTTTTTTTTTTTTTTTTTTTTGAGACGGAGTCTCGCTCTGTCGCCCAGGCTGGAGTGCAGAGGCGCGATCTCGGCTCACTGCAAGCTCCGCCTCCCGGGTTCACGCCATTCTCCTGCCTCAGCCTCCCAAGTAGCTGGGACTACAGGCGCCCGCCACTACGCCCGGCTAATTTTTTGTATTTTTAGTAGAGACGGGGTTTCACCGTTTTAGCCGGGATGGTCTCGATCTCCTGACCTCGTGATCCGCCCGCCTCGGCCTCCCAAAGTGCTGGGATTACAGGCGTGAGCCACCGCGCCCGGCCTTCATATTAAATGTTTTTATATTTTTTGGAGCATGAGAAAATGCATAACTTTTAATATAGATATCCCTAATTATTAACAAAATTAAGAATAAATATAATATCTTCCAACTGCATATCTTACTTATTTTCTTAATTTGTTTGCTCATCTACACATATGGCCCCTGAAAAGGCCACCCCATTTCCTAAATTTATATAATACCATCTTCTAATGCCTAGTACCCAGGTACTATCACTTAGCTCAATTTCTTACTAGTAAGAATCTGTTTAACTCAGCATTGATTAGGTCCACTATTGCTCCAACCTACTCTAGAGTATAAACCCTTGAGGTAGTGTATTTGACCTAATTGACTTATTCATTATATCCTGAGCGCCTAGCATGCTTCATGGTGTGGCAAATGCTTTCTGAAAGGTTGAACATCAGATGTTTTCATAAATGGTTAAAGTTTGTATAATTATCACTTAGAGCATCTGGGTGAAATAACTTTGATGTATCTTTAATTAGTTGAGTATATAGAATAAAAGACTAGTATTTAGGTGGCATTCCAGGTGCCCAGCCAAATTAAATACTCCATATTTCTTTGTCATAGACTGGAAGGTTAAGAGTATATGCCACCGAGCCCTAGAGGAATTCTTAGAATTTTGTACAGCTGCTCTCATCAGTGAATTGTGTACAGAAAGCCTGAATTCTGCTAGTGTAGTAGTAGTAGTATGTGCATGTATATGTGAGTGTGTATGTTTATATAAATGTACTTATATGTATAAATAGTAGTTTATATATTTATATAGTAGTAATCATTTTAATATAGCAGCTAGTATGATTAGGGATTGTAAAATCCTTCTGTGCTTCCCTGTAGAAACCATACATTACTGGGAAACCAAATATATATGTGTTTTTCAAATATCTCTGAGAGTGACCCAGAATATTTCATTTTTTTATGATTCTACTATGTGGATTTCATGACCTTGAATGGGTTATGACCCGAAGTTTTAAAAATATTGCTGTAACTGGGACTAAAGAGTTCAGTCAATAGAAATGACTTAAAATTTTAGAGTTGGTAGCCAGCATTACCTGTATATTATTTATGTTTGCTTTGCCTACCTAGTAATAGGCCCTTCTGGAATTCTAATGCAAGTGCTAGTATAAAAGGGCAGTGGAATACCTCGGCTTTAGTGTATAAAAGGGCAGTGGAATACCTAGGCTTTAGTTTCTTACCAGCTCTTGAAGACCCTCCCTGTACGGAGAGTGTCATCAGCATCAGTGGAAGGGCAAAGGGAAACCCATGCACACATAACCTGTTTCTGCTTTTTTTCTGTTCAGTTCTTTTTAACTAATACATTGAGCACTTATATCAGGTATATGTTTATGGCCTCTTCTGCCAGTAAAACCTGGACCTACAATATTGCAAATAGAACAAAATTCTTCCAATTTGTGCTAGGGATATTTCAGTGGAAACATTTGAGAAGTAATGAAAGATGTAATGAGAGTTATTTCAGGTTATCTTCTGAGTGAATAGTTTAAGCTTTTAAGTGAATATAAATAAGCTAAACTCCACCTCAAGTAATCTACCACTGATTTTAATGAAATTCCAACATTTTAGTAATGGTAAGTATACCCTGTGAAGAAAACATGGTAACATGATATTAGTTTAAGTTTCTTCATAGAGCTAACTGCTGATTTGTATCTAATACTGCACATCCATCTTTCTGAAGAAAACTTTAATAAGGTAGTATCTGCCCTAAAGCTGCCAACTCATGTTTTAACAGTTTTAATAGTCGAGTTACTCAGTATGAAACAGGCTTCCTCACTAAGTGAGAGGATTTCAGGTCTGAGGGAAGAATATTATCATTTAGATAGACACTGTGCCATAAAACTTTCTATAATGATGTGATAGCTGTTGAGCACTTAAAATATGGCTAGTGTGACTTTTAAATTTTATTTAATTTTAATTAATTTAAATGTAATTTTCTGCATGTGGTTAATGGCTGTCCTATTGGACAGTGCACTTTTAGATATTACTTTTGATACATTGATTTTGGGTTCATCTGAATTGCTTGCTGTATGGTTGAATGCTGTCCTTAAAAATTGCAATGAAATGTAATGAGTGGACCTGATTTTGTGTCTAGTTGAAGGTATAACCACACAAAAGAACTGTTTAAAGTGACTTTTAGATATTTTAGTTTTACTAGTTTACTGTATTTTGAGGATCAAAAGAACTGTGTTTTCAGTAATTGTATTATTATGTTAGTGTTGGTGCCGAAAGTGTCAAAAACAGAGGTTGTTGGCACATTAACTGAGATTTTTGACATGTTAAAAGCAAGGACTACAAATGTAAAAACAGATAACAACAAAAATACTATAATTCTGAGTTTGAATTGAAAGTGTTGATAATGACTTCTGTCATTGAAGTATGAAATACAATTATTTTTAATCAATTATTTTCTTTGAATTTTAAAATCTGTGATAATTTTGAAACAGACTTGATAAAATACTAGCTCCAATATCCAGATTTTATAACTTAATAGTTACAGTGTTGCTGTTTTTCTTGTCATATTTTTGTTTTAAAATATGAAGTATTAATTTAAGGCACATAAATAATGAAGACACATTTTCATTTATTCAACAAACATTCAATAAGCAACTGTTTTAAGCAAAGTATTCCTCTAAGGCTCTGGGAAATGTAAGATACTAAAAACATGATTTCTACTCCCATAAGCTTACTAATTCTTAGGCAAATGTATGCAAGTTCATAGTTGTAATACAGGATAAAATATGGTAAGTGCAGTGAAAGAGACAGTGATAAAATACTTTATTATGGATTTAGAACTTTGACTTCTCCAAATTGTCAGCAGTCAACAGTGCTAAGGGTTTGGGATATCTGACTTTCAGCTTAGGTAATTTATGGGTATCCTTGTCAGGGGTGTCATTCATGGTGTCACTTTGACCTGGGGTTTAAAGCATAGGAAGGATTTGATATGCAATTATGGGGCAAGGGATGAAGAACATGTTAAGGAGAGGGATGCAGTTGGAATTAAGGATTTGGGAAAGTATGGTGCAAGAACCAGGTGATGGTGACTAATTAAGTTTGATTGGAAATACAGAGAAAGTAAGTTTTGAGAAATAAGTAAGCCTATAAGGTCAAGCCTAAGGAGTTTCAGTATAATTTTGTTGTTAATACGAATGGGAGAATAGATATGTGCTGCCACATGACTTTTGTCAATGAATTGGTTCATGGGGAAAGAGGAATGAATTAGATGACAGTTCAGGTCAGAGAAATAAAAAGAAGAATTAGGATGGTAATAATGACTATCTTCAGCAACAGTTGGCTATAATAGTTAATTATTAATAGGAGAATTTTGACTTCTATTATAGCCTATGGGAAGTTTTAAAGTAATATGATTGCTAAAAATTTGAATATCAGTTTAGAGCTCTAAAATGCTATAACCTTTAACAGAAGACTTTTTTTTTTTTTTTTTTTTTTTTTTGAGACGGAGTCTCGCTCTGTCGCCCGGGCTGGAGTGCAGTGGCGGGATCTCGGCTCACTGCAAGCTCCGCCTCCCGGGTTCACGCCATTCTCCTGCCTCAGCCTCCCAAGTAGCTGGGACTACAGGCGCCCGCCACTACGCCCGGCTAATTTTTTTGTATTTTTAGTAGAGACGGGGTTTCACCGTTTTAGCCGGGATGGTCTCGATCTCCTGACCTCGTGATCCGCCCGCCTCGGCCTCCCAAAGTGCTGGGATTACAGGCGTGAGCCACCGCGCCTGGCCAACAGAAGACTTTTAATACTCATCAATTAGAGAGTTAATTTTCTCCCAAACACTAGTATTATTATATACCTCCTTTCTAGCAGATAGGCACGTGTTAAACTAGCAATCATTAGTTTAGAAACCATTAAACATCAGAAGTGCACATTACTTAAATTGGGAATGTTTGAAATTACCTTTTAAATCTATAAGCAATTTGGTTGTTGCATATTTCTAAGCCTTGTTATTGATATCAATAGCCAACTAAAGGAGGGAGGACATACATTAGTGAGTGTTGATAGGACTAGAATAAATTTTTGTGAGCCTGCTTTAAAAATTTTGTTTTAAGGTTAATATGACCCTCAGACATATTAAACAGGTAAAATTTATATAAACTTAATAGTAGCCATAAAATAGACTCCTGCAAACTTCTGGGTTTTTGCAGATCTTTATAATAGGTTCTGAAAAAGCTGTTTTTGGGGGAAGTTTTCATGCATTCTAGACAAGACCAGTAATGTCAGAAAGCATGTTATAGGTGCATTTTGTTGTCAATCTTGCCTACGTTAATGGAGACCTCTGAGAAAAATGGAAGCTGACCAGGGATGCATGCTGGAGCTCCAGAGGTTTGCAATGTGCTAACCAAAGCACAGTGTGTGTTAAATGTTAATTTCTTTATGTGTCTATAGCATTTATATCCCCTTTAAAACCTTCAAGTTACTAGCCTGAGCAACATAGGGAGATCCCATCTCTTCAAAAATAAAAATAAAAAAAAAATAGCCAGGTGTGCTGGCATGAGCCTGTGGTCTCCTAGCTACTCAGGAGGCTCAGGTGGGAGGACTGCTTGAGCAGGGAAGATCGAGGCTGCAGTCAGTAAGCTGTGATCACGCCACTGCACTCCAGGCTGGGAGACAGAGTGAGACCATGTCTCAAAGCAAACAAACAAACAAAAAAACTCTAAAACCCAAAACGTCAAGGTTTACTTTTGATATTATCAATCTGGAAAGAGTTAACGTGAAATGTTAATATGAAACCATAATACTAAGATTTGGTTTAGGTTAGATGGGTCATACCCATGCTAGTAAACTTCTAGGAGGTCGCGTAGATTCTATTGCTATTTTGGACTTCTGCATTATAAAATTTTGTTTAAAATAATTGGACCATTTTTTAAAGCTTGGATTGAAAAGTGTAACAAGGGGAGATTTGACTATCTTACATGTTTCATCTATATATTTCATATCTGTTTGATGTATGGTTTCTCGATTAAGAATTATTAATTATAAGTAAATTTAGTATTTACAAAAAGAATTAAAGCATGATTTTGCTATGTATTCTTTTAGACGCTAGCATTTATGAAATTTTGTCATAAATGTAGGAAAAAATTAACATTATAAGAAGTTAGTTTTTGACATTGACTAAGAAAGAATAGGTGAAAACCAATATAATGTAATTCCAAGCTTCAGCTTACTTTCAAGGAATAAATTGATGGAAGCTGTATAGTTGAAAATTGTCCATTTTGTTCATTTCTGTCTAGATTTCTTTTTCTAACTTTTTTGAGACAGGGTCTCACTCTCACCCTGGCTGGAGTGCAGTGGTGTAGCCAAACCTCATTGCAGCCTAAAACTCCTGGGCTTAAGCAGTCCTCCTGCCTCAGCCTCCCAAATAGCTAGGACTACAGATAGGTGCCTGTAGTCCATACTGGCTGGCTAATTTTTTTTTTAAATTTAGTAGGGATGGGTTCTTCTAATTTGCCTAGGCTGGTCTCTAGCACCTGGCCTGAAGTGATCCTCCCACCAGACCTCCCAAAGTGCTGAGATTATAGGCATGAGCCATCACACCTGGCATTTCAGTCTAGATTTCAATTTCTTTTTCGGTTTATCCGGTTTGGGGTTTGCTCATCTTCTTGAATCTTTAGGTTTTTATGTCTTTAACCAAAAATGAAAAGTTTTTAGCCACCACCTCTTCAAATAATTTTTCAACTCTACACCATTTTTCCTCCCCTAAGATTCTGTTGACATGAATCTCAGACATTTTGTTATCGTCTCACAGGTCCCTGGGTCAGTTTTAACTGTTTTTCGATGCTTATTTTGTCTGTTGTTCAGACTGGATAATTTCTATTGATCTACCTTTGAGTTCATTGGCTCTTTTTTTTTATCATCTTCATTTTGCTATTGAGTCCATTCGTGAGTTTTTTATTCAGATTACTGTTGTCAGTTCTAAAGTTTCTATTAGTTTTCTTTATGTCTTCTATTTCATTGCTGTTTTTCCATTTCTATCAAGTTTGTTCTTGATAACTTGAATAATCAGCGACTCAGTGGTGTAACATATTGGACATCAAGAAATACCTATCCATGGATAGTATGCTGTCTCTTCATTATTAGGGGAAAAGCGTAAATGAGAGGAAATAGGCTTTATGAGTTAATCTAGAATCTTGCTTTTTGGTTAGTGAATAGGCCAGTAACACTGATAGGTTGGTTCTCAAAATACATGTGGCTTTTTAATGTAAAATTATTTCTTTTTAGTGTTACTGAAATTTTGTGACTCTTTAGGTTAATGGTACCTGGAAATGAAGCTCCAGAGTTTGTGACTAATTCACTTCTTCTGGACCATCCTGGAGAAATGACTATTAATCAGCTTCCTAAAGTATCATCAAGGATAGATTTTACCTCTGTAAAATAGCTCATTTCATTGTTGATCACCTTGTGATCAGTAGTTTTTCCTATGCTAAATATAAATTTTAAGGTTAGTTCTTCCCCCTAAAAAAACAGAAAATGGGTGTGTTTCATTTTTGTGTAATATTTTTTAATGTGGAAAATTGAAATAGACTGAAACATATAAAAAACCAATGAAAAGTATAAAAACAAATTAGTCATTTATAATTTCACCATTCTGAGAACCATCGTTAACATTTTGGTGTATTTCTTTTTTTTGTTCTTTTTTATTTTCAAATGTTGTGGGTACATGGCATATATTATGTGATACATGAGATATTTTGATACAGGCATACAATGCATTATAATCACATCAGGGTAAATGGGATATCCATCACCTGAAGTGTTTATCCTTTCTTTGTGTTAAAAGCAATCCAATTATTGGTGGGTGCGGTAGCTAACACCTGTAATCCCAGCACTTTGGGAGGCCGAGGCGGGTGGATCACTTAAGGTCAGGAGTTCAAGACCAGCCTGGGCAACATGGTGAAATCCTGTGTCTATTAAAAATACAAAAATTAGCCAGGAGTGATGGCAGGCACCTGTAGTCCCAGCTACTTGGGAGGCTGAAGCGGAAGAATTACTGGAACCCAGGAGGTGGAGATTGCAGTAGCCGAGATTGCACTGCTATACTCCAGCCTGAGCAACAGAGTGAGACTCTGTCTAAAAAATTAAAAAATAAAAATAAAAAATCCAATTCTTTGTGTTAAAAAAAAAATCCAATTGGGCTGTGGCCTGTAATCCTGATCGTTTTGTGATTAATTTTCCAGCTGTCCTTTGAGCTTCTTGTATTTGGATGTCTAGATCTCTAGCGAGGCCAGGGAAGTTTTTCTTGATTATTCTTTCAAATAAGTTTTCCAAACTTAGATTTTTCCTCTTTCTCAGGAACACTATTATTCTTATCTTTGGTCATTTAACATAATCCCAGACTCCTCGGAAGCTTTGTTCATTTTTTTAAATTCTTTTTTTTTTTCTTTATCTGATTGGATTAATTCAAAAGCCTTGTCTTCAAGCTCTGAAGTTCTTTCTTCTGGTTGTTTGCTTCTCTTGTTGAAACTTGGAAAGGGAATAGTGGATAGATAACAAAATAAATCACTTAAAACCTCCCCAAGTAGGTGATTGACTCAACAGGTCAGAGTCTAGATGTTTAGGATGCAGAACTAGGAATATGATCACCATGAGGAAATAAGATTTAAGATACCGTGGGCAGTGGTTTGAAATTAGAAATTAAAGACCAGGGAACAGTGAAAGTGCCTCCTACTTGAAGGTGAGGATTCAGACTCTGACATCACAGTGAGTAGGATTAGAAAGATACCCATGTTATTAAGAACTGGAGTGAGAACTGATATTCATTAAACCAATGGTTTACCACCTTTTTAAAAAAGCACTGGGACCTTTTCTTTAAACAAAATCTCACATAGAATCACAATGTACAAAACATACAAAAGAAGATCCTTGACACAAGTAGTTGGTATGTGGGCCAGAGCTAGAGCCTCTATTTCAAGGTTACTGGGAGTAGGTTCCCTGCTTCCTAAGACTTAAAGGTAGCATAAGACTCTGGAGCATTTTGAAAGGTAATTTCTAGCAATAACAAACCTTTAGAAATCTTTCTCTTTTTGTTGACTTAACTGTCATTAATACAATCACATGGTAAAACATTCAAGCAGAAAAAATATGTGGTGAAAAATAATTATCCCATCCTAGAATCCAGTTTCCCCATTGCCTAGAAGTAAATACAGTTACAAATTTCTTACATGTTTTTCTAGAAATAGTCTATGAGCATACAAGTATATGAATATATCTTCCTCTTATTTTTCTTTATCACAAATGAGATCTTGCTATTTATAGTCTCCACCACCTTGCTCTTTATATTTAACATATTAGCTAGTATAGGTCTACCTCTTTCTTTTTGAACACCTGCATAGTAATCTAGTAAAGATTTTTAAAATCTAATTTAACAATTCTTTATTGATGGAAATGTGTTTTTAAAAGTCTTTTGCCATTATAGTGGTGTAATAAATATCCTTTATGTATACATTTACCAATGTGTTTGAGTATATTTCTAGGATATATATTCCTTTGAAGACTTTTGAGTAGGAAAGTGGTAATACTAAAAAGACAAACCTAATGTGAGGGTGACCAGCACAAAAGAAAAAAAAAAAAGAAGAAGAAAAAGAAAAGCCCACATTTTTTTCACGGTATTCACAACCTGTTATCCCCACTTTGTTCTTTAAGAGGTATATTGTTCCTGTTATATGGTTCTGCATCTTTCCTATTAAAAGGGACTTTTTATTTTAGTTCATCAGACATGTAGTACTTAGACTTTGCTTCCTGGGCTTCTGAGTATACATGGATATTTTATATAGAGTAATATGATTTCTGTTTGATTCTCTGCTTTATTTTTTCATCTCATGCATTGGTTTCAGTTGCTTTCCAGAACTATCTTAAATATTCTAATTAAAATTTTAATTGTGTTTCTTAGTTAAGCAAAGTTTTAGGTCTTTTGCTTGTTCTTTGGAGCCCCTTGGATTTGTAGATGAAAGGATCAGCTAACCATACACCATATCTCTCTTTATCTTTCTAACCTTCGTTTCCTTGTTAGACATTTCTAAGTCTAGTTAGTATTTAAATTCACAGACTATACCTACAATTTAGTTGATATAGAGATATTAAATCTTTCTTAACTCTTATTATCTTTTATATCTTTTTCATAAGTCTTAGGATAACGTCTTCCCCACAGATAGCTCATTGCAAAGGAATATTTAATCCTTTGGATGGAAAGGGATACTCTCTGAATAGATTATTCGCTGAGCAATATGAAAACCACTGCTTTTACCCTTGGATAATTTCTCACCATCAGGTCTTTTGAGATAGAAGTACAACAAGAGTAAATCTTTAAAAGATTTAACAGAAATCTATAATTTAACATGATACACATTTGGAGATAGAATCAAGACTGCCAATGAAAAGAATGATAAGGACAAAATGGAATTAAATTGTTAAATATTTCAATGCAGTATTAATTTTGTGTGTGTTTTTTGTTGGTTTTGGGGGTCAGTTGTTTTTTAACCACCAATTTTGTAAAACTCTGATAGAAACTTGAGAGCTGGTTTAATTCAATCTCATAATTTTTTAGGTAAGGAAACTAGTATTTAGGGGAGTCTGAAACTTGCTGAATATCACAGGTTAACACACAGAACACCTGGTTGCCAGCCAGTTCTGTTTGAGGATGTAATAAATTGTTTGTTTATAGTGGTAAAATGTGTCAAATGACAAAAAAAGCAATTCATTTTACATATTCACATTTTAAACCACTGTATACCATACTTAATTCTTTGAAATTCTGTTTCAGAAAATTTAGGTAAATAAAAATTTTATGAATAGAATCTTTTTCCTATGAACATATTATTTTCAAAGAATAATTTTGTCTGCTGTCTGATAAGGTATTTCGGCCACATCCCCTATTTCTGAATGTCCTTTAACAGAAGATTTTTCATTTGTTGCCTGGTTTTTGTTTCTGTTTTGCTATTTAATATCTTGAAGTTTTATATGTTCAAATGTTCAGTTGCCTGGAAGTTGTCTAAACAAATAATTATATGTAAACCTTTCTCAGAATTTTTAGAAAATATTGAACTTGTATAATAAAACTCTACTCTTAGTGGTTCTGATAAACCAAAAGAAGTAGCATAGTGACTACCTCCTGATATTCTTCCTAATTATCATATTTCTCTGAGGTTACATTATAAAGGAAAAGTAAGGACTCACTGAATCTGCTGTGTTTTGAACTCCCACAGATAACTTTTGCTACTGTTAGTACAAATAAAATCATTCTTTAAAAAAAGTCCTTTCAGGAAAAATATCTAAGTCTATTTTTATTTGTAATTTCTGCATCTTTAATCTGTGGCTATACTTTTTTTTTTATTACCTTGCTTTTCTTGACGGTATATGGCAACACTAAAGTATCAGTGCACCTGAAACACAGGGAACTAATCATGTTTACATATCTCAGGCAACGTGTCTTGGTCTCCCTGTTAGCACCTGTTCAGGTTTACACCTACCAGCTGTCAGTGTTCATGAACTCTATGATTACACAAAACAGGAATACTTGAGATACATAAACTTGAACAATATTATCATTAACAACTGATCATTGAATCCTTTTATAGTACATAAAATCATCATGCAGGGAAGAAGTTGTGGTCTGTCATTTTCATAAATTTGGATTTTTATTTGCGCTCAGAATTGTTATAGATAAATGTCATTTTAGTAAAATACAGCAAATGTATGTTACCCAGTATGAGTGAGCATTGTGATGTGTGTTAATTACATGTGATACATTATCAGTGTTTAAACATTTGGATAAAATGTGAAATATTAGACTCTTAGAAGGATGCTGACACAAAAGATGTTGAGTATAATTTTATCACTTATTACAGTAGCTTTGGGTCATCAAAATCAGCTTGACTCACCTTACTATTATAGTTATATAGAATTACTATTAAAGTTTTAGCTAGTTGAATTTCAAATAATACCCTTTTTGATATTTTAGATCAGAGTTTTTCATCCATAGCAACACTAACAACTTAGTTTGGATAATTCTGTAGGGGAAGACTGTTCTTCTTGTCCATTTTAGGGTATTTAACAGCATCCCTGGCCTCTATCTCCACTCAATGCCATTAGCACTTTTCCAGTTGTGACAACCGAAAATGTCACCCATATGTTCCCTGGTGGGGGAGATGGTGTGTCAGAAAACCAAAATCACTGCTTTAGGCTACAGGAAACATCTATAATGTATCAAATCATTTGTAGTCCCTTCATCTTTTGCACATATTTCTCCCATGGTTCACAACATTTTTTTTTTTTTACTATAGTGTTTTGCGTTAATTTGTGGTTATAGTCGTCTTTTAACTAGTTAACCTTCTTTTTTCTTTTCTTCTCATTTTTTTGTTTTGTTTTGTTTTGGTTTTGTTTTTGTTTGAGACGGAGTCTCACTCTGTTGCCCAGAATGGAGTACAGTGGTGCAACCTTGGCTCACTGCAATATCCACCTCTTGAGTTCCAGCAATTCTCCTGCCTCAGCCTCCCGAGTAGCTGGGATTACAGGCACCCACTACCGCGTGGGTCTTGCTAATTTTTGTATTTTTAGTAGAGACAGGGTTTCACCATGTTGGCCAGGCTGGTCTCGAACTCCTGAACTCAAGTGATCTGCCCACCTCGGCCTCCCAAAGCTCTGGAATTACAGGCGTGAGCCACCGCGCCAAGCCTAGTTAAATTTTGAAATAAGGCATCCCAGCACTTTGGGAGGCGAAGACAGGCAGATAGTTTGAACTCAAGAATTCAAGACCAGCCTGGGCAACATGGCAAAAACCTGTCTCTAACAAAAAATAGAAAAACTTAGCCAAGCATGGTGACAGGTACCTGTAGTCTCAGTTATTTGGGAGGCTGAGGTGGGAGGATCACTGGAGCCCAGGAGGTTGAGGCTGCAGTGAGCCATGATCACAACACTGCACTCCAGCCTGGGTGACAGAGAGAGACCTTGTTCTCAAAAAAAAATGACCAAGTTATACATTAGAAACTATAATCTCTTGAATGGCCTTAAGTTAAAAGATGTACCTACTAGATATTCTTCCATTGTTGAATTATAGACGGGAGGTCATGTTATTATACTCCATTTGTTGTGATCCTGTGATATCTAGGCTGGTTTTGAACACAAAGAATGGGTTAGTTCGTGATCATTTGGAACCCAAGATGAAAGGAGTATTCTTAACACAAAGGGTCAGAACGAGAGGCCATTATAGGAGCGTAGGTGTCAGATGTGGATGCTCTGGCCCTAACAGAAATCTAGGAATAGATGGTTCTTGGATACCTGAACTGTTTTTATTTTAATGAATATATTTTTCTAAAAAGATATGAATAAATGAGTTTCTGCAGATTTTTATGTACTATGCTTGAATTATAAATAGTAACTCATGATAACATATTTTGTCAACAAAATGAATGTATTAATTTTTCATCTGTATTTGTATTATAGATGAAAAATCAGCTTATTTGGAAAATTTTAAGATAACGTACCTTACCACATTGATATCGGTACAATTATGAGACATTTATTTTAAATTCTTAGCACGTAATCTATCTGGCTAAAAATATAATTCCATGGTAAGGATATACATAATCTATAAATAGTATAACTCTTAAATATTCACTTTAACATGAATAATTTAGAATACCTTGAGGTTTCTTTTCTTGCCACATATACACATGGGTAATTATATACATAGATGCTCACTCATTAAAAACAATAGCTAACAAGTATTAAATGCTAGGTACTCTACCCTTTACATGCATTATCTCATTTAATCCTCCCAACTACATCTTCTTGAAATCACTCATGAGGAAATTGAGAACTGAGAGAAATTACATAATTTTTACAAAATCACAACTAATAAACTTCAGGCACAGTGTTTGAACCCAGATAATGTTTATTAGCAAATATCTCAGTGACACAATGTAGTCTGTTCTTCATTCCTTCAAGGTTTAGTTTTTTATACTCTTTAACTTCAATGCATATGTATTTTTTTTTTAGTGCTTACTATATGGAAGACTTTGTGGGTTTTTTTTTTGTTTGTTTTTTTACTTTTTATTTTGAAATAATTTTAGACCTAAAAATAAAAAACAGAGTTCACATATATTTTTCATCCAGCTTCCCCTAATGTTAATAAGTTGTATAACCAGAGTGCAATTATCAAAATTATAAACATCAGGAAATTAACATTGATAGAATACTATTAACTAAACTACAGACCTTATGTGATTTTCACTAGTTTTGCCATTAATATCCTTTTCTTGTTCTAAAATCCAACTTAGGATCCCACATCACATTTAGTTGTGGGATCCTAGGTCTCACACTAAGGAATTCCTAGTCTCCTTAGTCTCCAACCTATGGCAATTCCACAGTCTTTTTTTTTTTCTTTCTTTCATGACTGTGACACTTTTGATGAATACCAGTCAGTTATTTTGTATATGGTTTTTCAATTTGGGTCTGTGTGGTGTCTCATGGTTCAGCTGAGTTTGTGTAGTTTTGGGAAGAATACCACAGAAGTGATGGACTCTTCTGGGGCATCAGAAAATACATGATGTTGATATTTTGTTATAGGTAATGTTGTTTCTCCACTGTGAAACTATTCTTTTCATCTTTTCATTTAATTGATATTTTGGAGGAGATACTTTGAGACTATGCAAATATCCTGTTTCTCCTCAAATTTTGACCCACTGCTTTTAGTAACCTTTGGTGCATATTATTTTATTTTGTTTTTATTATTTATATATATATTTTTTATTATACTTTAAGTTCTAGGGTAGATGTGCACAACATGCAGGTTTGTTACATATCTATACCTGTTCTTTGACTAGTTCTTACGATATGGTAAGCCAATGATTGTTTTGTGGATTTTTCACAGTTATACAATTTCACAATTACAAAGGCATTGCCTTCTCACCTTTTAACTATCAAGTTGATGGCCAGGATTTCTTGTGCTTTAGAGGGGATGATAGTAAATAAAACTGAAAGAATAATATTTAACTTAAAAAGAAGACTTAAAACTAAACCTTGTAAATTCAGGCATAAGACAATCTTCATTCTAGAGTGCAAAGGCTAGAGTGGATTTGTTAAATTTCTATAAAATGACAAAAAAAGGGTATGTGTAAGATGAACTTGCAGTAGTTGACCCAATTTTTGGTTATTAGAACTAAGAAATGCCTATTAAAAACAACAACTACTTAAGACCAGTATGAGAGAATTAGTACTTTACATGCAAGAAGACTACTCAGCCAGCTAATAAATCTTAGGCTAAAAATACCTAGTATAAATATAGTTGAAATAAAATAATACATGAATAATGTCTATAATAGAGCTTCTAAGGAAAATGGTTACATAAGCATATGTTTTTAAGAAGTTAAGCCCCTTCTTACTTAAATGAGCAAAAAGAACCAGATATAGAAGAAAAAAAATTACACCTTTACTGAAACTAAAAAAGGCCCCAGCCTATACTACTAGCTCTAGTTCTACTCTCATTGCCAGTTTTAAATTTTATTTTTAAGCAGTACTGTAGCAAACAACGTTGTATATATCACTTTACCTAATGATACTTTATCTGTGAGTGTGTGTGTGTGTGTGCACGCGCACACATATTTGTGCATGTGCGTTTATTTAAATAATTATTCAGATTAATTCTTCAGGGAAAGTAATATCCATTAAGCAGTATGTATACAAGACTACTTCTTTTGCCTTCTTGATTTTCCTTACTTTAGTCCTGAATCAGGTTTTATCAACAATAAGAAATACCTATACTTCATAGCATATTATCCTATAAAAAGTTAATGACTATTTTATATTGATCTCTTATATGCCAAGTACTCAGCTAAAGTGCTTATCTTATTATGTCACCAAATTACTTCTGCTGTGGAGTACAAAGGCAAATTTTTTTAAACCCCTTCCATTATTTTTTTTACATAGTATATTTACGTAGCAGATAGAATTCTTGAAGACAATGAGGTTACCAGCTATAAAGAAAAAATAGCTTTTTCCTAAACTCACTTCTAGGTAAAGAGTCCATATTTTTTGTATTTAGTGAAAATTAGACTTGGTAAAAATAATTTTTATGGGCCTTACCATCAGACAGCCACATGTCTCAGAGTTCATTAGTTACTGTTGCTGACCCAAAACCTACTCTTTAAACATTAGTTGCATGCAGCCATCAGTAGCAACTATGCCTTTCCCATGATGAATGCTGATAAAGAGAAATACAAATTCTGTAAGAATATGGACAGACTCATCATAGCAGTACTGTCATTTATGGAAGTGATTTACAGCAATACTAGAATATGAAGAGAAGTTTTTGAATTCTATATGATTAGAAGGCTCATTGAAATGGTCTTTCTAATGATGTTGCATGTCAATTTAAGATTACCTTCCCCATATATATCTTATCTTATGAGAAAAATTATCTACATACTTTATGGATTCAATCAACAATTAGGCAAACACTAGCCTTGCATTATTTTAATTAGTCAATTTTTTAAATGAAATCCAACTATTTTTCTTAGTAAAGATACAGTTCTTCTGTGAGTTGCCTGTAGAATTCAATACAGAAATCTTTCTATAGTTAGATTATTTAAATGGTAAGAGTTTTCATGTGGCTGATCATAAATTCATTTATAGGCAAGCAGTATCTTTTTTCTTATTGTAGATCGTGTTCTCTTTAAAGCATCTGTGAATTTAATGACTTTCTTGCTTGATTGTGGGATCAGTGCATGCATAGAGTATTAAAATGAATATAAAATGCCCATTATATTCCAAATTTTTAATATCAGCATTAGTTATTGCAATAAAACCAATGCAAGGCTACAACCATAAAGCCCAACAAATTAATAAAGATGATTAGAAGTGCTTTTGTCATTTTAAATGGGTCACAACTAAGGCCATTTTGAAATCATAGTTTAAACTTGCCTCAAGTTAAACTCTGAAATGTATTTGCCTGTTTTGAGGGGTATGGGGGGGATTCCCAGGCCAGATTCTTGGACACTTAAGAGCTACAAGTATATTGCTATCTGTATTTAGAAGATAAGGGGGCAGACCATTCAAATGTGGTGGTGTTTTTTTTTAATTATTCATTAAGGTAACATAGGAATTCTGTTGCAAGTGAACTGATGTGAGGTAATTTGGGATGAATAAGACGAATATAACATGTTAATTTATGGTTGTGGCAATACACATTTTGTGTGAAATTACTATATTCAAACCACTATTAATTTGGGGGGTATAAGAAAACTCAAGAGGATTTGGTATACTTAAACTTATTCCATAAGTTGGTATTTTAAATTATATTGTTTTTATCTACTCCATATTTTCTCTTTCCAAAGAACATGTATTTAGAAATTTATTTTATATTTTTAAAAGTATACAAAAAGTTTATGTTGAATTCTTTTGAAAAAATTTTTTATCTGATACTGAGAATTAACATTTTCCCTTCTCATAGATATGGAGTCTGGAGAACGGTTACCATCCTCAGCAGCCTCCTCTACTACACCAACTTCATCTTCGACACCTTCTGTGGCTTCAGTAGTTTCAAAAGGTGGCCTTTCCACTGGAGTTGCTTCACTTAGCTCTACAATCAACCCATGTGGTGAATACCCTTTTTTAACTCAATTTTAGAATGCCATTCTTTTAATAATTTGCATAATATTTTATTGAGCACTGAATAAAATATTCTCATGACTTGCATTGACCTGTTGAATAAAGGCTAGGTTAAACACCTAGTCTTTTTGCTTTTTCAGGATTTTACGCTGGGATAGCACTGGTTATTCTATACTTCCTAGGAATTGTCTTTGAGAGTTAAATCTTGATATCTTAATTTGTTTTATCATTTTAATTAATAAATTAATGAAGTCTTTTAAAACAATAGGCCCAAGAGGGAAAGAAATAGAAGGAAGTCCTTGGTAGACACTTTGCCCTAGATTTCCTTCCAGTATTTGAAATGACCTTGTAAGCTCCAGCTACTCCAGTTCACAGATGTATACTAAGGCAGATCATTTACTTGATGGAAAATATTTTTAAAGTTTAGAGCATAACAAGTTTCTTAAACATGAATAAAATTTGGCTGAGCACGGTGGCTCACCCTGTAATCCCAGCACTTTGGGAAGCTGCGGTCAGGAGTTCGAGACCAGCCTGACTAACATGGGGAAACCTCATCTCTACTAAAAATACAAAATTAGCCAGGCATGGTGGCGCATGCCTGTAATCCTGGCTACTCAGGAAGCTAAGGCAGGAGAATCGCTTGAACCCGGGAGATGGAGATTGCAGTGAACCAAGATTGCGCCATTGCATTCCAGCCTGGGCAACAAGAGCGAAACTAAGGAGAGCTTTATTTCAAACGTGAAAATATCCTCAATTTTCTTTAATTAGGTAGAAGATATCTTTAAGCACCTCCCAAAATCACTCTTGGTTCTTTTACAAAGGTGTGGTAGAATACATTCCTTTTATTAAATACCTAAAGTTAATTAACTCATTTATTTATCGGTAGGAAACATTTTAATTTTAACTATTTCTTATCTTATACATTATTTCATGTTTATAAGCAGTAAACTAAATGATATTTTTCTTATTCAGAATTAAAATGGAAACTTTTGCATAAATGTGATGCATAAATATATAATATTTGCTTACAAAATACCTTAGCAAATTGTCAAATAAATGTTTTCATTTATTTTTGTTTTTCCAATCAATGGAATGACAAAAAGGATGTCATTCTGTCATTATATTATGATCAAACCATTTTCTAATATATTCTTAGGGATTACAAAATAACTAAAATAGCACTATATGTGTGTGTATGTGTGTATATATGTATGTATATATACACATATATATATATTTTTTAATTTTTTTATTTTTTTGAGACAGAGTCTTGCACTGTCACCCAGTCAGGAGTGCAGTGGCACAATCTTGGCTCACTGCAAGCTCCACCACCTGGGTTCACGCCATTCTTGTGCCTCAGCCTCCCGAGTAGCTGGGACCGCAGGTGCCCACCACCACACCTAGCCAATTTTTTGTATTTTTAGTAGAGACGGGGTTTCACCGTGTTAGCCAGGATGGTCTTGATGTCCTGACCTCATGATCCGCCCTCCTCGGCCTCCTAAAGTGCTGGGATTACAGGCGTGAGCCACCGCGCCCAGCCGCACTATATATTTTTTAAAAATCAATATAACTTCTCCACCTTGTGTACAGTCTTCATCAAGTAATTAACAAGTTTGTTCACATTTCCCTTATACGCAAAATGATGGCTGGACTGTAAGTGTCCAAGCCTCTGATGATATACTGTGCTCAAAAATAGCGATGCTATGATTGACTTTTTACCTTAGATAAATTTGTGTAAATGATTGCACACAATTGTACTTGTGTAGTTATATTTTCCTGTTTTTGTAATTCTTCTTTCTCTTACCCTTGTTGTGAGCTTTCAGTGTATTCTAATCTGCTGTCTTATTTATTTCTGAATTAGTCTTTAACATACATAGTATTCCTAAAGAAATGTCTTTTCTTATTTGAAGGCTTCAATAGCATCCTTGAGTACAGATTCTGAGTTTTCTGAACACTTTTTTCTCACTTGGTTTTCTGAATTAGTGACATTGGAATTTGCTTGCAGTTCTCATGAGTCATATGTTGGGCACTATTTTTTGTTTGTTAGTGGATGGTTGGAAGCTGCAGAAGGGATGGAGTATGCCGAGTTGCTGAATAACATTAGAAACCTTGTCTAGAAAGGGATGCGTTTTTTTAATCATTATTTGCTACTAGTAAAAAAGAGTATAGAGTATTTATATTGAGATGCTTACATTGAATGAAAGTATAATTCCATTTATCCAGAAATGTGTCATTTATTAACACATATTTTTAGTACCTAAAACATGAGTTTTTTTCATTTTGTAGGTAAAATAATTTTTTTTTAACTTTCACAGTGTTGTAGTCCATGTTTAAAATAAAGCCTTTTACAGCAGCCCCAGTCAGGGGCTTACAGATAAAACTCCCATACCCCTGGGACAGAGCACCTGGGGGAATGTGCGGCTGTGGGCATAGCTTCAAAAGACTTAAACATTCCTGCCTACCAGCTCTGAAGAGAGTGGCAGATCTCCCAGCACAGCACTCGAGCTTTGCTAAGGGACAGATTACCTCCTCAAGTGGGTCCCTGACCCCCGTGTATCCTGACTGGGAGGCACCTCCTAGCGGCAGTGACAGACACCTCAAGCAGGAGAGCTCTGGCTGGCATCTGGCAGGTGCCTCTCTGGGACAAAGCTTCCAGAGGAAGGAACAGGCAGCAATCTTTGCTGTTCTGCACCCTCCACTGGTGATACCTAGGAAAACAGGGTCTTGAGTGGACCTCCAGCAGACCTGTAGCAGAGAGGCCTGTTAGAAGGAAAACTAACAAACAGAAAGGAATAGCATCAATATCAACAAAAAGGATGTCTACACAGAAACGCCATCCAAAGGTCAACAACATCAAAGACCAAAGGTAGATAAATCCACAAAGATGAGGAAAAACCAGCGCAAAAGGGCTGAAAATTCCAAAAACCGGAACACCTCTTCTCCTACAAAGGATCACATCTCCTATCCAGCAAGATAACAAAACTGGATGAAGAATGAGTTTGACGAATTGACAGAAGTAGGCTTCAGAGGGTGGGTAATAACAAACTCCTCCGAGCTAAAGGAGCATGTTCTAAACCAATGCGATGAAGCTAAGAACCTTGAAAAAAGGTTAGAGGAATTGCTAACTAGAATAACCAGATTAGAGAAGAACATAAATGACCTGATGGAGCTGAAAAACACAGCATGAGAACTTTGTGAAACATACACAAGTATCAACAGCCGAATCAATGAAGCAGACGAAAGGATATCAGAGATTGAACCAACATAATGAAATAAAGCATGAAGACAAGATTAGAGAAAAAACAATGAAAGGACAGAACAAAGCCTCCAAGAAATATAGGACTATGTGAAAAGACCAAACCTATGTTTGATTGGTGCACCTGAAAGTGACAAAGAGAACGGAACCAAGTTGGAAAACACTCTTCAGGATATTACCCGGGAGAATTTCCCCAAGCTAGCAAGACAGGCCAACATTCAAATTCAGGAAATACAGAGAACACAAAGATACTCTTCAAGAAAAGCAACCCCAAGACACAGAATCGTCAGATTCACCAAGGTTGAAATGAAAGAAAAAATGTTAAGGGCAGCCAGAGAGAAAGGTCGGGTTACCCACAAAGGGAACCCCATCAGACTAACAGTAGATCTCTCTGCAGAAACCCTACAAGCCAGAAGAGAGTGGGGGCCAATATTCAACATTCTTAAAGAAAAGAATTTTCAATCCAGAATTTCATACCCCGCCAAACTGAGCTTCAACAGCGAAGGAGAAATAAATCTTTTACAGACAAGCAAATGCTAAGAGATTTTGTTACCACCAGTCCTGCCTTACAAGAGCTCCTGAAGGAAGCACTATACATGGAAAAGAATAACCAGTACCAGCCACTGCAAAAACACACCAAATTGTAAAGACCATCAATACTATGAAGAAACTGCACCAACTAACAGACAAAATAACCAACTAGCGTCATAATGACAGGATGAAATTCACACATAACAATATTAACCTTAAATGTAAATGGGCTAAATGCCCCAATTAAAGGACACAGACTGGCAAATTGGATAGAGAGTCAAGACCCATGGATGTGCTGTATTCAGGAGCCCCATCTCATGGGCAAAGACACACATAGGCTCAAAATAAAAGGATGGAGGAATATTTACCAAGAAAATGGAAAGCAAAAAAAGCAGGGGTTGCAGTCCTGCTCTCTGATAAAACAGACTTTAAACCAACAAAGATCAAAGGAGACAAAAAAGGGCATTACATAATGGTAAAGGGATCAATGCAAAAAGAAGAGCTAACTATCCTAAATATATATGCATCCAATACAGGCGCACCCACATTTATAAAGAAAGTTCTTAGAGACCTGCAAAGAGAATTAGACTCCCACACAGTAACAGTGGATGACTTAAACACCCCACTTCCAATATTAGATCACCAAAACAGAAAATTAACAAGGATATTCGGGACTTGAACTCAGCTGTGGACCAAGCAGACCTAATACACATCTATAGAACTCTCCACCCCAAATCAACAGAATATAGAGTCTTCTTAGCACCACGTCTCACTTATTCTAAAGCTGACCACATAATTGGAAGTAAAACACTCCTCAGCAAGTGCAAAAGAACAGAAATCATAACAAACAGTCTCTCAGACCACAGTGCAATCAAATTAGAACTCAGGATTAAGAAACTCACCCAAAACCACACAACTGCATGGAAACTGAATAACCTGGTCCTGAATGACTACCAGGTAAATAATGAAATGAAGGCAGAAATAAAGATGTTCCTTGAAACCAATGAGAACAAAGACACAATGTACCAGAATCTCTGGGACACAGCTAAAGCAGTGTTTAGAGGGAAATTTATAGCACTAAATGCCCACAAAAGAAAGCGGGAAAGATCTAAAATCAACACCCTAACATCGCAATTAAAAGAACTAGAGAAGCAAGAGCAAACAAATTCAAAAGCTCTCAGAAGACAAGAAATAACTAAAATCAGAATAAAACTGAAGGAGATAGAGAAACAAAAAACCCCTCAAAAAATCAATGAATCCAGGAGCTGGTTTTTTGAAAAGATCAACAAAATAGACTGCTAGCCAGACTAATAAAAAATAGAGAGAAGAATCAAATAGATGCAATAAAAATGATAAAGTGGATATCACCACTGATCCCACAGAAATACAAACTACCATCAGAGAGTACTATAAACACCTCTATGCAAATAAACTAGAAATCTAAAAGAAATGGATAAATTCCTGGACACATACACCCTCCCAAGACAAAACCAGGAAGAGGTCGAATCCCTGAATAGACCAATAACAAGTTCTGAAACTGAGGCAGTAACTAGTAGTCTACCAACCAAATGAAGCCCAGGACCAGATGGATTCACAGCCAAATTCTACCAGAGGTACAAAGAGGAGCCAGTAACTAATAGTCTACCAACCAAACGAAGCCCAGGACCAGACAGATTCACAGCCGAATTCTACCAGAGGTACAAAGAGGAGCTGGTACCATTCCTTCTGAAACTATTCCAAACAATAGAAAAAGAGGGAATTCTCCCTAACTCATTTTATGAGGCCAGCATCATCCTGATACCAAAACCTGGCAGAGACACGACAAAAAAAGAAAATTACAGGCCAATATCCCTAATGAACATTGATGCAAAAATCCTCAATAAAATACTGACAAATCGAATCCAGCAGCACATCAAAAAGCTTATCCACCACGATCAAGTCAGCTTCATCCCTGGGATGCAAGGCTGGTTCAACATACACAAATCAATAAACGTAATCCATCACATAAACAGAAACAATGACAAAATCCACACGATTATTTCAATAGATGCAGAAAAGGCCTGCGATAATATTCAACACCCCTTCATGCTAAAACCTCTCAATAAACTAGGTATTGATGGAACCTATCTCCAAATAATAAGAGCTATTTATTACAGACCCACAGCCAATATCATACTGAATGGGCTAAAGCTGGAAGCATTCCCTTTGAAAACCGGCACAAGACAAAGATGCCCTCTCTCACCACTCCTATTCAAAATAGTATTGGAAGTTCTGGCCAGGGCCATCAGGCAAGAGAAAGAAAGAAAGGGTATTCCAATAGAGGAAAGAGGAATAGAAAATTTCCAATAGAAAATTTCCAGTAGAAAAGAGGAAATCAAATTGTCTCTGTTTGCAGATGACATGATTGTATATATCATCTCAGCCCAAAATCTCCTTAAGCTGATAAGCATCTTCAGCAAAGTCTCAGGATACAAAATCAATGTGCAAAAATCACAAGCATTTTTATACAGCAATAATAGACAAACAGCCAAATCATGAGTAAATTCCCATTCACAATTGTTACAAAGAAAATAAAATACCTAGGAATACAACTTTCCAAGGGATGTGAAGGACCTCTTCAAGGAGAACTATAACCACTGCTCGAGGAAATAAGAGAGGACACAAACAAATGGAAAAACATTCCATGCTCACTAAAAAGAAGTTGAAACAAATCTTGAATGAACCAATTATCTACCCATTTGAACTCATCTGATTATAGCTCCTCTGCCATATCTCCCCAGCTCTGTATTGTAATAAACTTTTCTGATACATGTGTATGAACTTTATTCCCATTTCAACAGCCCATTTCTTTAAAATCTATTTCAGTAGTGCATCTAGTAGCTTATGTATATTTATTACAAATCTCCTTTGAAATCCTGTTCTATGTAAGAATATAAATTAAGCCAAATAGAATAAATGCTCAACTCAAAGTGATATGGCTCTTAACTTTCACAGACAATAGCAAATATCTATTGGTTTTTTATTAAAGATTATAAAGGACTTTTTCAGTACTTCATTTCTTCTGTACTTTATCATTAGTTCTTCTTTATCTACTGGATCATGTTCATCAGTATAAAAGCATGCTCTTAGTATCACCCATCCTAAAAAAAGCAGTATATACAAAACACCTTCTTTTTAGGGGGAGCCAGGGGGAGACAGAGTCTCACTTTGTCTGGCTGGAGTGCAGTGGTGTGATCACAGCTCACTGCAGTCTCAACCTTTGAGGCTCAGGCAATCCCCCAACCTCAGCCTCCTTAGTAGCTGGGACTACAGGCAAGCACAGCTAATTTTTAAAATTTTTTTTTGTAGAGACTCACTCTGTTGTCCAGACTGGTCTCAAACTCCTGGGCTAAAGCGATCCTCTTGCTTCAGCCTCCCGAAGTGTTGGGATTACAGATGTGAGCCACTGCGCCTGGCCCCCAAACCATTTTTATATCCCAATACTCTTCTGGCTATTGCCCTGTTTTCTGCCAGAATGCTCACAGCCCAACTTCTGAAAGGAGATAGTTACATATGCTTTCTTCTTGTCTTTCACACACATCCCAACTCACAGCAGTGTCATCTTTCTAGCCTCATCTCATTCAACCTCAGCAGAATTTGACATAGCTGACCACTCTCTTCTTCTTGAAAATCTTTCCTTTTAGCTTCCATTATACTACTCATAGTTTTTCTCTAAATTTTTTTATACAACTCCTTCTTAAGTTTTTTTTTTCCCCCAGATTCCTGTACTCATAAATCAAGGCTTGCATTTTCCAAGCCTTGATTCTGAGGCCTGTTATTTCTTGTCTTTTTGTTTAAATACACCTATAGGAAGACTCTGCCCAGACTTTCTCTCTGAGCTCCTGAACATATACATTTTACATAGAGGTTTTATAGACATCTCAAACTTAACAAATTTAACACATCCAAAAAACAAACTTTTGGTTTTCTCCCAAAACCTGTTTCCTTCACATTCTCTATCATTAAATGATACCACAATCATCCAGTAGCTTAAGCCATAAATATAGTGATCTCTGGATTTATCTATTTCTCTTTCACCCTCACATCTAAAGTCTGTTGATTCTACCTTCAAAATAAAGCTTGAGTCTGTACACTTCTTTCTGTCTCTGCTACCACTGCCCTAGTCTGCACTAAAATCTCTCGTCTATATCATTGCAGTTCTTTCTAACTGGCTCTCCACTTCTATGCTTGCCCTGCTTTTATCTGTTCCTCTCAGAACAGAGTGAAGCTGCACATGCAAACCCTCCTACTTTTAGTTTCTTTATTTTGGTGTGATTTATGTACAATATAATTCACCATTTTAAATGTATACTTTAATGAATTTTGACAAATGTATATATTCATGTAACCTCCAGGCTGTAGGACAATTTTATTACTCCAGGAAGTTGCCTTGTATCTTTTTGAAGTTAAATTCCTCCCTCCATCCCTGCCCTGGCAATTACTGAGACAGTTCCCTTCTATTCGTTCTTTGCTGAGAGTCTTTTATTATGAATTGGTATTAAATATTGTCACATGCATTTTCTGCACTTTTTGAAATGATTATATGGCTTTTTCCTTTTAACTTGCTATTTTGGCAAATTACATTGATTAATTTTTTTATAGTTAAGCCAATCTTGCATTTCAAGGATTAATCCCACTTGGTTATGATGGGTTATCCTTTCAGAATAGTGTTGGTCATGCAGAAAGCAAGTATAGAAATAAAGCACTGTTGAATTTGATTTGCTAAAATTTTCTTAAGGAATTTTGCACCTGTATTCATGAGGGTTATTGGTCTATAGTTTTCTTGCAGTTGATTTGTTGGAAATGAGTGGGTAAGATTCCTGCCTCTCTTGTGTTTTTCAAAGAATATATAATGATATTATTTTTTCTCTAAATGTTTGGTAGAATTCACTGGTGAAACATCTGGGCCTGGAGAGTTTTGGTTGTTTGTTTGTTTAAGTTGTTGTTGTTGTTGTAAGATACTAAATCATGAATTCACCTTTTAAAATGTAGGTATAGGCCGGGCATGGTGGCTCATGCCTGTAATCCCAGCACTTTGGGAGGCCGAGGCAGGCAGGTCACTTGAGGTCAGGAGTTCGAGACCTGCCTCGCCAACATGATGAAACCGCGTCTCTACTAAAAATATATATAAAAAATTAGCCAGGCATGGTGGCGGGCACCTGTAATCCCAGCTACCTGAGAGGCTGAGGCAGGGGAATCGCTTGAACCTGGGAGGCAGAGGTTGCATTGAGCCGAGATTGTACCACCGCACTCCAGCCTGGGTGACAGAGCGAGACTCGGTCTCAAAAATAAATAAATAAATAAAATAAGTAAAAAATGTAGGCATAGAACAATTCAGGATATCTTTTTCTCTTTGAATGAGCTTTGGTTGGTGTCTTTCAAGGAATTCGTTCATTTCGTCTACATCATTAAATGTATGGGCCCAAAGTTGTTCCAGATATTGCCTCATTCTTTTAATGTCTGTATGATTGGTAGAGAGATTTTTTCTTTCATCGTTGATATACATAACTTATGTCTTTTCTTTTTAGTGACTAGAGGTTTTTCAACTTTACAGATTTTTTTAAGAACAAGCTTTTGGTTTCATTGAGTTTTCTCAATTTTCTGTTTTTTTTCTCTCATTAATTATTTCCTTCTGTTTTTCTATGGGTATGATTTTCTCTTTTTCCCTACTTTTTTTTTTTTTTTTTTGAGACAGAGTCTTGAACTAACGCCTGGGCTGAGTGCAATGGCTCAATCTCAGCTCACTGCAACCTCTGCCTCCCGTGTTCAAGCAATTCTCCTGCCTCAGCCTCCCAAGTAGATGTGATTACAGGCACCCACCACCACACCTAGCTAATTTTTTTATATTTTTATTTTTAGTAGAGACGGGGTTTCACTGTGTTGGCCATGCTGGTCTTGAACTCCTGAACTTGTGAACCACCCGCCTCGGCCTCCCAAAGTGTTGGGATTACAGGCGTTAGCCACCGCACAAGGCCTTTTCCTACTTTCTAGAGGGAAGCTTAGATCGTTTATCTAGCACCTTTGTCCTTTTCTTATATATGTATTTAATGCTATGAATTTCCCTTGTAATTACTGCTGTAGCTGCGGCACATAAGTTTTATGTGTCATTTTCTTACCATTCCAGTAAAAACATTTTCTATTTTCCTTTGTTAATTCTTCTTTGGCTGATGGGTAGTTTGGAAGTCATTAACATTTAGTTTTTAAAATCGATATCCATTTTAGTTTTACTGTGGTTAGAAAATGTACTGATAATATTTGTGCTATGATTCTTTTGGCTTCCCACTTCTGCTTTTTCATGCTAGACTCCTCTGGGTCTCCTCTGTACCTGTGAAAATTCTTGATTGGCAAAGTATTTAGGCAGAGATGGGTCTCCTTTCCTCTGTTTCTTTTTTGGGTTTTGTTTTTGTTGTTGTTGTTGTTGTTGTTTTTCTTCTAAGATTACCCCCTAATTTTCAGTTGCTCTGCCTGCTTTGGGCTCAGTGCTGTGACACTTCGTACTTCCTGCCGCCTGAGATAATCATGATGAGGGAGTGCACTTAGTAAATAAATACATCAAACCCAGCAGATCTGCTATATACAGCTCTGCTTTTCAAGAGTAGATTTATCTTCATTCTCTGCCAGCTAGTTTGTGCTGACCCTGGAGTCCTTTTTCATTCATGCACAGTATACTTGCAGCTAGGCGTTTGGATAGTTTAAATTGAATTTGGGTCTCATACTTGCTGTGGTTTGCTCACTACCAAGATTTCCCCTTTACATTTTGAGATGCTGCCTTAGCTCTGAATTCTGACCTCTTGCACCTTTAGTTGATAAGCCTGCTGTTTTTTATTTGACCATCATCTGTAGTTATAACTATGTGATTTAGGCAGCAGACCAGAAAGCTACAAAGTCATACTTTTTACTTCTTGTTAACCATTGGTCCAGACTAAACTCTCCTCTGCCATTCTTCTGCTTTTGGATGCTTTCCAGTATTTCAGGGGGCTTTTTAAAGCCCAATTTTAGTAATTATTCTCTGTGGAGGATTTATACGACCACCTCACTCCACCATTACCAGCAGTTGTCTCCGACCCCAAAATAAATCACTTAATTTAAAAAAATTTTTTCCTAAGACACTACAGATGTGTGGCATGTGACCCAGCCTAGCCAATCCAAATATCATCTTTCCTAGACAAGAATGATTGGTTAAGGAATGGACACAACATAAGTCAATTAATCAAAGCAAAGAGATTCCATTCTGGGATTTTTATTGGTGCTGGGGGAGGAAAAATACCTCCCCTTGCACTGGCCCCCGCAGCTTCCTGCTCCAGAAACCTGGGGGGGAAAGGCCCGTCTGAGGGAGGCAGAACCAGAAGAGGAGAGATAAATTAGGTCTTGGTAAACCTTCAGTCTAGCTTCTTCATCTCTACAATGAGCCTTTTCCAAAAGCTTTTGAGTTTTGTGAGTCATTAGATTAACTTTTTCACCTAGCCATATCGAGCTGGATATTTTGTACTTTCAACTTAATTTTTACATAAGGCTGCACATCCTCCATGACCTAATCCTGCCTGCCTTCTCAAATTTGTCTGGCACTGTTCTCATTCTGACCCCTTATCTTTCAGCCTCCCTGACCTTTTACTTCTTAGATACAAAACATCCTTTCCCAACTCAGAATTTCAAATACGCTGTCCCTCTGTCTGGAAAATCTTCATAAAGCTGATTCTTCCTCATGCTTTGTCTCAGGTTAGATATCCTGAGATATTATAATAATTAATTTGATGTGTCCCCTTGACTGGCTCGTGGGTACTCAGGTAAAACACTATTTCTGGGTGTGTCTGTAAGGGTGTTTAGCAATTGAATCAGTGGAGTGAGTAGAGCACATTGTCCTCCCCAGTGTAGGTGGGCATCATCTAATCCATTGAGGACCTGCAGAGAAGAAAAAAAATGGAGGAAGAGGGGAGTAGTTCTCTTTGCCTGACTGATTGATCTAGGACATCAGTCTTCTTCCGTGGCTGGGACTTAACACCATCAGCCCTTCGGTTCTCAGAATTATACCACCAGCTTTCCTGGGTCAGCCTCCATAATCTCGATTCCTTATAATAAATCATATATAATAAATTAGTGTATCCTGTTGGTTCTGTTTTGTGAAGAATCTTGACTAATACAGACCTTAATTAGACCTCTAATTATAGTCTCTAGGTAATTGCTGCAGCTATAATTTCCTCCATAGCACTATTCACAATTTAGAATTGGACATTTGGTGTTGTTTTACTTATTTGTCAATTCTTCTGCATTTAAAGGGCAAGGACTTTATCTGTTTTACCAATATGTATCCAGTCAGTGCCTGACACAAAATATATAATAATAAGAAACAATTATTGAAGAAAGGAAGGGAAGGAGAGATGAATTTACAGGACTAAGACTTAAAACTTAAATGATAATTAACTCTGATTAATAAGTTTTCTGAGCTGTGCTGTGCATTGCTCTGGTAATAATCAAGTGACTATGCAGATTTTAGTTGGGGATGGGCATCATAAGCTACAGGATAAGGAATTTAAAAGATCAGTTGAGATTACTGAAGAGGCAATGTATGAAAAACAAACCTGAAAGTCAAAATTATGGTTTAACTAGAACTTAAGAGACAGCCAAGACTTAAGTTTATACTTAGTAGAGAATCATCAGGGAATGAGATAGGCCTGCTCTTGATGGTTTGTGGATAAAGCCAAAGTTTCTTTGAGTATTTATGTTATACTCTGAACTATTACAGCATGATTTTCTCTTTTAGTTGATGTGTTAATGTTGTAGGCATCTATACATCCTAAATAAAGTCTCTTGAATTTTTTTTTTTTTTGAGACAGGGTCTCACTCTGTTGTCCAGGCTGGAGTGCAGTGGTGCAATCTCAGCTCACTGCAACCTCTGCCTCCTGGGTTCAAGTGATTCTCACACCTCAGCCTCCCAAGAAGTTGGGTACATGCCACCATGCCTGAATAATTTTTGTATTTTTGGTAGAGACAGGGTTTCACCATGTTGGCCAGGTTGGTCTCAAGCTCCTGACCTCAAGTGATCTGCCCACCTCGGCCTCCCAAAATACTGGGATTACAGGCATGAGCCATCGCGCCTGTTCAGGCTGTTGAATTTTCAACTGTCTAGCCTTTTTTGCAGTGGGGTTTATTTAATGAAAGGTTTGATCACAAGTATTTTCAGAATATTATTTTACTTCACTTTTTAGTAGAACTTTGTAGTTTTAATTTGGGATTTTAGTAGTAGGTTACTTGAGAAAGTTAATATGTTCAAGTCAATTAAGTTCTCTTAAAAATAAAGCAAATACTATAGGTTAAATTGTATCCTCCCCCTCAAAAGACATAGGTTAAAATCCTAACCCCTTAATACTTCAGAATGTGACCTTACTTAGATATAGATACCTTACAGAGCTAATCAAATTAAAATGAGATCATTAGGTTGGGCCTTAATCCAATACATATCCAGTATTTTTATCAAAGGAGAAATGTAGACACAGAGACATGCACAGCAGGAAGCACATGTGAAGACACAGGAAGCATACCCAAGGTTATAAGAAACTAGGAGACAAGCATGGAACTCATGTTTCCTAGTGCCTTCAGAAGGAACATGGCCTTGTTGACACCTTGATTTCAGACTTCTAACCTCCAGAACTATGAGACAATAAATTTCTGTTGTTCTAAGTCACACAGTTGTGGTACTTTGTTATGGCAGCTCTAGCAAACTAATACACCCAGTCTATACTTTCAAAGCTGATTGTAATAATTTATGTTCATTATGGGAAAACTAAGACTTTCTTATGTATTGAAACATAAGTAGAACAAGATTTAGGTTAAGGTAAGTAAAGTAAAACAAGAATTATATTACTTTTAGTTTTTTCTGTTTCCTTACTAGAAGTACAGCTATATTTGAATATAGAAATGTATATAAAATATTCCGTATTTTTAGCATTTTAATCTATGAACTCTAATTATTTTCATTAGATCCAACAAAAATTATCACAGAAGAGGAACTGTCCTTATCTTTTAAGAATAGTCATTTGCCTGAGTATTGGTGCATCATTTCTTGAACAAAGCTTATTCGGCATGTTTGATGTTATTAAATGGCAGCTTTTCTTCCCAAAGCTACCGCGGCTCCCAGTGACTTGTTTTCTAATAAAAATGCCTTTTGAAGAGAAAATGGTAGTTTTACAGTGGCGAGTCCTGGCAGATACCAGCTTAACCAAGTGATCGAAGTTAATGTCACCAGAACTACATAGCAACATTATGGGCCCTAGATAAATTGCTCTGAGAAGGGCACATTGACCATCTTTTCTAATAATGCATCACCTCTTCTAATCATGAGAACACATCAGACAAACTCAACCAGAGGGACATTTTACAGAATACCTCTGACCAGTACACTTCAGTGTATTAAAGTCATAACAAACAAGACTGAGGAAATAACACGACTGTACAAAACTAGGGAGACACAACACCTAAATGTAATATGAGATCCTGGATTGGATCTTGGGACAGAGAAGTGACATTGGTGGGAAAACTAATTAAATCTGAATAAATTCTTTATTTTAATTAGTTAATCAAGGTTAATTTCTTAGTTTGGAAAGTTGTTCTTTAGTCATGTAAGATGATAACATAAGGAGAAGTAAGGTTGGGTAGACAGTATATAGGAACTCTGTGTACTATTTTTGCAACTCTTGTGAGTCAAAATAATCTCAAAATAACTACTTAAAAATAAAAATAGGCTGGGCGCAGTGGCTCACACTTGTAATCCCAGCACTTTGGGAGGCTGAGGTGGGCAGATCACAAAGTCAGGAGTTTGAGACCGAACTGGCCAACATGGTGAAACCCCATCTCTACTAAAAAATACAAAAATTAGCTGGGTGTGGTGATGGGCGCCTGTAATCCCAACTACTCAGGAGGCTGAGGCAGGAGAATTGTTTGAAACTGGGAGGTGGAGGTTGCAGTGAGCGGAGATCGCACCATTACACTCCAGCCTGGGCAACAGGGCAAGACTCTGTCTCAAAAAATAATAATAATAAAACCCAATCTGAATAGACTTTTCTCAAGAAACATATAAGTGGCCAGCAGATATATGAAAAAATGCTCAACATCACTAATCATTAGGGAGATGCAAATTAAAATCACAATGAGCTATCATCTCACACCTGTCAGATTGGCTTTTCTCAACTAGACAAAAGACAAGTATTGGCAAGGATGTGGAGAAAAGGGAACGCTTGTACACTGTTAATGGGGATGTAAATTAGTACAGCCTTTATAGAAAATAGTATGGAGGTTCCTCAAAAAACTAAAAATAGAATTACCATATAATCCAGCCATCCTGTTTGTGGGATTTACCCAAAGGACTTGTAAACAGTTTGTCTAAGAGATGTCTGCACTCCCATGTTCATTGCAGAACGATTAACAATAGACACGTTAAGGAATCGTCTTTTTTAAGTGTCAAAATATAAATGTTGAGAACAGCCCAAGATGGCCAACTTCAATGATTGTGTGTTGGATAAGGAGAAGGTATGCATAGCTGCTAAATTCATCACTCATGCACCCGCAGGAGAATTTAATGAAGTATTCAGTGATATTCGGCTACTATGTAATAATGACAGTCTCCTCAGGGAAAGGGCAGCACGTGCATTTGCCCATTATAACATGGATCAGTTCACACCCGTGAAGATGGAAGGATGTGAAGATCAGGTCATAATTACAGAGCATGGGGGACCTGGGTAATAGCAGAGTTTTAGATCCAAGAAACAAAATTTCCTTTACATTTGATCACTTATAGAAAAAAGCAAGTGACCCCCAGCCAAAACAAGTAGATGGAGGTCTGAAGTCTTGGAGAGAATCCTGTGACAGTGCTTTAAGAGCCTATGTGAAAGACCATTATTCCAACGGCTTCTGTACTGTTTATGCTAAAAACTATCGATGGGCAACAGACTATTATTGCATGTATTGAAAGCCATGAGTGTCAGCCTAAAAACTTCTGGAATGGTCGTTGGAGATCAGAGTGGAAGTTTACCATCACACCACCTACAGCCCAGGTGGTTGGAGTGCTTAAGATTCAGGTTCACTATTACGAAGATGGCAGTGTTCAGTTGGTTAGTCATAAAGATGTACAGGATTCGCTAACTGTTTCGAATGACGCACAAACTGCCAAGGAGTTTATTAAAATCATAGAGAATGCAGAAAATGAATATCAGACAGCAATTAGTGAAAACTGTCAAACAATGTCAGATACCACATTCAAGGTCTTGCGCCGGCAGCTTCCGGTTACCCGCACCAAAATTGACTGGAACAAGATTACTCAGCTACAACATTAGCAAAGAAATGCAGAATGCCTAAAGGCTGAATGTAGGATTCTTCAGTATGTGGAAAGACAAGGATTCAACATGTGGTCATATGATAAATAAGTGATTTATAAACAAGAGTGATATTTTGCTAGAGCTTTCAAAGTTAACCAGTTTTCTAACCTCATGGAATACTGTTGAACCTATAGCATTGTCTGATTCTTTTGTGTTCTCTGCTTTGTAATTTTCTGTTATTGCTATATCCAAGTGTAAGTCTTTTTTTTTTAATTCTGCCACATTTAATGTTGGAGAGAGAGATCTATCCTAGAGACATTTTACTGTTTAAAAAAGTTTCCTAGCCATGAAGCGCTGCTACTGATTTAGACAAGGTATATGGTCATTACTTTCTACCCCTATCCTTCCAAGCACTTCTGATACTGCAGTGGTTTTTACTGATCCACCAGCACCTAAAGAGGCTGTACTACAGTCTATAGCTAAGTGGAAGGCACATTCATCCTTCTCCCTCTGACTGCTTTGATCATCATTTATTGCATCGCAGAACTGTAATTTTCCAAAGTTTGGATTGGGACTTTTCAGGTCCTTTTTGGAGGGCAAAGGAAGTGTCAGCTTCTCTGGGGAACTTGTTTTTAAATCCAAAGACTTGAACCACATTCCCTGCACTTGAACACGTTTGCTTTCATCCCTTCTCTCATTGTCTCCTTCCCATCTTAGTACCATTGTAGTTATAGACATCTGCATTTTTAGAAGAGTTTTAGCCATTTATTTTTTTAAACAGTCAAGAACTGCTGACATACTGTGGATATAGAGTATAAAACTTGAAAAATGCAGATGTTGAAGGAATAACAGGTATCTTGTGCTTTAATACTTTATGGCAGGATTGTACTATAAGCAAATGAATTAAACAGCTATGTAAATCATAAACAAAAACTGAAAATGAACCAAAATGAAAAGGATAACTTCCAGGCAGTATCTTTCTATTGTAACCTGTTATTTAAGGAAATACTAACGATTTCTTCTAAATAGGATGTAAAACTTATTTCAGATTACTCTTCCTCAGTCCTGCCTGCCAAGAACTCAAGTGTAACTGTGATAAAATAACCTGTCCCAGGTATATTGGCAGGTATGTGTGTAATCTCAGAATACACAGGTGACATAGATATAATATAACAACTGGTAATGGTGGATTCATTTACATTGCTTACAGTTCTATGACCAGGCCTTAAGGGAAGGTCAGTTTAAAAAAAAAACAAGTAATGTCTTCCTGCCTATCTCCACATACATGTAAAAAAAAAACGTGTTTGTGCTTCAGTTCTGTTTTTGCTCAGTAATATAGTCAAGGAACAGTTTGTTTCCAAGTACCCATTGAGCTGTGTATGCATTTTTGTTTATTTCAAATAAAATATATTTGTATTATTTGTCATCCATACTATCCATCCATACCACACTATCTTCTGTATGAGATAGTCTAATAGAAATATACCTGTTTTGTTCTAAAATTATATATAAAGGTTAACTGGCTCAAAGCATTTTTAGAATGCAAGAGTGAAATGAGAATTACTTGGAGAGAAATGTTTTGTCACCAGTAACTGTAGACTTCTTTCTGTTCTTAATCAAAGTTCAAGTTTACAGAATTTGGACATTTTGAGTTCAGAAATATTTAAACATTAATATACTTAAGAATTTTAATATGTGAGCCAGTAATTTGAATATTGCTTTGATTTACAGTAATTTTGATGATGTTCTTTTTGCTATTACACTAAGTTATTACTGATATTAATTAAAGTCCTCATAACAACTTTATTTGAATATACCACCATTTTTAATGAATAGCCATACTTTGCAAGATGTACATTAGATCCTGATTTTTAATGTTGCAAATTTATGCTTACCATTTTGAACAACTGGAGACAAAATTTGAAGACATGATATAACAATTTTGTGTAGCATTGAAAGATTAAAAGACACTTTTAGCACACAGAAAAACGTGAAGTTATGTCATGGTAAGCAATTTTCTTGACTTTTAAAAAGATTGAGTGCTTTAACATACTTAGTTCTTACAATTATTTTGTTTTATTTGCTTTCTGGACTTTTCCTTAGTGATGGGAGATTTTGTTCACTGGTAGTTTAGAGTCAAGGCATTAGTTCAGTACAATTTCATTCTGATAGGGGGAAAACCTTGTTGAATTATTCTTTAATATTAATAAAGGCATTTGTAGTTACCATGCCTTGTTACTGACACACACCAGCATTTGTGTACTGATTTTAATCACTTTTATATGTAGTGATTTGATTTGGCTAGTAGAATTTGAAAAGCTTTGCTGAAAAATATTCAGCTCATTGTAATTTGAGAACATAGGCATTGCAGATGTGTATTAATTTTTATTATGTAAAATGTATACAGTTACCTATCTTAAAATAGAAACTAAAATAATATTTACATTAATAATATTGAAACTATGTTTGAATGTTAATATCTGCAAAAAATTGTGGTCTTCTAAAAATATTATTTTATGGTATAATTCATCAGCTTGCAAATGTTTTCTCTGAGCAGAACTCAAAAGTTTTCATCAAGACAGGTTTTGTGAGCAATACATCTGTTGATATTAAGTATATTAATGTAAGAAACATTTTCTTTTCTAAAAGTGAAACATTCTACTATCCAGGTAATTTTGTTTTGTACTTATAAGGTTAATAGAGCCTATTTGACTTGAGCTGTATTTCATTTTGTGAAAGTATCTTTCTGCTTTTTTATTAATACTGAATATGCTTTGTTTTAAATGTAATTATAGGATTGACTGAGCCATCATCAGTCTATGATCAAAATTTTCCTAGTGAACAGTAGTTTGAAATGTTAAGATAGTTGAAGACTAAAGGCATTGTCCTGGCAATGGAGCCAAGGGTGTAAACAAAACAGCAATCCCTGCTGTATAAAAAGATTAAAGCCACAAAGTGACATCATTCTAAATACCTAGTGAGCTTTTACTAACCTTGTGAGTGACTTTTGCAATTGGAGCAAAGTGACATGTTATATTTTAATCATTTAAAGAATAATTTCCGGTTATTCTAGCCTTTTAAAAGAAGAGTGAAACAAAGAATTGAAAAGTACTGTTTTGAAGATGCCTATAGCAGGTATTATGAAGTGTTGCCTCTGCCAACTGATAACAGTTTGCTTTGTGCAATGTTTTGTAAAGAGTAAAAATGGCTGTTTCCTTCATAACTTTTATACCCTAGTAATGGTCTGATAAAGGACAAATTGCCAATAATCTATCATGAACAATGAAAAGAGGCCCCAAATATAACTGTCTGGAGATTCAGGAATACTTCTTGAGCAATAGGTTCTTGAAATAGTTAGTAAAGAATATAATTATAAAGGGCAGAAATCAAAGAGCATGTTATATAGGCTTTGGAGGTTCTCAAGTGGAAGAAATAATGTGACCAAAAATACAGCAGTGAGAAACAATTTATTAAATTCTTATTGTGTTTCAGATTATTGGAAATCCTGAGCTAAATAAGATGCAGTTTTTGCCTCAAAGATCTAAAATCCTGGCTTATAATTCATTTGCATAGAGGTGATAGTTTAAACAGTATAAGCATGTGAAATACTGAAGGAGAAAGCATAAGAGAAGGAAAGAGATAGCTGGACAAAATCTTTAGGAATCTTTTACATTTAGGGGGAAAAAAGCAAAAGAAAATCCAATAAAGGAGATAGTATTATTGAAAGATGTATAGTTAAGAAGAGGATCAAGAGGGTTCCACGACCTAGATCTTAAGGATGATAATGGGTTTTGAAAAGAAAGGACCAGGCCAGGCGCGGTGGCTCACACCTGTAATCCCAGCACTTTGGGAGGCTGAGGCGGGCAGATCATGAGGTTAGGAGATCAAGACCATCCTGGCTAACACGGTGAAACCCCGTCTCTACTAAAAATACAAAAAATTAGCCGGGCATGGTGGTGGGTGCCTGTAGTCCCAGCTACTTGGGAGGCTGAGGCAGGAGAATGGCGTGAACCCGGGAGGCGGAGGTTGCAGTGAGCCGAGATCGCACCACTGCCCTCCAGCCTGAGCAATAGAGCGAGACTCCGTCTCAAAAAAAAAAGAAAAAAGAAAGAATAGAAAAGAAAGGACCAGGCACAGTGGCTCACGCCTGTAATCCCAGCACTTTGGGAGACTGAGGCAGGCAGATCATGAGGTCAGTAGTTTGAGACCAGCCTGGCCAACGTGGTGAAACCCTGTCTCTACTGAAAATACAAAAAAATTAGCTGGACGTAGTGGCACACAGCTGAAATCCCAGCTACTCAGGAGGCTGAGGCAGGAGAATCATTCGAACCCGGGAGGCAGAGGTTGCAGTAAGCTGAGATTGTGCCACTGCACTCCAGCCTGGGTGGCTGGAGACTCCATGTCAAAAAAATAATAATATGAAAGAGGCAGTCAGGAATGCCAGACTTATATAAGAGGTTGAGAATGAAAACAATAAAGATTAGAGGGATCTAGGAATTATGAAAACTTTCCTTTTACAGACCAAGTGGAAGGGAGGCTTGGGGCTTGGCACAAATGTTGAAAGATTCTGAGAAGTGAGGAGGAAGTAGACATAGCAGGTATAGGACGTTTCCTTTAAGGTTAACACAGGAGAGGTATTGATGTATTGAGAGGGAAAGAGACAGACAGGGTAAAGGAGTGGCCCTGGGAGGGGCTGGAGGTGGTGCTGAGAAATAAGGGAATGGAAATGTGAAAATTGTGGTTCAAGGGTGAAACTTTAAGAGTTTAAGATCCTGGAGGTGGTAGGATTCTGTGTGATCAAATCCAACATGTGACCTAAATGGAATCAAGGAGGAATAAAGGGCCAGTGTTAATGTTAACAAATTAGGACCAGGGGTTGAGGAAATAAGGCAAAGGAATCTAGGAACCATAACTGCAAGTTTGCCTAAAGACTCAAGACAGCTTTTTGTTCTGATTGAAAGCCTTTGGAATGAGTCCCATGGATAGGCCTCTTCTGCTTTAAATGAGTAGTGAATTAATTCATTAAAAACATTTATTTTATGTCCGTTATGTACTAGACACTGTTTTAGGTGTTTGGGTTGTATTACTGAGTCCTGTATATGACAGTACCAATTTGTAATACTGAAATATTAACAAACTTGTTTTATACATTATGGTATAAAAATAGTCTTGCACTGTTTAAATTATGCTCAAAACATGAGTTCCTTGAGGTCAGAGATTGTCTTACTCATCCTTGTAGGCCAGTTACTTAAGCATAGCACCTGATGTTTAATAGGTATGTTCATGAAATGTTTGAATTACTGAAACTGTTAAATAACAGAATAATTCTGTAAGATTTTTACATGGAATTACTATCTGTGTTTTGTAAAAGATGGAAGAAAAACAGTATTAAAATTATATATATAGCATTACAGAACTTTTTAATGAAAAAGATTACTTTTTTAAAAATATCACTGAGTTCTAAATTCTTGCTATAAAGGCAAAATATAGTAAAATTGTGAAATGTATTCTTAAATTATTTCCCTTCTCTAGTATAACCTTTCCCGCATGAAACAGGAAGTCTTTCACGTGGGTATTTTTTTAGTGCATGGTATTACTACAATTATGATAAGTGATCTTAGTATACTTTACTAAATATAGACGTGAATCTTTTTCTCACCAGCAAGGAATGGACCTGTAAGACTCAGTCGTCACTAAGGATGCTTTCCATGCTTTAACTATTTTAACCAAGAATTTTAGAAGAAAGAATTAGGAAGTAGAGTTGAAGTAGCCTTGATCTGAACTCCCATCTCTGCATTCTTGCCAGGCATAGATGTCATTCTTGTGTACAGATCTATATTTTTTTCATTTGAATCTGTGATGTATACAGCTCATTTTGCTGAAATTTTCTACTCAGTTGCTTCCACATGTCATTCCTTTTAGAGTTAAAAAAGAACTTTTTGTTGTCAAAGTATGTATCATTGGTTCTTCATTGTTGCCACAAGAGTGATAACTTCATTTATTTACTGCTTATGTTTTCTGCTTGTGAGACTACAAAGTTTAGCTTGTTTGCTTCTTCCCAATAATGAAATTAATGCTGTAACTATGCATCTAAGAATGCTGCTTACTACCAATTATGTATTACTTATTATTTATTACTACCAATTATTTATTACTTACTACCAATTATTACCAATTAGTTATTACAACTAATTGTAATTACAGTTAGTTATTGCAGAAGTGTTTCTATCAGTTTCTAATCCTTGATAATTTCAATTATTCTGGATTTTTGTAATATTTAATATAGCTTTTGTAATTTTGAGGTTACTTCCCTCAAATTTCTTTGTATTAAATCACAACTACATACATGTAATTGATATAATTTAGGAATTGTTATTTGTAAAACATAAATTACAGATGACCCCAAATTCTCCAAAACTGCAATGTTCAGTTCAACTTGCTTACCACACAAATTGATGGAGAAAGAAAAGAACTGATCATAGTATGTTTATAAATAAAACATTTAACAACATTTGAGTCAGGAAGTTGAATTGACTGGTGAGAACCAGAGATTTTATATGTAATAACAAATGAAAGTAAAAACTGGTTTTTATAGTTACAAGCTCATTTTTTTGAGAAACTAGCTGGGTTTCTGAGAATTTGCCAAAAAAAAAAAAAAAAAAAAAAAAACCACAATATTTCTGGTAACCTATCACTGGTCTTAAAGATAATGACATTTGGGTAGCTTTTTTGGCAGTAGCATACTCTGTTTTATTTTGACTCATCTTCAGTGCTAATGCAGTCCACTCTGATAAAACAGAAGAACCAATTCAACAAAAACAATGATTAGCTGATTTAGAAGAGACACCCAAGTTTATGCCCTTTCCTTGTCCTCTTACCTCACAGTATCCTTGTGGGCCTTCCTTGTAAAGATACTTTGAGGATCTTCCCTGTGAGATCTAGTTACTGCTTTGTTGTAGTGGAGCACTATCCTGAATCAGAACTTTTTCCTTATATAGCCTGATACAAAACATACTTAATGCAATTTATTTAAATCTTATTTTTAAAAGTCATTCAGATCTTCTTGTTTCAGTAAAGAATATAGCATTATTTTAATAAAGAATATAGGTTTTATATCAGACTTTAGAGGGTACACTGACCGTTTTTTAGGACTTTCCCTTGGTTTTCAGGGAGCAAGAAAGCAAAGAGAAGAGATTTGGTTGATAACTAAATAATAATAAGTATACTATTTTTAACTTACATTTGTAAATTTCAAACATACTATGTTAAAACTAATTAAATTGCAGTGCACAGTCAGGACTGATATAATATAAACAAGAGATAATAAGGAAGCTTTATTCTAATATTAACACAGAGCACAATACTGTTCACACAGTAAATTCTTAAGATAACCTAGAGTATTCTCTTTTCACAGTAGCAAGACAGGGTACCTTAATTATTTCCTGGAAGTAAAGGGAAGATTTCCAAGTATTAGAAAAGTTTTCTGCCAAATTACTACAAAGTATGAAAAATAAGTCATGTTTTTATCATATAACATTCCAACCTGGAGTTATAACACTTATCTTTAAAAATAGAATTAAAATGTCAGACTCATTTGAATTGAACATTGTCTTACTCAGAGAAAGCTAAAAATGATTTTTATATTGGTAACCACTTGTGAACACATTTAGAAATATCTTTGTAAGTTTATTAAGTACTTATGTTGTCTTGTGCATTGTTTTATTAGACTAGAATATATTCCCTTTTTGGTATCAAGATACTCTTCTCACCTAAGAAGTATAGTCATACACTGCATAATGACATTTTGGTCAATGCCTGACCACATATATGACAGTAGCCCCCTAAGATTATAATGCCATATTTTTACTGTACCTTTCTTAGGTTGAGATATGTCTAGATATACAAATATTTACCACTGTGTTACAACTGCCTGAAGTATTCAGTTCAGTAACATCCTGAACAGGTTTGTAGCCTAGTAGCAATAGGCTGTATCCTATAGCCTAGGTGTGTGGTAGACTGTACCACCTAGGTTGTGTAAGTACACTGTACAATGTTTGCATGATGACAGAATCACCTAACAATGCATTTCTTAGAATGCATCCCCATCATTAAACAACTCATGACTGTGTTAGAGAACAGAGCTTCAACTCTGGCATGTTGAAACTGGGATGGCCTTGCTTAGAGTGTATAATAATTTGAGTATTGACCTGGTGACAGATCCTGGACTTATTTCAGTGGCTTTCAACCTTAGATTAATAGGATGTTTTTTATTTCCCTTCTTATGAGTAAAATATATTGAAAATATATTAATGTATATATATTAACAGAAAATTGGCCTCACTTCCTCAGGTCAGACAATTTTAATTAGTGAAAATTATCTACTTAAAACATTGGTTCTCAAATCTCAAATTCAAAAGTTAATTTATGCCATTTATTTTAATGATTTTTAGCATGTCTTCATGTTTCTAGAAACATTTTATAGGGTTTGAAGAGTAGAAAATGCAGCAGGAAAAGGGTAAAATAAAAATGTAATAGGTAAATTATTATAAATTTTAACTATAAACACTGAAATCAGATAAGTCTCATCTGTTTTTTATAGTACAACTTTAAGTGTGTTTTTTTCCCTCCCAGGACATTTATTCAGAACAGCTGGGGATCAACCGTTTAACCTGTCCACAGTGTCGAGTGCCTTCCCAATGGTCAGCCACCCAGTCTTTGGTCTACATTCAGCCAGCTCAGGGCATTCAGAATTTGGTGGTTTGGGGACACTTGGTACACCCACAGCCTTAGCCGCACATCCCCAACTAGCATCTTTTCCAGGTAAACATCTGTTACAAACAGTGTTCAAGGGAAGGAGGAAAGCTTGAGAATGTTCAAGCAATAATTTGTCTATTGAACAAAAGGAATAGTCTAATGCCTGGTATATTTAAAACTTTGGTGCAAGAATTGGCTTAATCCTATTTATCATGTGCAAAAAATTAAACACCCTAAGTGTGTTAGGTGGCAGAGCAGTTAATTAGATATCCAGGTATTTAACTAGAGAAATAGGTGTCTGTCACAGGAGAGAGTAATTCAGGCAAGTTTTTCTCATGTTTTTTTGTTGAAGTATAATATACAGAAAAGTATACATAGTGTAAATGTAGAGTTGAATTAATTTTTCTCAGCCTTATTTGATTTTTTAAAAAATTATTTAGTGTGAAACTAAAGTTCAGGTTTTATGAGTATTTTTACACTCCTATTTCAAGGTCTTACTTTTCTTCACTGTAAGGAAAATGAGCTAGACTCTTAAATTTCTTTATTTTTCTGTTTTTTGTTTGTTTTGTTTTGTTTTCTGAAACGAAATCTTGCTCTGTTGCCCAGGCTAGAGCGCAGTGGTGCAGTCTCAGCTCACTGCAACCTCCGCCTTCTAGGTTCAAGCAGTTCTCCTGTCTCAGCCTCCCGAGTAGCTGGGATTACAGCCACGCACCATCATGTCTGGCTAATTTTTGTATTTTTAGTAGAGACGGGGTTTCGCCATGTTGGCCAGGCTGGTCTTGAACTCCTGACCTCAAGTGATCCGCCCACCTCGGCCTCACAGAGTGCTGGAATTACAGGTGTGAGCCACTGTGCCCAGCCTATTTTTCTGTATTTGATCAAAACAACTAGAGAGTTGTACCACTTACATGGAAGAAGACCAGTATTATCCAAAATTCTATAGATAATGAGGATTTAGTAGTTCAGTAAGACATCAGTTAATTAAAACTTTCGACAAACGTGCTTCAATTTGTTATATTATCTTGAAAGCCTAAATTTGTATGTATTTTCTATAGATTAATTTGGCTTTAATAAATTTTAGTGAGGTCTGCATGTTTTAGTGTATGTAAGATAATTTAAAACGTTATAGCATAATTCTAGAGACAAATAGGCCTGAATTTAAATCTGGCTTTGTTAGTTCATAGCTGTGTGACCTTGAACAAATTATCTGACCTCTTAGCCTCAGTTTTCTCATCTGAAAAACGAGAATCATAATAATAGTATCTGACTTACAGGGTTCTTGTGAGGATTAAAGGAGTTAAGTCATATGTAGTGCTGAGTACAGTATCTGGTGCACATAATTAGTCCATAATTGGTAACTATCATTATTATTTCATTTTGCCCACTTTAATGGTTAATAATTTATCAAATCCTTCCTTAAAAGGAAAGAAGTGTTTTTAAAACTACGTGTAGAAAGGATAGATGGTTAAATGTGTGTTTCAAGTACTGTTTCTTGAGTCATATTACTTCTTTAATTCAGTTGTCTGGGAAGCAGGGATGCTAAGGAGGAGTAATGTGAGTGGACAGTTAAAGAAGTCTTAAACCAAGTTTTAACATTTCCTTCAAAAATATTAATAGGAATTTATTCAGTTTCTAGCATGGTTGTTTAGCAAGATGAGCATTCCACAGATATTTACTGAAATACAAGATTGCTGAATAAATATCAAAATAGATAAAAACAATATAGATAGTGATATCTTAAATATTTTTATTGTTTTATCATGCTTTATTACACTGTTGCTTTTGAACATTTCTAAGCCACAATGTAAATACTATATTATTAAAATCAAATGTCTTTTGTACTAGAATGATGGTTAACACATTTAAAAAATTACTCATCTGGAGTTCAATAATGTTGATACTTCTACTATATAGAAAAAAATTTGATAGCTCCCCCAGCCAAAATAAAGTATTCACTTATTCATTTAAGGTACAAAATTCTTTGGACATCTACTATGCTCTGCACACAAGGCCAGAAACAGAAGAATAAACATAGTATATTATATGTTGCTTACAGTTTTTAGGAGATAGATGAACAGACAATTACAAGACAGAGTCTTTAGTGATAAAAGTATGCCTAGATGAGCATACTTTTTGCCAAATGGGCAGAGACTATGCCTAGTTTTCAAAGATTCATTTTGTTTAATTTGCAGATTTCCTACAGTAACTTAAATATAAATTTTCTATAATTGGCTTTATTCAGAAGGGTAACCAAATTGCCAGACTTTTAAATTGCCCAGTAAATAAATGAGGACACAACAGGAAGATATTACTAGGAGTTTTTAATGAGGAATAATTTTTTATATTTTATGCACTTTCTAAAGTATTATGCATTTCAGATTAAATCAATAAATGTAAATTTATTTAATGGGTATTAGCATAATAAAATTATTTCCATTTTATATTGAAATAGTATTTCATGATAATTTAAAAAATATTTGTACTTTTTTGTAGTTAATTTTCATATTAAATTACCATGAATTTTTGCGAAGTATTTTTGGCTCTATCAAGTATGAACGATTTTTAAATTCTGCTAAATCTTCTAGGTTCAAATTGAGATCTGTTATGTCCTCTGAAATATTATTAATAGAATCTTTGAGTTAAATATGTCAAATATTGGCTGGCCATGGTGCCTCGTGCCTATAATCCTAGCATTTTGGGAGGCCGAGGCAGGCAGATCACTTGAGGCCTCACCAACATAGCCAAACCTCATCTCTACCAAAACTACAAAAATTAGCCAGGCATGGTTGTGCATGCCTGTAATCCCAGCTACCCTGGAGGCTGAGGCAAGAGAATCACTTGAATCCGGGAGATGGAGGTTGCAGTGAGCCCCTAGCAGGCCACTGCACTCCAGCCTGGGCGACAGAGCACAATTCTGTCTCAAAAAAAAAAAAAAAAGAGTTAAATGTTGCTACTATGCTGTTCTTTCTTTTGAATATACTTAGAAATTTACCATATGCTGATTTATATAATCCTTATTTTGTATTTTTCATTTTGTCAACAAGCTGGTTTGTGACTAAATTTTGTTTATTTTCCTAAATTTAGAAGACAAGCTTGTCACTTAACAAAAATTATTTCCTATGAAATAGTATCAGACATTTGTAAAGTTTATAGTCAGAAGCTCTACCATTCACATCTTTTTATTTAACTGATCTTATTGTTTTGTATTTTCTTCTGTGGTGTCAGGTTATTTATAACACACATTTTCCCATTGTTTTCTCTAATCTCTACTGTGTGCTTCTTTACTTTTTTTTTTTTTTTCTTTGAGAGAGTTTCACTCCGTCACCCAGGCTGTGGAATGCAGTGGTGCGATCTCAGCTCACTGCAACCTCCATTTCCCAGGCTCAAGTGATTCTTGTGCCTCAGCCTCCCGAGTAGTGAGGATTACAGAACTATACCACCACACCAGCTATGTGCTTATTTACCATTGACATTCTCCAATACTTTTTAAAATTTTTTTTCTGAGTTTGATTATGTCTAAAATATTTGAGTCTTATTACACTTTGATTACCTTAGCAATTTTTTGGTTGTTTACAAAGTCTATGAATTCCACTTTAATTACAGACTCTGTGTTAAATTATATAAATATCTTTGGGAAACCTCAGTCCCTCCCTGCTTTTTAAAATTTTTTATAGCAACAGGGTCTCTCTCTGTTGCCCAAGGCTGATCTCAAATTCCTGGCCTCAAATGAACCTTTCACCTCAGCCTCCCAAAGCTCTGGGATTACAAGTGTGAACCACTGTGCCTGGTCCTCAGTACAGTAACTTTTTATCAGCTAGGTAGAACTTAGCTTTCAAACTTATAAATAACAAGATTGTGACTGTGCTGATACAAGCCCAAAACACATACTTTTTCTTCCTATCTAAATGTACATCTTTCATCTAAACGGTGGATAAATGATCAATGCTTTTGTATAGTTATTCTTGGTTCAGTTCCCATTGTTCAGGCATGGCTGAATATACATTGGTGTCATTTTACTAGTAATGCCTTCCTGCAGTGCAGAAGAATAGCTTTTGCAGTTTTCTACTTATACTGTTTTTTAGACCTTTGAGACTGGCAGCTACCATGAAAATTTCACTTTTCTTTTAAACCAGATTTTGCCATTAGATAATGAAGGTGCATACCATTTTACATTCTATTTTTAATGAAGGATATTCCTAGAAAAGTTTTTAATATTATATAATATAAAGACTGACAATTTTGAGTTTCTCCCATACTGTATTGTTGTGGGTTTTTTTCCTCTAATGTTCTTATGGTTGTCACAGTCAATGAAAAATACCCCATATCTTTTGGGAGATTGGTCTGAAAGATAATAACTGATTTGGTAATCTAGCAGACTAGCCAGTTGGAGAAGATTGTTTTTGAGATTTTAGATGGGTCAATATAAGATTACTTCATCCTTCCTTGAAAAATGTATAAAATTTGGCTTATTTCCTTTTCTAAAACTTTAAGAGACACTATTTAAGTATTTACCTTTTATTGAATGATTTTCTACCACTGGTCATTTTATATCAATAAAACAATCATTGTTATCTGTAATTAATGAGTGGAAGTAAAAACAAAATTCAGGCTTTCATCATTAACTTTAAGGGGAGAGGCTTTATAAATCTTTAATATTTTAATGTGAAATTACTTGTTTTTGAAATCTCCTTTGAGAACTTATTTTTTAGAACATAAAAAGGCCTACTGATTTTGCTATATTTATGGTTATCTTTAAGTATAGAAGTTTTCTTCCATAAATGTACTTGAGATATAGTGGATTACAATAGTCTTATATTATTATTTAGACTAACTGATTTATCAGAGCCAGATTTATATTGTATGTAATTTGAGGAAAGTCTTAACATAGGTTGTAGATGTAAACTTAAATTCTAAGGGTTTGAAACAGATGAGAAAAGTTATGGGATAAGTCATCAAAGAGTGAAATACTTCTTTTATATTCCAAGTTTTCACTTTCATTTTTTAAACTATGGACTACCTTTGTCCTTTACAAGTTTGAACTCTACAAAGCTGCCAAGTGAAGATCCTTAGATACTGACCTAATGAGAAGAGTGATAAGTGTACAAGTTCTACTGTTTAGAATTAGGAAAATGATCAGAAGTATGAGTAATTCAGTTTTGTTCCAAGATGAAACTTGAAATTTTTTTAAATAAAACATAGAAAGCCATTGTGACGTTAACTGGAAAGTTAATTTATATATTTTTGTTTGGTTGGTTTGTTTGGTTTTGAGGTGCAGAATGGTGGCGAACAACTGATGCTCATACTCGTACAGGAGCAACCTTCTTTCCACCATTACTGGGAATTCCACCACTATTTGCTCCCCCAGCCCAGAATCATGATTCTTCTTCATTCCATTCAAGGACTTCGGGAAAAAGTAATCGAAATGGTCCCGAAAAAGGTATCCACATTTACATAAGTGAAGTACTATAAATCTTCCATTCTAATATTATTTTCATAATGTTCAGGTTTAATACCTTTTTTTGTTTTTTGTTTTTGTTTGTTTGTTTGTTTTAATAGAGACAAGGTCTCACTCTTTTGCCCAGGCTGGAGTACAGTTGTATGATCATAGCTTACTGTAGCCTCGTCCTCCTGGGCTCAAGCAATCCTCCTGCCTCAGCCTCCCAAGGACTACAGTCATGTACCACTATGCCCAGCTACGTGTTTAAATTTTATTTTTATTTTTTGTAGCAACAGGGTCTCTGTGTTTCCAGCAGTCTCAAACTTCTGGCCACCTTCTGGCCTCAAGCAATACTCACACCTCAGCCTCCAAAAGCGCTGGGATCACAAGCGTAGGCCACCACACCCGGCCTTAATAACAGTTTTATAGTGTTATGCTAGACCTTTTCACATTTTCTTGCTTAATTCTTAAAATAATTCTTTGAGATTAGAAGTATTTTAATTTTACAGCCAAGGTCAAATAAGTTGTTCAAGAAAATACTACTTACATATGGATGTGGCCTAGTCAGGATTTTAGCCCAATTCTACTGTTTTTTCCTCTGTATTTCATTACCTCCCTATATGTAACCCAATATAGTGTGTTACTTCTTTTGTAATTAAGTATTAACTTCATTAAAATTAATAACCTAGTACTTTTTTAAATGATCACTAATATTTCTGCAATTAATAACTTGTTAGAATATAATTTGAAAATTATAACAACATTTTAGATGATTTACTATCTTTCTTTTCACTGAAGTGTTTTACAAAGTTCTCTAATGTGTTTTACAATTAAAACACAAAGTTTTGCATTTCATTATCTTTCTAAACATTTTGTTTAATTGAGGTGAAATTCACTTAACATAATATTAACCATCTTAAAGTGAATAATTTACTGGTATTTAATGCATTTGCAGTGTTGTACAACCACCACCTCTATCTTGTTCTGAAACATTTTTATCACTGCAAAAGGAAACTTTGTACCCATTAAGCAGTTGCCTCCCATTCCCCTCTCTCTCAGCCCTGGAAGCGATCAGTTTTCACTTTGTCCCTGTAGGTTTACCTGCTCTGAATATTTCATGTAGATGGAATCATACAACATGACCTTTTCTGTCTTCTTTCACTTATCATATTTTCAAGTTCATCCAACTGTACATATATCTGTACTTCATTTTTAAATGATGCAATAATATTCCATTGTATAAACATGTTTATTTTTATTTTCAAGGTGTAAATGGGTCAATAAATGGAAGTAATACATCATCTGTAATTGGTATCAACACATCTGTACTATCCACTACTGCTTCAAGTTCCATGGGACAAACTAAAAGTACAAGCTCAGGTGGAGGAAATCGAAAATGTAATCAGGAACAAAGCAAAAACCAGCCTTTGGATGCTAGAGTTGACAAAATCAAAGATAAGGTAAGTTGTACTTGGAAGGACTAATATATAACAGATCTATATATAAGATGAGCATTCTGAAGGTCAAATCAACAGAATCTATGGTTTAATTTCTTATGAATTACCAACTTTTATTTTTATAGATACGTGATTTATGGTGTCAGTACCAGTATAAATAATACAAATAGTAATAATAGATAAAATGTATTGAGAATTCACTGCATATCAGCTCTGCTCTAATTGCTTTTCATATAACTTTTAACTCTTCCCTGTATCCGAAATGAAGTAGCTACTGTTATTACAAATGGAGAAGCAAAGCACCAAAATAATTAGCCACTAAGTGACTGAGCCAGGATTTGAAAGCAAGTGGGTTAACTCCTGTGCATTAGAAAAGAGTGAATAAGAAAACCTTTTATTATGGAAACTTTCAAATATACAAAGTAGACAGAATGACCATTTGTACCTATTATTCAGCTTCAACAGTTGTCGCATCATGGCCAGTTTTATTTCATGTATATCCCCAACTTTGCAAGTTATCAATTTATTGCCTCTCAGCTCTCAATCACTCTTTTCTTCTTTGCCACTTCTTGCAGTGTTAGTCCTTGTTAGTAGAAGGTCCTGGAAGAACACTGGAAGAAGATGTTACTTCTTTTTCTTCTTCTTTCTTCTTTTTTCTTTCTTCTTCTCCTTTGACAGAGTCTGGCTCTGTTGCACTGGCTGGAGTGTAGTGGCAGAATCTCAGCTCACTGCAACTTCCACCTCCCGGGCTTAAGTTATCCTCCCACCTTAGCTTCCCTAGAAGCTGGGACTACAGGTGCATGCTACCACACCGAGGTAATTTTTACATTTTTTGCAGAGATGGGATCTCACTATGTTGCCAAGGCTGGTCTTGAACACCTGAGCTCAAGGGATCCACCGCCTCAGCCTCCCAAAGTGCTGGGATTGCAGGCATGAACCACCACATGTGGCTGGGACTTCTTTTTCTGGTTCTAGTGTTTTCTTCTTTTTCTTACGCTGTGGCTGCCAATGGGTGGCTTGCTTGCTGGCTGACAGCTTCTCTACTGGTGGTATCCAGGAGATCCAGTGGTGGTCAGGAGACCCAGTAGTATACACTGTCTAGTGAGTTTCATTGGCATCTCAGCAGGCAGTTTACTAGCAAGTTTTGAAAAGTAGGTGGCTTTCAAACTAATTTTACTGCCACTGTAGCTGACAGGTTCCCAGCCATGTTTTTCTGGTATCTTAGCAAGCAGTGTTTTGTGTGTGTCAGCCTTGACTGTGATACCTCATTGAGTTTCTCTGCCATCCAGTGGGCAATAGCCACATCCTCTCCCACAAAGTCTGAAACTTAGCCTTGGGTGAATGAAGGGGTTGGGGGAAAAAGTCCCTTTTCAAAGGTTATCTTTATTTCATTACTCTACCTTAGCCCTACAAAAAGTACATATTCCCTACATCTCCTTTTCCTGTATTATTTAGAGGTCACTTTATTCCTCTTAGTAGTTAATCTTCTGTTATTAATCAATAATTCTTTATGTTAAATTTTTCCTGTTCAGATTGTTAATGCGATTTCTTCCTCCTGAGTAGATCTTGTTGGCTCTTATCATTGGTTCCAGGAGTAGGGTGGGTATGCAGCTTGCAGGTGGTAAATTCACTTCTACATTCTGATCACTCTGCACTTTTGGATTCCCTCTTCCACATTATGTCAGAAGCTGTGACATCTCAATTTTATAAAATGTAGGTCATCATTGAGTCCAGGTTTCATTTATCTAACTAAGTAAGCTGAGAAGCCTCTAACTATATGATCTAGCATATTATGTATTAGAACACTCTTATCAGTGGATTTAGTCTGCTCCAATTTTTAATTTCTTCTTGAGTGAGAGGTCCCAGTTAAAGCCTTGTCATCAACTGCAAACATTTGGGAAACAAAGATAAGAGTTGTGTCTTCTCTTCTGTGTTTTATAAAAACTGCTTTCAGGGCCTGGTTTTCCAGTGGAAGAGAGTCAAAAGTTTGTGATCCTACACACATGATGTTCTTCACCATCTCAGCTGTAATATTGTGACAGGAAGCTTCTGATACATCACAACAAGAATAGCAAGATATGGGTAGTCACTGACTGCACATGACATTGATCCAAACTTTAAATCTGAACTACTGCCTCTTATACACCAATTTTTAATCCTAAGAACTACTTTGTCAAACTTTCTTTATCCTTTTTCAAGACAGCATCAAGCTCCATATATTTTCTGGAACAAATGAAACAGAACTGAACAAATACATTTATTTTCTTTTGCTGAGCATATTTCATAGATATATTTCCTCTAAATCTTTAAATTTCCTTCTCAATAGAAAACATTTTCCAGAGTATAACATGCTTATATGAAGACTTGGGGGAAGGCCATCTGGTAATGCTAAGAAGCTTGACGGTACCCATCACAAAAATGCAAAAGTACTGTACATAGGCCCCAAGACAACCATTTTCTTTCCCTTTCAACCTACACCACTGAGCACTGAAGCAAACATGATAAAAGATTCTTAATTGTTTCCTCCCAGGGACACAGGTATCAGTGTCATACTCTCCACCTGTTGTTCTGTACCTGCTCTTGGCTCTTCTCCCATAGGATTTGTTTCAATGGCAGTCTCGGTGTAAGCGCTAAGGTCCTATCTCTGAGCTACTGCCAGTTTCTCTGATGCCAGACACTGACTGAAACCATCCATTTCTGATTCCCATATTATTTTGAACCAAATCCCAGACATCATATCATTGGATGCATTTTTATATGTGCTTCCAAAAGTTAAATGCCCATGCTTTTAACCCTTATGCTATCCTACCTCTTAAGAAGTAGTGCTAAAATCAAGTAAAATCTTTGTTGCCTCTACAATGTGTAAGGCATTGTACAAGATCTTGGAGGCATGAATATGACACAGTTCCTGTACTTAGTTCTAATGAGGAATCTACATTGACATTCCTAAACAGAATCAGTGCTGTCATACTAAAAACTGTTACTAGGAGAACATACTGAAAACTCAAAGAGGCACCTCTTTCTACCCAGTTTTAGAGATAGATTCTGAGGTACCATAGTAGTGTCTAAGGCAACTAAGCAGAAATAACATTATAGAGAGATTGTCTATTCAAGTGAGGCATACTAGAACTTATGATTTCAAAAGAACAGCACTTTCAGATGATATGTGGTTCAGCATGGGTTTGTGGGAGTGGGTTGCTCAAGTAAAATGGAGATAAAGGGCATTGGAACTAAAGAAGAAAATCCTATACTTTTTCACCCAGTATTTCTTCAGTTTTCAAAACTTTTTTAAAAAGTTGCTTCATTCATTCTTTTCACATGTAGTTTGAAAAAAAAGTTCAGCTAATTTTGATACCTCCCATGGGAGGTGGGGTACTTATCTCAGCCATTCTCATTGAAAGTCATTGATTAAGTCCAGTCCCCTCATATAGTCTGCATATACATTTAGAATAAATATTGATATTTTAATTAAATAATTAAACTAAGACTAAAATATACAGCCTGTTAAGAAAAGAATAAAACAATTCAAGGTTGAATGAGTTTTATCCCAACTGTCGTACAAGTTATTCTTACCACAACAACCAAAATAGCCTTTAAAAACATATCTGATTTTTTATGGTTTGAAAGTATCACATGTTAGGGAATAGTAAATGATACTGCCACTGTGGAAAACAGTATGGCAGTTCCTCAAAAAATTAAAAATTGAATTACCATTTGATTCTGCAATTCTACTTCTGGGTATATACCACCCAAAATTGAAAGCAGTGTCTCAAAGAGGTATCTGTATACCCATACTCATAGCAGCATTGTTCACAATGGCTGAAATGTAGACACAACCAAAGTGTCTATCAACAGATAACTGGATAAGCAAAATACATGGGGAGGCACATGTGTACACATACATAAATACATGTTAGTATTATCCAGCTTTAAAAAGGAAGGAAATTCTGATATTTGCTACAGCATGGATGAACCTTGAGGACATTATTATACAAAGTGAAGTAAACCAGATGCAAAAGGACAAATACTGTACTGTATGATTCCACTTATTTGAGGTACTTAGACTCATCAGAATTATAGACCGAAGTAGAATGATTGTTGCCAGTGGCTAGCATGGAAGGAGGGATGGGAAGTTAGTGTTTAATAGGTATAGAATTTCAGTTTTATAGGATGGATAGCACTGATGTTTGCACAACATTATGAATGTATTTAATATCACTGAACCATACACTTTAAAATGGTTAAGATAGTAAATTTTATGTTATGTGTATTTTACCACAATAAAAAAATGAGGGGGAAGTATACATCAAATGTCATCACTCCCTCCACTAGTGTTCTATCCCAGTGGGAATAAAGTCCTTGCCATGACTTATAAGAGCTGTGTGATCTGACCTCCACCAGTTCATCCATGCTTATTTCCTATCACTGTCTCCCTGGTTCACTATGCTCTAACTGGTCTGCTGACCTTTTCATTTTGGAACACACTCAACCCACTTCTAGCTGGTGGCTTTTTCCTTTGCTGTTTCCCGTCTTGAAAGGCTCTTCTCTTATGTCCTTGGGTGATTGGCTCTTGCTCTCCCTTAGGTCTCAGCTCAGAAATGTCTTACCTGCTGACTACATGTAAAGCAAAACCCCACCCCACTCCCCACCACACATTGTCTATCCAGTTATTCTGTTTTACTTATGGTATTTATCACTCAAAATATTTATTTAAATTGTTTGTTGATTCTCTTCTTCTAGTTCTCACTAGGCAGAGCTGGTGTCTGTTTCTCACACCCTTGTATCCCCAGAGACTTGAGCAACTATGCCTGGTACATCATAGCCTTGAATATGTATTTGTTTTGTTACTAAAAGAAATAAATATACAGTGAAATGAAGGTTCAAGGATAAGGTTCTGAAAAGTTTTCCCAGATTGGATGGGGGAAAATTAATAAGCTGTTCTTTGATCACTTTTTGATAAACCTAAGAAGACTAACTTTTAAAATGTTTTAGCTTATAGTCCCAACTAGTTGAAGGCTGAGGCAGGAGAATCGCTTGAGCCCAGGAGTTCAAGGCTGCAGTGAGCTATGAAAGCACCATTGCACTCCAGCGTAGGTGACAAAGTGAGACCCTGACTCATTTAAAAAAATGTTTTAAATTTAAAAAATTTGTAAGTAATAAAACATTTTAAATAAGAGAAAAGAGACTTACTAGCTAATTATTTGTGGAAATGACACATATATACTCTAATGAAACTGGTGATACAAACCCATCTTTTTTCCCTATTTCTCTAATACTCACACTTGTCTTCTCATTTCTGTTTGTTTTAATGAGTACTAAATGTGTTACCTTATAAAAATAGAACTATTTACACATGGCCAAAGTATGCTCGGCAGAGACTCCCTGCATCAGAATCACATTAAGTGCCCTGTCTAGAAGTGGGACTCAGGAATGTTATGCACCCTAAAGCTTCAGAACCAGTACCTCTGGATGACTGTTCCTGGGGAGTATAGTCCCCATTTCTCATGCCATCTTTAAATAAAAAGCTACACACTTATTCCTTGGGCATTTAAATAGGAGTTAATTTTTCTCTGCTAAATCACTGTAGCTCTCTTATTTCTTTTCTTTGTTATCCCTTACTAAAACAAAAATGTTAATTTCAGTTTAGGTACCTTATGATTTTCGTGGTCTTGCTATACATGCTTAGAAAACTACAACAGATTTTGGTTGCAAAGAAGTAGCTGTTTCTTTGACAAATAAATGGTAGTCTTAATATTAATATATTATTATTTTCCTTTAATCTCTCTACCTTGTGATCTTTCTCATTGTGTGGGTACCCATACAATTCCAATTCAGTTTCTCGTTCCTGTCTGCCCTACTTTGAGGGAAGAAAACTCAAGAAATGATGGGAACTATTAGTCTGCTTATTGAAGTGTGTATCTTTGAAAGAGGCCTTCTTGTAACTAGTTTGGAGCAGTTAAAGCAGAGTCATTGCAAGGCCAGATGTGGTGGCTCACACCTGTAATCCCGGCACTTTGGGAGGCCGAGGCGGGTGCATCATGAGGTTAGGAGTTCAAGACCAGCCTGGCCAAGATGGGGAAACCCCGTCTCTACTAAAAATACAAAAATTAGCGTGGTGGCAGGCGCCTGTAATCCCAGCTACTCAGGAAACTGAGGCAGAGAATTGCTTGAACCTGGGAGGCAGAGGTTGCAGTGAGCTGAGGTCGTGCCACTGTACTCCAGCCTGGGCGACAGAGCGAGACTGTCCCCGAAAAAAAAAAAAAAAAACAAGAGTCATTGCAAACGGAATATAATGGCGGGAGTGACTCTCCTCACTCATATGAATGTTACCTGAATCAATGTTCAGAAGACACAATAAAAAGACTACAGATTTGCAATCTGTAACCGTGGCTTCAATTTGGCTCTCTGTTGTGGAGATATATTACTGTATTTCATTCCCCAATCCCGAGTAGTCATAAAAGGATGTATTTCTGTTAAGATCATAACTTTTGTAATTTATTGTTATTTTTTCTATATTTTGTTCTTTATCAGCAAATGCCATTAAAATGTTCCTAGATTGTACTTAATCTTGTGGCTCCATCATTTCAATGTTTCTCCTTTTCAGTCTTTCTATTGGTGAAATTTTAACTTTCCCATTGTTAAATAATTATGAATATTTTCAATAATCTACATGACAGAGCTTGTACTTTTTATTGAGGAGTTCTTTTATAAGTTAATTGATTGGTTTGTTAATTTGTTATAATACATCTCATGATTTTTCCTCTTTTTGTCCACTACTATTATGTTTTCTTGAACACAAAACTTCACTTTTATGTGACCTAATAACCACTTTCTACCAGCTTTGGATTTTATTTTTCTTGCAGAGTCTTAAATGTTCCAAAAATAAATCTCTCTCGTCATATTTATCTACCTCATCTTCTACCTTTTTTTTAATATTTTCTGAAATGAAACATAAACAGTTAAATTCCTTGACCCTAACTAAAGCAGCCCCATAGGTCTTTTGCTACCCTACTTTATCTTCTCTACAGCACTTATTATTATATGGAATAATTTGCTTTTATATTAAGCATTTGTGTACCCTCCCCTATCACCAGCACTAGTAAGTTTCTTGAAGGCAAGGACTCAGTCTTGGACATACCCAGAAAGGTGTGTGTGGCATGTTATAGGTAAATGTTTGGCTACTGACTCACTGTCTGCAAAAAGAAAGAAGACTAAAGCTAAATGTGTAACTTTTGATGTATGTATCATAGTTGGAATTATTTTGTGAACTGATCTTTTTAATCTGTCATACATTTTGAAGAATAACAGTCATATGAGTACATCTACACATATGCTATATTGATATTTTCAATATTCTACATGACAGAGCTTGCACTTTTCATTGAGGAGTTCTGTCATGTAAGTTAAGTTGATCAGTTTGTTAAATAATTATCCTTACGATATGTGACTTTTTCCTACAATGACATTTTGAGATTGAAAATATCATTTGAAAATTAAAAAGAGTACACCTTTTATTGAAACTTGAATGTTTTCCAAAAATAAAGTCTTGCCAACTACCTTGTCGTTATCCAGAAACCAAGGAAGAAAGCAATGGAAAGTTCTAGCAACAGTGATAGTGATTCAGGCACATCATCAGACACCTCAAGTGAAGGCATTAGTAGCAGTGATTCAGATGATCTAGAAGAAGATGAAGAAGAAGAAGATCAAAGTATTGAAGAAAGTGAAGATGATGATTCTGATTCAGAGAGTGAAGCACAACATAAAAGTAACAACCAGGTATAATTTTTTTCATGGACAGTATCCAAACATTATTCATATTTAGGAATTAACTGGTTTATCTTGACTCTCAAAGTCTGTAGTTTTAAAGTTAATCATTACTTTGAGTTCATACTTTTGCCCAAGAAAGAAGATGAAGAAATGTTTTTAAAGGGACATACGGTATTTCTTTTACGAATTTTTAGATTTTTAGATATTATCATAAGGCATTAAGAACACTTTGAAAGTACCCGTTTTTATCTCCAGGTTTTACTGCTTGATAGTCTTTGTCTTAATAGATGTTAGGAACTTACCTTTTCATTTTTATATCTAGGTGCTATTACATGGTATTTCAGACCCAAAAGCAGATGGACAGAAAGCAACTGAAAAAGCCCAGGAAAAAAGAATACACCAGCCATTACCTCTTGCGTCTGAATCCCAGACTCACTCATTCCAATCCCAGCAGAAGCAGCCTCAGGTTTTGTCACAGCAGCTTCCATTTATTTTCCAAAGCTCTCAGGCAAAGGAGGAATCTGTGAACAAACACACCAGTGTAATACAGTCTACGGGATTGGTGTCCAATGTGAAACCTTTATCTTTGGTAAATCAAGCCAAAAAGGAAACTTACATGAAACTCATAGTTCCTTCTCCTGATGTTCTTAAAGCAGGGAATAAAAATACCTCTGAAGAATCTAGTTTATTGACCAGTGAATTGAGATCCAAACGGGTGAGTTACAAATTATTTATACAAGAATTTTACTATTAGAGAAAGATAGAGCTTCTATATTGTCTTACAATACACAAGTTTAAGTTAAATTCTACCTTCATTTTTATACTTTCTTAGTCTCCAGGAATAGAATATGTACAGCAGAAAACTAAATTTCTCTGATTTTATATTCATATATGTATCTGTTTAATGTATTTTTGGCAATGCAATCATGTCATTCCAGCTCCCCTGCAACCCATGCCTAAGGTAAGTCCCCACACCCAAGATCTAAGGATTTAGAAATAAGGGGATAAATATGTTTGAGTAAGACAAGCTTCACAATTACTTGGGTTTAAAATTAATGTCCTTTTTTTCCTAATACCAATTTTTTTTTATTTTTTTTTTTTGAGGCAGGGTCTCAATCTGTTGCCGAGGCTGGAGTGCGGTGGCTCAATCTCAGCTCACTGCAACCTCCACCTCCCGGATCCAAGTGATCCTGCTGTCTCAGACTTCCTAGTAGGTGGGACTACTGGCATGCGTCACGACACCAGGCTAATTTTTGTATATTTAGTAAAGATGGGGTTTCACCATGTTGGCCAGACTGGTCTCAAATTCCTGACCTCAAGTGATCTGCCCGCCTCGGCCTCCCAAAATGCTGGGATTACAGGCATGAGCCACTACATCCGGCCAAATATATTCTTTTTCAAAGAAGTGAACTCAAGTAATTTACCTCTGTAGTCCTAGAATGTACACATTTTAAGTGTAAAAACCCTTCATAAAGAATCACTTTTCTGGCCAGACATGGTGGTTCACACCTGTAATCCTAGCACTTTGGGAGCCAAGGCAGGAGGACTGTTTGAGCCCAGGAGTTTGAGACCAACCTCTGCAACATAGTGAGACCCTGTCTCTACCGAAAAAAAAAAAAAAAATTTTCCTTTGTCATTCTTAATGGATTATATGAAATATAACTTCTACTTACACAAACACTGGAAACACTCCAGAGAATTTTCTCATCTTTGTTTTTCTTGCTGTTGATTTTACTACATAGACTAAATTCATATGTCCAGCAAAAAATTCTAATAATTAAATGATTATTGCTTTTTATTCTAGAATCAGCCTAGAGTAGGAAACCATTATGTTTGAACACAATATTACAAATATTATCTTTAGGCGACTTAATTAGATATCACTTGTAGGGCATCTACTGTTTGCCAGCCATTGTTTTAATTGCTGAACATACGTTAACTTATTGGTAATAATATCTATGAGTGCTACTAATATTATCCTCATTTACAGATGATAAAATTAGACATTTACATTAGACTCAACTCTAAAAGGTACTACCTTCTCTTTGTCAGTACCTATTATTGAGGTAGAGGTACCTACCTGCATCCCTCATTAGTTCATTATTTTCTTAAAGGTTATTTAATCATTGAATCCTTCAGTACCCTTACACTGAAGAAAATGTCACTTAAATCCATATAGATTGATTGAATACATAGACCAGGAGTAGAATTTTGTAGATCTTCTGTCAGCTTTCTTTTATCAACTGTTTTTTCTTTTTCTTTTTTTTGAGACAGAGTCTCGCTCTGTTGCCCAGGCTGGAGTGCAGTGGCAAGATCTCCGCTCACTGCAAGCTCCACCTCCTGGGTTCACGCCATTCTCCCGCCTCAGCCTCCCGAGTAGCTGGGACTACAGGCGCCCGCCACCATGCCCAGCTAATTTTTTTGTATTTTTAGTAGAGATGTGGTTTCACCATGTTGGCCAGGCTAGTCACAAACTCCTGACCTCAAGTGATCTGCCTGCCTCGGCCTCCCAAAGTGCTGGGATTACAGGCGTGAGCCACCACACCTGGCCCCAAATGGATATCTTAAAGCAGCAAGAGATTTGCTGCTATACAGGTCTCAATTTTCTCTCCATCTCCTTTTTACACATCACTCCTGATTTTAAAAATGATAATATGTGTACTATAAAAGAGTAATTGGGATAAAATATAGAAATCTTTGGCTATTTTTAAAAACTTATTGGTGTCAATATATGGGAAGTGATTCTTCAGAATTACAGTGAGGAACAGTTGCAGAAAATTAAAATACAATACTAAAGGGACTTTTGTTTTCATGGCCCTTTAGACCTATATATTTAGAAGGAAAACTTACTACCTATAAAAAAAGATTACAAAATTATTACATGACATAATTATGTTCTAACAAACGAAAACACACTAATTTTTCTGCTGAAAATTTGAATCTTGTATATTAAAGTATTTTATGTAAGAATTTTGCTATAAAATTACATTGAAATGGTACATCTAACTAGCATAATTTTCTAGAATTTACTGAATAATTACTAATTAAGCACTTTCTCTTTGTAAGGTATTGCCTTAGGTACAAATATTTTGTGACAGTTTTTATTTACAAAGAATTATCTTAACAATTTTCTAAACTAATACAGTATAGATGTTAAATAAGATAAAAAGTTTACATTGCTTACTGCTTGTTAGTACTGCTGCTTTAAAATATTTAATAAGTATTTCAGGCTGAGTGCGGTGGCTCTCGCCTATAATCCCAGTACTTTGGGAGGCCAAGGGCAGGTGGATCACCTGAGGTCAGGAGTTCGAGGCCAGCCTGGCCAACATGGTGAAACCCCTTCTCTACTAAAAATACAAAAAAAGGCTGGGCGTGGTGGCTCACGCCTGTAATCCCAGCACTTTGGGAGGCCAAGGCAGGCGAATCACAAGGTCAAGAGATCGAGACCATCCTGGCCAACATAGTGAAACCCCATCTTTACTAAAAATATAAATATTAGCTGGGCGTGGTGGGGTGTGCCTGTAGTTGCAGCTACTCAGGAGGCTGAGGCAGGAGAATCGTTTGAGCCCAGGAGGTGGAGGTTGCAGTGAGCCAAGATCGCGCCACTGCACTCCAGCCTGGCAACAGAGTGAGACTCTGTCTCAAAAAAAAAACTAAAAAAAACAAAAACATTAGCCAGGTATGGTGGCACGTGCCCATAGTCTCAGCTACTCAGGAATCTGAGGCAGGCTTGAACCCGGGAGGTGGGGGTTGCTGCGAGCCAAGATCGTGCCACTGCACTCCAGCCTGGGTGACAGAGTCCAAAAAAATAATAATAATAAAATATTTATAAGTATTTTATATAACATTCCATCAGCATTTACACTTGTGAAATCTCCATCACAAATCTTTGCTGATTTTAGTGTTAGGAGCCCAGGTCTGATGCTGACAACACTACTGATTTTAATTTCAAGGCAATCATTTTCAATGCAGAATTTTACCTTAGATTAAGAAATTCAGCTCCTTCTGTTAACTCAAAGGATTTTAATAATTCTGCTGCTGTTAATTTTTATGTAATATTTTAATTATAGTAGCTTAATAAAATTCATGATTGTGTTGTTTTCAAGGGGATTCTAATAGTTAAATAAGTTTTTGTTTATAGACATAAATTTTATGGCTTAATAGTTTATAATCTTTTCCAAGAAAATTGTATTTTTCTAAATTGTTTACTCGGGAATATTACTGTGCAAAGGCACACTAAAGTAGATCCCACAGAATGTTGAATGTCCATTTCCACCAGCTTAGTATCTTAAATCTTTGCTTCAAAGAAGTTCTTGCTCAGGAAGTTATTCATTCAGCAACCTAAAATTGTTTTTTGAGTACATATCAAGCACAGGGTTCTGAGCAATGTCTTAGGAAGACCATAAAGGTGAATAAATGAGTGTTTCTACCCTGAGGAATTTATCAAAGATGTTAAGTTATCTCCTTAGAGGTATAAGTCATATAGGCATATTCTATGTATACTAAAGGTGGTATGGCATAAGAGTACATATAGTCACCAACTTAGAATTGTTTGACTTGGCCGGGCGCAGTGGCTCACGCCTGTAATCCCAGCACTTTGGGAGGCCAAGGCAGGTGGATCACGAGGTCAAGAGATCGAGACTATCCTGGCCAACATGGTGCAACCCCATCTCCACTAAAAATACAAAAATTACCTAGGCATGGTGGTGCATGCCTGTAGTCCCAGCTACTTGGGAGGCTGAGGCAGGAGAATCACTTGAACCCAGGAGGCAGAGGTTGCAGTGAGCCGAGATCGCGCCACTGCACTCCAGCCTGGTGACAGAGCAAGACTCCATCTCAAAAAATAATAATAATAATAATAATAATTCTTTGACTTATGATCTTTCAACTTCACAATGGAGCGAATGCTATACACATTCAGTAGAAATTGGTACAATAATCCCTTGATGCTGAGCAGCAGCAGTGAGCCACAGCTCCTGGTCAGCCGCATGATAACAAGGGCAGACAACTGATACTCTACAGTTTACTGTGTTGATAGGTTATTTTGCTCAACTTTAGGCTAATGTAAGTGTTTTCAGTACATTTAAGGTAGTTTAGACTAAGCTATGATGTTTGGTAGGTTAGGTGTATTGTATCTATTTTTGACTTAATGATATTTTCAACTTTCGATGAGTTTATGGGGAAGTCACCCCATGGCAAGCTGAGGAGCATCTATATAAAGAGGTAAAAGAGCTCAAAGGAAAGAGGCAAAGAATGCTTCTGGCTGGGAAATTTGGAAAGCTTCTTGGTTTGGATCTTGAAGAATAAACAGTATTTTGTCAGCTTGAAATTTCTAAGAGGAGGCTATTTCATGCAAAGAAAATGGTTTTAAGTTTGGATTATTGTGAAAATGGAAGCAACAGTAAAGAGGGGAGGCTAGTCAAAAGGCATATAATTTTTAATGGGGAAAAACTAAATAAATTTTAATAAATTAGAGCCAAAATGTAGCAACCAACTAGTCATAGCTGTTGCTACTTTTACAGCATTTGTATATCATGATTTAAATTTATATATGATATAATAGCTATAATTTGTTTTCAGATATTGAAAGCAAATAAAAGCAATCTTTGTTTTGTGGTACATTTTGTTGTGTTTTTTAACTTATGTTTCAACAGGAACAATATAAACAGGCATTCCCATCACAGTTAAAGAAACAAGAGTCATCGAAGAGCCTGAAGAAGGTTATTGCAGCTTTGTCAAATCCAAAAGCAACCTCTAGTTCACCAGCACATCCAAAACAAACATTAGAAAACAACCACCCAAATCCATTCTTGACAAATGCACTTTTAGGTAATCACCAACCAAATGGAGTTATTCAAAGTGTCATTCAAGAAGCTCCTCTAGCACTTACTACCAAAACTAAAATGCAGAGCAAGATTAATGAAAACATTGCTGCTGCAAGTAGCACCCCTTTTTCCTCACCTGTAAATCTGAGTACAAGTGGGAGAAGAACCCCTGGCAATCAGACACCTGTAATGCCCTCTGCCTCTCCCATCCTGCATAGTCAAGGGAAGGAAAAAGCAGTTAGCAATAATGTAAACCCAGTAAAAACACAGCATCACTCCCATCCTGCAAAATCTTTAGTGGAACAATTCAGAGGAACAGATTCAGACATTCCCAGTAGTAAAGATTCTGAAGATTCAAATGAGGATGAAGAGGAAGATGATGAAGAAGAAGATGAGGAAGATGATGAAGATGATGAATCTGATGACAGCCAATCAGGTTATTTTCATTTTAAAATTTAAAGTATTTCTCTAAATGCTATGTGAACCAAACATTTTAAAGGGTTTCTTAATTCAGACTTAAAATCAGCGTCATTTACTATGTTTCACACAACTTTGTGCATTTCTATAATGAGCTCATAAAATACAGGAGTAATTGATACTGGAAATCCTAAGTCAGATTCTCAGCTTGTTATTCATTTGACATTAAACAAATAATCACTTTAGGGTGAATACAAATGATGCATAAATTAAGACATAATTTCATCAACTTGCTTAATTTTTATTTCATTCAGGACCACTCTTTTTTCATTTCTTCTGCTACTTGTTAAAATGCATCACCAGCTGTTTTGAACACAGATAAAATTATAGTCGTCATTCAGAAAGTACCAAAAACCTAAATCTCTATGAATGTTCATCAATAACAGAAAATTTGTTAAATAACATATAGAGGACTCTCTGATTTAATTTTGAGTCACTTTTTTTTTTCTTTTTGCTGGGTCTAGGGTTAACTTCTTTGCATTTTTATTTTCCTTCCCTCTCCTCATTCCACAGAAGACTGAAAACATAAAATACAAGAGAGCTTAAATTGCGAATACAAAAATGAAATACATATTATAAATGTTTGTGGATTTGTTACTGGTCAACTACAGATTCAACTAATTTTTTTTAGCAGCTAATATGAATAGGAAAATATACTCAGCTGTACAATTTAAAGTGTCTGTAAGTTAAAAACAAACTTCGTGCTCAGGGTAAAACCACTCTTCCTGGGGTTTCCATAAAACAACTTTGTATGATAGATCATAAATATCAATATTCATAACTTTCAAAACTAACTTTTATAATGAATTTCAATATAGGCAAATGGTATAACACAAACCAGAATTCCACAGAAGCTATTGTACCGTGAACTATGAGGAAACAGTCTAAGTATCACTCCTGTGTTTATCAAGTTTAATCTAGTAATAGATTTTACATATGTAGAGGAATGGATGCATCATACATAGAACTACGTAGCTAGAACAAACTTAAATTATTGAATTATCCTACTATAATTATTTCTGTAAGCCTGGTTTTTTGAGAGGCCTGAAAAGCCTGATGAAGTCTTGTATGTAAATAGAAAAACTGCAGCCAAAAGACCAAGAATCTCCTGTTGAAAATTGTCTTCTTTTACTCCAAAGCCCAAATGGAAGTATGCTGGTAGTTTCAGATTTCTCTTTCTCATATTTGACTTACTGTACTTCATAAGCCATTGGAATCTGTTCATTTGAACAGTCAATTTAATCCCCTCTTTTACTTTAGTTTCTCTGTTAAATAAAAAATTATTTTGATGCCATTAAGCAGAACTCATCATGTGAATAGTGTCACATGAGAACTGTTTAAAGTGTTGAGTAAAACTTACACTTAAAAAATTGTTTTTGAAGATTGATAGCCTAAATACACTGTTCTCAAATAGCTTATAACATTTACTCTGTAGGAAAATTGCTCATTTGAGTTCTCATTCACAGGTGCTGGTTCCTGAGCTAGTCCATTTAGATACAAACTGCAAATTATTGGTGATTATCTAGTTATAATATACAAATGCTTCTTTTACTTCCCAGAATCAGATAGTAATTCAGAATCAGATACAGAAGGATCAGAAGAAGAAGATGATGATGATAAAGACCAAGATGAATCAGATAGTGATACTGAAGGAGAGAAAACTTCAATGAAACTGAATAAAACAACTTCCTCTGTCAAAAGCCCTTCCATGAGTCTCACAGGTCACTCAACACCTCGTAACCTCCACATAGCAAAAGCCCCAGGCTCTGCTCCTGCTGCCTTATGTTCTGAATCCCAGTCACCTGCTTTTCTTGGTACATCTTCTTCCACACTTACTTCAAGCCCACACTCTGGTACCTACACTTTATTTTTATTATTCTAAAGTAGAAGTCAAACCATAGCAAGAATTTTTATTGATAAGAGTGTTCTGGAGATGATCTCACTGGAATCAAGATTAAAGTTAGATTTTAGGTTGGCTAAGGAAGGTGAGCCTGTATTTTCAAAGGATATGACTCATTACCTGGTCTTTTTTTTCCCCCCGAGTTTCCAGTTTAAGGATCTGATTGATGATAGTTCCTTTGGTTTTGAACCTTTCTGCTTTTGTGTTCAGTTTGTGCTTCTAGAATATAGAATTTAATTGACAGTTGGACTTTTTTGTACAGTTGACCCTTGAACAACGCAGGATTTAGGGGCACTGGCCCCACACACAATCGAAAATCTACATCTAACTTTTGGCTCCTCAAAAACTTAACTGTTAGCCTACTATTGACCAGAAGCCTTACTGATAACATGAATAGTCAATTAACGTATGTTGTATGTGTTATATACTGTATTCTTACAATAAAGAGAAAAGAAAAATGTTAGTAAGAAAATCATAAGCAAGAGGAAATATATTGACTCTTCATTACCTGGAAGTGGATCATTATAAAGATCTTCATTCTCATCTTCATGTTGAACAGGCTGAGGAGGAGAAGGATTGGTCTTGCTGTTTCATGGGTGGCAGAGGCGGAGGAAAATCTGAATATAAGTGGACTCACACAGTTCAAACCCATATTGTTCAAGGGCCAACTGTACTTTATAAAAAAGCTCACTTGGTTACTTAAGATGCTATCTGCCCAATATATAGCCAGTGTCTTTTCTATTAGAGAGTAGCATTCTTATTCCATTAACGTGCCATGTCCTTTTTTTTCCCATTTGACTTTTTATAAATTCCTAGAGGTCTTCATTAAACATTTATACACTTAATATTCCACAACTACTCTCAGTTCTCATTCAATGTCTAAGAAAATATAGATGTATATAGTAAAATATTTTGTTGTTTTACTTATTTCACTCTCCTCTTGTCAGTTTCTAGCTTTACTTTCATTTACCACATACCAATATGATAGCCTACTAATTTTAGATGAACTTATTTGTGTTTGTGAAACTTGATCTCGGTCTTAGAAAATTTTTACATAAAATCATAATCCTGTTCCTTGGTGGCTTAGGTTAATTAAAAGACCTGGTAGTGTTTTTGACTATGGATTTATATGGACATAGAAATTAAATCGTCTTTAAATATATGAGCCAGCTGTTGAAATTTTTCAGCATCCAAAAACTCCTATTTTCAAAGTCAACAGTTTAAATAGATTTTCTGAAACCTCTATTTCTCTCCTGCTTCTCTAGCCATTTCTTTAATAATAAAATGAGAGGAAAGGTGTATATTTTTACCTTGGATTGTATTTTCTTTAGAGAGAAAAACTAGTTATCCTGTCATTCAGACCCAAAAGAAGAAAAAAGCCCCCTGCCTTATACAGTGTTTTATTGAAAACCATCTAAAAATAATGTATAAATTACAGAAATACACTAAATCCAAGTTATTAACATATACTTTTTTAAAGAAAAGTTTCTAAACTATCAATATTATTATTTATATTAATGAATGTTTTATATTAACCAATTGAATTTTTTTAAAGGCACTTCCAAAAGAAGAAGAGTAACAGATGAACGTGAACTGCGTATTCCATTGGAATATGGGTATGCAAAATAAGGTTTTCCTTTTTCTTTTTCCCCCATATATTTATGCAAGTTTGATGTATACTTGATTTCTCATTCTCTACAATTAATAGAAGAAGTACATAGCTGCATAGTATTTATTAGAGCAGAAGAGCCGGAGCAAAGGGCAAGGAATTTGGTATATCAGAAAACTGAAATTAATCCTGTTTCCTGGAGGTATGGCAGAGCTGGGGTGGGATGATACAGCCAAGTAGGAACATGACTGAAAAAGAACCAAGAGCAAATCAGATGGCAAAGGGCAGGAGTACATGAGACTGTGAGAAGTTTTTGTGAAGATAGAATTAAAGGACAGTAAAAGCCACTTTGGTCAAAATTGAGGGACTCAACCAGAGTTTGGCTAAAATGGTTTAATTAGAAATGACAGCTTTTAGACTGGATGTACGTGAACCCCAAGCAGCAGAGAGCCAGGTTTACTTTACTCCTCCCTTAAAGCTTTTCAGATGTAAAAAATCAGTACACATTAACATGTTACTGAAATGTCAGAGTACCCAAAGTAATCAAGTATGATTTCTAAAAATTTTGATGGAGTTTAATATATAAATTGAATAATTAATTTTCTAGTTGAATTAGCTAAAAATCTAAATAATTTTGAGAGTTAATGTATTTGGGTTGTTTGAGGAGTTTATTTTTGTTTTCATTTTTTATGTTTTCTAGAGAACATGTATACTTTAACTTATTTTTAATTTTTAAAAGCTTTCTTGAAATTAAGTATGTCATAACCTTCATTTCTGTTATGTGTAGCTGGCAGAGAGAGACAAGAATAAGAAACTTTGGAGGGCGCCTTCAAGGAGAAGTAGCATATTATGCTCCATGTGGAAAGAAACTTAGGCAGTACCCTGAAGTAATAAAGGTACATACTTTTCACCAAATAATGTACATTTGGTGCCTATTAAGCATGATCATGTACAAAAAAAAAGTGTACTCCTTTCTCAGATAAAGTTCCTTGATACTAAATATTCTCTTGTATGGGACTATTGTACTTAACCTAAATTGATCTCCTATAAATTTAGAGCCCCTTGATAGAATATGCAAAACATTAGTGTCCTGAAGCTAGCTATACATCAAAGCTGGGTTGTAATTATTAAAACCTGAAGTGGAAAAATATGTGATTTTTTCAGTATCTCAGCAGAAATGGAATAATGGATATCTCAAGGGACAATTTCAGCTTCAGTGCAAAAATAAGAGTGGGTGACTTCTATGAAGCCAGAGATGGACCGCAGGTATCCACTTTTTAAAAAGTATAGTCTTTGAACCAAAAAGTAGTACCATAACCTAAATGAAGTAAATTTCACTACACTCTGGAGCATTGCCTTTCTTTAATTAGTTCATATGGCTATACATATAACTTTGTGGTAAGCACTCATTAAGGCCTCAATTAACTATGTTTCAGTAACAAGGAGCTTTGACATAATAGGTATCTTTTTCATATTTAAGTAAATTTTTTCTGTTTATTAATTCAACCAATAACTTTACAGTTTATATAGGTATAAAAGCATCTGCATCTTCATATGAAATATAGGAAAACATTAGTTTTCTGAAAAGTACAGCTAGTTTTAAAAACTAATTTGAATATGAAGACCCTATTATTATAAGTCAGTCCAAAAGAGGATATGTATGCCCTAGTGTTTTGGAAGAATCTTGTCCATTTGATTATGCCACGCTATATGATGCATTTTCACAAGTTTGATAAGTTTTTTTTTGTCATTTCTTAAAATTAGGTGAATGAAATTTCTGGTTTTTGCAGAAATTCAGTTTTTACATTAAGTGGTACACATTTCTGAACATATCACCACAGCTCCCTTTGAGCTTACAGTGTTAAGTACACATCCTCACCAGTCAGCAAAAAGAACCCACCAAGGAGATCTCATTTCCTGTATGTTTTCTTTAATGCTTTCCCTTTGTTCCTTAGTTGTATTCAGCTGCATGTGCTTATTATTCCCTTTAGCTGCATTGAAAGGGGTCCCAGTTAAGGAGTGATGAGACCTAGATTCTTGTTAATCCGTGAAATACTCTTGTAATTCTGAACAATAACAAAATAATGCCCCCTTTTCCATCCACTTTGTTATCTGCCAAATAGAAACGATTATAATTACACTTCTTGTCTCATAGGATTATGGCAAGATTAAAATGAGATCATATGCATAAAAATGTTTCAAAAGGCTAAAATGCTCAGCCAGCTGAAGTTGATATTTTCCTTCTTCCTTGAACCTCTCTCTCTTCTGTCCCATTATAATGCATAGAAAAGTTTTTTGGCAATTAATATTTTCTTTGTGAATAGGGAGCTTTTCTATCCTATCTTACCCTTTAATTTTATAATTTTGAAATGGAAAAGGTCTCCCTCATTCTGTAAGAGGTTTATTTTGAGTTTGGAAGCTTAAAGGAATTTTTTAAGGTCACACACAAGGCTGAGACATAACTAGAACTCAAGGTTTCTGAAAAAGTAATCTTTTGCATACATCATGTAACCTATTTTCTATTGTAGTCCATGACTTTTAAAGAAAGAAGTTATGTCCAGATCTACCTGTCTCTTTATTGGTAGTTCTAAAATGTCAAAATGGGTTTATCTGAGATTTATAGAAATATATGGAAATATATTCTAGGGTTTTCTATTTTTTTAAAAACTAAAGATTTTGACTTAGACTAAATCTGTCACCAGATTCTTAGAATTTTAGTGAACCACAGTGTTACACATTCTGTATACACGATATCAGTTTTAAAGTCATAAAACATATTAGAAACTTTAATCGTTTTAAAAGTCTTTGTTTCATGTTATCAGATTCTTACTTGTATTATTTATGCCAAAGATGTCTTTGTGATTTTAAGTTCACTAGATTTTTGTTCGGAGAGGAAAGCTAATTGCTATTTAGCATATAAAGGATTTTTAGTTTTATATCAGTGATAATTAGACCTAATCTATAAAGCCTCATTACACAGAGTAGAATGTTCCTTGACATGCATTCACTTTTTATTAAATATAATCAGTGTTTTCCAAATGCATACTGTCTTGTTGAGATCAATTCCAATCAAGGAAATAGGATGAATTACTAAAGCCAAATATGTTAAGCTGCCAACATTTCAGCAGAATGCTAGGGGAAAACATTCGTAATTTTGAGAGCATTTCTTTTAGCTAAAACCAAAATTAGTACACAGGAATTCAGGATACTTTTAGAAAACAACAATTAAAGGTAAGTCATCCAAAAAAGTGTTCTAGTTAATTAATTAGAGATGCATATAGTTATAAAACCATGTACATTTTTATATACTGGATTGTGTGATTAATAGGTTTAAGCATATGGTTAACTGGAAATGTATATCATTATATAAGAATGTTCTCTGAAAACCAAGATTATATAATTTTGTTATAGTAATTATGATGTGAAATAATTTTGATCACCCTAAATTTTGTAGAAGATGTAAAATATAGTGTGACACAAAGCTACTGCTACCATGCAGTGATGATCATACGTATTTACAATATATCTGCTTTTATGCAAATTGTGTAAGTGGTTTGATGATGAAACATGTTTAAAAAACTGGATATTAAAAGACTAGAAGGAAATGTGTCAAAACTAATGATGGATGTAATGGTGATAACAAAGGATTTTTTTTGCTTTCTACATTTTTTGCATGTTGTGTCTTTTCTAAAATTTGCTTGTTTTATGTATATAATGTGAAAAACAGGCCGGGCATTGTGGCTCACGCCTGTAACCCCAGCACTTTGGGAGGCTGAGGCAGGCGGATCACTTGAGCTCCGGAGTTCAAGACCAGCCTAGCCAACATGGCAAAACCCCTTCTCTACTAAAAATACAAAAATTAGCTGGGCATGGTGGTGGGCACCTGTAGTCCAGCTACTCAGGAGGCTGAGGCAGGGAGAATTGCTTGAACCTGGGAGGTGGAGGTTGCAGTGAGCCGAGATCAGGCCACTGCACTCCAGCCTGGGCGACAGAGTGAGACTCCATCTAAAAAAACAACAACAGAAAAACAATTTCCTGTCTTTTAAAACTAAATACCCCTATTCTTTGTAATTCAATAAAACTGAGAATTCATAGTTTTCCAAATGCATGGAGATTGTACAAAATGATCTTAAATGTTGCCACTACAGTTTTCCAAGCTTCATGTATCTATTGTGATGTTTGATAGCAAATGAAATGCTGTATTTGTGGATTCATTAGTACAGTCAGCCCTCCATATCTGTGTTTTCTGCATTTGCGGATTGAAGCAATTGTGGATTGAAAATTCTCAGGAAAAAAAAATGTATCTGTAGTCAACATGTACAGACATTTTTCCTTGTCATTATTTTCTAAACAATATGATGTAACAACTATTTGCATAACATTTACATTGTGTTTACTATTATAAGTAATCTGGTGATGATTTAAAGTATATAGGAGTATAGGTATAGGTTATATGCCAATACTGTGTTATTTTTATTCAGGGACTTGAATATCTGCAGATACTGGTATTCATAGAGGGAGGTCCTGGATACTAAGGGACAGCTCTATTCTTAATCACTCTCCTATTAAAACATTTTCCTGGGAAGTATATTTTTTTCATCATTTTTTAATCTTAAAACATATCCCAAAACCCCCAACGTTAGTTCTATATGTTCTAATTTTACTTAACACATAACAAAAATTGCATCAGCAGAATTCCAGTTCTCCATATATTATATATAAAATTTAGGAGATAATACTTTCTGCTAGAAGATAATACCTGCATTGCAGAATTCTGGGTTTTTCTCTAGTTTATTGAGATAATGATTTATTCCTTCCAGTAGTATAATTTACATAAAAGGCCATTCAGCTCAACATTAAATACTAAAGAAGTAAAAAAGCTAATTGAAAACAAAAACAAGTCCCCTCACCCCCAAAGTCTATACAGCAACCTGTGATAAATCTGAAAGAGAAGCAACAGCCTATCAGTATTTTATTTCAGAAAAGATAAAATCTTTAATTTTTCTTATGTTTAAGAATTTCTTTGTTGCTAATATTATTTTTAAAGAAAAAAAGCCCATAATTGAAAAAACTTTTTTCTTTAAAAAGTAATGTTATTGTGGCATATTTACATGCAATAAAATGAAATCGTTTTTAAGCATGTAGTTTGATGCTTTTTTTAGGGACACAGTGCTTTATTTATTTTTCTCTCAACTTTTATTGTAGGCTCAGGGGTACGTGTACAGGTTTGCTAAGCGGGCAAGCTGTGCATCACTGAGGTTCAGTGTGCAAATGATCCTGGAGCACAGTACCCGATTGGTAGTTTTTCAACCTTCAGCCCCATCCCCCGCCACCACTTTCCCCGCTCAAGTAGTCTCCAGTGTCTACTGTTCACATCTTTGTGTTTGTGGATATTCAATGTTTAGCTCTCGCTTGTGAGAACATGTGATATTTAGTTTTCTGTTCCTGCATTATCTCACTTAGGTGATGGCTTCCATATGCATCCATGTTGTTACAAAGGATAAGATATCATTCTTTCTATGGCTGCATAGTATTCCTGGGTGTATATATACCATTTTCTTTATTCAGTCCACTGTTGATGGGCATATAGGTTGATTCCATGTCTTTGCTATTGTGAATAATGCTGCAATGAACATGTGAGGGCATGTGTCTTTTTGGTAGAACAATTTATTTTCCTTTGGGTATATACCCAGTAGTGGGATTGCTGGGTCTAATGGTAGTTCTGTTTTTAAGTTCTTTGAGGAATCTCCACATTGCCTTTCCACAGTGGCTAAACTAATTGACATTCCTACTAGCAGTGTATAAAGTGTTCCCTTTTCTTTGCAACCTTGCCAACAACTATTGTTTTTTGACATTTTAATAATAGCCATTCTTTTGTTTGTTTGTTTGTTTAGATAGAGTCTTGCTCTGTCACCCAGGCTGGAGTGCAGTGGTGCCATCTCGGCTCACTGCAAGCCCCGCCTCCCAGGTTCACACCATTCTCCTGCCTCAGCCTCCTGAGTAGCTGGGACTACAGACGCCTGCCACCGCGCCCAGCTAATTTTTTTGTGTTTTCAGTAGAGACAGGGTTTCACCGTGTTAGCCAGGATGGTCTCAATCTCCTGACCTCATGATCTGCCTGCCTTGGCCTCCCAAAGTGCTGAGATTACAGGTGTGAGCCACCACACCCGGCCAACAATAGCCATTCTGACTAGTGTCAGAATGAGATAGTATTTCATTGTGGTTTTGATTTGCATTTCTTTAATGATTAAGGGTGTTGAGCATTTCTGTGTATATTTGTTGGCTCCATGTATCTTTTTTTCAGGAGTGTTTGTTCATGTCCATTTTTTAATGGGGTTATTTTTTGTTTGTTGAATTAAGTTTCTTACAGAGTCTAGATATTGCACCTTTGTCAGATATATAGTTTGTGAATATTTGCTCCCATTCTGTAGGTTGTCTGTGATAGTTTCTTTTGCTGTACAGAAGCTCTAGTTTAATTAGGTCTCACTTGTCAATTTTTATTTTTTTTGCAGTTGCTTTTAGGGACTTAGTAATAAATTCTTTGCCAAGGCTGATGTTCAGAATGGTATTTCCTAGGTTTGTTCCTAGGAATTTAAGTCTTTAATACATGTAGAGTTAATTTTTGTATATGGTGAAAGGAAGAGGTCCAGTTTCAATATTCTGCATATGTCTAGCCAGTTATCCCAGAACTATTTATTGAATAGGGGATTTCTTTCTCCATTGCTTGTTATTGTTGACTTTGTCAAAAATCAGGTGGTCATGGATGTGCAGTCTTATTTCTGAGTTCTCTGTCCTGTTCCATTGGTCTGTGTGTCTGTTTTTGTACCAGTACCATGCTGTTTTGGTTACTGTAGCCTTGTAGTATAGTTGGAAGTCAGGTAAGTGTGATGCCTCCAGCTTTGTTCTTTTAGCTTAGATTGCTTTGGCAATTTAGGCTCTTTAGGTTTCATATGAATTTTAGAATAGTTTTTTCTGTTTCTGTGAAACATTACGTTGATGGTTTGATAGGAATAAGCATTGAATCTGTAAATTACTTTGGGCAATATGGCCATTTTGACAATATTGATTCTTCCTATCCATGAGCATGGAACGTTTTTCCATTTCTTTTTGTCTTCTCTGATTGCTTTCAGCAGTGTTTTGTAATTTTTGTTGTAGAGATCTTTCACCTCCTTGGATAGCTATATTCCTAGGTATTTTATTCTTTTTGTGGCTATTATTGTAAATGAGATTGCGTTCTTGATTTGGCTCTCAGCTTGGATGCTATTGGCGTATAGAAATGTTATTGATTTTTGTATATTGATTTTTTATTGTCAAACTTTACTGAACTCGTTTATCAGTCCTAGAAGCCTTTTGTGAAAGTCTTTAGGGTTTTCTAGGTATAGAATCATATTGTCTCTTAAGACAGATAGTTTGATTTCCTCTCTTCCTATTTGGATGCCTTTTATTTTTTCTTGTTGAATACCGTGGATATTTTGCTTAATCATTTTTTGATTCAAGATATTTCTGGGCTTAAGATATGATTATATATGTATTTATTAATATTAACAGCAAGCAATTGTTGAAAATATTAACTTTTGTATAGTACAATAAGATGAGAGGTGTGTGAGCTTATATTTATTAAAATTTAGATAAATTTATCATTTACTGAAGGACAACAATGTAATTATTACCTTTAAAAAAGGAGATGCCCTTAATTCAAGAAAATAGGATTACAAATGAAACGGGGATAAAAGGCCCAGCACAGTGGCTCATACCTGTAATCCCAACACTTTGGGAGGCCAAGACAGGAGGATTGCTTAAGTCCGGGAGTTCAAGACTAGCCTGAGCAATGTATCAAGACTCCATCTCCACAAAAAATAAAAATATTACCTGGGCATGGTGCTGCATGCCTGTAGTCCCACCTCCCTGGGAGGCTGAGGTGGAAGGACTGCTTTAGCCCACGAGTTTGAGACTACAGAGAACTATGATCATGCCATTGTACTCCAGCCTAGGTGACAGATTGAGACCCTGTCTCTAATTAAAAAAAAAAAAATGTAAAGAAAGAAATAGGGTATAAGATACACTTAATATATCCATTATCAGTTTTATTTATTTTGGTCCACAGATGTAGTGAGGAATTTGTAGCATCGGCTACTTTTCAGCATATTGATAGTTTTCAAACACTTCTTACCAGCTTCTGTAAAAATCTTGATTTTAGAGGAGTGATAGACTTCATGGAACAAAACAATTGTAATACTCTATATAAGCCTATGCTGTACTGGCTGGCTACCTTTTAATGAATTTCTGTTAGCAGTTTAAGAAACACCTTTGAAAATGGTGTAAGGTAAATAAATTTCCTACGGACTTCTGTTTCATCACATTATAAAAAAATTGTTGAATAAATGGCATTGTTTTTATTTTACTTTGTGTTTGATTGTCAGAATAAAAGAAGATAAGGTTGAGCTAGACATATTTTGGTAATAAAATAGCATTATTTTTATTTACCTAAATATAACACTAAGGTAAGAGGTATTTACATATTTCTTAGGACTAGAGGAAGGCGTCAAAATAAATTGTTAATAACGTATTATTTTGAAATATATGATGATCTACCTTGAAAAGCATTTTTTGTGAATTGTAGAAAGCTATACATCTAAGCATAAAGACCTTAAGTTTATTTCTTTCAACCAGGAGGTTTAGAACCATTAGAGTATGGAATATCTACTGTTACCAGGCCCAAAAAAAGCATAAAATTGAAAGATGCAAAGAAGAAGCAAGTTTAAAATGACTCTGAAAATGTTGCTTTTTTTCTTCGAGATGTTGCATTTAGAAAAAAGTACAGTGTTTCTTCTTTTTAATGCATAAGCCATAAAAAGTAAAATGTCTACAGTTCTTAATGAAAAGAGCCTTTTTTTCTGAGTCATTTAATCAGTAAATATGTGTGGCAAATACTTAATGTGCCAGGCAGTTTTTTCTGTAAGTAGATGTCCCCTAAAGGCATTTTCCCATAGAGCAAATTGTGAACACACCTTTCAGTACAGAAATGAAGTTGAAAGCCTGAATTTGAAGAAAAACTAATGTTCATAGAGAAACTGAAGAATACAAAAAAATGATTGTTGGTTTAGAGAAGCTTATTCTCTGAGGAAGATAAAACAGTAGGCACAATGCTGCCCAGCTAAAAATTAGGGTTTTGTTAATAAGGAGTAAGAGGAGGCTTCACAGTAAGGTGGGCAACACACAGTTTCTGGCACAATTATAATGCTGGTAATTATTTCGAATTAAGTGAAGAACAAAAGATTGGAAGTCAACAACCAGAGTTCTAATTCAGCTCTGCTGTTAACTGTCACACCTAATGCAACATAGCCGTGGGCACGAATGGACACTGAGAACATGAAAGATCAGTACCAGAAATCTATAAGTCCGGAAATTTATGTCACTAATCTACCAGGTAGGATTTTTGTGGCTAGGCGAGGCCTATACTAGGAGGACAACTGTGTGAATCCAAGGATATAGAAGGAGGAGATATTGAAAGTCGTTGACTATTAGAGGATGACATACTTTGAGTAAGTAGAAAGCATAGTCAGCATTGTGGAAACAGTTGTATCAAACCACATCTTTCTCACTTGTTTTTAATAGATGACACCTTTTCTCATGGTTCTTACTCTTTCACATCTTTAAAGTGCTATGTAGTGTATGGTATAATAAGCTATATGACTAGTGTGACTTAAGAATATCTGTCATAAAGTTGATAATCTATCACCCTTTCACTGCCTACCTCTGGCACTATTAAGTAGCTAGAAATAGACATAATACTAAATTGAAAAGGCATAAGGAAATCCAACAAAATTTTGATTTTTTTCTCATGATGTTAATTTTTTTATGTGAATTGTCAAATTTCGTCGCAAATATCTGATACCCTTTCTTTGCTCATTCCCGAAGAATTTTTTTAGTTCTAGAAGGGTAATTTCATATCTTACATTACTTACACTGAAGCTAACTTAATTCTCTCATCTGTAATGTAAATGCATATAAGAGGTCTTTAAGATCAATTTGCTTTTAGGTGTGACATTCTAAAAGTTTCATATAAACAAATTGGGAAGTAAAAGATTCTGAAAGTACAATTTCAAAAGGAAAGGTAGGAAAAAATTAACTTTGTTTACTTACGCTATGGTTAAATTTACTGAAAATTATTTAACCAGAAATCAATTTGGTAAATGATCAATCTACCAAATGACTAATAGGCCTTAAATTGTCAGACCAATTGCCTTAATCCAGATTTAAAACATACCCCACAAATATTTTACTACCAGAGGCAAGGACTGGGATAGATAGAGGTCTCAGTCCAGAAAAATATGAGAAGAGCAAAGTCCTTCCATTCACTTACATAACATTGAGCATTCAAGAAGGACAGTACTAGGCATCTCAAATGTTAACTTGGGAAGCTGGGCATCTAGTGGCACAGGACTGTAAATCCATGTGAAATTGCTGCATCCCAGTCTTGGTGATACTAAAACTTTAAAAATAGTCATCAATAACTTAGCAAATAAATCATTCAGCTAATCAGCTTTTGGTGGACTGGTATACTGTATTTACATAATTATATACTGCTTTTCCCAAAAAAAAAAATCAGCTTACAAGTATTTAAAAAATGGGAGCAACAAAAGAAAAAGTCAAGCCAGGATGAGTAAAATTGAATCAGGAATAAGACTTGAGAACACATCCCATTAAGACCTAAACATGTGGCTGCTAAACCACATATTTACCCTAGCTTTCAGTGAAATGTGGGAAACCCAGTTAATTGGGCAATTTACTGTCTATAAGATAAGGTGAAAACAAACCAGTCCCTCATGAAGGGTTCACCTATCCTTTGGAGTCATTTATTTATGAAGACTATATAACAGAAATGTTGAAATAGGAAGATCATATTGAAAATAAATTTCATGATCTCTTTTGAATTTCTGAATACAGAAAATATTTAAGAACTCACTAAAAAGAAATATTTTCTTTCTTTAAAAGTCTGTTTATAAGTCATAAAAAAGTTGAGCAATAAATTTGTTTTCCAGTTTTCTCAAATATTTCTCCATCCTTATTTGTTCAGTAAGAAAACATCATTGCCACTTAATTCCCTTTTCCATGTTCTTTAGAGACTACTCCAAACCTTAACTGCCTTTCTGGTCTACATTCAGGCTTTCCTCCTTCACATCCAGGCGGTGTTCAATTTCAGCCAGTTCTCTCTCCCAAAAGACTAATGTACTATTCATCTCTCTTTCTAGCTCTAATTCCTGTGCTCTAATCCAGGCCATCATAATTTTTATATGGACAGTTGAGACAACTTTCTCTCCCAAGCTCTAAACTCTTTTTCTAATGCATTACTGAGGGTGTGGTCCTAGGGTCACCTGCCTTAGAATTGACTGAGCCTGAGGTCCTTGTTAAAAATGTGGTCCTTTAGGGAAAAGGTCTCTCTCTAGCTGACTTTTAGATAATGTTATGCCTTGCTCAGAGTAAAGGTGCCTCAACAAATATTTAAGTAGTGAAAACTTCATTTTTATAATATATTACAGATTTACAGTGTACTTTCACTTATTTCATTACCTTATTTACCTGGATTATTCAGTCTTCTGAAATAAAACGTAAACCCTTTTCTTTTTTTCCTTTTTTCTCTTTGTAGTATTTATAGAAGTGAAGGTATTATTCACTAAGAATACAAATTAGCAACTCTCGAAAGCAGAATTAGAATAATATAATTAACATAATCTTGTCCAGGCTTGGTGGCGCACGCATGTAATCCAAACACTTTGGGAGGCCAAGGCGGGTGGATCACCTGAGGTCAGGAGTTCAAGACCAGCCTGGCCAACATGGCGAAACCCTGTCTGTACTAAAAATACAAAAATTAGCCGGGTATGGTGGCAAGCGCCTGTAATCCCAGCTACTTGGGAGGCTGAGGCAGGAGAATCACTTGAACTCAAGAGGCAGAGGTTGCAGTGAGCTGAGATTGCACCACTACACTACAGCTTAGGCCACAGAGTGAGACTTCAGCTCAAAAAAAAAAAAACAAAAAAAAAAACCTAATCTTTTGCTATCTCCATCTTGTTGATCATCTTTTCTTATCCATATTTTAAAAATCTTAGTCAACAAAAATTATTTTCAGCAAATATTTACTATTTTAAGTCTTAGAAATCAAGAAAAAAGAATTAAATTCTTTTGATATATAACTTCTGATAGATAAAAAGCCAATGGCATGTGAATCAAATGATGTAAATTGTATTTGCTTTTCCTGAGGAAAAATTTATTGAGAAAAATACTACTTGTTCTCACCCACAATTATTTTGGCTCTTCAATGAATTAAAGCTGTTGTATAAGTTTCAGATTTTCCTAATGATTCTTTTCTCATTTTCTAAAATCTAAGATTCAGAAGACATTATACATAATCCAGTATATGCAATCCCTTTAGAAAGTATTTACTTTTTAAATGCCAAGGGCAAAAATGTGAATGATATGGTCACTATATTTGTCTGCTAAGTTCTAGGCACCAACATATTTTGTTCCTCTTTTGACACAGGTGTATTTTCCTAGCTGAATAAAAATGTAACTATGTAAAAATTGGATAAGAAAAGTTGACAGAACTCTTAAAATTTTGGCCAAAAATTGATTTTGTTATTAATAAGATACTTTAAAAACCAAATGCAGATTTGTTTACAGACTTTTAGTAGTCACTCTTCTCTTCCAAGTATCATGAATGTTACCTTTATATTTTACAAGTTATATGATACATGCTGCCTTGGTGCTTAAGAACATAATAAAAAAATGAAAACCTAAACTAATCAAAAGCTTCCCATGCTGGTGAACATAACCTGACATAAAACTATGCTGATATCTTCCTTTTTAGTGGCTTATGGCCTAAAAGTACACTTTGTACAACTATTGTTCCTATTGACTTTATTTGGAATCTCAGCAAAAAATTTTCATTTTCCTCAGAATTAATTTTTAAAATTATCTTTAAGATAAGAATTACTGAAAGGAGTTAGTATAGATGTTATTTTTAGCATATGTATATATGAACATATGCATTAGTTTTTTTCTGACGGTCTTTTCTTGACATAATCTTGGCTGTGCTTTCATGGCTAAATGTTATGATCTGTCACTTATCAGGTATAAGAACATCTTTATAACATCAAGTACCCATAGTGGTCAGGAGCACAGGTTTTAGAGTGAGACAGTCATGGGTTTGAATCACAGTCTGTTCTTTGCTGTCTATTCAACCTCACTCAGCCTGAATTTCCTCAATTGTAAAGACGATAAAACCCACCATATGAGATAGAAATGTTGTGAAGATTAAAGTGTATAGTCTATTCAAAGTATCTGGAACAAAGCACAATACTTAGAATGTGAGATGTAGCTATTATCCATAATCACGTACAATTTAGTACCCATTAACTGCGATATTCATAGACTTCTTGCCCCAGGTTAGGCAAATCATGTTATAACGTAAAACTCAAGAACTTTGGGTTATTTTTGGTTGCACAGTTTCTTCTAGTGACTCAACCAAAATTTCTACTTTGAGGATATTTTTAGAGAAAAACACGTTTTAAAAATTTCCTTAACCTTCATACTGAAGGAATTAACTCTTAAAAAGAAATAATAAGACAATTATTTTTAAAAGATGTCTCCTATATCTGAACATATTATTTTGGACTATAAGGTAATATAACAGTGTATTTGTTTTGATTGACACATGCAGGATACATGTATTTATGTGCTAAGCAGTATTTTTTTTTTTTTTTTTGAGACGGAGTCTTGTTCTGTCGCCCAGGCTGGAGTGCAGTGGCGCAATCTTGGCTCACTGCAACCTCCACCCCCTGGGTTCAAGCAATTCTTCTGCCTCAGCCTCCCAAGTAGCTGGGACTACAGGTGCACACCACCACGCCCGGCTAATTTTTGTATTTTTAGTAGAGACGGGGTTTCACTGTATTGGCCAGGCTGGTCTTGAACTCCTGACCTTTTGATCTGCCCGCCTTAGCCTCCCAAAGTGCTGGTGTTATAGGCATGAGCCACTGAGCCCGGCCGCAGATACACTAGCATTGTGTTGGCATGTGCCTCCACTAGGAGGCTTATGATGAGAAATCTCAAATATATACAGAAATAGATGGACTGATAATATAGACCTTGTACCCATCATAAGTTTTAGGAATTATCATTTTGACCAATACTGTTTTACATATACCCTCATCTACTTCTCCCTTCCAAAATTTGTTGAAGGAATGGTTCCATTTGTGTCTCTAAAAGATAAGGACTCATAACCACAGTACCACTATTATACTTTTAATATATAATTTCTTTTTAATTTTTTTCATTGTTGTGAGTACATAATAGGTATATATATATGGGGTACATGAGAATATTTTTTTTTTTTTGAGGTGGAGTCTCGCTCTGTCACCCAGGCTGGAGTACAGTGGTTCCATCTCGGCTCACTGCAACCTCCGCCTCCCGAGTTCAAGCCATTCTCCTGTCTCACCCTCCCAAGTAGCTAGCACTACAGGCACCCGCCACCGTGCCCAGCTAATTTTTGTGTTTTTAGTAGAGACGGGGTTTCACCATGTTGGCCAGGCTGTTCTCAAACTCCTGACCTCAGGAGATCCACCCGCCTCAGCCTCCCAACATGCTGAGATTACAGGCGTGGGCCACCGCGCCCGGCCACATGAGATATTTTGATACAGGCATACAGTGCAAAATAATAACATCAGAGTAAATGGGGTATTCATCACCTCAAGCATTTATCCTTTCTTTGTGTTACAAACAATCCAGTTATACTCTTTTAGGTTTTTTTAAATGTATGATAAATTATTGTTGATTGTAGTCACCATGTTGTGCTATCAAATACTAGATCTTATTTATTTTACCCACATATTTTTTATAACTATTAACCATCTTCACTCCCTTGCCCCTCTCCTCTCACTATCCTTCCCAGCCTCTGGTAACTATCATTCTGCTCTCTATCTCTGTTGAGTTCAATTGTTTTAATTTTTGGCTCCCACAAATAAGTGAGAACATGCAAAACTTACCTTTCTGGGCCAGGCTTATTTCACTTAACGTGATATTCTCTAGTTCCATCCATGATGTTGTTGCAAATGAAAGGATCTCATTTTTCTTTATGGCTGAATAAGTACTCCATTGTGTAGTGTATGTTTACCACATTTTCTTTATCCATCTGACATATGGGTTACCTCTAAATCTTGGCTATTGTGAACAGTGCTGCAGCAAACATGGGAGTGCAGACACCTCTTCAGTATATTCATTTCCTTTCTTTTAGATATATACAGAGCAGTGGAATTGCTGAATTATATGGTAGCTCTATTTTTAGTTTTTTGAGCGACCTCCGAACTGTTCTCCATAGTGGTTGTACTTATTTACATTGATACGTTCTTGATATCATCAACTCTCAGTCATTGCTCAGATTTTCAGTTGTCTCTTTATTGTTCAAATTTTCTTAACAGTTTATCTATTTATTTATTTATTTATTTAGAGATGAAGTCTCGCTCTTATCCTGCAGGCTGGAGTGCAATGGTGCGATCTCGGCTTACTGCAACCTCCACCTCCCTGGTTCAAACAATTCTCCTGCCTCATCCTCCCGAGTAGCTGGGATTACAGGTGCCTGTCACCACACCCAGCTGATTTTTGTATTTTTAGTAGAGACGGGGTTTCACCATGTTGGCCAGGCTGGTCTCGAACTCCTGACCTCAGGTGATCTGCCTGCCTCGGCCTCCCAAAGTGCTGGGATTACAGGTCGTGAGCCACTGTGCCCGGCCAGTCCGCGCCCAGCCAGTTTGTCTATTTAAATAAGTATCCAAGTAAGGTCCACAAATTGGGCTTGTTTGATACATATTTTAAGGTTCAGTTAAACTTCCTACAGTTTTCTTACTTCTTGCAACATTTGTTGAAGAAACTAGGTCATTTATAGAATTTCCCACAGAATGGATTTTGCCGTATAGTTTAACTTATACTTCCGTGTTTCTTTTAAAGTTATTGTAATTAAATCTAGAGGCTTGATCAAATCCAGGTTTGATTTTTGTGTGTGTGTGAGGGGCAGTACTATTTTATAGGTGATTGTATGAGCCTCCATCAGGAGGCTGATACCTGTCTAGTTGTGTCTCTTTTTGATGATAGGCAACCATTCAAGTTCAATTCTTCAATTAACTAATTTATTAGGTATTGCAGAATCCTGATATTCTAACTCTTTCTGTCTTAATTTGTTAGCTGTAATATTTATAAAGAGAAACTTTCATGTATTATTTGGGTAGCTTAGTGTTTTGGTTTAACTGATAACCCATAAGAGCAATCTATAGTGGCATCATTGTACAACTAACATTTTTAAATATCTGCTAACTCGATGGTCATTATAGTTCAGAAATGGTGATTAAGATTTATATCTCTACATTTATAGATACAGATACAAATCTATATATTTAATTAAAGCTTAAGTCATTAAAGTAAGAATATTAAAGCTATGCCAAAGGCCATGAATAATTATACATCTAAGTTTAATTTAAAAATGAAATTCCTAAAGCTTATACTAATGTTGTAAATTCCAAAATATATGTGATTTTTAGCTAGAATTTTCTTACATGTTGATCTCTTGTGTTTATTTTGTTTGTAATATATTATTTCTATAAAATGTTAATTAAAAGGGAATGCAGTGGTGTCTTTTGAAAGAAGAGGATGTCATTCCTCGTATCAGGGCAATGGAAGGTCGTAGAGGAAGACCACCAAATCCAGATAGACAACGAGCAAGAGAGGAATCCAGGATGAGACGTCGGAAAGGTCGACCTCCAAATGTTGGCAATGCTGAATTCCTAGATAACGCAGATGCAAAGTTGCTAAGAAAACTGCAAGCTCAAGGTAAGAAACATAATGTGTCTGACACTAATAATCATACTAAAAAGTATACTAAAAGTATTTCTAATATTTTTGACTTAGGATTGACACTGCTCTCAATTTTTAAAAAGTAAATAGTTGTGTTAGAATAAAATGAAAAAATAAGGAGTCCCACTGGTAACTGGAGTTCTTTGATTAGGTAATCTTTCAAGAACCATTACTCATAAACACATCCTATCCTGTGTATTTAGAATTACAAAGGTGGGTGTTAAGCTTTTAAGGCTTGCACAGAAAGGGAATCAACCAGCACTTGGCACATGCCTTAAGGTCGTGCCAACCTTCTGGAAATTCTCATTTTAACAGCTCCCGATTCCTTGAGGTGGTACATGGGAATAACTCCAAAATATGTGGATCTGTGGAGTAAATTTTCAGTCAGAGAACTCCAATTACTGGTAAGTAACCCCAGTCTTTTAGTTTGGGTTCTCCTGTAGTCCAGATATAGTATATATATTTTCAGAATAACAAATTAATACATTAAAATCAAAAAGTACTTTAAGATAACCAGAAATTATCATTTATCAAGCTCAAAGTGCTGATAATAACCTAAACTGTATTAATGATTTGACATTATACATAAAATGTCAACATGAAAGTCCCATGCTATGTATGGCAAAGAGAAGGCTGAGTAAAATAGAACAGTTTGGCTTTGCAGTTTGAGTCACTAGTTACAAATGTGAAGCCGCTTAAGACTGTCTGAATATATCAACATATGTGTAGATACCTTATATTTGCAAGGCATATATATAAAGATATGTAACAATGTAAAATAAAGGTTTAATAATGAAAATTGACTTAAAAATCTAACAGAATTTTACTACTTCTCATGGGTTTTTTATTATCCCTATAAATAAGCAAAATGTGGAGGAAATGTATAAAAGACTTAATTCTATTCATTGTAAACACCATCATAATATAGACTTCTCTGTTGCTGCTTTGTTTTTTATTATAAAACAAATATCTATGACAAAACTCATAGAATAGAATGCTTTAAAGACACATGTAATCTTAATGCTTTGGGATGCCAAGGTGGGAGGATTGTTTGAGGCCAGGAATTTAAGACCAGCCTGGGCAATGAAGCAAGACCCCATCTCTACAAATAAAATTTTAAAATTAGCCAGGTGTAGTGGCACACTCCTCTAATCTTAGCTATTGTGGAGGCTGATGTGGGAGGATCCTCTGAGCCCAGGAATTCAAGGTTACAGTGAGCTATGATCATGCCACTGCGCTTCAGCCTGGCTGACAGAGTGAGACCCTGTCTCTAAAGAAATAAATAAAAGACATTCTCATTGTTATCAGTGGAATAATTAATCTTTCCAGAAATATGTACACACATACACACACATGCAACCACTCACATATACATATATATCCTTTTTGATTTTTAAAATAAGTGGACTTGAGTCAGTCTCTTTTTGATGACTATTTAAGCTACTTCTAGATCTTCACTATCATACAATTATAATAAATATATATTACACTTTTCTAAGCATATATTATACAAATCTAAACATATTACACAAATCATTTTCAAGTTTTTATGGATAGCAGGCAAATATTGTCTCCAGTTCATACTTTGACTAATAGCTTAACTGCCTAGCAGTTATCATATAAATTTTTTATCTTAGTATGTGTATTAGTCTATTCTCACACTGCTATAAAGTTATGACCCGAGACTGGGTAATTTATAAAGGAAGAAGTTTAATTGACTCACAGTTTCGCATGGCTGGGGAGGCCTCAGGGAACTTACACTCATGGTGGAAGGGGAAGCAGCCACCTTCTTCACAAGGCACCCAGAAGAGAGAGAGAGCAAGGGAATCCACCACTTCGAAAACTAGCAGATCTCATGAGAACTCACTTACTATCATGAGAACAGCATGGGGGGAAACCCCCTCATGATCCAATCCCCACCCACCAGGTCCCTCCTTTGACACGTGGGGATTACAGTTTGAGATGAGATTTGGGTACGAACACAGAGCCAAACCATATCAGTATGGTAGTCAGATTTTTTTATTTTATTTGGCTTCTTATAAGACTTTCATCCCAAAGAGTTACTAGTGAAGGTTAAAAAGTCAATAAATTAACAGGCATAGATGGGTTTTAAAAACTGATATTGTCAGTAAGCTATTGACCCTTCTGAATAATGTTTAATGCTGGGGAATGTGGACATTGTTTGCATAAAATAAGAAAGTTTGAAATTAACTGATAATCAAAACATGGGATCTTCATGGATATTTGCCGTATCTAATTATCATTAGAAGTTAGAATCTAAAATAGCAAATTTAAATTTAGAAAATTAACTATATTTTTGTTGTAACAAAGTAGAAGTTAATTATTCAACTTTTACCGAATGTTTATTCTCCCTCCAGATTTCAAATTGATTTGTATTCAATTACATAGTTTACCCTTGTTATAATACATTGGATTGCATTTTGCAAGTTCTGTTACCTTTGACCTTATTGTATATTACATGTACTCTTTCTCAACATGTATATAAAGATTATTTAACAGTAAGTAAATAATCTATTAATATTTACAAGTGTATGGAGTATTGTTTGCATTTTTTCCTGTGAAGAAAAGAAAGTAAAAATGAAACAGTTTATCACCTTTTTCATTTCTAAAAGCCTTCTTTGGTAACACTTTGGGGGGTTATCTGAGAGGATTCTAGAAGAAGTTTTTGTTGTATATTATTATCCTTCTATGACCAACTAGACTGAAAAACCAGACTTAATTTGAAGAAAGTTTCAGAATAGTGAGATAAATGTGAGTTTTGAATGTACATCCAAACGTTGTGAAATGAGAACTCTAATTTCTCAGAATATAGGTAAAAATCTGACCAAGTTTGAATATGATAAAGACTTTCATTCTATATAAATAAACCTGCTTGTTGATTGACTGATACTATTAATATCTCAAATTTTCCAAAATATGAAGTAGCACCTATTCATTTCATATGCGATTGAAACTGAGATGCCTATAAGTAATCTATACCATGCACCGTTATTTTAAGATGTACACTAAGAAAGAAAAGAGCTGCCAGTTATCAGTTACATTCTGACCTTAGAGATGTCAAAATGTTTAAAAATGCATCTTAGGATCAAAGAAATGAGTTATATCCAAAATATCTCTAATTCTATCTGAAAATAAACTTCATCTTTGAAATTAAAGCAGACAGTTTCTTAAGCCACAAAAGATACTTTCCAAATTAGTATTTCAAAAGGTAATTATAATATATTCACCAACCAAAAAAAAAACAAATAAATGAGAAGATACTGGAAGTAATTTATTTCTACAGCTTGGGTGAACTTTTCTAGGTATCTAACTCATTCTCTCTCCTCTGTATTCTCTTTTTTTCTTCTTCTTTTTTCTTTATTTTTATTTTGAGATAGAGTTTCACTCTTGTTGCCCAGGCTGAAGTGCAATGGCGCGATCTCAGCTCACTGCAACCTCTGCCTCCTGCGTTCAGCGATTCTCCTGCCTCAGCCTCCTGAGTAGCTGGGATTACAGGCACCCACCACAACGCCCGGCTAATTTTTGCTATTTTTAGTAGAGTTCGGTTTTCACCATGTTGGCCAGGGTGGCCTCGAACTCCTGACCTCAGGTGATCCATCTGTCTTGGCCTCCCAAAGTGCTGGGATTACAGACGTGAGCTGCTGCGCCCGGCCTTTTTCTTTTTTTCACATCATCTTCTTTTCCAACTGCCCATAATGTAAAATTTAATCTATGTAAATTTTTAATGATTAGTTAAAATTTTATATTTCTTGCTAAAGTAAAAAGATGTGAGTTGAACTTTTAAATTTTTTTGGCCCAAATATTTTTTTAAATTACTGGCCAGACACAGTGGCTTATACCTGTGTAATCCTAGCACTTTGGGAGGCCAAGGTGAGAGGATTGCTTGAAGCCAGGAGTTCAATACCAGCCCGGGAAATAAAGCAAGACCACAAAAAGAAATTTTTAAAAAATTAGCTGGGTAAAGTGGTGCACTCCTATAGTCCTGGTTATTCAGGAGGCTGAGGGGAGAGGATCACTTGAGCCCAGGAGTTGGAGGCTACAGCAAGCTATGATCATACCACTTCACCTGGGTCACAGAATAAGACCTTGTCTCAAACAAATAAACAAAAATTACTGTGTACTTGTGTAGGGCTTGAAATTGATTGATACGCTCATACACAAACATGGTTCTATATATATTATAGAATTTTCTTATTAAAAGTTAAACTTATATTAGAGAATATCAGTTTAGCTTGCAGCAAAAGATCGTACTTATGCCATATTTTCTAGGAAACATTTTTATCAGCACATCTTTACATTTCAAGACAAAGTCAGGCCTCTATTGTAGAATTCAAAACTTTCAATTCTTAATGTTAAAGAAATATTTATCTGGCATTATTATAGATGAGAATAATATTCTTCACCCATATTATTATCAGAGGTTGCTGACCCTGAAGGTCAGTTTATAGGTTTTTATGTCCTAGAGTATTTAGTGAACAGGACATCTTTTTTGTGTGACCCAGAAATTTTTGATGATGCCTGTAACCTCCTAATATTGAAAATGGTTGGGACATTGGAGATAATACTTTATCATCATCTTCCATTTTATTTTTCATTAACACTTCCAGTTTACTAGATGAAATTCGACTTTTTTAATCTCTTCTCCTTTTTAAAAGTCTCAGTGATAGAAAACTGGCCATAGTGACCAACTTCACTTCAGCTGTTATGAGGACATATGGTTACGTTCTTAGCTAAAATCTTAAGGCATTTAAACTTTGCTTAAAGATTTTTAGAAATAGTGGCATATAGACTGTGGAGTCAGAAAGTCCTGGGGTTTCTTTGGGGGTTTTTTTGAGACAGAGTCTCACTGGAGTGCAGTGGTGCAATCTCAGCTCACTGCAACCTCTTCCTCCCGGGATCAAGCAGTTCTTCTGCTTCAACCTCCCAAGTAACTGGGATGACAGGTGCCCACCACCACGCCTGGCTAATTTTTGTATTTTTAGTAGGGGTGGGGGCTTCATATGTTGGCCAGGCTGGTCTCGAAGTCCTGACCTCAAGTGATCCACCTACCTCAGCCTCCCAAAGTGCTGGGATTACAGGCATGAGCCACTGTGCCCAGCCAGTTGTGGGTTTTTTTCTTGGCTATGCTATTTAACCTCTAGGAGCCTTAGTTATTTTTTGTGTAAGCGGGGCAATCATGTTGATCTTATTAAGTAGCTGTGAACATTAAACAAGGTGGTGTAAATTTAACACAACAGGCCGGGCACGCTGGCTCACGCCTGTAATCCCAGCACTTTGGGAGGCCGAGGCAGGTGAATCACGAGGTCAGGAGATCGAGACCATCCTGTCTAACACGGTGAAACCCCGTCTCTACTAAAAGTATAAAAAATTAGCTGGGCGTGGTGGCGGGCGCCTGTAGTCCCAGCTGCTCGGGAGGCTGAGGCAGGAGAATGGCGTAAACCTGGGAGGTGGAGCTTGCAGTGAGCCGAGATCACGCCACTGCACTCCAGCCTGGGAACAGAGCAAGACTCCGTTTCAAAAAAAAAGAAAAGAAAGAAAAAGAAAAATTTAACACAATAGTGCCTGCGATCAATAAATGGTGGAAATTTTTAGAGCTCAAGTGATTCACGTGTTAGCAATTATGTTCCTTGTCAATGAACATAATTTAGGTTTCTTTGTTCAGTGGCTACAAAATTTAAACAATGTATAATACAAAGTGATGCTTTCTAAAATGATTATATGAGTAATATTATATACCACTTTTAGAGTTTGAAGTATTCAGACCAAGTTTGCCAGCAGAAGAAAGCAAGGATATTACATGGTTTCTGTGTCTGTTACACCCTTTGCCACAGTAATGCTTGGTAACAACCACCAAACCTTAGTAGCACACAACACTGTCTTAATCACTTGTGCACATGGAATCAGCTGGAAATTAGCTAAGCAGCTTTGCTTATCTTGGCTGGGCTTGTTCACATTTGTAGGGTCAACTGCTCCCTGTGTCCCAATCTCCCAATAGCCTAGCCCCCAAATCATATCTTCAGTCTTGGGCAAAGCACAAGAACAAAAGCCGAAAGAATACAACTAAACTTTCAAGCTCTGTTTTCATCACAACTGCTAACATCCTCTTAGCCATGGAAAATCACATGGTTGAGTTCAGAATCAAGGGACGGGAAAATATATTCCACCTCTTGATGGGAATTGCTCCAAAGTCACATTACAAATGTCATGGATAAAAGGAGAAATGAAGAATTGGGGACATTAACTTTGTTCATCTACCCTAGTTTCATACATGTATCCTTGAAGATTATAAGAACTAGGTTGTCTTTAAAAGTCATTGAAATTCTGCTTTCTTTTTATTTAGGAGATTTAGTCCCTCTCCTTCATAAATGAAAATATCACTGGATTCAGGAACTTAACCATTATAGCTAATTGAAATACTAAGTTTGGGTGGGAGGGGACTTTGTATTTGTTTTAATTGAGAGTCTTTCTTTTTTTTTTATATGTTAAGACTGAAGCTACATTACAAGTCTTAAAATATTAGCAGCTATTTTCCCACTAAGTGGGGTTTACTTGAAATGTGAAAAAAAATGTACTTAAATAAGCCTCTCTGATAAAGATTAAAAGAAACCTCATTTTTATGTAGTCCTAGATATGGGATCATATTTGATGAAATAATTTGATTATTTCCATTGGAATGAACATTCAGTTTCCGTTGGAATGAACATGACGTTGTCTACCACACCACTCTTCTACTTGGTATCTGTCTGACCTTAGGCAATTTTCTTAAATATTATATCCTCGGCTGGGAGTGGTGGCTCACACCTGTAATCCCAGCACTTTGGGAGGCCGAGGCGGGGCAGATCATGAGGTCAGGAGATGGAGACCATCCTGGTCAACATGGTGAAACCCCATCTCTACTAAAAATACAAAAATTAGCTGGGTGTGGTGGCGCACGCCTGTAATCCCAGCTACTTGGGAGGCTGAGGCAGGAGAATCACTTGAACCTGGGAGGCGGAGATTGCAGTGAGCCGCGATCGCACCACTGCACTCCAGCCTGGGCAACAGAGCGAGACTTCATCTCAAAAAAAAAAGTAATAATTATATCCTTTATGATGATACCATTTTCACACAGTTATTGTTTTTGGTTAGTAGTTACACAAAGTTGTTAATATTCTTTGAAATTTTGTGTTTTTCAGAAATAGCCAGGCAAGCAGCACAAATAAAGCTTTTGAGAAAACTTCAAAAGCAGGAACAGGCTCGGGTTGCTAAAGAAGCCAAAAAACAACAAGGTGAGTGATTTAAATGTAACATAAACTCGAAGAGTCAGTACTGGGGAATTCATAAGAGTTTTCTTTTCTTCATTCCCTTTTTGATGATATCTATCCTTTGGTTTCTTGTAGCAATAATGGCTGCTGAGGAGAAGCGGAAGCAAAAAGAACAGATAAAGATTATGAAACAGCAGGTATGTGTATACATTGGAAGTGACTTTTAAAATATGGGACTTATTTTGAGGATTTGTTAGTAATGTACATTATTTTTGATTTCTTAAATAACTATATTTCACATTAATATTTGTGTCTTATTTAGAAAGTTGCTATCTTCTATTAATTAAAATTTTACCTTTTTAATAAAGTCTTCTACTTCCAAGTGTTTAAAGAAATGATTACCAAACAGTAAATTTGTGTAAGTACTTTAATATCCTGGTAGACTTTGTATAAGTTGATATCTTGAACAATTTTCAGAATTTTTAAATTAATGTATCAGTCAATGAAGTATATTGCTCGAATGTTCAAATTTTAATAAAAGCTTGTTTTTCTTAAACATGTAAAATATTAGTAGAAAATTAAATTCAAGTTATACAAAATAAGATTTGCCTTCATTGCTTCTTAATGCTTTCAGGATTACTTAAAAGTTGCCACTGCAAAAAAAAAAAAAAAAATGATGACAGCATTATTTTAGCAAATCCAGAGTTCTCTGTCTTGTATCTACAATATTTCTCCCCATGTGATTTTCAAAATTAAGTTTAGGTAAGAGAAGTAATTTTTAAATTTTCATAGGTAAAAATTAAGTGAGAAGGTATTCAGCTTCATTTAAGATGAGAATGTGTAAACTACTCTCCCATCTCCTCATATTCATGGTAACATTAAAGCAGAAAGGAAATGGGGAGAAAGTACTATTCTTTTAAAAATATTAGGAAGCATGTAGTTATTTCTGAGAATGAAATGAAATCAATTATGTTACTATATAAATACCTGCTAAATAAATGGCTTGGGTTGGATTTGATGTGGTTATCTCCAAGGTTTCTTCCAGTATTAACTAAAGCAATATGACTAGAGAAGTTGATATAGAGTTGGGATTTAGGATTTAAGTTTGTAGTCAGTCAGCCTACAGTTAAATATGGGCTCTGCTACTTAATAATTTTGTGACCTTAGATGAATGGCTTAACCCTTAAGTCTTTATTTCTTCCATCATAAAAGAAGTTAACTGCAATATCTGAATAAATGAGATAATGAACATAAAGTGCCTACTGCAGTGACTGGCAACAAAACACATGCTCAACTTTTTAAAGATAAATATAAAACATCCAACTACACAGTGTACTCTTTTACCACCATAATTTAAAGTAGCAGTTGTCAACTTGAATTCCATCCTTAGTTTGTTAATTGTGACTGCTAGACATTGTAAGATTGACCTGAAATAGGCTAGTGAATGCATTCGTTAAAATATATTTACTAAAGAGTATATATGAAAAAATAAGTTCATATTTCATTTTTAAGTGAAATACTGTTGTTTCTGTTATACTTTTATTGAAAAAGTTTTATAGCTTATTCTATTTACTAATGGCTGGAGACTCATTAGATCCCATCAGTACTTTTAATTCAGCTTTATGATCCTAAAGTCTTACAGTAGCTACAACCTGAATCCACATGGTCTTTGCTACTCATTGAAAAAGCATTGAGCTCCAAAGTTTCCAGCAATATTAATGCAAATGAACTGGTCTTAATATTTATCAAGATATTTATCTGAGGCCAATCTCAGAATACCATCTCATTTATTTGATTCAACAAAGTGAATCAAAGTATAGAGTAATTCTACTCATACTCTCTGTTATATAGGGTCTATTTTAAAGTCAGCATTTGATCTAGAATAAAATAGTACATGTGTTTTCATCCTTTGGATTATTTTTTCCACCTAGTAGACCAAAAATATCACCAGATAGTCCTTAAGACAATTTTCTGGAAAATTTCAGAAACATTATTACAAAGCAGGAGGCACACAGGCATTGGGATCTGACGAGGACTCTATATTTACTAAGTATTGGACTTTAGACAAAATATTTACTTTCTGAGAACCTCAGTTTTCTCTTATGTAAAAAGAAGATAATTTAAGCTTTTATGATTTTTTAATGATTGACAAGATATTAAATGTAAAGTGACCGGCTCAGTGGCTGAGTACTCAACATTACAAAGTTAACCTGTATTATAATAATTTACCATGTTTATCTGCATGCTAATGATAACACTACCAAATATGTATGGATATATATAAAAGTCACTTGAATACTTAAGATAAAGCTTTAGACTGTGTACGTAAGCCCCAAGATTCCCTGCCTGTCTGTGCATAAGAGAACAACAAGTGACTTTTGCTGGCTTGAAAACATAGCACCTTATAATGTTATAATTGACAAGAGCAGAAAAGTCAGATCAAGAGTATACTTTTCTCAGATATCAAGTTCTAATTCAAATAAATACTTCAAATATGGATCAATCTTTTCTAAGATTTGGAAATTACACAAAAGATACACTTTGGGGTTTTGGGTTTTGTTTTTTGTTTTGTTTTGTTTTTTGTTTGTTTGTTTTTTAGACAGAGTCTCCCTCTGTTGCCCAGGCTGGAATTCAGTGGCACGATCTCTGCTCACTGCAGCCTCCGCCTCCTGGGTTCCAGCAATTCTCCTGCCTCAGCCTCCCAGGTAGCTGGGATTATAGGCATGCACCACCACACCCAGCTAATTTTTTGCATTTTTAGTAGAGATGGGGTTTCACCACCTAGCACTGTTTGTTTCTCGAACTCCTGACCTCAGGTGATCTGCCCGCCTCGGCCTCCCAGAGTGCTAGGATTACAGGTGTGAGCCACAGTACTTGGCCCACTTTGGGGTTTTTATTTTTGACAGCCTACAATTAATATTCAGTACCATGATAAGATCACCAAAATCAAAGAATGTGATCAGTCTTGTAAAATCAAAACAGTAATTCCTAAAATTTCATCATCCTGCAGTAGAATCCTGCAGGGAATCAATAACATCAGTGTACATTAAAAAAATTAAAATGCATATTAATGTATAGCTTCAATAGGTACAACTAGCATCTGGAGATGGGAGCAGGCATTGTGAAATACAGGTGTTGGCACTGGAAATTCTAGGATAAGTACAATTTTCAAGTAGGAAACTTTGAGTTTTCTTTTTTAACTTGTATTTATTCTCATCAGTGCCAATTTGGGACTTTTGAACGGATTAAGGAACATGAAATTGCTAAGAATGTGTTTATAGAATATGAGATAATTTTTTAAGTTAAAATATAAATTTTTATCAAAATTTATATGATCACTAAGTTATAAAACATATCCAATAACCAGTTCATTAAATTTAGACAACGTGTACCCCAATTATGTCCTACAGATAATTCCCTGGAATGTTAAATTATAATTAATTAATTTTAAAATAATGTTACAGGTTATTTCTGAAATGGGCTAATTGTAATTAAAAGCAATGTTATATTATGCTATTCAACATATGAAATAAATTTTAGAATGGAAATTATTGTTAATAATAATGTTACAATTGTGTCACTATATACTTTTTAAAGCATTTTATTTAATTGTGACAAATGAGAAAGGGCAAACACCTCTCACTATTTTATAGAAGAATAGTTATTATTTGCTCAAGACCATTCAATAAATGACTGTAATCCAGAATTGGCTGTATGTTTTCTGACTGCTGATACATGATTTTTCTGCTATTCAGTCCTATATTATTTCAAGTTAAGTATTATTTGTAACTGCAAATATCTATAAAGATCTTCAGGCTATATAGTTTAATCAGCTTGGTTCACTGAGTTTCTGTTTATTTAGCATTTGCATTTTACAAATTACTGTGAGAAACCTTATCAAATCATATTAATTTCAGACATGAAAATATATATGGTTTTACGCTAAATAATGAAATTTTTATGTCCATCCTTTGGTAATTTTGTACTTTTTTTTTTTTATTTTGAGACGGAGTCTCGCTCTGTCGCCCAGGCTGGAGTGCAGTGGCACATCTTGGCTGACTGCAAGCTCCACCTCCTGGGTTCACGCCATTCTCCTGCCTCAGCCTCCCGAGTAGTTGGGACTACAGGTGCCCGCCACCAAGCCCTGCTAATTTTTTTTAAATATTTTTAGTAGAGACGAGGTTTCACTGTGTTAGCCAGGATGGTCTCGATCTCCTGACCTTGTGATCCGCCCACCTTGGCCTCCCAAAGTGCTGGGATTACAGGTGTGAGCCACTGCGCCTGACCTGTACTTATATTTTTAATTATTTGATTCCACTCAAATACTCTTTACTCAGATAGTTTATTTTATTATCTCAAGTTATCATAACTTTTCCTACAGGAAAAAATTAAGAGAATACAGCAAATCAGAATGGAAAAAGAACTTCGAGCTCAGCAAATTCTAGAGGTAGAAGTCTTAAATTTAATATAATTAAAGTAATTTAGCCATATATTTTTAAGTCTGCAAAAATAAATATTTTGCGTGCATGTTTTCTCACACAAATTGTTTGTCAGATATTCTCTTTAAACATTCTGCATAGAATAAAACTTTATCTGAGCCTTATTTAGCAAGCTAATCTAATCCCAACAGTAAAGATATACAAAATGAGGCAAAAGAAACAGGAAAACTTCTGAGCAGTCAGTGGAGTTGTCATAAAGTTCATGCGCTAAAATGTTTTACTTTTATAAAAGTAAACAACAAAAGAAAAATCATTAGGGCTTATAGTCTGATATTTACTTTTAGTTTAGAAACAAATGTTTACAGAAGTAAGATTTCAAAAGTAAAAGTAAATTTTAAATGTGCAAAGTTTTATCAGATTGTTTTTCTGGTTTCTAGCATATCCCTCTTCCCTGCAAGGCTAATTAGAATAGAGATAGAGGACATCTGTTGGCAACAGCAAAAGTAATAGGCAAAAGACAGCAAAGAAAAAATACAGGAAAACTTCAGCTAGCATATATAGGAACTGAAAAGCCTAGCAACAGCCTGTAATCTTTTATTTGAATAGCAAGCAATTTTCAAAACCTTAATAGCCCAAAGGCATTACTCTTTGGAGCTGTGCAGTATAACTGATGTTGAAAATAGTTGCCCTGAGTCATCAAGAAAACGCCAAATTACGTTTAGTGTACTGTGTCTAAGCAGGCATGTCTCAAAATTATTTCCATCTAAAAGAGTGAAAATAAACTTTTCATGTTTAAATTTATTACAACTTCTCCACCATTCCGGAAACTGCTGCTTTATAGAACAGTTTATTCCCTGAGGGCTCCGGATAGCTGAGGTTTTCTCTGTTACAGTTTTATTCCTTCTAGAAACACACACATTTTTTCTTACCCATTTCAAATTAATTTTAAAAACCGGAAATTGAAAATGTTTTTATTTTAAAGTAAACTGACAGTAACTACTAGTTATGAAACTTCTACACAGTTAATGATTTTAAGATTATGAAGCTTATGTTTGATAAATAGCATGGTCTCAATAGATTGTGCCTCATGAAAGATGAGATTACAAGTTTTCATTCTATTAAAAAAAAAACACTTGAACTTAACCACACTATACAGAGATGGGGAAAATCAGACTTAATATGCTTCACTTAATAGACATAAACCAATAATGAATTTCTTTATCTCAAATTTTCAAGTATTAAAAATAAATTTTAAATAAACAGGTTCATTCTCAAATATTACTAATTCTTGAAATAATTTTTATTTATTAATTAAAATCTATTCTGTTTTCTAAATGTTTTACAGTGATTATGTTTTACTTTTAAAATCAGAAAAACAATGTGACATAAAATCACTTTTCTGTGATTAAATTTTAAGGTAAAAGAACATAAACACTCAATTATTTCAGACTTAACAAAGCTTGAAGAAGAAAAGCTGTCATATTCTTATGACTCTAAGAAATTTTTGTGTATTCTAATGCTATTCTATAAATTAGAAACAAAATTATTACGTTAAACATAATGTTAACTGGGGGGAAATCTGTAATTGTCTACATATGTGTTACATACTGTTTCGTACCTTGTGAGACATGTAGCTTCATTTCAAGTCTGACATTATTTGCAAGTTGTAGTGGTGCTGTTGCATGACTTTGAGACCTGTTTTGCATGCACAGGCTAAAAAGAAAAAGAAGGAAGAAGCGGCAAATGCCAAATTATTGGAGGCCGAGAAACGAATAAAGGTTAGTTTAGATGAGAATCAGAGTTTTTATTTTTGAAAAATAAAAACTATATGTTATACTGGCATCAGTTATATGAAAAAATAGCTTTCTTCAAAATGACTATCTGAAAATATGTTTAGCAGATACTACATGTGTATAGTGTATGTTTTTATTTGTATGTATATTGTATGTGTATTTTTATTTTATTATGCAGGGTTTTTTGTAATGCTTTGAGCTGTTTAGGAGACATCAAATCAGAAATGCAAATTGTTGCTTAATACCTGTATGTAGTTTTGCTAGATAAGAATGACCCCCCCCAAAACTGTTTTGTGTGTTATTTATGTTTATGTTTATGTTTATGTTTAGGCATAAACTAGATATGGTATAGGTATGTTTATATTTGAGTCTCAATCTGATTCTCCCCTTTATAACTTTTTCTTTGTTAATATTCAGCAACTGTTTTATCTATTAAAAATGAAAAGCCTACAGAAACAAAAGCCAAACTTCATCAACTGTTATTTACCAATAATAAAATTAGCTGCTTTTAATTATTTTAACTTCATGTATTTGGGGGTGTTTTGTTCTGATTTCCTGGCATGGGGTATAGGAGAGTTGTCCCCTTCCTCCCCTCCCCCACCCTGCCGTCCACCAGTAACTGAATACTGAAAGGGGGTAGCTGGGTGAGCCTACTGGTACTGGAAACAGCCACCACAGTTATACTTTGTAAAGCCAGGGAACTGTTTATTTTTTCTACATAGACTGTCTTACTTTATTTTTTAAATTTCTACCTTTTCATGTCTGCCGTTAATATTAATTTCATCCATATTGTAACTTCATAGAAATACTGAGATCAGTGACATTCCTAGAATGGTTTGCCTTAAGCCCCATCCCCTTGGAATGGTGCCCTGAATTATAGGTGGACATGAAAATTTCACACTGATTGCCTAGTTTTTGTCACTTTAATTCATACGTAGTGTATAGAAATGAAAAAAAAATGATGTTAATTATAGAGTATATTTGAGAGTTTATATTCAGAATGGAGAGAGTTCTAATCAGCTAGATTTGAGGGTTGCACCATAATGTATTAAACTGATTTAAAAATACATGTGTGGGTTATATCTGATAGGCTCTGACCATCTAGCTAGTTGGTTCAATGAATGTGCCATTGAAGTGTGCAGTTAGGTCAGTCATTCGTTAAATTTTAAGTTAAAATGACTACTGAAGAAAGATCCTTGCTACCATATTTACCATATTATATGATCTCTATGTAAGTATTTGTTAGGTAGAAGCATACAAAATCGAATTGACATTTTATAAATAAAAAATAATTGAATATTGGCCATTTCATATGGTTCAACCTAATGAAAAACTATAGAATCTCAGAAAAGGAACTTTTAATACTTTTAGCATGTTCTAAATCTTCTCTAAAAATCACGTATTAAAAGTTTCTTATTTTTAAGGAAAAAGAAATGAGAAGACAACAAGCTGTTCTTCTGAAACATCAGGTCTGTATATGTATAGTTATACAATTGTTGAATGTACATTTTATAATATTGCTTAAACCTATTTGGGGGAAAATCTTCAAAATATTTTCTTTAAAATTTCTGATATAATTTCTGCTTAAGTTTTTCCTTCAACCTACAGTTTATTGCCTTGCTTTGGTATTGGTGTCTTTTTGGGGGGTTAAAAAATTGGTTTTATGACTCTGTGATTTCTGTTTCATAATGTTGTGCCAACTCTTTCTACCAGGAGTTGGAGAGGCATAGACTAGATATGGTATGGGTATGTTTATTTTTGTACATCTAACACCGCATTGTGATTTGGTTGTGATATGGTTGTCATAGCAATGCATAAAGTGTAGCACTGGCTGCTGTCATATTACATACTGCTGCATGGCTTTACAGCACAGTGCATTGCATACATCTGCTTGTCTGTCTATAAAGAAGTATGATGCATCTCCAAGATTTTACATTGAATTGTACAAGCCTTAAATAAGGCTGCTCTCTAAAAATTTACATTACTGATGTCACAAAGAAAGTTGGATCACTATACAATTAGATATAATTATGACCCGTATTCTCCCATCATTCTAGATGCAAAACTGCCATTGAATACAGTGGGAATTTTGAGTTTGTTTGATGAGAGAATATGAAATATATTCTGGTTTCATAGACAAATTTTAGAAATAATTTTAGAAATATCCCTTTGGAGAAACCAAATATGCTTAAACAAAAAAATCGATGAGATATTATAAATAAGTGATTTTTTTATTTTAAAAGTAAAGTGAGAATGTCAAATTAAACTAGTGCTTACCTTATTTTCATACTGTGCCTTTAAGATTCCACCTGTGAGCCCATGGTGCAGCTTTTGTGGCTTTAAATAGAGTATCAGGTGGCAGACATCAGTAAATAGGAATATCCCATTTCATTGGTGGTGTATGTGAAACAAGACTAGTTTAACTAAATTGGTATAAAAGCCTTAAAAAAACTCTAATTTATTGGTGGCTTATTGGATTTGCAAAATGATTTTGTACTGAAAATAACCTACTCTAAAATCATGAAGTTAAAGTGACTATAAATCAATTTCTTCCTGATCTAAAATTTTAAGAACAACACAACCGTTAGTTTAATTGGCCATAGTATTTGTGGTTTTTCTAATAGCAGATGTAAGGTAACTGACCTGTTCCAGCCAACCATTATGCTTTTTGTTCTGCCAGCTTTTGAAGGAGCATCACAACTGACCATAAGTAAATCTTGTATGCTTCTGTTTACACTGTCTCCATGTTCATTGCTTTACCTTTTTGCTTTTGATTGTTGTATTTGCTTTCTAAACCTGAACTAAAACATGCACAGACTGGCCATTCTTGTCTTATATTTAGTATTTACTGTGACTTGTCTATAAATGCTAAACATGCTATACTGAGTTTTTGTTTTGTTTTTGTTTTTGTTTTTTCATTGGAAAATCAAACTGTTAATTGTGGCTGAGTTATTTTCCACATTTTATCTGGCCTAATAGGAACGAGAGCGAAGGCGACAACACATGATGCTTATGAAAGCTATGGAAGCTCGTAAAAAAGCAGAAGTAAGTGTATGTTTCTAGAAAAATATTACCTTATAAAGTAATGCTTTTTCCTAAAGCATTGGCTCTTCTAAATATAAATTTTTCAGAATATAGGTTTGTTGTGATTTACTGGTTTTCATATGCAAACCAAAAGTTTAGAGATAGCAACTGAGTGTTAGAACATAAAAGAATGTAGGAAGAGTTCCAATGTATGTGTTAGTTTTCCTGGCTAAGATTTTAATTGTCTTTTTTTAGTGTAGTAAATAACATTGGTTTAGATAAAAGTAGCTATTTATCACACCAGAGTTTCACAAAACTAGTATTACAGCATGCCTAGACAAATCCTGTATGTCCTAATTCAAACACAAATCATTCCGACCATGGATTTCTGCCCTAAGAATTATTCTTTAGCATTCTCTATGTAAAATTAGGCTAAGTACTTTTCTTAAAATAACTTTTAACAAATAATTCAGAATAAGAAAATTATTGCAGTACAATCAGAATGAGCTTATTTGGAGGTTAATAGAAATCACTTAAAGGTTGAAATAGATATATGTTACAAAGGAATAACATTCTGTATTGAAACAGTTGAATAGAGTCATTATAACTGGGGCTTTGGAGGTTGAAAGACACAGGTTCCCCTGCTGGTTCTGCCACCAATTTGCTTGACATTTTCAAGCCATTTTTTTAAAATTGAGATGATACCTACCTCCTAGGTATGGGATTTTTGAGTGAGATAAGCATTTAATAAGTGAGAATTAATGAAAATGACACTGTTTGATCTAGAAGCTGGGAGGCTGTATTTCAGTATTTTGGTTTCAGCTCTAGCTTAAATTAGCAATATAGGTTTTTGATGTGTAGAGAAAATAGGTGTATTGTTTTGAAACCTGTGCAAAGTAGCCAGATTATCTGAATTTGAATTCTGGTTTCATTACTTTCCAGCTATATGACCTTGGGCATGTTATTTAACTTCTCTGTGATTCATTTCATCTATAAAATGAAGATAATACTGAATTCTGTTTTGTAGGGCTGAAGAGATGAGTAAATGGATATGTGTCTCTGTGTATGTAAAGTTCTTGGAACAGTGCCTGGCACCACATAGTACTTAACCATTGATACTACGTATGTGTAGAATGGGCCTAGCAAGATGCATCCCAGGTTGCGAACTACTGACATAGAGTACCTCTTAGCATAGACTTAACATAGCATGTAACATATATTACAACAATCACTTTCTGTGACGTTTCCTAAAGGTTATGGAAGTTTTACTCCAACACTTTTCCTGCTGTCTTTTTTTCCCTAACCTTTTGATTACCCAGGCCTATTGACACCCTCTATACCTAACATAATAATTGAATCTATACATCTGTGCGTGGAATTGTAACCATAATCTCTGAAAAATGACAGTCAGGGAAAGAGAGAGGTAACGTATTCCAGGAATTGGCATGGCTGCTCTCTATTCGCTTATGGAAACAGTACAGTGAAGGGAAGAGTAAGGAAGGGGACTAATTAAAAGCCTGAACACTGAACCTAATTCTCTCAATCTGGAGAGATGGAAATGGAGGGAGCAATTAGTAGCTCAGGGAAAAGACCTAGAAAATCCCTCAGGAGACAAGTTCTTCCCTACCAATCATGGGTTTTGTTTTGTTTTTTTTTTTAATCAGAAGGAATAAAAAGAACCAGGGCTTGCCATTCTGGTTTTTCTTGGCAGGGAGGAAAGCTAACTAAAATAACCCAGAACGTTATCTTTAGGCATACTAGGCTTCATTAGAAGAGAAGATCCAGTAAAATAGTAAGAATGAGATCATCTGAGAGGGGGAATGCCCAGGTGAAAGAGGCACCCCAAAGGCCTCAGAGACATGAACCCTCCCGCTGGTTTTTCATATTTGCCCACTAGGGCCTGGGGAGAGTGGGGGAAGCTGCTGCAGAGAGGTGAAGGAGATCTGGGTTGAGTGGAGGGTGGTAGCCACAGGATAAATACAGCTGATGAAAATGAGATATTCTAAGAATCCATCAAAGCCCAAGAGCACCTCTCAAGAGGAAAAGGATATACTCTTGACTAAATAGAGTGAGTCCGCTACAGTTCTTCCAATAAAACTGAGAGATACCAGAAACCTGGTATAGCTCTCCCTCTCCTACCTACCTTTGTCCTAAGCAAAAAGAAACAGAAGTAGAATACAGAATACTCATGGGCAAATCTGAATTACTTTTAAGTCTAAAAACAGGTAGCAGATAAAGGGAGAAGAGCTGAAGGAAAATTAACCCACCTATATTGGAGCAATACAAGTTATTAATAGGGCTGGACATATTAAGCATAAATACTTTGAAAAGAAATGGCAGGGCAACTGTGTTAAAATATTAAACCAAAATAAAGCCAATAAGTGCATATGTACATAAAGTAATGACTTAAATCCTAATAGCTGAAAGAGCGAGCCTGGTTTCTCTGTTCTCATTATTGCTTTCCTCAGCACTCCCTATGCATTCTCTACAGAGCAGCCAAAGTGATCTTTTCAAAAAGTAAACCAGATCATATCCTGACACTATCCAGGGGCCTCTCATTGCAATTACGATAAAATTCAGACTCCTCACCATGGCATTTTCCCACTGACCTCTGCCTCTCACTCCAGTTTTACTTCATACAATTTGTCCCTTATGCACTATATTCTGATCATTTTTGTCTTGTTATTATTCCTGAATGAACGGTCTGTACTATTGCTGTTTTTCCACCAAATATTCACATGGTTCCTATTTGTTGTTCAGTCATCAGTCAAATGTTAACTTTTCAAAAAAGCCTTTAGATAATTTTTAAATTTCTAAATGTAATTAAATATTCTTAATAAATGTATTTAATTCCACTTTTGGATTACAGGTTTATAAATACTCTTGACTGAAAATGGAAGATAGCAATTATGTTTGCCCACAGAGTAAAATATTAAAAGTGAAGAAGAAATTGCCTATTGAATTCGTTTAATAACCAGTTCAAAATGTTACCTTAATTTTAGTTTGTGTCATTTGAAGAATTAATCATTCAGCAAATTTATAAATGCTCAAATAATTTTTATATGCCATGGCATACCGCATGTATCTATTACAGTCATATCACTACTGTAGTCAGAAGTAAGAACAATACTTAGACTATGGAGACCAGTGGGAGAGGAAAGTTGGACTGATACAGGCTCAAGAGTCAAAGAGAAAGATAAACTCATTAAAAACTTTCTCCAGGTGTCCAGGGGGGAAATTGAATAGGTCCATGAAGAAACAGGTGAATAAGTTAGTTCCTCTGCCCTCTAGAAGAGGCTTATACTTGAGTGAGAGAGATCAACTTTAAACAAATAATTGCTACACAGTGCAACAAATGCTATAATAAGTTATATGGAAGCTCAAAAACAAGAAGTACTACCATGTCTGAAGTAGTTGTGGGAACGATAAAAAAAAAACAGGCTTTATACAGACTTCTTGTGAAGGAGGAGGAACTAGGCATTCTAGACAGTAGGTATGGCATATACAAAGGTACAGTATTGTGACTAAACAAGACCTGGGGGTGGGGGTACAAAGAGGGTATTAGCCATTTTAACCTAGTGTACATGCCCGTCTTGGCTTTGTTGTTGCTTCATCGTCATTAATCATCCAAGCAGTAACTTCAAAGGGGCTATGCTGTCTTCTCCACACAGGTGTGTCATACAGTGAGGCTGGAACATGAGAAATCCACTGTGAATTGTGAGATGTGAGACAAGCGCTTGTGTGGGGCTAGATTGTGACTGGCTTTATATGCCATTATAAATATTAGTTGGTGGTTGAGGGGACCTTGGAAGCTCTGGCTCTTTCAGAGTTAACTTGTACCATAACCACAGAATTTGTATTAGTTCTATACAATTCATGCTGAATTGAGAGACTCCACATTTCCATTAAAGTATGCCTAATAGTAGACAGTAATAAATGCTTGTCTTTAACTGATAAAGGTCACACCGATTTCTCTAATTTTTTGGAAATCTCCATTTTATCATAAATATCGATATGACTTTTGCATTCTATTCCATATTTTACTTTTTCAAGTGGAAAAAAGTATTGCATGTCACCAGCTAAAATTGATACTCCAAGAATATAATCCATATTTATCTTATGGCATTCAGTGCACTCTATCTAGCTTGTCCGTGTGTCTATTGAGTATGTATGTACCTCCAGGATTGCTACCAGTGGGAAGTTGGCACAGTGAAAAGAGCATCAGTGTCACATGGATTTTCTCTCTTTTTAAGAAGTAATAGCAACCATTTTTAACAACTTTAGTAACTAGTAGTCTCAATTATGATGTTTATAATTGCTGTTATGGACATCATTAATAGATCTGGATTAGCTCTGTGTAAAGCCATGTGTCACTTAACGATGACAATACATTCTGAGAAGTGTGTCATTAATCAGTTTCATCATTGTGCAGACATCATAGAGTGACATGCCCAAACCTTAGATGGTATATAGACTGCTACACATCTGGGCTATATGGCATAGACACTGTAGTACATGCAATTCTTTAGTGACAAACATCACGTGGCATAGAAGTGCAGCAAAAAATTTTACAGTATCTACTTTCAAATCAGTAAGAGATATTTAATATGCTTTTTTCTATTAGTGATGCTAATTCATTACTCTGGTGAGGAACCAAAAACTTAAATCTTCCCTCCTTTGGAAAGTTCTTAGAGCAACAGTTCATGGGTTTAAGAATCGAAATTTCAGTTCTAGGGGAAAAAAGTTATTCTACCGGTGACTCTGCTGCCCTTTTGTAAGGGCTAGTAATAATAGTACTTCAGGCTATTAACTAATAATTTGATTTGAAAATCAAACCCTCAGAAACTGCTTTTTGGTTTATAATTGGTAAAATTAATTATAGAACTTTGCTGGTGTCAACAATCTTATAAGCTTCCTTATAGTTTGTCCTCCCAGAATGTCTGCATGAATCAGTAACCCAGAAATTCAGAGGCAGTATAAAAATGAACAGTAACTTGTGCATGTCATATAAAAAGGCCCTTAGGATCTGGCCTCTGGCTATCATAATATTCAGCAACTATTCAACTTGCAGCCTACACTCCAGTCTTGAAACTGCTAGCAATTTTTCAAACACACTGTACTTTCTCTACTCTCTGATCCCATGTTCTTCTCCACTCCTCTCTTTCTCCCTCTTGGCCTTCCCTCCAGCAGCAGTCAGGGTGCTTGCTTACAAGTGATAATCGAAATGGAGATGATTAGAATATGGGCAAAAATAGTAATATAGTACAGAAAGCAATGACTGCTGTGTTAAAATCAGAGTTAAGAGCTATGAAACATAATAGAAATTGGTAGTGTTTAATTAGGATTTAAATATGCAAGATGGGAAAAATGAAGATCTTGATTGGAGTGAACCAGTATAAGCAGCTGAGGAAATAAATGTTCATCAGGAATAGAAAATTCTAAACCTACACAGAAAAAAATATGAGAGGTAAGATTAGAAAAGAAGAGTCTGGAATTCAAAAGTAAGGACTTGGACCTTATTTTGATAGAAAATCAAAAGACTTTTAATCAAGGAAGAGATATAATCAGCCTTACAAAAGTAAACCAATTAGCAATGTGTGGCACGTGTGCGGTAGTAGGTTAGAACTGACTGATGATTCTACTGTTATTTCTCCCCTAAATAAATGAGAGCTATATTTGAGATATGATGAAAAAGTAACGATAATGGTATTATAGAAAATCACTTGCTCCAACAAAGTCATTCCCTACAACAGAGAGACAAGTCAGTTATTTCCATATTGTTGCCATTACCAAAACATTCTTAATGCTTTTGACATTGCCTTCACAACTGATTTTACATTCTCTTAAGTGTTGTTTATGGTGGTGAATAATATTTTTCTTTCCTCACAGGTGCTGTCTTAAGACTAGCTAATTCACTTTGAAAGAACTACTTGTGCAAATTCAAACATGTTACTTCCACTTTCCTGCTGTAAATCATTTGCTTGCTGGAGCCACACTAAAATTTGTGCTAATAACTTTATTTAATAAGATATGTAGTTGCCCATGTTCATTTTATGTACCTGCTTGTATTAATAAGTATTTTATTCTTATAACTTGGCAAATGATTGAACAAATTTTGAATAACAAAATAGTCTAGGTCAAATCTAATATTGATATTAAATATATACAGTCATAAGATTATTTTGAAAATTAGAGAGTAAGATTAATGAAAAGCAAAATAATTCAATGTTGCTACATAATTCTAAGTTTATTCCAACATATATAATGATTAAGAAGAATATGTGTACATGGTTTTCTTTTTAAGGAAAAAGAGCGGTTGAAACAAGAAAAACGTGATGAGAAAAGATTAAATAAAGAGCGTAAACTAGAGCAGCGAAGATTAGAATTAGAAATGGCAAAGGAACTAAAGAAGCCTAATGAAGACATGTGCTTAGCAGACCAAAAGGTAATTTATACGTCATGTACACCATTTCATTCATAAGTTTAATTTTTCCAGTTTTCTTACCTGATTTCTTTGCCAGAGCTGCTATTGTGAAAGCCTTTCATTTTTAACTATAGCAGTGAATTTCCAACTCTAGGTCAATTTGCCTTTCCTAGATAGCTAGAAGTAAACCTCTCTGGAGCTCTTGTGCTGGTAATGGCGGTTTTTTTGTTTGTTTGTTTGGTTGGTTGGTTGGTTGGTTGGTTGGTTGGTTGTTTTCAGACAGGGTCTTACTCTGTCATTTAGGCTGGAGAGAGGGCAGTGGCAGGATTATAGCTCACTGAAGCCTCAACTTCTCGTTCCCAGGCTCAAGTGGTCCTCTCACCTCAGTCTTCTGAGTTGCTGGGACCACAGGCGCTTGCCACCATGCCTGGCTAGTTTTTTGGGTTTTTGTTATTTTAATTTTTTGTAGCGGCAGACTCTTATGTTGTCCTGGCTGGTCTTGAACTCCTGGGCTCAAGTGATACAGCCACCTCAGCCTCCCAAAGTTCTGGGATTCCAGGCACAGAAAAATCTCAACTCCTCCCCACATCCCTATGGATATTTAAATAAATGAGGATTTATAATCTGTGACCTCCTTCAGTGCTTTAGGTGGCAAACCTTTATTGAACATGTTTACTACATGCTAGGACTGTGCTAAGCACTTATTTGAATTTTCTCATTTAATCCTCAATACAATCTTGTGGAGTTAGTATTTCTTCCCATTTATACATGAGAAAACTGAGACACAAAGAGGTTAAGGAACTTGCCCAAGATTACACAACTAATAAATGGCGATTTGGATTCAAACTCCAGTTTGTTAAACTCCAGAGCCTATACTGTTTATCATCCTGAAAGCCAAGAAACTGTGTCCAACCAAAGCACCTCATATGTGTTTTGTCTTCCATAGTGCTTCACAGACATGTAATGTTGCTGAAATACATAAAAGTATAAATTTAGAAACATTGCTGTAATCTTGGCAACCAGCATAATTTCATATACTTTTGAGTAAAAATCAATGATGTTTTGACTATAGTTAAGAAGATGGTACTTCTAGAAAAATATCAATAATGCATTTCATCTCTATATTATTATACTTAATTAGTAGGATATGTATTTACTTATATGCAATATTCAAATGATTTGCAAATAATGATTATCTCTTGATTTATGTAAGCTCTTTTTTTATTTTATTTTATTATTATTATACTTTAAGTTTTAGGGTACATGTGCACAATGTGCAGGTTAGTTACATATGTATACATGTGCCCTGCTGGTGTGCTGCACCCATTAACTCAATTATGTAAGCTCTTTTCTAAAGTGCTTAAAGAAAACTTTTAGTACTCTAGAATGGATTGAACTATATTAATATTCTATTTATTTACTTAGCATAAATGCTTCTAAATAAAAATGAGAGTATACTTACTAGTTGTAGTCATTTGGATATTTAAATTTTCCTAAGCAGAGAATGGGTATATAAATTAGTTAACACATTTAATAAGCTCATAGTGATCAAGCTTTTTAAATCCTAAGTGAGCTTCATTTTCTTGTATCTTTTATTTTCATTTAAATTCATATGTACTATATCAAATATGTAAGTCCATTTTAAGCCATATTTTTAATAGCTCAGCTTTGCTACATAAATTTTTAGAATTACATAGAAATGTATATGTTTCCTGTGGTTCAAGAAAAAGGGAGAATGAGAATTAACTGGCTTTCAAGAAGAATATAAAATATTTGTATGAGATGAGCTATTATCTATAGTTTTGTGTTTCCACACAGTATTAACAGAAAAAGTCTTCAATTGGTTACCTCAATAAATGCAGAGTGGAGAAATATTTTTGAACAAGGACCAATTCAGATAAATAGAAATATTTATGTCACTTTTTTTCCAATTAAAATTTAAAGTACTTTTTTAGGCTCTCATTAACAGGCAAAATGTTTTTAATTCAGATTACCTATTTATTGAAATTTTAAAATGTTGATGACAACTGGTACTGCAATTAAGTCATTAAAATGTTAATATGTGAGCATATTTGAGAAATAACAACAGAGATAGCTAATTTTAATACTGAAGCTAATACTTGCCTAAATACAGGGAAACCTAAAGACCTTTAGTTGCATTATAACTGGGTTTATGTACAGGGTCATGGATTCTAGTTATGTGGACCTAGTTATTTATCTGCATTCATTAGCCATAGATGGTACCACTTTCTCCAACCATAGAGCCCACAGATGCATGCTGTTTGTTTCTAAGCTACAAAAAAAGTGTGATTTTTAAATGTCATCATCATTAGAAGAAATTGGTGCACATGCCCCTATAAGTATGTCCATGGTAAAGTACTTTTGAAATGTTTATATTTTATTTAATTTTTGCTCCAGTTATATAATCCATGTTTTGTTAATATGGATATGTCAGTTGATTGAATATGCAAGTTGATTAAAATTAATGTCTCTTTTGCAAAGATCTAAGTTCATAATTGAGTTCAACCAAAATTTATTAATGGTTGCTTACTTGTATGAAGATACTTCAAGACACTATGCTTAGTTCCATGGGGGTTACAGAAATGCCCCCAGAGAATTTAGCATCCCAAAGGAAGCTACTGGTACAATACAAGAGGGGAAAAAAGGTAGCAGCTTATTTTACTTTAGAAGATACGAAATCATGGCTTTTAAAAAATTAAGCTGTTTTTATTTTATTTGTATTTCATTTTATTTTCAGCCTTTGCCAGAGTTGCCTCGTATTCCAGGACTTGTTCTCTCTGGAAGTACATTTTCAGACTGTCTCATGGTGGTGCAGTTCTTACGAAACTTTGGTAAAGTTTTGGGCTTTGATGTGAATATTGATGTTCCAAACCTGAGTGTTCTTCAAGAGGGATTGCTAAATATAGGGGACAGCATGGGTGAAGTACAAGACTTGCTTGTGAGGCTCCTCTCAGCTGCTGTATGTGATCCAGGTCTAATAACAGGATACAAGGTAAAAAAAAACAAAATATAAAATGTTTTAAATTTGTACTGTCAGTGCATTGGTAGATAGCTTTAGCATATTAGCAGAAGATTATATAGATTGATCTAATTTTTCCACATAATGTCTCACAAAGTTAACTGTAGATTTGTGTCAGGTTACACTTCATACAAAGAAAACCTGGTTATAAAGCTTAAGGAATGTAGACCATTCTCAAGTTATTCTTTTTTCCTCTAGCTGTAGGCAAAGACCAAGGTGATTTAAGGAAATCCTTAAGCGATATTCATCAACAACAGAATTCATAATTCATAAGGCAACTAGAACTTGTATGTGCCTTCTGATATTATACCTTGTTCTCTCTCAATCACTGTGAATAACTGAAGCTAATCAAGGCACCTACAGACCAGCACGTTAAGACCCTGTGCTGCTCAGTGGATCCTCAATAAGTTCATGTTTATCTTAATTCCAAATACAGTATACATTCCAGGGAGCTTTGCTCTAGATAATATTGTGGAGAGAGAACCTCCCAGATGCACCTGTTTTTCTTCTATCTCCCTCAGTGTTTCCCTATTTATTATCCCCAGCCAGTAAAACCTATAACACTTTAAGGGTAGAAAACAATACTGTTTTTTAACCTCCCCACTCTGTCATTCCTGATAAAATATCCAGATGAAACTTGGGGAAAGGTTGGTGTCGCTTTTATAGTCATGGAAGGCTTGATAGGTAATTTAAAACTTCTGCTACCCATGAATTTGCATACTCTTCTCCCTGCCTGACTTGGAACCAAGGATTTGAAGCGGGGAAAGAAAGAAACAAATACTTGAATATTTGTCTGTCTTCTATTGACTATTTTTGTGTCTCTTTCATTAAAAAAAAAGTGAATAAAGCTCTTGTCAGTAGTATCTAAATCAAATAATATGAGGATTTTTAATCTTATTGTTTTTATGGTATAAATGGTTGTGAGTAATACTGATAAAAATGCCAAACTTTTATAGGCTAAAACAGCTCTTGGAGAACATTTGCTGAATGTTGGTGTGAATCGAGACAATGTTTCCGAGATTTTACAGATATTTATGGAAGCCCACTGTGGACAAACTGAGCTTACTGAAAGTCTGAAGACCAAAGCTTTTCAGGCTCACACTCCAGCACAGAAAGCTTCAGTCCTGGCTTTCCTGATCAATGAACTGGCATGCAGCAAGAGTGTGGTCAGGTGAGCATATGCCCAGGCTTTTCCGTGATTTTTCCATTTTGAATTTTTCTAATCAAAAAGTAATACAAATTGATTATAGAAAATTGGAAAGTTACAGACTAGCACAAAGAAGAAAATTAAAATTGTACTTATCTCAGTATTTAGAGATGGCCACTAATAATATTTTCATGTATTTCTTTGTAGTGTATTGAAAAAAAATTTGGATTATACTGTGTGTCTGTAATACGTGGTCTTTGTCACCTGTTTTGTTTAATAATTCTGTTAATTCTTTATACATAACTTTTTTTATATTTTTAGTTGCTATGGTACCAGAATGTGGTACCACCACAAGAATACAGAATTTTTTTTTCCTTCACGTCTTTTAAGGACAGATGACTACCTGATTTTGCTTAGTAGCCATTCACAGAATTACGTAGCCACTTTTTATTTTGTTGTATGCTAATAGAACCATAGAGTATTTATTTATCAGTGTATTAATTTATACTTTTTTAAAGCATTTGATCCTATTTAAAAGTCAGAGTTCTCACTCTAGTACTTGTTACTAGTAAAATACTAATACCAACATGTACTCTAGTATTCAGGATTTCTGAACAAATTCATGTTCATCTTGTCCTTGTTATTCATTATTTTACAGATTTTTAACAACTTTTAGTCCTTTACCTTTCTAGAAAAAGGATCAATCCAAATATTCGGGGTCATGCATTTCTACCAGTGTGGAAATTTTAAGTTTTCTGTACCTATCTTAGCTATGATATTGTATTAATGTAATTTTTTGTTTGTTTCTGCTATTCACTGACAGTCATCCTAAAAAATATAATAATATTCACGTCTTACAATTTTATGAAAGAATAATTTCATTTAAGCATGAGCATGATAACAAATAGTAATGCTAAGTGGCACTTATTCAAAACACATACACCCAAATTCAATGTAAATGGTACACTATGGTTTTTGCCTTAGAAGGGAAAAAGCATCCCTATTTGACTTTACTGGTAAAGTAAAACAGAATGGTAAAGAATATCATAATATTCTTAGTTACTGTTTGGTTGTTTATATATATACACTTAGTGTATATGCATATGTATGTATGTGCACTTATGTAAATATCCATGTGTGTTCTGGTATCCTGCTTTGATTTTGGAAATTATCACATCTTAAAATACCTGCAACAAAACTTGGAATATTGTCTTTCTAAGGCAATTGATGCATAGTTTCTTTCTTGGTTTAAGATAGAAACCACAGTGAATTTTCTAATACTAATGTTGTATCCATTGAAGAAGTTATCACTTTTCAACATCTGTGTATACATATATAAACACATACATATATGAACGTGTATATGCATGAGGTCAGTTGTATCATTTTTACTTATTCAAAAATGCATTAATTTACGTATCAAGTTTATTGCATATCAAATTAATGCATTGCATAAATTGATTAATTTACACTTTTTAATAAATTCTTGCATTGGCAGTGAAATCGACAAGAACATTGATTATATGTCAAACTTGAGGAGAGATAAATGGGTGGTAGAAGGTAAACTCCGCAAGTAAGTCCTGTTTTATTAAAGTTAATGTACTGTTTTCTTTTTCTACAAATTCCCAGTAAAGCATATGAATTGCAAAGATAGAATTTAAACTTTTATTGTCTAAAGAAAAGATAATGCTCAATTTAGATGGGATATAAAATTAATAAAACTCAGGGGCAGAATTTGCAATGGACAAAAGATATAATGAGATTCATTGAGCTTATATTCTTCATACTTAGAAGAAAGTCATTTTCTCTTTTTCTTTTAAACAAGTCAAGCAATTACATTTTCTAAGATTGTGGTTGCTATTAAGTTGCTTTTATCACAAACAGAATGTTTGGAACTGTAACTTGTTTTCTTAATTGCTTTCTAATTAAAATTTGCTTTTACGGAATCTAGCTAAACTTATTCAGCATTAAAACTTAATTATCTTCCTGCCAGAAAATATCAGGCAGAAATTACTCCTATGTTAAGAGGTTAGTTTCTTTGTAGTAATTTGAATTGAAATTTATTCAGTCAGTTAGTATGGGATCAGAAATTATTACTCAGCCATTGTTAGAATTCTTCTTTTCAACTTTCATCATTTTTTTTAATGAGTCTAATTCCAAAGAGATATCTAGAATAACTCTTGAAAGTGAATGCATCCTGTAATTTATGGAAACATTTCTTAAGTTTCCTAATTCTAATTTTTTTTAACATTGGTATATCGCTTAACACAAAAGAAATGCCATAAGGTATTTTTGCATACAACTCATGTTTTGCTCTTTTAAAAGTATATTGAGAAGTCTTTTTTTCCTTGTCATCACTTTTCATAATATTTAAAGGCTCAGAATCATTCATGCTAAGAAAACAGGCAAAAGAGACACTTCAGGTGGCATTGATCTGGGAGAAGAGCAGCATCCCTTGGGCACACCCACTCCAGGACGCAAGCGAAGAAGGAAGGGAGGAGACAGTGATTATGACGATGATGATGACGATGACAGTGATGACCAAGGGGATGAAGATGATGAGGATGAAGAAGATAAAGAAGACAAAAAAGGAAAAAAGACTGATATCTGTGAAGATGAGGTAATGAAATTTAGGTTGATTTTAAGACAACTAGAACTGCATAACATATTTTTAAAAACAGAATTTGGAGTCAGATGGATTCGGATTTGAATTCAGTTTTGACATTTACTTGCCTCAGTTTCCTCATCTGAAAAACAAATATTACAATCTGTATCCCATAAAGATTTTTGTGATGGTTATGTAAATATCTTGTAGAATGTCTATACATAAAAGACACTAAGACTGAATAAAAGAAGTTTTTTTAATATAATTTCTTGAGAATTCTCCAAAGAGATATGCAGATTTTTAATTTCAGGTATTTTGTTTCATTCTGTTAACATACTGTGTTACATTTGTACAGCGCTTCATGCCTTTAAAAGTGTTGTCAGGTTTAGTGAAAATAATGTATTCCTCAAACACCAATTACTATTTCTCTAGTTCTAGGTATTTTTAATCAAAGACGAATAAGGCACTGAAAGTCCCATCTCAATTTACAGTCTCACTGAGAAGGATTTGCAAAAAGAAAACATAATGTGATAACTGCTTTGAGAGGGGTATTGACAATGTGCTAGGCAGATACAACTTAAGAGCATTTAGACTTTCTGAGTAATAAACTCCCACAAAGAGTTTCTGGACCCATCAGCTCAGGCTATAAGCTGAGCTGAACATTAACCTGGGTAAAGGTCTAGGGAAGAGTGTTCCAGGCAGAGAGAAATGCATGACCAAGGGCACAGAAGCAGGAAACCACAATGTGCTTTAAGGGGATTGCAAGTGCTTCAGTGTTACTGGAGTCTCATATGCAACAATGATGAACTAGGATCTTTTGCTTTTTTAGTGGCAGGAAGCCACTGAAGGGTTATAATCAGAGAATGGCATGGTCAGCATTAATTTTTAAGTTACTCACTCTGGCAGCTGTGAGAAAGACACAAAAGGTGGGGCAACATCAGAAGTGCAGAGATCAGTCAGGAGATACTGCAATGGTTTAGATGAGTTGTGAGGGGTAGAAACTAGAGCAATGGTAGTTGGGATGAGGGAGGAAATGATTTAATAAATATTTAGGAGGAAGAATGGGCAGGACTTGAAGATGGAAGGTAGACTATGTAGGTTGTTAGAGTGGTAGGATTGATTTCCAGCAGTCTGGTTTGGAAGACTTCATGCTATTGTTGCCATTAACTAAAATAGGGAAATCAGGAACAGAGTAAGTAGATAATTGGGGGCAGGGGGAGGTAAAGGAACAGATAATTGAAGACAGGAAATGATTATTTATTTTTGGACTTGCTGAGTTTGAGGTACCCATGTATAGGAGCTTAGCAGTCAGTTAGATTTAGGAATCTGAGGCCTGAAGAAGAGTTTGCTCTTAGAAATATAGATCTGGGTGTTATTATCAGGTAGATGATAATTTAAAATCATGAGGTAATAAGATTACAGAGGGGGATTGGTTTAGTGAATAGAGTAGTGGACTGAGGTTGGAACCTCAGGGAACATCAGTATTTAATAGGAGCCCACAAGGCTCCTTGTTCAAGAAGCAAGAGCAGAGAGGTTAGAGATTTCTGTGAGTTGGGGGTCCCCAAGACCACCTTCAGGTTCAGTGATTCACTAGGATGATTCACAGAACTCGGCATATACTTGTGCTTATAGCAATGAATTACTACAGTAAAAGGAAACAAAGCAAAATCAGCAAAGAGTATATGGGCAAAGTCCAGAGGAAACCAGATACAAGCTTCCAAGAGTCATCTCCCAGCAGAGTCACACAGGACAGGCTTAATTCACTCAACAACATACATGAAATGTTATCTACCAGGGAAGCTCATTAGAGACTCAGTGTCCAGGTTTTTACTGGGGGCTGGTACCTGTAGGTACCCTCTGCATAGCATGTGCCAAAATATCAGATTCCCTGAAGAAAAGCAGGTATTCAGCATAATCCACATTGTTAGCGCAAATAGTTCAGGTCCATATTAAGAGCTCATCTTAACCCTCCCAAAATCCAAGTTCCCATATGCCAGGCCAAGGACCAACCTTGTAAGAAGGCCTTCCAGAGGATACCAATCAGGCCTGCTATGTTAAGTCTTTTCTACACATGTAATAATAACAGTAATCAAGAAAATCAAACATTGCAAAAAGGAGAGTGATAAACAGTGTTAAAGCAGTGTGATATGGACCAAAAATGTTGATTGAATTTGGCAACATAGAGGTCATTGGTAACCAGTGTCAACACAGTTTTATTAGAGGGATGAGCACACCTACCAGGCTGTAATTGATTGATTACAATAGAAAGTGAGAAAATGAAGATGACTATTTCAAGCATTGTGCCTCAGAAGACAGGGAGTTCCTAGAGCAGGAGAAGGAGCCAAGGATTTTACAGATGTTAAAGACGAGATGATTTTTGATGGAAAGAAAAGAGTCAATAAAATGAGAGAAGGGGATTTAAGATAAAAGAAATTTTAAAAAGCACTGTGGTATAAGGTTCTAAAGATTTTGGAGGGGCTTCAATCAAGGTGAAGGAGCTACCTTTGAAGAGTAGGTCAAAGGGAAGAAGGCAAGGTCATAGAGGGATGTGTGTGTGTGTGTGTATGTATATGAGTTTAGGGAAAGCTACCATAAGTCATGAAAATGGACACATATAAAAGATTGAAGTTCACCTTTTATCAGAAAAGAATGCTAGATAGGGCTGTGGAATTGACCTCAAAAAACAACATGCAGCTAACTATTTCTTCTGCCCTCAATGCTAAGAGCTCTTAGCTAAGGAAGTCTAGAAAGAACTCTTTTCCCTTATTGCATCAACTCAGTAATGCTGGAGAAATAAAGAAAGCTTAGAGAGATGAATTTATCAATGGAATGTGAAAGAAAGCTGAGAGATGAATTTATCGATGGAATGTGTGAAAATAATATCTAGTTGGAACCAATGATAATCAAATTTATGAATCAATGTAGAATTTATAATATGCTACATAATTCTCTTTCTTAAGTAAAAATATCATGAGTACAAAATGTTGTCATAAATTCTCCATTTCCAATGTTGTATTTTAAATCAGAATGGTAAAATTTATTAGAATGAACTTTTCTTTTTTGTTAATTTTGGTAAAACATTTAACGTAAGATTCACCCTCTTAATAAATGTTTAAGTGTACAGTATACACTGTTGGTAACTATGGGCATGAGGTTGTACAACAGCTTTCTAGAACTTATTCATCTTGCATAACTGAAACTTCACACCCATTAAATAGGAACTCCCCAATTTCCCTGTCCTCCCAGCCCCTGGCAACCACCATTCTACTCTCTGGTTCTATGAGTTTGACTGTTTTAGATACCTCATATAATTGGAATCATATAGAATTTGACTTTCTGTGACTGGTTTATTTCACTTTGCATAATGTCCTCAAGGTTCACCCATGTTGTTACTTATGGCAGGATTTTTTTAAGGCTGAATAATATTCACTGTATATATATATCACATTTTGTTTATTCATCCATCCATCAGTGGACACTTGGGTTGCTTTCACCATTTGGCCATTGTGAATAACATTGCAATGAACATGACAGCACAAATACTTCAATATCCTGATTTCAGTTCTTTTGAATAAATACCCAGAAGTGGGATTGCAGGATCAGATAGTTCTATTCTTAATTTTTTGAGGAGCCTTTATAGTGTTTTCCATAGTGGTTACACTATTTTACAATCCCACACTCCCAACAGTGTAACACTATTTTACAATCCCACACTCCCAACAGTGTATGAGAGTTCCAATTTCTCCATATCCTTGCCAACACTCCTGTCTGTCTCTTTCTTTCTCTTTCTTTTTGAGAGTAATTACCCTAACAGGTGTGGGATGATATCTCATTGTGATTTTGATTTTACATTTCCCTGATTAGTGATGTTGGACATCTTTTCACATACCTGTTGGCCATTTGTATGTCTTCACTGCAAAAATGTCTATTCAGGTTCTTTGCCATTTTTAAAATCTGGTTATCTGGTTTTTGCTATTGAGTTGTAAGAGTTATATATTTTAGATATTAACCCCTTATCAAATATATGATTTGCAAATGTTTTCTCCTGTCCTGTAGGTTCTCTTTTCAGTCTGTTGTTTCCTTTGCCATGAAGAAGCACTTTAATTTGATATAGTGCCACTTGTCTGTTTTTGCTTTTATTCCCTGTGTTTTTCATGTCATATTCAAGAACTCATTGTAATGAATTTAACTTTACTGCTTTTAAGAGTACCAATCTGAAAATGAGACTACATTGAGATTCCTTGCAGAAATAATTTATTTCATAATATTATACTTTTGAAACTACTGAATTATGTACATTCATCTGTGACAAATAATATGAAGGGTATATAATTTGAGTATCAGAAGTGTAATTACCCAAACAAAAGATAACATTTATAAGCAATCTGCTTCATTTGGCAAGTGGAGCTGTTTCCATAGCAGGAATTAAGCCTTTCTGACCAAAATTAATCACCTTTTCATAGAATTAGTAGCCTCTTTTAGCACTTCACATTATAAATTGTTTTAAAGTGTTAACTCATAAGTTCAATAACTTGGACAACTATGTACTGGGATTTTAGTTTATTCCCCTGTATAGTTATCTTACTAAACTAGAATTTATTTACAGAAATTATTTGTTTCACTTGGTTTCTTTTTTAACAGAGAACTAACAAACCATACATTTTATTCTTTACACATAGACTATTTGAAAATCATTATTAAAGTTTTAAAGGAGATGTGTCATTTAAGGTAGTATTTCACTTCTTTTTTTTTTTTTTTTTTGGAGACAGAGTCTCGCTCTGTCACCCAGGCTGGAGTGCAGGGGCACCATCTCAGCTCACTGCAACCTCCGCCTCCTGGTTCAAGCGATTCTCCTGCCTCAGCCTCCCGAGTAGCTGGGATTACAGGTGCCTGCCACCACGCCCAGCTAATTTTTGTATTTTTAGTAGAGACAGGGTTTCACCATGTTGGCCAGGCTGGTCTCGATCTCTTGACCTCGTGATCCACCCGCCTCGGCCTCCTGAAGTGCTGGGATTACAGGCATGAGCCACTGCACCCAGCCATATTTCACTTTTTTATGAGTGTTGAATTATAGAGTTAAATAGATTTTAGGATTTCACTGGCAAAGGTAGATCCTTGTTAGTAATGTGAGAAAACAATTTCAAAATTTTATAAAGTAATAAATATTAGGACCTAATAAGTCAAATTAACATTTCATGTTAAATGATTTGAATTATTCTTTATAATAAAGAACTGGCAGACACATCAATTTCCTATGTAAGTAAAATTTTGACTACTTAATGAAATTGATAAGTTAGGCACATTAGTTCTCAAAAAATAGATTTGGCCTCTCAGTTAAGTTTTAAGTAGGGTATTGGTAGTTACCTTCCTTAAAGGATTGATTTTTCCTTTAAGGCAGGGAGGTTTTCTTATTGAGACCCATAGGATCCCTTTCAATTAGAAGATACTGCCCTTGACTAGATCATAGCCCCTTTATCTCAAAGAGAATTCCCTCTTCTCCTCACTCTTCATTCCTTCATTCCGTAGAGTTGTGTTGAGACCTATGGGAGTTTAACCTCACAAGTTGGCCTGTGAGAGGTTCTGTGGACAATTAAACTCTGACATATAGGGACATATAATGATGCTGTTTTTTGGTTGGGGAACTGTGACTGGGATAGATTCTGTGTTCTTAGTTGTTGTTGCTGCTACTACCTTTCTGTCTATTCTTCCAAGGTTTTTTTAATGTCTGAAAATTTTAAGTACTATTAGCCAAAACTCCTTTAAATAAAACTTTAGGAGACATTTTATTTCTTTTTGCATCATAGGAAGAGTCTTAAAAATTGCAGTTAGAATATTTGGCTGATACATGGCATTTTCAAATATTTGATATCTATTTTGAATATTTATTGATTGAACTGTATTTTTGCATGAACAGATTATCAGACATTTGTCCTGCTGATCAGAAGATCATTTTAGAATCTATATATAAATATTCACATAAAAGTCAAGATTTAAGAGTTGTTGAGCTAGTTATCTTTTGAGTTTTCTTTTAATTCCAAATAGAATTCATGTTACTGTTAGCACAAATAATGTGCCTAAATACCTTTGTAACTGGGTTCCCTAAGTTTGGGTAAGGAGCGGATGAATGAGAGATAATGGTACAACTATGGGAGTCTTTTTTTCACTTTTTTTTTCATTGGGTAGTAGCCATACTGGTCAGAAATATATATTTGTGTGTGGTTGGTGACAGTGTGGCTTTTTATAAATGCTTATAGGAAGTAAACATCAAAAACAAGTTGTTATTTTTCTTTAATCTGGGCTGTACCTGCATCTTCTTATTAAAGTAGGAACACTGTTGGTTACTTTCAGATCTGTTCTTACTTAGTCCTCACAAAACCTTCATGTAGTAGGTAACATTATCACCAAATTTACAGATGAATAGACTTACAAAGGTTAAGTAATTTGCCTATGTCTAGTAGTGCAGATAAGATCCAAAGAAACCCGTGTACCTTCTGTTCATGCTTTCCCTCTAAAACCTACAATTTGGAGATAGTTCTTCTGTTGTCATTTTCTGGAATGACAAATTTCACACAATTACTTACAAACCTTCTATTTATGAAATTAGGACTATGCATGTTAGGAATTATTTTTATTCTAAAAACTCAATGTGTTCAAGTATATCAAGTATATAGTATAACTAATCTTCTTCCCTTCAAAAATAACTCCTTCAGTTGATAGTATCAGTATTTTTCCAGTCTCCTAGATTTAAAACCTTAACATCATAATTTATTTATTCCATCATCTCCCTTGCCCCTCTGTGCCACATATTCATGAGCTGGCAAGACTTAACAGCTCTATAACTATGTGATATCTCTTACATCCATTTGCTTTTTTCCATCTTTATTTCTTTTATGCTAGTAAGAACCATATCCCTCCTTCTCTAATCTGTTAGCTAGTTTTACCAATTTTAATCCTTTCTCTGCTCCACACCATCTTACAACTATTGCCAGAACAACCTTTGGAAAGCATAGTTCTGATATTTAACCCACCCTCAAAGGATCATTTTGTTAATTGCCAAGCATTTACAGCTCTTCAAAATCTAGCCTTAAACTCATCTTGCCTCATCTCCTACCTTACCTCTTTATGCACCTCTCATGTCAAGACATGTCAGACTCTTTTCTCTGCTGGATGCATTTCTAACCATTCTTTAGTAGCTAATTAAAACATGACTTCTTCATAAAGCCTCCCTTGGTATACATTTCCACTAAAAGTAGTCTTACTCTGCCTTGAACTTCACAGGTTTTAATCACTACCTCTCTTTGAGACCCTTATACTTTCCTGCTTTGGGGGAGTTTATTGTGTGTGTGTGGTTTGCTATGTTTTGTTTTGTTTCTTCTGGGGATAGGGTCTGCAGGCTGGAGTGCAGTGGCATGATCATAGCTCACTGCAGCCTTGAACTTCTGGGCTTAACCAATCCTCCTGTGTCAGCCTCCCAAGTAGCTGGGACTGCAGGAACAAGCCACTAAGCTAATTTTATTTTTCGTAGATACTGGGTCTGACTATGATGTCCAGGCTGGTCTCAAATTCCTGGCCTCAAATGATCCTGCCACCTCAGCATCCTAAAGTGCTGGGATTACAGACATGAGCTACCATACCTAGGTTTTTGTGTTTTTTTTAAACATAATGTTTTATGTATCTCTCTACCAGATTATTAGTTTATAGAAAAGAACTGAGTCTTAATACCTTTCCGCAGTGCCTATAGGAGACTTTCATTAAATATTTACTGATTGAATAAATAAATCTTAAAACAGATAAATGACACTGTATTTTCTTATGTATAGGATGAAGGTGACCAAGCAGCAAGTGTTGAAGAGCTGGAAAAACAGATTGAAAAACTGAGTAAAGTAAGCACTTTTCTGATTAACATTTAACTTCTTCACAGTGTTTTAGAAATCTACATTGTAAGGGGATTAGTTTTTCTGACTGCTAAGCAAAAATAGGCTTTTGGTGAGTAATTAAAAATGAAGATTCTGAATAGCATTTTTGTCAGAAAAAAAAATAAGATGAGGAACACTAGAAACATTCTTACAATTGAACTTTACAAGCTTAATGCCAAGGTTAAAAGCCTGCCTCTTAAAACGTGATATTGAACTTAATCAGAGCCTAGAAAGAAAATATTCTATACTCTTCAGCTCTTCATATAAATACAAAATGTCAATTAAGGCATAGTTTTATTTCTTGGAATTAATTACTAAAAAATTCAGTTGAATTTCATAGTAACAGTTTCAGCATCTTAGGTTTTATTTTACATTTGTATATTTGTGGGTTTTATTTGCATTGGATTTGTAAACTGTGGATGTATTTACATACATCTTGTTAAAAATTCCATTTCAGAAGTGGTTTACGCCTGTAATCCCAGCACTTTGGGAGGCTGAGGTGAGAGGATCGTTTGAGCCCAGGAGTTTGAGAAAAGCCTGGGCAATATGGCGAGACCCTGTCTCTAAAAAAAAAAAAAAAAGAAAAAAAAACTAAGAAAAACTGAATTTCATAGCATTAGTGAAATTTAAGATGAGCTTTTTATAAGAACAAAAATGAGTTTTCAAAGGTATTACGAGATGCCTGTGTATGGTATTAATATTAGATTCTTCACAGACCTATCCCAAAACTTAATTATATGTTGTCTAGGTTTACAACATGAGTGTAAACATAGGCAAATACAGGTTTAGCCAATTACATATATATTATTTGTTTTTTGTTTTGCTTTGCTTTTTGAAACAGAGTCTTGCTCTGGCACCTAGGCTGGAGTGCAATGGCGTGGTCACTGCAGCCTTGACCTCCCAGGCTCAAGCGATCCTCCCACCTCAGCCTCCCTGGTGGTGGAACTACAGGCATGTGCCACCGTGCCCAGCTGATTTTTCATATTTTTTGTAGAGATGGGGTCTCACTATGTTGCCAAGGCTGGTCTCTAATTCCTGGGTTCAAATGACCCACCCGCCTCAGCCTCCCAGAGTGCTGGGATTACAGGCATGAGCCACTGTGCCTGGCCATATTATATGTATTATTTGTTATATACTGTAAGCAATAGAATTGAATTGAACCAGTTTGCTTTGGCTCCATAAAATACTTGATCCCATTGTTTATTATCAAGTAAAAGGATAAGTTTTATTTTATCAGGTAGCTTATCCTTTTACTCCATGGCAACAAAAATAATTATCCTTAAAATGATTTCTATCTTTATAAATGTTACTGAAATTGAAGTCAGGCATGAATATTTAGACCTTTTGCTCTTTTCCCAGTAGTGAAATTTATGTGCTTAAAGGTACAATAAGTATAAAGTTACATATATATTAATTTTTAAAGCATTTAACATCCCAAACCTAATTATATGTACCATTTTTTTAACAGCAACAGAGTCAGTACAGAAGGAAGCTCTTTGATGCGTCTCACTCATTGCGTTCAGTGATGTTTGGCCAAGATCGTTACAGACGCCGGTACTGGATTCTTCCCCAATGTGGGGGGATTTTTGTAGAAGGCATGGAGAGTGGTGAAGGTTAGAACTCATAATCCGATACAAATTGTTAAATAAGAAACTATATATTTTAAAACTCTGTTACTTCTTCAATATATTTTGTGTTCCCATAATCAATGTTTGGTAAACATGTAAAACCTTAATTCTCATTCCTTTTGCACTCATAATGCCCCTTCACTGATACACACTTCCTCCTAGCCCTTGATATTCTTTTGCTACTCTTTCTGACATCAGACATAAGCTGTTCTTTCTTTCTTTGGTGGACAGAGACTTGTATTTCCATCTATATTACCTTTTATAGCTGCTGCTCCATTTCTCTTTCTTCCCATTGTCAAACTTCCCAATAAGTGGTTTATTCTTTTACAATAAGCATACATCCTGACAGTAACCCCCTGCAGGTAACTTGCTTAAATCTAAGATCTTCATCATAATCCTCATTCCTTTTCAAATCTTGTTAATGTTTGAAATTTGTGATCACTTCCTTCTCCTTCAGACTTCTTCCTTTTTTGAATTTTGTGTTACCACAAATTCATGATATTCTACCTTTAGATTTCTTTCGCTGGCTCCATTTCTGTTACATTAACTAGCAGAGTGCATTATGCATTTATGTGCTCAGTAAACCTTCTCGAATTTAACTTTTCAGAGCTCCATGTCTGGACATTTTCAAATGCCAAATTCTGATGGGGACAAAAGTGTTATGTTAGTGCTTATATATTTTAGAATAGCTATTGACTCATGTTGGTACATGGAAGCAAAAATGTTCTTACATTCTGAAAATCTGTAAGCACTAACATTAACACTTTTGTCCCCATCAGACATGGAAGATAAAACACATTTTTGAATGCCTGCTATGTGCTAGACATTTCTAGGCACTGTAGGAGACACAAAGCTGTATAAAATAGAATCCATGTCATGTTTATAGTCCACTGGGGAGAGAAGACTGGCTAATCATATAGATGACTCTAATAGAAAATATAAATAAAGCAGTTGCTTTTAAGGGTTTTGTTTTTAGTAATGGGATCACTTTTTTTTAAATGAAAATGTTATGCAGAATCTCAATATCTAACAAAAATGAATTGTTCTGATTGATCTACTTGGGAGAATTTTCTAGCTTATACAAATAGACCTCTGTTCTGTATACTTGCTTTCCAATTCAGGAATGATCCCAGAGGCATCTCTAATAATGTTAGGATTCTGCACTAAAGAGTAAGCTCAGAACCTATGAAAGTGAAGTGCCTAGAGGGATCAAAGCTGAGAAACATTATGTACCTTACTTAACATTTTGTCATAATGTTTGGTACAGATGGCCATCTCTGCCACTAGACTGTGAGCTCTTGGAGAACAGAGACTAATTTTGGCAGGGGAATTACACTAAAATAGATAACCTGGGAGCAAAGTACGCATTGGATTGGAAGAAGTAGTAAAGAAACTGACTGTGGAACCGTTACAGTAACCCAGCTAAGAAGTAGGGAGGCCATAACCTCAGGAGCAAACAGGGATAAAAGGAAGACAGAAAGAAGGATCTTGAAGGTTGAATTGCTGTAAGAAATTATTGAGTATAATGTAGGAAAGTGGAAATTAGAGATAAATTTAATGGCTTATTTCCCAATAGAAAAATTATGGGCCAGACATGGTGGCTCACACCTTTAATCCCAGCACTTTGGGAGGCCAAGGCAGACAGATCACTTGAGGCCAGGAGCTTGAGACCAGCCTGGGCAACATGGCAAAGCCCCGTCTCTAGCAAAAAGTACAAAAATTAGCCAGATGCAGTGACACGTGCCTATAGTCCCAGCTACTCTGGAGGCTGAGGCACAAGAATCGCTTGAACCCAGGAAACAGAGGTTGCAATGAGCCAAGAGTGCACCACTGCACTCCAGCCTGGGTGGCAGAGCGGGCCCTGTCTCAAAAATAAATAAATACATACATATATACATACATAACAAAAATTATGATACTTTGGCCGAGCGCGGTGTCTCACACCTGTAATCCCAGCACTTTGTGAGGTCAACGCGGGCAGATTACCTGAGGTCAGGAGTTCGTGACGAGCCTGACCAACATGGAGAAACCGCATCTCTACTAAAAATACAAAAAAATTAGCCGGGTGTGGTGGCGCATGCCAGTAATCCCAGCTACTCAGGAGGCTGAGGCAGGAGAATCGCTTGAAGCCAGGAGGCAAGGAGAGGTTGCAGTGAGCCGAGATCGTGCCATTGCACTTCAGCCTGGGCAACAGGAGTGAAGATCTGTCTCTAAATAAATAAATAAATGAATGATACTTTAAAATGAATTAGAGCAGTCAATAGGAGGGGTTGTTTGAAATGAAATTAAGTCAAAGTTTTAGTATAGGATCTAATTTAAAATGACAAAAGTATGGGTCATTTAGAAGTACAGAGCCTGGGCCGGGTGCGGTGGCTCACACCTATAATCCCAGCACTTTGGGAGGCGGAGACGGGCGGATCACGAGGTCAGGAGATCAAGACCATCCTGGTTAACGTGGTGAAACCCCGTCTCTACTAAAAATACAAAAAACATTAGCCGGGCGTGGTGGCGGGCGCCTGTAGTCCCAGCTACTCGGGAGGCTGAGGCAGGAGAATGGCATGAACCCGGGAGACGGAGCTTGTAGTGAGCCGAGATTGTGCCACTGGGCAAGAGAGCGAGACTGCGTCTCAAAAAAAAAAAAAAAAAAAAAAGGTAGTACAGTGCCTAGGAGACTTAAGAGCAGTTTTTTTTTTAATAAATATATATTTTTATTATACTTTAAGTTCTAGGGTACATGTGCACAACGTGCAGATTTGTTACATATGTATACATGTGCCATGTTGGTGTGCTGCACCCATTAACTCATCATTTACATTAGGTATATCTCCTAATGCTATCCCTCCCCTCTCCCACCACCCCACGACAGGCCCCAGTGTGTGATGTTCCCCTTCCTGTGTCCAAGTGTTCTCATTGTTCAATTCCCACCTATGAGAGAGAACATGCGGTGTTTGGTTTTTTGTCCTTGCAATAGTTTGCTGAGAATGATGGTTTCCAGCTTCATCCATGTCCCTACAAAGGACATGAACTCATCCTTTTCTATGGCTGCATAGTATTCCATGGTGTATATGTGCCATGTTTTCTTAATCCTGTCTATCATTGTTGGACATTTGGGTTGAAATACCATTTGACCCAGCCATCCCATTACTGGGTATATACCCAACGGAATATAAATCATGCTGCTATAAAGACACATGCACACGTATGTTTATTGCAGCACTACTCACAATAGCAAAGACTTGGAACCAACTCAAATGTCCAACAAAGATTTTTTTTTAATGCCTAGGTGAGTGGCTTTTTAACCTTATGAATCACCTGAAAAGCTTAAGAAAATGATCAATCTGAGCCCTACCCCAGACCAGTTAAATATTCAATATGTTTAAGAGCCACATTCTTCTTAGTCACTTGGGCATGTAAACTTGAAGTATCTAGGACATCAACTTTCCTTCAAAATACCTGAAATCAGTCTCTTTGCAACACTACTGAAATCAGTTCTTTATCATTGTATACCTGGATTATTACACCTGTCCTCAACTTCTCTATATACAATTCCCTCCTTCCATCACATTCTGTCATCATATCATGTCTCTACTCTGAAACCTTAAATGACCTCTATAACCTGTAACATGATGTAGTTAAATATGTACTTAGCCTGGCATTCAAGACTGTATACAATTCTGACCCCAAGCTGTCTTTATGCTGTTCTGTTAATGAGAATTCAACTAGTCCAGTCTACTCACTGAACACATGTGTATTCCTCCCCTTGCATCTTTGCCAAATCTTGTTTATTATAATAATAATCTGCTTTTCTTCTACCATCGAAATTTCACCCATCCTTCTTGATCCAGCTCAAATCCTAAGCTTTTCCACAAACTTCCCAGCTTATTTAAGTGGACCTTTTAATAAACGTGAAATTGAACTCCCAGAAAAGCAGATAATTAATTAGACCATTATTTTAGCACATTAATATATATACTATTTCCTTATTTAAATCTTATAATCTTCATCTGTGCTTTTAATTTTCCATAGTGTTGGAAGGATAGTACTTTATATATCACAGGCACACTTAAAATACTTTAAGATTTAAATAAGTAAATAAATAATTTAATGTCTTTATAAGGTTTTATAAGAATAGCTTATAGGAGACAGTTTTTTTTTTTTTTTTTTTTTTTTTAGGCCTTTCAGATTATCATTGATTGAATTTACATATTAGACCTCCATTTCCATCCAGGCTCTTCTACATAACCTCTCTGGACACTGATTTCTGTTTCTGCAAAAAAATATTAATAAGCTGTATATGAATTCTTCGATTGTTACAAGGATCATGTCAGATAATGGATCTAAAACAACTGCAAAGTGATATATAAATAGCAGTTGTACTTTATACTCTTATTTGTGGTCATTGCAGAGCAGGGGGAAGTAGGGATAATTTTTCACTTTATTTTCTTCTGAAGTTTTTTATTTCATTAATAGACATATTAATAGACATTAATGAAATAATAAGGGAATATACGTCTGCTGTATTCTATGTGCTAAGAACTTATAAATAATAGGTATAGATTCCTTCTCTTTATCTTACAGCTAATTAAAATGAGGAAAAAACTCAGATGATTTATTCATCAAGTGTTTATTTACACCTGTATTGTGCCTTGTACTAAGTGCTGTGGAGATGCAAAAGAAGACCAGGTGCACTGGTTCATGCCTGTAATCCTAGCACTTTGGGAGGCTGAGGCAGGAGGATTGCTTGAGCCCAAGAGTTCACAACGAGCCTGGGCAACGTAGCAAGACCTTGTCTCTACTAAAATCACATATATATGGCTGACTGTGGTGTGCACCTGTAATCTCAGTTACTCAGGAGGCTGGCATAGGGGGATCACTTGAGCAAAACAAGATGCAAAAGAATCAGTTAACCTGTCCCTATCCACAAAAAGCTCACAATCTAATTGGAAAGATACAGCACGTATGAAGACAAAGAGAACATACAAGTGTATAATATGAGCACGTAGTGTGTCTGACAGGCAAGGCTGATAAAGATCAGTAAGTGTCAAACTAGTAGAAACTACTGTAAATAAATGGGTGCTGAAAGTTAATTCAACATTAACAATATACATTATTGTCATCATCTTATTTATTACTTTTTTTTTTGAGACAGATTCTCACTCTATCTCCCAGGCTGGAGTGCAGTGGCGCGATCTTGGCTCACTGCAAGCTCCACCTCCCACTTTCACGCCATTCTCCTGCCTCAGCCTCCCAAGTAGCTGGGACTACAGGCGTCTGCCACCATGCCTGGCTAATTTTTTTGTATTTTTTTAGTAGAGATGGGGTTTCACTGTGTTAGCCAGGATGGTCTCGATCTCCTGACCTCATGATCTGCCTACCTCGGCCTCCCAAAGTGCTGGGATTACAGGTGTGAGCCACTGTGCCCAGCTGCTTATTTATTACTTTTTAAAAGTTCCTTAAAAGTATAATGTGTTCTTAATAAAGAAAGGTTAGATTTAACATTAAATGTACAAGTTTTTAAAAAATTCTTATAATAACATTAACATCAATTAATATTATGGGGAGAAGATATCAGACATTGGATTACCTTCACAGAAAAATATTAATTAAATTAAATTCGTGTTGTACAAGAGGCAAGGTAATATATACCACAAGCATTACACACAGTGCTAATAACAATAATGTTTATTGGTGATGATAACTTCAGATAAGTAACAGAGCACTCAGGGGATCTCTGAGCCCCTACAGTGGTTCCACAGGGGTGTGCCTTGTCCAGTTAGAGACTGGACAAGAAACAAGATCACTCAAAGAGAAGGCTCTGCCTTCATACCACTATATATTTCGAGGTTAGTCCAAGTCCTTCATTATTCTAAGAAACAACATATATCTCAAAGGACCTCTGGGCCTAGGAACAACACTAGGGAGTTTGCATTACAAAGGACCAGGATCTACAAACCAAGGACTTTGAGAACAGCAGCTAAAGACCCTACTGTTCCTCTGCACATCAGCTCGGTGGCTAAGCAGGTTTGCTGATGGGTCTTGGGAACAAGAGAAGGAAGAGAGCCCCCATGCCCATTTAGCTAAGACTGAGGGTTTATTCCTTCTCAGTCCACCCCCTGACCCTTGGTGTGGCTCACTAGATATATGCGTCCCCATCTGCAATAGAAAGCAATTAGATTTTAAATGGTGCCTTCAGTGTTTGTTGACAGTGCTGAAAGAGTCATATAGCCAGAGAAATTCTAAAACAAACAATATACCACAGCATTAGGAGATACAGAGCTCCCATGAGCAATCTGGCTGCATATCCAACAAAAAGTCCAAAGCTATGCAATTCTCTAATATTACTCATGTCAAGGAAGCAATACTAATTTCAGTGATATGATCCCAGGCTTTCTCAATGGCAGCGTTTCCCATGATAGCAATTGCTGGTCATATCCTCAGCTTCGTAGGTGACTATTCAAGGCAAGAGCCCTTGTACAAAGTAATGAAAGCTTGTATCCTTGACACCTGCAGATAGGCTCTAATGCTAGCCCTGGAGACCACAGCTGGAAAAGTGACCAGTGTCTTAGATTTTGAGTCACTATTAAAGGTCTCATAGTACTTCCAAAATGTGCAGTGTTATTTACAGGTGGGAGGCAGGGTAAGCATGCCTTTCACATAAGACGACAGGTTCCACTGGATTACAGAGGTTTAATGCTACATTTTATATCCACTTGGCATTTATGTTTTTCTGGGGTTAACACACTGTCGGCATGCTATTAGACTCAACTGCAGGTCTGAAGTGGAAGTATTTGGTTGAGAGTTTTATGCTGCTTTGGGGTTCTCCTAATGTGGGGCATGGATCCACTGGGAGCCGAGATGTAAGAGTAGGTGTTTTCTGCACCTGAGAAGTTGAGTAGAGTTTTACACAGCATGACTAGTAAGGGAAGAGTTAATGGAGGGCCAGGGCAAATGAGAACTCTGGTTAATACCAGGTAGGAGTAATTCCCATGGTGTTATCTGGGAGTAGAATTTCCAGAAGGTCCTCCACAGTTGAGTATGTTAAGCATAACAAATCCCACATTGTGATAGCTTTGCACTGTCATTGTGTGGGATCGCTGCAGAGGATTATTTGGTACAGTCTGTTAATATCTGCAAGAAAGGTGAAGAGAGAGTTATTCATGCTCCAACCACACTTTCACTTTTTTTGGTCAGGCACGTTTATGCCCAAGCACAGTCCATCATTATCTTTAAGGACAACCTATGTGGTCTGTTCTTTCTTTCTGCAACAGTAAGTTCCACATGAAAGCAGGAGTTGCACTTTCTCACCAGAGAAACTCTGTGGATAGAGTATACTATATGGGTATAGAGACTGCAGCAAAATCTCCCACTTGCAGAATAAGCATACAACAGAAATTTAGAATGTTTGGAATAAAGAGAGAATCAAAATTGCCCTTCTGTAGGTGTAGCTAGCAGTGTCATCAGGAAGTCAGGAGAGCATCCAAGTTTGTATCCATCCATTTGTCTGTAATATGAACACACAAACCTCCCAGCCACCTGTTGAAATTATGACAGGTACAACAAAAGGAAATAACTATTGAGGTGTAAAAACTCAGGTCTTGGCATACCAAGTAGATTCTTCGTCTGTTTCTGCTTTTTGACTCCCAGGTGCCAAGGAACTTCACCAAAGTGGAGGGACCTTTATGAGTATAAACAGCAGAGGTCACCCGGACCAGACAATCTTATAGAAGTCATTGTTAAAAGGATGGGTACAGCTGTCTTTCAGAATGCTATTCCAGCATTCTATACTGCCCGTGGTTAAGAACGAGCCTAGAACAGCCACTTAGTACCATGTTGGCAATACCATTCTACATGGTCCCATTGTAGAATGCCAGCAGCTGTGAAAGCACTTTCATTGCTTAATTGTATCATATCTAGAAACCCCAATATATAATAATATACCTAAGTCTTGATAATATGTATGTTATCTGCAAATGCAGGAGACACAGTAACCCCAAAGGTGTATACCATTCATTAGCTAGAGGAGATCAAACACCCAAAAACTAACACATGCCATCAGAGTCTCTGCCTGAGACCAGTCATAGATCACTTGCAGTACTAGTGTCAAACAGAGTTAGGCAAACGGGGTTGTTAAATTGTGAAATGGTGTTGTGCAGTACCCCTGCCTGAGTCTGTTCTTGTATAAGAAATGCAACCTGTTTCACCTCTAGGTGTGCAACACTGTCACACAACGTCTGCCGACCTTGTAAGTATAGTGTCACACAACATCTGCCGACCTTGTAAGTACAGGTGGGTTTTGGCAACATACCTGGCCAACAGTTATAGAAGCTACTAACAGAAGTCACAAAAAATGTCTAACTAAGGGCTAGGCATGGTGGCTTATACCTGTAATCCCAGCACTTTGGGAAGCTGAGGTGGGAGGATTAGTTGAGCCCAGGAGTTCAAGACCAGCCTGGGTAACATGGTGGAACCCCATCTCTACAGAAAAATTAGCCAGGTATACTTCCAGCTACTTAGGAGTTTAAGGTGGCAGAATCAATTAAGCACAGGAGTTCGAGGCTGCAGTGAGCCACGATCGCATCACAGCACTTCAGCCTTGGGGACAGAGCAAGACCCTGTCTCGAAAAGAAAAAAAGTCCAACTGACATGTGGACTTAATTACCCCACCCTGATAAAGAAACAACTAGAATTCACGCAAAAGGTCCAAAAGCCGTTGCAGTGATTGTAATTCTAATCTTTCAGCCATAGGTAACATGGACTCCAAACCCCAGTTGAGGAACTTGTTTACCAGAGCTCTTCTGCAGTCTGGAGCTATGATACTTGGTCCTCCATTTCTAGCAAACCCGTAAATATTGGAGGCTCTTCTCTTTTCCAGCATAATCATCTGGGGTACATGGTTAGGGATCCCTTGGAAGAGAGTAAAGGGGACTGAGCCCACCTGTATTTCTCCTTGAGTTTGAAAGGGCTCAGATTAGGAACAAAGAAGCTTGGCTTCTAGAGTTGACTCAAACTCACAAAGTGGAGCTGATGACTAGGAGCATTCCCACCAGCAATGCCACTTCCAGAGTCAAGATAATGCAGAGTATCTCCCTGTCTCTATGTCCTTTAGATCTTATCAGTTTGTGTGGATGAAGCTCAATAGCCCTCGTCCTCCCCAGGGACCTTCTTCACCTAATCTTCTGGTGACTCCACCTCTCCCAATAATTATTCAAGTCTGTAAACTATTCAGTATCATGTTTCATCTCACATGTCCCTTTTCCACAGTCTCAGTGGGTCTTTTAACTTTTTGAATAGGACTACATTCCCACACTCAAGAATTAGGCCGTCTCTCAATTTCTGTCTTATCATTCCTTCTGTTTATGAGCAATATCACATTTATTGGTGTGAGGGAGATTGCCTGAGTTCAGCCTATCGGTCTACTCCTTCTTTTGTTCCTTCTTTCTTTATATTTTGGGCAGAAACCTGTGCATCTCATGAGACCCTGTCTCTTTCCATTTCCGCCTCTGCTGTGGGGCTTGTATGACCTAAAAAGAACTATTTCATGTCCAACATTGCCTCCCAGATGAAGGAATAAGTCAAAGCAGTTGTCCACTTAGGAGGACCTGCTCTGATTCGGTCATCCAACATTCTCTGCACCAAGAGCATGTTGTCAGGGATTCTCTACTCAAACCCTGGATTTTCTTATAATTACGCTAACACAGCCAGTTGTCTCAGAGTGTGTTAGAGTAACTACACTATCTGTGGATCTAGTCCATTTCACATTCAAGTGGCAGGAAAATCACCCCAATGGTAATACGTATTACCCATGCTACCAAGCATCCAGTTTAGAAGCAGGGTTACAACATCAGCCCCAGTGTTATTAGTCAACCCAGACTGCTCATTGTTTAACCAGGTCATGTGTTTCCTTTTACTCAGCTTCCCTTAACAACACTGTTGTCTCCTAACCATGCAAATTAGCAGGCCAAGCCTCTACTATCCCTACAGTAGTGGAGCTAATAAGAGTCTTGCTCTTGCTCTGTATAATGCTGGATCTCCTCCTGCTGGTGTTCTCACTCAGGCTCCTGTACACCGTGCCTCACAGTAACTGGCTTCACATACAGCAGGACCAGTTGCCTCATATTACAGATAAACAGTGGGAATTTGCCCCACCTTCCCTTCTAGAGAGACTACCACACCCTTTCTAGTGCACCCTACCAATTTGTACTCCTGAAAATCTCTAAGCTGATAAGGAGAAGAGATAGAACTTAATTTCAAGCCACTGGAAACCCTCTTTACCACTTGAGGGCTTCTGCCATTCTCAGGCGTAGCTACTGAGACCATCCTAACTGCCAAGTGAATTACCACTGTCCCCAGGAGAAATTCTTTGACCCATGGGTTCTCCTCTTTCAGAAAGCCATGACATCGGGACTTTGTTGGGCACCAACTGTAGTACAAGATGGTTACACAAACCACTAACACACATGGTGCTAATAGCAGCAAAGTTTGTTAGTGAGAGTAACCTACAAGCAAAGAAGTAACCGTACACAGGATTCCCAGCCTCCATAATGATTCCACAGGACTTGGACATGCAGCAAGAGCACTCCAAGAGACGAAACACTGTACCCCACACCTTGCCCTGTATGCATTAGTGTGAGAAAGAGTAGAAAGCACTTAATTTCTGAGTAATGATAAACATTATCAAGGGACCTTTGGGTTTAGAAACAGTGCTAGGACATATGCATATCAAGGGTCAAAGTCTACATAGGGAGGACGCTGAGAACAGTGTTGACCTCAGCTGAAGGCCTTCTGACCTGCTGCTGCCTCTCAGGGAAGTGGGAAAGAAGAAAGCCCCTATGGCCTTCCAGCCAAAACCAAGGATTTTTTTTTCCAGTCCAGTTCACTGTTTTTTTTTAATTTGTTTGTTTTTTGTTTTGTTTTCTTTTGTTTCATTGTACTTTAAGTTCTGAGATACAAGTGTAGAACATACAGGTTTGTTACATAGGTATTCACTTGCCATGGTGGTTTGCTGCACCCATCAACCCGTCATCTACATTAGGTATTTCTCCTAATGCTATCCCTCCCCCAGACCCTCACCCCCCCGACAGGCCCCAGTGTGTGTTGTTCCCCTCCCTATGTCCATGTGTTCTCATCGTTCAACGCCCACTTATGAGTGAGAACTTGTGGTGTTTGGTTTTCTGTTCCTGTGTTAGTTTGCTAAGAATGATGGTTTCCAGCTTCATCCATGTCCCTGCAAAGGACATGAACTCATCCTTTTTTATGGCTGCATAGTATTCCATGGTGTATATGTGCCACATTTTCTTTATCTAGTCTATCATTTATGGGCATTTGAGTTGGTTCCAAGTCTTTGCTATTGTGAACAGTGCTGCAATAAACATACATGTGCATGTGTCTTTATAGTAGAATGATATATAATCCTTTGGATATATACCCAGTAATGGGATTGATTGCTGGGTCAAATTGTATTTCTGGTTGTAGATCCTTGAGGAATCACCACACTGTCTTCCACAATGGTTGAACTAATGTACACTACCACCAACAGTGTAAAAGCGTTCCTATTTCTCCACAGCCTCGCCAGCATCTGTTGTTTCCTGACTTTTTAATGATTGCCATTCTAACTGGCATGAGATGGTATCTCATTGTGGTTTTGATTTGCATTTCTCTAATGACCCATGATGATGAGCTTTTTTTCATATGTTTGTTGGCTGCATCAATGTCTTCTTTTGAGAAGTGTCTATTCATATCCTTCACCCACTTTTTGATGGGGTTGTTTATATTTTCTTGTAAATTTGTTTAAGTTCTTTGTAGATTCTGGATACTAGCGCTTTGTCAGATGGCTAGATTGCAAAAATCTTCTCCCATTCTGTAAGCTGCCTGTTCACTCTGATGATAGTTTCTTTTGCTGTGCAGAAGTTCTTTAGTTTAATTAGATCCCATTTGTCAATTTTGGCTTTTGTTGCCATTGCTTTTAGTGTTTTAGTTACCAAGTCCTTGCCCATGCCTATGTCCTGAATGGTATTGCCTAGGTTTTGTTCTAGGGTTTTTATGGTTTTAGGTCTGACGTTTAAGTCTTCAATCCATCTTGAGTTAATTTTCGTATAAGGTGTAAGGAAGGGGTCCAGTTTCAGTTTTCTGCATATGACTAGCCAGTTTTCCCAACACCATTTATTAAACAGGGAATCCTTTCCCCATTGCTTGTTTTTCTCAGGTTTGTCAAAGATCACATGGTTGTAGATGTGTGGCATTATTTCTGAGGCCTCTGTTCTGTTCCACTGTTCTATATATCTGTTTTGGTACCAGTACCATACTGTTTTAGTTACTGTAGCCTTGTAGCATAGTTTGAAGTCAGGTAGTGTGATGCCTCCAGCTTTGTTCTTTCTGCTTAGGGTTGTCTTGGCTATATGGGACCTTTTTTTGGTTCCATATGAAATTTAAAGTAGTTTTTTTCTAATTCTGTGAAGAAAGTGGTAGCTTGATGGGGACAGCATTGAATCTATAAATTACTTTGGGCAATATGGCCATTTTCACAATATTGATTCTTCTATCCATGAGCATGGAATGTTTTTCATTTGTTTGTGTCCTCTCTTATTTCCTTGAGCAGTGGTTTATAGTTCTCCTTGAAGAGGTCCTTCACATCCCTTGTAAGTTGGATTCCTAGGTATTTTATTTTCTTTGTAGCAATTGTGAATGGGAGTTCACTCATGATTTGGCTCTCTGTTTGTCTATTATTGGTGGATAGGAATGCTTGTGATTTTTGCACATTGATTTTGTATCCTGAGACTGCTGAAATAACTTACCAGCTTAAGGAGATTTTGGGCTGAGACGATGGGATTTTCTAAATATACAATCATGTCATCTGCAAACAGAGACAATTTGACTTCCTCTCTTCCTATTTGAATGACCTTTATTTCATTCTTTTACCTGATTGCCCCGGCCAGAACTTCCAATACTATGTTGAATAGGATTGGTAAGAAAGGGCATCCTTGTCTTGTGCCAGTATTCAAAGGGAATGCTTCCAGCTTTTGCCCATTCTGTATGATATTGGCCGTGGGTTTGTCATAAACAGCTCTTATTATTTTGAGATACCTCCCATCAATACCTAGTTTATTGGGAGTTTTTAGCATGAAGGGCTGTTGAATTTTGTCAAAGGCCTTTTCTGCATATATTGAGAGAATCATGTGGGTTTTGTCATTGGTCCTGTTTATGTGATGGATTACATTTATTGATTTCCATGTGTTGAAACAGCCTTGCACCCCAGTGATGAAGCCAACTTGATCAGGGCAGATAAGCTTTTTGATATGCTGCTGGATTCAGTTTGCCAGTATTTTATTGAGAATTTTCGCATCGATGTTCATCAGGGATATTGGCCTGAAATTTTCTTTTTTTGTGTTTCTGCCAGGTTTTGGTATCAGGTATTGACGCTGGCCTTATAAAATGAGTTAGGAAGGAGTCCCTCCTTTTCTATTGTTGGGAATAGTTTCAAAAGGAATGGTAGCAGCTCGCTTTTGTACCTCTGGTAGAATTCGGCTGTGAATCTGTCTGGTCCTGAGCTTTTTTTGGCTGGTAGGCTATTAATTATTGCCTCAGTTTCAGAACTTGTTATTGGTCTATTCAGGGATTGGACTTCTTCCTGATTTAGTCTTGGGAGGGTGTGTGTGTCCCGGAATTTATCCATTTCTTCCAGATTTTTAGTTTATTTGCGTAGAGGTGTTTCTAGTATTCTCTGATGGTAGTTTGTATTTCTGTGGGATCAGTGGTGATATCCACTTTATCATGTTTTATTGTGTCTATTTGATTCTTCTCTCTTTTCTCCTTTATTAGTGTGGCTACCAGTCTGTCTATTTTGTTGATCTTTTCAAAAAACCAGCTCCTGGATTCATTGATTTTTTGAAGGGCCTTTTGTGTCTCTGTCTCCTTTAGTTCTGCTCTGATCTTAGTTATTTCTTGTCTTCTGCTAGCTTTTGAATGTGTTTGCTCTTGCCTCTCAGTTCTTTTAATTGTGATGTTAGGGTGTCGATTTTAGATATTTCCTGCTTTCTGTTGCAGGCATTTAGTGCTATAAATTTCTCTCTAAATCTCTGGCTGTGTCCCAGAGATTCTGGTACGTTGTGTCTTTGTTCTCATTGGTTTCAAAGAACTTATTTATTTCTGCCTTCATTTCGTTATTTACCCAGTAGTCATTCAGGAGCAGGTTGTTCAGTTTCCATGTAGTTTGTGGTTTTGAGTGAGTTTCTTAACCCTGAGTTCTAATTTGATTGCACTGTGGTCTCAGAGACTGCTGGTTATTATTTCCATTCTTTTGCATTTGCTGAGGAGTGTTTTACTTCCAATTATGTGGTCAATTTTGGAATAAGTGCGATGTGGTGCTGAGAAGAATGTATATTCTGTTGATTTGGGGTGGAGAGTTCTGTAGATGTCTATTAGGTCCTCTTGGTCCAGAGCTGATTCAAATCCTGAATGTTCTTGTTACCTTTCTGTCTCGTTGATTTGTCTGACATTGACAGTGGGGTGTTAAAGTCTCCAACTATTATTGTGTGGGAGTCTAAGTTTCTTTGTAGGTATCTAAGGACTTGCTTTATGAATCTGGGTTCTGCTGTATTGGGTGCATACATATTTAGGATAGTTAGCTCTTCTTGTTGTGTTGATCCCTTTACCATTATGTAATGCCTTTCTTTGTCTCTTTTGATCTTTGTTGGTTTAAAGTCTGTTTTATCAGAGACTAGGATTGCAACCCCTTCTGTTTTTGCTTTCCATTTTCTTGGTAAATATTCCTCCATCCCTTTGTTTTGAGCCTATGTGTGTCTTTGCATGTGAGATGCATCTCCTGAATACAGCACACCAAAGGGTCTTGACTCTTTATCCAATTTGCCAGTCTGTGTCTTTTAATTGGGGCATTTAGCCTGTTTACATTTAAGGTTAATGTTGTTATGTGTGAATTTGATCCTGTCATTATGATGCTAGCTGGTTATTTTGCCCAATAGTTGATGCAGTTTCTTCATAGTGTCGATGGTCTACAATTTGGCATGTTTTTGCAGTGGCTGGTACCGGTATTTCCTTTCTATGTTTAGTGCTTCCTTCAGGAGCTCTTGTAAGGCAGGCCTGGTGGTGACAAAATCTCTCAGCATTTGCCTGTCTGTAAGGGATTTTATTTCTCCTTCGCTTATGAAGCTGAGTTTGGCTGGAGACAAAATTCTGGGTTGAAAATTCTTTTCTTTAAGAATGTTGAATATTGGCCCCAACTCTCTTCTGGCTTGTAAGGTTTCTGCAGAGAGATCTACTGTTAGTCTGATGGGTTTCCCTTTGTAGGTAACCCGACCTTTCTCTCTGGCTGTCCTTAACATTTTTTCCTTCATTTCAACCTTGGTGAATCTGACGATTGTGTGTCTTGGGGTTGCTCTTCTCAAGGAGTATCTTTGTGGCGTTCTCTGTATTTTTTAATGTTGGCCTGTCTTGCTAGGTTGGAGAAGTTCTCCTGGATAATATCCTGACGTATATTTGCCAGCTTAGTTCCATTCTCCCCATCATTTTCAGGTACACTAATCAAACATAGGTTTGGTCTTTTCACATAGTCCCATATTTCTTGGAAGCTTTGTTCATTTCTTTTCATTCTTTTTTCTCTAATCTTGTCTTCACGCTTTATTTCATTAAGTTGATATTCAATCATTGATATCCTTTCTTCTGCTTGATTCGGCTGTTGATACTTGTGTGTGCTTTCTGAAGTTCTCGTGCTGTGTTTTTCAGCTCCATCAGGTCATTTATGTCCTTCTGTAAACTGGTTATTCTAGTTAGCATTCCTCTAACCTTTTTTCAAGGTTCTTAGCTTCATCGCATTGGGTTAGAACATGCTCCTTTAGCTCAGAGGAGTTTGTTATTACCCACCTTCTGAAGCCCACTTCTGTCAATTCGTCAAACTCATTCTGCGTCCAGTTTTGTTCCCTTGCTGGCAAGGAGTTGTGATCCTTTGGAGGAGAAGAGGCATTCTGGTTTTGGGAATTTTTAGCCTTTTTGCGTTCGTTTTTCTTCATCTTCATGGATTTATCTACCTTTGGTCTTTGATGTTGGTCAGCTTCGGATGGAGTTTCTGTGTGGATGTCCTTTATGTTGATGTTGATGCTATTCCTTTCTGTTCATTAGTTTTCCTTCTAACAGGCCCCTCTGCTGCAGGTCTGCTGGAGTTTGCTGGAGGTCCACTCCAGACCCTTGTTTGCCTGTTATCACCAGCGGAGGCTGCAGAACAGCAAAGATTGCTGCCTGTTCCTTCCTCTGGAACCTTCGTCCCACAGGGGCACCCACCAGATGCCAGCCAGAGCTCTACCATATGAGGTGTCTGTCGACCCCTGCTGGGAGGTGTCTCCCAGTCAGGAGGCACGGGGGTCAGGGACTCAACTGAGGAGGCAGTCTGTCCCTTAGCAGAGCTTGACTACTGTGCTGGGAGATCTGCTGCTCTCTTCAGAGCCACCAGGCAGGAACGTTTAAGTCTGCTGAAGCTGTGCCCACAGCTGCATCTTCCCCCAGGGAGATGGGAGTTTGATCTATAAGCCCCTGACTGGGGCTGCTGTCTTTCTTTAAGAGATGCCCTGTCCAGAGAGGAGAAATCTAGAGAGGCAGTCTGGCTACAGCGGCTTTGCTGAGCTGCAGAGGGCTCCGCCCAGTTTGAACTTCCTGGCAGCTTTATTTACACTGTGAGGGGAAAACGGCCTACCCAAGCCTCTGTAATGGCGGACACCCCTTCCCACACCCAAGCTCAAGCATCCCACGTCGACTTCAGACTGCTGTGCTTGCAGTGAGGATTTCAAGCCAGTGGATCTTAGCTTGCTAGACTCTGTGAGGGTGGGATCCACCGAGCTAGACCAGTTGGCTTCCTGGCTTCAGCCCCCTTTCCAGGGGAGTGAATGGTTCTGTCTCGCTGGCACTCCAGGCACCACTGGGGTATGAAAAAAAACTCTTGCAGCTAGCTCAGTGTCTGCCCAAATGGCCACCCAGTTTTGTGCTTGAAACCCAGGACCCTGGTGGCATAGGCACCGGAGGCAATCTCCTGGTCTGTGGGTTACAAAGACCGTGGGAAAAGCGTAGTATCTGGGCCAGGGTGCACCATTCTTCACAGCACAGCCCCTCATGGCTTCCCTTGGCTAGGAGAGGGAGTTCCCGGACCCCTTGCACTTCCTGGGTGAGGCAATGCCCCACCCTACTTCGGCCGCCTTCTGTGTGCTGCACCCACTGTCTAACCAGTCCCGATGAGATGAGCCAAGTACCTCAGTTGGAAATGCAGAAATCACCCACCTTCTGTGTTGATCTCGCTGGGAGCTGCAGACCGGAACTGTTCCTATTCAGCCATCTTGCCTGGAAGAAGTTCACTGTTTTTTTAAAGCCATTTGGGATATGTTAGGTTATAGATAATTTATTCAGTATTGGAAGGAAACTGAAACAAGTTTATTGTTAATTATACTGTGATATGAATACTGTTCTTCCATTTTGTATTAGGATATGGTTAAAGCATTAAGTGTGCAAGTATACAATGTAATTGCTACCATGGAAATGTGAGAATCTTTCATTAAGGGTAATGGTTTTATGTTATCATCTTAAAATTTTCTGGATCAGCCTGGAAAGGAACAATCCTAAATAGACATAATAAGAATCTGCTTCCTTTAGTCTCTTCCACAATAATCTCAAGATGCTTCCTAGCATCTTCCTTCCACTATCTTCAAGATGCTTCCTAGGAGCTGGTTTGTGGTAACACTGTCAACTGAAGATGGGAAAGCTCTGCGAGTACTCCTAAGGTTTAGCCATACTGAGTGGGTAGGGGTGCTTGAACCCTAGGAAGGGGCCATTTGTGATTGAACCTCTCTTCAACCTGTACTCTATATTTACATTTCTTGCTTTTTCTTTTTCACTTAGAGTTTAGTAAAAACTCTCTGAAAGTTTTAGCTTGCTTCAGTCCAACTAAGGGGAGCCAAAGGAAAGATGGTTCACTGGAAGCAAGAATGATTGACCCCCAGAATCCCGTGAGAACAATTAAGTGAACTAACAGGGGTCAGAGTGATTCTGGTAAAACTCAAGAAGACATAGCTTCTTTCCAGTAGCAAACTTTGCTACTTTTAGCATTCATTTAAATTAGGAAATGATATTTTGTCATTGTGTACTGCAGTTGCTGCCAGGGTAGTTAATTAAGTGAAGAGTACTTCCAATTTTCTCTCTTACTTGCCTTCCTCTTCTTTCTTCTGCTTTGAAGATGGTTATCTATAGTCATTGACACATGTCAAAGAAGTAAGGACTAGAAAGACCAGAGGATTATATGAGATAAAAGATAGAAAACAATTTAAAATTAAAGAATCTCTTTACACTAAATATCCCATATATATTTTCAAATGATTAAAAGTAATTTTACAGCCAGAGGCGGTGGCTCACACCTGTAATCCCAGCACTTTGGGAGGCTGAGGCATGCGGATCACGTGAGGTCATGAGTTCGAGACCAGCCTGACCACCATGGTAAAACCTCATCTCTACTGAAAATACAGAAATTAGCCAGTCATGGTGGCACGTGCCTCTAGTCTCAGCTACTTGGGAGACTGAGGCAGGAGAATCAGTTGAACCTGGGAGGTGGAGGTTGCAGTGAACCGAGATTATGCCACTGCACTCTACCTGGGTGACAGAGTAAGACTCCATCTCAAAAAATATATATATATTTTTTTTAATTAGAGGTTTAACTGTTAGGATTAAGCAATTTGAATGTAAAAGTCAAAGATAGCCATGACTTTTGAAATTACCATCAGCTCAATATTAGATACAAATAAGTCATCTTCTAGTCTCAAACTAGTAAAAATAGGTGTGTTTCTTATTTGTTTTAGAATATATGACAGCAATTTTTGAAATTTTTTTAGTTCTCAGAATACAAATATTAGTACTCCACTACTAACTAATACATTATCTAAAGTTAAAAGGATTGGAACACACAGGTATATGAGGAAAATATTTGTGACTATTTTCACATGTCCCTAACTGGAGGTAAAAGTATATGTCTTGTTTTTTTTTCTTCTTTGCATGCCTGCTAACTTTGATTGGATGCCAGATATTGTGAATTTTACCTTGTTGGGTGCTGGATATTTTTAAGTTCCTGTATTCTTGACCTTTGTTTAACCAAGGCACAGTTAAGTTACATCCTTGGAAAAGTTCGATCCTTTCAAGTCTTGCATTTAAACTTTGTCAGGCAGAACTAGAACAGTGCTCATTCTAGGGCTGATTATCCCCTGCTCCTAAAGCAAGATCCTTCTGAGTACTCTACCCAATGCCTATGAATCTTGAGGTTTCCCACTCTGGTGGGTAGGAACGGGAACTATTCCCAGCCTGTGTGAGCACCTGGCACTTTCCCCTCTAATCCTTTAAGGTACTTTTTTCACCAAGCCTCACACATATGTGCTGATCAGTATTTAGCTAAATACTCGAGGGGTTCCTCTGCAGATCACTGGAGTTCTCTGTGCAACTCTCTCCCTTCCAGAATATTCTCCTGAGCACTCTAGCCACTTTTGTCTCCCTGAGCTTTCAGTTGCATCTTCTCATCTTAGGGAGTTTGCCAGGCTCCACCTGGATTACTCCTCCTTATTGTTGTATCCTAGAAGCTGTCCCAAGGCAGTAAGCTGGGGCAATCACAAGACTCACTGAGTTTGTTTTTCAACTTTGTTATTTGATGTTCAGTTTCCTGCAAACTGTTGTTTCATGTATTTTATCTGTTTCTGGTTGTTTCATACAAGAAGGTAATCTAGTCCCTGTTACTCTATATTGGTCAGAAGTATAAATCTGATGTATAGGGATTTAATTTCAACTAGAAACTAATTTGAAGAGAAGGATATGAGGGCTATGTCAAACATTAATAAAGGACTGGTTGGATAAATTATGATATACCTATATAACAAAATTGTGCAGCTGATCACAAAAATGAACTACAGATGAGCTACAGTTACATGTTTTGGAAAGTTCTCTAAGGAATACTGTTAGTGAAAGAATTAAATTCATCCTTTTATTTCGTTATCAAGGAATATTTATTGAGCACCTTCTTTTATTTTCTTTAGAGACAGGATCTCACTATGTTGCCCATGCTGGACTCAAACTCCTGGGCTCAAGCGATCCTTCCACCTCAGCCTCCCAAGTAGCTGGGACTACAGGTGCATGCCACTGTGCCTGGTTTATTGAGCCACTGTTTTGTAGTGGCCACCATGCTAAGCATTTGGAATCCAATAATAGCAAGATACAGACATTGACCGGGCACAGTGGCTCATGCCTGTAATCCCAAAGCTCATGCCTGTAATCTGCAGGTGGATGGCTTGAGCTCAGAAGTTTGAGACTAGCCTGGCAACATAGTGAAACCTCGTCTCTACAAAAAATACAAAAATTACTTGGACATGGTGGTGTGCACCTGTAGTCCCAGCTAATTTGGAGGCTGAGTTGGGAGAATCACTTGAGCTTGGTAGGTCGAGGTTGCAGTAAGCCCTAATCACACCACTGCACTCCAGCCTGGGTGACAGAGTGAGACCCTATCTAAGAAAAAAAAAAAAAAAGATATAGACATTGCTCTGCCTTTAAACAGAGCTTGTTGATTTAAATTCTAGTACGTGGGAGGGAAGGTAATCAAAAATAAACAAACATCATGATTAATGTTAAATTCTGTAAAGGAAATATATAGAATGACATTCTAAGATGAATGGGGGGTCCTAATTTTAGATAAGGTGATCAGAGAAAATCTCCGTAAGGAAATAACGTTTATTATCTGAGACATGAAGGATAAGGAGCCAGTCAACAAAACAGTATCCCATGCAGAGGGAAGAACAAGATCAAGGGCTCTGAGAAGGGCAAGAACTTAGCATGTTCAAGAAGCTGAAAATAGAAAGTGAGAAGAGGAGCAGAGTTATCAAGGACAAGAGTGGTGCAGAGGTGGTGGAAGTTTTCAGGAACCAGATTATAGAATGTTGTAGGCCTTGGTTAGGAGTTTGGTTTTTATTCTAAGCCGCAGAAAAGTGAATAGTAGTATTCCATTTATGTAATAATGCAAAATGGTAGTCATAGATAACGTATATACTATTTCTGGGAAGGTGTATTGATGTAATTAACCATGGCTACCCCTGAAGTGTAGAAATAGAGATTGAAGGAATAGGTAGAAAGGCCTTTACTTTATACCCTTCATGACTGAATATTTTAACTTGTGAGCATATTACTTTTCAAATTGAATAAAGTAGTGGATTTATGTTTTTAAAATAGTTCTTATAAATTATTTTTAAAACAATGAGCAAAAATATGAACCAGAAATTTACAAAAGAGAAATACCAATAAACCTATGAAAAGATATTCAGCCTTACTAATGACCAGAAATAATGCAATCTAGATTTTCACCTCAAATATTGGCAAAGACAAAAAATACTGACAGCATCCAGTTTCATTGAGGGTGTAGGCACACAGATGCTCTCAGTTACTTTAATATGAGTATATATTCATCCAGACTTTTTAGAGGACAGTTTGACAGTATATTTCAAAAACTCTGAAAAGTACACATCTTAGTTTTTTTTTTAGGAATTTATTTTAAGGAAGTAAATTGGGAGAACAAGTCTAAAAATACAGATAAAAGGTCATTATTTACAGCATTGTTTATAATAGTGAATAATTGGGACCTATTATTATATATCAGTAGAAAATTATTTAAGTTATGATATAGTTCATTCTGTTGCCATTAAAATTTATGATGAAGTTATATGTTTATCGACATGTCAAGGTGTTTACAGGGTATTATTCAATAAAACCCTCTAGCAGTTTAGAATATTATGTATGTAGTAGAATTTCTTTCCTTAATTATGTGGATTTAAGTGTGTATGTATCACATACAGAACTCCTAGAAGTTTAATACAAAAATATTAAGGGTAATTTTTGCTGTGTAGTACAGCTTGTAATATTTTTTGTACTTTTAATATTTTTGGATTTTAATTTTTTATTATTATTATTATACTTTAAGTTTTAGGGTACATGTGCACAATGTGCAGGTTAGTTACATATGTATACATGTGCCATGCTGGTGCGCTGCACCCACTAACTCGTCATCTAGCATTAGGTAGATCTCCCAATGTTATCCCTCCCCCCTCCCCCCACCGGATTTTAATTTTTTATAACAAATATATGTTAATGCCGGCTGGGAGTGGTGGCTCATGCCTGTTATCCCTGCACTTTGGGAGGCCAAGGCAGGTGGATTGCCTGACCTCAGAGATTCGAGACCAGCCTGGCTAACATGGTGAAACCCTGTTTCTACTAAAAATACAAAAAAATTAGCCAGGCATGGTGGTGCACCTTTGTAATCTCATTTACTCAGGAGGCTGAAGCAGGAGAATCGCTTGAACCCAGGAGGCAGAGGTTGCAGTGAGCTGAATTCACGCCATTGCACTCCAGCCTGGAAGAAGAGTGAGACTCCGTCCATCTCAAAATAAAATGTAAACAAACCAACAAACAAAATATATATATATATATATGTTAATTTTCCAGTGAGTGAAAGCTATAATCTATAAAAAAGGAAAATATAGGGAGTATTAGGTAATACAGAAAAGTTTAAGTATTTATGCATATAATTTGATAAAGAGTAATGAAATTTAATTACAGTATTGGTTTGATCTGGAGTAACTGATGTTCATAATGCTTTTTCATTTTGTAGGACTAGAAGAAATTGCAAAAGAAAGAGAAAAACTGAAAAAGGCAGAAAGTGTCCAGATCAAAGAAGAAATGTTTGAGACTTCTGGGGACAGTTTAAATTGTTCAAATACAGATCACTGTGAACAAAAGGAAGATCTTAAAGAAAAAGATAACACAAATCTATTCCTTCAGAAACCTGGCTCTTTTTCCAAATTAAGCAAGCTTTTGGAAGTAGCTAAGATGCCTCCTGAGTCAGAGGTTATGACCCCCAAACCAAATGCTGGTGCAAATGGGTGCACGTTGTCTTATCAGAACAGTGGAAAACATTCACTGGGCAGCGTTCAGTCAACAGCAACGCAAAGCAATGTGGAAAAGGCAGACTCTAATAATCTGTTTAATACTGGTTCAAGTGGTCCAGGGAAGTTCTACAGTCCTCTCCCCAATGACCAGTTACTAAAAACGCTGACTGAAAAGAATAGACAATGGTTTAGTCTTTTGCCACGAACACCCTGTGATGACACTTCACTTACTCATGCCGATATGTCAACTGCTTCTTTGGTGACTCCTCAGTCTCAGCCACCATCTAAGTCACCTTCACCTACCCCAGCTCCTCTTGGATCTTCTGCTCAGAATCCTGTTGGCTTAAATCCATTTGCTTTATCACCTCTTCAGGTTAGTACTGCTAACTGTAACTCATTTTTATATTGCTTTATGTAATCTTTGACCCCATGGAGATTTTTGCTCAAGGGGGCTCACTCAGATAGTTAAAATATTCCTGCTACAGTTTGAAAACTAAAACAAGTCAGAATTTCTGTCACCAAGGTTCATTAGAACTACTGATTTCTAGACTTTGTCTAAGTCTTCTTTAATTACTTTTTAACTTATTACTGTAACGGTATATCCGAAAGGAAAATTACTTTGGGAAACAAATAAGAACATGGAATTTAACATTTTTGTTGCTAATGTATTTTGTTTTCCTGTAATTGTAATAAATGAAAGAATATTTTTTGGAATTTGAAAAATAATTTCATATTCCAAACATTTTTCCTAACTTCTTAGAGTAATCTACTTTTCATTAATAAATGTTTTCTTTTTGCAGGTGAAAGGTGGAGTATCTATGATGGGACTTCAGTTTTGTGGATGGCCCACTGGTGTGGTTACTTCTAATATTCCATTTACATCATCTGTACCTAGTCTAGGATCGGGGTTAGGGTTATCAGAAGGAAATGGTAATTCATTCTTGACTTCCAATGTTGCTTCAAGTAAAAGTGAATCTCCAGTACCACAGAATGAAAAGGCCACTTCAGCTCAACCTGCAGCTGTTGAAGTAGCAAAACCAGTAGATTTTCCTAGTCCAAAACCTATTCCAGAAGGTAGGTACATTGAGATGGTTTACAGCCACTTACTCAATTTCAATATTATGGATTCCTGTATTATAACTGAATATTTGATGGTTCTATATATAGTTAATAAATCTTTTTATTTCCATGGTGTCATTTCCTATTCAAAATATTTGTAAAAGTTCTACTTATTTATCTTGACTTAGAAATGCAGTTTGGTTGGTGGAGAATTATTGACCCAGAGGACCTAAAAGCTTTGCTCAAAGTGCTGCATCTCAGAGGAATAAGAGAAAAGGCATTACAAAAACAAATTCAGAAACATTTGGATTATATTACTCAAGCCTGCCTCAAGAATAAGGATGGTGTGTACCTAAAAGATATTTCAGCTTTCTTTCTTGCTTAGTTATGAGAATTAATTATTCTAAACCATATTTTAGTACAGTCTATTGGTCCTTCATATTCATGGGTTCCACATCTATGGATTCAACCAATCGCAGATCAAACAGTCAAAGAAAGATGGGTGCATCTGTACTGAACATATACAGGCTTTTTTTTCTTATCATTCTTCCCTAAATAATATATAGTATAACAACTATTTCCATAGCATCTACATTGTCTCAGGTACTATAAGTAACCTAGAAATAACTTGAAGCATATGGGAGGATGTACATAGATTACATGCAAATAGTACACCTTTTTTTTTTTTTTTTTTTTTTTTTTGTGAGAGAGTCTTGCTGTGTCACCTAGGCTGGAGAATGGTGGTGCAGTCATAGCTGACTGCATTCTCAAAGTCCTGGGCTCAAGCAATCTTCCTGCCTCAGCCTTCTGAGTAGCTGGGACTACAGGCACATGCCCCCACACCCAGCTAGTTTTTTTTATTTTTTGTAGAGACAGGGCCTCACTATGTTGCCCAGGCTGGTCTCGAACTCCTGGCCTCAAGTGATCCTCTCACCTCAGCTTCCCAAAGTGCTAAGATTATGGGCATGAGCCACCACTCCTGGCCAACACCATTTTATATAAGGGATGTGAACATCTCTAGGTTTTGGTATTCATGGGGGCAGAGGGGGTCCTAGAACCAATCCCCCACAGATATCAAGAGAGAAATGATATCTTAATGCACTACTATTTTTTTCTGTTTTACTCAACAAACTATTTATATTTTTTAAGTTGGTGTTACTGTCTTGTAATTTTTTACACCCGTAGCATATTGTTTTGTGTTTCTTAGCGTGTTTCTACTTTTAAGAGTAAGCTGCCTGTACATACACAAGTGCATTTGTGTATGTCAAGTTAGATGTACATGGGTCTCCTAGAATTTTATTCACTTTCTGGAAGAGGTCTCTGTGGGGAAAAGCTTAATAAGTGGATTTTTAAATTAATTTCTTTTTAAATGTAGTTGCTATTATTGAACTGAATGAAAATGAAGAAAACCAAGTAACTCGAGATATTGTGGAGAACTGGTCAGTAGAAGAACAAGCAATGGAAATGGATTTGAGTGTCCTTCAACAGGTAGAAGATCTAGAAAGGAGAGTTGCATCAGCAAGTTTGCAAGTGAAGGTAAAATCGACTTGGAATAAAATATGTTTTTAGGATAATGGAAGATAACTAATGTTTATTACTTGCCTAATATATGCTAGTTAATGTGCTAAATGTTTTTATTTTGTCTCATTTAATTCTGAAAACAATCCTGGATTAATTTGCCCCATCTGTTAAGGAACCAGGCTCAGAGTAAGTAATGTGCCAATGGTCATATAGTAAGTGCCTAAATGTGCATTTAAACCAAGTCTGACTCCAGAGCCCATGTTCTTTTTAGTAATCTTGCTACCTCCTTAATGGTATTCAGAGGTATTATTTCCGATGCGCAGTTCTTTACTACCAGCAGAATTCCAGTTTCACTGAGATGAATGTGATGATCTAGTACAAATATTATCAAACTCCTATTGTAGTGTTTCATATAGGGCCATGAACTTCCTTACATACAAGCCTTGTTATATGTCAGACTTTTATACTATATAGTTTAATTTGGAGACCAATATAGATATATCCAAATATATGTTATAGACCATTATGATATACTGACACATGCACACATACCCTACATATATATATATAAAGTTTTTATTTACTGATTTATTCATTCATTCCCTCATCTATCTCCTGGGTATTATCATGTTACAGGTAATGATCAGAACTGGTTTCCAGTGGACAAACAAAAGGAAAGCTTTACCCTTGTGCAAGAATTTTTGGTTTTGTAAAGAGGGGTATAAAGGTCTCCTTAAAAGCATGAAAGGTTTAGAACCTGCTAAGGTTCTGTTTTGGTTTGGGGGTTTTTTGTTTTTTTGTTTTTTGTTTTTGAGATGGAGTCTCACGCTGTCACCCAGGCTGGAGTACGGTGGTGTGATCTTGGCTTACTGCAACCTCCACTTCCAGGTTCAAGTGATTCTCCTGCCTCAGGCTTCCAAAGTACATGCCGTGATGCCCCACTAATTTTTGTATTTTTAGTAGAGATGGGGTTTTGCCACGTTGGCCAGGCTGGTCTCAAACTCCTGACCTCAAGTGATCCACCCACTTTGGCCTCCCAAAATACTGGGATTACAGGCATGAGCCACTGTGCCTGGCTAGAATCTGCTAAGGTACTAAAGGTTTAGAAACCTTAATCTCCATGTAATTTGATTTGAAATGCCTTGCTTTATTCAGAATGAGAAATTTATGGCATAATGCTATCCTATTTAATAATTGAGATTTTGCTTCATAATTAGTTTAACATAGGCATTTGGACACTTTTGAGGATCTCAAAAAATGTAGTTTTCCAGAGCTAATAAAATATCCCTTTCTTGTGACAAACGTAATTACCAACGTTGGGAAGCAAAAATTTATTATTGAAACTATTGTGCTAGTAAACTATGTCTCCTCCTCCAGGTTCTATAATACAGTATAAAAGTGCCTCGTGTATTGTCATCTTTCTGGCATCTTCAACAGATGAACCCTTTCACACTATTTTATTTTCTGGAGAAATGAAAATTATTCCATTTAGTGCTAGAATTTTTTAATGTGTTTTTGGATCGCTTATGTTACACATTTCATTGCCTTCTTAAATTGAAAATAAAAAGCCTGATTTAACTTATCATGGTGGCACAGAATCATCAGTATGAAGATCAATTATCAGACAATAATTCCCTCAGGAAATGAGAAGAGGTTTTGCACCTAACCTAAATGATCCTAGTGTGCTTTGGTTTTAAAACTGCTACATCTACTTTCTATAGTCTGTGGTTGTCCTCTCAGTTTGTCAGTTGATACTGCTTGCTGGTTTAAATTTGATTGGTTCCATAAGCCCTATTTTCCTCCAGCTTTTTCCCAACTCATTTGCCAATTCTAGTTGACTGTTGGTTGGGAAAGTGTATCATCAGGCTTTTAAAAAATATGTGTAAAGTCCGAGTGTGGGCCTGAAACATTTTCCTGGTGACATACTCAGATTTTGGTCCTTTGACCTTTATCACATTGCTGACTGCTTAAATGTTCTTGGCTGTGTTATCAGTAGCTAAGATAAGTAGAATTTGCTTCATAAATTGTTTTAAAATCATAAATGATAATGTACAGTATCATGGAGTACATGGTGATGTTTTGGTACATTTAATGTATAGTGATCAGATCAGAGTAATTAGCATATTCATTATCTCAAACATTTACCATTTTTTTTCTGTTAAGAATAATATCCTCCTTTAGCTACTTGAAACAATATATATTATTAACTATAGTCATCGTACAGTGGTATAGAGCACGAGAACTTATTTCTCCTACCTACCAATAATTTTGTATTCTTTTTTTTTTTTTGAGACCAAGTTTCACTTTTGTTGCCCAGGCTTGAGTATAGTGGCGTGATCTCAGCTCACAGCAACCTCCACCTCCCAGGTTCAAGCGATTCTCCTGCCTCAGCCTTCCTGAGTAGCTGGGATTACAGGCATGCCCCACCAAGCCCAGCTAATTTCTGTATTTTTAGTAGAGACAGGGTTTCTCCATGTTGGTCAGGCTGGTCTCAAACTCCCGACCTCAGATCATCTGCCCACCTCGGCCTCCGAAAGTGCTGGGATTACAGGTGTGAGCCACTGCGCCCAGCCAGTAATTTTGTATTCTTTAACAAATCTCTCTTTATCCCTCCCTGCCCCCACTTTTCCCAGCCTATAGTATATCCTCTGGTCTACTTTTTACTTCTATGAGATCAGTTTTTTTTCAAGCTTCCACATGAATGAGAACATGCAGTGTTTAACTTTGTGTGCCTGGCTTACTTCACTTAAAGTAATGTCCTCCAGTTCCATCCATGTTGCCTCTAATGACAGGATATTTCGTTCTTTTTATGGTTGTATAGCATTCTGTTGTGTATACATGCCACATTTTCTTTATCCATTTATCTGTTGTTGAATACCTGGATTCATTCTGTATTTTGGCTATTGTGTATAGTGCCGCAGTAAACATCGGGATGCAGATGTCTTTTCTTTTCTTTTTTTTTTTTTGAGACGGAGTTTCACTCTTGTTGCCCGGGCTGGAGTTCAATGGCGCCATCTCAGCTCACCGCAGCCTCCACCTCCCAGGTTCAAGCAACTCTCCTGCCTCAGCCTCCTGAGTAGCTGGGATTACAGGCATGCACCACCACGCCTGGCTAATTTTGTATTTTTAGTAGAGACGGGGTTTCTCCATGTTGAGGCTGGTCTTGAACTCCTGACCTCAGGTGATCCACCCGCCTCAGCCTCCCAAAGTGCTGGGATTACAGGCATGAGCCACCACACCCGGCCAGATGTCTTTTCAATACGACAATTTTCTTTTCCTTTGGATAAATTCCCAGTAGTAGGATTGCTGGATCATATGATAGCTCTATTTGTAGTTTCTTGAGGAACCTACATACTGTTCTTCATAGTGGCTGTACTAGTTTACATTCCCACCAACAGTATGTAAGAGTTCCCTTTTCTATGCATTCTTACCAGCATCTCATTTTTTTTTTTTTCTTTTTTTTTTTTTTTTTTGAGATGGAGTCTTGTTCTGTCGCCCAGGCTCTGCAGTGCAGTGGCGTGATCTTGGCTCACTGCAAGCTCCACCTCCCGGGTTCCCGCCATTCTGCTGCCTCAGTCTCCCGAGTAGCTGAGACTACAGGCGCCCACCACCACACCCAGCTAATTTTTTGTATTTTTAGTAGAGATGGGATTTCATCATGTTAGCCAGGATGGTCTTGATCTCCTGACCTTGTGATCTGCCCGCCTCAGCCTCCCAAAGTGCTGGGATTACAGATGTGAGCCACGGCGCCCGGCCGTTTTTTTTCTTTTTGATAATAGCCATTCTAACTGGGGTGAGATAATATCTCATTGTGGCTTTGATTTGCATTTCTCTGATGAGTGGTGATGTTCAGCATTTTTTCATATATTTGTTGGCCATGTATATGTCTTCTTTTGAGAAATGTCTGTTCAGATTATTTGCCCATTTTTAATCAGATTGTTTGGTTTTTTGCTGTTGAGATGTTTGAGTTCCTTGTATATCCTGGTATTAATCTCCTTTCAGATGTATTATTTGCAAATATTTTAGCCCATTTTGAGGATTTTCTTTTCACTCTGTTGACTTTTTCTTTTGCTGTACAGAAGTTTTTTCATTTGATGTAGTTGCATTTGTTTATTTTTGCTTCTGTTACCTGTGCTTTTGAAGTTTTATATATAAAATATTTTCCCAGACCAGTGTCCTGTTTCTTCTGTAGTTTTATCATTTGGGGTCTTACATTAAGTCTTTCATCTATTTTGAGTTATTTTTGTATAGGATAAGAGGTGGGGGTCTAGTTTAATTCCTCTGCATATGGATATCCAGTTTTCCTGGCACCATTTATTGAAGAGACTATTCTTTTCACAATGAGCATTCTTGGCAGCTTTGTTAAAAAGCAGTTGATTGTAGAGGTGTGGATTAATTTCTGGGTTTTCTATTCTATCCCATTGGTTTATGTGTCAGTTTTTATGCCTGTACCATGCTGTTCTGATTACTACAGCTTTGTAGTTTATTTTGAAGTCTTAGTAGTCTGATACCTCCAGCTTTGTTCTTGTTACTCAGGATTGCTTTAGCTATTCAGTCTTTTGTAATTCCACACAAAGTTTAATATTTTTTCTTTATTTCTGTGAAGAATATCATTAGTGTTTTGATAGGGATTGTGTTGAATCTGTAGATCGCATTGGGTAGTATTATCATTTTAACAATATTGATTCTTCTGATCCATAAGCATGATTGTATCCTCTCATCCTCTTCAGTTTTTTTTAATCAGTGTTTTATAGTTTTCCTTGTAGAGGTCTTTCACTTCTTTGGTTAAATTTACTCCTAGAATTGGATTTTTGTTTTTGATTTTGCTTGTTTGTTTGGTAGCTATTGTAAATGGGATTGCCTTCTTGATTTCTTTTTTAGTGAATTCATTGTTCATGTATCAAAATGCTGCTGAGGCCGGACACAGTGGCTCATGCCTGTAATCCCAGAACTTTGGGAGGCCAAGGTGAGAGGATCACTTGAGCTCAGGAGTTTGAGACCAGCCTGGGGAACATGGCAAAACCCCATCTCTACAAAAAATACAAAAATTAGGTGGGCGTAGTGACACGTGCCTATAGTCCCAGCTACTTGGGAGGCTGAGGTGGGAGAATGGCTTGAGCCCAAGAAGTGAAGTTGCCTTGGCTATTTGGGCTCTCTTTTGGTTCTATATGAACTTTTCAATAGTTTTTTCTAGTTCAAAGAAGAATTTCATTGGTAGTTTTATAGGAATAGCATTGAATCTGTAAATTGCTTTGGGCAGTATGGCCATTTTAATGATATTTAGTCTTCCTATCTATGACCATGGGATTTTTTCCATCTGTATCATCTTTGATTTCTTTGAGCAGTGTGATGCAATTTCCATGTAGAGATCTTTCACCTCCCTGGTTGGCTGCATTCCTAGGTATTTTATTGTTAGGAAAAGTAACTTTTTGTTTTGTTGATCTTTTGTATTTTTGTCTCAATTTGGTTTATTTCTGCTCTGATCTTTATTGTTTCTTTCCTTCTACTAATTTGGGGTTTGATTTGTTCTTGCATTTCCAGTTACTTGAAGGGCATTGCTAGATTGTTTACTTGAAATATTTCTACTTTATTGATGTAGGCATTTATTGCTATAAACTTGCTTCTTAATACTGCCTTTGCTGTGTCCCATACATTTTGGAATGTTGTGTTTCTGTTTTCATTTATTTCAAGGAATTTTTAAATTTCATTCTTAATTTCTTCTTTTACCCAGTGGTTGTTCAGGACCCTGTTGTTTACATTTCATGTATTTGTATGGTTTTAAATGTTCCTCTTGTTACTGATTTATAGTTTATTTCCATGTAGTCAGAGAAGATACTTGATATGATTTCAAATTTTTAAAATTTTTTGAGATTTGAGTCCTAACATATGGTCAGTCCTGGCATATGTTCCATGTGCTGATGAAAATAATGTGTATTCTGCAGCTGGTGGATGAAATGTTCTGTACGTGTCCATTTGGTCTATGGTGCAGATTAAATTTGATGTTACTTTGTTGATTTTCTGTCTAGAAAATCTGTCCAATGCTGACAGTGGGATGTTGAAATCCCCAGCCATTATCATATTAGGATCTACCTCTACATTTGGATCTAATAATATTTGCTTTATGTATTGAGTGCTCTGTTATTGAGTGCATATATATTTACAATTATTGTATTCTCTTGTTGAATTGATCCCTTTATTTATATAATTGTCCTTCTTTGTCTCTTTTTACAGCTTTTAACTTGAAGTTTGTTTGTTTGTTTTTTTTATCTGACATAAGTATAACTATTCCTCTTCACTTTTGGTTTTCATTTGCATGGGCTATTTCTATCCATCCATTCACTTTCAGTCTACATATGTCTTTACAGGTGAGGGGAGTTTCTTATAGGCAGCATATAGTTGGGCCTTGTTTTTTTAATCCAGCCAGTCTATGTCTTTTAAATGGGAAATTTAATTCATTTACATTCAAGATTACTATTTATAGGTGAGTGCTTACTCCTGTCATTTTATTGATTGCTTTTCTCTTGTTTTGTATAATCCTTTGTTCCTTACTTCCTTGATTATTATTTATTTTTGTGGCTGGGTGTTTTTCCATAAGGATACAGTTTATCATCAGGCTTTTTAAAATTATGTGTGTAATAATTTCCTTTCTCCTTTGTGTATTAGCTTTCCCAGTGAGTTTTATAGTTTCATATTTTCGTGATGGTGGTTATCATCTTTTTACTTTCAGATATAGGAGTCCTTGAGCATTTCTTGCATGTTTAGCCTAGTGGTGATGAATTCCTTCAGTTTCCCTCAGTCTGTAAAAGATTCTTTTTCTCCTTCATTTCTGAAGGCTTTCTTGGCTGGTAGGGTTTTTTTTTTCTCTCACTACTTTGAATATATCATCCCATTCTCTCCTGGCCTACAAGGTTTCTGCTGAGAAATCCAATGTTAGTCTAATGGAGATTTCCTTATATGTGACTTGACACTGTTAATGCTTTCAGAATTCTTTGTCTTTTGACTTCTTACAGGGTGACTATAATATGCCTCAAAGAGGACCTGTTTGGGTTGAATTTCTTGGGATTCTTCAAACTTCCTGTACCTGAATTTTCCTCTTTCTCCCAGGATGTGGAAAGTTTTCTACTATTATTTCATTAAATTTTTTTTCCTCACCTTTCCCTTCTCTTCACCTTCTGTAACACCCACAGGAATATTTGTTTGCTTAATGGTGTCCCATAAATCCTATAGGCTTTTTCCTTCTTTTTTTCCTTTTTCTTTGTTTTCCTTTCTTTCTTTCCCCCCACCCCTTGGTCTGCCTATGTTACTTCAAACGACCTGTCTTCAGAAATTCTTTCTTCCCCTTGGTCTAGTCTGTCTTTTTGATCTAGTCTTGTATTTTTTACTTTATTCATTGAATTATTTAGCTCTAGAACTTCTGTTTGGTTCTTTTTTATATCTGTCTCTGTTGATTTTCTCATTCAAATCATGAATTGTTTTCCAGATTTTGTCTAATTGTCTTTATGTATTCTCCTATTTCTTCTGTCAAACCATATATTTGTACCCATTAGTCAATTTCTCTTACTCTCACTCTCTCCCTACCCTTCTCAGCCTCTGGTAACCACCAATCTACTCTCTACATTCTAGAGTAGAGTAGCTTTTTTAGTTCTCACATATGAGTGAGAATATATAATAATTTGTCTTTCTGTATCTGGCTTATTTCACCCAGGATAATGTCCTCCAGTCCATCCATTTTGCTGCAAATAACAGGATTTCATTCTTCTTTATGACTGAATAATATTCCATCCTATAAATATACTGCATTTTCTTTATCCATTCATCTGTTGATGGGCATTTAGGTTGATTCCATATTTTAGCTATTGTGAATATTGCTGCAGTAAATATAGGAGTACAAATATCTCTTCCATATATTGATTTTCTTTCTTTTCTATGTATACCCACTAATGGAATTGCTAGATCGTATGGTAGTTCTATTTTTAGATTTTTGAGGAACTTTCACACTGTTTTTCATAGTGGATAAGTTGGTTGTCTATCTTGATCTCACTTTTTTCAGTGTAGAAACTGTGAGTTAGGGGGAAGTTTTCTGTGTGCTTGGTTCCTGGCAGAATGAGGGTAGAGAAGCATCGTGGATATGGAAGTCCAGTTCTCTTACCATCTGCTCAGAGTTTTTTCACTTCTCTCTTGCCACAGGAACTATCTCATCCTCATGTTTGAATTTTGGGATGTTGCTGGTGATCGTCTCAGTGCCGTATATTTATTTTGGGTTTTCTGAGTGGTTGGCGGCAGGGACGGGGAGGGCATTGGAGGCAGGAACTGAAGCCAGCTTGTATCTGTGACACCATTTTAGAGTCCATCCTTCCTTTCTAAATATAAATATTCTACTGAGTTAAAGGGGAAGAATTTATCCTAGTATATAAGATAAAATAATTATATCTAAAGAGATGTTTAAGTTTATTCCATTTTTCATTTAATATGCATTTATTAAATACCTATTGCATCTCAGGCAGTGGACACCAAAAAATTGGATAAAGTGTCGTTCCTACCATAAGAAAGCTTGTCATATAATAGGGAGATCAGACATATACATATATGCAGAATCTAGTAGCTGATTGTTGAGAACAGAGTAATGTATGAATTTAGAAGAAGAATACTGACTTCTGGCAGAGATATGGAAGATTTCATTTAGAAGTTGAAATGGAACTTAAGAAAATGAGTATGGTTTGGACAATTGGAGACCAGGCAATATCATCCCAGGAAGTGGGAACAGCATGAGCAGAGCACGAGGATTGGAAAGCTTATCTCATGTTTGTGGAAGAGCAAATTATAGAATTTGACTGCAACATAAGATGTGTGAATGGGAACATGAAAAGGGATAGATTGAGGTACTTCAATGCCATGGTGAACATTTCCTAAAGAATAGGAAATCTTTGAAGGATTTTGAGCTACAGGATCATTGATTGTTCAGTCAACATACATGTATTGAGTGCCCATTATTTGCCTGCACTGTACTGGAGATAAATGAGTAAAAGCAGACATAGTCCCTGCTCTCATGGAATTTAGAAGTAGAAAAATATTCATCGAATAATTACACTACTATAAAATTACATTTATGACAAGGCTAAGGAGCATGGTCCTATGAGAACCTGTCAGAGAGGGACTTAGCTCCTGAAAGAGGTCAGGAAAGGATTCCTATCAGGATCCTTTCATGTTAAAGTGAATCTTAACATGAGACCTATGAAATGAGTGGCGTTAACTAGGTGAAGAGGAGCAAAAGAAAAGCAATACAGATAAAGGTAATAGCATATTTGAAGCCCCTGCAGTCAAAGGAAAAATGGTGAGCACAGAAGGACCTGTACAGAAGAATAATGGAAGGAATGAAAACAGAAAGGAAGAGCAAAGGCTCAGAGGCTACCCAGAGATTTCCATTTAAGTGATCCCATGAAACTGATAAGCATTTTGGTCTAAAATCCTTCAAAATATTTTGCTGATTGTTCTTATACCTTTTATAATATCAAAAGTTTATAAATTTTATTTTTCAAACTTTTCTTACAACTATTTCTTTTAATTTTTTTCTTCTTATTTCCACCTAGTTTTAGGAAACACAAGGTAAAATCTTTTAGTAACAATCCTTGAGATCTGCCAGTATCCAATGCTGTATTTTAAGTAAAGGTAATTCACCCACCTAGCATTTTAAGAGGAAACCATAATAACACTATTCTCTTGATATATAGGGTTGGATGTGTCCAGAGCCTGCATCAGAAAGGGAGGACTTGGTATATTTTGAACATAAATCATTTACTAAATTGTGCAAGGAGCATGATGGAGAATTTACTGGCGAAGACGAAAGCAGTGCACATGCACTAGAACGGAAGAGTGACAACCCCCTAGATATAGCTGTAACCAGGCTGGCTGATTTGGAGCGGAACATTGAAAGAAGGTATCTGAAGAGCCCCTTAAGTACCACCATTCAGATCAAACTGGATAATGTGGGCACAGTTACTGTCCCTGCTCCTGCACCATCCGTTAGTGGTGATGGTGACGGGTAGGTTATTGAGATTAACTTGAAAAATTATTGTGCTTCTTTGCTAATTGGAGCCTATTTTCTATTGCCTGTTATCTATGTATCTTCTTGTATGTCTGTGATCCATACGGATCATGCTATTTGCATGGTGCTTTGTAAAAACTTTTTTTTTGTTATGTGCGTTGATAATCCTGCAAAGTGATCTTACATCTACCTGGTTGTGACTAAGCTTTGAGGCACGTAGCCACAGTCTGTGCACTACATCAAATTTAGTTGCTTAAACCTTATACTTATTGGCTGTTACATGTTTTTGTCATTGCTTGGCTTTCAGTGTGATGATTGTTTCACATTCCGTAATCGTAAGTGTGGACATGACCTACTTAATTTTTCTATATTTCAATGCAGAATTGAAGAGGATATTGCTCCAGGGCTCAGGGTATGGAGAAGGGCATTATCAGAAGCTCGCAGTGCTGCACAGGTAGCTCTGTGCATTCAGCAATTACAGAAATCAATAGCATGGGAAAAATCAATTATGAAAGTTGTAAGTGTTTTTATTTAAGAAATATTATAACTAATTTACTTTGTCCTGTTTCTTCCAACCTCCAGATCTTTCTTAATTATACATTACCTATTGTCATAATAATGTATGCTATACTTGAGAGTTTTTCTAATTCTAAAAGATTTTTGATACTTTCCTCCTTACTGAAGGAACCTTTCAAATGTGTTATCTTTTATTTTTTAAAATCTTGCTTCTGCCTCCTTTGAATATCGTTTATACCTCTAACTGAAGTTGTCTCCCACATTCCATCAGCACAATAGTTATTAATCTAAATCTTGAAGGCTGTTTCACTGTAGTAAACAGTTCCATTGCTAACATTACCTGCTATATTACTGCGTAGCTAAAATGTCTTTTTCTATCAGTTTTCATTTTTTAATTCTAAGAAGCACTTAGATAAGTAAATACAAGATAAGCAGAGAACTCTTAGTTTATGTGCTTATATCATGTATTTGGCATCAGATGTGGTTGACATGAACAGTAGATCCTTTAGTCTGTCTTCTACTAATTAAAATTGGTTTTCCACCTTCTTTCTACAACCCCAATTAGTTTATCATTTAGTTTATCACAAAAATCTCTATTTTGTATCAGGCACCAAAATGGTGTGTGTTCAAAATACAGAGCTATAATTCATGTTTTCCAGAGAAATATTTACTTTAAATCATGTACAAGTGTCCCTCTTGCCTCTTTTATATTATCATATATAGAATTATCTATTATATGTAGTCTTTTATGAATTACTTTAACATTTGCTTTTTTGTTTGTTTTTTGAGACAGAGTCTCGCTCACCCAGGCTGGAGTGCAGTGGCACAATCTTGGCTCACTGCAACCTCTGCCTCCTGGGTTCAGGGGATTCTCCTGCATCAGCCTCCTGAGTAACTGGGATTACAGGCACCCACCACCATACCCGGCTAATTTTTGTATTTTTAGAAGAGATGGGGTTTCACTATGTTGGCAAAGCCAGTCTCAAACTCTTGACCTCAGGTGATCCGCCCACCTCAGCCTCCCAAAGTGCTAGGATTACAGGCGTGAGCCACTGTGCCTGGCTACCATTTACTTTGAATTACAGACTAGCTTTAAAATTTAAACATTTGAGATTCTTTTCATGAATGGTTAAAGGTGAAATTCCTTTACTTAAAATGGTTGTTTCCCTGAAGAAAAGAATTGATTCTTAAATAACTTAGAGTTCTTTCTTTCGTCTTTACCTTTATGCTTAGACTACTCAAGGCCTTATTAATTCCACACAAATAAATTACGTTTCTTCTATGGTTTTTCACTGCTTCCTAAAACATCTATGAATCTGCAGTTTCATAATGTGCTGGAATACAGGGTCTTTCTCAATTCAGATTGGAATTTACTATAATTTTTTTTTTTTTTTTTTTTGAGACAGAGTCTCTGTTGCCCAGGCTGGAGTGCAGTAGCAGAATCTCAGCTCACTACAACCTCAATCTCCTGGGTTCAAGCAGTTCTCCTGCCCTCAGCCTCCCGAGTAGCTGGGATTACAGGCGTGCACCACCATGCCCAGCTAAATTTTGTATTTTCAGTAAAGACAGTGTTTCACCATGTTGGCCAGGCTGGTCTCGAACTCCTGAACTCAAATGATCCGCCTGCCTTGGCCTCCCAAAGTGCTGGGATTACAAGCATGAGCCACCGCACCTGGCCCAGAATTTACTATAAATTTTAAGGCACTGTTTGATTCATTTAATAGTGTTTTTACCAGGTACAAATATTTTTTCCTTCTAAAAATTATTATTAAAACCAGCTTGAATGTCACCTTAGACAAATATATTTGGTGAGATCTAGGCAATAATGATTTTTTTAAAAAAGAGAGAGAAACTGAGACTGATTTCTTGCCAGTTATGGTGGTGCATGCTGATAGTCCCAGCTACTCCAGAGGCCAAGGCAGGATCATTTGAGCCCAAGAGTTCGAGGCTGTAGTGTGCTGTGATTACACTTGAGAACAGCCACTGCACTATAGCCTGGGCAACATAATGAGACCTTGTCTGTAAATAAAACTGAAAAAAAAAGATTAAGTCCTAGATCAAAATGAAATTTGTATTTATATTTTTCTCATCTACACCAAAGCAGTCATCATGATGTGTTCAGTTTTATTATAAACTTACACACATAAACCTAAAACTTGTATCAAAACCTGCCTTTATATTGATATATTTAAATTCTGCAATCTATAGCTTTATTTCCATTTTTGCAAATTCATTAACCTTTCTCTTGTTCTTCATCTACTCTTATTAATCATATAACTCCATCTCTCACAATCTTCATTTCCTTTTTAAAATGCTTAATAATACATTTCTTGCTATGAAACTACCTTGAAAAGAAGGCAGTGTTTCATATTCAAAGATTAAGAAGCACCTTATAACCTTTAGAGACATAACAGTGCCTATAGTAATCCTCATAGTAAGTCCTGACAAAATATTAAAGTGCTCGATATCTTTAGAAATACCCTTTTGGACAAAGACCAAGGTTATCAAGAAAAAGAGGGAGTTGTCATAATTTGCCTCCAGATAATTCTCTACCCACAGTATGCTTTATATTGTTAAACAGTAGGCAGCATCCACTATTTTTTACTGTAGTAGCAGAGGAATTAAAACCAAATAATAATATATTTACTGTAACATATTGTGAGCTATTACTATAATTTTTCAAAATTGTTATGAGTTTGATATCTGTCACCCTTTCTTTAAAAGTATCAGGAAATAATTTTATTTTTAAATCCTAAGTGTGAGATGTAAGACAGATCTTGTAGCATTTATAGTTGCCTAGTAGAGAAAACAATGAGTATTTACTTATGTTCATGAATCTGATTTTTAAATTGTGTTGTTACAGGGATATACATATAACCTTGCAATTGTTATTTCTCAGTGAATACTTTTACAATAGAAGTTTTAACGATGTAACTCAAATATGGAGAAACAACACCATCTTAAGGTATTCAGTGATGGTGATGTTAGGAAAGGTCAAAAAATAGATACTGATTATTGGAATGTTAAACTGCTGCTTTTGCCCTTGGTAACCGCGCCAATGTTAATATGAAATATATAGTATATACATTTGATAAACATTTGTTAACTTGAATAGTGTGTCTGCTGTTTTGATAAGATTCTACAACTGTCATTGGTATACATACTAAGTTATAAGAAGACCATTTTAGACTTTCCCAGACTAAGATATAATGTTGCATTGAAAATTAAAGTAAGTTGGAACAGTTAAGCTATTTTGTTTTTAAGAGCGTATAAATACCTAACTTTAAAGTAGTTTAAATGATTTCTGGTTACATGTTTTCATTTTTAAAAATATGGACTGCAGGACATTTTTTTTTGTGACTGGAGTATGAACTAGATGTCAAAAAACAGTGTTAATGCTTACTGTCTTTTAAAGCCATCTTGGAAGTTTTTACTTGTCTAACTTTTCTTCTTTCCTTTGTAAAACTTACCGTACAGAATATGTGTACATGGAAAAAGTCTTCTTTTTGCAGATTTAAAGTCTTTAATTATATTAGAAAATTTTCAGTAGAAAACAACTAGTTTTATTTTTAATTCTAAAAAAATAAATAATGACCTCTTAACTTCTTACATGTATTGTATCTTTTTTCCTTAGAAACCATTTTGTAGGATCCATTTTCTGCACTTGTGACACATGTTTGATTTGGGTTGATTTTCAACGTTTCCTGGTTTGAACACATTTTCCAATCTATCACAATATATAGATGAATTAGTCAAAAATCTAGGGTTATCTTTTTATTATACGTAATTATGATACTAATACAAGTTTTCTAATTTTGATTTTAAAAAATACTCTAACTCTTATTTCTTTCTCAGGATATCATGAGGATGCTAAGATAAGCAAAAGATGAAGCACATTAAACAAATAAAACATCATGTATTAAAGCTATTCATTGCTTTATGTGCTCTAATGTCATGTTAATTATTTCATATGTTAATGTGTACATGCTTCTGAAGTGTGTGCAAGGCATTCTGCCTCTAGCTTTGTTCTTTGCAGTGTACTTGAAATGTGCATTTACCCCAATAGAACTGCTCACCCGTCATGTGGTCCATATCTGTGTAACGAAAGATACATAGATGTGTATGGCTACTGTATATTTGTAAGCAAGCGGAATGTTCATTACTAATATAAATTAGGAATTATGGTGTGTTTAACATCCCAATAACTATTATTCATGGCAGAGCGTTAATTTTAAATGATTTTTCATGTATTATAGTACTGCCAAATCTGTCGAAAGGGAGATAATGAAGAACTGCTTCTTCTTTGTGATGGCTGTGACAAAGGCTGTCATACCTACTGCCATAGACCCAAGATTACAACAATCCCAGATGGAGACTGGTTTTGTCCAGCTTGCATTGCTAAGGTAAGACCAATCTAAAACTAAACTTTTCATTTTATTTTATCTTTTTATTATTTTTTTAATACATGGTCTCAGTTGCCCAGGCTGGAGTGCAGTGGTATGATCATAGCCCACTACAGCCTAAAACTCCTGGGCTCAAGCTATCCTCTGGCCTCAATCTCTTGAGTAGCTGAGACTACAGGTGTGCACTGCACCCAGCTAATTTTTTTTTTTTTTGAGAGAGAGATAGGGTCTTGCTATGTTGCCTGCAGTGGTCTCATCCCTGGCCTCAAGCAATCTTCCTACCTCAGCCTGCCAAGTCACTGGAATTACAAATGCAAGCCACTGCACCTGGCTCCAAACAACTTTTTAATTACTAGATCAAAATGCAGAATTTTATGGTGTTTATTTTTGAAGGCAGACTCTAGGTATTCCCTACCTCAGTTACTTTCTCCCATGTTTAATCTCTTAACCTAATTATTAACAGTAAGCTAATTGTTAACAATCTCTTAACCTAACTTTTAACTACCGCCTCTCCATAAACTCACTTCAAACATCCATCTGTCCACCTCCTTTCTTCCCTTCCAGTTCACTCCCTGTAGCACTTCAACTCCAACAATCCTTGGATCTCACCAGGACTTTCGGTTTGTCTTAAGACTTTTCACTGTTGCTCTCCCACTTCATGTCCTCTCTTTCCTCCTATTCTGTCTTATGTGTCATTATCCCATTATCCCAATCATTGCTTCCACCATTAGGTCCTTTGCCTGCCCCTGCCCTTGGTAAAACCGTTATTCTGGTTAATACAATTCTCTGATTTCTCTAGCACCTATACCTTTGTATCTGAATATAGCTGTGTAATACTCAGCCTTTAAATTCAAGGCTTTAAGGCCTGGGTATGTTGGCTCACACCTGTAATTCAAGCACTTTGGGAGGCCGAGGCGAGCAGATCACTTGAGGCCAGGAGATCAAGACCAGCCTGGCCAACATGGCAAAACCCCATCTCTACTAAAAATACAAAATTTTAGCCAGGCAAAAATTAGTGGTGGCACATGCCTGTAGTCCCAACTATTTGGGGGGCTCAGGCAGGAGAACCGCTTGAACCTCAGAGGTGGAGGTTGCAGTGAACCCAGATCATGCCACTGCACTCCAGCCTGAGTGACAGAGTGAGACTCCATCTCTAAATTAATAAATAAATAAATAAGGTGTTAGAGGCCTTTAATGATGTCAATAATTTATCTCTAGCTCTGCCTCCTCCATCTTCATTCTCAACTTATTGTCATTCAACTGAGAAAATGGAAGTCATCGGAAGAAAATATCACATCTTGCCAGCACATCTGCTGTCCTTCTGCATCCGGGCTCACATACCTTACCTTCTCTGCTGTTGCCATGAACTCCTAACTAAGCAAATTTTCCCACTTGTGCCTCAGATCCCATCCATTCTTACCTCCTTGGGAATATTATTCCAGCAGTTCTCCCTTCTCCTGCATCACCAATTTCTCCTTCTCCACTGGGTTCCTCTCTTTAGCCTACTGATGTGCTGCTATCTCTCCCATCTTAAGAAAACTAAACAAAAACCCTCTTCTGTCCTCACTTCTCCCTTGATCCAGTTCCTCCATTTTTTCCTTCCATTTACAGAAAAACACTTGGAAAATTTTTTGTTCTGGTTCTATCTAATATCTCTCCTCTGGTTCACTCTTTGTTTTTTAAGACAGAATCTTGATCTGTTGCCTTGGCTGGAATGCAGTGACACTATCACAGTTTATTGCAGTCTTGAGTCCCCCAGGTTCAAGTTATCCTCTCACCTCAGCCTCCCAAGCAGCAGGGACTACAGGCCTGTGCCACTATGCCTGGCTTTTTTTTTTTAATTTTGTAGAGATGGGTTCTCGCTATGTGCCCAGGCTGGTCTCAAACTCCTGGGCTCAGCTGATCCTCGCACTACAGCCTCCGAAGTCTGGGATTACAGGTGTGAGACACCACACTTGGCCCTGATTCACTCTTGAACTCACTATAGATTTTCACCTCCACAGCTTCTCCAAAAGTGCTCTTATTGTGACCACAAACAGCATTCAGATTTCTCACTCCAGTGATCAGTGCCTATGTCATCTGACCTATTACATTTGATAGAACTGAACGCTCTCTCCTCTTTGAAACATTGATTTTCACTTGACTTCTAAGATACCATACTCTCCTGGTTTTCTTTCCAGTCTTTGCTTCTTCTCAAATCTTCATCGATTTCTCCCCACCTTCCTGATCTGTAAACATGGGAGTGCTTTTTTTGCCTCGAGGTTATCATTTGTAAAATGGGATAGTATCTGCTTTGTGGGAATTTGTGAAGATCAAATAAGGTCATAAATGTGAAAGTTTTTATAACTTTATAGTTCTGTGAAATGTTTATTTTAGTATTTTATATTTTAGACTATATTTCACAAGATAGCAAGTGGTCTTACATGGCATCATATTCACTAATAGTCATTTTTTGATTATTTTGATTATTCTCATTGATCATTTTTGTCATACATAGTTAAATATAACTTAACAGCAGTCTTCACTGATGTACATAAAATTATCTTATAACTTCATAACTTAAGTTATAGAAAGTTTCTCTAATACTCTATGAATTACTAACAGATTAGTGTTTTTGGTCTTGGGAGTATCACCTGGTAGGTCATTGGACGTTTGTTTTCAATAAATTTTCTTAAATTAGTATCCTAGCTATCTACCATTCAAGCAGTAAACTTGGAGACATAAGATCTGTAATCTCATTCAAGCCCTTCTATGTGAGTACAGCTTTCTAAGCTTCTGCTTTTTTTGTTTTTTAAATGTAGTGAACTAGATATTTCTTACAACAGTAAAACTCTAAACATTGATTTTGATATATAATGAAGGGTTAAGGTTTTTAAAGTATCTTTCAATTTAATTCATAGTTATTTAAAAATATTTATACTATACATACACCTTGCTCTCAAGTGGCTTTTTCTGCATACATTATCCTGATTAACTGTTTTTACTCTGCGTGTATGTGTGTGTGTATGTATGTATATATGTGATCACAGGATCACAGAATCGAAAAGATGTGTATGTGTTTGTGTGTGTGTGCATATATATACAACATAGCTATACCCCAGTATCTGCAAATCTGCAAGGGATTAGCTCCAGGATCCACCATGGATACCAGAGTCACAGATGCTCAGGTTCCTTATATAAAATGGAATATTATTTGCATATAACCTACACACATCCTCCTGTATACTTTAAGTCATCTCTAGATTATTTATAATACCCAATAAAACTATGCAATAAATACCCAATAAATGCTATGCAAATAGTTGTTAGACTATATTGTTTTTTATTTATTATTTTTTAATTGTTGTTTTGTTATGAGGGGGTTGGATTTTTTGCTTTATATTTTCTTTTTTTTTTTTTTTTTCCTATTAAGACAGAGTCTCACTCTGTTGCCCAGGCTGGAGTGCAGTGGCACGATCTTGGCTCACTGCTGCAACCTCCACCTCCCGTGTTCAAGCGATTCTCCTGCCTCAGCCTCCTGAATAGCTGAGATTACAGGTGTGCTCCACAATGCCTGGTTAACTTTTATATTTTTAGTAGAGATGGGGTTTTGCCATGTTGGCCAAGCTGGTCTCGAACTCCTAACCTCAAGTTATCTGCCTGCCTCGGCCTCCCAAAGTGCTGGGATTACAGGCATGAGCCACTGTGCCCGGCCTTTGTTTTATATTTTCCATCTGCAGCTGGTTGAATCCACAGATGTAGAACCTGCAGATATGGAGGGCCACTTATATGAATATACACTCTTAGATACACACACACATACACACACAAACTCACATATTAGACATTTCAAACTTCAGTGCCTACAAAAGCCAAGTAAATGACATGAAAGAGTTCATTGGACCCCTCATGGGCACTGTGGCAAACAGGGGAGTCATGGCCCTATTTAAATTTAATAGTCAAAGCTCAACTCCACCCAATTGTTGCCATGTAGGAATGTGGGCCCCATGTTCCAGAACCCACTAATATTTCAAGGGAAGTCAAGACTATGGATTTTTATGTCCTCCCAAATATTAAATATTGGAAACAAATTCAGAATTTTTACAAGCATTATATGAACCAAATACATTCTGTGGCCTGTTTGGAGCCGGTGAGCCACCAGTTTGTGACTTCTATCAATATATAAACTAGAAAGATATGTACCATTGTTCATGAAATCTGATAAGTTTTGCTTAAGACCCACTAAGTTCCTCTTTGAATTTGTACTCTAGCCAAGAAAAGGTGATGGGGGTTGGGGGAATGCCCTGCCCAAGAGCAAAGTAATCAGGTAACAGAGTAACTTGATAAAAGTTTGCTTTTAAAGTATGTGTAGGTGCACTATCTAATGAGATCATCAGCTGACACACATCATTTTTTGTCTTTAAAAAATCACAAGTTTTTTGATTCTGTGATTTCAATTTCATACTTTCTTTTTTTTTTTTTTTTTTTTTCGTTTTGAGGCTGAGTCTCATTCCATCACCCAAGCTGGAGTGCAGTGGTGTGATCTCAGCTCACTGCAACCTCCACCTCCTAGGTTCAAGTGATTCTTGTGCCTCAACCTCCTAAGTAGCTGAGATTACAGGTGTGCACCACCACACCCAGCCAATTTTTGTATTTTTGGTAGAGACGGGGTTTCACCATGTTGGCCAAGCTGGTCTCAAACTCCTGACCTCAGGCGATCCGCCCCCATTGGGCCTCCCAAAGCGCTGGGATTACAGGCGTGAGTTACCGCGCCTGGCCCAATTTCATATTTTCTTATTGTGAATATTAATTTGTTAGAAAATTATCCCAAGTAATATTTTAGTTCAAATAGAAACTAAATGTTTTGGCCCACTATTCATAATTCCAGCTCTGTTTTAAGTAACACAGTTATTTAATCTAACTTGTCATTAAATGGACTTTTTCTTCATTATATTAAGTTCTCCTTTTTAATGATTTTAGAGATTCAGAGTAAAAGCTCAGTGTAATATAAAAACCCAAAATAATCAGATTTTAATGAATATAAATAACTAAATGGAGAAGAGACTGAATAAAACATATTAATTATTTCAGTTAGTGACAGGGGTTGTGATTCTTTGATATCATATGGTGAAAGTGTTGGATTTATGGTTTGCCTTATTTAGTCAATTAAAATATCTCCTTAACTATACTTTAACCTGCCAATAAAGAAACAAATAATTTTAACTGCTTAAGAGCATTTTTAAGTAAGGTACTGGCAGGGGTCATGAAATCCTCAAAGACAATGCTATGAAATACTCCAAAGGACTGTTTTTCAGCCAATTTTAAGAATACAACCAACTTTATTAGCCAGGCATGGTGGCTCACACTCGTAGCCCCAGCTACTCGGGTGGCTGATATGGGAGGATGTCTTGAGCCCAGGAGGTTGAGGCTGCAGTAAGCCATGATTGTACCACTGCACTCCCAGCCTGGGCAACAGAGCGAGACTGCCTCAAAAAAAAAAAAAAAGATTGCAGCCAACTTTAAATTATTGCTACACTGATTATGTGACTTTGCAGTCTAGGATTTCTTAACAATCTGGTTAAGGGAATAGTAGTTTTCTAAAAGTGTTTGGTGTGTACCACATATTTGGAAAATAAAAATAAAAGCCATACGTTGCCAGAAGTTTACATATCTTTCTTTCATGATCTATTATATTTATTATAACATTTAACTCTCAAAAGGCAGATTTTTTTTCTCTATGAATACAGGGTGGGGCACCCTTCTTGTTGCATCAGTGTGCTGCCTGCAATTTGTAGTTATATTGCATAAGACCATGTTGAGAGTTCTTTTTTGCATGTAATTCTAGAGCTAGAATGACTTTAGCAAGTATGTGGCTTGTCATCCTTATTTTTTAAGTGAGAAAACAGGGCCTCACAAATATTTTTGCTTAAAGTTAGTAGCAGAGCCATAGCTGGAATTCATATCCTTCGATTCCAAGTATAATGTCCTTTATGTCATTTCTTTCTATGTTGTTTTTCTCAAAAACAGACATCTTTTTGCCCCATCTTTCACCACTGCTTTGTTCACACCTGGGAACCACAAGTTTGTGGAACTCTCTTCTTATTGCAAATACCTGTTATCTTTTATCCAGGAAAAAAAATCAAATCAATTTCTAGTAGATTTGATCACTTGGACTTCTCTATTTGACACTTCCTTAGCTCTTTTTCATTTTTTGGCCTGGCTTTTTATTACCTCTTCAACTTTCTTATTAACAATCTCTATATTTTCATTTATATTCATCTTTGTTCCTAATTCTGTTGTGCTCCAAAAGAGAATTCTTTTGTATCTTTAAACTCATTCAAGTAGTGACCTAGACTGAAAGAATACTACAGACACCTTCTGTAGATGAATTACCATGAGATTAGCATCTTCAAGTTTTAAGAATTCTTAAGATGAATAGACTTTTCATGTTTTATTAGATTTTATCCTTATATTATGAGAGGAAAAAATACACAGATCTTTCTTAAGAATAATAGTTATCAACATTCTAGATCAGAGTTATTCTTTTTACTTATTTGTCCTGTCAGACTTTCATAATTTAAAATAATAGGTCTGTAGACAGTCACTTTCTTACACCTCATTTACTTTTTTTTTAAATTAAAGGCAAGTGGTCAAACTCTAAAAATCAAAAAACTTCATGTCAAAGGAAAAAAGACTAATGAGTCAAAGAAAGGCAAGAAGGTAACTTTAACAGGAGATACTGAAGATGAAGACTCTGCATCTACAAGTAGTTCACTAAAAAGAGGAAACAAAGACCTCAAGAAAAGAAAAATGGAGGAAAACACTTCTATTAACTTGTCAAAACAAGAAAGTTTTACTTCAGTTAAGAAACCTAAAAGAGATGACTCCAAGGACCTAGCTCTTTGCAGGTATTATTTCCGTTTTCATGCACTGTATATTTATAATGCCCCATTTTATTTGTTTAGAAACCTTTTACCATATTAAAGCTTTCTTTCTGATAATTTATGTAAATAAAAAAATGTAAAGCATAAATGTTAAGAAAATATATAAGTAAAAGTATAGTAAATGTATTCCTTTATCTTCTTTTAATGTTAATTTGCATTGAGTTTTTATTTGAAAGATTATAATTGGGCCTGGCACAGCGGCTCACACCTGAAATCCCAGCACTTTGAGAGGTCAAGACAGGTGGGTCACCTGAGGTCAGGAGTTCAAGACCAGCCTGGCCAACATGGTGAAACCCTGTCTCTACTAAAAATACAAAAATTAGCTGGGTATAGTGGCGTGCACCCATAATCCCAGCTACTCGAGGGGCTGAGGCAGGAGAATCACTTGAACCCGGGAGGCAGGGGTTGTAGTGAGCCGAGATGGTGCCACTGTGCTCCAGTCTGGGCGATAGAGCAAGACCCTATCTCATATATATATATATATATATATATATATATAAAATATATATATATATATATATATAATATATATATATATAATATATATATATATATAATATATATATATATATAATATATATATAATAACTGAAAGCTTTTTTAATTAAAAAATAAGACAGTTGTAAAGTATGGATACTGATTTCAAACATTATTTTCTTTAGTATGATTCTGACTGAAATGGAAACTCATGAGGATGCATGGCCTTTTCTACTTCCTGTAAACTTGAAACTTGTTCCTGGTTATAAGAAAGTTATTAAGAAGCCTATGGATTTTTCCACAATTAGAGAGAAACTAAGTAGTGGACAGTAAGTAAATCATTTCAGTTCACTAAATATTTATTGAATACCTGATATATGCTAGGCATATTTTTAGTGAGCCAAAGATATTTTAATTAACAGCAAGATATAGGCCCTGCCTTTGAGGCAGGTGTGTGTGTGTGTGTGTGTGTGTGTGTGTGTGTGTGTGTGTGTGTGTGTGTGTGTGTGTGTGTATTTGGTTAGAGTAGAATAGTATAGAAGAGAAACCAACTAAAATTATTTAAGAAATTAAAAACCCGTGTAATAAACCTGCTTTTGACATTGAAAGAGCACCACAAACCCAAGCTGAAGGTAAGGAAAAGTATCAGGAGAGCCTCCCAAAGTAAGTAACATATAAGCCGGAATTTGTATTTTGCATCCATGGAGTATCAACCACACGTCATATGGATTTAACAAAAATTGACTCAAATATTGTTAGATTATCACAATGTAGAAATAGAAGATCTTTGGAAGCTTTACATATTAAGAGCTTTAATGTGAGTTATTGGAGAATACCAAAATTCCATTTATTAAATGCGGGAGAGAAAGCTTATTTGCTTTTCTCTACCATATTCTCTTTGCAATCCTATTCCAAGAATAAAGTTACTTACTTTGGGAGGCTTTCCTGATACTCATACAATATATATTTTAATTACATTGTTATTATCCAGTATATTATTTAGTTCTTCCTATACATTCTTTTGGTGAAAATAACTGTTCTCTATGATTTATATTCAATTTAGAAGAGTTAAATAGAACTTATAATGATCAGCATCCCTCACATATATCAACTGATTTACTAGATTGACCAAATGACAAATTTATTTCTTTGGAGGATGAAATAACAGCCGTCCAAAGGTTTATGTCTGTTTTGTTTTATTATTTTTTAATTACAGAAGGGACCTGCCTAAGTTAAGGAAGCGTTTAAATGATTGATTGGTACTGATTGGTTCCAATATGCAAACACTGTTACCTAGATATGGACTAGTTCTTTTGTTTGTTCTTTTTTTTTTTTTTTGAGAGAGTTTCACTTTTGTTGCCCAAGCTGGAGTGCAGTGGTGCATCTCGGCTCACTGCAATCTCTGCCTCCCGGGTTCAAGTGATTCTCCTGCCTCAGCCTCCCAAGTAGCTGGGATTACAGGTGCACGCCACCATGCCTGGCTAATTTTTTGTATTTTTAGTATAAACAGGGTTTCACCATGTTAGCCAGGCTGGTCTCGAACTCCTGACCTCAGGTGATCCGCCCACCTCCACCTCCTAAAGTGCTGGGATTACAGGCGTGAACCACCTCACCCAGCCTCTTTTGTTTGTTCTATCAAAATAGTTGTCTAGGTAGATGGCACAATGAAATTTATAACTAACATGGCCAAGAAAAAGAATTACACATGAAGACTTTACTAGTATTTAAATTAACTCTTGATTTTAACTTCCATGATCTTCCAATTCCTGGATAAAAGATTAACGTAAACCTCAAAATTCCTAAAACAAATAGGCTTAGAAATATTTATAACAAAAAAATGCTACAAAATCATATGGGCCAGGCAAGGTGGCTCACGCCTGTAATCCCAGCACTTTGGGAGGTGGAGGCAGATGGATCACTTAAAGTCAGGAGTTCAAGACCAGCCTGGCCAATATGGTGAAATCTCATCTCTACTAAAAGTACAAAAATTAGCTGGGCATGGTGGTGTATGCCTGTAGTCCCAGCTACTCAGGGATGAGGCACAAGAATCACTTGAAACTGGAGGTGCAGGTTGCAGTGAGTTACCTCGCCACTGCACTCCAGCCTGGGCAACAGAGTGAGATTGTCTCAAAAAAAAAAAAAAAAGCTACAAAATCAGAGCTCCTTTGAAAAATGAGTCCCAGTGAATGGAGGAAGTCACAGGGGAAGAGAAAGAGAGAAGGAAACAGTCTGTGTATTCCTGTTTGTGATGCCAGGTGTGTGGGAAGCAAAATTTCAGTGGATTCAAGCTCCTCGAACTCTCCACTTTGAGTTGTTTGATTAAACCCAAATTAATGAGTTGGAACCAAAACTCACAAACCATATTTCAAATTTTTAAACTAGAAATTTTTAGAATAGAGGGAGGGGCCTACTTACATGAATTTTTCTGAGTTCCATTAGCTGCCCCATCCCATAAAGGAAGGACACACATATGAGTTGTATACTTTTTTCACCTAGAATCTCACCTAGAATTCTCTCCTGGACTCCACTCTCCCTAATGTTAATCATTAACCTTTTCTTAGGGTAAGGAACAAAGGCAGAAGTAGTTCTCAAATCAACTTTAAAATATTTTGTAAAAATCATTCCCACACAGATTGTATGATTCCATTTAGATGAAGTATCTGGAATAGATAAATCCATAGAGACAGATAGAAGATTGGTGGTTGCCAGGTACTGGGAAGAGGGAGGAATGGGGAATAACTGTTTAATGAGTATGATGTTTCCTTTCAGGGTGATGACAGTGTTTTAGAAGTGACGATAATACAGTGTTGTGACTTAAATGCCACTGAACTGTCCACCTTAATATGGTTAATTTTATGTGAATTTCTTAACCTCAGTAAAAATAAGCAAGTAATTCCTAGGAAAATGGATGAGGTTACATAAGGGCTGACTTAACTCTGTGAGCACATTACGCATAGAGAAATATTTCTTTCATTATCGCACAGAAGAAGCGAGTGAAAGGTCATACAAGATATTTCACCAAAGAAATAGAATTCCACTTTGACAAGATCTCACAGCGTCAGTGCCTCATAGGGTATTTCTCTTTTTTTAATTTTTATTTTAATTTTTGCAGGTACACAGTAGGTGTATATATTTATGGACTACATGAGATACAGGCATGCAATGCATAATAATCACATCATGGAAAATTGGGTATTCATCACCTCAAGCATTTATCCTTTGTGTTACAGATAATCCACTTCTACTCTTTTACTTATTTTAAAGTGTACAATTAAACTATGATTGACTATAGTCTCCTTGTTGTGCTGTCACATACTAGGTCTTATTCATTCCTTCTATTTTTTTGTACCCATTAACTATCCCCACCTCCCCACTGCAGTTCCCAGCCTCTGGTAACCATCCTTCTACTCTGTTTCCATGAGCTCAATTGTTTTGATTTTTAGATCCCACAAATAAGTGAGAACACGTGATGTTTGTGTTTCTGTGCCTGGCTTATTTCACTTAATATAATGACCTCCAGTTTGATCCACGTTGTTTCAAATGACAAAATCTCATTCTTTTTTTATGGCTGAATGGTGCGCCATTGTGTTTAAGTACCATGTTTTCTTTATCCATTCGTCTGTTGATGGACACTTAGATTGCTTCCAAACCTTGGCTATTGTGAACAGTGCTGCACCAAACATAGGAGTGCAAATATCTCTTTCATAAACTGATGTCCTTTCTTTTGGGTATATACTCAGCTGTGGGATTGCTGGATCACATGGTAGCTCTGTTTTTAGTTTTTTTGAGGAACCTACAAACTGTTCTCCATAGTGGTTGTACTAATTTACACTCATGAGATATTTTTAATGGTTACATTATTTTAGTATACAGATTGTCATAGGTTAGAATTAACTTAAAATTTGCATTTCTAAAAGCTATCTTTTAAAATGTATTGAACTGGCTTGAGTTGGTTTGAAATGACCATTCCCTTCTTACTAATAAGCTTATGCAGATTCATTCACCTTTCTTTTCTCTTTTCTGTTTTTCTACAGAGAAAGAGAATTGGGCTTATCCCGCCAGAAAAGCACAGAAGCCACAGTGCTTCTTGTTGAAAGACAGACCCTCATAATGTTACCTCTAGTAGAAAGATAGCATATGCTTGTTTTGCTTGTTTGGGTTCATCATACTCTATTGCTTGGGCAGAAGAGCACATATGAAGAGAAGAGAAATGGGAAATGGGGAAGACAACGCAGAGCACCATATCTTGGGGTGTATATAGAAGCTACAGGACAAGTGTAATTTTTATCATTGCATGGGGAGCATTGACATAATTTCTACTGCAGCTGAGCATTTTTTAATATGGATAATAGGATTCTGCAAGTGATACATTTGGTCAGAGAACTTAATAAACTAGTCAAGTGGGATAGGTCCTGTGACAGAATTGTGTGATACAGGTCAAACAGGAGTTGGGTTATGGGGAAAATGCCAGTTGAAATATGTTTTGATCTTTGGAGAAACCTATTTTTTCATTTAACCTGTTCTTTAAATCCAGTATGTTCCAGAACATACAAAAATGTTTAAATGTTCCATTTGTAAGAGGATATCATGTATTTTATATCAATTTAAATGCAGTTATCCTAATCATTTTTCTTTCATTTTTACCCTTTATTAACTCTTCATTTGTTTACAAAACAAATCCACTCTATGAACGCAATCTCTAATTATTTGTTTTCTTTCAGGTATCCAAACCTTGAAACCTTTGCTCTAGATGTCAGGCTTGTTTTTGACAACTGTGAAACATTTAATGAAGATGATTCTGATATAGGCAGAGCTGGCCACAATATGAGGAAGTATTTTGAAAAAAAGTGGACAGATACTTTCAAAGTGAGCTGAAGTTATAATAATCTCTTTATTTTTTTCCTTCTAAACAAGGACAAATGAGACCAGCAATGTGAACTGTATTTACATAAACGTGCAAGGCACATACATAATGACTTTCTTTTTCCTTAAGTATAAAAAAAAAGTATCAGAAGAATGATACCATTTTTAAAGGCTTCATTCCTACAACAACCAAGGCCCTCGGTTATTGGTTTGTGTGATTTATCAGCTAATTTAGGTAGAACAGGGAAGCACACCCAAAGAATTTTCAAAGGAAAGGGTGTTATAGTGCAATAGCAATTAAAATATATCAAATCGCACTGAATACTCAACACCAGAGCTCTAATGTGGGAAATGGTTCTCCTTTCCCTCTCAATAAATATCTATTTTTCATTTTTTTACTTTGTAGTTTATTTTTTAGTGAATGTATTTAATTTTATGAATTATTTATGATTAAACCACATCCAGAATCTTCGTTTTCTGTGAAAAGGAAGAACTAGAAAATTGCTTTAAATCTTGAAAATACAAGGAATGTTTTAAAATATAAAACAAAGCCAAGTTAAACTGTTTACACTGATGTGCTATAAAAGCACCAAAAAGAAACTTTACTGTAGAGTTACAAGTACATTTATATATATATGTTGCTGCATCACTTGTGTAGTTAAATTGTATTTCAAAACAGTGAAAAAATTGACATGTATATACTGTTCATTCTTGTTTATATTAAGTCTTGTTTTAAATATGTATTATGTGTATATATTGTTTGCAGACATTATTGTTCATGCCTTAGAGGATTGTAGCATTTTATTTTCGTCTGAAGGTAATGATAGCTATACAGTCTGTACAGTAATTATCCTCTACCAACACTGTGGCGTCTCCTTAATCTTGGTAGTGCCTGCCTTTGAAACAGGGTGTAGGGGATATTAGTTTTCCATTTTTCTATTTTGTTATATAATTTTAAGCCACCAGGGCCTAAATTAAAGTATAATCATTTGTATCCATGTGGAATAAAATTGTGACAATTTCCTACGCACACAGTATTTTTTCATAGAAACATTTCCCTCCCATTTGCCTTGCCTCAGAAATAAATTTAAAAGACGTTTGTAACCACTGTGTTTTATCTACTGTGTGTTGTGGTGGCCTGTTGGAGGCAAATAGATCAGATTTTTTTTGTACCTACGTAAGAGTACTTGAAGTTTTATTTAAAATAAAATGTTGTGGAAAAGGTAGCATTCTTTTTTTAGGAGTGTTATTTTTCACTATGTGTGGCACGGATACAATAAAAGACTTTTACAAACTAATTTTTTAGTTTTTCTTAATGTACCTGAAAATATATTCTTTTTTAAAAGCCAGTTAATTTAAATTTGATTTTTACAGAGACCTGTAGGAGGAACAGTGTGTAGAGTGTGGTTCAAAGAGCACTGGGCTGGGTGGAAGAGGGTGAGTTTAAGTCAGGTGGCCAAACTTCTGTAGCCTGAAAACCTCTCTGGTCTGCGAACTTCTCCGAACCTTGTCTTCTTTCTTATTTCACATTTTCAAGATGAAAATATTAGAATACATTAGATCTTGTTCTGGTCTGAAAAATGCCTCTATGGGTAGCCAAATAACTCAGTTGTCAAGAAGAAAAACGGATATATAAATTAGTCTAATAAGACATGTATTTCTCCAAGAATTCAAGAAATGCAATTTGCTGCCCTGCTGGGCTCCGCCAGACTCCGGAGAATCATTGGCGTACAAGACAGGCCTTGCCTTCATGGAGCTTATAGCCCCTTGAAGTGGGCCTTAGATAATGTCCACTGCTTTTTATCATGAAGAGAGAATATAGAAATGTTTTGCAAAAAATTTTTTTAACTTCACAAAGCTTCAAAGCCACAGAGTATTTTCAGTATCTCTAGATTGTTTGTGAAGACTTATATGAAAAATCAGCTGTTACTATGTAAATATGTCAGTTTCTGTTAACCAGATATTGCAGTGATGCCTTAAAGGGGCTGGTGCTTAAGCAAAAATGCTTTGTAGAGCAGGGAAGAAGGCAGCACTGTGAATAAAAGTGTCTGGTTTTTGTGTTTCTAGAACTGCCTGATGCTCCATGGGGATTCTTCATGATGATTTTTTTTTGCCTTAGAGATTATATATGCTTATGTTAATTTATATTAGATGGTATATAAGGGGCTTGATAATAACATGTCTGGTGCCTCAGGGGCTCATAAATAAGAAAGTACTTAAACACACACACCAAAATTTTTGAGAGTGATAATTTTAAAAATAAATAGGAAAAAAAGAAAGGCTTGGTAAACACTGGCTACTTCGGACTGGTGTCTTCATTGTTGTTACTCAGCAGAGGTAGCTGTTAAACACTGAGTGGGCATGAGCCCACAAGGGCTGCGGTTGGAGCACATGACAGTGGTTACTATACATACGTGGATCACTTGTTATGTAAGTGATTCATGCACTCCCAGTGCCCTTGGTTGGGCTTATTCTCAATAAAACCAGTATCATTGTTCTCCTCAAATTAAAAAAAAAAAAGATTATCCTAACTCTCTCTGCTGTCACATAATTGCAAGTATATACAACATATTTTCCTTAAGATAAATTAGGCTTTCACCTGAAGCTTCCTCATTTTAGTCCTAAAATCTGTAAATTATTAAGAAACTGGCCTACTTTCAAGTTTAGATTTAGATTACCACTCAAGTGGTGACCAACCAAGGATAACCAAACAATCCACTACTGTTGAACACAGAAAATAATCATCAGTTTGAAACAGTATGCAGACAGTAAAGTAATATTTGAGTTGTTAACCACAGTGAAAATTAAACAGGTGAAGATGTGTCTATAGGTACACCTAAAACCCAAAAGAAGTAAATTAACCATAAATGCAAGGTGATCTTTTTCTTGTTCCAACTCCAAAATAAAACTTGTCACAAGCACCAGTTTTAATCTGAATTATGAAGGATCTAATCTGTCTTTAGTACCTTAATGTACCCCTCCATGCTCCTTCTCTTTTCCAGCCCCTCAATCCCCATATTCTTTAAGGAAATTCAAAATTCTGTCCCTTTAGCTTTCTCCCTTTAAACACATCCTCAACAAGGAAATCTGCTATCAGACATTTATTCCTAATTGTACTTTTAATTTATGAGCTTCCTCTTTCAAGGTTATTTGCTTTTCAAATATCTCCATTTGAGAAATGAAAGAGGTTTGTGTCTTCCTAAAAGAATTTTATTTCAACAAGGAGAATAAAGGAGGTATTTTATTTTATTTTATTTTATTTTATTTTATTTTATTGAGACAGAGTATTGCTCGGTCGCCCAGGCTGGAATGCAGTGGTGTGATCACAGCTCACTGCAACCTCCGCCTCACGGGTTCAAGTGATTCTTGTGCCTCAGCCTCCTGAGTAGTTGGGACTACAAGCACGTGCCACCACACCTGGCTGATTTCTGTATTTTCAGTAGAGATGGGGGTTTCACTATATTGGCCAGGCTGTTCTCAAACTCAGATGATCTGCCTGCCTCAGCCTCCCAAAGTGCTGGGATTACAGACATAAGCCACTAAAATGTTCTTTTCTTTCTTTTTTTTTTTTTTTTTTTTTTTTTTTTGAGATGGAGTCTTGCTCTGTCACCCAGGCTGGAGTACAGTGGTGCAATCTCGGCTCACTGCAAGCTCCGCCTCCTGGGTTCACACCATTCTCCTGCCTCAGCCTCCCAAGTAGCTGGGACTACAGGTATCCTCCACCACGCCCGGCTAATTTTTGTATTTTTAGTAGAGACGGGGTTTCACCGTGTTAGCCAGGATGGTCTCGATCTCCTGACCTCGTGATCTGCCCCCACGGCCTCCCGAAGTGCTGGGATTACAGGCGTGAGCCACCGCGCCCGGCCAAGCCACTAAAATTTTCTTTCCAGGGGGATGTGACTTTAAAAACTAGGGAAATGAATAGAATCTTATCTGCTGGGAATCTTGCTTCAACAAGATCTCTTAGACTTGCTTTGGCCTCATTACAACTCTACAAAAAAAGGAATTTTTTTTAAACCTCAAATAATTGAGGTAATTAATTTCTTTCTTCAATTCATGGCACACTCTTTACATTATTCTTGCAAAGCCCCTCTGTGTTACTTTTTTTGTTTTATTCTTCAGTTCATCTCCACTTTCCCCTATATACAACCACTTAAAATATGCCTTTCCAGTCGACTACTTATGTATTTATTTAGCAATATGTTTCTTTATATAATATGAAAAATACGTATGTACACACAGTGGTTTTTAGACATATCAGTTGTATTATGCTATAAATCTTATTGTTTTTAAATTCTGTTTCTGTTTCTTTTGAGTTGAAAAAATGTGTAACTCTAGTTCATTGGTTTTGATTGCTATAAGGTATTCCATCAGAGGCATACACAACATTTTACTTACAAATTCCTCTAGAAATGAAAACCTAGGTTGCCTGCAACTCATTGTCACTGCAAATAATACTTCAGTGATTTTTTTAATACATGGACTTGTGTATGGAATCCAGTTTCCAAGGTATCCCCAAGTGACCCTTGTCTTCTAGTATTCATGCCCATGTATAATCCCTTTCCACATTGTGTCGGGGTTAATCTTTGTGACCAACCTAATATGGCATAGTGATAGCTTTGTGAATTCCCAGACTAAGTCATAAAATAACACTGCTGCTTCCGCCTTGTTCTCTTGGATTACTTGTTCTCGGCAAAACCAGCCATTATGTTATGAGGATGCTTTAGCAGCCCAGCCCTATGGAGCAGCCAATAGCTACCACCAGCTTACCAGCCCTGTGCCTGAGGCATCTTAGAAGTGGATCCTTTAGCCCAAGTTAAACATTCAGATGACCGGAGCCCCAGCCAACATCTCGACTGAAACTTCATAAGCAACCCTGAGCCAGAACTATCCAGCTAAGCCACTCCTGATTTCTTGACCCACAAAAACTATGAGATAATAAATGTTTATTGTTGGTTTAAACCACTCCGTTTTGAATAATTTGTTATCCGTCAATAGATAACTAATATCCTGAGGTAAGAGTTTCTCTTGGATCTACACAGGGGAGTATGCCCCAGTTGTTAGGTCTGTACTTGTTTAACTTGCCATGATATTGCCATGCTACTCTCCAGACGACTGCAGCAGTTTAGCCTCCTACCATCAATGGAAGAGGGCTCTTTCTCCCTACTGCCCAACCAGTGCCCAATATTTGGATTATTTTTTCCTAACAACTTATTACAGATTTTGAATTTTGAAAAGTATCAAGCATTTATTATTATTATTATTATACTTTAAGTTCTGAGATACATGTGCAGAATGTACAAGTTTGTTCCATTGGTATACACATGCCATGGTGGTTTGCTGCACCCATCAACCCGTCATCTACATTAGGTATTCCTCCTAATGCTATCCCTCCCCTAGCCTCCAATCCCCCCACAGGCACCGGTGTGTGATGTTCCCCTCCCTATGTCCGTGTGTTCTCATTGTTCAACTCCCACTTACGAGTGAGAACGTGCAGTGTTTGGTTTTCTGTTCCTGTGTTAGTTTGCTGAGAATGATGGTTTCCAGCTTCATCCATGTCCCTGCAAAGGACATGAACTCATCCTTTTTTATGGCCGCATAGTATTCCATGGTGTATATGTGCCACATTTTCTTTATCCAGTCTATCATTGATGGGCATTTGAATTGGTTCCAAGTCTTTGCTATTGTGAACAGTGCTGCAATAAACATACGTGTGTATGTGTCTTTATAGTAGAATGATTTATAATCCTTTGGGTATATACCCAGTAATGGGATTGCTGGGTCAAATAGTATTTCTGGTTCTAGATCCTTGAGGAATCACCACACTGTCTTCCACAATGGTTGAACTAATGTACACTACCACCAACAGTGTAAAAGCGTTCCTATTTCTCCACAGCCTCGCCAGCATCTGTTATTTCCTTTTTAATGATCGCTATTTTAAGTGGCGTGAGATGGTGTCTCATTGGGCTTTTGATTTGCATTTCTCTAATGACCCGTGATGATGAGCTTTTTTTCATGCCTGTTGGCTGCATCAGTGTCTTCTCTTGAGAATTGTCTGTTCATATCCTTTACCCACTTTTTGATGGGGTTATTTTTTTCTTGTAAATTAGTTTAAGTTCTTTGTAGATTCAGGATACTAGCGCTTTGTCAGATGGCTAGATTGCAAAAATCTTCTCCCATTCTGTAGGTTGCCTGTTCACTCTGATGATAGTTTCTTTTGCTGTGCAGAAGCTCTTTAGTTTAATTAGGTCCTATTTGTCAATTTTGGCTTTTGCTGCCATTGCTTTTGGTGTTTTAGTCGTGAAGTCTTTGCCCATGCCTATGTCCTGAATGGTATTGCCTAGGTTTTGTTCTAGGGTTTTTATCGTTTTAGGTCTTACGTTTAAGTCTTTAATCCATCTTGAGTTAATTTTTGTATAAGGTGTAAGTTTCAGTTTTCTGCATATGGCTAGCCAGTTTTCCCAACACCATTTATTAAATAGGGAATCCTTTCCCTGTTGCTTGTTTTTCTCAGGTTTGTCAAAGATCAGAGGGTTGTAGATGTGTGGCATTATTTCTGAGGCCTCTGTTCTGTTCCATTGGTCTATATATCTGTTTTGGTACCAGCACCATGCTGTTTTGGTTACTGTAGCCTCGTAGTATAGTTTGAAGTCAGGTAGCGTGATGCCTCTAGCTTTGTTCTTTTTGCTTAGGATTGTGTTGGCTATACAGGCTCTTTTTTAGTTCCATATGAAATTTAAAGTAGTTTTTTCTAATTCTGTGAAAAAAGTCAATGGTAGCTTGATGGGGATAGCATTGAATCTATAAATTACTTTGGGCAGTATGGCCATTTTCACGGTATTGATTCTTCCTATCCATGAGCATGGAATGTTTTTCCATTTGTTTGTGTCCTCTCTTGTTTCCTTGAGCAGTATCAAGCATTTTTTTCTAGTCACATGAACAGCTTTAATTTTCATTTACCTTTTTGTAGTTTTTATCTTATGTAGACATAGCTTAACCCTATCTGCTTTCTAGACTGTAGAAATGGCCCCAAATTTTACTTTCAGCAAGTGATATTCAGGAGATGAAACATTCGCATTTGCTGTGGTTACTTGGAAAGACTGATGGTGCTAAAGGAAAAGCTCAGATAGGTATACAGAAGTTCCTAGAAAATAGAGTTTTGGGTGAGACTGGGGCTAACAGATTTATGAGTTACTGTAGCAAAAGAAGTATTTGTACGTGTGCTGGATAGGCAGTTGGCTAAATCCAAGGTGAAAGGAAAAAGCTCATTGGGTTCTTCTGGACCTTCACGGAAAGAATTTTGCACCTTAGCATTTAAGTCCATGGAAAGGCAGTGGCAAAATTACTATGTGATATCCATTTGTAGTTTCTCTTCCTTAGCCATACACATGAAGATTAGCTGGGTTGTTCTCATTAGATGCCTAAAGAAAAATGCATTATGGCAATACCATAAATTGTGCGTAGTTCATTCTTTAAATGTTTTTTAAATTTAAAACCTTTTTTGGCCAGGTGCAGTGGCTCACGCCTGTAATTCCAGCACTTTGGGAGGCCAAGGTGGGCAGGTCACCTGAGGCCAGGAGTTCCAGACCAGCCTGACCAACATGGCAAAACCCCGTCTCTACTAAAAAATACAAAAATTAGCCAGGCATGGTAGTGCACACCTGTAGTCCCAGCTACTGGGGAGGCTGAGGCAGGAGAATCACTTGAACACAGGAGACCGATGTTGCAGTGAGCTGAGATCGTGCCACTGCACTCCAGCCTGGGCAACAGAGTGAGGCTCTGTCCCAAATAAATAAATAAAATAAAACCTTTCTTAAAAATTAAGTATTAAGCTGGACTTGAAAGAATATCCTTATTACCTCTGAACAGACTCCTCGTTATGTCCCTTAGTAAAAATAGCCATAATAATCATGGTAGTGGCTATCAAAAGAATGTGGTTGAATCTTGAAGAGAAATTCATTAGTGAATGAAAAAGAGAAATAAGGCTTATTCCCATTTGGGAATAGATCTTGGGTGGAGGTAAAAGGAAAGCTCAGTGACATTAGTAGGCCATTAAAAACGAGTGAGGCATTCACATGACACAGATTTGCATGGAGACAGTAAAAGGCCTGGAGAGGCTATAGACTTATTCTAATCATTTTTCTAATCTCCAGATATTTTCACAGCTTTTTCAAGATTGCACTCAGCATTCGTGATGCACTTTCCTGTCTTCATTGTGCCAAGTCTCAATTCTTTTGAATACAGAAGTGACTTTTTTGAAACAAAGACAGATTCTACCCAGCCATTAAAACTTATGTAAATCTATGTAAATATTAGTAAATTAAGTTGAAAGGCTGGCTATAGTATAGAACATAGAGTATTTCTGTAAAATATATTGTACTTAGCATGGAGAAAATTCTGAAGGGGATGTATGTATATATTTAAATGTTAGCTTTTTCCTCTAGTTGGTAGAATTTGGAAAGACTAATGTCATCTTCCTTATCTGTATATAATATCTCTGCAGCAAATGTACATTGTTTGCTTTTTAAACATTTAAAAAATCTTTTACAACCAAGGAGGGTCAATTTAGCTAGTAGATATAACTGGTGAATTTACTAAAAAATGTCATTTAAGGATTAAAATTGATATAACATTACATAATGATTGAGATGCAGGTTAACCTCACATATAAGATCTAACTTAAGTTAGTTTTTTATTGTATAGATATTTTGTATGTAAAATATCTATATAATAAATAGACACTTCAGTTGCCTATTCAGCAGCAGTCTTGTCTATCTTCACTCCTTCCTTTAGATGCTGGTTGGCCATATGATTCCAGGGGTGAATCTTTGTTAGTAAGCCAACCATAGTAATTCCATTCCTCTTGCAAGTGATTGCTTAATGAAGGCATGTGATAGAATTCTAGGTAGTGACGAGAGCAAGTCTGCTGGGAGACTCCTGGAGAAGTGTCCTGTGGAGAACTTGTGTCCCAAAGAGACATATTCTCTTGTCTTTGGAGATGGTTGTCAGAGGCCATGATGCTTGGAGCTTCTGCAGCCATTATATAACTATGCAGAGAGAAAATAAAAGTAACTGAGGAAAGGGGTGAGGACGGGAGGGGGAAAGAAAGGACTTGGGTAATAACATGAGCCATCAAATTAACCTTGGAACCACCACTACATCTGAACATTTTGCTAGGTGAGGTAATAAATTTGTTGTGTAAGCCATTTGATTTGAGTCTTTTCTTTTGGATGGAAGTATCTTGATATAGCCAGGGCTACTGCTTCATAGTTATTCAGGCTACATGCTGTACAACTCAAGCGTGCTTCATTTATGTAGATTAGGGTACAGCTTATTTTACAGATAAGAAAACTAATACCAATACTGCTAATACTCATTGCCACCCAGCTTGGTAAACTTGAGTTAGGACTTAAACATTTGTTTTTGGCCTTCAAAAACAGCATTCCTCAGAACATGCTATGACTGATTTTCTTGATGACCTTAAATATTTGTTGAATGCATTTTTCCACAAAATATTCCAAAACTGATTTGAGCACTGGTAGCATTACAGAATAATATCTAGATGTTTATTTTCATTTTATTTATTTATTTATTTATTTATTTGAGATAAGGTCTTGCTCTGTTGCCCAGGCTGGAGTGTACTGATGCAACCATGGCTCACTGCAGCCTCAACCTCCTGGACTCAAGCAATGTTCCCCTCAGCCTCCTGAGTAGCTGGGACCACAGGCCCATGCCACCACACCTAGCTAATTTTTTTTTTAAGAGATTGGGTCTTGCCATGTTGCCCAGGCTGGTCTCGAACTCCTGGGCTCAAGCAATCCTCCCACTTCGGCCTCCCAAAGTAGCAGGATTATAGGCATGAGCAATTGCGCCCAGCCAGGATGTTTATTCTTAAAATATTAATGCATACTAGTTTATTTAGAAACAGTTACATTGCTTTGGAATGAAAATATAAAAAGAAGAATGAAAGCTAAGTTTGCTTCTGTACATGAGGAAGAAACTAGGTCTAACTTTAAGCCTCCCACTGTAATCAATCAGGCAACTGGAGAAAATATATGAAATAAATGTGTTCAGACATTAGATTATAGGCAGTACAAGACTCTAATTCCTAAAATAAGTGTAACAAATGAAGCTGGCCTTGTGTTTTCCCTGGCTTCTGCTGAAGGCACTTTCTGGACTTTAGCAGAGGAGATATATTCTAAATAGAGCACAGAAATCACACTGAGTTGAGGAGACAGAGGTCAAAGTTTAGGAAGGCTGAGGTTGCTGGTGTTTCCAGGTTATAATACCAGAGAACAGAGGGCTACACAGAAACAGCTCCAGAAATCAAGTCTGCCCTGAGACACTTGAATACTAACCTGCACATCAATAGGGTGAAACTCTCTAAGGCCATGCAAAGAATGACCAGGGATCTATAAGTCAAACAATCCCCAAAGCTCACACAGGGCTGGGAGACATTTGAGTTCTGACCAGCCCAAGTACAGAAACTTCATAGAACTTTCAAGAAATTGAGTAGAGACACCAAGAGTCATACCTTAAGAGTAGGACTAAATTAGCCCTAGAGAAAAGGCTACTATACTCCTGCCCTAATGAAGTTTAAAAACAAGCCTCAAAAGGATCAAAATGATCTGCAAGTAACTTAACAGGCTACTAGAACAAAGTCCAATACTCTTTGGAGAAGACAACACAATTCAGCGCTCAACAAGTAAAATTTAATATGTTTACCATTCAATCAAAAATTACTATACCTAGACATGAAATGAAGGAAAACATGACCCATAACCAGGAAAAAAATCACTCAAGAGAAACAGACCCAGAAATGACAACGATGATGGAACTAAGAGGAAAGGACTTTAAAATAGATATTATAAATATGTTGAAGGAAAAATGAGCATGATGAAGAGAGAATGAAATATATCAAAAACAAACAGAAGCCCTGGGGATTTTTTCTTAAGTACAATATACAAAAAGAAAATATATTATGATCAAGTGGGATTTATCACAAGAGTACAAGTTTAGTTTAACTCTTGAAAAACATCATAGTAATAGAACATTAGAAAATTTACCATATTAACAATATAGGAAGAAAGCCAATTATCTCAATAGATGCAGATAAAGCATTTGAAATTTACCATTTCATGTTTAAAATTCTAAGCAAATTAAGACTAGAAGAGAATCTCCTCACTTTGATGAGGGGCATTATGAAAAACCTATACATGGCATCGCATCTATTTGGTCTTTGACCATTAGTCCATTAGACTAATGGACTTTGACCATTCTAAGACTGGGAACAAGGCAAGGACATTCATTTTTACCACATATCTTCTACATTGCACTGAAAGTATTAGCCTTTACAGTAACAAAGAAGAAATAAAAAGCACTCAAAATATAAAGGAAGAGGCAAAATTGTCTTGATTTGCAGATGACATGATTATTTATATACACAATCCCAAGGAGACTACAAAAAGGTGATCAAAACTAATAAGTGAATTTAGCCAGGTCACAAGACCCAAGAAAAAAATGCTAAAGTTAGATTTCATCAAAATTAAAAACGTATGCTCTTCAAAACAATATTTTTTATAAAGAAAAGAGACTACTGACTGGGAGAAAACACAGAATTGGCAATACACCTGTTTTTGAAAGGTTTGTATCAAAATTATGTTAAAAACCCTTATAAAATATAACTCCACAAAAGAAGATATACAAATGGACAGTAAGCACACACAAATGTGTTTAATTTTATTAATATCAAAGAAATGGGAGTTTTTTAAAAAGCATAATGAGATACAACTATACACTCACTACAATGGCTAAAACTAAAAAGGCTGAAAATAAATACCACTTGTTGGCAATGATGTAGAGGAATTTGGAACTCTCATGCAGTACTGTTGGAAATGGAAAATGGTATGACCACTTGGGAAAATTGTTCAAGTTTCTTATAAACTCAAAGATACACTTTCCATACTAATTCCACTTCTATGTATTAATCAAGAAAAATGGAAACATGTTTAGACAGGGACTTGAACATAAATGTTAATAACACTTTTATTCATAATAGCCAGAATTTGGGGGAAAAAACTGTTCATTAACAAATGAATAAACAAATTTTGCTATGTCTGTACAATAGAACATTAGTCAGCAATAAAAAGTAATAAACTACTAATATGCCAACAAGTTTGAATCTCAAAAACATAATGAACAAAAAAGCCAGACATAAAAGACTATGCACCATATGATTCCATTTCTATGGAATTCAAGAAAAGGCAAACTAATCTACAGTGAAAAAATGCAGATCAGTGGTTGCCTACAGCCAGGGGTGGAAAAAGATTGATTGCAAAGTGTCATGGGAATTTTTTGTGTGATGGAATTATTCTACCATTTAAATGATGTTAAAACTCAACATACTGTGCAGTTTAAATAGTTGCATTTTATTTTATGTAAATTAAATTTTAATATAATCCATTTCTTCAGAGACCTGAAGATTTGGTATCTGGATGTGTTACATCCTGAATTTTATTGTTTTATCCATCATTTTTATTTATCAGCACTTTATAGCATAGGATGTGGTCACCACTACAGGCAGAGGATTTTCATGGTAGTTCATCTTTCAATGTTGATTTTTTTCCATGTGGAACTGGTGCTATGGTGGCGTAAAATACGTTTAAGCCCTCTAGATAATTTGAGAGTCATATGAAAGACAAGTGGAAAGAAACTTTCTTTTGAAAAATGGGGCACTTCAGCTTTGAATGTAGCAGGCTGATGCCTTATCTGAACCAAGAATAAAAATTATGTCCCTTATTCATCTTTATACAGTTTCAAATATTACTTCCATGACTATTTCTCAATGTTTTTAACATTAAGTACGGTTGGGCACTGTGGCTCACGCCTGTAATCCCAACACTTTTGGAGGCCAAGGTGGGTGGGTCACAAGGTCAGAAGATTGAAACCATCCTGGCCAACATGGTGAAACCCTGTCTCTACTAAAAATACAAAAATTAGCCAGGTGTGGTGGCGCATGCCTGTAATCCCAGCTACTCAGGAGGCTGAGGCAGGAGAAACACTTGAACTCAGGAGGCAGAGGTTGCAGTGAGCCGAGATCACGCCACTGCACTCCAGCCTGGTGACAGAGTAAGACTCTGTCTCAAAAACAAACAGGCAAACATTAAGTACATCTATCGTACAACAATTGTTGTTGTTGTTATTGTAATTGTTCTTGTATTTCCATGATGCCATGCCTAAAATGTTATATTTACCAAATAATGGCATTAAAATAATTATCGCTTATGCGATATCATTACAGGTGCATGTACCATTCATTTGCGGCTATTTGGAACATTGAAAGTAGCACTAAAACACTATATTTTATTCAGAGATGTGAAAAGGCTGGAAAATCTCAGCTTTACTTATCATTGATGATTCCTATATCAATTCATACACAGATGGCCCCTGATTTACATTGCTTGACTTATAATTTTCCAACTTTACCATGTTGCAAAAGCAATATGCATTCAGTAGAAATCATGTTTCAGTAAAGTATTCAAATAAATTACATGAGCTATTCAACAATTCACTATAAAATACGTTTTGTGTTAGATGATTTTGGCCAACTGTAGGCTAATGTAAGTGTTCTGAGCACATGTAGGGTAGGCTAGGTTAAGCTATGCTATTCAGTAAGTATATTAAATGCATTTTTGACTTAGGATATTTTAACTTACAATGGGTTTTTTGGGAAATAACTCCATCATAAATTGAGGAACAACTGTACTCCTTTTCCTTCTTCTGACCTCAAAGTCTTATCTTTAATCCCCTACCAGGACATACCACAGGTAACACAAACTCAACACATCTAAAATTGAGTTCATAATCTTCCTACTTTCTGATTTGCTCTTTCCTCTGCATTCCATACCTCGGTTAACAGGATTAACACATATCTAGCCACCCAAGGTTAGAAACCTCAGAGTTCCTCTGGACTTCTATTTTACTTCCCCTCTCCACAATATCCTATTGAGACTTCCTCTAAAATTCCTATAGTGTGAATTCATTTGCAACTTTCCATTCCCACTGATACTATACTAATTTAGCACTCACCATTTGCCAGGTACCAATATCTCACTTTTTCTAGTTGCCTCTTTTTTCTTTTAAAAAATTGTGATATAGGCCGGGCGCAGTGGCTCATGCCTGTAATCCCAGCACTTTGGGAGGTCGAGGCGGGCAGTTCACCCGATGTCAGGGGTTCAAGACCAGCCTGGCCAACATGGCAAAACCCCGTTGCCACTAAAAATACAAAAATTAGCCAGGCGTGGTGGTGGGTATCTGTAACCCCAACCACTTGGGAGGCTGAGGCAGGAGACTCTCTTGAACCTGGGAGGCCGAGGTTGCAGTGGGCCAAGATCGTGCCATTGCACTCTGCACTCCAGCCTGAGTGACAGAGCGAGACTCTGTCTCAAAAAAAAAAAAAAAAAAAAAAATCATTTTTCAGCCTTTTGGCTAAGATCAAGTGTAAAAAATTGTGATACAATACACATAACATAAAATTTATCATCTTAATCATTTTTAAGTGTACAGTTCACTGGTAATTAGTGTGTTCACATTGTTGTACAGCCACAACCACCATCCATCCCCAGAATTCTTTTCATCTTGCAAACCTGAAACTCACTATTTTATTGAGGATTTTTGCATCTATATTCATCAGGGATATTGGCCTGAAGTTTTCTTTTTTTTGTTCTATCTCTGCCAGGTTTTTGTATTAGGATGATGCTGGCCTCATAAAACGAGTTAGGGAGGAGTCCCTCCTTTTCAATTGACTGGAATTGTTCCCGTAGAAATGGTACCAGCTCTCCTTTGTACCTCTGGTATAATTCAGCTGTAAATTCGTCTGGTCCTGGGCTTTTTTTGGTTCATAAGCTAAATACCGCCTCAATTTCAGAACTTGTTATTGGTTTATTCAGGGATTCAATTTCTTCCTGATTCAGTCTTGGGAGGGTGTATGTGTCCAGGAATTTATCCATTTCTTCTAGATTTTCTAGTTTATGTGCATAGATGTATTTGTAGTATTCTCTAATGCTTGTTTGGATTTCTGTAGGGTCAGTGTTCATTTCTCCCTTATCATTTCTGATTGTGTCTATTAGATTTTTCTCTCTTTTCTTCATTAGTCTAGCTGGCAGTCTATTAATTTTTTCAAAAAACCAGCTCCTGGATCCGTTGATTTTTTGAAGGGGTTTCCATGTATTTATCTCCTTTGGTTCTGCTCTGATCTTGGTTGTTTCCTGTCTTCTGCTAGCTTTGGGGTTTGTTTGCTCTTGGTTCTTTAGTTCTTTTAGTTGTGATGTTAGGTTGTTGTTTTGAGGTCTTTCTAGCTTAAATTTCCCTCTTGACACTGCTTTAGCTGCATCCCAGAGATTCTGGTACACCGTCTCATTGTTCTCGTTGGTTTCAAAGAACTTCTTGATTTCTGCCTTAATTTCATTATTTACCCAGGAGTCATTCAGGAACAGGTTGTTCAATTTCCATGTAGTGTGTGGTTTTGAGTGAGTTTATTAGTCTTGAGTTCTAACGTGATCGCACTGTGGTCTGGGAGACTGTTAGGATTTCAGTTCTTCTGCATTTGATGAGGAGTGTTTTACTTCCTATCATGTGATCAATTTTAGAGTAAGTGCCATGTGGTGATGAGAAGAATATATATTTTCTGTTGTTTTTGGGTGGAGAGCTCTGTAGATATCTATCAGGCCTGCTTGATCCAGAACTGAGTTCAGGTCCTGAATATCTTTGTTAATTTTCTGTCTTGATGATCTAATATTGTCAGTGAGGTGTTAACATCTGCAATTATCATTATGTAGGAGTCTATGTCTCTTTGTAGGCCTCTAAGAACTTGCTTTATGAATCTGGGTGCTCTTATATTGGGTGCATATATATTTACAATAGTTAGCTCTTCTTATTGAATTGAATCCTTTACCATTACATAATGCCCTTCTTTGTCTTTTTTAATCTTTGTGGGTTTAAAGTCTGTTTTGTCAGAAACTAGGATTGTGACCTCTGCTTTTTTCTGTTTTCCACGTGCTTGGTAAATTTTCCTCCATCCCTTTATTTTGAGCCTACATGTGTCTTTACACGTGAGATAGGTCTCTTGAAGACAGCATACCAATTGGTCTTGACTCTACTCATCTTGTCATTCTGTGTCTTTTAATTGGGGGCATTTAGCCTATTTTCATTTAAGGTTAATATTATTATGTGTGAATTTGATCCTGTCATGATGATGCTAGCTGGTTATTTTGCAGACTTGTTATGTGGTTGCTTCATAGTGTCACTGGTCTGTGTATTTCAGCCCTTCAGGACATAGGCACAGGCAAAGATATCATGATCAGAATGTCAAAGATAATTGCAACAAAAGCAAAAATTGACAAATGGGATCTAATTAAATGAAAGAGCTTCTGCATAGCAAAAAAAAAAAAAAAAAAAGAACCACTATTATCAGAATAAAAAGACAACCTACAGAATGGGAGAAAATTTTTGCAATCTATCTATCTGACAAAGGCCTAATATTCAGAGTCTAAAAAGAACTTAAACATATTTACAAGAACGAGACAACCGCATTAAAAAATGGGCAAAAGGATGAGTGTGGTGGCTCATGCCTGTAATCTCAGCACTTTGGGAGGCAGAGGCGGGCAGATCACTTGAGGTCAGGAGTTCAAGACCAGCCTGGCCAATATGGTGAAACCCTCTCTCTATTAAAAATACAAAAATTACCCAGGCATGGTGGCGTGTGCCTGTAATCCCCACTACTCGGGAGGCTGAGGCAGGAGAATTGCTTGAACCCAGGGAAAAAGGAACACTTTTACGCTGTTGGTGGGAGTGTAAATTAGTTCAACCATTGTGGAAGACAGTGTGGCGATTCCTCAAAGACACAGAAGCAGAAATACAATTTGACCCAGTAATCTTATTACTGTATATGTACCCAAAGGAATATAAATTATTCTATTATAAAGATACATGCACACGTATGTTCATTGCAGCACTATTCACAATAGCAGAGACATGGAATCAACCCAAATGCCCATCAATGATTGACTGAATAAAGAAAATGTGGTACATATCCACTATGGAATACTATGCAGCCATAAAAAGGAACAAGATCCTGTTCTTTGCAGGGACAGGGATGGAGCTGGAAGCTGTTATCCTTAGCAAACTAACACAGGAACAGAAAATCAAATACCAAATGTTCTCACTTATAAGTCAAAGCTGATCGATGAGAACACATGGGAACATGAGGGGAACAACACTCACTGGGGCCTGTCAGCGGGGTGGAGCCGATGGGAGAGCATCAGGAAGAATAGCTAATGGATGCTTGGCCTAACACCTAGGTGATGGGTTGCTCTATGCAGCAAACCACCATGGCACATGTTTACCTATATAACAAACCTGCACATCCTGCACATGTACCAAGAACTTAAAATAAAAGTTGAAGAAAAAAAATACAATGTGGAGGCAAATACTGAGAATGCCCATCTGAGACCCTTAAGCAGTAGCTCTCCAGACTAGCTGGAGTATTATGTGAAGAAAGATACAGTTATGTTATACACCCAAATCAAATAACCAACTTTCCTTGCTCAAATTCCTCACTCAGCAAGAACGTTTCTATTCAGTTGGCTTTCCATGTAGCTCACCTTCAGGGAGAGATTGCAGCAGACAAGTTCATATGGCAGAAAGCTCTTATTAAAATTAATGTACAGCATAGTGACTATAGTTAATGATACTATATTATGTACTTGAAATTTGATGAGAGAGTAGATCTTAAATGTTCTCACCACACCCACCCACACACACACCCATACACACACACACACCCATACACACACACACATACACACACACGGTAACAATGTGAGGTGACGGATATGTTAATTAACTTGATTATGGTAATCATTTCACAATGTATACATATATCAAAACAGTACTTTGTATATCTTAATATATGTAATTTTGATTTGTTAAAAAAAATCCTGAAACTCTATACTCGTTAAATAATAACTTACCATTCTCCCTTTCTCCAAGTCCCTGGAAATAACTATTCTACTTTCTGTCTATGAATTTGACTACTCTAGGTACCTCATATAAGTGAAAGTACACAGTATTTGCCAACAAAATGGACAAAGTTTTAGCTAGACTGAGAAAAACAAGACACAAATTACTGAAGTCAGGAATGAAAGAGAGTACATTACTACTGACCTTACAAAAGTAAATAAAAAGGAGTATAAGTGAATACTATGATCAAGTGAATCCCAACAAATTAGATGACTTAGGTGTAAATGGACAAATTCTTAGAAGACACAACGTACTGCAAGTCAGTCAAGGAGATAAAGTGACTAGAACTATAACAAGGAAACAGACTGAATTAATGAGAATTTTAAAAAGTTTTCACAAAGAAAAGCCCAGACCCAAATGGCTTCACCACTGAATTCTGCCAAACATTTAGAGAAGAACTAATACCAATTCTTCATGAATGATTCCAAAATATTTGGAGAAGGGATTACTTCCCAACTCATTTTATGAGGCCAGTATTATCCTAAAACAAAAATCAAATGACATCACAAGAGAAGAAAACTAGAGGCCAATATCTCTTATGAGATTATAGGTGCAAAAATCCTCAGCAAAATATTAGCAAACTAAATCCATCAACATATAAAAATAATTATATGCCATAACCAAGTAGGATTTATTCTAGGAATAAAAGATTGGTTTAATGTCCAAATAATTAATGTAATATACTATGTCAATAGAATAAAAACAAAAACCCCATGATCATCTCAATAGGTGCAGAAAAAAATCTTTTAATAAAATCTTACACCTTTTGTGATAAAATACTCAACAAAGTAAGATAGAAGAGAACTTCCCCAACCAGATGAAGGATATTGACAAAACACCCACAGCTAACATCAGACTTAATAATGAAACACTCAATGCTTTCCCCTTAATATAAGCAAGAAATAAACAAGTAACATACTTCTAGTCAACATTGTACTGGAGGATCTAGCCAGGACAATTAGGCAAGAAAAAGAAATAAAAGGCATCCAGACTGGGAAAAAAGAGTAAAACTAACTATCTCTATTTTACAGTGGATATATTCCTATACAGAGAAAATCCTAATAAATACACACACAAAAAAACTATTATAACTAAAAAACAGGTTCAGCAAGTTTGCAGGATATAAGCTAATAGACAAAAATCAATTGTATTTCTGTATACAGCAGGTCTTTGAATAACGTCAGTTCCTTCTACATTGTTTCATTATAAGAATGAGAAAAAAAAATTGATTCCACTGGATCCCCTGTCCTGTTTGGAGTTAGCACGTTCTCCCTTTGTCGTGTGGGTTTTTTCCAGGTATTCTGTTTTCTCCCACCTCCCAAAGATGTGCACATTAGGTTAAATGGTGTGTCTGAATTGCCTTAGTCTGAGTGTGGGTGGTGTGTGTGAGTGCATCTGGCGATGGAATGTTGTCCTGTCCAGGGTTGGTTCCTGCCTCAAGCCCTGAACTGCTGAGATAGACTCTGGCCACCTGTGGCCCTGAACTGGAATCAGCAGGTAAATAATTACCTTACTTGTTTTTTATTAATCTGTCTTAAATGTATGGATAGCTCACATTTATTTCAATGTTTAATATTATTACAAGTGTTTTGGTCTTTATTTAGAAATTTGGTGATGTTTTTGTGACCAGAAATATGCTGCAGGAATTTAATACTTGTTTCTATCAATTAACCTATGGTAAAGTTAGTTTCATTATACATCATTTCACTTAAAGCTGCAATTTCCAAGTATGTATCCATGATGTTAAGTGAGGACTTACTGTGTTAGCAATGAAAAAGTCTGAAAATGAAATTAATAAAATAATTCCATTGGTAATATTATCAAAAAGAACAAAATACTTAGAAATAAATGTAACAAATGAAGTATAAAACTTGTGCCATAAAAACTATAAAACACTGTGGAAAGAAATGAAATAAAACCTAAATAAATGGAAAGACAAGCCATTTTTACAGTTGAAAGACTTAATATTGTTAAGATGAAAATAATCCCCAAGTTGATCTACAGATTCAACACAATCTCTATTAAAATCTCAGACAGCTTTTGTGTGTGTGTGGAAATTGACAAGCTGTTTCTAAAATTCTCAAGGAAATGCAAGGGGCCAAGAATAGCCACAACAATCTTGAAAGAGAACACTTTCATGAAAGTTGGAGGATCACATGTGCCGATTTGAAAACTTACTAAAAACTACAGTAATCAACACAGTGTGGCAGTGCATAAGGATAGACATATAAACCAATGAAACAGAATTGAGAGTCCAAAAATAAATCCTTATCTTTATGTCCAATTGATTTGAAAATGGTGCCAAGACAATTCAACGGGAGAAACAGCCTTTTTAACAAATGGTGCTAAGATAACTGGATACCTACATGCAAAAGAATAAAGTTGGATTTCTCCTTTAACCACACATAAAAATTAACTCCAAATGGATCACAGACTTACATGTCAGAGCCAAAACTATAAAACTCTTTTTTTTTTTTTGAGACAGAGTCTTGCTCTGTTGCCCAGGCTAGAATGCAATGGCTTGATCTTGGCTCACTGCAACCTCCACCTCCTGGGTTCAAGCCATTCTCCTGCCTCAGCCTCCTGAGTAGCTGGGATTACAGGAGCCCGCCACTTCGCCTGGCTAATTTTTGTATTTTTAGTAGAGACTGGGTTTCACCATCTTGGCCAGGCTGGTCTTCAACTCCTGACCTTGTGATCCACCCTCCTCAGCCTCCCAAAGTGCTGGGATTATAGGCATGAGCCACTGCGCCTGGCCTAAAAACTCTTAGAAGGATGCATAGGAGTAAATCTTTGTAACTGTGGGTTAGGCAAACTCTCCCTATATACTATACCAAATCCATAAGTGACAAAAGGACAAAATAGAAAAATTGGACTTCATGAGATACCTCTTTAGAATCATTAAGATGGCTATAATAAAAGAGACAGAAAATAGTAAGTGTTGGTGAGGTTGTGGAGAGATTGGAACTCTCATACATTGCTTGTGGGATTGTGAAATAGTGTAACTGTTTTGGAAAACAGTTTGACAATTCCTCAAAATGTTAAGCAATTACTTTATAACCCAGAAATTCTACACCTAGGTATATACTTGAGAAAATTGAAAACATCTGTCAACCAAAAACTTATACACAAATTTCATAGCAGCATTATTCATAACAGCTAAAAACTGGAAACTCAAATTCCATCAACTGATGAATGAATAAAATAAATGTGCCATATATACAATGGAATATTACTTGACAAATACGCCAAAATATGGGCAAACCTTGGAAATCCTATGATAAATGAAAGAGCCACTCACAAAGGATTACATATTATTCCATTTACATAAAATGATCAGCATAGGAAAAGCTGTGAGAATGGAAAGTAGATTAGTGGTTGATCAGGTTTGTTGGTAGAGTTGGGTGGATCAGGTAGTAACTGCTAATAGGTATAGCATTACTTTTTGTAGTTATAAAAAATATTCTAAACTTAGATTGCAGTGATGGTTGCACAATTCTGTGAATATACTAAAAGCCATTGAAATCTATACTTTAAATGGATGAATTGTATGGCATATACATTATATGTCAATGTTACTGGCGTCCGTGTGAAGAGACCACCAAACAGGCTTTGTGTGAGCAATAAAGTTTTTTAATCACTTGAGTGCAGGTGGACTGAGTCCGAAAAAGGAGTCAGCAAAGGGAAATAGGGGTGGGGCAGTATAGGATTTGGGTAGGTAGTGGAAAACTAGAGTTAAAGGGGGTTGTTCTGTTGTGGGCAGGGGCGGGGGTCACAAGGTGCTCGGTGGGGAACTCCTGAGATTCATTGTCCGGGAGAAGGAACGTCACAAGGTCAATTGATCAGTTAGGGTGGGGTGGGAACAAATCACAATGGTGGAATGTCATCAGTTAAGGCAGGAACTGACTATTTCACTTCTTTTGTGGTTCTTCAATTGCTTCAGGCCATCTGGATGTATACGCTCAGGTCACAGGGGTTATGATGGCTTAGCTTGGGCTCAGAGGCCTAAAGTCAATTAAGCTGTTAAAAAAAGTCGTCTCACTGACTCACTGTTGAATTTCAAGGTGATACAATTATTGTAGGTGTGGACACAAATATTGCCTATTCCCTAAAGAACATGCCTGAGAAATGGGAAGGCATAAAAAGATGAAGTATATTAAATACGACCCAGGCATGCAGCGGCTAATGCCTGTAATCCCAGCAACTAGTGAGGCTGAGGTGGGAAGATCACTTGAGGCGAGGAGTTTGAAACCAGCCTGGGTGACAAAGCAAGGTCCCATCTCTACAAAAACTAAAAATATTTGCCCAGCGCAGTGGTGCATGCCTATAGTCCCAGCTACTTGGGAAGCTGAGGCAGAAGGATGGCTCGAGCCCAGGAGTTGGAGGCTGCAGTGAGCTATGATTGCACCACAGCACCCCAGCCTGGGTGACAGCCAGACCCTATCTCCTAAAAACAGACAAACAAATGAACAACAACAACAACAAAAACAAACAAAAAAACAGGCAAAACAAAAAAAGTCCAGACCTATTATATATTGGTCTCATAGGAGACTCTTTCTTGGGTATGATTATCCTAGATAGGTAAAGGTGGACAAGATTCATTTAAACCACAAATGCTTTGTCAGTACCAAAATGGAATCACTTATGTCAAACCCTAACGAAATGGAGCTGGAAGGTTGTAAAGGAGGTACGGTCATTCACACATAGTCCTGTAACAGGAACTGTCACAAAGGACTTTCCCAACTGGAATTTCCAGCTAAGCCACTTCTATGATGGCACTCTTCTAGCAATAGCCGGTACCACTAATGAACAAATGCCACCATCTGTAATAAGCCCCTGTAGCCCAGGGTGTTGTTTCAATACACTTTAGTGGATTTCTCCTTTTTTTATTTTTTTAGAGACAGGGTCCTGCTCTGTCACCTAGGCTGCAGTACAGTGGTGATCTTAGCTCACTGCAGCCTCAAACTCCTGGGCTTGAGCCTCAGCCACCCTAATAGCTGGGATTACAAGGCATAAACCACCATGCCTGGCTGATTTCTTCTTTTGCCTCTAAAAACTTCCTGTTGTCCCAACCCCCTCTGACGCATCTATGGTCGCCAATGCATTCATATTGTGGATTGCAAGCCCTTGCCATTCTCCAACAACTTCTTTGTTTCTTTCTTGGTCTCTCTGTGGCTCAGTTTGGGTTCACACTGCTTTTGGCAGTTCTAGTAACGCTAATTTCATAACCATCACCATGGAAGACTCCATAAGACAAAATCTATATGTATCAAAAAAGCAAAATATTTTTTCTTTGGAAAAATAATTGGATTTAACTTAAATTCCTTTGACTTTTTATGCCTTTGGACTTTAATTTTCAAGGAGATTTAAACTTAGGTCTTTAATTTTATTTTATGAATTTCATAACAGGAAGCAGTTAGAGTCATATTTTAGTCATTTTGTTGCTGGAATATTTTAATTTAGTTACTTAATCTCATTGCAGAGCCTCTCATGAACAAATCTGGACACTATGGCGGCACATAGTCTACAATGGGAATAAGATTAGGGAATAATTATTCAGTTTGGGGTACAGAATGGCCCCATAATTGATTTAATTAATACACCGATCTGGCCTATGTCAGAGCTTTATGGGGGCAAAAATTAATATTGACCTCTGTTGACTAAAAATGATCCACAAAAAAACAGTTGGTATTAAGGGAGTAACTTAGTGAAAGTTAGGAGCAAGACAATCCAGGAGTGTGGGACCTTCCCACAATACCCTCAGGGGATGGCTGCAACCTTGGCTGGCCTTCCTCAGTGGTTCAGTGAAGAGAAGAACAAGCTGCAGGAAGCTGGGGTTGGAAGAACATGCACTCCTGGGTTCGATTTCCCCATGATGGGACCTCCAGCAGTGTGGTACTCTTGGTCCTGCCATACTTTACTCATGCCTCCCCTCTGTGGTAGGTGGGTTAAGGTAAGAGAATGAGCTTGTATAGCTCAGTGCCCCCTGCCATCTCTTTGGCCTGCCTATAGGAGCATGTATTCTGGTTGATGTGGGCTGTGCTGCAAGCCTGGCAGCAAAACCTGTCCTACGGATGGAAGCTTCCAGTTTTTCTGCACTTTCTGGGTGGGCAAATCAGTTTAATTCTGGGGTTCAGAATCAAGAAGCCCATTGTGGCAAACACCTCGCCCACGTCACCAGCTTAGACTTTTTCAATATTAAATGTTTTGATCTCTGTTGTCTCTGTATTCTTCAATTGGCATGGAATTCAGATGGGAAAAACAGATCTGTTGGCTTCTTCAAACTCTATGTGTAGATGTAGCACATCAATTGATAGTATATTATAGAGCCAGGAAGATTCTTTTACAAATGAGATAACCATTGGTCTCGGTCTTGAAAATTATTTAGATTGTAATATTCAAAAAAGATAGAAAAGTCACTACTGAGAAAGGGACACACATTCATGGTGTTAGCAGTGGCTAATCCACAGAATCTGCAGCAACTTGATTCTTACCTCCTTAGAGGAAAGAATTCATCTGAGGGACATAAGGCAGAGTGAGAGACCAAGGCAAGTTTTTGAGCAGGAATGAAAGTTTATTAAAAAGTATTAGACAGGTTGGGCGCAGTGGCTCACACCCATAAGCCCAGCACTTTGGGAGGCTGAGGCAGGCAGATCACTTGAGGTCAGGAGTTTGAGACCAGCCTGGACAGCATGGTGAAACCTTGTCTCTATAAAAAAAAATACAAAAATCAGCCAGGCATGGTGGCGTGCGCTTGTAGTCCCAGCTACTCAGGAGACTGAGGTGGGAGGATGGCTTGAGTCCAGGAGGTCGAGGCTGCAGTGAGCTGTGATCACGCCATTGCACTCTAGCATGGACAACAGAGTGAGACCCTGCTTCAGAAAAAATAAAATGCAAATAAAATGAAAAGAAAGTAACCAAATTATATTTCCCTATAGTAGTTTTCAAATTTTGGACAAATAACTATAACTAACAAGTTTGAGTTTAATCCATTTTAAGCAAAGAGATATTGTGTTGGCATATTTCTATTCGTAATTCACTGAAGTGATAAGGAAATTCTATAGGAGGAGGAGCCAAGATGGCCGAATAGGAACAGCTCCGGTCTACAGCTCCCAGCGTGAGCGACGCAGAAGACGGGTGATTTCTGAATTTCCATCTGAGGTACCGGGTTCATCTCACTAGGGAGTGCCAGACAGTGGGCGCAGGCCAGTGTGTGTGCGCACTGTGCGCGAGCCGAAGCAGGGCGAGGCATTGCCTCACCTGGGAAGCGCAAGGGGTCAGGGAGTTCCCTTTCCGAGTCAAAGAAAGGGGTGACGGACGCACCTGGAAAATCGGGTCACTCCCACCCGAATATTGCGCTTTTCAGACCGGCTTAAAAAACGGCGCACCACGAGACTATATCCCACACCTGGCTCAGAGGGTCCTACGCCCACGGAATCTCGCTGATTGCTAGCACAGCAGTCTGAGATCAAACTGCAAGGCGGCAACGAGGCTGGGGGAGGGGCGCCTGCCATTGCCCAGGCTTCCTTAGGTAAACAAAGCAGCCGGGAAGCTCGAACTGGGTGGAGCCCACCACAGCTCAAGGAGGCCTGCCTGCCTCTGTAGGCTCCACCTCTGGGGGCAGGGCACAGACAAGCAAAAAGGCAGCAGTAACCTCTGCAGACTTAAGTGTCCCTGTCTGACAGCTTTGAAGAGAGCAGTGGTTCTCCCAGCACGCAGCTGGAGATCTGAGAACGGGCAGACTACCTCCTCAAGTGGGTCCCTGACCCCTGACCCCCGAGCAGCCTAACTGGGAGGCACCCCCCAGCAGGGGCACACTGACACCTCACACGGCAGGGTACTCCAACAGACCTGCAGCTGAGGGTCCTGTCTGTTAGAAGGAAAACTAACAACCAGAAAGGACATCTACACCGAAAACCCATCTGTACATCACCATCATCAAAGACCAAAAGTAGATAAAACCACAAAGATGGGGAAAAAACAGAACAGAAAAACTGGAAACTCTAAAACGCAGAGCGCCTCTCCTCCTCCAAAGGAACGCAGTTCCTCACCAGCAACAGAACAAAGCTGGATGGAGAATGATTTTGACGAGCTGAGAGAAGAAGGCTTCAGACGATCAAATTACTCTGAGCTACGGGAGGACATTCAAACCAAAGGCAAAGAAGTTGAAAACTTTGAAAAAAATTTAGAAGAATGTATAACTAGAATAACCAATACAGAGAAGTGCTTAAAGGAGCTGATGGAGCTGAAAACCAAGGCTCGAGAACTACGTGAAGAATGCAGAAGCCTCAGGAGCCTATGCGATCAACTGGAAGAAAGGGTATCAGCAATGGAAGATGAAATGAATGAAATGAAGCGAGAAGGGAAGTTTAGAGAAAAAAGAATAAAAAGAAATGAGCAAAGCCTCCAAGAAATATGGGACTATGTGAAAAGGCCAAATCTACGTCTGATTGGTGTACCTGAAAGTGATGTGGAGAATGGAACCAAGTTGGAAAACACTCTGCAGGATATTATCCAGGAGAACTTCCCCAATCTAGCAAGGCAGGCCAACGTTCAGATTCAGGAAATACAGAGAACGCCACAAAGATACTCCTCGAGAAGAGCAACTCCAAGACACATAATTGTCAGATTCACCAAAGTTGAAATGAAGGAAAAAATGTTAAGGGCAGCCAGAGAGAAAGGTCGGGTTACCCTCAAAGGGAAGCCCATCAGACTAACAGCGGATCTCTCGGCGAAGGACATGAACAGACACTTCTCAAAAGAAGACATTTATGCAGCCAAAAAACACATGAAGAAATGCTCATCATCACTGGCCATCAGAGAAATGCAAATCAAAACCACTATGAGATATCATCTCACACCAGTTAGAATGGCAATCATTAAAAAGTCAGGAAACAACAGGTGCTGGAGAGGATGCAGAGAAATAGGAACACTTTTACACTGTTGGTGGGACTGTAAACTAGTTCAACCATTGTGGAAGTCAGTGTGGCGATTCCTCAGGGATCTAGAACTAGAAATACCATTTGACCCAGCCATCCCATTACTGGGTATATACCCAAAGGACTATAAATCATGCTGCTATAAAGACACATGCACACGTATGTTTATTGCGGCACTATTCACAATAGCAAAGACTTGGAACCAACCCAAATGTCCAACAATGATAGACTGGATTAAGAAAATGTGGCACATATACACCATGGAATACTATGCAGCCATAAAAAATGATGAGTTCATATCCTTTGTAGGGACATGGATGAAATTGGAAACCATCATTCTCAGTAAACTATCGCAAGAACAAAAAACCAAACACCGCATATTCTCACTCATAGGTGGGAATTGAACAATGAGATCACATGGACACAGGAAGGGGAATATCACACTCTGGGGACTGTGGTGGGGTCGGGGGAGGGGGGAGGGATAGCATTGGGAGATATACCTAATGCTAGATGACACATTAGTGGGTGCAGCGCACCAGCATGGCACATGTATACATATGTAACTAGCCTGCACAATGTGCACATGTACCCTAAAACTTAGAGTATAATAAAAAAAAAAAAAAAAAAAAAAAAAAAAAAAAAAAGAAATTCTAAACAATGCAAAGTTCAGCCTTTAATTACTACACTTCTATCTCTCTGGCAGTTATCTAGCTGCAAAAGCAGGTACCTCAAAACTTAGTGGTTTAAAATAACAATCTGCAACTTGGACGGGGCTTGACAGGAAGGCTCATCTCTGCTTCACATGACATCAGCTTTGGTGTCTCCACCGAGAGTTGGCGACCCCTCTCCAAGAGGGGTCACTCACAGGCACTGGTTATTGGCTGGGAGCTCAGCCTGGATTGAGAGATAGGAACTTCATTCCTCTCCATGTGGGTCTCTTCATGTAGCCCAGGCTTCCTCACTGCACGGTGGCTGGCTGCTGAGGGAAAGTGACTCAAGGACCGTATTGCCTCTTAAGACCCAGGCTTGGAAGTTATACAGTGTTGTCTATCACGTGTGTCAGTCTAATGACACACAAATTAAGGGGAAGGGACATAACCCCCACCTCTTGAGGGTGAGTGGCAAAGTTTTGGAAGAGCATGTGGGATGGGATATATTGTTGTAGTTATTTTTGAAAAATACAATTTGCTACGTCAGGTATGACATTTTATTACATTCTTTAAAATGTGACAATTGTCCTTCCCTTTTTAAGTTACAAACAAAAAGTAAAACTAAAGAAGTATCGTGATTTTCTTTAGGCAAAAATCAGTCAACTAGTTTGAAAGTCATTAGTGAAAATATGGAGAAATATTAATTCCAGATAATCAGGTTAAAATGGAGACCTAGCATTATTTGGCCAATTAATTGACAGAATGTTACAAGATGCCAAAGACTGGTAGCATCAAATACTGTATTCCAGACTATAATAGGCAGTAAACTGGAAACATAATCTGTAATTCTGTAAATTGAATTATTGTTGAATGAATTAATTTTTCCGTATCTGTAATATTTTTACCTTATGTAATAAAAACCATAAATCTGGAAACAAAAGTATTTTTTTCAGAAATGCATTAACATCTTGAATTCTCTTGAAGAACATTAATAATAGTATCTGAAAATAAAGAATTTGAGAAAATGAGACAATAAGAAAATGAAAAAATGTAAACTGCAATTTAAAATTTCATAAACAAAAGCTGGGCACGGAGTGGCTCATGCCTGTAATCCCAGCACTTTGGTGGGGGGGCCAAGGGGGGAGGATTGCTTGGGCCCAGGAGTTGAGACCAGCCTCAGCAACATAGTGAGACCCTGTCTCTATACAAATAAAAATCAAAAAATGAGCTGGGGTTTGTGTTGCACGCCTGTAGTCTCAGCTACTCAGGAGGCTGAAGTGGGAGGATCGCTTGAGCCCAGGAATTGGAAAACAAAACAAAAACAAAACCAACAAAACAAAATAAAAATTTCATAAGCAAAAAATATTTCTTGTACCATAAAGGCAGAAAAAGGCACAGTGAGAATTGCAAAAAAATTTTTTAGTGTGTACCAAATACCAAGTTTCATACATGTCATTACATTTCTTTCTGGTATTCTTACTTCCAGCCATATGCATATTTTCTGCTGTCAGGCAGTTCTCACTGTGCCCAATATACACCATCTCATCCCAACCCTCTGTTTTGTTGTTAGGCAGCCCCTGGATCTTTCTTTTTTCCTGTATGGAATTCCAGTTGTTTCTAAAGAACTCTGCTAATTCTTACTACTGGGTTGGCACACAGGGACTCTGAATGGTTTAATGAAAAGATGGCCAGTTCGAAGGTGTAAATTTTACATAGTGGCAAAGGATAAAGCAAATTAAGAGAACATTTTATGATGCAGAAGTTATCTTGCTCCCAGGCAGAGTTGCAGCTTTCCAGCTCCCCAGAGTTCTCTACAAGGAGGTGGCACTGTGGCTCATACCAGATGTGGAGAGTTGATGGTTGCATCAGATATGAGATAATCTCTGGGCAATCTGCCAGGATGTTTTTAAAAACGTCTTCTGCAGTGTAATATACACATAGAAAAAGGCAAATTTCATGCGTTCAGCTTGATATAATTTCATAAACTGAACACCTCAAGGGAGTTTTTATACCTTGAGCTCTACCTTGTCCAACTGTTCTGGAAACTCTGACATTGGGTTTGCCTGCAAAGGAAAACAACCTCAATACATGCCTGAGTATTTCCTGTGAAACTGGGTGTTTCCAAAGCTCACCCCTCAGCCGGCCTAGACTTCAGGTCTAGTTAGCACACATTCTTATGCCCACCTTTTCCAACTTCACAGGCGCCTCTCATCTCTCCGTTAAGCTCTTGTTTACTCAGGACCACATATTTTAGTAATTGGTGGCTCACTCATTGCTTCACATCTATTCGGTTCCCGTTGCCACTGTATTTTGACAACATGTATTGCTTACTATTTAATTGAAAAGTTGGGGAGGGATAGCATTAGGAGATATACCTAATGCTAAATGACGAGTTAATGGGTGCAGCACACCAACATGGCACATGTATACATATGTAACAAGCCTGCACGTTGTGCACATGTACCCTAAAACTTAAAGTATAATAATAATAAAATTAAAAAAAAAAAAAAGAAAAGTTGGTTTTTCTGGTTGGCCGCGGTGGCTCACCCCTGTAATCCCAGCACTTTGGGAGGCAGAGGCGGGCAGATCATGAGGTCAGGAATTCGAGACCATCCTGGCTAACATGGTGAAACCCCATCTCTATCAAAAATAAAAAAATTAGCCGGGCATGGTGGCTGGCACCTGCAGTCCCAGCTACTCGGGAGGCTGAGACAGGGCAATGGCGTGAACCCAGGGGTGGAGCTTGCAGTGAGCCGAGATCGCACCACTGCACTCCAGCCTGGGCGACAGAGCTTGCTCCGTCTCAAAAAAAAAAGAAAAGAAAAGGTGGTTTTTCTTTAAATACATCACTTAAAATTGTTTTCTATATTCTTCAAGTAGCATTATTTTAAGGAGCAGAACAAGAAATTAATGACAAAATGGGATTTTTATCCTTAAATAAGATTTTCTTTTTTTTGAAGACACAGTCTCACTCTGTTGCCAAGGTTGGAGTGCAGTGGCTCGATCTCGGCTCACTGCAACCTCTGCCTCCCGGGTTCAAGAAATTCTCCTGCCTCAGCCTCCTCAGTAGTGGGTATTATAGGTGTGCACCACCACGCCTGGCTAATTTTTGTATTTTTAGTAGAGACGGGGTTTCACCACGTTGGCCAGGCTGGTCTTGAACTCCTGACCTCAAATGATCTGCCCACCTTGGCCTCCCAAAGTGCTGTGATTACAGGTGTGAGCCACCGCACCCAGCCTTAAATAAGATTTTCACAGCTACACAATTAGGGTGAGGAATGCATAAAACATTCAAATCTTTAATATTCCAAATCAAAGGTCTAACTACTTTGGGAGATGTTAACTAAAATATCTTGCCAATATACTATAGAAACAGAATTTATAAAGATACATTTATAAGAATTTATAGATTTGTAGAGTGAACTGGTACAGGACAGAGTGTTAAAGTAGTTAGATCTCTGGAGACCAGCCTCAATGAGGCTTCTATCTTTGAAACTGCCTGTCTCTGTAGGACAGGCAAAGCTGACTATACTGGACATGAGGTCATGGTGCTAAACTACTGGCAGGTGTAGTCACGGGCTTCTTTTATATATTTTACTTAAAGAATATTATAACCAATTTGGCTTATCAAATTAGTGTAGATAGAGGCTGAGGCGGGTGGATAACTTGAGGTCAGGAGTTCGAGACCAGCCTGGCCAACATGGTGAAACCCTGTTTCTACTAAAAATACATAAAGTCAGCCGGGCGCGGTGGCGGGCGCCTGTAATCCCAGCTACTTGGGAGTCTGAGGCACGAGAATCACTTGAACCTGGGAGGTAGAGGTTGCAATGAGCCAAGATCCTGCCACTGCATTCCAGCCTGGGCGACAGAGCAAGACTCCATCTCACAAACAAACAAAAAAACCCACACACAAATTAGTGTAGATAAAAAAGGTATCCCTCAAGTTTGACAAGAAAGTGGAGAGACAAACACAACTACATATTGCTGAGAGTGTAAACTGTACAACCTCTCTGAAGAGCAGTATGGTAATACTTATTAAAACTGTCTACACCTTTATGCCCAGTGATTCCATTTCCTTTTTTTTCTTTTGTGAGACAAAGTCTCACTCTATCCCCCAGACTGGAAGTGGAATGGGGAGATCTCTGCCCACTGCAACCTCAGCCTCCTGGGTTCAAGAGATTCTCCTGTCTCAGCCTCCTGAGTAGCTGGGATTACAGGTGCGTGCCACCATGCCTGGCTAATTTTTTTCTATTTTTAGTAGAGATGGGGTTTCACCACGTTGGCCAGGCTGGTCTTGAACTCCTGACCTCAGGTGATCCACCCAGCTTGGCCTCCCAAAGTGCTGGGATTACAGGCGTGAGCCACCGCACCTGGCCTCCATTTCAATTTTTATCCTAAGTACATATTCATAAATATGGAAAAAGATTTATGTACATAACGTGGTAATATATTGAGGCTAAAAGAAAAAGATTTAGGTACAAAGATATTTAATCCAGCATTATCTACACTAAGATCAAAATTGTTGAAACCATCCAGCAACAGGGAAAATGTTAAATAATTTATGGTATGTTTATATGTAGACCATTATGTAGAAAAAAAAGCTAATGAAATTTTAGACATGGGAACAGCTCATGACACAAGTTTGTTTAAAAAGGCAGTTTCCAGGACTTTTTGTAAAATTAGTTTTTCTGAAAGACTGAGAGAAAATGTTATCTCTGAGTGGGTGATCTCTGAGGGGTGTAATTATTGACTATTTATTTTCCTGTTATATATTCTGTGTTTCCTACAGAGAGCTCTATTATTTATACAATCAAAAACTTGTTTTTAGAAAAATACTGTTTTGGCAATACTTTGGAATGGAATTTGGTGTTCAAAGTCTCAATCATGATGCACTCCGCTAATTTTAAAAAATTAACAAGAACTTCACAAAATCCTAATTTTTAATCTTCCCTTTCCCCTTAATCTTTTTCATTGCAAATAGTTTCCCACGGTCTCAATTTCATCTTTAAATGTGAGCATTTTAGGTCATTACTCTTCAAATGTAACTTCGGTCTCCACAGGCTGATATATTTTTAATGTTTCCTCATGGATTAAAAATAAAAGCTCTCTGTATCTTTGATTTTCATCTGAACATAGTCCCACACTATGTTGTGCATTTAGTTAACAAGTGGTAATTTGCTCAGGAACTTTTTTTTTTCTGGATAATTTTTATCTCAAAAAGCACTGGCAGGGCCACTTTGTAGTCAATGACACGTGGAAACCAGTCTACCGTGAGCCAGTGGGACGCACTGGGAAAGGCTGAAGAAAAGGCGCCCGGGGTTCCAGTGAGCTCAGGATACCCACCCAACGGCAGGGCTGGGGCCCGGGGCAGGCAGCCTGCCCGGGAGAGACCCCTAGGGGAACCCGAATGAGGAGGCGAGGGCAGAAGACGCCAAGTCACGGACCGCCCAGGGTGGCCGAAATAGAGAAGGCCAATCTGGGAGACCGGCCTCGGAGTACACAGTGCAGGGTGGAGAACTGGAGAAAGAGGTAAAAACTTTCAGCAGGGATGGCCGAACATTCCATGCAACGCCCCTTTAAAACGACGTTTCAGGCGATCACTAGGCCTTGCGACCGCAGCTTTAGCAAAAACAGAAAGATTTGCGACGGAAGTCCCTTTCCAAGCCTGAAATCGCCTTGACCCTAGGAGCCAGAAGCTGGGGAGGAACTCGCAGTCCGGGCGGAAGAGCGCGCATGCGCCGCCTCAGGGGCCGGTCCCGGGGGCGGGGCCTGTTCCCTCCGCCCTGGGTCTCCACAGGCTTTCGCGGGGCGGGGCCTACTCCCTCCGCTCTGGGTCACAGCGGGCGTTCGGGGGGCGGGGCCTGTTCCCTCCGCTCTGGGTCCCCGCGGGCGTTCGGGGGCGGGGCCTGTTCCCTCTGCTCTGGGTCTCCGCCGGCGCCCGCCCCGCCAGCCTCACCTGCGCGGCACGTGACCCGCACCGCCCGTGGGCACCTTGAAGGCGGATCCCGCGCGCCCCCGCTCCTGCAGGTGAGAGCGGCCGCGCCCACGGGCCGGCTCAGCGGCGGTGGCGGCAGGTGGGGAAGCGCGGCTGGGCCTGCTCGCGCGGGGCGTCTGAGCCCTCCATTTCCCGGTTCTAACCGCGCAGCAGGGCCCAACCGGGACCTTGAGTGCGGCGAGGCGTGGTTCGTGCACCCTTGGCCCGGGGCTAGGGCGGGCGTGTCGGCGTCGGGTGGAAGGAAGCCCCTTGCGGGTGAGCTCCCTGCCTCCCAGGCCTCCCTCTTGCCTGGGGTCGCTCAGTCCACAGAGGCCCGGCCGCTCATAGAGGGGGGCACATTCCTGGTCTTTCGTGCATGGGGGGTGTAAGTGGCGGACTTTATTTTGGGAGCGCTGGACACCTTTCGGGTTTGCTTTGAATGAGATGGGATTCATGTGTTTACGCTGGCCAACTGACCTGGTGTGCCCGGGAATTTACTGTTCGCGTGACAGCCGAGGCCCGAGGGAACGCCCACACCGCCCCCCCTACCCCAAGGCAGGTCCTGGGTAGGCCTGAGAGCTTTTTCAAAACAAACTGTTCAGCTGACGGTGGCCTCGGTACTTCCCACTGAATGCCCTGGAACTTGCAAAGGGAGCTGAGTGCGGCAGAGGGCTGGGAGCCGGAGTTTGTTTGGAAAATCACCTGTGCGCACTTGCACAGCTGGGATTTGCGAGCTCTCCAGAAAGCACCACCTGGTCTTGATTGTTTTCAAGACAGCAGTACAGGGATAGTCTACCAGAAATTTTCGTGTTTGGTTTTTAGGCTTTATTGGAGTTTATGTTCGAAGAAAAGAAGCTGAACTTATCCTAAAAGGATAAGATGAAGATAGGGAAAGGCATGCTCCTTATGCCTTAATATTTGTTTGATTGATTGATGGGGTCCTGCTCTGTTGCCCAGGCTAGAGTGCAGTGGTGCAATCACAGCTCACCGCCGGCGTCACCTCCGGGGCTCAAGTGATGCTCCCGCCTCAGCTTCTCGAGTAGCTGGGACTACAGGTGCTCGCCACCACACCCAGCTAATTATTTTTATTTTTAGAGAGATGGGGTCTTGCCTTGTTGCCCAGACTGGTCTTAAACTCTTGGGCTCAAGTGTTCCACCCATCTCGGCCTCCCAAAATGCTGGGACTACAGGTGTGCACCATCGCGCCCAGACTTTTTTTTTCTTTGGTAGAGGTGTTTCCGTAAATAAGACTAGGACAAAGGATTATCAATTTTACAAGTCAAGGTTATACCTGCCCCTTTCAGAGCTGATTCTGCCTCACTTGACACCAGTTTTCCACCGTCAGTTATGTTTCTGTGTGTGTATATATATTTAGTCTTGGTAGATTTTCTAATTTCATATTACATATGGATTATTTAAAGGCTGGAACTCAGTTGGGCTCGAACAAAATAAATATTCAACTTATATTTATTTAAGTACATTAGGTGCCTGACAGTTTTACATGGTGTGGATACAGAAATGAGCAAGATGGCAAAGTACCTACTCCTTTGGGATTTACATCCTAGTCGGAGGAGACAATTTAACAAATATCCGATGCTGGTGGTAATTGCTGAGAATATAGAGTGATGTGCTAGCCTAGGGAGTGGCTACTTTAAATAGGGAAACCGTCTCTGAGGAGAGACACTGAAATTGAGATCTAAATGACAAATAGGATCCCAAGAGCAGAGGCAAGAACATTTCAGCTTGAGAAAACCGCTTTATGGAGACGGAAGACTGTTAGGCCAAGGAGGCTGGAAAGAAGAGAGGGACAGTGGCCAGAGTTGAGATCTGAGAAGTGGGCAGGCGGGAATTATATAGGATTTTGATTACATAAGACTGTATAGGATTTTGTTTGCCATGATGAGTTTGATTTTATTCTAAATTTGTAAATTTGTTCTTGAGCGTGGTCTGGCTAAGTTCATTTTTTGACACTTTCTTAGGTTTTCTTTTCTTGGTTTCCTTGATTCATTCAGAGGTGGTTCCTCACCTCAAGTCTTTTGTATAATTTTACTATTTATCAGACAGGATGACAAACCATGATAGGACAGCTTTCAACATGGTCACTTATTAATAAATTTTCAATGAGACTTTTGTTGTTTTTTTTTAAGAGCAAATCCTACAGTTTGATTTTAAAGGCGGAGCAGATAGCCTTGGCTCCATCCTGTGAAGGGAACAGCTAAGATAGTTTATTAGAATAGAAAATACTTTTTGAGTTGAGATGAGCAGATCTGGAGTGAGGTATTTTTGAGAACTCCTTATGAGAAAGGCTTCAAAGGTGAAATAAACACCTTAGGTTTTGAAAGCTCAACATCAAATCAGTTTGAAGTTATTTGACAGTTTGAAGGTTCTTTTTGAGGAGTTGTGGAAATTTATTGGTATGACAACGGTGGTTGTGAGAATCAGAGGTTATAGTCTTATAGATTTTTTTTTCTCCAAATTGTTCTTATCCCAGGTAACAGGTTGTCCTTTAAAACAGAGCTCCCTTGGCCGGGTACGGTGGCTCACGCTGGTTATCCCAGCACTTTGGGAGGCTGAGGTGGGCGGATCACTTGAGGCCAGGAGTTCAAGACCTGGCCAACATGGGGAAACCCGGTCTCTACTAAAAATACAAAAAATTAGCCGGGCGTGGTGGGACATGCCTGTAATCCCAGCTACTTGGGAGGCTGAGGTGGGAGAATCACTTGAACCCGCGAGGCGGGAGTTGCAGTGACCTGAGAACATGCCACTGCACTCAAGCTTGGATGACAGAGGGAGATCCTGTCTCAACAAAACAAAACAAAAACAAAACATAGATCCCCAACCCCCAGGGCCGAGGACTGGTACCCATCATGGCCTGTTAGGAACTGGGCTGCACAGCAGGAGGTGAGGGCATGAGTGAGCTCCACCTCTTGTCAGATCAGCTGCAGTGTTAGATTTTTTTTCTTTTTTTTTTTTTGAAGGCGGAGCAGATAGCCTTGGCTCCATCCTGTGAAGGGAACAGCTAAGATAGTTTATTAGAATAGAAAATACTCTATTTTCTAGAACTCTAGAGATGGAGTTTCGCTCTGTCACCCAAGCTGGAGTGCAGTGGCACGATATCAGCTCACTGCAACCTCCTCCTCCCTTCAAGGGATTCTTCTGCCTCAGCCTCCCAAGTAGCTGAAACTACAGGCATGTGCCACCACACCCAGCTAATTTTTGTAGCTGGGGCTCCAGGCATCCACAAACCCTATTATGAACTGCGCCTGCGAGGGATCGAGGGTGTGCTGCTTATGAATCTAATGCCGGATGATCTGAGGTGGAACTGTTTCATCCTGAAACCATCCCCCACACCCCAGTCCAGGGAATAATTGTCTTCCATGAAACTGGTCCCTGCTGCCGAAAAGGTGGGGACCACTGCTTTAAAATGTTGATGTAGAAGCTTTCATTGAGCAAATTAAAACATTTTGGCCCTTTTATATAGACTCAAATTGCATGTATCTGATTCCTAGAATAAATAATCTTTATCTGCTTAAAAATTTCAGGCTGTTTTTCTTCAAATAAAGAACATGGTGAAACTGATTCACACATTAGCTGATCATGGTGACGATGTCAACTGCTGTGCCTTCTCCTTTTCCCTCTTGGCTACTTGCTCCTTGGACAAAACAATTCGCCTGTACTCGTTACGTGACTTTACTGAACTGCCACATTCTCCATTGAAGTTTCATACCTATGCTGTCCACTGCTGCTGTTTCTCCCCTTCAGGACATATTTTGGCATCGTGTTCAACAGATGGTACCACTGTCCTATGGAATACTGAAAATGGACAGATGCTGGCAGTGATGGAACAGCCTAGTGGCAGCCCTGTGAGGGTTTGCCAGTTTTCCCCAGACTCCACGTGTTTGGCATCAGGGGCAGCTGATGGAACTGTGGTTTTGTGGAATGCACAGTCATACAAATTATATAGGTATGGATATTTAAATCCTTCCTGTTTTAATCCTGTTGACTAGGTGTACTTAAAAAAAACTGAAAGCAAAATATTTTGATACTCTGCACAGTCTAAGTGATGTAGAAAAAAAGAAAAATATTTTGATGACCCTAGGAAGCCAATAGTTTTCAGGTAGCACAAGGAAAAATATTTTAACTGGGCCAGGTGCTGTGGCTCACGCGTGTAATCCCAGCACTTTGGGAGGCCAAGGCAGGCGGATCACGAGGTCAGGAGATCGAGACCATCCTGGCTAACATGGTGAAACCCCGTCTCTACTAAAAATACAAAAAATTAGCCGGGCATGGTGGCAGGCGCCTGTAGTCCCAGCTACTTGGGAGGCTGAGGCAGGAGAATGACGTGAACCCAGGAGGCGGAGCTTGCAGTGAGCCGAGATCACACCACTGTACTCCAGCCTGGGTGACAGACCGAGTCTCCGTCTCAAAAAAAAAAAAATTTTTTTTAACTGGCCTTCTAAAGGTCAAAAACCCAGAGAGTTGTTTAATATGATTCTTATAGTAGATTTGCTTAGCGCCAATCTTAAAATTAAGAGTTAATCTTGTTAGACTTTTATGGTTTTTTTTTTAATTGTAAGAGTTAAAGCAGTATTTTGAAGGTTCAGTAATTTTAGGCTTTATTTTTGTCACTTGTGGTTTAAGTGTTTTCTTTCTTTTTTGAGACAGAGTTTCACTCTTGTTGCCCAGGCTGGAGTGCAGTGGTGGGATCTCAGTTCACTGAAACCTCCACCTCCCAGGTTCAAGCGATTCTCCTGCCTCGGCCTCCCGAGTTGCTGGGATTACAGACTCCTGCCACCATGCCCAGCCAGTTTTTTGTATTTTTAGTAGAGACTGGGTTTCCCCATGTTGGCCAGGCTGCTCTTGAACTCCTGACCTCATGTGATCCACCCGCTTCAGCTGGCTTCCCAAAGGGCTGGGATTACAGGTATGAGCCACTGCGCCCGGCCCATAGTATGTAAAGCTTTAATAGTATGTAAAGCTCAGCTAAGAGATGCAGTTATTTCTGTGACTGCAATTCTTGCTGGATGAATGACCAAGCCCAGAAGAAGGAACCTCATGCCTGGTGTGGTGGTGATGTGTTATCATTTCTTAAAAACTCGCCTGAAAAACTCTTTTGGAAAAAACCAATTAATTTACATTGGTAATGTTGTATTGCAATTTAACAACATTAAAACTATTCACATTTATTTATATTGTGGCAAAATATACGTAACAGAAGTTATCATTTTTATTAGCTAGGCGTGGTGGCGTGTGCCTGTAGTCCTCGCTACTCCAGAGGCTGAGGTCAGAGGATCGCCTGAACCCAGGTGTTTGAGGCTGCAGTGTGCTAGGATTGCACTACTGTACCCCAGCCTGAGTGACTGAGTGACCCTGTCTCAAAAAAAAAAGTTAAAATTTTCACGCTAACACTTTTAGATGACATTAAGTACATTAGAAACCATGCGCTTTTAAGTAATTACCAATTAAAAGAGCCTAGTGTACCTCCCCCTCCTTCTGTCTCCCAACATCTTTTAGAGCACAAATGCTAGTTGGTCAACAACTATTGCTCATTTAAGCTTAGGTCTTTGGGTTGAAGAGGGTGACATGTTTTAAGTGGTGTTAATAAACACTTATGCCAAATATCTTTTTTATATGCATGAAATCCAGCTGTCAACTAGGAATCTTACTTATCCAATGATGACTTCTGGCTCTATAGCATAACTATCCCTAAACTATGTAATTAATTATATATAAATGATAGATACCCTGCTGGATGGGACAGTGTGTTAATTGTTGGGTTTTTAACAGCTTATTTTTCCTAATTGAGCAAATACTAATACTTCAGCACCGTGCCTCCCTGTCTTCCTAACGTAATTTTAACTTGCCCACAGCATTTTCCTTTCATAAATAATTTATATTTGAAGACCTCGCCATTGCTTCTGGGTAATTTTTTTTTTTTTTTTTTTGAGACGGAGTCTCGCTCTGTCGCCCAGGCTGGAGTGCAGTGGCGGGATCTCGGCTCACTGCAAGCTCCGCCTCCCGGGTTCACGCCATTCTCCTGCCTCAGCCTCCCAAGTAGCTGGGACTACAGGCGCCCGCCACTACGCCCGGCTAATTTTTTGTATTTTTAGTAGAGACGGGGTTTCACCGTTTTAGCCGGGATGGTCTCGATCTCCTGACCTCGTGATCCGCCCGCCTCGGCCTCCCAAAGTGCTGGGATTACAGGCGTGAGCCACCGCGCCCGGCCACTTCTGGGTAATTTTTAATACAGACGTTGTAAGTACCTTTGACTCCAATAACATATTTTCCAATAAAAATAGTTTTATCTTACCTTTTTTAAAAAATATGGCTGTAGTTGATGTTGCTTGTCATTGCTTTTCTGGTTAAGTTTTACATATTTTAATGTGTTTATACTGATTTGCCCTGTGGAAAAATATGAAGATATGTGGACTTTGGTTTGTAATTTAGGCTTGAACATACCAGTTAAAATGTTTAAGGGAGGATATTTAAATCCTCCCTTGCTTTTAGACAGTATATCTCAGTTCATAGCATATAAATGATATTTTATTTCTGTAGGCATCAGTTGTCCTTTCTCTCTAGTTCTGTGATAGCCATTTATTCTCTTTTCACTGTATCAAGCTGCTGTTAGAGACTGTGGTATAAAGTAAAGGATACTCTGAAATGAAAACCCACTTTTTGCTTTTATTTCAGATGTGGTAGTGTTAAAGATGGCTCCTTGGCGGCATGTGCATTTTCTCCTAATGGAAGCTTCTTTGTCACTGGCTCCTCATGTGGTGATTTAACAGTGTGGGATGATAAAATGAGGTGTCTGCATAGTGAAAAAGCACATGATCTTGGAATTACCTGCTGCGATTTTTCTTCACAGCCAGTTTCTGGTTGGTTATTTTATTCTTTTAAGCACTAGAAATTCCTATTTGTAATTTGTGCTGTATATGACTTTTCATTCTTTTATTCTTTTTTATGTTATCATTAGTAGAGTGAGGAGCCCTCTTAATTTATTCCTGTAAAGGGATTATCCTTCTCTCTTTTTTGACCAAAAATGAAATCATGAAAAAATATATGAGAAAATTGCATTCTTTTTTTTTGGTCTTGGAGTTTCCTGCAAGAAAATTACATTCTTTATTATATGCAGGGGGTGGCTCAAATTGGTACAACAGATTCAGATTCCTTGGATATGGCAATTTAGAGGACCTAACCCTATTGATACAATTGCAATTAAAAGAACACTATATTGATATTCAAGTAGAAATGTAAACTTTAAAAATTGGAAATAGAAGCTGTGTTTTCCATTTACTAATTTAATCTTCGAAAAGCTAAATTTATAAAATGTTTGCCAACACAATTAGTTTTTTAGAAATAAACAGAACTCCTGAATGTAGTCTCTTGGTTTTAAATAGGTACAGTGATTTGGAAAGTTCTTTCTTTAGAGTTTTCATTTTCCGTGTTAGTGGATGGGAGTTCTGTAGCTTTTGTCCCCCTGCAGTCTTGTTACCAGACCAGTGCTATCCATAACAACGTAATGCAAGCCACTTAGGAAAATTTAAAATGTAGTAGTAGATGAAATTAATTAATAATATATCCTGATATATCTACAATGTAGTTTCAATAATTGATAATAAAAATTATTAATAAGATTTTATCTTTCGTACTAAGTCTTTGAAATCTGGTATGTATATTACAGATAGTACATTTCAATTTGGACTAGCTGCATTTCAAGTCTTTGATACCCACATATGGCCAGTCACTGCCCTATTGGACAAAACAGGTCCAAAGAGTAGACAGAAAGGTTTTGGTATTTCCCCCCTTTTCAAGCCCATCAGTGGCTTGTTAAGATATGATTAAGATCTCAAATCCCAAAAGCAAAACATGTTCTGCTTCCCCCTAATCTCAAATTGCTCTTGGCCTTATGCATTTTTTGCCACATTGACTTTCTTTCATTCCTGGAATGTTTCTAAGATTTTTCCAAGGGTTTTACGTGCAGACCCTTTACCTGGTTTGCTGTTAATATCCTTTAGAATTTGGCTGAAAATCACTAAAGATAAGTCTCTCCTGATCTTAACCCCTGCATTAAATCTGTATAATTTTGATATAGTCTTTTTTTTGCATGCTTTATTTTTCTGTTACAGTACTAAGTATCACAATTTTTAATTCTATATTTATATGGATAATATTTAATGGTGTTTTTCCTATTAGCTTGTAAGCTCCAGGCAGGCAGGGCCTGGGTCATTTTTCTTCATCGTGCCTGATACAGAGTAGGCCTTGAAATGTAGATTGATGAGTAAGATTCCTTTTAATGATTTGCTGAAATAATAGATTTTCTTTTCATAAACCCATTCTTACGTTAAACTCCCTCCCTAATTTAATTAAGGCAGTTATTCTTTTAGTATATTGTTCTGTGATATTTTACTGTAAGAACAGCTTGTAACAAACAAGCCATTGCTTCCATTTCTGTGGGACCTTCTCTACATCTTGTAGGCACTCAATGAATGTGGTGAATTATATAAGTGTGGAGAGATCTAGGTTCCTTTTTTGGTTCTAAATGATCTGAAGATAGATTTCCAATGAAAATACTATTATATTAGTTAATATTAGAATAAAAATAAGGGCTTTTTTGTCCTGCATTTAGAGAGATTGGGAGCTTATGGGGTCAGGAAAGGCTCACTAAACCAGGCAGAGAATTCTAGGTGAGATTCTGAAATGATACCCACATCCCCACCCTGCCTTTAGAACATATTATACACTTCTCTCGGTATAATTTTAATCTTTGTGCCTTCTTTAGTTCCTTTAGTGTTGCTGTGGAAATATATCTTAACCTTATGAGTAAATTCTCTGAAACAAATTGGTACATGCTTTAAAGTGATTATTGTAGGAATTTGTGGGAACAACTGTATTTAGAAGACAAAGTATATAATTTCAATTTGTTTAATTTCGTATTTGTTATTATCTGTAAATACTTATGACATATTGACTCATCTTGTGACATTTTGCTGAAATAAGGAAAAATAATCCTGTTTGCACCTGAGAGTAAATGATCATTTCTCTCCAGTTTTTAAATGATAAAGTGTAGGTTAGGTTATTATAATTTAAATATTTTTCCTGAAGAAAAGTATGTTTCTAAATATTATATTTAGATACTGAACATAAGCACATTTTAACCTGTGTAATTTTCCATTGTCTTAGCTGAATTTTCACTACTTAGAGAACTTCAGAATTAACTTCAAAGGATCTATTTAGTTAAGAAACAAATAGCGTTGCTAATTAGGTCTAATACAGAAATATTTTGCTCTCAGCCATTTATTGAATAAAATGTTTTGTCTTAAAAAGACAGTGATTATCAGGAATTGCCTGTATCCCTCAAGATCTCTCTTAGAAAGGATATATTTTGGGTAAATCTATGCTACAGAAAGAAACAAAAATGCTATTGAAATATGGAAGTCCCATGGAGTTAAAAAAGCTTTCAGTGAAATGGAATTTAATTTGTTGTTCGTTAGTAAAGTGTTTGTACTTTCAAAGAGGCAGAGTCCATAGAAAAAATTTACATGCCCAGGTGTACACGTTTGTTAAATTTTATATACTGAAAATTTGTTAAGCCAGAGTACAATCTTAAGATGGATATTAGATTTCTGTTTTGGTGACAGGGTCTTGCTCCGTCATCCAGGCTAGAGTGCAGTGGTGTGATCATAGCTCACTGCAGCCTCAAACTCCTGGGCTCAAGGAGATCCCCTGCCTCGGCCTCCTAAGTAGCTACAACTACAGATGTGTGCCACCACACCCGGCTAATTTAAAAAAATTTTTTGTAGAGACAGGGTCTTACCATCTTTCCTAGCCTGGTCTCAAACTCCTGGTGTCAGCCTCTCAAAGTGCTGGGATTACAGACTTCAGCCACCATGCCCAGCCTCAATTTCTTAATTGTGCTTTACTGCATATGAGTGCCAAAACTTACTTGATGAAACTACTTGTGATATTAGGTGCAACTTGTATAAAATTGCATTGATGATGTCAATATTTACATTATCCAAAATTGTTTAGGAACTTTAGTAGATATATAATGATACACTAAAATTAAGTAAGTGTAATGTAGTAGCTCTTCTGGGACACCATATAACTGATTACTTTCCCTAAATAATATAATATTTTCAACCAAATGGAGTGAATTGATGTTATTTTTGATTTCTATAATTCCAGCCTTTGGCTTGATTAAATCAGATGGAAAAAAATTCCCATTATTATTCCATGTGAACTATAGATCAGGCTTTTAAGAAATTGATATGACTTTAGGCCAGTGCAGTGGCTCACGCCTGTAATCCCAGCACTTTGGGAGGCTGAGGCAGGCGGATTGCAAGGTCAGGAGTTCAAGACCAGCCTGGCCAATATGGGGAAACCCCGTCTCTACTAAAAACACAGAAATTAGCCGGGTGTGGTGGCACATGCCTGTAATCTCAGCTACTTGGGAGGCTGAGGCAGGAGAATTGCTTGAACCTGGGAGGTGGAGGTTGCGGTGAGCTGCCAAGATCGCACCACTGCACTCCAGCCTGGGCATCAGAGCGAGACTCCATCTCAAAAAAAAAAAAAGGAAGAAATTGCTATGACCTTAAAAAAAGGTTAGGAATGATTAAACATTTAACACTCTCAAAGTAACTGACTTTTCTTCCTGATTTTTCCTATCAGTGCTAGCCTCATAGACTCTCAAATTGAGTTAGAGGAGGATGCTCTATTGAGTGGCTCAATATTGGTCCTTGCAGCCTTGAGTTCTATTCTTTGAGGAAGGAAAATGAAAGGTATTTTTTTGTAGCAACTTGAGGACTAATAATCCCACATAGTACCTTGTTTAAAAGAAATTCTTTAATCAGCATTTTGTTAAATGATATAAGTTAACTAATAACTTGTGAACATGGTTTAAATGAGTAGAATTAATAGATCTTAGTATAAGAAATGGGAATTTTGGGGGGGTTTCAGTGTTTTACAAATTCTCTGTATTTATTTTTAATAAATTTTAGATGGAGAACAAGGTCTTCAGTTTTTTCGACTGGCATCATGTGGTCAGGATTGCCAAGTCAAAATTTGGATTGTTTCTTTTACCCATATCTTAGGTATGTATGCCAAATAGTGCTTCTCTAAAATTATTTGTGGTCTGGATAAAATTTCTATTTAATCTTTTTACTTAAGGTACCTTGAGTATCTAAAAGTAAGTATTAAAATATGGTTTAAGAAACTTTTAGTCAAAATAATACACATGATTTAAAAATCAGATGCTCATTGATGATCATGACCTCACCCATTCTACTGCCATGCACATTTCTGCTCACCAGAGGTGACCACTTTGCACTTGATTTCAACTCCTTTGTGGTTTTCACAGTTTCTGTAAACACTGTTTATACCACTACATTTTTTTATTTATTCACTGTAGGTACTGCTTTTTGTTAGTGTGTGGGTCTTTTCCCATCCATTGTACTATTCCATCAGGTGACCCTTTCAGTCAGGAAGCTTATTTTGTACAGTTTTGGAATAAACTATTCCGTTATGTTATTTCTTTAATTCATCTCTCTTTTTACAACTTCCATTAATTGAATGTTGGGCCTCCTGAATTGATTCTCTTTTTTTATCCCCCACATTTCTCTCTCTTTTCTTGTACTTTAGGGGAAAATTTCTCTGCTTTTTGTCTTAACCTTTTTTTGAATGTTTTATCGCATTAATCATATTTTCAGATTCTAAAAGCTCACCATCTTCTTTGTTTTCTTTTCATAGTGTCCTTTATAAATGTAAGATCTCAAAACTCTCAGGATGTCATTTAGGAGTTTTTGCTTTAAGTTCCCTTCTGTTTTCTGATCTTTGTTTGCAGTTGAGTCCCCTTTTTGCTTAGTACTCTGTTTGCATTTAAGAATTAGACAATGTTTAGAAGCTCTGTGCACAGAAGTGGTTCGTTATTGCTGGCTTCCCTCTAGGATGAGGAGGTGGGTAGTTGGCCCTTCTGGGTGAAGGACTGGGGACTTAGGGAGTAGACACTCTGTCACCCTAGAGCTTCCCAGGCAGTTGTATTTTTTGAAAGGTTTCGCCAGGGATAAATGCTTGGCTTTTGTGCAGCATACTAAGGGTGAAGTTGGGGAGAGATTGGAGGTAGACACTGAATGGTCTGTATACAGTCAGTCAGTTCATTTTTCTCTTTTCAGGTCTATGTCTGTGTCATTCTAATTTTCCTTTTTCCTGGCTATTGATATTCTGGAACCTTGAGGTATTTTCTTCCTACCCTCTCCATCTCCTCTCTCAGGTCTTGCCCTGGCTAATTTTTAAATTTTTTATAGAGACAGTGTCTCAGTTTGTTTCTCAGGATGGTCTTGAACTCCGGGCCTCAAATGATCCTCCCACCTTGGCCTCTCAAAATGCTGGGATTACAGGCGTGGGCCACTGCGCTTGGCCAGTCTTGGGGTGTTTTCTAGGGCAGAATAACTTTCTTGGCTGTACCCCTGTCTCTTTGTATGCTGGGCTGTTATTCTTTTATACTTCTTCATTACTTAATGTGCTTTCTGCCTCCCCAAAGTTGATTCAGTTTCTGGTTTGCTGATGCCCCTCTTCCCACTCTCTTTACCAGTGTACATTTCTGTTTTTATTAATTCCTTCCTTGACATTTTCATGGGGAATCTGAAATTTTGTGGTCATCTTGATTGATTCAGGAGCCTCAGAATATTATTATTTGTTACCTAGTAAGCTTCAGTTAAATGACAAACTGTATTTTTGTTGTTCATAATTATCCTAGTTTATAGTGTATAGAGAAGAACCTTTTATCGGGAAATAAATATGTTCCTTTAGTAATTGTTCAAAAGTAAAGCCTTTCATGTTTACTGGAAAATATGTTGACACTGACTTTTTAACAAAAACATACATGACAGTTTATAAACGTGCAGTTAAAAACTTTTCATAAGGCTGGGCGTGGTGGCTCACACCTGTAATCCCAGCACTTTGGGAGGCTGAGGCAGGTGGATCACTTGAGGTCAGGAGTTTGATACCAGCCTGGCCAACATGGTGAAACCCTGTCTTGACAAAAATACAAAAATTAGCCAGGTGTGGTAGTGCACACCTGTAGTCCCAGCTTCTTGGGAGCCTGAGTCAGGAGAATCACTTGAACCCAGGAGGCGGAGGTTGCAGTGAGCCGAGACTGTACCACCGCACTCCAGCCTGGGTGACAGAAGGAGATGCTCTCAAAAAAAAAATAATAAAAATAAAATCTTTTCATAAAGCATTTATCACCATTTGTACCTTATTATTTGCTTATTTGTAGGGAGGAGTAGAGAGACATATGGGTCTTATACTTGAGGACATAACCTATTATTGTTGTATTGAAGTTTTATAGTCTTAATTTGGTGTGCAACTTAATATGTTTGCTTTGTTTGATTAATCATGCCTATTTATTGCTCTGTTCCCAGTTAGAATTAAAGCCTTTTGAAGTTTATCATTGTATTTCTAGCACTTAGCACGGTGTCTTTAGTGTGTGTCTCTGCTCTCCCAGATAAAAATATATATTTTTTCCTGTTTTGAGCTTGAAACTTTTACTTACTCTGATGACCTTTTTCTTTAGTTAAATGCTTGTTATCCTCACTAAAAGACATTTAACACTTCAAAAAAGGTTTTATTGTGTCTGATGTAGTTATAAATTTCCCTCGTGTATTTCCTTTTCCTTCTTTCCCAACCCCTGCCAATTTCTTTTTATTTTTATAGGTTGTCACCAAAATATATTGAATTCCCTCAGTATACTTTTAAAGTAGTTGTGATGTTTATATTTAGTAATTCTAAAAGCATGAAAAGGATTTTATACCTTTTTATACTTTGTAGGAGTGTTATATTTTATAAAGATAATATTGGAATTACAAGATGTGTAAATTACCATTGATTATTTACAGGATGAGAAAGTATTTTTTTACAGGATGAGAAAATATTTTTAAGTGCCAGATTTAAAAAATTGTAAGCATTTTTTTAAGTCTTTTGGGCAATTGGCGTATTTTGTTTTTATCAGACACTAAAATTGTGGTATAGTTTAAAAGTTAAAAATTTTGGTAGTTATGAAATTACCCCATCTAGCCTTTGTTGAACTGCTTTTTAAAATCCATTACTGAGCTTTTGAAATGTGAGACAGGGTAACAAACACAAGAAGCCATGTTTGCTCCTTTCTGCTTGCCAGCATAATTTGACAAATCCCCCGACTCTATGACAATGTGCAGCTCTCTGGAGGAATGCCTTGAAGACAAAACAGAGGAGAGCACAGAGTCCCCCATGTCTCTTCCCTGAGTCACTACATTCCTTAAAAGATAAATGAGCCCAGCCTTGCCTTTTCTTACCTGAGATAACGTCCAGTGGGGTTAGTGATCATGTTTCTGCAATCCGTAACCGAATGCACTTTAGAAATCTATAACCAGATGTACTCTTAAACCCAGACCTTGAGGTGATTCTGCTTTAATGTAACTTCTGTTTGACGTGATTTTGCACATACTAAACCTCTACCACCTGTATGTACGCAGCGGGCTGAAACGCTGCTTGGGAGTGGTCTTACAGATTGCCCTGTAGCTCCCAGGCCATAGGCCTTAGTCTGTAGTCCTCAGTAAGACTTCTGAGTAAAGCTACTTCAATTCTTTAAAAATTTGACTTTATTCTTTAGTCAACAGAAACCAGTTAATCACACTGCATCCCAATTATTTCCTTATAGATATCTGAGCTGCATGAGGATTTTTAATTTTTGTGTCCTTTAGGCACTCAAAGATTATTTGTTAAATAAATAAGTGAAATGGTGTTGACTTAAAAATCAATTCTAAGCATGGTCAGCTTTCTAATCTCTGTTACCTTGTTATTTGCAGGTTTTGAATTAAAATATAAAAGTACACTGAGTGGGCACTGTGCTCCTGTTCTGGCTTGTGCTTTTTCCCATGATGGGCAGATGCTAGTCTCAGGGTAAGCTAGTTGGTTTAATTTTCCTAAACCATTTTTATATGAAATCAAACAGACACACGGAAAAGTACATGAAACCTCAAAGAATAGCTTGATGAGCCACCACAAAGGTCAAGAAATAGAACATTGCTGGTTCTGCCCCAGAAGCCCTCCCCTTGCAAGTGCCCCTTTTTGGTGACAACATGTTAGATCATATGCACTACTGCTGTTTTCTTTAAAACTGACCTAAAACAAATTATGCAATATGAATTATTTTGTCAGGCTTCCTGTACCCAACATTACACTTGTGACATTAATTCATATTATTGCCTGGAGCTGTGGCCCTTTGATTTTCATTGCTGTGTAATATTCCATGGCATGGATACATTATAATATATATAATAGTTCATTTTAATGTTAATGGTTATATGATTGTTTCTGGTTTGAGGGCATTACAATAATAATTCTATGAATATATTGTATGTCCTGGTGTACATGTTCATGCATTTCTGTAAGATAAGTACATAGGAATGGCCTTGCTGAGTCATAGAATACGTGCATTTTCAACTTTGGCAGATAACAACAGTTTCCAAGTGGCTGAACAATTAATACTTCTATAGCAGTGTTGTTTTGTATCCTAGCCTGTACTTGGTATTGTGAGTGTTTAAAATTTTAGCCGTTCTGATGAGTGTGTAGTGTTGCCTTACTATGGTTTTAATTTGCGTTTCCCCAGAACAAAGTGGTTGGAACCTTTTCAGAAGTTTATTAGCCATATGTATTTTCTCTTGTATGAAGTGCCTGTTCATGCCTCCGGCCCATTTTTTTCTCTAGGTTATCTTTTTCTTACTGATTTGTTGTTATATATGTATGTGTGTGTGTGTGTATTTTTATATTTGAGCCATTTGTTGCTAGTTGCAAATATATTTTCCCAGCCTCTAGATTTGCCTTTTCACAGTTTATAATTTTAGTGTAGTCAGCTTCTTTATGTTCTGAGGTCATGAAGATATTTTCCTATATTCTAAGACCTTCATTGTTTTGCCTTTCACACTTAATGTGTATGATGTGCAATAGGAATCCCATTTTATTCCTTTCTACGTGAATATCCAGTTGTCCTAGTACTACGTATTGAAAAGACCACTTTTCTCCTCCATTTTGTTGTACTCCCTTGTCAGAAATCACTGACAATATATTTGTGAGTCTGTTTCTTAACTACTGTTTCTGCTATTTTGTTCTGTTTCTGTCCTTGCTCTAATATCATTCTGTCTCTCCCAGGCTTTATATTTTGTCTATTCCTAGCTATTGACATTTTCATGTAAATTTTAGAATCAACTTGTTAAATTGCCCCAATTCCTGTCTCCACACACACAAACCTGTTTGGGTTTTAATTAGGATTATATAGAGTCTGATGAATTTGGGGAGAATTGACATCTTTATGATATTGGTCTTGTAATCTGAGAATGTTGCATATTTCTTCATTTATTTATCTTTGAATTTCAATAATTGTCTTCTGTGTAGAAGTTCTCATCTTTTATTAGCCTTCTTTCTAGGCACTTGTTAGTATATAAAAGATGTGGCCAATATAAGGAAATATATAATGGAAATAAATTGGACTTACCTAGGAAATTTCTTATTTTGGATTATATGTATATGAAATCAGATCATTTGTGGATAATGATGGTTTTGTTCCTTCCTTTCTAATCCTTATATCTTTGGTATCTTCTGTGCCTTACTGAACTGTTGATACTACCAGGATAATAAAAGTGGCAATAACAGGCCTTGTCTGATTCCTCACTGCAGAGGGAAAGCTTTCATTATTCAATATGATCATTGTAGGTTTTGGGGAGATAAGCTTTATTCTTCTATTCCTTTTAGTTTGTAAGAGTTTTGTTGTTATTTTTTTAATCATGCAAGGGTATTGTATTTCATCAGATGATTTTTCCTACATCTTTGAGATGATACAATTTTTCTCTGTTACTCTGTTAGTGGAGTGAATTACAAGATTTTTAAATGTTAAACCAACCTTGCTTTGTTGGAACAAACAAATTTTAGGGTATATTATTGTTGTGTATTGCTATAGAAAAGTTAGTTTCATTCTAACTGTTGTTCCTTTGGATGTAATTCATGTGTTTTTCTCTGGCTGCTCATGAAATTTTCTGTTTTGAGGTTTTTGCATATCCACTTTGTATCTACATATGAGTTTCCTATTTAGTTTGCTTGGAATTCATTGAACTTCTTAAATCCTTGGAATGATATTGGGCAGGGCGTGGTGGTTCATGCCTGTAATCCCAGCACTTTGGGAGGCAGAGGCAGGCCTATCACTTGAGCTCAGGAGTTCAAGACCAGCCTGGCTAACATGGTGAAACCTCATCTCTACTAAAAATACAAAAATTAGCCAGGCATGATGGTGGGCACCTGTAATTCCAGCTACTCAGGAGGCTGAGGCAGGAGAGTTGCTTGAACCCAAGAGGTGGAGGTTGCAGTGAGCTGAGATCACACCACTGCACTCCAGCCTGGGTGACAGAGCAAGACTCCATCTCAAAAAAAAAAAAAAAAAAAAAAATCTGTGGAAAGATATTTTACCACTTTTGGAAAATTCTTATTTATTATCTCTTCAAGTATTGCCTCTGTTCCTTTCTTTCTGTCCTCTAATTCTGGGATTCCAATTAAAGGCACATTACACCTCACTGTAAACTTTATTCTCTCTTTTGTATTTATGCTTCTGTTTTGTTTGTTTGTTTGTTTTTTCCTGTTTCCTATGCTTCATTCTGGATGGTTTTCCCTTTCCTTTCTTCAGCTAATATATTAAACTGGTCCATTGAATTCTTAATTTTGCTTATTTTATTTTTTGGTCCTAGAATTCCTATTTGGCAATTTTTTTCAGTGGTGTCACTTTTTATGATTTCCAGTTCTGTGTTGAAGTTGTCAACCTTGGCTTTTATTTTTCAAAGCTTTATTCTGTTAGGCAATGGGCTGGAACATCGTTTCATGATTCAATTACTTTATACTCTTTTCCTTTTGAATACTTTTGTATATTTTCTCCTTGCCATTAGATTTTCTAAAACTTTCCTGTCTGATCTCACAGGTCATAGCATTCTGACCCACATTTATGGCTCTTCATAGCAACTTTCATTCCAGCTAAGATATTTAGGCTCCTAACCTCCATTTAGAATGTCTGGACTAAGGCTGATGGTTCTTTTTTTCCATATGCTCCAATTCTTGCCAAACAGCCAAATTACTAGTTATGTTGTTGTCATTATTGTAGATGTGGCTGTTTGATCTCTAAAGATGAAGATTATTCATCATCAAAAAGTATTTATAGTAATTGTCTTTTGACCTAGAATTTAAATCATTGGAAAGTTTAAACAAATAAAGTTGAACTCTGTCTGCTGTGTTAGGGGACAGGTTAGCTGACAGAATGATTATGTGCCCAGCTCTCTGCCAGTTGGAATAGGGCATAGAAAAGGAAGTATAAGACAGTGTTTGTGCTCTTGAAGACATTTTAAATCCCCTCTTTTCTATTTAGTAGTTGATGTTCATAGTGATGAACTAATAACACTGCAAGACCCTGACATGTACTTATCCTCTGAGTCATGGAGGAAGTGTTAAGTGATACTCAATATTGTGTTAAGTTCATTTTATAGCGGTATAATTCTTTGCCAGTTTGTATATATGTGTGTCTTAGTTAACATTGTATTTATGGAAATGTGTCTTTCCCAATCATTCTGGATAAATGGAAGTTTACATTATCAAGTGCTTTTGGGTATATGGTGTTGCTCAAGGTCACATTCAAATATTTTTCTGAATATTTCTAGTTTATTTGGACAAATATACAGGCAAATGAATGAGAAATGTAAATTAATAAACTTAATAAACATTTAGTTTTTAGAAGAATTGACAGGCATATTTAAATCATACTTAGTAGATAAAAATAGGTCAATTAGTTAATGATAGATTCTATTTGTGACTAAAAGTCAATGATAAGATAGAATGAATACGTATGGGAAAGAGGGAGACTAAAAAAAGTGAGTAGGATAAAACGAGGCTGTATATGAATATAAGTGGCTAGAGATGAAAAGTGAATGGACAGCAGAATGTGGTTGTAGGTCAGTATTGTGTACTAAGGGCTGGGTGTGGAGCTCATGCCTGTTATTCCAACACTTTGAGAGGTCAAAGCAGAAGGATCACTTGAGGCCAGGAGTTTGAGACCAGCCTGGACAACACAGTGAGACCCAGTCCCTACAAAAAAAAATTAAAGAAATTAGCTGGGCATAGGGGTGTGTGCCTGTAGTCTCAGCTACTTGGGAGGCTGAGGCAGGAGAATCCCCTGAGCCCAGGAGTTTGAGGCTGCAGCAACCTATGATCATGCCACTGCACTCCAGCCTGGGCAACAAAGTCAGAACTTGTCTCTTTAAAAAAAAAAAAAGAAAGAAAAAAGAGGTGTACTAATGAAGGTGTGTATGGCATAGATAGGGGTGGCCTTGGAAAAGGCAGTATAGAATTTCTATGCAGATATGGGAAGATTGAGGAACAGAAAGAGCATTCCAGGAGGCAGGAAATTCTTGAGTAGATCAAAATGTATAATAAACATTCAAATAAATAAGGAGAAATGAGGCCAGAAAAACAGATTGTAGAGATAACAGAGAACCTAGGATGGACCGGGCATGGTGGCTCATGCCTGTAATCCCACCACTTTGGGAGGCTGAGGCAGGAGGATCACTTGCGCCCAGGAGTTTGAGACCAGCCTGGGCAACATAGGAAGACCTGGTCTCTACAAATAATAAAAAGTTACCCAAGCATGGTGGCTTGCACCTGTGGTCCTAGCTCCTCAGGAGGCTGAGGTGGGAGGATCGCTTGAGCCTAGGCAGTGGAGGCTGCAGTGAGCCACAATCGTGCCACTAAACTCCAGCCTAGGCAACAGAGTGAAACCCTGACTCAAAACAAAAAACAACAAAAAAACCCCTGAGAACCTAGGATGGTGTTAGAACTTGTTCAAACCTTATATATTAAATTTAGGAGAACTTCTGAAACTTCTAAAGCAATTCTAACATGCAAAGCCTAGCTATAGGAGACTAGTGTCTAGAGATGAATATAAGTGGCTAGAGATGAAAAGTGAATGGACAACAGAATGCGGTTATAGGTCAGAATAGAGAAGTGAAGAATTGAATCATGATTTAGGTCAGTGGTTCTTATACTTTTTGGTCTTAAGATTCCTTCACATTCTTAAAAGTAAGATTCCTTGGCCAGGCGCGGTGGCTCACGCCTGTAATCCCAGCACTTTGGGAGGCCGAGGCGGGCGGATCATGAGGTCAGGAGATCAAGACCATCCTGGCTAACATGGTGAAACCCCATCTGTACTAAAAATACAAAAAATTAGCCGGGCGTTGTGGCGGGTGCCTGTAGTCCCAGCTACTCGGGAGGCTGAGGCAGGAGAGTGGCGTGAACCCGGGAGGCGGTGCTTGCGGTGAGTCCAGATCGTGCCACCACACTCCAGCCTGGGCGACAGAGCAAGACTCTGTCTCAAAAAAAAAGTAAGGTTCCTTGACACTCTTAAAAGTTATTACCCTAAAGAGCTTTTGCTTATATGGGTTACATCTATCACTATTTATAATACTAGAAAATACAATCGAGAATATTCTGAAATATTTTAAATTCATTTAAAAGCAATAGATTATTGCATATTAGCTTTTTGAGGAAAAAATAAATAGTGAAAAGAGTGGCATTGTTCTACATTTTTGAAGATCTTTTTAATGTCTGGCATAGCAGAAGACAGCTGGATTTTCACATCTGCTTCACATATTCCACCAGCCCTCAGAGCTGTGATGGCGTTACAGGTCCTGTAGCAAAATACGCAAGAGGTTTTTCCCTTGGTCTTTCTCCACTTCTGTCCCCTAATAACTTTGCTCCAGCCCCTTAGCAGAATTTGTCTTTTGTTCCACCCTACTTCTCTTGATCTAGCCAGATACAACAAACATTATATATATCAGCCGCTGTTAAAACAGGAAGAGTCAGTCTTTTTTTTGGGACAGGGTCTCCTCTGTCACCCAGGCTGGAGTGTGATGGCACTATCATGGCTTACTGCAGCCCTGACCTCCTGGCCTCAAGTGATCCTCCCACCTCAGTCTCCTGAGTAGCTGGGACTACACTTGCAGGCCACCATGCTTGGCTAAGTTTTGTATTTTTTGTAGAGTCAGGGATCTCATTCCTGGGCTCAAGTGATCCTCCCACCTTGGCCTCCCAAAGTGTTGGGATTACAGGCATGAGTCACCACACCTAGCCGGGTCAGTCTTTGTAATTCAAATAAAGTCTGCCTGTTTCCAGAAGGTCTCAGAGTTTAGGATTCCTTGGAAATGAGTTTTTAAAATGCCCACAGTTGTGTGTGAGAGACAGGAAGAAAAGAGAGAGAGTGAGTGTGTGTGTGTGTGTGTGTGTGTGGTGTGTGTGCTTGCTTTAGAGATAAGGCCTCACTCCATTACCCAGGCTGGAGTGGCTCACTGGAGCCTTGACTTCCTGGGCTCAAACAGTCATCCCACTTCAGCCTCTCAAGTAGCTGGAACTATAGGTGTGTGCAACCAGGCCCAGCCAGTTAGGAGTTGTTTTTTTTTGTTGTTGTTGTTGTTGTTGTTTTATTTTTTTTTTTTTTTGAGATGGAGTTTCGCTCTTGTTACCCAGTCTGGACTGCAATGGCGCGATCTCAGCTCACTGCAACCTCTGCCTTCCAGGTTCAAGTGCTTCTCCTGCGTCAGCCTCCCAAGTAGCTGGGATTACAGGTGCCCGCGACCATGCCTGGCTAATTTTTGTATTTTTAGTAGAGACAGGGTTTCACCATGTTGGCCAGGCTGGTCTCGAACTCCTGACCTCAGGTGATCCGCCTACCTCAGCCTCCCAAAGTGCTGTGATTAGAAATGTGAACCACTGCGCCTGGCCCTTTTCCTTTTCTTGAGTTGAAAACCAATGAGAGGGCAATACGGGACTGGGTAACATGACTTTTGATCGGCAACCCACTTGCCCACCTGCTCTTGGGCAGCATGGACCACTGCAGTCTTCCCCTGCCAGTGCAGATCAGAAAAAAGAGAAAATCCAGAAGGGGCTCAGCTCCATGGCCCAGCGCTTGCCCCACACTCTCCAGTTATTTGTCATTTATTTTCCGCTAGGCATGAGAGGGAGGAAAGAGGCCAAGAATCTTACCCCAGAAGGGGTGGGAAATAGGTTTCTCCTCTCCCCAACAAGACAGTTGTTTATATTTTATCTATTTTGTAAGTAAATGATAGAGTTTATTGTCACGAGTTAGGAGTGCTTTCATGAACAGCCCCCTCTTGCTCAGCAATGACTAGCTGAAGAAGGCTTAACGTTATCTTTCCCAAAATGCAAATCATGTTTTTTCTCTACAATATTGCTAACAGTCCTGTTGAACAAGTAAGTTCATTTAGTAACTGAAAAGGACACGTTGCCATCTGTGTATCACGGAGGGTTATCAGATGCTAGATTGCTTGAAAGTAGATGTCTTCTGAGAGCTTTAGTGAAATTTGAATAGCCACACCATCACTTTTCAAGTTTTTAGGCTGAAATCATCAGAGTATGTGCCTGTGTTGAATCAATTTTGATACATTGGGGGAAGATATTTTAGCAAGCATAATATTAAAAAACATGGGTTTTAGAATTACACAGAACTGGGTTTTAACCCCAGCCTTGCCACTTAACTAGCTGCAGGACCTTGAACAAGTTCTGGTTCCGTGTCTTCTCCCAGCTTCATGTTCTGACTATAAAATGGAGAATGTAATAGCACTTTCCTCATAACATTGTTATGAAGATTAAGAAAATGCAGATAAAGCATTTATTATGTTTGGGACATCACTGCTCAATACATATATATTAAATAGTACATAAAATAATAGATATAATTTATGTAATCCAGAACACCAATTATATAACGTATTTTACCCCATTTTTCTGAATTGAGCTATTAGCCATTAGCTTACAGTAAGCAGCATTACAGAACAGCTCTTTGAAACTTATTTTCATTCAGGAAGAGTTGTTGAGGACTCGGTTTATGTTTCATAGCATCCTCCTCTAAAGGCCTTGGGGAAAGTGGTCCTGTCAGGTCTCAGTCTGAGGGCTTCATGTCCTTTTTCCCCAAGCATTGGGTTTGTGTTTCTATTTTACATTGCATAACTGGTCATATTTCCTTTTTGCATTGCTACTGAAGAAGCTCAGAATCAAACTTGCAACCTTTCTTTGGCAAAGTGGACAGGACCTATGACACGTGTTTTTGATATTAATCTATATTAATCTTCACCTTCATTCTCTCCCCTCACCTCATTCTTACGTTCTCTTCCCCTTCAGGTTCTTCACATAACTTTTGTTTTTGCTCTATCTTTGTAAGAGACTGCAAATCCTTTCTAAATGAGAAGAAACATAAATACATTTAAAATTAAAATACTGAAGTGTAAAATCTTTAAATGTTAGCAACATACTTGGGCTCAGGAAATAATTGCTAGTGATTGTATTTGATTAGTTTTTTGGCCATTGTACAAAGTTAGTTTTGAGATGGGTCACTGCGATGTCACGGATCTCGAGGAGTCTGTGATTACACCACGTCCATGTCAAGCACATAGCTATGTGTTGTTGATGTTGTCCAGTAGCTGTCTAGATATAATTGACGGGTTTCTCTTGTATTCTTGAGTGAGCAGAGCTGAGGTTTTAGAGCACCACAAAACTGTAGGAATGGAGTATCAAAAGGTTGAATACCTGCCTCATGAGGAAACTGGGGGAAAGATGACAGGGCAGATTGTGGCAGAATGTATGTACTGAAAATTTGGGGGAGGAACTATAGCAGGAAGAAAATACATAACCAGGGACACCAAACAGTTGGATTTTTTGTTTAGTGGTTGTTGATTTGGCTTCAATTTAGGGAATATTTTGAGGGTTTTTATTGCTTCAGTAGTTTCAAACTATTTTGTGTCTATGTAAGTTGGCTTTTATTCTCCTGATCTCTCAAACTCAAATCTCAAAATATTGAAAACTTCTGTTATTTTTCCCTAACCCTAATTTACCTTCCTCAAAATCTAATGAATTATCAAATCCTATTGCATCTTCCTTGGAATCATCATTAGTTAAACTAAAGGCAATAGGAAGTGAGTTTAAAATCCTTTCTTCCAGAGCCTGCAGGTCTGTTCATGTGTTTATAATTTTCGTTTTTTGTTTTTTTTTCCATGGATTCAGTGGTCTCCTACTGGTTTATTCATGTTTGGCCTTGCGCTTCTCAAATTCCTTTTTATACCTCATCAGCAAGTGAACTTATTCCACTGCCCTCATGGCTAGCTGTGGCCTGTGAAATCGTCCAGATTCCTTGGGCAGACACTCAGGGTGCTTTGTATTTTTGTTCGGGGCTGTGTTTTCAGCCTTACTGCTTGCCGTTCCCATATGTGGACTCTTGCCTGTCGCACTGATTTCTGTCTTCCCAATCCAATGCTCATAGAGATCACTAAGGATAATCCTGCTTATTAAGTGATGAGTTGGTTTGAATTGTCTCTGGTGGTAGTCTAGGAAAGTGGGATTTCTTTTTAATTTTGGGGTTTTGTTTTTGATTTGTGGTACCAATGAGGATTTTATTTGAGACAGTGTAATGGGGGCCAGATGAGAGAACCATTTTCTTTGTAAGCTTAGCATGGCTGGGCTCTAGCCAGCTCCAGATGAAATTTTGGCTAATTATCCCTTTAGAAAAGTCAGGCTTAAGCAGAACTGGGCTCTAGGTCAATTAACCAAAAGCCAGTTCACCCAATGACCAGTTCATTTATTTAAAAAAAAAAAAAAAAAAAAAAAAAAAAAAAAATATATATATATATATATATATATATATATATATATATATATATATATATGAGTTTCAGTTGACCAGTTTTCCTTTCATCTCATCATATAATCTTGAAAAGTAATATTTAACATGCTCCTGACCCCCAGCCATGTAGCTATAGCTGGAGACCTGGTTTTCTTAGCTGTTATGAAAGTATTTTTGTGTGTGTGTGGATACTTTTTCAAATTGATGTCCCTGTGAGGGGACAAGCATGGGAAGTTATACTCTGCCATCTTGCTGACATCACTCTTTAGTTGTGTGTGTGTTTTAAGGATGCTCAAAATAGCAGAATTTGGCCTAAGAATTTCAGATATTTCACAAATAAGAACTTGTACCTTGAAGAACTTAGGATTAAATAAAAGTGTCTGTAAATTATGTCCATCACATACATACTCACGTAGTGTTAGCTGTCAATACTATTTCTCACTGTATTTTGGATGCAGTTTAACATTGAAAGCTATAATTCTTTTTGCATCTGGAATGCATTACAGTTATCCGTTGGTATCTGCAGGGGATTGGGTCCAGGACTGCTACCTTGGATACCAAAACCTGTGGATGCTCAAGTCCCTTATATAAAATGGTGTGATATTTGCATGTAACCTACACACATTATCCATATACTTTAAATCATCTCTAGATTACTTATAATACCTAATACAATGTAAGGGCTATGTAAATAGTTTTGCAGTATTTTTATTTGTATTATTTTTTGTTATTTTTTTCCTATTTCAATTTATTATGTTTTTCTTGAATATTTTGATTCATGGTTGAATTCACAGATAGGAAACCTGTGGATATGGAGGGCTGACAGTATATGCTTCCCAAGTTCTTGTGTTTTATTTTATATCTTTGAACTTTTAAAGTATAATTTCTATTTTGAACTTATGACAAAGATTCTGTAGTCAGTATCCATCATCAACATTGGAGGGTCTACTGAACAAGGAATTTTAAGCTAATAGGTGTGAATCCTGTGGTCAGACTGTGATCAGCTCCCTTAATAAGTACAAATATTAATGTTCTGCAGAGTGTGGTACCACTTGTATTGCAGATGTTTTTTCACCTTGTAGTGTATATTGTTCTGGCATAAAAGCCTGTTTCCAAGGGGGGTAGAAATGCCAGATAGAGGCATATTTATCCATTGTTTTAAATTACTCATTTTGTTATAATGTTGTATTTTTGTGTGTGTGATGTTCTTTTTCTTTGCTAGCATAACCCCAGATGTCTGCTTTTAATTTTTATACCATTACAAGGAATCATGTAGTCAACATCAAGTTTAGAATTATAATTTTCAAAAATGGATCATAATCAAAACATATATACATTGATTAGCATTTAAGGCACGCCTTATCAATGGTAAAGAATAGTGCTATCTGAAACAAAACCAAGTAGCAAATAATAGCTTTTCCTTGTGGTTTTTCCCATTCAGTTACTAACTTGTTATAGAGTCGTGTTTTATTTATATATCAGAGATGCTTGTTCTGTTCATGGTCATGTAGCGTAAATAGTATATACTATTGTTTTAATAAAGCTTATAATTTTCTAAATTTTATATATGGCATGTTGTTTTTTTTGAGATAGAGTCTCACTTTGCCACCCAGGCTGGAGTACAGTGGCATGATCTTGGCTCATTGTAACCTCCACCTCCCAGGTTCAGGCCATCCTCTTGCCTCAGCTTACCAAGGAGATGGGATTACAGGTGCACGCCACCATGCCCGGATAATTTTTTTCTGTATTTTTAGTAGACATGGGTTTCACCATGTTGGCCAGGCTGGTCTCAAACTCCTGACCTCATGATCCGCTCGAATCAACCTCCCAAAGTGCTGGGATTACAGGCGTGAGCCGCTGCGCCTGGCCACGTGTAGTTTTTTGAATTAAAGTTTTCATGCATATGAACAAAAGGATTGCATTCTAAATGTATGTTAATATCTGTCTTTTCTAGAAAAGTTACTAAAATTACTTAAAAATACTAATTACATAAATGCTGTACTTTGTTTTTATAGAACTTTTCACCTATAATTTATTTTCTTTTAAGGTCAGTGGATAAGTCTGTCATAGTATATGATACTGTAAGTATTTAAAAATCTTGTGGTGATCTATGAAAGTTATGTTTATTAGACTACTGAACTTCAAGTTAGGCCTGGTAGAAAAAGTATATATTTTTTCTGTTTAGTATGACTAAGAACATAAATATTTTCACAAATGCTAAAATAGTTACGCAAGTAAGATATTGGTTCTGCAACAAGCCCTTAAATATTTCAGTAATGATTTTAAGATGGATAGATTTTAAATGTGATCATAAACTATACATATTTAAAGAGCACCAGTGTTCAAAACATCACATACAATCAATTATTAAACTTTTACACCAGGCTTCCATAATAGCAAAGGATGAATGTTTACCCTAGGGTTTTTGGTGAATATGGTTGAAAGTGACCTACCATTCTTAGAGTCCTGGCTGGATTTAGGGAGAGGCATAAGAAAGGATAGGTTATCATGGACTTGGAAAATGGGAGTTTTTTACTGATCCATGTGTGGGTAAAGACCAAGTTGTGGCCGGGTGCAGTGGCTCACACCTGTAATCCCAGCATGTCAGAAGGCTGAAGCAGGCAGATGGCTTGAGTCCAGGAGTTTAAGACCAGCCTGGCCAACATGGTGAAACCTCATCTCTACCAAAAATACAAAAACTTAGCTGACCGTGGTGGCGCGTCCCTGTAGTCCCAGCTACTTGGGAGTCTGAGGCAAGAGGATGGCTTGAACCCCGGAGGTGGAGGTTGCAGTGAGCCGAGATTGTGCCACTGCACTCCAGCCTGGGCAACAGAGTGAGACCCTGTCTCAAAAATAAAGTAGTTGAAAAAAATATTGTCCAAAAGAAGAAAATGTTGAGTGGAGCCTCCTAATGCTGTAGCTATGCCAGCAAATAAATGGAGATATAAGTAATCAAAGGGTAGCGAGTTAAGCAAGTGATGTAAGCTAGTCTTCCACACAGAAGTTCGAGTCACTGAGTGTTCTGGCAGGAAATGGGAAAGAATACTCAAGCTAGGTGAGGTAAATCTTTAATATTTCTCATGAACGTTTCATGAGATTTTACATTCTCAAAAACAATTATAACACTAAATTGTCTCTGTAAAATATGTATGAGTCCCACTTAAATACACCTAAAATGTTAGATGGACACCTTAGTGTACTCTAAGGGACTAATTTATTTATTTGTTTTTTTGAGACAGACTCTTGCTCCTTTGCCCAGGCCGTAGTGCAGTGGTGCGATCTTGGCTCACTGCAACCTCTGCCTCCCGGGTTCAAGCAATTCTCCTGCCTTAGCCTCCCAAGTAGCTGGGACTACAGGCACGTGCCACCATGCCAGCTAATATTTTATATTTTTAATAGGGATGGGGTTTCACCGTGTTGGCCAGGCTGGTCTCAAACTCCTGAGCTCAAGTGATCCACCTGCCTCGGCCTCCCGACATGCTGGGATTATAGGTGTGAGCCACTGCACCCGGCCAAGGGACTAATTTCTACTCACTGGTCCTGCAATGTATACAAGTCAAATGCCATAGTCAAAAATATGAATTATTTCAGGTAATAGATGTTTAGGTTACTATTAGTAGGTTCAAACAGATGAGCAAATGCCAAGGGTCTACTGTACTAAAAATTTCTAAGGAGGTGGCTAGCAGACAATAATGCCGATAATTGACAAAAAGTGAAGTAAGTACCTGAGAATGCTGTTACAGATGCTGTTTCTGCTATTCATTGAGTAAAGTTTCAACTTATGTTAGTTACTAATAAATATTAATATATCCACTTAGTATACAACCCATTTATGTCAAATGAGTCTTCATCAGTAACTTTACTCTTACTTGAGTAAATTTAAAGCTGTTTTTATTGTTTTTCAGAATACTGAGAATATACTTCACACATTGACTCAGCACACCAGGTCTGAACTTAACCTCACCTTGTATTAATATAATTTAAAAATTAGTCAGAAGATACATAATAGTTGTTTTTATTAACTAGGTATGTCACAACTTGTGCTTTTGCACCTAATACCCTTTTACTTGCTACTGGTTCAATGGACAAAACAGTGAACATCTGGCAATTTGACCTGGAAACACTTTGCCAAGGTTAGTAAGGACATCATTTTTCACTCATTTCAACCCCACTCACCATTAGGGTCAGAAAGTTAGTAAATCGGGCTGGGCACCGCGGCTCACACCTGTAATCCCAGCACTTTGGGAGGCCAAGGTGGGTGTATCACTTGAGGTCAGAAGTTCGAGACCAGCCTGGCCAACATGGTGAAACCCTGTCTCTACTAAAAATACAAAAAAGTAGCTCAGCATGATGGTGCATGCTTATAATCCCCGCTACTCGGGAGGCTGAGGCAGGAGAATCGCTTGAACCTGGGAGGCGGAGGTTACAGTGACCTGAGATCGTGCCATTGCACTCCAGCCTGGGCGACAAGAGTGAAACTCCATCTCAAAAAAAAAAAAAAAAGTTAGTAAATCATTTGACAGGTTATTCACATTGCTTTTATCAATATAAAGTATACATCCAAATTTAATGTCATTTAAAAATAGTTTGGCCTGGCATGGTGGCTCACACTTATAATCCCAGCACTTTGGGAGGCCGAGGTGGATGGATTGCGTGAGCCCAGGAGTCTGAGATTAGCTTGGGCAACATGGTGAAACCCCATCTCTACAAAAAAGACAAAAATTAGCCACACATGGGGGTGTGCACTTGTGGCCCCAGCTACTTGGGATGCTGAGGTGGGAAGGATCACCTGAGCCCAGGAGGTCATGAGGCTGCAGTGAGCTGAGAACACGCCACTGTACTTCAGCCTGGGCAAGGGAGTGAGAACTCATCTCTAAAATAATAATAATAATTTTACAGAAGCCAGTGTTGAAGTGGCTGGGCTGTGTTAAAGCTGTTGGTAAATGCTTTCAGTGCACATTCATGTGTCCCACTCCTCCCATGGTTTCTAAGTTATTTGTTTATACTCCATACTAATTTTTCAGGTAAATATAACCTCAGGACAAAATCGAAATTATCGTTGTATTTTGTTGGTTTTATTTTGGCATCAAGCGACATTGGCACATAATTTAGGAGTTTTATTTTTATCACTGTCAGAATTATCTAAATAGTGGTGCTGATATGCAGATGATGGAGCAAATAGAATACCTTTGCTGGTATGAATTTTATATAATAAAAAATTGTTTTCCTGATGTGAAAAAGAAAATGATCCAAAAGCAAGTTAAAGTGGTAAAACAATTTTTTTTTTTTTTTTGAGACTGGTCTCCCTATGTTACTTAGGCCGGTCTTGAACTCCTGACTTCAAGTGATCCTCCTGCCTCAGCCACTTGAGAAGCTAGGATTATAGGCATGAGCCACTGTACCTAGCTATAAAACACAGATTTAAGGAAATTTCATTTACTTTTAATTCAAAGTGAGAATGTTTATAAAGGAAATACTTTTTTGTTATCTCACTTACTTGTTTGTTTATTTTAAGCAAGGCGCACAGAACATCAGCTGAAGCAATTTACCGAAGATTGGTCAGAGGAGGATGTCTCAACATGGCTTTGTGCACAAGATTTAAAAGATCTTGTTGGTATTTTCAAGATGAATAACATTGATGGAAAAGAACTGTTGAATCTTACAAAAGAAAGTCTGGCTGATGATTTGAAAATTGGTAAGCTTAGTGAAAGATAGGCAATCTTCAAAACAACTTTTACCAAATTACTCTGCAGTTGGATTTTGTTGCATTAATGGTTTCTTCTTAATGTTCTGGCACTACACTAATGACCCATCTTCTTGATTATGGCCATCCTAGCAGCTGTGAAGTGGAATTTCATTATGGTTTTGATTTTCATTTACCTAATGACATGCATCTTTCATGTGCTTATTTGCCATTTATATATCTTCTTTGGAGAAATGTCTGATCAGATCCATTGCCCATTTTTAAACTGGGTTGTCTTTTTATTGTTGACTTTGTAAGAGTTGTTTATGTATTCTGGGTACTAGATCTTTACCAAAAACAAGTTTTGATATCATGCTCTAATAAACATAATTGCCAGACACTATTACTAATATGCTATAGTAAAATTTTAGTTAACCAGAAAGCTCAGGAAATAAGATATTCATGTTGAGATTTATTACTAATGAAGAGTGAAATAACTAAAAATCTTTGTTATAGAAAACCATTTTAAAGTATAGTATTATAAGTATTTTACTTTCCTTACATAGTAAACATAGTACGTGAGCCTATTTAAATCTCTTGGAAGCCTATGGCCTTTTAAGGAGTTAACAGAATGATTTTGTGAAAACACATAAGTGGTTTTGTACTATACTCAGGCTATACTTGAGTACAGTCACTTTTCTTTATTTAATTTAATTTAATTTATTTTATTTATTTATTTTTGAGATGGAGTCTCGCTCTGTCACCCAGGCCGGTGTGCAGTGGCGCGATCTCGGTTCACTGCAAGCTCCGCCTCCCAGGTTCACACCATTCTTCTGCCTCAGCCTCCCGAGTAGCTGGGACTACAGGCGCCTGCCACCATGCCTGGCTAATTTTTTATATTTTTAGTAAAGACAGGGTTTCACCATGTTAGCCAGGATGGTCTTGATCTCCTGACCTTGTGATCCGCCTGCCTCAGCCTCCCAAAGTGCTGGGATTACAGACCTGAGCCACCGTGCCTGGCCAAGTACAGTCACTTTTCTATCTCTTTTTGTGTGGGGGTGGCAGGGTGGGGGAAGAGATAGGAGGGTCTCACTCTGTTGCCCAGGCTGGAGTGCAGTGGTGCGATCACAGCTCACTACAGCCTCGACCTCCCAGGCTCAAGTGGTCTTCCTGTCTCAGCCTCCCAAGTAATTGGGACCACATGCACATGCTACCACGCCCAGCTTATTTTTACAAATTTTTGTAGAGATGAGGTCTCTCTATTGCCCAGGCTGGTCTTAAACTGCTGGGGTCAAGCAGTCCTCCAGCCTTGGCCTCCCAAAGTGTTGGGATTATGGGCATGAGCCACTGCACCCAGCATCTCTCTGTAATAAAACATTTCCTTTCAACTTCCTCTTTCTTCTGAGAGTAGGTAATAGAGTAGGGGCTTTGTTTTTAAAAAAAACTCACAAATTTAGCATCTTAATTTCTTGTTAATCTCTCACAATTAATCTTAAGGGTACCTTATCAAGTAGAATTACTTCACAATATGAAATAATTTCAGATTCAACAAAGGATGTTTGAAAACATAAGAAAAGCATATAGAAACAATAGAAATACAATTCTATTTTTATAACTAGGTAAATAAGGCATTCTAGTTTTTTGTTTGAGACAGGGTCTCCCTCTGTTGCCCAGGCTGGAGTCCTCTGGCATGGTCATGCCTCACTGCAGCTTCAACCTCCTAGGCTCAAGTGATCCTCCTACCTCGGCCTCGTGAGTAGCTGGAACCACAGGCATGTGCCACCATGCCTGGCTAATTTTTAAAATTATTTGTAGAGATGAGGTCTCACTACTTTGCCCAGGCTGGTCTCAAACTCCTGACCTTAAGTGACCCTCCCAGCTCGGCCTCCCAATGTGCTAGGATTACAGGCATGAGCCACTGTGCCTGGCCAAGAATAAGACATTCTTGTAGGATTCAATTAATGATCAATTAATGATTCAATTAGTTTTTGAAGGATGAGTCTCAGGTTTAGCAGTAGTAATCATTTTACTTCAAAGTTCAGTGAAATGGGTTTTGGAAGTGTCAGGCCCAAGCCAAAATTGAAATACAGTTTAAACAAGTTCTGTGATGGTCTAATAGGTGAATTTGAAAAACCATTAAGAATGGAGACAAAAATGTTGCACATTCTCTAGTAAATAAGGACTCTTAGGCTTGTGTTTAAGATATGGAGATCTAGCAAACTCAACAAATTAGAATAAAGTAGTAAAAATTGACTGTAACATTTATTTTTTATGTCATTCTAATGTATTTTAAGGTTTTTGCAACCTTCATTATAAAGGATCAAGTGGCTAACTTTAATCTTCTATAAATGGTATTGTAAGCTACAATGAATTTCTTTTAGTCCTGAATTTTAAGAAAAATAGACCTCAAAATAGTAAATTGCACTAATAGAGAATTAAATTTGGTCTAGAAACAAATATGTTGAGGTGAACCAATGAGTATATATGCTATTGAATTTTGCTTTTTTAATGCATATCTATTTTACCTGCGTTTGCCTTTGTGATATAACTGTTTAAAACAGCTGCCATGTCAATGTGAATAAATCTGAGTTTAACATTCAGCAAATGGAGGAAGTTGATTAATTGTACAGTAAAGTACATTGGAGGGTTTGAGACCAAAGTCGTATATCTATTATGTTTGACATTTAAATTATTTTTAAGGAATTGAGCAGTTTATCAAATCTTTTTTCAATGAGTCTTTTGTAAATACACAATAAATGAAATTTCTGCAGACTTGAGTATGTTTGACTTTGGAGCTTTACCCAAGGATAATAGTCATTTTCTAGGATTGTGTTAATGGAAGCCTAGGGTACAATAGACGTACAGCTTTAGTTAGGAAATAATTCCTTATATCTAGAACTATATTTGGATAAGGAATGTCTGGACAGAGTACAGGTTCAAGAGATCCTTGATGTTGAGAGGGATATGTCTTAAGACATTTGCTATGAATTTGTGACTACTACTATAACATTTAATATCTCATTCAAAAGGCATAAAGTGTGAAAGGTTAAGAGTAGGAAAGTCACTTTTAGATGTGATATTACGCAACGAGTTGAGTCTACTACTAACTAGCCACACAGCTTCCATCTAGCTACTCATTGGCCTCAGTTTATATCTAGGCCTTGGGAATGCGGCAGATTGCTACGTATCTTGGAGTTTGGAATTGCTATAGAAGATAAAATGATAGAAACTTAAAATGACAAATGCTAAGGAACTATTGTATATCATGTTGGTATTTATGAAATTCAGATAATTATCAACCATAGATGCCTAATTGGGAACGAGATTTTTTTCAAAGGGTTCACTCTTCCATTTGCTCTTCTTTCCAAGAAATCATAAAAGCACATAAGACATTTTTATCATTTTCTAATTTAAAATTAAAACTAGAAATTTAAATACATCACCTGTCTTAGTATCCTCGGGTTTTGAAAGTTTCATGTTTCGGTTCTTATTAATTCGTTATGTAGATTTCACTTGTTGCCTATGTAACTGCATTTATTGTTAAGTAATTGAACATTTACAGTTTTTTTGTTGTTGTTTATATGTGATTAAAGTGAAATAGGCTGTTCAAATCTAGTTACTGTGCAATGACCCCCTGTTGAAAGGGCATAACCCTCCCTGGTCAGCTGCTGTCTGAAGTTGGCCCACTCTCCCTTCCAGTGCTTACTTGTTGGACATGCTGGGGTCTCATTTGCTCAGGCCCATCAGATGTCCTGTTGCTTTCTTCTACACAGATGCCAACCACAGGTCTTTATGGCTGTTAATGGCTTGTCCTCACTCACGTATATTGTAGGGTTCATGAAGATATCTTGCTATCTTGTTTTGTTGGAAATGTCCATGCAATTTGAGTTTATCTGGTTGCTGTTTTTTCAGAGAAATTTAAAAACTATACTGCTTCTATCCTGTTCTTCATACCCTCTTAAAAATTCCTCATGTATCTATAGCTGTGTTTTCCATTCTTAATATAGGTTTCGTGTCTTCTCTTGATCATTCTATGTAGAAATTTGATTTTTTAAATTAATTTTTAATTTTTAAAAAGCAGATTTTTAGCTTTCTTCGTAAGAAACCAGCATTTGGTTCTGTTGTTCTCTGTCAGGGTAGGGGAGAGGTGAGTCAGTGACCAGCTTGGTGGTCTGTGCTTGTTCAATTCCAGGCTCTCGTGCTGTCTTGGTAACTGGCCTCCAGCTGGGGCTGCTGTGGCATCGGTACTTACAGGACAAAGTTGGGAGAGTAAAGGGCACACGTAGGAAGGTCTCTGTCTCATTCATGTACCCACATCTCTGCTCTATGCTGTCATTTCCCAGCTCTCACTCCGGAACCCCGTTACCTTCTGTTTCGTCAGAGGTTTTTGGGGTTGAGTTTTTATATCCGTTAGTTTAGTTTTGTATATTTGATGGTTATTAGTGTCTAGATTCCATCAAACTCTCAGTGATGTAGCATTTCCAGAGTTGGGTGATTTTAACTTGTCATCAAGATGTCTTTTCAGGATTATAGTCAGTAATAGCCAGATATTGCCCAATACTGGTACCGAGGGTTTACTAGCCCTTAGCTGGTAAGGGTCCTTTCTTTCTCAGCAATTAAGTGTATAAGACTTATTCTTAACTCCCAATCACAAAAGGAGATGTTTGGTTCCGGTAGAGCTCTGGGGATGTGGTTTAGTAAACGCTTCCCTGAGGGCAAGATGATCTGACTTCATTTCTAAATGACGTTAGGATTGGAGAAGGATAATGCCCAATTTAACCTTCTCTGGGGAATTTTGAATTAGGCCTTCTGTGTTCTCTGTTATAAATACTAGAAGCATTGTAAGTATTAGCACACATGTAGAATATTTTTGACAGGAAAATATACTTTTTAAAGAATATTAGTTGCTCCTATATTTTTTTCTTTTTCTTAATTTTTTTTTGAGACAGAGTCTCACTCTGTTGCCCGGGCTGGAGTGCAGTGGCATGAACATGGCTCACTGTAGCCTCTACCTCTTGGGCTCTGTAGATTCTCCTGCCTCAGCCTCCTGAGGAGCTGGGACTACAGGTATGCACCACCATGCCCAGCTAATTTTTAAAATTTTTTTTGTAGAGAAAGAGTCTTGCTATGTTGCCCAGGCTGGTCTCAAACTCCTGGTCTTAAGCAGTGCTCCCACCTTGGCCTCTCAAGTGCTGAGATTATAGGCATGAGCCACTACACCCAGCCTCCTTTTCTTATTATGTTATATAATTATCTCTTTAAATGAGATGTCTACTGTCTTATTGCAAACATGTTCTGGAAACATTTATGACAGTTTTTGAAGCCATGTCTCTACCCAGGTGGAAGATTTTTAGGAAGCATACCCCAGTCACGACAGATTTTCTACCATCTCATCCTCTAATACCCCACTTCAGCAAATCTTGATCTTATCTAAGCCTTTATTCTATTAATCTTATGTACCTCTTATCTATCTCTACTCTTATTTTCCACCTTACTTAGCTTAGAATACATGATCCATCATTATAACTCCTCGTAAACCTTCCACTGTATTTGCCTGGCAAAATAAAAATACAGCTCAGCTAACCCTTGGAAAACACAGCATTGTGAATGGGACATTCTGGGAAGAGGTGGACTCGATAAACTGTCATGACCATTCTCTGATTTGTTACATTCAAGGCTGGCTGTGGTGATCAGCTAACACTGTGCTGCATTTTAGAGGTACTTCCCTAACTAAGCACTTTTGAGTACTTTGTGTTGAAATAGCTTTCTCTTGAAACTGGATGGTGATTTCATAAAGAATTTGAGGGAATCTTTTTAAGTTATAAATATTTTTGCAAAATCATATTCAACATGTAAAGAAATCATTGATTTGTTTGTGACACTTTAAAAAAAATTGTTTTAAAAATCCTCAGTTTCATTTCAGCATATCCCATTGGAAGGAAGTCAGAGGAAAGCAGCCCTTTGGTGGCAGGAAGCTGCTAGGGTAACTTGCCACATTCACATGAATGTGGGCAATGAGCCCTGACTGACTCAAACGGTTTATTACTCGTGACACAGCAGACACTTGCACTTCAGGTTCTGATTGTTTTCCCTTCCCTTCTTTTTTTTTTTTTTTTTTTGAGGCAGAGTCTCACTGTGTCGCCCAGGCTGGAATGCAGTGGCGCCATCTCAGCTCACTGCAACCTCCGCCTCCTGGGTTCAAGTGAAGTTCCTGCCTTAGCCTCCCGAGTAGCTGGGATTACAGGCATGTGCCAACACATCCAGCTATTTTTTTTCTTTCTTTCTTTTTTTTTTTTGTATTTTTAATAGAGATGGGGTTTTGCCATGTTGGCCAGGCTGGTCTTGAAATTCTGACCTCAAGTGATCCACCTGCCTAATCCTCCCAAAGTGCTGGGGTTACAGGCATGAGCCACTGTACCCAGCCTCCCCTTTCCCTCTTAAGTAAGTTTCATGGTGGTGGTTTATGTTTATGTCACAGCTGAGGAGCCCTGAGCTTGGGAAACCCCCAGTCTTATGAGGGGGCTAAGCAAATAGCCCCCAAGAGGCAAGACATTATAGTAGTCAGGAAACATCTGCCCTCCCACAGGGAGGGACGCACTATCTCTAGCTTCCAAGGATGTTTTCAGACATCCTCAAGAAGACTGTCTGAAACACAGGGTGTCCTAAGACATGTATAAACCTCATGGAGCATTACCTCCCAACAGAAAGAAAGTTGGTTTGGCTTTTTCTAGTAACTGTAAGGCATTCTGAAATCTAATTCTTCTACCCACTTCAACCTAAAGTAGAACTGTCAACTAGTTCTAAAAGTGTAAACAGCCAATAATTCTAAAATTCCTAAAATTCATTAGACTTTCTAAAACTAAAAATCTTTTAAAGTTAAGAATAAAAACAAGTGAAACTGTTTATGGTTTGGACAAACAGATGAGCTTTATTTGTGATTGTGTTTCTTACAAGAATCAGCAAATATATCCAGTTTCATTAAGTTTAAAAATATCGTAACATGGCATTTTTATGTTTTGAACTCAAACATATTTAAAAATGATTTTTAGGAAATTTTTTGTTGTGTAAGTAAGCAGTAATGAGCCTTTTCTGATTTTGTAGAGTATATTAGTGTCTGGCAACCTGAAATTCTTGAACTTTCAGAATCTATTTAAAATGAGCTATTAGCTGCTGATATATTTTAACCAACAGTATTCTATACAACAGAGATTTGTTAAGGAATTTATAAAGAAAACAATAGTTCATGCGGTAAAACAGTATGTCAGAAGATTTCTGGTGGTAGTAGATAAAATCTCTATTTGTGGCTGGCTGTGGTGGCTCACACCTGTAATCCCAGCACTTTGAGAGGATGAGGCAGTAGGATCACTTGAACCCAGGAATTCGAGACCAGCGTGGGCAATATAGTGAAACCTTATCTCTACAGAAAATACATAAATTAACTGGGCATGGTGCCATGTGCCTGTAGTCCCAGCTACTCAGGAGGCTGAGGTGGGAGGATCACTTGAGCCCAGGAGGTCAAGGCTGCAATGAGTGGTGATCGTTTTGCCACTGCACTCCAGCCTGGGCAAAAGAGTGAGCCCCTGTCTCAAAATCAACCCCAACAACAAACTCTATTTGTGAATAAGGATTACTGGTAGTATCCTAGTAGTAAGGATTACTAGTAGTTATCCAGCCCTAACAGTAATTTCTTTTCAGAATCTCTAGGACTGCGTAGTAAAGTGCTGAGGAAAATTGAAGAGCTCAGGACCAAGGTTAAATCCCTTTCTTCAGGAATTCCTGATGAATTTATATGTCCAATAACTAGAGAACTTATGAAAGATCCGGTCATCGCATCAGGTATGTGTGATGCTATACTAAGTTGCAGGGGATGTTTTGTGCTAAATGAATAAAAAGTTTAGACAGTTCTCAGAAGTTTGCTTAAATGTGAAGAATTTTAAGTAGTTTTTTCTTAAACTAATTAAACCTTGGGTGAACAAATGAATATTGTATATTTCATAATGAAATTGAACAGAGTAGTTGTGGAGTTGACACAAAAGGATTAAGTTTTACTTAAACTTGTGAAATGTGTATTTAGTTGCTAGGATGTAAAGATAAAATACTATTTTTTAAAGACAGATTGTTGAGATCTCTTGTGTTTGTCTATCATGAATTTAAACAATCTTCTACAAAGAATTTAATTATAAAGTTGTATCATTCCATATTTCTAAGTGTTAACAGACCTACATACTTTATTATACATAGTTGTAATCAGTGAATCCAAATTTTATATATATATATATTTATATATATATATATATTTATATATATATATATATATATATTTATTTAATTTTGGCCTACAGCTTCCTTATATGTTTCTGAATATTGGCTTAGTCTATGTTGACTTTGTCTGGAGTTTTCACTTTGAATAGCTTTATCCCATTGTGGCTGTATGATACATTGTGTTTGACTTTTCTGTTAGTTGGTGTGTATGTGCTTGCAAATCTTTACACTGTAAATGGCATTATGCTGACATCTTGGCACATTTCTGTTTTTACCATTTCTTAGGGTTATTTACGTGGGTTATATGTTGCAAAGCAGAATTAGTCAATTTGAGGATGTTTTATGAATGTGAAAACAGTTTGACACATTTCGTTAGATGTGTTATTTTCTAGGAAAAAAAAACAGTTTAGAGTGCTGCCAGTAATATATCTAATTGTACCTGGTTTTCCAGTTTTGTGATCATTGTATTTTATAACTCCATTTACTTTTGCCAGCTTAATAGTTGTTTTGAAACTATAGTCCTTACTTGGCTAGGGAGGCAATGAATTTTTTTTACATGGTAGTTTACTATTTACATATATTTGAGTATAAAACATCTATTCATCTTCTCTGATAATTAGCTGATGGACTTACTTTGTATATGCTGTCCACTGTCCACATTATTAGTGGAACTAATTATGTAGTGTCTTATCGTTATGAGTTCATCTGTATTAGGTACTTAAAGCTGTACCTGCATATAATAAACACTCAATAAAAGTCAATTAGCTATTTTTATTTCAGGCTATGAAATTTGCTATGAGTATAGCAGTGGCTGCACATTTTTTGACTGGTTTATCAGGACTCTTGTTTGCAGTTGATTTATTAAAAGTGAATCTTAGGAAAACCTGGCAGCAAAGAGTGTAATAGGGTTCTGTCTCAATTTATTGAGAGGCTTCTGAATATTCACTCTGATGTTCAGTGTGCTTTTTTTCTACAAAAAAAACCACACGTGACCATAGACAGGTCTCAAATTTTAGTTTCATCCATGAGGCAGATACCAATCCAACATTTCCTTCTGGCTGCAACTCTTTTGAGTCTGGCTGCTTTTTCTCAGCTTTCCAGATTGATCTAGCTTGTAGTATCAGTAATTTATATTTATTGCTGAGTAATGTTTCCTTGCATAGATATGCCATAATATGTTTATCCATTAACCTGTCAGTGGACTTTCAGGTCTTTTCTATTTTGTGGCTATTATGACTGAAGCTGCTGTAACATTTATGTACAGATCTTTGTCTGGACATTTCTCATTTCTCTTGGTTAAATATATAGGAGTGAAATTACTGGGTTGTACGATAAGCGAATGTTTAAAGGGACTACCAAAATGTTTCTCAAAGTGATTGTATCATTCTAATTTCCTAGCTGAGTCTTCCAGTTTCTCCACATCCTCTCCAGCACTTGGTATTGCTAGTCTTTTAAATTTTGCCATTTTAGTGGATATGAAGTGGTATCTCATTGTGCTTTTTTTTTTTTTTTTTGAGACAGACTCTCGCTCTGTTGCCCAGGCTGGAGTGCAGTGGTGTGATCTCTGCTCACTGCAAGCTCCGCCTCTCGGGTTCACACCGTTCTCCTGCCTCAGCCTCCTGAGTAGCTGGGACTACAGGCACCCACCACCACGCCCGGCTAATTTTTTGTATTTTTAATAGAGACGGGGTTTCACAGTGTTAGCCAGGATGGTCTCGATCTCCTGACCTCGTGATCCACCTGCCTTGGGCTCCCAAAGTGCTGGGATTACAGGCGTGAGCCACTGTACCCGGCCTCTTATTGTGCTTTTAATTTGCATTTCCCTCTTGACTAATGATGTTGAGCATCTTTTTCTGAGCTTATTTATCCAGTCATATATCATTTCTGTAATTTATATCTTCAAGTTTTTTCCCCATTTCATGTTGGATTATCTTACTGTGTTGTGAGTTCTTTAGATGCAAGTCTTTTGTAAGGTAATGTATTGCACATAGTTTCTCTTGGTCTTGTAGCCTGCCTCATCACTTTCATAATGATGTCTCTTATAGAGACAACGTTTTTAATTTTGATGAAATCTTATTTTTCACTTTCATACTTTGAGTCCTAAGAAATCTGTCTACCCCAAGGTTTCAGAGATCTTTTATCCTTTTTTCTTCTAGACAATTTAAGGTTTTAAATTTTAGGTTTAGGTCTAGGACTTATTTCACATTTTTGTTTATGGCTTTCCTAAATGAATATCCAGTTGTTCCAGCATCACTTATTGAGAAATCATTTTATTAATGAATTACCTGGCATGTTTGTTGAAATCATCCATTTCTAGACTTTGTATGATGTTTGATTGATTTTTATGTCTATCTGGGGGCCGGTTACCACAGTGCTTCGATTACTGTAGCTTTATAGTCTTTTTTTTTTTTTTGAGACAGAGTCTTGCTCTGTTGCCCACGCTGGAGTGCAGTGGCTCCATCTCGGCTTACTGCAACCTCCGCCTCCCGGGTTCACGTGATTCTCATGCCTCAGCCTCCCAAGTAGCTGGGATTACAGGTGTGTAACACCATGCCTGGCTAATTTTTTTTTATTATTTTTAGTAGAGATGGGGTTTCGCCACGTTGGTCAGGCTGGTCTTGAACTGCTGGCCTCAGGGGGTCTGTCCTCCTTTGGCTTTCCAAAGTGCTGGTATTACAAGCATGAGCCACGGTGTCCGGCTGCTTTATAGTAAGTCTTGAAGTCAGATAGTGAAAATCACATGACTTAGTTCTTTTACTGTTTTGATTATTCTTGCTCCTTTTGCATTTCCACATAGATCTTAGAAACACTTTCTCAGTTTCCTTGCCCGGATTTTCACTGGGATGGTGTTTAATCTATAGATTAGTTTGGAGTTGAACTGCTCTAATCCATGAACATGGTATCACTTTGCATTGCATTTGCTTAGGTCTTCTTTTCTGTTACAGGTTTTGCACATTTTGTCAAAATTATCTTTAGGTAGCTTATTTTAAAAAAATGTTTAAATTTTTACTTTTTAGAGATGAGGTCTCATTCTGTTGCCCAGGTTGGCATGCAGTGGCACAATCTTAACTCACTGCAGTTTCGACCTCCTGGGCTCAAGCAATCCTTCTGCCTCAGCCTGCCAAGTAGCTGGAACCACAAACACCTACTACCATGCCCGGCTAACTTGTAAAAATTTTTATTTTTGTAGAGATGGGGTCTCTCTGTTGCCCAGGCTGGTCCTGAACTTCTGGCTTCAAGCCATCCTCCTGCCTTGTCCTCCCAAAGTGCTGAGATAAGACGTGTGAGCCACTGAGCCTGGCCAGTAGCTCATATTTTTATAACTGTACAATTTGAGCAAATAGAAATACAATGTTATATATTGACTTTGTGACCTTGCTACATTGAGTAGTAAAGTCATCCTTCAGTAACCAACTCCCTCAACACAAAAGTCTGTGGATGCTCTCTACACACCACACATCCTGTCCCCTTTCAAATCATCTCTAGCTTACTTATGCCCAATACAATGTAAGTGCTTTGTAAATAGCTGTTATACTGTATTGGCTTTTTTTTTTTTTTTATCAGCAGTTAGTTGAATCAGTGGATGCAGACCCCTTAGATATGTAGGGCTGTTAGTAGCTTTTTAATAGAAGCTTAATAGACTTTCTTCATACATGAGTGTGTCATGTAAGTAATTTCTTTCTTTCCAATTTGTATGAATCCTTTTTTTCTTTTCATGTTATTTTGGGTCAGAATTTCCAGTACAATGTTGAAAAGAAGTGGTGTGTAGACATTGTTACCTTCACCTGCACTTAGAGGGAAAGCATTCAACTTTCACCATTAAGTATGATAATTAGCTCCCCTTATCAAGTTAGTTCCCTTCTATCTCCAGTTTGCTGAGAATTTTTAGGCTATTGACATATTTTTTTTCCTCCTTTAGACTATAATAGGATAGATTGCTTTATTAGTTTGCTATTGGATCATAACGTGTCTCTCTCTTGGGTCTGGCTTCTTAAACATGTTTGTGAGATTCATTTATATTGTTGCACAAAGCAGTTTAATTTTCATTTCTGTATAGAAGTCCATTGTGTGCATATAATTCATTCTGTTGATGGGCATTGTTGGCTGTTATATATAGTGCTGCTATGAACCTTTCTGTACATGTTTTTTTGGTTAACATATGTATGCATTTCTGTTGGCTATATTCCTAGGAGAAGGTATACATAAATAGCATTCCAGAGTGGTTAAATCACTTTCTATGCCCACCAGCAGTGTATAGGAATTCTAATTGCTTCACAGCCTTACTTTTTCCTATTGTCTATGTCTTTGATTTTAACCTTTCTGGTACCACACATTTATTTTTAAATTTTATTATTTTTAATTGATGCTGTTATAAGAAACAATAGAGACATATACCTTGTGCACTTCCCAGCTTTCCCCACTGGTAACATTTTTCAAAATGATACTATTATATCACAACCAGGATATTGACATTGCTAGAACCCACAGATCTTAGATTTCCCCAGTTTTACTTGTACTTATCTGTGTGTGTGAAGCTCTACACAGTCTTATCCTGTCTAGAGGTTTGTGATTACCTTACTACAGTTGAGACAGAGCACTTCCAAATTATAACTGGACCCATGATCTCCCTACTGTCTTCCGACCCCAGCCCCTGGAAACCACTAATTTGTCCACCATTTCAAAAATGGTATATCAGTGGAATCATGTAGTAAAACAGCTTTCAAGTGGCTTTTTTTTCTTAGCGTAATCCCTGTAGACTTACCACTCATTTATTTTTAACCTTCCTGTGTTACTTTGTTTTATAGGTGTTCCTATGGGAAACATACAGTTGAATTTTTTTAAAAAACCCAATCCTAATCATTAATAGCAGAATTGAACCAATTTCTTTCTATTGATGATTGATACATGTGTGGAGAAATTCCTGCCAGCATATAATTCTAATTTCTCTTCTACTTTCCTTTTCCCACCTACATTTTTCTGAATATTCAGAATACATCTTTTTTCAGTTTTTCCTTATGTATATTTTTATATCTATTGGACTAATTGCCTCAGAAAAATTTTCAGGACCTGTTTGTATTTCAGCATTCTTGTACCTCATTTTTATTCATACTTTTAAATTATGAAAGTAATACGGGCTTAGTGAAAAACAGACAAGCGATTTTAAAAATGGGGGCTCTTCTGTATTCTCATGTAGCAATGATACGGTTTAGGTGTATCCTTCTAGTTATTTTTCCATCCATTTATAGTGTCTTATAACAAATGAGTTATGATGCATACTTTATTTATTTTTGAGAGGGAGTTTCGCTCTTGTTGCCCAGACTGGAGTGCAATGGCACAATCTTGGCTCACTGCAACCTCTGCCTCCTCAGTTCAAGCGATTCTCCTGCCTCAGAGTAGCTGGGATTACAGGCATGTGCCACCACACCCAGCTAATTTTTTGTATTTTTAGTAGAGATGGGGTTTCACCTTGTTAGCCAGGATGGTCTCGATCTCCCAACCTCAGGTGATCTGCCCGCCTCCCAAAATGCTGGGATTACAGGTGTGAGCCACCTCACCCAGCCTGATGCATATTTTTAAAAAGTTGCTTTTGGCCGGGTGTGGTGGCTCACGCCTGTAATCCCAGCACTTTGGGAGGCCGAGGTGGGCAGATCATGAGGTCAGGAGAGCGAGACCATCCTGGCTAACACGGTAAAACCCCGTCTCTACTAAAAATATATTTAAAAAAAAATTAGCTGGGTGTGGTGGCGTGTGCCTGTAGTCCCAGCTGCTTGGGAGGCTGAGGCAGGAGAATGGCATGAACCCAGGAGGCAGAGCTTGCAGTGAGCCGAGATCGTGCCACTGCACTCCAGCCTGGGCGACAGAGCGAGACTCCATCTCTAAATAAATAAATAAAAGTTGCTTTTGTTTATCAACAGTGTATCAAACAGTGTATCAGAGAGAACACCATTTGTCAGTGTATTTGGAAGTACATGCTTCATTCTTATCTGCAGGATAGCATTTCCTGGTATGGATGTTACCGAAATTAACTCTTACTCTGTTTATAGGCATCTTTCTCCATTTTTTTGCCAGCTTACCACAAGTGACTCTATAGAAAACATCCAGCTACTTGGGAGGCTGAGGCAGGAGAATTGCTTGAACCCGGAAGGCAGAGGTTGCAGTGAGCCGAGATCATGCCACTGCACTCTAGCCCCGGCGACAATGTGAGACTCCATCTCAAAAAAAAAAAGAAAAAAGAAAACATCCCCAGTCATGTATTTACAGGTACATTTGTATACATTCCTAATACTGATAGGCACTGCTGTACCTTTTTAGTTATGTCCAATCTTTAAAAAAATTTGGCTTGGTCATTTTTGCCAATTTAGCTGTCAAGATAATTTTTGTTTTGAGACAGAGTCTCACTGTGTCACCCAGGCTGGAATGCAGTGACATGATCTCAGTTCACTGAGACCTCTACCTCCTGGGTTTAAGCGATTCTCCTGCCTCAGCCTCCCTAGTAGCTAGGATTATGGGCACGTGCCACCATGTCTGGCTAATTTTTGTATTTTTAGTAGAGACAGGGTTTTGCCACGTTGGCCAGGCTGGTCTTGAACTCCTGACCTCAAGTGATGTGCCCAGCCAAGATAAATTTTAGAATCATCTTATGTTACAACACAAAGTGGTATTTTGGTTAGAATTACAGAAAACCTAAAAACTAAATGTTAACTGGGGCTAAAGAGTAGAAATGCCTGCCCTGCACTGGTAGGTGTTCCAGCTAGATTATTTCTTTCAGGTCTATTCTGAACATATAAAAACCTCCTAAACCTGATCTGCCCACTCTGCTTTTTCTCTAGAGCCTTCACCGTGTTGGGTTATACTTGGTTATACTCTGACTTCAGGTATGCTTTTCAGTTGCAGTTCAAGTATACTGTCTAATTCCTATTTGTCATCGTAGACTTTTCTCTTTCATGCCTTTCACTAGTTCTGGAAATGTTTCAGCCATTCTCATCCCCTGCAGCTTCTCTCTTAAGCCTTTCTAGGTGTTTTTCTTGGACCTGCCTACCAGTTGTCTTTCCTGCAGTTGTCTAACTGCTGTTTACCTGTCCAATGAGATTTTTTTAAAATTTCAGTTACTATAGTTGTCCTTTCTGGAAGTCCCGTGTACAGGGAGAGTAAGAGCATTGTCTGTGGAGCCACACTGCTTGGGTTTAAATCCCAGGTCAGTTGCTCCCTACCTGTGTGACCCTGGAAAGTTATTCAGGCCATACCTCAGTTTCCTCATTTATAAAATAGGAATGCTAACAATATCTTACATCATAAGGTTGTTGTGCAGATTAAAGAAGTTAATATAGGTAATGGTGCCCTGGAACAGTCTAATGATATGCTGTTTGGCAATAAGCACTTCAAAAGACGGTCAGTGTCATTAATGCCAATCAAAACCATGTCATACCTGTTAAGATGGCTAGAATCAAAAAGTAGGAAAATACGTGTTGGCAAGGATGTGCAGAAAATGGAACCTTCATGTGTGGTTGCTGTTGAAAACAGTCTGGAAGCTCTTCAGAAAGTTATTACAATTCCACTCCTAAGTCTATAGGCAGGAGAATTGAAAACACATAATCATACAAAAAGTTGTACAGGCATAGCAGCATTATTAGTAGCCCAAAGGTGGAAACAACCCAGATGTCCATCAACAAGTGAATGCATGAAATGTCGTATAGCCATACAAGAGAATATCGAGCCATAAAAATGCACAAATATGTAGAGGATGGACCTTGGAAAAATTATGGTAAGTGCAAGAAGCCCTATACCAAAGGCTGCATAGTGTATGATTCCCATTATATGAAATGCCCAAAACAGGCAAATCCATAGAGACAAAGTCAGTTAGAGGTGGCCACACGCTGCGGGGGCAGTGACTGCTAATGGGTATGGGATTGATGGAGTGATACACAACTCTGAAATATACCAAGAACCACAAATGGGTGCATTTTATGGTGTGAAATATATCTCAAAAAGAGCAAAAGGCAGTCACAGGTAACAGTTTCTGCAGAAAGCATGTTTCCTTCTCTAGGACGGAGGAAACAGAAGTTTAGTTTCTCAGAACCTCAGTCTCTCAGGGCCAGAACTCAGGCCCCCAAGGTGGGGGAGCTACACAGCTGGTACTAATTTGTAAGTAGGCAAAAGTAACACAGAGGTGAAACAACCAAAACAATCCAGATCTGGGGTTTCACCATGTCGCCCAGGCTGGTCTTAAACTCCAGGGCTCAAGTGATCCACTTGCCTTGGCCTCCCAATTGCTGAGATTATAGGCATGAGCCACTGAGCCTAGCCGACTTTCTTATATGATAAAAAATACATATACCTTGGCACAGAAGCCAGTGGAAGCATTCCCATTACAGTCAGGGATATAAAGGATGCTCTCTCTCAGCTATTGTTTTAGAAATATTAGCCACCCCTTGCCCCCCCACCAAAAAAAACTTGAAAGGGAAAAACCCTTTCTATATAACTGTATATGTAGAAAGCCCAAAAGAATAGAAAATCTATAAACAATATGAATTTTGTAAAGTAGCAAGTTAAGTAAGATTCAGTGAACCAAAGCACTTAAAAGTTATAACTGAATAGTTAAGTTACAGTAACAAAAACTAGAACAAATGAGACCTAAACTTGGCTGGGTGCAGTATAATCCATGTCTGTAAACCCAGCACTTTGGGAAGCCAAGGTGGGAGCGTTGTTTGAGCCAAGGTGTTCTAGACCAGCCTGGGCAACGTAATGAGACCCCCTTCTCTACAAAAAATTTTTAAAAATTAGCCAGGTGTTGTGGTGTATGCCTGTAGTCCCAGCTACTTGGGAGGATGAGGTGAGAGGATTGCTTGAGCCTGGGAGGTCGAGGCTGCAGTGAGCTACCGTCATGTCACTGGACTCTAGCCTGGGTGACAGAGTGAGACCCTATCTTAGAAAAAAACCACACACACCAAAACCCCAAACTTAAGAAATAGGTAAAACTTTCAACCCTACATAAAAACAAAAACATCCCTGTGAAAGTATAATGGCAGGTGGAGCATGCTGAGGGGTAGGAAGACTCAGTGGCTGCGGGATATCAGCTTTCTCCATTTCATAGGGTTGACATGATCCTGATAAAACTTTTTACCGAGAGATACACAAGGTGATTCTTCACGTGGAACCTAATAAACAAGAACAGCAAAAATAACCTAGAAAAAAACAATGAGGAAGGTTGCTGGTCCTATGAGATGTTACATGTCGAGAACCTCCATAAGTGAATGTGTAGTGTTGGCCCAGGAATAGAACAATGGAAAAGTTTAAAATCCAGAAATCGATCCATGTACATTTGGAAATTTAGTGATTGATAAAGATAGCATTTAAAATCAGTGGTAAAAATCACTTCTAACAAGTGGTATTTTGACAATAAGACCACCCTGTGGAAAAGGATAAAATTGGATCCATCTTGCATAGTGTATATTTAAATTCCAAATGAATCAGAAACCCAGACATAAAAAGGGAAACCTGCAGAGCGCAGCGGCTTGTACCTGGAGTCCCAGCTATTCCGGAAGCTGATGTAAGGAGGGTCACTTGAGCCCAGGAGCTTGAGACCAGCAGGACCCCATCTCTTCAAAGACTTTTAAAGTCCCAAAGACAATGTAAGTAAATTCCTTGATAGAATTTGTAAGTAAATTCCTTGATAGAATTGGGAAAACTTCGCTCTCTGGGAATCAAGGGAGAAATTGATGAAGTGTTGATATTCCATATATATGAAATCTTAAGGACAACCTAGTAGAAAAATGGGCAAAAAATATGAATAGCTCACAGGAAAAAGAAAAGCAAATGGCTCAAACATATGAACAAAAGATTCTCCAGCTGATATACTGTACCATCGCTTACCTAGAGACTGGCAAAAATCCAGGAGTTTGACAACATATACTGTTGGTTAGGCTGTAGGGGAAAAAGGCATTCTCATAAACATTGCTAGCAGGAATGAAAAACTTAGAATTCCTATGGAAGGAAGTTGGCACTATCTAGCGAGATTATATATGCTGCTTTAGCAATCCTACTTCTGAAATCTCCCCAAAAGTGACACATGCATAAGACTTCATTGTAGCACTATTTGTATTTTGTGTGTGTATGGTTTTCTTGGGGTTTCCTTGGTACGGCACTATTTGTAAAAGGCAAAGATTGGAAACCACCCAGATGTCCTTACATCTTACATCCTTACAGTGGAGTACTGTGGGGAAAATAAACACACCAAGTTGCAAAATAGTGTGGCTAGTATGCTAGCTTTTATGTAGAATGTATATGTACTGTGTGCACATATACATATTTGAAAATGGATTACACATGGTTACTTATATGGGAAGGGTGGGTAACAAGGATTGGACAGGGTTAGATTAGACCCCTCTGAAGGTACCTTGTTTTATAGTTGTAACTTTTTTTTTTTTTGAGATGGAGTCTTGCTCTGTCACCCAGGCTGGAGTGCAGTGGTGCGATCTCAGCTCACTGCAACCTCTGTCTCGCGGGCTCAAGTGATTCTCCTGCCTCAGCCTCCTGAGTAGCTGGAATTACAGGCACCTGCCACCATGCCCAGCTAATTTGTGTATTTTTAGTAGAGGTAGGGTTTTGCCATGTTGGCCAGGCTGGTCTCAAACACCTGACCTCAAGTGGCTCCACCCGCCTTGGCCTCCCAGAGTGCTGGGATCACAGGTGAAAGCCACCACGCCCAGCCTATAGTTTTAACTTTGAAACCAAGTAAGTGTTGTTTTCAGACACAGTATTTTGGGACCACTCTAGTCCTTGATGACGGAAAGAACCATAAAGTAATCTTAAAATTTCTTTCAGTTTTATGTTAGTAAATATACTGGCATTATTTTGAAACAGTGATATGTACTGTAGACTAAATGAGTAAATGAAATCAGGAACCAAGATTTTCAGCTTGAGAAAGAGCTACAAGTATAAAAATGAAAGTAGTGAAGCAAAAGTCCAATCTTTACATGTATAAAGGCAAATAATTTTGCAAGAATATGGTTTTAAAAAAACCTTGGTGGCCGGGCATGGTGGCTCATGCCTGTAATCCCAGCACTTTGGGAGGCCAAGGTGGGTGAATCACCTGAGGTCAGGAGTTCAAGACCAGACTGGCCAACATAGTGAAACTCTACTAAAAATACAAAACATTAGCCAGATGTGGTACCAGGTGCCTGTGATCCCAGCTACTTGGGAGGTGGAGCTTGCAGTGAGCCAAGATCTCGCCAGTGTATGCCAGCCTGGGCAACAGTGTGAGACTTGGTCTCAAAACAAACAAACAAACAAAAAAACCTAAGTCCCTTCGCTGTCAAATCCTTAGGGGAGTAAATTCTGTCATCTCTGGGTACCTGTTTTCCTGACTTTTCAAGGTGTTGAAAAGAGCCTTATGATTCAGCCAAACTTTCCAACAGCTCTGATGGGCAGTTTATCCTCACTCCCACTCTACCCAGCTCTGTTCCTTTCTTCTCTTCCACTGTGTCTGAATTTGACAGGGTCCCAGTCTCAGTGGTACTGTTCAAAGTGTTTATAATGTTACTCTTCTGGGCAATTTTTGCTTCATACGTCTCCATCCAATCAATGCATTTCAGGTGTTGTGGCAGAGAGATTTTTGGGGGTGCTGGTACAAGCAAGACAGGAATAACCCTTAAGTCACAATAAAGGCCTCTGCAGGGAGTTTTTACATTCACTTCATTTTAGACATCCTCATTTCCCTTTCCTACATCATGTAATTTGTGTGATTTTTTTTTTTTAGATGGCTATTCATATGAAAAGGAAGCAATGGAAAATTGGATCAGCAAAAAGAAACGTACAAGTCCCATGACAAATCTTGTTCTTCCTTCAGCGGTACTTACACCAAATAGGACTCTGAAAATGGCCATCAATAGATGGCTGGAGACACACCAAAAGTAAAATTGTTGATATTGTATTATTTATATTTTCAGTGATCTCATTTGAATGATTTATAGGTAAATACTAATCAGACATTATTAAAAGCAAAACAGGAAAAAGGTAAACTTCTTAAATTTAGTTACCTATAAAAATTGTCAATTTTCATTCTTTAAAAAACACATGGACTTACTATAAAAGCCTTTTTGTACTAGTGAAAAGAATCTTCAGCTATATAGAAATAAAGTTATACTTTAAATTGCAGTGTCCTAAGTTTTTTAAATTCCTCTTACTATCATTCCCAACAGTGCCCACATTTATTCTTGTTAGATGTAGGTCATCTCTCTTTATAACTAAAGGTTGGACTACTCTAGAATAACAGATGTTTACATTCTAGGTAATAGCCATTCATTCAATAACTCTTTGGAGGCCTTTTAAAGAGACCATTTTGTAGCAAAATGGTTGTAGATTGTTTATGATTAAATGGAGAAAAATCACTTCAGATGTTGAAGCAATTTTTTTGGATTTTAAGTTTGCAGGATAACGATTTTTTTCTTATTTTCCAAACCTAGGTACAAGTTAGATGAAATAAATTCTGAGTAAGTCAAGTTGACTTTGCTGAAATATATAACGTGACAAACTCTAGCCTCCCTTCAGAATGAAGAATTATTAAATGTTCTCACATATAATTCTAAGCTGGAGTAACTATACAAAGGCATTTTTACACAATAGCCTGATATGTTCACTCCAGAAAAAAAACTTCAGGTTCAGGAAGTAAAGGTGGTGCTAACTTCTTGCCTGTCCAAAGTTGTTACTAGAATGGAAGCCATCCGCGGGAAGCTTGTTAGAACTTCACTGTCAGCGCAGGCTGAGCCTCTGGGACTGCACCCTTCTTTGCACTATTACCTCCAGTTGCTGAAGAATTGTTCAGGAACGTTGAAACTTGGAAATAAAAAGGGAAAAGCAATGTAAATATAGGAAAAGGCTGACTACGCATTTTATGAACTCATAGCTAATATGCTGCATGTTCACAGAAAGGCAGCAAGCCTTGCTAACATGGAAATCTCCAAACATTTCTTTGTAATTCTTTGTAAACCTTTTTAACTTAATGTATTGCTAAACTTTGTTAACCTTTACGACATAACTAGGATTCATAATCAATGGTTCCAGAAAACTTTTTTATTAATATGACATGCTTCTCACATTCTTACTATTGAGGATTAGAAAGGCTAGAAGCATGTTCTAGGTGTTTTTCTGTTGTATTCTTTTCTTGTAGGGTCTCGCTCTGTCACCCAGGCTGGAGTGCAATGGCACGATCTTGGCTCACTGCCGCCTCTGCCTCCTGGGTTCAGTCAATTCTCCTGCCTCACTCCCAGGTAGCTGTGATTACAGGTGCGTGCCACCACACCCAGCTACTTTTTGTATTTTTAGTAGAGAGAGGGTTTCACCATGTCGGCTAGGCTGGTCTCAAACTCCTGAGCTCATGATCCACCTGCCTTGCCCTCCCAAGTTGCTGGGATTACAGGCGTGAGCCACCAGGCCCGGCCGTTTTTCTGTTGTATTCTTTAAATAAAGTATGCTAATAATTTCAGCAGAACACTTTTTAAACTTAAAAGAACTTACCATTGGTCCAGCTGTCTCTGTTTTGATAGACATTTTCCGATGGAGGAGGTTAGCTGGTTTTTAAATAAAAATTAAATCATTCAAAGTCATTGCTAGAAAATGCAAAAAGCCTTTTTTTTTTTTTTTTTTTTGAGACGGAGTCTCGCTCTGTCACCCAGGCTGGAGTGTAGTGGAGCGATCTGGGTTCACGCCATTCTCCTGCCCCAGCCTCCTGAGTAGCTGGGACTACAGGTGCACGCCACCACACCCAGCTAATTTTTTGTATTTTTAGTAGAGACGGGGTTTCACCATGTGTTAGCCAGGAGGGTCTCCATCTCCTGACCTTGTGATCCGCCCACCTTGGCCTCCCAAAGTGCTGGGATTACAGGCGTGAGCCACTACGCCTGGCCAAAAAGGCATTTTTTAAAATAAGTGTTAAGGTATTTTGCTTTTCTTTCTTTCTTTTTTTTTTTTTGAGACTTGCGCTGGAGTGCAGTGGTGCAATCTCGGCTCACTGCAACCTCTGCCTCCTGGGTTCAAGTGATTCTCCTGCCTCAGCCTCCTGAGTAGCTGGGACTACAAGCGTACACCACCACGCCCAGCTAATTTTTGTATTTTTAGTAGAGACGGGGTTTCACCATGTTGGCCAGGATGATCTCTATCTCCTGACCTCGTGATCCGCCCGCCTTGGCCTCCCAAAGTGCTGGGATTACAGGCATGAGCCACCACGCCCAGCCAGTATTTTGCATTCTTATACTTTACCAGGCTAGTTTCTTGTAAAACAAAACTGCTGAAAACTAAGATGCCAGTAATTTACCTAATTGACACATCTCTTCTTGTATAAAACATAAACCAAAGCCGAACAACTGTCTTCCACACAAGCAAACCAAAACCATCAGTAAGAGGGGACATGAAACAGCCCCCATGCTGGGCACTCCAGACCCCACTGTTAGTTCAGGGCAATGTGGAGCAGCAACACCTGCCCACCACCCAGTCCTGTCAGGACTGACCATTAGCTTTCTAAGGATGTATCACCTCTTCCTGGCTGGGCCAAGTACCTTACTTATCTTTACTAAGTATATATCAAAATCATAATGTACAATAAATTACGAGAATATTCTTATTAGCTCCTTTACAGGAAAAATCATCTAATGACAAGAATTATGTATTAGGCGATACGTTCCTTCCCATCCCGTTTTTGTTTTTAACCTTCCATTAAATATAAAGCTCTAAAGGACTGAAACTACTTAGCCTTGCTAGCAAGAGCAGTGACCAAATAACCTGAGGTATTATGATGTTTAAGATTCCAAGAATTTTATCACAATACAACACAGTTTAATGTTCTCTCTCATATTACTTTGAAATATGTAGGCATAAAGACATACTTTTAACTGAAAGATAATACAAATGTGTTAAAGAACAAACTGTCATAACAGTGTTCAGTGTATTGCCAAAGTGTTTGAGAATTACAGTAGTAAAGATGTCCCGTTGCCAGTAAAAACAGACACCAAGATGTCTTGAAACAGATAGATAGGAAGTATATATTGCTTTCCTGCATGCTTTCTTTCTATTTGAGGCAAAAAGACTAAATTTGGCCCTTGAGTATTGTGGAATTTCTAGCAGCTGTCACCCTTATTCTGAAATTATAAAACGAAATTAAATAAGCATTTTGTAGTGTTAATATAAAATATGCTTTTCACTATTCCCTCTAGGGTAACAAAGATTAAAAGCAACAGAGATAGCTGTCATCAGGCTGTTCTCTACTTATCCATTGACTCATTTAGTGCAAAACACATTCTATTAATAGTCTTTATTCCATATGGAAAAGTACAGTAGTTGTGCAGAAACAAAACTAACAAAGGAGTAAGACTTTCACAAATATTAAAGAAAATAAATAAGCCATAGTAGTTACAGCAAAACTCATGGAAAGCCTATAAAAATGATAAAGCTGTTCATACAAAGTACAATTGTACACACAGGAACAAACGTTGAAGAATGACATCAGAGGTTCCTATTTGTACAAAACCATAATGATGTTCACAGGAACTTCATTACAACAATTCACTTTAAAACATTCTGCAAATATATAACTTCCTTCTCCTCAATTTTAGAAAATAAATTTCACATCCCAACATATAAAACAGATACACTCCTACTTCTCTCAAATTAGCATTTTAACATCTTCCAATAACACACCATTTTCATATAAAAATACCTTTAAACCAAGGTTCATTCCTGTACCTTATCTTTACAAATGAATAATACATCAGAGCTTGGACTTAAGTAGCACCTCAAAGGTGTTCATATAAATGAGATAAAGTGCTGTTACTGGTATACTGTTAACATGCCCTAATAATATATCATTCAGTGCAATAACCAGCATGGATGAAGCTTACAGAGAACATGCAAATCGTGACTGGGGTTTTCTTTTTTGTTTTTAGATTAACTACATTGAAATAGTTCTATTTACAAGTCTGAATAAAACTGGGCTATTTAATATATACAACATGTGACTATAAAGTACTAATTGTACAACAAAACAAAAGTAACAACCAGTCTTACCTTTAGTATCTGAATTAAATATTGTCCTTAGAGGAGCTTGGAAGGATTGTTCCAGGAGCACTACCATTGTTAAAAGCAGTTTGGAAACCAGGTGAGAGCTAATTTATAAGCGCCACTAAGAATGCTGGTCTTAGTATTTTAGCTTGAATCCACTTGACCACCAATCATGACTCCAAATGGCTTATACTGTTTCCAAATATCAAAAACACCTTCAAGCACAAATATAGGTTCCAAAAGTGCTATAAAAATATATGAATAAGAACCATAACACAGAAATAAGTGTTTAATCCCTTTATAGGAACTGCTATGAAGAGAATACTTAGGTGTTCTCATATTCTGCTTAAAAAAATTGGCTGCGTTTACAGTCGCACTTATATTTAGCTAGAACTCACTCAGAACTTAATTTTTATGTATATATAAAATGGGATTTGACTCAATGGAACTGTAACTGTAAAATTCCATCGTTTCCAGAATACATCACTTGGATGTACATCACTTGGTCATGAGTTAAACCTGTTACTCTTGAACAATAGACATATTTATTCTCTAAGTAAGTTCTGTGATTCTACCATATAGCAAAGGCAAGGAAGAAAGTGGCAAAAGCCAAACAATTTCATAAGTGAGAGTCATTAATGTCTTCTGGGCTGTCTTAAAATTTTAAGTTGATATAATTTTCAATTCTGTTTAGCATTCTTATTTATGGTGATTTCTAGCTATTAAAGAAGTTTTATCCCACATTTTAGATATATCAATGGCATCAGATCCACCCCAAAGAAAAAAAATGGCTAAAAAATAATTTTTCTGATGAAAAAAACTATTTAATTTACCACCAGGAGTCAACACACGTTTCCAAATTCCACAAATGGGGATTTCTTAAGGTTCACACATTTGACTCTATAAATGATCGCTTTGGTTTGGCTGCAGTGAGGTGGCTCCTGTGGGCTTCATTACTAATATGAGGCTGCTGTTTGGAGATACTTTCCTGGTACAGATGAGAAACAGTCTTAGTTATCCTGTTCTCTTGAGAGTGGACTGGAATTTGGCACTTGCTTTCTTCTAGCTCCTTCACTTGTGCCCCATTGTGGACACTTGCACTCAGGGTAGAAACAGAACAGGTTTTGGCTTGGTTATTATATCCTCCCACTTGCATGAGAGAGGGCTTCTCAGTGTTAGCAGACTGCAGGCCAGCTGCAGAAGACGTGTTTGTCAGCAGCCCCTCTGGTGCCGGACAGTGCCAGCTGCGGCTTGGAGGATTGCTCTGCTGTTGGAACCTCGCAGTCTTATCCATGATGCCCATGAACGGCGTGTTGCGGGGTCTGTGCTCAGCTGTACCGCTCTGAACGTGGGTTACAACCTTGTCTTTAATTCTAGTATCTGGTCCTTGGACCTTGAAGCCATCTGAAAAACTGCTGCTCGAAGTCAAACTACTGGTTGAACTTGACATCTTTATGCTGCTGGATGGAGAACCAGAAGAGCCTGAGCTGGTGAGGGAAGCTGGGTGTCGCACGTCGCTGCAGGTCGCCAGCCCACCTTGGTTTGGAGGGGCTGCGTCCACAGCCACGGAGGAATGAGACAGAAGCCTCTCTGTGGTTTTCGTCTTACTTGGTAAAGGGTGTGCAGGGCCATTCTCACCACACTGCAGGCGGACATTCTGGCTGGGGCCCAGCCGATCCCCAAAGTGGCCACAACCAGCTCTTGTAGTGAAAGTACCTGTTCCCTCTAAATGCTGGGTTCTGCTCCCAGCAGGAGTGGCAGCGATTCTCCCTGGCATGGGACTTGGAGGAGGGTTCTGAGAAGAGATCTGAACTTTCATACTGCCATTTCTCACTGCCGACTGGCCAGAGCCCAGGTGCTGGCTGGTTTTCACGATCTGGGCCTGCTTGGAGGGCTGCAGGAGCAGCCCTGGCTGGGCCACAGGCTCTCTCAGGGACTTGCCGATTCCTGCCCTGCTCTGTGGCGATACCGGCCTTCCTTTGGACTGTAACCCTTCTTGAAGGTTTCGGATGTATGAGGAAGGGACAGATGAGGATGGCTGGGACCTGGGAGTTGGGGAAACAGATTCTTCCTGGGGAGAAGTTTCTTCCTCTTCAGTCTCCTCAGAGTGAAAGTGGTCACTTAAGCCAGGGGTTGGGGTGTCCTCTTCGTTCTCGGAGTCGTTGAGTGGAGCTGGTAGCGGGCCCTGCTGTTTTTGCTGTTGACTCCTCTGGAGTTGTTTGCACTCCTCTTCTACGCGGGCCAGAAGCCTCTTGACTTCCTGATTGGTGGGACAGAGTTTCACAGCCTCTTGCAGGTCAGCCAGAGCTGCCACGAATTGCCTTTGTAGGAAAATGTAAGGTAACATTACAAACCACACACGAACATGCTCAGAGTGTAACTGTTCATAAAAGAGCTGTGCTCAAAGGAAAGAGAAGGTAGCAAGTGAGTTTTGAACACTTACGGTGGTGGCCAGGACCCACTTAACCAGCCCAGAGTAACTCAGCTAAGTGGCAGTGCTGAATTCTAACCTAGGTAGGTGGGACTCTACAGCCCTGCTCTCCATAAAGACCACTGGACTGGGAATAGGGAGAAGCATGAATCAGTGGGCGCCAGAATCTTTTTAATATTGTTACCATCCCATGGTAACACTGTGCCCATCTCTCAGTCAACAGGCTTATATCACTCTTCCCCACCTCTGAACTTCCTAATGTCCCTAGTTGGCAGTTTCCTTGAAATATGGACTAAACTAGGTAGGAAGTTCATGTTGCAGTAAGTTTCACGTGGGGGGAGGGGTGGGAAGGAATGATTATTGAGACGTCAGGAGAAAATAGAAGTTTACTCATCACTGATAATGTCCACTACTATGCCTCTTGGAAGCAGGTAGTAATACTAATTCACTACTAAAAAGGATGAGAGGCACCTGAGCAACACTTCTGCAGCAAAACCTCCCCAAATTCAACAGGCAGGTTTGATCCCACAAGAAAAAAAGCTCTAGACACAAAGATAACCACAGACGGTACCTGCTATTTCTCTTCGCTCTTGCTCTGGCATAAAAGGCTTCATAGGACTTGGGCTTCAATTCGAGAGCCTTGGAAGCAAATTCCTCTGCCATGCCAAAGTCCTGGTGTCGACAAGAAATACAGGAGTCAGAAGCAGCCTGGACACACGATTGTGGGAAGCCCGTCTAGTTTTGTTCTAAAGGGTAGCAGCGCTCTGAGGCACAGCCAGAGAGGGAGGAAGGGAAAGTTCCGTTTTCTATCTTGTTTTAAAGTGAGGAGATAATGATGGTTGATTAATATCATTAGGAGAAGAATCCACTATGAAAACAGTGGTAGTAACAGTGCCCCAAGAAGGCCAGATGGTGGAACCTCACAGCCCGGTGGAGGGGCAGCCTCAGAGAGGAGCGCAGACACTGCATCTATTCCGGCAGCAGGGCACAGAAGCAAGCAGCTCAACAGACTGGGGCAGGAGGACACAGTTAAAAAAAAGGTAGGAAGTACTACTGAAACAGATCTACTAGTTACAAATCGACTATGAGTTCCCCACGACCGGTTACAAATTAGTTACTGGCAGACCCTCTGAGCAAACCTAACACAGAAGGCAGGCCCACCACAATAGGCTTGGGTTGGACTCTCCTGAATCCGGGGACGGCAGTGCCAGCAGCAACAGTGTTGGGAAGCTGCAGAGGAGCAGACTGCATTTGCTTCTCATTACTGAGGCCAAGGAAACGAAACCCAAGTGCATTCCTTCAACATCATGCGAGGAGCGTAGCAGCCGTGACCAAACGATAGTCACGGATAGGAGCTGTTTCCCACATGCCAGGTTCATGTAAATGTGCAAGCAAATTGGACAGGAGGGCCCAGGATCTGGTCTGGAGAAGGGCTGGCCTTCACTGCTGGAGAAGGGCTCTGTTGCTGGAAGACTGGGTTGGAATAAAGGGGCACAGCTTACATTTGTTTTTCTTCGGCATCGCGACAAATTGAGATAGAGGGAAACCCTTAATTCATTGAAGGGTCTCATGTCCTCTCCGAATCCTTCTCGAGGAAACTTTCTTAAGGCATACTGGTACCTCTGGGCTGCCTCTTTCATTTTCCCTTTCTAGGATTCAAAAATCACAAACATTTGTCCTTTTTCAGAGGTTCTAAAATGAATAACTCCCACACCTGGAACACCGTGGGGAGTTTACTCCCCCCTGCAAACCCACGACAGAACATTGAAAGCATCCAAACAAGTGTCAAGGTGGGAGCTAGTTCACTAACTGGGCTGGCACATGAGGGCTTCACTGTCCTCACATGCACCCGCATCCTGTGGTTACACAGTGAGAAAGAAGCTGGTTTTACAATAAGGTGTCTGTAAACTGCTAGATTGATAATTACCAAACTTAATGAATCAGATTACCTTCTGGTATGTATTTTTGAAAATTATTTCAAGAATGATCTCAAATCTATTTGAATGCTAAGTGTAATAGAAATCAGATGAAAAACTGATCCTATTCCTAGGACAAGTAGCATCTTGTAGATAAACCTAGAGAGCTTGCTGCAGAATAATAATTTTTCTTCTAAGAGGAATTAAAACATGGGCTTTAAAAATCAGAACAGCACCACACATCATTTTCAAAGCTAAAAAAATCCATTTGCTCAGTCAGTCCCATTGCACAGCAGGTATGAAGCCTGTTGAAAATGGCTTCCTATTTCTGACATAATTGCCTACCAATCCATATTAAAAGCACTTCAAAGCCACAACAATACACTCAACTCAATTTCAAGCTGATTCCAAGCCAGGAACCCTGCTGGGTCATGCTATATTGCCTATTTATTTGTTACTATTTTAAAAAATGAGAAGGAAAAAATCTACAACATACCAAATACAGCTGCCTAACAGTAAAAAGGATTAACATGGTCATAATCTAGTTTTTCCCCTATAATCTTTTAATTCTGTCTAATCACAGAGCTGCAAAGAATAGTGACCTATGCAAATGGCCTGCATATCTATCTAAACCAGGGGTTGGCAAACTATAGCTTGGATACTAAGTCTGGCCAGCCACCTGTGTTTACAAATAAAGTTTTATTGGGACACAGCTGTGTTCATTCACTCTGTGCTATCTGTGCCCCCACATCAGAACTGGGGAGTTGTGACAGAGGCCACACAGTCTGCAAAGCCTAAAACATTTACTGTCTGGCCCTTTACAAAAAAAGTTTGCTGACCTCTGACCTAAACTGATGTCTTATTTGGAAAAATTTAAAGTGAAGTTTATTGATCTGTAAATCATATTTCCATTTCCAAGGGAAAATGGAAAAAATTAATTCAGTCTTCTGAGTAACTGAGGTATTACTTGACTGTATTAAGTAAAAATCTCTAACAACACTTTCAAATTCTAGAAATTAATAGATATTAAAAATTAGGAAAGGCTTAGGAGACAGAATAACCCTTTTCTTCTAGAAATGTCTGCTGGGTGTTCCTCTCCCACGTCTCATGACTGTGCCTCAGCATGGTGTTCTGAACTCAGAATGTGAAGGGCTGAGGAACCTTCTCTATGATGTTCAGTTGACCTAGAGGTGACTCAGCTTCACGCCATGGCTTCAGACAGGAAGTCACCACTACAACCTCAAGGATTAGCTCAGAAATAATGGCTCTCAGACACAAAGAGAGGTGCTTTCTACCTTTAAGATTCTGCCGGAAAGATATTAAGCCAACAACGGGCATGAGGCCAGGTCAGCACCTCTTGGCACTTTTTTTTTTTTTCTTCTGAGACTGAGTCTCACTCTGTTGCTGAGGCTGGAGTGCAGTGGTGCAATCTCAGCTCACTGCAACCTCTGCCTCCCAGATTGAAACAATTCTCCTGCCTCAGCCTCCCGAGTAGCTGGGATTACAGGCACCTGGCTGATTTTTGTATTTTTAGTAAAGATGGGGTTTTGCCATATTGGCCAGGTTGGTCTGGAATTCCTGGCCTCAAGTGATCTGCCCACCTCGGCCTCCAAAAGTGCTGGAGTTACAGGCGTGAGCCACCCCACCCAGCCACTTTTTGCACTTCTATTACATGGAGACTGTGCAGTAGCACAGCTGTAGCCATTATGTACCCAATTAAGAGGGTGCTCCCAGGCAGTTTCAATGGCAAAGAAAAGGGCGGAACCACTTACTTTGTACATCACATTTCCTTCCTCCATTAATTTCTGTAAAAGTATAATCAAGATATCAGGTTTGGAAGTGGCCATCGCCCAAGCAGCATTTCCTGCAAAACAAACACGCATTCAGAGGCACTTCAGAGGCCCTGCGGAAAGGATCCCAATTCCTCCGTGGCCCCACGGCTGGAGGTCAGCACCAGCAGGAGCCCAGCTGCAAGGACCACAGCACGATGAGGGAGGGAGCAGGACGCCGGCGAGGCTGTTGCTAATCCTTTCCCACTGACCTGGGCACTCAAATCTGTCCTTGTTATTTTACTGAAAAAAGTAATGAGAAACGAAGGCATCCGAGCAGCGAAAACTCATTCCTCCCTTCCGGGTGGGATGTGGGGAAAATTAATTAAATGAGGCCTTAGCATAACCTCCTCAGTTCCTGCAGCGGCCACCGTGCAGGCATGTGTTCTCAGCACGCAGTCCCTGTGCTGTGTCATCTGCTGTACTCCGAGATGTCATGGCTTCTCTCTCCTACCCTACAGCTCGGCCACAACCTCTCTAACCCCTGCCTGAGCTCTCGGGACACTGTGGGAGGAGTGCTGAAGAGCACAGCCCTGGAGCCAGCTGCTAGGTCCCCACGGCGAGTACCACAAGGCAGTCCTGGGGGAAGCCATTTAGCTGCTCGGTGCCTTGGTTTCCTCATCTGTAAAATCATGGGATTGTCACTGAGACTTTCAGGGCTGTGGTAGGGATTAAGGCAGAGGGCGAAACTGCTTGGATAGTTCCTGGCACTATTCACTGCTTGACAGTATTAGTGAATAGCATTTTCATCACAGTGCCCTACCCAGAGCTGCTCCTGACCAAGGGCTCCATACATCAAACCAAAATAGTGACCCTCCCCACATCTGGAATGGTGTGTTTGTGTCAAAGCCAGCCACGTGGAAAGGGCTTTCCCTACTCAGGGTCCCCCACACAATCCTCAAGTATCGTCCTAGTTTGTCTCCATGAAATCATACTACTACTTCTTCACAGAAACTTGCTGTGGTGGCCATTTCCCCACACAGCTGACTGGTGGCTCTAGAACAGTGGCTCAGCCTCCGCTGCTGCTCAGAGTCACCTGGGGGAGCTTTCAGCAGCACTACCCGGCCCCACCCCACAGCAAGAGGCTGTGGTTCCTCTCTGGCGTGGTTCCTGGCCACTGATACCACTCCAGACTGTCCTTCAACACCAGCCTCTGCTTTCCACACCCTCCCCGCAGAAACACCGTGAGCTACTTACACATTGTGTATAATGGTGATTAAGTGAGACTGAGACAGAGATCTGCAAACATCTGACATCTTACTTCCTAACCTGGGAGCAGGTCACTCTCTGTGCTGTCTAGGCTTCTACAATCGGGAGCTCACCGCTCCTCCTGCTCAATGGAGGCAGTGCTCACTGACCTAACTTGGCTCCCTTTCTGAGTAGCGCCACCACTACAGATGTGTTCCGGCAGCCGATGGCTCTGTCCAAGGGCCGCATCCCGCTGTGGTCCACATGCTCGATCACGGCTCCCTTCTCCACCAGGTACAGCACCTGCAGAGACAGCAGAAGCCTAAGCAGCAGCTGGGAACAGGAGTTCAGGGGCGCACACGGATTTAGGGGTGGGCAGTCTTAGCTTCACTCTGATTTTAGATGCCTCTGCCTATTAAGGATCCTAGACTAGAAATAAAGTGGACACGAAACAGAGAAGAGGAGCTGCAATCCACAGCTAAAACCTTCACTGCTGAAGAGATTTTGCTGTCAGGGATGAGGAAAGCAGGGGACACGCTACCACAGGTGGGTGTGTGCACACATGCGTGATCTGTCTCTGTCTCACACCACTTCCCAGGCCACAGAGACGGGACATAGTCACCTTTGCATCTCCAATGAAGTAGGCAGCAGACTTCTTCAATGAGCTCTAACAAATGAGCAGGCCACAGCAGTGGTGACTTTAGAAATACTCAGACCCACACAACCTGTGCACGGCAGACTGTTAAGATTGGCAGCTTGGGACCGGATGGACCCGAGTATAATCCACTTCAAAGAGATGTGAAGGAAATTGGGAGAGTAAAGATGGCAAGTTTGATACCACGGTACAAAGACTGATTTGATGTGATATAATAGCTGTCAGTTGAACCAAACTGGAAACAAGAGGAAGAAATACTGTGGCCACTAAAATTTCTCCATTTACTGGAGCCATTTTAGCCTGTAGCCATTTTTTAGCCTGTGGCTATTTTAGATTTTCATGTGAATCTAAAAATATATGCTTCCTATCATCCACCCCATTATTCAAAATGACACTAACTAGAGGGATTATCTACACAAAGAACTACAACCCAACTACAAAAACCAAATAACCTCATCTTTAGAATGGGCAAAGGACTGGAATAGATTTCTACAAAAATGATCAACAAGTGCTCAACAAGCATATGAGAAGATGTTCACCTTATACCCATTACGATGGCTACAATTAAAAAAAAAAAGCTACTATTAAAAAAAGCACCTCAGACATGCAGGGCCATGGCTTCCACTGCCAGGTCTGCAAGCACCTGTCTGTCCAGCTAGTCCTTCCACAAGTACTGGCTGGGCGTGATGGCTCACGCCTGTAATCCCAGCACTTTGGGAGGCCGAGGCAGGCAATCACCTGAGGTCAGGAGTTCAAGACCAGCCTGGCCAACATAGTGAAACCCCATCTCTACTAAAAATACAAAAATAAGCTGGGTGTGGTGGTGGGCACCTGTAATCCCAGCTACTCAGGAGGCTGAGGCAGGAGAATCGCTTGAACCAAGGAGGCGGAGGTTGCAGTGAGTTGAAATTCTACCACTGCACTTCAGCCTGGGTGACAGAGTGGGACTCCAACTCAAAAAAACAAAAACAAAAAACAAGTATTGGTGACGATGTGGAACAATTCTGGAGCCCTTATGCACTGTGCTATGAATGTAAAATGGTGCAGCAACTGTGGAAAAAAAGTAGGGCAGTTCCTCAAAAAATTAAAAATACAATCACTATATGAGCCAGAAATTCTGCTTCTGGATATATACCCCAAAGAACTGAAAACAGGGTCTTGAATAAATACTTGGACACCCACATTCATTGCAACATTATTCACAACAGCAAAAAACATAGAAGCAACCTAAGTGTCCACTGACAGATGACTGGATAAACGAGATGTGGTGTATACGTACAATGGAGCAATATTCATCCTTACAAAGGAAGGAAATGCTATTCTAACACACGCTACAACATGGGTGAACCTGGAGAACATTATGCTATGTGAAATAAGCCAGTCACAATGAGACAAATACTATATGATTCTACTTACATGAGATATCTAAAGGGGTAAAAAAACTCACAAAGTAGAGTGGTGGCTGTGATGGGCTGGGGGAGATGGAGAGTTGTTTAACAAATACAGTTTCACCTTTGCAAGATGAAAAGTTCTGGATACTGGTTGTACAACAATGTGAATATACTTAAACTACTGAACTCTATATGTTTAGAAATGATTAAGGGTAAATTTTATGCTATGTGTTTTTGCCACGGTATTAAAAAAATTATGTTGGAATGCTAAGCTCCTTCACTCTTCTCTAATTTTGATAAACTACACAATGTGGGAAGGTAGCTGAAAAATAAGTGTAGACATGTGAGATTTAGTTGAGTATGTTTTTGAAAACTGACATGAAGTAGAGTTTACAAGGTACTGAAGTTTATACCATTGAACTCTGACAGCGCTGCCTTCTAAAAGCACCAAGGCACAGAGGTACAGGGCCATGGCTTCCACTGCCAGGTTTGCAAGCATCTGTCTCTCCAGCTAGTCCTTCCATTAGATGTATTGAATTATTGGAAACTGGTAACTCTCATGTAGCTGACCATTTCTCTGGCACCTGCTGGGTGCCTGGGACATGGAGCCTGATAAAATCAGTTTCTGCCCTGAAAGACATTTCACGGTTCTCAGTTTATCAAGGTTTTATTCCCTCAAACCTCGATTAGACATGGGCATTTGGCAAAGAGATAAAGATAGTGCCCAAAGCTTTCCATATTATTTTTAGGCAATGCCATATCACTTTAAAAACAACCAGTATATGTACATGATGAAATACTATGCAGGCTTTAAAATAAGGAAATCCTGTCATTAGCCACAACATGGATGAAGCTGAAGGACATTATGGCTAAGTGAAATAAGCCAGGCACGGAAAGACAGCATGATCTCACTTATATGTGGAATCTAAACAAGTTGAACTCACAACAGAAGCAGAGAACAGAAAGAGGCTGGGAGACAGGGGGACCTGCGGAAAGGGTAGGCACCGGTCAAAGGGTACGAAGATTCAGTTAGACAGGAGGAGTAACTTCTGGTATCTACTGCACAGTACTGCAACTAGAATTAATAACTTTTATTTATTATTTTTTTGAGACTGAGTCTCACTCTGTTGCCCAGGCTGGAGTGCAATGGTATGATCTTGGCTCACTGCAGCCTCCACCTCCCGGGTTCAAGTGATTCTCGTGCCTCACCCTTCTGAGTAGCTGGGATTACAGGCACCCGCCACCACGCCCAGCTAATTTTTGTATTTTTAGTAGATACTAAAATAGTATCTACTAGTTCACTTGATCTCGAACTCCTGACCTCAAGTTCGCTTAATCTCGAACTCCTGACCTCAAGTGATCTGCCCATCTTGGCCTCCCAAAGTGCCGGGATTACAGGCATGAGCCACCGCACCCGGCCAGTAATGTATTCTTTATTTCAAAATAGCTAAAAGAGATCTCAAATGCTCTCACCAAAAAGAAATACTATTTGGGTGATGGATACATGAATTAGCCTGATTTGATCATTCCACAATGTGTACAAGTATCAAAACATCACTGTACCCCATAAATATACACAATCATTTGTCAATTAAAAATAAAACTTTGTCCGGGCATGGTGGCTCATGCCTGTAATCCTACCATTTTCAGAAGCCAAGGTGGGGTGATCACTTGAGCCCAGGAGTTCGAGACCAGCCTGGGCAACATGGTGAAAAACCGTGTCTCTAAAAATTAGCCAGGTACGGTGGTGCATGCCTGTATTCCCAGCTACTCAGGGGGCTGAGGTGGGAGGACCTCTTGAGACCAGGAGAACAAGGCTGCAGTCATCACACCACTGCACTCCAGCCTGGGCAACAGAGCAAGACTGTGTCTCAAAAATTAATAATAAGCCAGGTGCAGGGGCTTACGCCTGTAATCCCAGCACTTTGGGAGGCTGAGGCAGGCGGATCATGAGGTCAGGAGTTCAAGACCAGCCTGGCCAACATGGTGAAACCCTGTCTCTACTAAAAATACAAAAATTAGGCATGGTGGTGCATGCCTGTAATCCCAGCTACTCAGGAGGCTGAGGCAGGAGAACTGCTTGAACCCAGGAGGCGGAAGTTGCAGTGAGCCGAGATCGCACCACTGCACTCCAGCCTGGGCAACAGAGCAAGACTCCATCTTGGGAAAAAAAAATTAATAAATTAAAAACAAAACAACTTAAAAAAAAAAAGCAACCAGGTAGTCATTTGATTAGTCACTTACCATATATAAAAGTAGTTTCTAAATGATCTATGCAAAAGTTTTATTTATATGGATGACTGAGAAAATCACATATGCACATGTGTATGCATATTCACGTATGTGTCTGTTGTATGTGCTATTTGCAAGCAGGTATTTTTAAGCTTTTAAGAGTCGACTAAAATCTTAAGTCCTGGAATAGACTGCATGTCACAGAATTAGAGAAAAATGAAAGATCCCTGACAAGACACACACACACACACACACACACACACACACACACACACACACTCTCTGATGACACTGAGACACAACCTCATGCAGGCCCTGGATTGAGCTGTTCACTTCCTGGGGTTTCTTTCCAATGCAGGTGGAGGTGGGGAACACCTGCTGGTACTCACAGTCTCGGCATCGCCATAGAAGGCAGCCAGGTCCAAGGGTGTGCGGCCATTCTTGTCTGTCTGGTCTATTGCAGCTCCTTCTTCAACCAGATACTGGACCACTGCCCTGTGACCTTTCAGACAAGCCCAGCTTAATGCTGACAGACCCTCTTTGTCTAGAGAAGAAAGGGCTGCACCTGAAAGGAAAGCCCATTCACAGAACATGAACATTATGAGATGACAAAGCCAGAAAGCAAATTGTTTCACACCTGCGGAACACCCGGCCTGAACCAAGTGTCAGTCAAGCACTGTGAAGGGTGACACTGGCCGGATGGGCTGGCAGAATGGTCATCGCTGCTGAAGAGGAATACCAGGCATGTGGCTGTGTTGCCTATTCTCTCTACTGTTTATTAGAAAATTTCCATTAACAGAAAACTTAGAATTTGAATCAGAAAGCACTGAATGGGTCTGCTGAAGTTCTCTCTGTGTCCGTCCAAAAGAAACCTTTGAGGGCATCACGCTGCTACCTTTTGAAAGGAGGAATTCCACGGTGCTCAAGTGCCCTTCACAAGCAGCCACCATGAGGGGCGTCCGGCCTTGCTTGTCACTTAGGTTCACATCACAGCCGCGTTCCAACAGCAGTCTAACAATCTGGAAGAGACATTTGGAATTACCATCCTCCTGCTGCATTTTCCACCACACCTGCTATACCCAGGCAGGTTTCTCAACCTTTAAAAATAGTCAAATGACTTTCTTTCAAAAATCTGTAAGTTGTGTGAACCATGGGGCCTGGAAAATCTTTCCACTGTATTCCTTTGAACAGAACCTTTTCCAAAATATGCACTCTTTTTAACATGCCCAATTCATTGCTGTTATCAACTAAATATACACATACCAGAGAGAAATGGTAATTTGGGGGAGGAGGGATGCCAATCACTATCTACAAGGACAAGACAGCCACAGGGGCGTGGGAGAATGAAGCATAACTAAGAGGGGCGAGCAGCGGTCATGGGGTCCCCCACGGGCACTGAAACTAAGTACCTACAGCTGAGTGCAGGGCATGAGGGGGTCGCAGAAAGAAGCTCGCCCACCACACACCCAAGCCATGGGCTTTCCTAAGATGCAGCATTGGCGGATGGCATGCCCTTCGGGGAAGGCAACTTTTAGCAAAGCACCTTGAGGAGATTCTCAGCCCTAGAAATATGCCTTTCAACCATGCATAGTCATAAGTTTGGGGAGAAAAAACCCTAGAAAACCAGACAGGGGTATCCCATCACCACCATCCCAGCAGGAACTGCTTCACCCGTAGCTTAGCCCATTTTTCCCCAACACATCACCTGTTACATGGCCGCAGCAACAGGAGGCAACACAATCCCACTGCCTTCTTGCTCGTTTATCCACTAACAAATGCTTTCCAAAATTCCCCGTGACTTAGGACACAGCAGGGCCAGGAAAGGATTAGCCAGATGATCAAGGTGAAGCAGTGAGGGTGACAGGGAAGAGATGGTACAAACCAAGCTCTTAGGAATGGAAAGGGGAGAAGAATCCTGCCAGGAAGCACTCACAGCTCCTACCAAGGGAGCCAGCAGGCATCAGCAGAGACGCGATTCCATGACCAAAACTTTGGTCTAGAAAATTCTTCTTTGTAATGGTCATAACATCCTTTGCATCCATAGTGTATGTGTAACTTGGTGCTAGGTGTAGGGTAGGTATGTGGTCACTGTTTACGAAATGAAGGAGCAAGGATTCCCTGCTCCCTTGAATGAACCACAACAATACATCATTTCATAGTAAAAAAACAAAACAAAACAAAAACCAAAAACAAACAAAAAACCCAGCCTGAATCAGTGCTGGACCAGAGGGAAACATTTTCTTTTCCAAAGAGCACAAAAGAACTGCTCTTCTTCCAAGTATGTTGGACAAATGCGTCACCAAACTACAACAGCACATATGTTAAAGCAAGTCTCCTGTTAACACGATGAATCCACCCACTCCACTTCCCTCCACAGCTGAAGGCAGTGGCTGTGTCTCTGACCTGGATAGCTCAGCCTTGAGCAGCCTTGCTCCCCAGCCTACGTGGCCAACTGTGTTATCTTGTCAAACGTGGCTCTATCAAGCAGTCCTGATGGCACAGCAGAAGCCGAGGATGGGGAACAGACAGGCTCAGGGGAGCTGCATTGTGTTCTCAGGGGAGCCAGGCAATAGTGAACTCCATCCCCACTCATTGCTTCTGAAGCATTCAGGGGCCCCCTGGGTACCTGCCAATGCCCCTGGCGTGCTGCACAAAACAAAGGTGGAACCCCTCTCCTGTTTGTCCGCGACACAGCAGCTCCATGCCCCAGCAGCAGCTCACAGACCTCCAGCTTCCCTCTTCCTGCGGCGGCAGTCAGGGCTAAAGGAAAGTCACATGGAGGGGAATCTGTTAGCATGTGGTGGAGCACAGATAGCCAGAAATTCTTTAACAGTTCTCTCCCCCAGTGGGAGATGGGGTCTATATGTCCTCCCCCTTTGAACCTGCGGGGGCTCTGTGACAGCTTTGACCAACAGAACACAGCAGAACCAATTCTGTGTGCATGTCAAGGCCCAGGTCCTAAGAGATGGGCTGCTTGCACTTCCTTGAACACTCTTTCTTGGAGCTCGGATGCCATGCTGAGAGGAAGCCCAAGCAGTCCTGTGGTGAGACCCACAGAGAGAAGAACTGAGGCCTGGGCATGGCTGCCAGTTCCAGATGGGCTCCCAGCAGACAGCCAGCACCAGCCAGCCAGCCACATGCATGTCCCATCTGGAAGGGGATCCACCAGCCTGGGTCAAGCTGCCCCAGCTAAAGCCATGTGAGCAGAGGTGAGCCATCCCCACCATGCCCGGCCTAAACTATAGATTCAGAGGTGGCTAAGTTTTGTTTTTGTTTTTCTCAGGAAGAGATAACCAGAATACAGTGCAATGCAAACACAGGTTGGTATTATTGTCTAGTTTGGCCTCTTACCCTAAAATCATAAAATTTCATTCAACAAGAATAATCACTGAGGCAGTCTAGAGTGCACGTCACTCCCCCCTTGTTAAAGAATCTCTTTAACAAGTCAAGATTCAGGGTTAAGAAAGTCAAGAAAGAAAAGAAGATCCAACTGTAGAGGGCCCAAGTGAACACGCTGGCCCAGAGGCAGTGAGCTGCCCACTGTCGTGGTGGTGCTGCGGGAAGTCAGCTAAGGATGAAAGAAAAATGGCATGCAAGGAGAAAGGACAACGAGGCGGGGTACTCACGACACCCTCCCGTCAGCCTGGGCATCCCCACTCCCCGATTCTTAATTTGGGGGTAATAAGCAGGGGGTGTAGTTCGAAGAGTTGCTTCTGCTCATCGCAAGAATCATTGTCTAGAGAGGAGGACGGAGGAGGTGGCAGAAACAACCCCAGGCCAGGATGATCAGCTCTTTGGTGGGACCAGAGGCCAGGAAAAGGCTGAGTGGCGAGGGATGGCTGTTCCTCTGGAGGGAGGAAGGAGATGGAGCACAGCACCCTGGCTCTATTCCCAGCACGTGCCTGGGATGGCTCTGTTTCTAAATACAGCCTCGAACCTATATATTTCCAGTTTCCAGAATAGGGAAGTCTTCTTACAAGTCAGTCAGGCAGACAGACCTCTCAGGCTGAAAATGGGGCAACACAAGAACAGGCCTTCAAAAGGTGTGGTCCCCATGCCAGGGAGCCTATGAAGAGCACCAAGCCCCATTAGTAACCAGGCTCATTAACGAGAGATGGATGCGGAACAACAGGAAAGCTTGCACCCTGCTAGCAGAAAGGTGCATGGTGGCTGCTCTGGAAAACAGGCTGACGCTACGAGTAAGTTGAAGACAGGTGTATCTCCCCACCCAGCAACCCACTTGCAGAGATGCACCCTGCAGGCACTCTCAAGGTGTACCAGAAACACAAGCAAAAATGCTCACCGCACCCCGGGCTGCAAACAATCCAAACAACCATCATCATCATCATTAGCAAGCTTCAAGAAAGTGGCATAGTCAATCAGCAGAACACTACATGTCTACAAGAATAAACACCATGTGGCTAAACACGACTGACCAAGTCAGTCTCACAAACTTAACAAGGATTGAAAGAAACCAAACCCAAAAGAAAACACACAGAGGATTTTGTTCATACATAGTTCAAAAGCAGAGTGCCACGACAGCCATCTCGGGAGAGGGTCATCTGTGGGCTTCCGATTAGCAAGGGCGGGACCTGGTTTGTCTCCTGCGCACCTTCTGAGCTCGGGTCTCAGAGCTAAGCCCCGGGAGCCAAGGGCTCAGTGATGCTGGTGTCTGCACACACCCCTTGGTCTGCCTGTCTTCTTTGACACCCCTCAGAGCAGCTAACAGATGCCTGCTTCCTCTGGTGCCTACAATAATGCCCAGGGAAGCTGGGAGTCTGTTGCTGATTTGTGACCTCCTCTGGTCACACCAGTCAGCATGGCCATGGTTTAACCTCCAGGAGCCACATAAACAAAAGGCGGCAAACCTGTTATCTCCCTGCAAGAAACTAGCTCTCCTACTGAACAGTCTCTACCGACTGTCCTTAGGGCCATGGTGCAGTGTGGCTGGCAACCTCACCTCTTCACATGTCACAGAGAGGTAGCCACATCTCTCCCGTGGATCACCTGAGCTCTGCGTTCTATCTGGGGCCTCGTCACCGGAAAGTGAGGGAGTAAGCGTGGGCAGCAGGCAGTCCTGGTCTTGTGGACCTAAGAATGTAAGGGTTAGGTCCAGGATGACCATGGGGAAAGCATCCCCTTCTCCATCCTTCCAGAACGGTAAGGCAGCTCTCACTTCGCTTCTGGTCCTCAGTCAGTGTGGACCTCAGCAGTGAGGGGAACTTCTTCAGTGGCCTCATCACAGACCAGCCCCTCATAAGAGTTTACATGGCAGCCCAGGGAGCTCAGGGCCAGTCTGTAGGCCTGGCTGATTCCGAATGTTCCACGCCCTATTCCTCACCACCCAGATGATGGCCTGTTTCTTTTCAGAAAGGAGGCCACCACATTTCTCCAGAAAAATGCATTTAAAGGGCTCTGTCCTGTTGGATGTCCTCAAGCCTCTTAATCTATGTTTGCAGCAGACAGCACTAAAGCGGTGGTGGACCAGAGGAGGTAACAAGTCAGGAGCTGATTCCCAGCTCCCCAGGCCTTATCTGAGCACCAGAGGGAGCAGGCATCTGCCAGCTGTCAAGATGCTCTGACACCTGATGCTACAATATTTTTCCAAGAGGCGTAACAACTTCAGTTCTCTGTGGTAGAACAGTCCTTCACATGCACTGGGACATAGTCCCTTGCAGCTCTCCAAGGAGGTAGCTGGTAAGCCGAGCCAAGGTCCTCATGAGAAGTCAGTGCTGGTACCAACATGTGTGTTCAGTGAGTCACCCTAGTGGAGGGCACAGGGGGCCTGTGCACCATGGTTCTCAGCAGGTGAGAGACTGCTCAGCTCTGGAGTCCCAAGGTCCAGGATGTAACACAAGACAAGACACCTGAAGATATGATCTAGTCCCAGTTGCTATGTATGACCTTGGCAAATCCTCAAGGTCTGTGAGCTTCAGTTTTCCCCTGCAGAAAGCTAAAGAGTTGAGCCTGACCAGAGTTATGAAGAGGCCAAAGTTTCCGCAAATGCTTAGTCCAAATTTCATTTTTTAAATGCAGCTTATTTAAAAATTTGTAACAAACACAATACCCACCCCCCACCCAACCACCACAACATTTGCTGTTACTAAATTCCCCCTTTTTTTTTTTTTTTTTGAGACAGGATCTTGCTCTGTTGCCCAGGCTGGAGTGCAGTGGTGCAATCTTGGCTCACTGTAACCTCCACCTCCCAGGTTCAGGGATTCTCCTGCCTCAGCCTCCCAAGTAGCTGGGATTACAGGCACGAGCCCCCAAGCCCGGCTGATTTTTATATTTTTAGTAGAGATGGGGTTTCACCATGTTGGCCAGGCTGGTCTCGAACTCCTGACCTCAGGTGATCTGCCCACCTTAGCCTCCCAAAGTGCTGGGATTACAGGTGCGAGCCACTGTGCCCGGCCGCTGTTACTAAATTCTAATACCTTGGGGCCCAGCGCATTACCATGGGTGCCCAGAATAACTTATCACTGGGCAGTCTCATAATAGTGCTTTTCCTGTCATCTTTCTAGTCAGATAATTTCTTAGAACTACAGGAAGAGCCGTTCTTAACAAATATTGCCATCTGCATCACTGATCTGGATGACGAAGTGGATTCTTTCAAGACAGTGCAACCAGAACAAAATACTGAAGGGCAGGGATGCTACAGCTGATCTGGACTGCAGGTACCATTCATATTTGTGTTATGCAAACAGGCCCATTGCCCTTACTGAGCAGACATTTAAAGTTCATCTCAGCGTGTCGGTATGTAAAACTGACATAAATACCATTAGCAGAATGGTATTTATGTCAGTTTTACATACCGAGGCACTGAGACAGAGGTGGGGGGGTTCCCATACCTAAAATGTTTGGAAACCAGGGTCCAATGTGATCCTATCTATACTCTGAGAATCTACACAAACCAGTTCTGGTCCCTGCTGTCCCAGGAATTCTCGCTGTAGTCTCTTCCTGCCACGATGATAACGTTAATGATTCCTACTAACATAAGGCTTGGGGTACTTTTATATTGTGAGAGACCAGAATATGCCACCCCAAAATATGCCTTTTCGCATAAAGATTTTGAGTTGATTATTTTGAGAGACTGCAGACACAGGAGATATCCCAAAAACAGATAAGTTATCCTCTTGTAAGACAAAATTCATGGGTGTCTTCCTTTCTATTACCAAGAAGAGAAGGATGACTACATCACTAGAGATTTCTATCAGTGGAGAATCTGGCTCTCAAACCTTACCTTTGTTAACTGCTTTTCTTGGGTACCTCCCCATAACTGGCCTTCCCCAAACCATTTATCTTTGTTTCAGGGAAATTTTTTTTTTTTTTTTTTTTTTGAGACGGTGTCTCGCCCTGTCACCCAGGCTGGAGTGCAGTAGCACAATCTCGGCTCACTGCAACCTCCGCCTCTTGGGTTCACGCCATTTTCCTGCCTCAGCCTCCTGGGTAGCTAGGATTACAGCATGTGCCACCACGCCTGGCTAATTTTTGTATTTTTAGTAGAGACAGGGTTTCACCATGTTGGCCAGGATGGTCTCCAACTCTTGACCTCGTGGATCTGCCTGCCTTGGCCTTCCAAAGTGCTGGGATTACAGGCGTGAACCACCATGCCCAGCCGGGATGATGGTTTTTAAGCCTAAAATCTAAGCCACCTCTTGGACACTGACTCATTTCTCTGGGTATCTCCCATGGATACAACACAAGATATACCTACTATTCAACTTCTGTTTGTGTTAATCTGTCTTTCGTTGCTGCAGTCTGTCCCAAGAACTGTGAAGGGTAGGGATGAAGTGATTTCTTCCTCTCCTACAATATACATTTTCTGGATTGATTTGATCGTGACCCTGAACACGCATGATTCTTACGCTAGAAGATCTGGGTATTGAACCACTACCTGGATCTGCTGCTGCTCTGCCATTTTCCTCTAGGCAAGGAACAACTCCCTCTTCCTCCTCTCCCTGGTTGACCAGAAGAAGGAATGAATCAAAACAAAGACGCATGGGCTCCACGCAGAGGCAGGGCCTTTGCATGATGCCATGCAAAGGAATAAACACAGGACTCTTCCATTTGATGAGATCTGAAGCAGCCAATCCACCACAGCATTCTGCTCTTTTATTTGGTAAACAAGCTTCATCTACATTATAAACGGGGCCTTTAAATCAGGATTTCTGTTAAAGCTGCTACTGAATTTTTGCAACAGCAGCACATCAGAAATGACAGTCCAGCACTAAAAATAGGGACCTCTGTTTCACAGGGGCATCAGAGAAACCACAAGTTGGAGCAACTGACAAGGGGCGAGTGCGCCACCCCGGGCATGGCAACTGGGTTGGACCCTGTCCTCCTTTTCCTTCACAACCCTTGCTATGTATTTGGTGACTCCCTCTTGAGGCAACTAAAAACCTGTAAGCACAGGCAGACTATGCTCAGGCTTAAAACAGATCACGTTCTACACACAAATTCCTGACAAGGCTCTCGTTTACAAATGATGCAGACAGACAACAAGATCTGTGTTTTCCTTTTTCTAAGCAGATTGAGTATTCTGGGGCCATCACGGCGAACTCCTGAGGCTCTGCCATTTTCAGGGGATCTCAAGTTTTAGCAGCCACAGGGACTTACGAACACAAGAGAGACTGAAGAATAGCCACCCACATGCTTAAGCAAACAGAACCATGGCTAAATTATGCTCAGGAATTCCAGCTATTCTGCTGCAAAGGCCGACCTCTGGTGCTGCCCACCAGGCTCCAGTGAGGGTTAATGCACCCCACCTGACCCGAAGGAAAAGAGGGCAGGGGAGGGCAGGAGAAGAGAATGCCTTGCTATGGGCAGTACCTTGCCTTCTGGCCAATGAAATACAAAGATGGAGAAAAAAAGACTTGGTATGAAATGGGAGCTCAAAAATCAACGTGAACAGATGGCACTTTTTAGGACTCAAATTGGACACAATTTCTTCTAGTTGTAAAATCCTTAACAAGATGGCATTTGTGAATTAGATTCCCATGAAAGCACATACCTCAGCAACACTGTCCTGTCTTGAGAAGGCAAGTAGGTTTGTAATGGCAGACGTTCATTTTAAGAACAACCTGACTGGCCAGGTGCAGTGGCTCATGCCTGTAATCCCAGCACTTTGGGAGGCTGTGGCGGGCAAGTCACCTGAGGTCAGGAGTTCAAGACCAGCCTGGCCAACATGGTGAAACCCTGCCTCTACTAAAAATACAAAAATTAGCCGGGAGTGGTGGCACGCGCCTATAATCCCAGCTACTTGGGAGGCTGAGCAAGAGAATCGCTTGAACCTGGGAGGCGGAGGTTGCAGTGAGCTGAGATTGTGCCATTGTACTCCAGCCTGGGCGACAGAGCAAGACTCCATCTTAAAAAAAAAAAAATTAAAAGATCAGGCATGGTGGCTCATGCCTGTAATCCCAGCACTTTGGGAGGCCGAGGCGTGCAGATCAGATCACGAGGTCAAGAGATCGAGACCATTCTGGCCAACATGGTGAAACCCTGTCTCTATTAAAAGTACAAAAATTAGCTGGGCGTGATGACACATTCCTGTAATCCCAGCTACTCGGGAAAGCTGAGGCAGGAGAATCACTTGAACCCAGGAGGCAGAGCTTGCAGTGAGCCGAGATCTCGCCACTGCACTCCAGCCTGGTGAAAGAGCAAGACACCATCTCAAAAAAAAACAAAAAACAAACAAACAAACAAAACCTGACAACAATCTGAACGTATTGGAAACAGCAGTGAGAGAGCTTTTTGCACCATAAAATGGATGGTTTGCAGGAATCTCTTATATATTAAAGTTCTCTGGGAAAAGATTTGATTTGCAAAAACTCAATTGTCAACTTGCCGGGGACACAGTCATTCCACAAACAGGGCTATTCCTAAAATTTTAAAGCAGATCTGTCACTCAAATTCACAGGATGTGCTCCCCAGGCTCAGGATCGCTTGGCTTACAGATCACAACAATGGGTCTGTATTCCCACCCACATTTGCTTTTGGACCCAACTTGGGGGCTTGGAGAGAAGGGCGGCAGGGTCAGCGCACACAGAAGCTGCTTCCCGCTGGCAGACTATGACCTTTTCATGCATTACCCACGGATGTATGAAAACCATTCTGCAAACTGGAACTGAGTACCTCCAGAGAACAGCTTGTACCTGCAGAACCCACTTCCTGCTAGCTGAGAGGGCACTGCGGGCAGGGCAGGGCAGGGCGGCTGGGCTCTGCTTGTATGCTTATATTCACATGTGCAATTTACTTGCTTGTATTCACATGTGCAATTTACTTCCTATTATCCTGGCCTCTCCCATATTTTAAAAAATGAGTGGAAAATGAAAAAAATGAGTGTCAACATTAATTGAAAGCAGCAGGGTCCTCACAAATGTCATCTAATTGTGGCCAAGGTGAGAACTGTGAGATGTGGTGAAGGCAGTGATGCTTGACCCTCAGTGGCAGGCCCGATGGCCACACCCTGCTCAACTGTAAAGGCAGAGAACACCAGGAAAGAGTGTGCCTGACACACTGCACATTTCTCAGCTACTTTATCTCAATGGTAAAATGTAATGAGGGATTTTAGGATTTTTTCTTTTTTTTAAACTCTGGGAATGACTGCCCACCCTGCCTTGGTAACTGACTCTAAGTGGCTATATGGCGGCTGACCGGTCAGGCTCGCTTTGCTGCCACTGGGAGCTCGGCCGTCACACTGAGGGCCTCAGGGAAGCTGGCCCCCACATTCCCTGGCTGAAAGCAGCAACCTTTCCCCAAAAGGCCAGGCAATGTGCCTTGCCTCCCCGCCCCACCTTCTAGAAATAGGACTAAGATTTACAGAAGCCAAATTTCATAGCTTCACTGTGTTCTTTGTTAGGCATTTCCTCCCGTCTCTGAGCGAGGGGAAGGCTTCTATTAGAAAGAAGAACATACTTTCCAAGAGCTATAAATTTTTCACCTCTACAAAGACAAGGCAGTTATCTAACCTAATCCTCAACAATTTAAAGGATAAAATGAAAGGTAATCAAGATGGCTCTTCCAGAAAACTGTACTTGCACTGGGAGACAAACACCCCAAGCCTTGGTGTCTGGGACAAGCCTCCAACACTGCCAGCCTCAACTGAAGCTTCTGCAGGCTGGGGCGCTGCTGCTCAGTGACCTCACAAATGGAAGCCAGCACTGCCCAGGTACAGTCACATGCTGTGTGATGATGTTTCAGTCAGCGACAGACTGCGTATACAATAGCACAGTGGTCTCATAAGATGATAATACCATATTTTTATACCTTCTCTATGTTTAGACATGTTTAGACACACAAGTATTTACCTTTGTGTTATAGCTGCCTACAGTATTCAGTACAGCAATATGCTGTACAGGCTTGGAGCCTGGGAGCAATAGGCTGTGCCATCCAGGCTTGTGTAAGTACACTGGAGGATTTTCACGCAATGACCAAATCGCCTAAGGATGCATCTCTCAGAACTATCTCATGCACGAATTTAAAAAGTTGTGGTTTTGAACACCTTCCTTATTGTTTCCCATTGGCAAAACTCTCCCAGGAGGGCCAGATCTCCCAATGGCCATGATGGGGCCTGCAGAAGCAGCCTGGCTGGAGCCAAGTATGGGGATTCTGTGTTATAAGGCAACAGGCATCAACCAAGCATCATGGAAAAATGTGGCTCCCTCTGCCGACAGACATGAACCCATTTTCACCGAGCTATCTAACAGAGGTGAATACAGGGCAGAATCCAAATCTGGGTAACCAGAACACTCCTGACCATGTTACAAACTCTACTGTAAAAACACTGTCAGCCTGTATGTGCATTCAAGATTAAACAGGAACCTCAAATTGCCAACTTCTTTTAAAAAATAAAATGTGTAACTGCACCTGTAAACAGGACTTCATGTGTGTGATCAAAATTCCTTTCTTTTCCATCCTTCACTTATGACTCCATCTTCCAAAGTAATTGCAAAATTGAAGATTCCATCACTTATACATCCACTTATTCAACTGACAAATGTATAGCATACATTAACATATTATATTAATAATATTAATCAACTTATCACAACCCTGACAATACATAGCATTGTATCAACACGTATCAACTGCTGAGAGCTGCACAAAATACCCTGGGTGGATTCTCATTTAATCTTGTTAAGAACCTTTTGAACCAGGTGTCATGATGATGCCCATGTTACTGAGGTGAAATAACTGAGTCACAGGGGTTATATCATCTGCCCCAAATCACAAAGGGAATCAGTGTCAGTATCAGAAATTTAACCCAAGCAACTGAATGGACCTGAAGTCATGCTCTTGATTAAAACAGGAAGATGCTATTGGATTTAAATAACATACCATGCCATTTGTAAAGGGCTGCCTACACGATGCTCTTGGTCCTCCATATTCATAAATTCAGTGAACACAATCAACTTCTATGAGGCAAGCACTACTCTTAGTTCTCTGTTACAGATGAGGAAAATAAGCCTCCGAAATTAAACCACTTACTTAAGGTCCCACAGCTAGAGGGAGTGTGGCTAAGTCTGAGTTGTTTTTTTTTTTTTTTTTTTTTTTTTTTTTTGAGACACGTGTTGCTCAGTCGCCCAGGCTGGAGTACAGTGGCGCGATCTCGGCTCACTGCAACCTCTGCCTCCTGGGTTCAAGGAATTCCCTGACTCAGCCTCCTGAGTAGCTGAGATTACAGGTACCCGCCACCACGCCTGGCTAGTTTTTGTATTTTTAGTAGAGACGGGGTTTCACCATGTTGGCCAGACTGGTCTTGAACTCCTGACCTCGTGATCCACCCGCCTCAGTCTCCCAAAGTGCTGGGATTACAGGCGTGAGCCACTGGACCTGGCCAGTCTGAGTTCTTAGCTCCTACAATGCTGCCTCCAGGAAGTCACCTTTAAAAATATCTAAAGCATCCAACAGCCTTCTATGAGAGTTGTTTAGAATGAAAGTACCAGAAAGTGCTTCTCTTTTTCTGAGGAACTGCTGCGATTTCTCCCATGGACAATAAAAATGGTTTACAAGGATTGTGTTCCCCTCTAATTCTGGCCACATGGCATTCCACAGCCACAGTAGTAGCTCAATTTAGTATGCCATGGCACGAATGTTTGAGCGGTTCCTCATGTCCTATTCCTGACTTAGTGTTTTAAAGTTCTTATCTGCATCATTTCAAGTAAGTCTCTTCAAATCCTTTGAGGAATAATGTGTGTGCTATAAATAATGTAACCTCAATTTAAAAATAATTTCCTAAAAGATCAACAACATAAGCCATCTTTCATACAGACTTTGTTCTTCTAAGAATCCATGAGAAGACCGGACCTTTGGACAGCTGTCACTTCTAAAGTGTGCTGAGAATGTTCGCATGTGGAAGGCTGGGTTACACACCAAGTTATTTAAAGCAGGCATAAGGTTCTCTCTCTCCTCTCGGTAAGGGCTAAGCTTGTGCTGAGGACTTCATTACATGCCAGGACACCACATGAGGTCTCAGTGTAAAAAGGGGGCATTTCCACAAAAGCATTTTACACAACCTCACATCTGGCCCCCAAAACACAGAAAGAATCCAAATATCATTTCAAGAAGAAACAAGGATGATTTTTCTGTGGGAGTGTAATCCTTCCCAAAATATGAATGAATACATTTTTCTGTTGAAGGCAGAAGTATTTTTTATTAAATACTCAGGAATCACTCACTAGAAAAATGGACTCTGTACAGCAAGAACAGCTTGATGAAGGTGGTCAAGGGGCTAATTTGTTCGTGCTTGAGACACCACCCCTGGGTTTCTACCTGCTCACTGCTGGCCACTCAGCCTGCCCTACAGGGCGGGGACATGCTGACCTGACCCCTCTGCCTTCTTCGCAGAGAGGAGTGGTCTCCGGAACCCACCCACATCAGGGGCAAAACCCAGGGGTCTGTGAGACCAGGAGGATAGGGTATGGACAAACCCAGCCCCCTCAGTTCTGATCCCCTATCTGCCTCCACTGTTTGGAGGACCCCCATACACATCCTCCTCCATCCAGAGCCCTGTTACCCCTTCCATGTTGGTAACCCCACTTTGTCCCTCCCCTTACAGGGCACAGGGTCACCCCACCCCATCTTGCTCCTTTCAGGATCCTGGGTGGTCCCTCCCACGCACCCTTGAGGGTACTGGCTTACTCCCCATCGTGTTGCTTTGCCGAGGATAGTTCTGACTGACAGCAGTCTGGACTTCCATGCCCACTAATCTTACTGAACCTTCTTAGAACAAACACTTGCAGAGGAAGGAATGCCTTGATAAAAAATTTCCAAAACCAGTACTGGTGAGATGCTCAGGACCTCTGAAAAATCCAGTATCTTCAGTGTACGACAGCAAGTCGCAGTTTTCTCTACAGCATCCTCCATGTGCGTTCCATGTAACACATATTCTCCACATGCCCCAACAAGCCATGGGCAAACGCTTTCCTTCCAATCTCTCACCTGAAATTCTGTCCTGAGATGTGCATGCATCACCTAATGAGGTGGATACTTCCTGAGAAAGGCCACACATCATCAATGACAGGGATGCATCCTGAGAAATGAGTCGTTAGGTGATTGTATCATTGTGCTAATACCACATAGTGGACTTACACAAACTTCGATGGTGTAGCCTACTACATGCCTAGACTATATGGTACAGCCTTTTGCTCCTAAACTGCTAAGCTGTACAGCCTGTTACTGTAGTGGATACTGTAGGCAGCTGTAACACGGTGGTACTTGTGTAACAAAACATAGAAAAAGTAGCAACATAGAAAAAATAAAGACACAGTATTGTATGGGAACACCTTCTCACATGCAGTCCATCGCTGACAGAAACATCATTATGTGGGGGATGGCTGTATATGTGACTGCAAGGCTCAATCCAGTAGGCCTGACATTTATTTTACATTCTTACCAAAGAACAGCCCCTTCTCTCTCCAAAATGCCTAAGGTAAATTCAAATGAAGAACGGGTCATTTTTACACCAACAGTAATTAGGCATCCAGCTCCCTGTGCTCTGGGGCAGCCTTGGATGTGGGAAGCCCACCGTCCACGCCTGGGGCCTCCCTGTGACTGAAGCCAAAAGAGCCACAAAAGGGGAAAGGAAAGCAGTCCCATGGAAACAAGAGGGAAACGAAAATCATCAAAGTGTCAAATACAACAGGACCCAGCTTCGCAGCCCAATTTGGAAACAGGTGTGAGGACCCCACCCCCAAGAGGGGCCTGGAAACACCCACCCCAGCTGCAGGGCACTGCCTGAGGCTCAAGATCCAGAGGGAGCAGGTTCTGTCCAAAATTCCATCCAGAATTAGTGAACAGTAAACTACGGTGAGCACACATGCCAAGTGGAATTGCTTCAATGCGCTACACAAAGGGAGGCCTACGACGCAGCTAAATAGCCCATTCAATTCACAGCGGAGAAAATCTGGCCCATCTGAACAGAGGCAAATAGTAGCTTTGACAATAAAAATTATTTACCTGACTAAACTCCTTTAGAAAGTATTCAACAATTAAAATATTACTGACTTAACATAAAAACACTTCACATGAAGTATTTCAGTCACACTTTTAACCAACTCCGATAGGGCATCCCCTTCCAGAAATTAGGGAAGCGTAGCCCTGGGGAGCCGCCAGCGTCCTGTGCATGAAGCATGGGGCTCTGGGTGTGCTGGCGACCTTCTTTCAAACAGAAGGACCTCTGAGGAGGTGACCACGACAGGGCAGGACGACTGCCAGAGACCAGCATGAGGACACAGCACACCCAGGCTGCAGAGAGGGAGATGTTATGGACACAGATGGGGCTATGCCCACACCATGCTTGGCTATTAGCTGTGTTCCCAAAGATCCAAACCAGCAGCCCACCATGCCTTCAGCACAGGTGCCCCACCGAGGACTTGGCGAGAGGATCTGAGCCATCTTGGAGTCCAACAGAGCATGGTCTGAGCTAGGACACCAAGAAATCAGGACACTGGGTCTTTATGAGTGACCAGGCCCCTTACTGCTCCCCCTCCAACCACAGGTATTTCTCCCAAATTATTCTGCAAGTGAACATCTCCCTCACTAAAAATATGACTTTGTTTCATTTAAATCCACTTGTCCACTTGGTCAATACCTATATGACAAGGACCAGGCTATACCTGCACTGTCCAATTTGGTGGCCACCTGTCACATGTAATTTAGATAAATTAAGATGAGATTTTAAACTATTGTTCCTCAGTTGCACAAGTCACATTTCAAGTACTCAATAGCCACATGTGGCTAGTAGCTACCATGCTGGACAAAACAGACACCACTTCCATTATTACGGAAAGTTCTATTGGGCAGCACTAGAACGGACGGTTGCCATACACAATGGTGTGGACAAGAGACAGGGAAATTTCTGCCTTCACAAAGCCCATGACTGGCTGGGTGTGGTGGCTCATGCCTGTAATCCCAGCACTTTGGGAGGCTGAGTCAGGAGGACTGCTTGAGCCCAGGGGTTTGAGACCAGCCTAGGCAACATGGCGAATCCCCATGTTTTGCATCTCTACAAAAAAATACAAAAATTAGCCAGGTGTGGTGGCTCATGCCTGTAGTCCTAGCTACTCAGGAGCCCAAGGTGGGAGGAGCACCTGAGTGTGGGGAGGCAGATGCTGCAGTGAACTGTGATTGTGCCACTGCACTCCAACATGGGTGACAGAGTGAGACCCTGTCTCAAAAAACAAACCCAAAAAAGCTCACAATTTGGGAAAAGCAGCCTCCTATCAAATAAGCCACATCAAATAAGCCTATCAAGGCTGGGCGTGGTGGCTCACACCTGTAATCCCACCACTCTGGGAGGCCGAGGTGGGTGGATCATGAGGTCAGGAGATGGAGACCATCCTGGCCAATACAGTGAAACCCCATCTCTACTAAAAATACAAAAATTAGCTTGGCGTGGTGGTGCATGCCTGTAATCCCAGCTACTCGGGAGGCTGAGGCAGGAGAAGCCCTTGAACCAGGGAGTTGGAGGTTGCAGTGAGCCAAGATTGCACCACAGCACTCTAGCCTGGTGACACAGTGAGACTCCATCTCAAAAAAAAAAAAAAAAGAAAAGAAAAGCCTATCGAATAAGATGTACTGATGGTAAGTCCTACGAAGGGAACTGGAGAGTGAGCCAAGGGAGTGGAGAGGGTTAAGGCTCTGATACCAGACAGGACCATCTGCCTGAATGGCAAGTGCTGGAGCAGAAGGGCCTCTGTTCTCTTCTATTCAGAGCAAGGTTCTAACCAGAAGCCCACAAGCAGGCTCACACACTTGAGTGTGGCTTGGAACTTGCAAACACAGTCCTTCTGCCAATCCACAGCAGCATGAGGTCACCAGCTAAGCATCTCTGGTCATTTCGGCTTGGGCTGATTCACAGCAAACACTGACATGGAGATAGTAACTCAGTGTAGCCAGAACTTTCTGGGAGGCAGCATGGAGTTGTCACAGCTGTGGAATGCCTGAAACAGATGCCATAAGCATCTGGTGGGTTCTCACCATGTTTCAGGCTGCCGAGAAACTACGGAACAGACACTGACTGAGTCTGTGAATATCACCGAGCCAAGAGCCTTGGCATCCTGAGGGTGGTACTGTTAGATGCAGGCATTCATCATCTGCTCTGAGCTTTCTTCTGATGAATGGATCATACTACTTATTCTCCACTAGGGCCTTTTGTTTGAGGGTGGGGAGGATGCATGGGGAGAGGGAGAGCTTGAGAGCTACTGGAACGACAGAACTGAGTTCTGAATGGCTGGTCCCTAAACATTGGACAGACAAAAACCAAATGGTCCTGGATGCTGGTGAAAACAGAAACTTAAACAAGTTAAGCCCTCTGCTCTCCAAAACCAGTAGAGACAGTCTGCAAGTTTTCTAAAGGCTGTGGGTTGATTGCAATAAACCCCTAAACCCTAAACTAAATACTGTTCCCATTTTTTATGAACGTCTTAAAATTCTATTGTACATTTTCTTGTCTCCTTCAACCTAACACAGGAGCCACCTACTTCTGTGATGACATTCATTGACTCAGGGTCACCAGCAGTCAGATGTGCAGGGCTCTAAGGGTGGAGGGCTGCTGCTGTGCCCAGTGCCACCACACTGACGGCCTGAGTGAGGGGGACCTCCACGGGGCTGCTGTTCCCTGGCTGGTGGCCGTCATTCTTAACCAAGAACCCAATGCTTCCAATCAGCAACAGGCACGACAACCACACTTCTGCCATGTGGAATAGATTCACTGAATTGCAAGGCTCTCCTAGCAGAAAACTGGAGGAAGAATTTGTGCGTGAATTTAAGCTCCTGCGCCACTGGCTCTGGCAATGGCAGAGAAGAGATGGGCAGGTAGCTGTCCTCCTAACGGGGGTATCCCTGCAGGAAAACCACAGGCTGTTCAAAGGCAGGCAGGTGAGTCAAAACAGACGAGGAAGCTCTGCCTTGTCACCTCATCAGCTAGCATTTTAAAGCCAAGCTGTTCACAGCTAAATCTATGCTGGACAGACTTGTGTAAACATACTTAAGGTTTCAAAATAAATAATGAACTGTTATCCACACAAAGCTTCCAGTTTTTCTGCCACCTTCCCATATCCCAGATAAGTATTACTCTTGGGATCCTATCCTTGTGCTGTGGCTAGGGACAGATACAGTCCATCCTAGAGTGTTTTGGACACAAAACACCATTGACTACACCCAGGAATGAGGACCAAACGAGAACAGGATGCAAAACCACTACTTTCCCTTCTGTGGGTCCCTATAGCAACGAGCAACAATGCACACAGCAGTACAGCCACACAGGCTGGGGAATCCCGGGGCCCATGGCTTGAAGTTGAGCCTTGGTGAGAACCAGGACTGTGAGCTGACCCATTCACTCTCAAGGCCTTCAGTTCTCTGTACGATGCCTCATCTGCCTTCATTCCCACATTTAGGGTCGGTAACAGACCCCACGTGGCCAAATCCCAAAACACGGGATGTCACATTCCAGAGCATGCAGTATACATTTGTGTAAGGACCTATATTTGCAGATGTTCTCTCAGCTGAAACCCCCTGCAAGATTTCAGGGTATTCCTCTGACAAATGCAGGCCTGGAAAGTAGGAAGGCTTGGGGCAGTAGACGATAGTGGTTGTCTTTGAAGGGGCACAAGAGAAAGGTACCAGACAGAAAAATGCAGAGAAGGCAAGGTGGATTTTGTTGACATGCAGTCCACAGAAAGCCACTGTGGCTAAGCCTGAAAAACAGCACTTAGCTTGCCTCTTCTTGCTTTAAATTTTAACAAACGTCTCAAGTAAACTCTTGCCTGATGAAATTCACCCTGATGCCTGGTGAGGAAGAGTGTGAACTGCTTCCCAGGTTGCAAAGTGGTCTGAAGGTTACTCATGAGGCTTTGGAAGGGAGGGGCCAAGTTACTGTTTACCTTTTCATTAAGACCCAAGGGACAACTACAAGGAGATGAATTCTGCCAACAGCTGAGAGCTTGGAAGTGGGTCTTTCCCCAGTGGAGTCTCTGACGAGAACACAGCCCCAGCCAATACCCAATTAGGAGCCTGGTAAGATCCTGAAGTAGAGAATCCAGCCAAACTGTGCCAAGAATTCTGATCTAGATAAAGACTGGTGGGAAGTCTGTTGTTTCTCATGTGTGTCTTTAGCCATCAACTGATTGGCAGATTCTCAAGCAGGATGATAATGCAATTCAGGACTGGTCATTGAGAGAAGAGAGCTCAAACAAAGCCTTCAAAGTCAGCCCTTCTCTGGAATTTTCTTCCAAATAAAAAAGTCATCTTGAATATTAAAATGTTAGAAATTCTCACTTGAGCTAAATGTGTGATGTCATGGCTGCTAGACCTGATGTCCATCGTCTTCATGGGTACCTCTCACTGTGTGTCACCCTATGTCAGGCTTTCTAGACAGCTCTGCAGGGAGCTAGGAGTAACCTGAAATGACTTGGGATGCTTGTTAAGAAAATCAAATCCTGGGCTTTCCCCCTAGTGAATCAGAATGTCTAAGCCCAAGTGCCCCAGGAGGCTCTTATCACTAGGCAATGAAAGAACAGGGGTTTGGACCTTTTGGCTGTCAGCAGTCATGCTCTTATCCACTCAGCAACACTGCTGCCCACCACATCATTTGGAATGTGATGGAAACTTTTCTTTCACCAAATTATAGAGCAGCCTATACTGTTTAAAAGGGAAGGGGAAGGACTCCATAAAGAATTAGGCAATATTTCAATCCACATACTTTTACCCGTAGACATAATCCAACTCCGCTGGAATTCTGTACTTTCTCTGCGCCTGGGAGCACACCCAGCTCCTTCTTTGGACCCACAAAGGGGATGGAACAAACAGCTGTGAGGCTCTGAAGGACAGGCCTGCACTCCTGCCAGAAGGTGAAGCTCTGTGGCTTTCCCCTAGGGTGAGCTATCTAATAAGCTCTTCACACCACCATTTGGCTTATTAGGAAATAATTTAGAAGCATTTGGAAACAAATCTGTGCAAGAAAAATGGAAATCATATATACCAGGTACACACACAGAAACATAACCTGGAAATTCATTTTAAATACTCATGCTGACATCTATTTAAAAACAACTTGTAATTTAAAGTCTTAGATTTCTAACACTAATCCAGTCAAGTGGAAAACTGGAAAGCAGCATTACTTTTAGTCTCACAAGTAACCAGCTCAAATCTTCACCAGGATGTGCTCAGCCCAGGCTTCTCACTGTAAAGACCAATGGAAATGACCCGATAGCTTGCATTCGTACGGTAATGTGAGTAAACCCCACGAGGCTGAGTTTTACCCTCATTCTGTACAGGGCAGGGCAGGCCACTGCCTTCTGTGCTGAGCCGCCTTTGATTCGTGTGACGATGGGGACAGAAGTTCATGCCTGGCTCGCCATGCACAGGTCACAGGAAGATCACATTGGTTAGATGTGTGAGATTTGGCAAATCAGAAAACAACACCTTAGTTAGGTACTTCCATCTGACATTCATCAGATGTACCGTAACTGCTAGTCTAATTCAAAATAATCAGTTAATAGGATTGCTTTAAAAAATAAAATCTTACGCTTCCAGCAAAGTTTTGCTACTCATGTAGAAAGTTCAAGGAGCTCTAAACTTCAAATGCTTGTGATAAAATAGAAACAGGACTACATATATCAGTCATTCTTAAGACAATTAGGCCAAAATAGGGCTAAAACATCAAGCAAGCTGCCCCAGACTACAAGCAGTGGCATTATAATTACCTGTTTCTCCCCACAATGTGTCGGTGCCATTGACTTCTACTTCATGTTCCTTCTCCATCCCCAGCAAGCACTGGACCACCTGTCAGAAGTGGCAAGGTGATTTAATGAGTTCTCTTAGCAAGAGGTGCTTATTATAGCCCATGTATCAAAGGAGACAGTGTGTTGTTTTTTAACCATTATCTCACACTGCCCAAGGAGAGAAAAATATAATGAAAACTGTTTTCAAGCATAATTCATATGCTATTCACACTTTCAGTTGGAGAAGAATTAAAAAAAAATCTCAGTGAATTTCAGCAATATGGTTCAGGATTACTAGGTACTCAGAATTCTAATGAATTCCAACATGACCCAAATATGCCAGCCTAATCAACAAAGGACATGGCAGATCACACAAAGTGCAGTTTCTGCATAAATCACAAGATAGTGAATCAGTTTTTCACAAGGAAGGAAAACAAAGCGATATACGTTTTTGCAAATTTTTACAAAGTATTGTTCAAATACATTTTCTGCTGGTAGCATTATTCTTTTTCCCTTATGGGACTCTTCCTGTCAAAGGGCGGGTCAAGTCACAGGTATGGAGGCAGGAAGCCTGGCTTGCAGGGAGACAAGGCATCTGTGCCCTGGACCTGAGCCGGCGTTCACCCTGAGCAACAGCAGCGAGCAACGGGAGAACACGACAAAGCCACCTTCCAGTCTCCTAGCCCACACCCTTTGTGGTAGGCTGAATAATGGCCCCCAAAGATGTCTACATCCCAATCTTCAAAGCCTGTGAATGTGACCTTACAGGGCAAGAAGGAATTGCAGATGTGATTATGAATGTTGAAATGGGGCGATTATCTCAAATTATCAAGGTCTATATCTGATACACACCTGATCTAATCAATCACAACCATCCTCTTAAGAGGGACAGGAGGAGTCCAGGTCAGAGGACAGAGGAAATGAGACGACAGAGGCTAAGGTGAAAGTAAGGCACTTTGGAGATGGAGGAAGGGGCCATGAGCTAAAAAATACAGGTGGCTTCAAGAATTGAGAAAAAGCAAGGAGACAGGTTCTCCCCTAGAGACTTCAGAAGGAAGGCTGACCTCCCAATAGTGTGATTTTAGACTTCTGACCATCAGAATTCTAAGAGTAAGTGTGTGCTGCTTTAAGCCACTAAGGTTGCATCTATTTGTGATAATGGCATTAGGAAACTAACATACCCTCCAAGTCTTATGGTGAACAAACCCTGCTTTTTTCACCCTACTGGCTGTGCTGAGGTGATTTTCGCTCAGCATTTCCTCCCAACCAGCTTTAAAACAAGGGGGTTAGCATGGATTAAGACCAAGGTCATTCCTAGGCATTCATGGTCCTCCCAATGATGACTTTTCACACTTAAAAAAAGGAAAACATCTACATTTTCATATGTGTGTTTAACAGTATCTCTCTGTGTGTGTGTGTGTGTGTGTGTGTTTAATGTTTAAACCAGAAATTAGCCAGCCACTATTTCATGCTTGTGTGTGTGTCCGCTCATGAGTTTTGAATGCCAAAGTCAGCCAGCCAGCTTCCCACTCGAATTTACTAAAGTCATTTTAGAAAAAGAATCTTACCAAATACTGGCACCTCTAATTGCTTGAAGATAATTCAGAGTAAGAAATACACAGGAGGAAGCGAGCAAAACATTATTAAATTCACAGATAAAGAAAGCCAAGACACACAGGTCAGGAGGTGACAATTAAATCTTCAAACTGAGGAATACCAACATCTGTCAGAAATAAATGCTCTATTTAACTACTGCATGGAGTTTTCATTCAGTGGAGGAGCTGTAAATGACAAGCATTCTTGTGTGCTATCAAAGCATTAAAGCTCTATTTTTAAAAATCCTTCAAATACTCAGGAACGATTTTAGAATCAGGATTCTATGTGATTATTTTTAAATGAACACAAGGACAGAAGAAACGAATCAAAGGGGAAAAAATTTAAAACAGCAGGTCTAGAGGGCAGAGCAGGGAAGGAGGAGAGACATGAGGAAGAGCTGAGAGTGAATGTCATCAAAAGGCTTCCCATAGAAAAATAAGCCTGCCTGTCCCCATCACGTGTGCATAGGAGTGTGCACTGTCACTCACGGGAAGGATGTGGTGCCCATAGAAGACCTTCTACTGCAGGTGGTCAACGCCAAATGCTAGTTCTTGGCATCCTCCTTCTTTCGGTCCTTCAGTGTGTCAACTGACTTGCTGGGCTACAGCTTCTTGTTTCCCAGGAGGGAAACCCCTGCCCCACTCACCGAGCTGTGGCCCATGCTGGCCGCCGCGGTCAGCGCCTGCTGCAGGGCGTGGCTCTTCCTCAGGGTGCCTGGCTGGGGAGGACCCGGCGACCACTCACAAGTCAGCAGGTACTGGAGAATGTCACCGTGGCCCCGTAGGGCACTGTGGACAAGCGCACACTGGCCCTTCTTATCCAAGTGGTCCACCTGGGGGCAGGAGTAGGGGAAGGTTACAGCTGAGCATTACTTTGCCTCTGAGCATGCAGATGCACCACCTAGCTGTGTGCAAACCCCACTCCCTGTAAGCGTACATGGGGTTCACATTCCAACTTGTCTTTCTGGAGAACATGGAACCTTAGTCTGGATTACTTCCAGATGGTAATGAATGTACCATTCCAGGCCTCAGGTTCCCTTTGCAAGATTCAGGGTCACAAAACACCCTCCTTACTCCCATGTCCCTGCAGCAAACTACACAAAGCTCCTAACTCTCTTGTGAGCATGTGTGGAGACACAGACCAAAACCTCGGACAAATCCCTGTATTTCCCAACTTTGGTTGCTTGGGTGGGGCATTCTAAGTCTGCTGTGACAAGCTATAATTTGAAGGAGTAGAGCCACTCTCTGGTCACTGAGCCAGGGGATCCGAAGAAAGAGAGGGATGTGGAAAAACAGCTGAGTGTGGAAGGGCAGGAAAGGAGTCCAAGTGGCATCTGATTGGGAAGGAGGTCTCATGTAGGCCGGTGGCCTGGGCATGCTGGCAAGTAAAGGGGGGGCGGCCACAAAGTCAGGGCAGGCCAGCTAGGCAGAAAAAGTGAGTGAGTGCCACACACCTACTCCTCAAGGCCCCAAAGCAGCGGCAGCCCTTCATGCCCTGTCTAAACCCCAGAGTACTGGGCCTGGGAGCAGAGCCCAGGGCCTAGCCTTGCATGCCTGCCAACTCTGGGGACGCCCTGTACCCTCATTCAGAGGCTTTGCCAGAGCCCCCTGACATAGCACTCAGCCTCCTACTCCAGAGCTTTCAGCTGTGATGGGGGGAGGCCTGCTGGCCTCAGAATAAAGTGTAAAGCCCAGCTGCCATCCGTAAATGGAGGTGCGGTGATGTGCAGCAGTAACATACCCACCCCAAAGGCTTAGCCACACATTTCCTTCTCCATGAACTGAAGTTTATGTATGTCCCAAATGTTGGATTTGAGAGAAAAAAATAAATCTCCCACAGCTGTTATAAGCCTAATTTTTTTGAACTTTAAATATCCTAATTAAAAGACAAAAGATAATTAGCAGTTTATCTCTACTGTTATTCAAAAGGCACATTTCCCAAAAAAATGCTTCCAGTAAACCTAGCATTTACTGTGAGCTCGATATCATTCTCATTCACCCTATTAAAGCTGACAGCTCCTGGCCAGACGTGGTGGCTCATACCTATAATCCCAACAGTTTGGGAGGCCAAGGCAGGCAGATCATGTGAGGTCAGGAGTTCAAGACCAGCCTGGCCAACATGGTGAAACCCCATCTGTACTAAAAATACAAAAATTAACCAGGCACAGTGGCATGTGCCTGTAGTCCCAGCTACTTGGAGGCTGAAGCAGGAGAATCACTTAAACCTGGGAGGTGGAGGTTGCAGTGAGCCAAGATCATGCCTCTGCACTCCAGACTGAGTGACAGAGTGAGACTGTCAAAACAGAAAAAAAAGTTGATCGCTCTAGAGTAACTTGTATAGCAATACATACTTACTTCATATATGACTGAATGCTTACTCAACAGCCCTGTGGTAGGGACTGCTGTTATGCCCATTTTACAGATAAGAAGCCTGAAGTCATATATAGGCTCAATAACTTGCCCAATACCCTAGGGCTGGCAAGTGGAAAGATGAAGATTCCAGGCAATCTAGTTCCTGGAGCTCAGGCACATGGCTTCTTCATGAGTTCATGGAACTCATCCTACTGTTTTAAAAGGACATAAAATGGGATAAGAAGAAGAGAGGGGAAAAAAGCAAACATTTAAAATATTTTAAACCAATCTTGGTGCTTTCTAGATCGATACTTGCAGGCTTTTTAAAGGCTGGCCCTCCTCATGCGGCTAGGAGCCAGGGTCTCCCTGGAATTCTGCCTTCCCCTGGACAACATTAAGCAGAGTTGCTGTGTATGAGCAAAACAAACCTCTCTGAGGCTGCCACATTACAAAGTGACCAATCCCTGGAGCCCGACCCTTTCTGTGTATGCTGTGGTTTCAGAGACAAGAGAGTCTGGCCCAGCAAATAACAATTCTAGCAATGAGATGAAGCCATTTCCCTGCCCCAGCCCCAAAAGAGCAGGCTGCCGCTTACTCTCACTCCCTTCTTGGTCAGCAGACACACCAGCTTCATGTGGCCAGCAGCTGCTGCGTAACAGAGGGCAGTCATGCCGTTCTCTGACGTTCCGTCCAGGCAGGCACCAAATTCCAGGAGCAGAGTGACAACTTCCTCGTGGCCAAGGTGAGACTGGACGCACAGGATTGGGGCATTATTTAACACTTCTGTCCTGTAGTTCACGTTGGCCCCTCCCAAAATCAGGAGACGGCTCACCTGTTGGACAAGGCCCCCCAACAAGATTGTCACATGTATGTCATCTAAACATTTCTGGAAATGGGCAGTATCCTCAATTTTCGGTATCATTTTAATCCAGTGGTTCTCAAACTTGAATGTGCACCAGTATCACCTGGGAATATATTAACAATGCACATTCTCATTGGTGGGAATGTAAAATAGTGTAGCTTACTGGGAAACAGTAAGATGGTTCCTCAAAATATTAAAAATAGAACTACTGCCCCAGGCACGTGACTGTAATCCCAGCTACTCAGGAAGCTGAGGTGGGAGGATTGCTTGGGGCCAGGAGTTTGAGGCTGTAGTGCACTATGATCATGCCTGTGAACAGCCTGCTGCACTCTAGCCTGGGCAACACAGCAAGGCCCTGATGTGAAAATTAAAAAAAAAAAAATTTTTAATTAAAAATGTCAGTAGAGGCCAGGTGCGGTGGCTCACGCCTGTAATTCCAGCACTTTGAGAGGCCATGGCGGGTGGATCACGAGGTCAAGAGATCGAGACCATCTGGCCAACATGGTGAAACCCCGTCTCTACTAAAAATACAAAAATTAGCTGGGCGTGGTGGTGTGTGCCTGTATCTCAGCTACTTGGGAGGCTGAGGCAGGAGAATCGCTTGAACCCGGGAGGTGGAGGTTGCAGTGAGCTGAGATTGCACCACTGCACTCCAGCCTGGCGACAGAGTGAGACTCAGTCTCAAAAACAAAAACAAAACAACAAAAAATAACAATAGAACGGCCATGTGATCAGTCATCCCACTTCTGGGTACATATTCAAAAGAATTGAAAGCAGGATCTCAAAGACATATTTGTACCCTCATGTTAATTGCAGCATTATTCACAACAGCCAACAGGTAGATGCAACCTCAGTGTTCATCAGTGGATGGATGAAGAAAATGTGGTACATATACATACAATGGATTATTCCTGCTTAAAAAGGGAGAAAATCCTGCCATATGTGACAACATGGGTAAACCTCGGGGAAGTGAAATAAGTGAAGCAAGCCAGACGCAAAAGAACAAATACTGAGTGAAACTACTTATGAGATATATACAGTAATCAAATTCACAGACAGTAGAATGAAGGTTTCTGGGCCTGGGCACAGGGGAAATGAGAGTTGTTGCTTAAGGGATATAGAGTTTTGATTCTGCAACATGAAAAGTACTGGACATCTATCGCACAACAATGTGAATATTGTTAACACTACTGAATTGCAGACTTAAAAATGGTTAAGATGGTAAATTTCCTTTTATGTGTTTCTTAACCATAATTAAAAATAAAAACTAAACAAATAGCCAGGCAAGGTGGCTCATGCCTGTAATCCCACCACTTTGGGAGGCTGAGGCGGGCGGATCACCTGCAGTTAGGAGTTCGAGACCAGCCTGAAGAACAGGGTGAAAACCCCGTGTCTACTAAAAATACAAAAATTAGCCAGCGTGGTGGCGCACGCCTGTAATCCCAGCCACTCAGGAGACTGATGCAGGAGAATCGCTTGAACGCAGGAGGTGGAGGCTGCAATGAGCCAAGATTACGTCACTGCACTCCAGCCTGGGGGACAGAGCAAGACTCCGTCTCAAAAGCAAAACAAAAACAAAAACAAAAAAAACCTAAACAACTGCAAATTCTTGGGCCCCACCCCCTGATTTCTGATTCATTATATCTGGGTGGTACATTTTTAATAAGTTCCTCGTTGATATTGACACTCTTGGTTTGGGGAACCACACTTTGAAAAATCACTGTTTAACCTCAACAAAACCAGGAAATTCATTTTCCTGGTAATGAAGTAATAATTGTGGCTGGGTGCAGTGGCTCACAACTGTAATCCCAGTATGTTAGGAGGCTGAGGAGGGAGGACTGCTTGAGCCCAGGAGTTTGAGACCAACATGGGCAACATGGCAAGACCCCGTCTCTATAAAAAATGTTTTTAAAAAGAAAAAAATAGTCATGGTGTTAATAGTGAGATAAGGCCAAAAGTAAATACAAATACTTTATAGGGATGTGTTCCTAAAAGAAACAGAAAATATGGAAATGTCCACATGTGCCATGATTGTCCGCAGCATAATACTGCTAGAAAATAATGTGCTGCTTCCACTAATTACTATATCCCCCACTTAGTAATCTCCCTGGATCTAGGTATTGGGAAAAGCTTTTTATCTACAGGTTTTAAAATAAAATTACTGAACATACGCAAATTTTAGGTATAATAATATTTTTTTTTTCAGATCTTCAGATCATTAGATACAAATGATGCTCCTTTAACAGCTATTAAGATGCCCAGTGTGTTTCTTTCAATGGCTTACTTCAATGGTCCTGACCCACATCAATCACTGCCCCTGCCAAAGCCTGGCAGGTCCTCCACCTGCCCACTAAATGTGAAAACCACAGAGACTATCATTTATTGACTAGAGACACATGGGGATCATTAAAAGATACAGAGAGATGACAAGGCATAAAAACTTCATGGTATTTCAGTGATAGATGTCCACAAGAGTAGCTGACAAACAGAATATTTACAAACAAATGGGTCTGGAAAATTATACTACCAAGTAGTGAAACCATAACTCACAATGGCATAGTGACAGGTTAGAACCCCAGGTGTCAAATTTGAAGATGTCTTGGCTGCTGAAGCTTGAACCTCTGTGATACAGGCCTCCAGCTTCCTCTCTGATCTTCTCTGCAGAATCCTTCCCTCACTGCAGCCACCTTGGACCCAACACGTGCTGTGACAATGCCAAGCAGGGCCGGCCTCATGGTCTTTACCCCCTTTTAGTTCCCTGACTGGAATGCTCATTCCATAAATATAATCACTTCCTGCAGGGCTCTGCTCCAGTGCCAGGACATGGGGGAGAGGGTACCCTGTGCACCCAGGCCCTCTCTATCCCTCAGCATGCTCTGTTTTCCTGCTTAGTCCACTGCACCAGACACTGGTTCTACGATACAGAAGTTCACAGAGAAGAAAGGCAAACAGAGCCCCTCCATGGATGGGGATGACCCACACATCAGTTTCTTCACACTGCTGGGACTGCCATCTACATTTAAGGAAGAACAGGCCATGTGCAAGTGACAAGGAGCCAGCCAACCACCTGACCACCACCCCGCTGTCTACACCATCAGAGAGACCACTGTCTAGCCAGATCCAGGTGAACACCAACCCAGCCTCTAGGGTCTCGCTGTCAACTTGTACTTGTGGAGGAATGGATGAGAGATCAGAAAGGGTGTCCAGTCCTAACACTGCTGTTTCATGGGCAACTTCAGGCAAATGACTTAATTAATCCCCACCAAGCCTGCTCTACAGATCTATATAGGCTTGCTTTTTAAAAATGCCACCAGACTCTGATCTAATTCAAAAGCATTTTAAGACTGCATTATGCTACAACATTAATAAAGGTGTGGCTGGGCATGGTGGCTCACGCCTGTAATCCCAACACTTTGGGAGGCCGAGGTGGGTGGATCACCTGAGGTCAGGAGTTTGAGACCAGCCTGGCCAATATGGTGAAACTGAGTCTCTACTAAAAATACAAAAATTAGCTGGTTGCGGTGGCACACGCCTGTAATCCCGGCTACTCGGGAGGCTGAGGCAGGAGAATCACTTGAACCCAGGAGGCGGAGGTTGCAGTGAGCCAAGATCACGCCATTGCACTCCAGCCTGGGCAACAAGAGCAAAACTCCATCTCAAAATAATAATAATAAATAAAAATAAAAATAAAATAATAAAAGTGTTTTAAAAATCCCTTTGAGTAACAGCGTGGACAGAATCAGATTATGCTGAAGAAATAGGATTTTATTAAGGCCAATGAAACCAGTCCTCAGCAAGAGGAGTAGAGAAGATACACATCTGGAAATACACGCAATGCCACCAAGGGGCACACCAGACTCTGCTAGCCACAGGATGGGCAGGATCATTTGTAAATTCCCTGGATAATTTTGCCAGCCAGTTACATTCTGTCCTCCCCCATCAACCCCATACCTTCTTGAGATCCATGGGCCTAAAAAATGAAGGATTAAGTGGTGTGAGTTCTCAGCCAGCCCCCAAACTAACCTACTGTGTGATTTTCAGAAAATTCCTCAACCTCTCTGTGCTTTAGGTGCCACCTAAGAAAACAGCAGCATGCCATCCCATTCTATCTAACAGGTACTCTTTTGCTAATAATGGTGGAAGGTATACTTGGAGTACCATGATGAATCCCTTACAAGAGTTTACCTGGAAGGCATGTGCTCAGGGCAGAGGTTTCCTAAAGATGTCATCAATTCACACTTCCTCTGCTTCTGGGAATAACATTTTCCTTTGTCGGTGTAATGCTGTACGTATTTTTACCACTTAACCCTCCATCACCTTCCCCTAAACTATGGTTCTTAACCTTGATGCACACTGAAACCACCTGGGAGCTTGAAAGTTTCCAATACCCTGGCCCCACTCTTGGAGATTCTGACTTAACTGGGGCTGGGGCTGTGGTGCCCAGAGCTCCCAGGTGATTTTAGCTGGCAGCCAGGGCTGTAAACACATCAAGTGATAAAGGCACCTGCAGAGCAAGGGCTTGCTGAGTGTCAGGCGCCCTTCCAGCTGTGTGATTTTGGAAAGTATCAACTGCCCTAAACCTCAGTTTTCTCATCTAAAAAAATGAGGATAAAAGTTTCACTTCACTTGGTGGTTGTAAAGATTAAAAATCAATGTGTAAAAAAAAAAGTGTATGTATATATATGTGCATTAAGCATTTAGCACAGCACTCAGCATCTGTACATGTTAAATAAACATTAATCGATGTTATAATCAACCTTTCATGGAGTCTTCAGAAACGACAAGAACTCAGGTCCCTGACCTCTGGAAGGCACAGGAGGGAGCTCTGCCCTCCTGTCCACATCACCCTGCATGCCCAGCCTGGGCTGTTCACCAGCACAGAGCAGCAGGGACACCTCATGCCGAGATGAGGGCAGAGGTAAGTCACCTGCAACCATCACATCCTCAAGGTCGGCAGCTCCTGTTAACAAGCACCAACTGGCACATCCAAAACTTCCCAGGTGCCTACAGCAGAGCCACTGTTTCCAGAGATGAGGCAAAGCACTAACAACAATTCATGTAAACATAATAAATGCCAAGTATGTTCCCAGTACCTTTAACATCTCAGTAAGGTTTCTCATCACTTGAGAGACAGCCTCTTTTGTGTCTCCACTTTATAGGTGAGAAAGCCAAGGCTCAGAGGGAGTAAGGCCGAGCTGAGCGCTAAGCACAAAGCTAATGATGGTCACAGAGCAGCCAGGTGGCAGAGCAGCAGTCTTGGCTGAGACGGCACTGTGCTGAAGGAACCTGTTTAAATGATTCATCCTATAGATTTTCCCCCAACGATATGGAAATTTTCCGACCATGATCACAGAAGCCCTCCTTGGACAACACTCAGAAGTGGTGGTATCTCTCAACTTCTGGATTTAATGAAAACAGGAAAACAGGAAGGGAGCTGGGGATATGCGAGGCAATACGATCATGAGGACCAGAAGAGGCTTGGCCAGGGTGGCCATAGGGCAGCATCAGCATTCCCACTAAGTACACTGGAAGCTCACACAAGCACAATTGTTTTAAAATGTGTCCTTCCTGACTATGATGTAGGATATGACTGGATCTCCCGGCCAAGGGAAGTTGGGCCAAAGGCCACACCTAGCTCCTGTTCTCCTCTCCTTTCTGTTGTCAGCTGAGAAAAGAACTGCAACCTAAATCCTCCTGAGGCCACAGCTTGCGGCTGGCCACCAGTCCTATGAGATGGTACAACAAAACCACTGGCTGGATGGGACTCCAGTGGGCCAGCGGGGCCCAGGCTGGCCCCATCCTGGCCTGGCCACAGGAGACAACATGGTTAGAGACTGCTGGCATGCCACTGCAACTAAAATCCATCTACCAAGTAATCATCCCAGAGCAAGTCACTTTAATTTACCAAAGTGGCAAACTGCAATTATTGTTCAAAATGACATTCATTCCTGTATGACAACATTTAATACACTCTAAAAAAAGTTCCTTAATTGCATGCATAATTTAAAATTACTGTAATTTGTTCAAGATCCTGTGAAAACCGTTTTCCCCCCTTGAAAGATAAAAGAAACAGAAGGATAATGAAAAGACTTAAGATTCTATAACCACATTATAGAAATAATTTCGGAGATGGTGTAGATGTAGGTGACACTGGAGTTTTACAAAACAAAGTAAAAATGATTAACTCTTAAAATCGCACATACGTTAAAGAGCAAAGTTTATAATCTCAGGAGGGCCATGCTCATTACACTATTATGCAGTACCTTTAAATTTACTGTCTTAAAAACTTGTACTCAACAGATGTTTCCCATTTACTTATTTCCATATTAAAATAAATTCTATGCCCAGAAATTCATTAACATATGAAAACATATTGCCATTTTTATTCTCATCTTTCTTATGATTATAGAATTTTATTAGTTATGGAGAAGCCGAGAGATACACTCTTAGCTGAAATGAAAGATGAAACAATGTGAGTGATTCGGGGGGAAGACCTGGCTCCCTAAACTGACCCAGGGCTTCCACAGGCAGCCGGGTACATCAGGGCCTGAAGCTGAAAGGCCTGGACACTGTCTCTGTGGCCTTAACAGGCTGCTTGGCCTCTGTGTGCTTCAGATTCCCAGGCTACATGAAATCAGGAAGAAAAATCTACCTTAAAAAGCTGAGTGGAACATCATGACATGAAAGCCACTGACCAAGAAGTGAAGAAGCTCTTGGCTCCACAGAAGGCCATGCTGATACCCTTTCCATAGGCAGAAATATGGATACATGAAACCTCGATGTTTGTTTTTCTGTGTACTTATCTCTATGCATCACCCATCCATGCTTAATTTCCCATGAACTCTGAAGAGATGGTCCAGATTAGTAACGCAGGACACTTAAAAAATCCGTTTTCCCTAGAAATCTCTCTGATCTTTGATTTCTTTTGTAAATTGCTTCCTTATCACATCTGCTGTGAAACAGTCACCACATGTGCTCAGAGCAGCCCTGACCACCCACATCTTCCTGCCAAAGAAAAGCTAAACTTCTGGAAGAACGAGTAATACAGCACCCAAGCCCGTGTGATCAGGGAAGCACATCTTTAGAAGCTCCTCTGCGTCCTCTCACCACCACCCAGGGCAGAGGGAAACAGGGCTGTTGGAGGAACGGCCAGCAGCCGGCCAGGGCTGGGTCTCCGGCTCTCTGTGCAGAAGGTTGCTCACCTTCACGTTGGGAGTATAGAGATTCCTGAGAGAGGCCAGGGCGGCGGACAGCCCCTCGGTGCTGTAGCCGATCCACAGGGCTTGGAGATGGCTTGAAGAAATTCCCGTCTTCTTACTGAGGCCCTGGAAACAATCGAGACAGATCTTGGAAACAATCAGAGACAGATCTGCCTGAGCATCTCCTTCCCACCTGCAGGGTCACTCTGAAAGTGGGTCTGCCGCAGAGGGTGCAGATACCTGCAGAAGGCACGGGGTCACACACAAAGAATGCCTGGACATGCGAGCTTTCACTACCTGAAACCAAGGGTCAAGGAACCAGCCTGCCTTCACTAGGTTAACTTTGTGCCTTGGGAGAGAGATGGCAGATGAGAGTTTCTCTTTGAGTCAGAGTCTTGCTGTGTCGCCCAGGCTGGAAGTGCAGTGGTGCAATCTCAACTCACTTCAACCTCCACCTCCCAGGCTCAAGTGATTCTCATCCCTCAGCCTCTCAAGTACCTGGGATTACAGATACATGCCACCACTCCCAGCTAATTTTTGTATTTTTAGTAGAGACAAGGTTTTACCATGTTGGAAGTAAATTAGAGGAAGAATAAATGACAGAATTAGAATATCACCATCTGAGCCCTGCAAGGTGGAGCGTGCCTATAGTCCCAGTTACTTGGGAGGCTGAGGCGGGAGGATGGCTTGAGTCCAGTAAGCTATGATCCCACCACTGCTCTCCAGCCTGGGCAAACACAGTCAGAAAGTCCAGGTGGTACAAAATCACACAGGTCAAGAAACTCAGGTTCTCGAACAAATCAATAATAAGGAAACAAAAAGTAATGAACAAAGTGGAACCTTTAGATAAAAAGAAACTTATCAGAGATTTAAAGGTGGAAAGAAGTAAAACTTAAGCACAGCACTCTGATATACACTTGAGCAATCAACTATAGCAAAATGCAAGGAAATGCCCAGGCTGAGTCAGAACAGCGGTTACTTTTGGAGAGGGGAGGCAGGAGGAGGTTGCATTTGGGCTGAGGTGCATGGAGCGTTTCTTGGATGGCTGACAGAGCTGTCTAAAATCTCCAAAGCAAAACCTCAAAATGACAACAAAGAAACCCTTCCCCAAGTTGGTGTGCATCTCACCTTGAAAATGTGCGCCTTCAGGATGTGGTGGCCAAGCTCCATGGTCTGCTGGCGGTTCAACTTGCCCTCCTGACGCGAGAACATGAATGCCAAGAGCGCGTGCCCGTTCCTAGGGGAAGGAATACAAAGGCTCACAGCAGAAGAGCCCATTCCACCACACCGCAGACCCACCCTCAATTCACCACCCATTGCCTTAGTCACTGATTTATGCCCGTGACAAAGATGTAAACTCCGGGAGGCTAAGGGTCTCATCTGAGTCATAATGCCTAGCAAAGTGCTGAGCACTTGGTGAACACTCAAATGTGTTTCTGGAATGCATGCATGAATAGACACAGAGCACAGAACCATCCCTGGGCCTAGCCTTCAGGTCCCCTCAGGATCACCACCACTAGGGGTAGACAAAGGACAAGGTCTCACGTGGGAAGGAGAGAAAAGCCAGGCCGTGCTAGGTGACAGCTCATGATCAAGAAAGCAGAGAATTCTAGGCTTGGATGGCACACAAGTCCTTGTGGTGAGAAGAAGGCTAAGGCATCTAAGTGGGTTTGCTGTGGCTGGCACATGGTGGACATCCAGCCAACAGCACCCATTTCCCTTTTGTGAAGGTACCATCCTGCCTATTTTCCTGCCCATTTCCCTTTTGTGAAAGGGCCATCCTGCCCATTTGCCCTCCATGTCCATAGGACTCACTCTGTCTTCCTGTGGATCCCATGCCTTTGAGCCAATTAGTTTCTAAATGACACACAGAGTTGCTTATTCCAATAGGAGTGACTTCTATGCAATGTAAATTACTTTCATTTCTATCATCCTGTCAACTTTGAGCTGTTTGGTTGGGGAAAAGCAGGTAGTTGTGGAGGGAGGAAAAGATAAACATTATATATGTTTTAAAACGCATCCTCCTAGTAGTTGCTAATCTAGATGATTAAAAGCATGCATTATTTAAACTGCATTTGTCTTTCCAGGTGCATGCCTGCTTCTCAAATAGGTTATAAACCGTGTTAGAGATGAGGAAATCAAGGCAGATGGAGGCCAAGGAATCAGTTTTTATACTACAGGGGAGGGCATGACGTTTAAGGCCACACTGCCCACTGAGTCTCGTCCATTGTCTTGTAATGGCCTGAAGTTTTCCCACGAGCACATGCCCTGTCATTCCCTGAACACCTTCCATGTCCCAGATCTTGAGCCTGGGATTCCCCTCCTCCCTTATTCCCATGGAAACCGCTGTCAGCATCTCTCTAGTGCTCTAGGCCCCCAAGGCCTCCCCAGGTCCTACCCATGGGCTGATCCCAGGATTCATTCTGGCCCAGTTCATGTCAGTTGGGAGCCACTCTCCCAACCACAGGCTAAGTCCTCCTAAGTCTCCCAGTTGGCTGAGCTCTGTGGCCAGGCCAACCGTGTCCATCACAAAGACACACTAACTATCACTTTACAGGGTGATGACCACACACCCCTTGGTGGCCGGGCCTAAAGTTTCCAGTGCTCCCAGCTGAGCACAGGGCATCCCACCTCTCTGAGGAGACAACTCCCCATGCCACTGCTCCCCACCTATACTCCTGCATACCCTGCCCATAGTTCCTCCCTGCCCTCCTGTTCTTGAGACCAAGCAATCCCCTTCTAAGACAATCTGCATTCATGATTCTGTTAATTTCCAAAGCTTCCAGGTATCAAGCTCTTACTCTATGCCAGATGCAGAAACCTAATTGAATTATCTCATTTACCTGCACAATCCTGTGACTAAGTACTATGACCCCCATATGCTTATATGAAGAAACAGAGGCCTGAACAGGTTAAGCGACTTATGCAAGACCACATGGCTAGATGACAGAACAGAGATTTGAACTAAAGTTGGTCAGACAGGAGAGCCTGTGCTCTTAACCTGCGGAGCTTGAGTCCTCCATTCATTCACAGCTACACCTTATCACTGGCACCACGTCTGACGGGGGGATTCTATGGGGGAACAATGCAAGGTGCTTCCATTGAGAAGCTCTAAGCAATGGGAGGGGACACGCAAACGATATGCAAGTCAGTTAACTGGGTGCTGTGAACAGATTCCACGGGAACAAAGAGGAGGCAACCTGCCCCGTCACTCAGGCCCCGGTCCCTCCTCCTTACATTCCCAATTTCTCCTTCTTTATGGATCTTTCTCCACACTATCTCTCAGTGATGTTTCTGACAATGTTCCAATCTCCTGTGTTATTAAAAAACAAACAAACAAACAAAACCACCCGCCCCCTAAGCCCTTCCACCTCCCATCCCAAGACGCTGGCTCCCTCCTCTCTCTCCTCTCAACCCAACAGGCGGAGTCTCCTAAGGATCCAGGACCCTCCTCCCTCACTGAAAATCCAATGGCTTCCTCTTAACCGTCATTTCCCTTCACCTCTTGGCAACACTTACATCCGTAAGGTCCCTCCCTGAAACCCTCCTCCACGCCCTGGAAGCCCAGTGCTATCTTTTCTCTAATGACATGAGCTTCCTCACCGAGTCATGCCAGACACCTCTCCATCAGTGATGCTAGATCTTCAACTGTCAGCTTCTCCTCCAACCTGCCGACCCGCCCTGGCGCTGGAACCTGTCTGCCTGGGACAGACGGCTATCTTGCAATCTCAACTGCTGAAAACTAAAACCAGCTCTGTCCCTGCAAAGCCTGCCACATACCACCTGCCTTTCTTACCCTTCCCAAGAGCAATGCCACACCTAGTTTCTGGCTCTTCTTCCTCTACTCTGCCCATGAGGCCAAGCCACAAGAGCTACCTCATGTCAGCAAGGCCCGTCTCTAACCCCAGTCCCCCCAAGTCCCCACTCCTGACTGCTATAGTAGGCCCTATACACTCTGTGCCCTGCACACTCCCTTCTGCCAGCTCTTTCCTCTCCTCTGTTCCATGAAAAAAGGTCAAGTCAAACTAGATTTGCTGTTGCAGAACACGGCCTGCTCATTCTGATGCGACGTCTTCAATAGCTCCTCCTGTCTGCAACAGCCTTGTTCTACCTACTAATACCTATTAACTCCTCGAGTTAACAGAGAACAGAGCTAATAGGGGACTGTTCCAGATGAGACTTCCTGTGCAACCCCAAAAAACTGATGGATCTTAAAAATGGTCATCAGTGGCTTCTAGTGCCTACAGAGACATGACAATGTCATGCGCCTCCTGAGAGAGGTACTCACCACCACCTACTAAGTGTCCTTGTTTAAAAATATAGAATCTGAACAAGCCTCTAAACTTCACTACCAATTTATAGGAAATAGGGGTGAGAGGAACACATGAAAAAACATGAGGACACAAAATTCAGATGATGGGAAACTATACAGGATGAACTACCCAGCTGCCCTTTTTAAACAAATAAATTTTGAGGAAAAAGAAAAAAAGATGAGGAGAGAAACTATAGATTAAGAGAGATAATCGAATGCATTTTATGGACTTTTTGGATCCTGATGTGAACATACTAAAAAATAGAAATTTGAGCATGGCTAAATGTTTAAGATTATTAAGAATTTGCATTAATATTTTAGGTGCAGTAATAGCGTGGTTAAGTATGAAAATATCTCTAAGATGAATATTCAGTTATTTAAAGTAAAATGTCATGTTTACAATTTAACATACTTCAACAAAAAAAAAGGAAACAGATGTAGCAAATATTGCAAAATGTAAATATGTTTAAGTCTAGGTGATATGAATGAAAACTCTTTCTTTTTTTTTGAGACAGTTTTGTTCTTGTTGCCCAGGCTGGAGTGTAGTGGCACGATCTCGACTCACTGCAACCTTCGCCTCCTGGGTTCAAGCAATTCTCCTACCTCAGCCTCCCAAGCAGCTGGGATTACAGGTGCTTGCCACCACACCCGGCTAATTTTTCTTTTTTTTGTATTTTTAGTAGAGACTGGGTTCACCATGTTGGCCAGGCTGGTCTCGAACCCCTGACCTCAGGTGATCCACCCATCTCTGCCTCCCAAAGTGCTAGGATTACGCACGTAAGCCACCGCACCCGGCCAGACTCAAACTATTCTTTATCTTCATAATTCTATTTCTGGAATGCTAACCTAGGGCATAATCAAAACTAAGAGAGAAGAAAGGAAAGAAGAGAGGTAGTACATCGTCTTAAGATCTGATTTAATAGCTACCAGCACTCAGTGAGAAGACACTCATTTTTTATAGATAAGGAAGGAAGGCATGGAGAATTAAAATATATTTCATGCAGAGAAAAATATACAAGAATCAATGGAAGATTTGAATCCAGACCTGCAAGGCACCAAGACATGACAGGTTGTTCTGTTTGTAAGTAATTTAGAAACAACTTAAAAATCTAACGAGGGGGCCGGGCGCAGTGGCTCACGCCTGTAATCCCAGCACTCTGGGAGGCCGAGGCGGGCGGATCACGAGGTCAGGAGATTGAGACCATCCTGGCTAACACGGTGAAACCCCGTCTCTACTAAAAATACAAAAAGTTAGCCGGATGAGGTGGCGGGCGCCTGTAGTCCCAGCTACGTGGGAAGGCTGAGGCAGGAGAATGGTGTGAACCCCAGGGGGCGGAGCCTGCAGTGAGCTGAGATCACACCACTGCACTCTAGCCTGGGCGACAGCGAGACTCCGTCTGAAAAAAAAAAAAAGCAAAAAAATCCAATGAGGGTATAGTGAAGTACATAATAATTTGCCTCCTAGGAGTTTTGCACAACCATGAAAAATGAAAATGACACTTTTCTAAGACTTCTAACAGCTTAGTAAGGTGCCCGTGATGTGTTAAGCAAAAACCCAGATAAGAATTCCAAGAGAAAAAGAAGATTGGTATATCATTTAAAATGCTACAGAAAGAGGCAGAAATAAAAAATGAACTGTCTTTGTCTGAGGGTTGAAATTTTCTGCTTTTATAATTAGGGCAAAAATACGACAACTGGGAGTTGGGGAAGAAATGCTACCATTTTTCGAGGCCCAACCCACCATCACCATGTTTTAAAATCACCTCCCCAGGCCCCTTTACTTACGCTGGGAGCTTCTCCCTCTTGTGAGGTCCACATGAAGTGTGCCTCCCTCTCGCATATCACCTCCTGCCTCCCCTGCCCTGTGTGGGAAGCCCTGAGAGCAGGGTCCTTGTCCCAACAATTGGTGTCTGCCACAGTACTTTGCACATAACTGCATATAACAAAAACTGTTGCTGAACTGAATCCAGTAGCTTCCTTCCAACATTGTTCTATATCCTCTCAATTGAATGAAGCTCAAATACTACAGGTGTCTTGGGAAAATGGCAACAACTCGCACCACCCAGGAGTGGGTGCTTCCTTAAATTCTGCACCCTTGGTACCTCTCTTGCCTCCACCTAGTCCAGGTCCTGCCCCAGGGGATGTCCCCATGCCTGCTTTTAAGAACACAGTGGCATTCAGGAGCCCACAGGCACCCACCCTAGCTCTGACCTAGGCTACATAACCTCAATGCCCACCAATACCCAAAATGAAGCGAAGCTTAATGAAGACTACAGTCCAGCCACTTTAGCCTCCAACCCAGTAACAACCTACACTCCTGATGGAGTCTTTCAATTTGTTTTTATGTCTCTACAAACTCAGCTATAGTCAATCTTCCTAGAAAATGACTGGAATTTCCCTAGAAAGTAATCTGACTTGGCTAGAAATGTCACAGCACATGTTTCACCTAGCTATTATGGTCTGGCTAAATAACCTGGATGTTAGTTTATTGCCCCAAACCAGGTTCAAAAGATAACAACAAACCTTCAGCCAGTGTTACTGAAGAAAATAATAACAGCCCCAACATGAACAGCAGCCAGGCCTATCAGGTGGATGTTCAGTCAATATTCACAGGGAGGAAAGTGGCTGTGAGGCTCCCAGGGCTCACCAATGCTTGTTCACCTCTTCATTTCTGGATCCCAGCATCTGGTCAAATGCCTAAGGGGTCAGCTGAGCAGCTTGCCAGCCCTGTTACTACAGCAGGGGGCAATTCTGGCTCACAGATAGCCGAAGCCACTCGAGACAGCAGAGACACAGGCCAAAGCCAGGGCCAAGTGGAAGTTGGGGGCTTGCCATATACATATCTGAACGCATCTGCATCCTCAAACTTTCTGACCTCTCACACTGTTACCAAGCCACACAGCAGACAGGCTTCCTTCCCCATCCCACTGTGATAACAGCGGCCCAGGCAGCAAGGAGAACTGCATCCCAGCCTGGTCCAGTCCACCACACAGAGCTCATCCACAAAGGGTGAAGGGTGTGGAGCGGGGAGGCTAGATTGGATCATGGTGCTCCCTCTGGGCTCACAGATATACCTGATCCCTGGGACAAGTCACTCCATGTTCAAGGGGTGGCAGGGGAGTGGAGGTGCTGAGGACCCATGACAGTCTGCAGACACACAGGGAACTCCCTCTAGAGAAGCCCCCTGTTCCCAGGGGCTGATCTCACACATTCCCATGCATGATCCTGCAGAAGCTGGGTGGGGGAGGAGACGGGGCTCCATGAGACAATGGACAGTAAGGAAGGACCACACAGGCACCACCCAGCTTCTCTTTTATCCACATGTACCATCCATAAGGGAGTCCTAGCAATTAGAAGGCAGCTTCTGTATAGAGAATTCCCCATTGCCCATCCTTCTGCCAAAAAGGAAGAAAAATAATAAAACAAAGCAGTAACACTGAATTAGTCATTCTGGATTGCCCTTCCATTGAGACACGTGCATCACATTTAAATCCTTTCCCCAACTGCACACGAGATTCCCTGCAAAGAGCTGAAAGAAAGCGCCTGCCGTACCTGGGCTCACACAGGAAGGCCGTGTTTTCCCCGTCTGCTCTCCATACAAGCCACTCCCTGAAGGACGGGTGGCAGAACATGCGGGTTTTGTCTCGCCTCTTAATGAGGAAGCAGGAGAGGGCGTCCATCCTCTGCTGAAAGTCTTCCCATCCCTGCTCCCCCTGGATGTGGCCAGCATTAATAGCCTGAAAGATCTGCTCGTCTGTCATGGGGTGGAGGGATGCGAGGGCCACGTTGAGAATCGGAAGTGCCCTCTCAAAGGCGGACTGGGTCATGAACTTCATGTTGCACTGAAGCAAATAGAGCTCAGAGAGAGACACGGGCACCACCTTGTAGCTGGCACTCTTAATGACCAAGTGGCCCCTCTGGAAAAGGTCCAGGGTGAGCTTGAGGTACAGGTAGGAGCCGAGGCTCCGCAGCACCAGGTGGCTGCTCACTTTTCCAATGAGTGTGGCATCGGCCTTGCCATTCAGGGAGATGTTGCTGAGGATGTCCTGGCTGCTGTGCACCCTGTGCTGGACGTAGGCGTGCAGGTCACTGTGGATGTCTTTGTTGTCTGGGAAGTCATCTAAGGAAAGCTTGACAAATGGCAGCGCACTTATGATTTCCTGGGGGAGAAAACAAAAACCCACAGTGTCACTCTAAAGAGATTCCTTTTTTATTTTAACAGCATTTTAAACCAGATTCACTAGTTTTGTTTCAAGGAGGATTTTCATGGATTACAGGGACTCATTGTTTTGTATTAAAACGTGTAATAGGATAAGGTGAAGATAAAAAGCTTATGTGAAAGAAATCCTGATGGGAGATGGAATCAGTAAGTGCTATCCTGAGGCCCTCATCCAAGGACCCTGAGCCTAGCAAGCAGAGTAAGAGCCCTGTGCAGACAGCGGCAACGAGGCCAGGGCCAGTAAGGGCAGTGAGACTCTGCAGGTGACCTGATACCCATAATCCTTACACTGTGAAACTGCTTATATAACAAGGACAAACACCAACCAACACTGCACATCTAAGAACACGGCCAGACGCCAAGATAAAAGACATCCTTCTTTATGCAGCAAACACTGGGGCTGTGTAACCCAATCAGGAAATCTGAGTCTGCCCCTGGGCTGTGTCTCAACGACAGCGCATCTTAACAAAGCTGCCTACTTTGGTATAGCACGTTATTTTATGAATTGCTTTTTTAAAGTAAACTTTTAAATTGAAGTCTAACAATGAACATATGATTTGTGTACAAATGACAATTGCACAGTGTCACTAATTTTCACTAAGTCAAATATACCTATGTAACCAGCACCCAGAAACAAAACATCCTCAGCTCCCAGAAGCCTCATGTGCCCTTCCCATCTCTTCCCCATTCCAAAGATTAAGCACATCTGACACCTAAAAGCAAAGAAGAGTTTTGCCTTTTTAAAAAGACTTCCCACTATTGTTTCTGAAGTATTTAAATGCACGTGCTCATTTAATATAACAATGTAGATAAAGAGGGCAGAATACAATTATTCCCATTTTACATGGATGCTATCTGAAGCTCTGAAAACTTACACAGCTGGGAAGAAGAACGTAAGATTCCTGGTTCCTATGATCTACTGATGGACAAATTGTGCTTACTATGTAAAAAATGACTGAAAAATATACAAACTGAATGTCCAAAAAACACGCATCAAGTTCAACTGAGGTCTAATTTCAGTTTTTATAATGAAAAAATTCCAAATGCTGTTTTTAAATAAATATCATAAAAGGGCAAAAATCAAAACCTAATGTCTAAAAGTCTTCACTGAAAAAGGATAGGTATAGAAGGAGTCAATGGTTAAGACACAATTTCAGGGTTTAAGTGAGGAAGAAGATGGAGGAGAAAAAAAAAATCACCCTACCCCTCGCTGCAAATGTTACCTCATGCTTAAGTTTTGTGAAAAAATAGACCTCTGGGAATAGGCCTTAAAAATGTTTCACCTTCAGCCAGGCACAGTGGCTCATGCCTGTAATCCCAGCACTTTGGGAGGCCAAGGTGGGTGGATCACCTGAGGTCAGGAGTTGGAGACCAGCCTGGCCAACATGGTGAAAATCCGTCTCTACTAAAAATACAAAAATTAGCTGGGCATGGTGGCAGATGCCTGTAATCCCAGCTACTCCGGAGGCCAAGGCAGGAGAATCACTGGAACCAGGGAGGCGGAGGCTGCATTGAGCCGAGATCATGCCACTGCACTCCATCCTGGGTGACAGAGCGAGACTCTATCTCAAAAAAAAAAAAAAAAAAAATCTTTCACCTTCATTTTTCCCTTCAAAAAAACACAAAGCCCCACAGTAAACCCTTGCAAATAACTACCAGCAGGAGTAGCTTTAAACTCTGGCAGGCCTCTTGGCCCCACACACTCCATGACGGTAACCAGGGCTAGATGCCACCATTTGAAAAGTGAACGTGCAATTCGATGCCAACAGGAAACTTACCTGACATCTTGATAAATATACCTGGGGCTAAAAAGGTCAGAGTTTCACCCAAGTCTGGCTCTCTGGACTAGTTTTTCAAATTCTTAACATAGTTTCCAATTCAAGCAGCTGAATGGTTTACAACAGTTTTACGTTATTAACATTTATCACTGTAAAATTGGAATGGGGACTTGGAGAAAGATTTGAGAATTCTTTGTTACCTGAAAATTTGCTCTTACAGTCACAATCAACTTCAACCAGGCAGGAAATTTAGAAATAATTTTGGTAATAAATGAAGAAAGCGTATCTCCATAATCAGGTTTATGAAACTCAGCTTCATTTAAGCCATCTATCAAAATAATGTATTCTTCTTCAGGAATTTTCTGCTCTACAGGATAAAATAATTTTTTCAAATTAAGAAATTATACATTTCTCTAAGACAGCAACACCCAGTGTATTTTAGTGCCCAGTTTAGTGTTAGAAACTAAAAAGGTTTACATATGGCACAAGAAACAGTTTTCACAGAAGCATATTTTCTATTAAATTTATAATGAAAACTGGAGCACAGAGCCAAAAGAAAACCAATTCTCACAAAACAAACATATTGCATGACACATGTTAGCAGAATCTCACTCGTGTATATAACACAGTTAGCTCTTCATAAACCACTGTCATTGGGGTGGGCTACACAAAGATAATGAACACATACAGAGGCCCAATCCGGAAAGGTCACTAGGTCCCCCCATGAGAGCTCCCCAGTGGATTCCAGGGAAGGGAAACTGACCCCCTCGCTGCCCCCAGCCCAGGGCAAACTGCCCTGGCCAAGCCATACAACCAACACAGCGTGAGAGCTCCACGCTACCGACTCCTCCAACAGGGCTCTTCTCTGCGAGCCTGAATCTGGTTTTCTATTTATTAGTGCTGATTTTCTGCCCAGGCAATAGAGAAGAAATGATGACATATCTGTTTTCTATCCCTCTAGCACCTTCCAGCAGAGGTGCCATGTGGGCAAGTAAACAAGCTCAAAAGGTGAGGAGTCCAGGGCAGAGAGGATGGGAAACTGAAGGGCCCATCAGGTCACTGATGTCCATTACCTTGTCGGGGACAAACAATTAAAATGGAAACCTTTAGAAGTCACTTTAAGGTTTCAATTCAACTGAGCAGAGGCCCTGACAAATATATATGCTGGAAAATTCCTCCAAATAATCCACTTATTCCCTCAGATACTTAGGAGTGCAAAATACGCAACAGTCTTCTGTGGTGCAAGTCACCTAAACAGCCCACACTTACAAGCTGACTACTTTGGAACTGCTCAGTCATCACATTCATTCTTATCAGGGTGCTTCTTTTAACACTATACCATAGGGGTGGTGTAGGAGCGACCTCATGGGGCTGGTTCTGAGAAAGAGGAGTGGATGGGCACGGAGGCTTCGACATCCTCTCCATGCTCCACCTCACTTCTACCCCAGCCCGGCTGACCACCTGCCTTCTGGGGACCACCTGTGTCTGCTGTACCACTACTGAGATGGGGCTGTGGGTAGCTGCTGCGAAGTACCATTTCTCAGGTTTGTGAGTGGCTCCAGCACTCCCCTCTTGAAAGCTGCCACCGGGTCCTGCACACAGGATCGGAGGCTCAGCATGCTCTGTAGTTGGGGCTCCTTTATCAGAAGGTCTCTGTAGGCGGCCAGCTGATGGGACCGGCAGAGCAAAGCTGCGATGCTGTGCACAAACTCGGGCACCAGGCAAGTGTACGTGTTGTCAGCCTGGCAGTAGTGGTAGGCCACCACCTAGGGGGAAGCAGAACCGTCAGCATCACCTCACCCTCTTCACACAGCTCCTTCTGCAATCTCAAACAGGAACACAACTCTGCCCATTCGCTGGTAACAAGATACATAGCATCTATTCCCCAAGACTGGGTCATTTGTTAGCATAATTGTTCCATTTATTCCTTCCTTCACTTATGTGGTTTGCAGACCTTTAACTGCATCCACAAAGCCATCTTGATTAGCATAAAAATCAGCACAAGTTATTTTTTTATTTTTGTATTTAATATAAACAAACAGCATTCATAAAACCTAAAACCTACCCTGGCTTACAGCAGCTCCAAGCCATCCTAATATTCTCAACATCAAAAAGTGCCATCTTCACTAGGTTTCTGTTCTCAAGAGCAGCGGCACCTCTTTAGGAAACCCTTTTGCTGATCCCAAAAGGCAGATGATAAACCCAGTGGCTGTGAGACCGGGGCTGTAGAGTCACAGCAGCTCCTTCTCCTGGTCAGGAGGGTCAAGATCTTGGCCCCTCCCCACACCCACACTGCATCAAGGGACACTGTGGAGGAGTTCTACAGGGGCACTGTCTGAAGAATGAAACCCGAAATCACCAAATCTCTGCCCATCGTGTGGAGAGATAAGTTGGAGTTGAGAGGGAGCTGCCCAGGTACTGAGAGGAAAAGGAATGGTCCCTGTTCCAAGGGACCTGCAGTGTCAGCAGGCTGTTTGTGAGAGGGACCCCACGAAAGGGCCAGACGCTGAAGTGTTGGGAATGGGAGGCGTGCTATAGATAGAAGAAAAATCCAATACTTTTCCAAAGGAGGATGATAGGAGAAACACAAGTAGAAGGTAAGGAAGGAAAAGAAGAGCAAAACACTCGTGCCAAGAGCTACCTGTTTTTTGGGAGTATCTGCCTTGCTGCTGTCCCACTGGGTGCGGCAAGCGCCTGCAGGAAGTAGGACAAGAACCACTAGCCACAGTTCATCACTGAGGGCACCAGACACTGAGGTTAGATGCCTTGCCAACCTGACACAGATAGTCAGGGATGTGGGATTAGATCCCAAGTCTGCAGACTCTTTAAAAGGCAAGTGGCAAAAGTAAATGTGCAACAGCTTTTCTCTGGCCAACCTGGAGTTGCCATGAGACTTTTGGTTTAGATTAAATTTATCATCAACAGAGGAAAGCTGGCTGCTCTCCAACTCTCACCTGGACAGAAATTAGCAGGGATACATGTGAGGATCCTGTAAGCTTGTGCAAACCATCATGAGATGTCCAGTACCACAGTCTCACATGGCATTTGACAAAAACAGCTTGGCAACCCAACAGTGGGTCATGAAATCTATTTATTTATTTATTTTATTTTTTTGAGATGAAGTCTTGCTCTGTCACCCAGGTTGGAGTGCAGTTGCACAATCTTGGCTCACTGCAGCCTCCGCCTCCTGAGTTCAAGTGATTCTCCCGCCTCAGCCTCCCGAGTAGCTGGGATTATAGGTGCCTGGCACCATGCCTGGCTAATTTTTGTATTTTTAGTAGAGACGAGGTTTCAATATGTTGGCCAGGCTGGTCTCCAACTCCTGACCACTGGAGTGATCTGTACGCCTCGGCCTCCCAAAGTGCTGGGATTACAAGCATGAGCCGCCAGGCCCGGCCTTGAAATCAATTTAGAGCCACAATTTTTTAAAAAATAAACTTAGGAACACTAGAGTGTATTATAGGATATAAGAATAAACATAGTTCTAAAATGCTTTAGTTATGTGGGTGATTATGTGTGAGTGATCTCTAGTGTAAGATGTATCTCTTATGTGGGTCACAGTCAATGGAGTTTGAAAATCACCATAAGCAGGGATGGCTTTGAAGTCTGCACTACATCACTCATCTCAAATCACCCACTCATGACTAGAGGACTGTTCTGAACCAGTGGTCAGAACCATCAGGGGTGATGGCGCCAAGAGCAGTCATCATCCGGAAAGCAGAAGGGACGGGGATCTGGTGCAGGGCAAGATTCGGTTCAGCTCCCCTCACCAACCTCCCCACAGGGCCTCCTCACAAGGTGTCCCCATGGCTGCTGGCTCCAGCAGCTCTCCAGCTCCACCGACTCACACCACTGCTGCCCAGGGAAACTTAAGTAGCTCACTAGGAGCAAGGGATGTAACTGCTTTAATGCAGGAGTGCGGTTGGTGAGCCAGTGATGGGTGCTAAGCAGAAGAAAAACTTCAGAAAGACCTTGATGATCACAAATTTAAGAAGGGAAAGTTAGCCAAGGAAGGCTCTATTACAACTTCACGAGAAACCTCTGTCAGAAAGCCAAGGAAACCAAAGGCCTCAGACAACAGAGTGCAGGGGAAGAGGTCTGGGTCAAGTCAAAAGCTCCCAATTTCCTGCTCACATACCAAATTAGGAAGAGCACATGCAGATAAGCATGGATTTGTGGCGAGTGCACATGCTACCTTCTGCTGCCTTGAGGAACTCTTTCAATCCATTGTTTAAGATGGATCAGGTCCACTGCCAATGTCTTAAAACAGATACTTACTGTCATTCACACTTTTACTTGGAGAACTGTATCACTATTTCATTAAAAGCTATACTTTATCATTAAGCAGTTGTCTCTGTTTTAAGCTCCCTTTTCCAATCTACTTCTCAGAAACCAAACCAGCAAATCTCTCTATGTGGAAGGCTCCAATAAAACAAGAAAGATTACCTTAGAAGCAAGATATTTCACTGCATCCTCTCTTGGTCTCTGGTTTTCAGCACTGATAGACCCAAGAGGTGTTTTAGCTGTGCTGGAAGCACTTGTGGAAGAACTCGGTGAAAGCAACGGAGTGAAATGAAGATCCTGAGTGGGGTCAGAGGCTGCAGAGAAAGACCCATTTCATTATGTACATCACAGTAGGAGCAGGGTGTGGTATTGAATATATTTCTTGATTTGTGCCAGGGCATATTTTAATAAGCAAGGAGTGAACATGGTCCAAAATTCAGAGGTCCACATGAGAGCACAGGTTCCCATCTGTCTGCCACCCAACTGGTTCCCCTCCCTGGAGAACAGCCATCAGTGTACTGTTTCCAGTTTCCTCTATTAAATTTTTTTTTTCTTTTTCTTTTTTTTTTTTTTTTTTTAAGGCGGAGTCTCACTCTGTGGCCCAGGCTAGAGTACAGTGGTGCCATCTCGGCTCACTGCAACCTCGACCTCCTGGGTTCAGGTGATTCTCCTGCCTCAGCCTCCCAAGTAGCTGGGATTACAGGCACCCGCCACCACACCCAGCTAATTTTTGTATTTTCAGTAGAGACGGGGTTTTACCATGTTGGTCAGGCTGGTCTCAATCTCCTGACCTTAGGTGATCTGCCCATCTTGGCCTACCAAAGTGCTGGGATTACAGGCATGAGGGCAGTGGCACAATCCCAGCTCACTGCAGCCTTCATTTACTGGGCTCAAGCGATCCTCCCACCTCAGCCTCCTGAGTAGCTGGGACAAAAGGCAGGCACCACTATGACTGGTGAATTTTTTGTAGAGACGAGGTCTCCCTATGTTGTCCAAGCTGGTCTCAAACTCCTGGGCTCAAGCGATCCTCCCACCTCGGCCTTCCAAAGTGTTGGTATTACAGATGTGAGTCACAGCGCCTGGCCTATTAAATTCTTTTGTGTCTTAAAAATCTCGCATGATTCACTTGTTCACCATGTTTAGAGTGGGTTTATTGCATATGAAATAAACAGTAAATAGTCAAACATTTGGCTACTCTATCCTATGTCTTTATAATTTTGGAAAATCCAATACAGAAGACGAAGGCTGTGCCAAACAGGGTACAAAAGAACTCCACATTAGAGTCCATCTGAGCTTGTTCTACCAGGAGCCCAACCCCTTGCTCTTAGGGCCCCAAATTCTCCAGGACACTTGATCAGCCTCACTGGCCCATCTCTGCCTGTATCTAAAGGAAGAGGGGGTTACAGTTCAGGAGGACATCAGGGAACACTGGCCTCGCCCCAGCTTACAGCTGAATACACATCATGATGGAGGGACATATTGAAACAGTTCACTTCACACATGATGGCAAACCTGATATAGTAGCTGCAACAACTTGAGGAAAATTGGTATTTTATGTCTATGTGAACAGCAATTTCCTCCATCTATCTTATGTTAATAAACTAGACAAGTAATTAAACATGCACGTACTTTTAGGTGATGAACCCGGGCTGTTGGAAGCAATCTGCCTCATGCGGCTTCCGTGGCAGCTCAGGGCCACCAACTTGGAAATGATTGCCGTCTTCCCAAATCCCACATTGCCAACCACCACCGCGCCTCTGTTTTCTGCCAGTTCTGTGTTCCTCAAGTTTTCTTCTATCTGGTGAAAGAGCCAATCCCTTCCCACAAACACAGAGTCTGTTGTTATGCTTGGTACTTCAAACAACAAGGGTTTCAACAAAATGTCTTGTGGCTTGTAGGGAGCAAATCGTGCTTCAAAAGAAGAAAAAAAAATTTTAGAAAAATGTCATAATTTTATAAACTAAGAAACTCAAATATTATTGCTTGTGTGTTACACTAAATCCTTAGCTTTACCCCCACTAGGATCTGTCTGTAAGCATTTCCAATCTCGTTCTATTAATACTTCTGTAATACCTCAATTACCATACCCTATTGGACCTATTGGACCAATAGGAAACTAGAGTGTCCTATTGAAATTACTCTCTAGTCTTGTCATGGCTTTGAATTATTCTCAGGACTCAAGGCAGACACACAGAGGATTAGAGAAAGCCATGTGAGGGGCCAAATCATGTCTCATTGGTTCATCTGGAACTGCATTTAAGACGTGCTTCTTCCCTGCTGTATGAATAAAACAGAAACATGTTTTCCCTAGAAATAGGGCTCTGCTCTCATCCAGGTGTGATGACTCTGCCTGTACAGTGAGGCTGCTGTGTACCTCACACAACTGTGTTACAGGTAGACAGAGAACATGGCCAATACAGTCCAAGTGTTTTTTTTTTTTTTTGAGATAGTTTCACTCTTGTTGCCCAGGCTGGAGTGCAATGGCACGATCTCAGCTCACTGCAACCTCCGCCTCTTGGGTTCAAATAATTCTCCTACCTCAGCCTCCCAAGTAGCTGTGATTACAGGTACCTGCCACCATGCCCAGCTAATTTTTATATTTTTAACAGAGATAAGGTTTCACCACATTGGCCAGGCTGGTCTCAAACTCCTGACCTCAGGTGATCCACCTGCCTCGGCCTCTCAAAGTGCTGGGATTACAGGCATGAGCCACCGCGCCTGGCCTAGTCCAAGAATTGAAACAAAGCTTATACTTTATTAGTAATAAACACCTAATGAGTGTTAAACTACCCCTCACTTCAAAACTACCCCTCACTTCAAAATAACTTACTGCAGAATTACTTTTTCAATTCCAGAAGCAAGTTAATCACATATTTTAAAGGAAGAAGCCCCAAACTGTTGAGGATGACCTCTTAGCACACCTCACAGATATGCTTTTAGCACAAACACACTTTCCATCATGTTATAAACACAGTTGGCTTCAATGCTGGTTATCACAGACTTTCAAAGTTACTGACTGAGTTAGTCATAACCATTATCGCAGCTGATGCCAGGATAAATACCTTTAACTTCCTGTGCCCTACCTCCGGCCGTATTGTGCCATGGTAATCTAATTGACGTCCGTAGAGGAGCATTTCTCTGCCCGTCTAAATAACTCAGATCTTCCAATTTGGTTGAGCTTGTTGCTGTAATATTAAACTGAAGTTTAGTATCTTCAAAGGTGACTTTAAATTTCATACCTAAGTGACTATAACTTATAAATCACTAAGCAATTCAGTTCAGGCTTTCAACAAAATTTACTTAAACTTCATTTTGATATTGTTTGCCCCAGTTTATTTTTCTGGCAGTATCATTAGTTGAAAAGTGGTAAAAACCAAATGCTTCTTTTTCTTAAAGTTATGTTGACTGAGTTGTCAGAATTCTCCATTATTCCTGGAAAGAGACAGAATTCACCATAAAGTGTTTGATGAGGAAATCTGACAATCATGTGGCACACAGCAAAGCTTCAGTACTTAACACCACAAGCAGGTGGCATGCTGCTAGATTCTTCTCTGCAGCTCTGGGGAGCTTTCTGCTGTTTGGAATTCCCAACTTATTAATTAAATGGGCAGATTCTATGTGTACAATTCCACAGCACCGAGAACACTAAAAGTTGGCTCAGTAGTAATAGTATAATCATATTCCTAAGCTTCAAATATATGTGTAGACTTATATACACATTCTATATCATACCGCATTTTTTGGTGTTTTTTATTATAAAAATAAGTTATGTTTACCTCTGACCAAGTCAGTAAGACTCATATCACCTAAGTATTTGTTATAAAGCATTAAAGAGCAGGGTGCAGTGGCTCACGCCTGTAATCACAGGACTTTGGGAGGCTGGGGCGGGTGGATCGCTTGAGGTCAGGAGTTCAAGACCAGCCTGGCCAACATGGTGAAACCCCATTTCTACTAAAAAACAAAAAAAATTAGCTGGGCATGGAGGCGGGTCTCTGAAATCCCAGCTACTTGGGAGGCTAAGGCAGGAGAATCGCTTAAACCTGGGAGGCAGAGGTTGCAGTGAGCCAGGATCGTGCCACTACACTCCAGCCTGGGTGACAGAGCAAAACTCTGTCTCAAAAAAAAAAAAAAAAAATTAAAGATCTATTCAAACATTCATACGAGTTAGATTACAAAAACAACTACCGCAAAATAATTTTGCTAATTCTCAAGAAATCTTAGAAGCAAGTACATAGTACACGTTTTTGCCTTTTAAAAACCCCTCCTGTTATTACATTGAGGAAAATCTAAAATTAACCTAATTTGGTTTATGGGTTAAGCCCAACATGAAGTACTGTTGATCTTAGTCAGATTATTATCTTTCAGGACAAGAAAATATACAGTGACTTGAGGGCAAATGAGAGCCTAGAGGGAGACATAGTGCCTGGGTAAAGCCTTCTTAGCACTGGGGACATCTTCAGTGGGACCAAGGTGCAGGGGACAGAAGTCGAGTTGGGCCATCTGTCTTCTGAAAACCCTCTGGCTGCCCAACAGGCTCTGACCCAGCATCCAGCTGCCGACCAGTGCCATCCGTCCTACCTGCACCCTTCCATTTCCCCCTACTAAGATCTCAGTCCTTCTCTTCCTCACTATCCATATCATCCTCTCTCATTCCTTCATTCAACAGCCACCTGGGTGGCTCCAGGCCTGACTGTGTTGGCATATCCCCTCTCGCTGCATCCTCCAAAGGGCAATCCAACACGTGCCCTGCCTACTCATCCTCCCAGCGAGCAAGAAACACCTGAAACCTTGACTTCACGACAGCATGCACCTATGCCTCTGTATCCTCCTGGTGCATATCCACAGTGTATACACATTTAAGTGAATATTCTATGCACTTTGCCAGCTACCACACAAATCTTTCCCATTAGAAAGACTCAGCTAATTACTTGTTGGGGATTTTAAATGGATCGAATGTACGGTAATCCAAGGACAGCGTCTAGCTTCTCTCTAGGCCCTTCATAAGTAGGGTGTATAAAATCTCCCGGAGGGCTAACAGGACTACACTGTCTTCCCCAAACCTTCTTACCTCCCTACAGTAACACAGCTTGGAACATTTTCTAGGCTCCTGCCTGAGCACTGAGACCCTTCTCCTCACATGCCTCATGGTGAATGCACCCACCAAGGCACAGGTAGAAGGGGCAGGCAGCCATATTCATAACCCGTAATTCATTTCAGAGCCAGAACAGTCATGAACATCTGACATAATGCTGCAGCCCTAGAGAATAAAAAGATGCTTTAGAGCCTCAAAAGTGTTGCCTATTTCCCTTCTTCCCCTGACTCCTTAGAACAGTTTATAAATTTATAACAACTGAAAGGATTAAAAATATGTGACCATAAAAGACATTCCAAATAAAGGATTGCAAAAATGCCCTAGATTGTATCTAAACAGGTACAGGAGATGTTAAGATTCCACAGGCCTGTTTTCAGATTCCCAGCCACTAGAGCTTCGGCACCAAAATCTGCAACAGAGCAGCCTCAGCACTTCCACAGCTCTTGGCTGATTCTCAATTTCAAATACGATTAAGCCGAGCTGAAAGCTGCAGCAGGGCCATAAGCCACCACCTGCCAGCTATCTCAGCTTTCTGAGGCATTTTCGAAGCCACCAATAGAGGTGCCAGTGAATAGGGCAGGAAGATTTCAGTGGCTTAGCTATGTGCCCAGGTGCTCCCCACCCTCTGAGCAGGTAACTTGGGCCACTCTGCCCTCTCAGGCATGCCTACAGTAGATTCTCAGTTGTTACCTATGCAAAAGTCAGACTCACATTCAGTATTTACCCATAAACGCTTTCAAAATCCTAGACACTACTCAGGGCCCCAAAAACCCAAAGGTAAAGCAATAATTTCATGCTACAATAAACCCACTGCTAGAATCTCTACAGCGAAATTAATTATACACTTGTTGTGCACACACACACACACACACCATATCTAACATCTGGATAAGAAGCACATTTCAAGATGTGGAGGAAAGTCCGTTTTTTGGTGAGGGTGGGCTTGGTGGGGCAAGGCAGAGGGAGACATCTCTAAGCTGAACAAAGAAGAACATTTGCTAAAGTTGTGGTCTAACCTATGGAAAGTCCATGCCAATAAGTCCAGGGCAATGACCAGTTTTAGGAAAACTGGATAGCAATCATGCTTGTTTCCTGGAAAATTAAACACAGTGTTCTATAATCCACTCAGAAAGTATTTTGAAAGGTAAAAAATAGAACCCATTACCCAACTTCTTTCTGATTTAAAACATACCTTTAAAGGCTTCTAGGTCTGTTTTTAATAAAGGAAAGAGGTGTCCATGTCATGCATTTTGATGTGATATATAGTTGTCCAAACCAATCCCACTCTAATAAATATCTTTACAAAGAAAATCTGTATAGTGAAATAATCTTTAAACCTAGCCAACTTATTTTTATAATCTTTGTCAAAAAATAAAAATAAAAAAACCTGTCACTGTACTACATGGTTAACAGACAATTTCATTCTCTGTAGCAAGCTCAATAAAGGACCTTAGGAAGAACTTCTGCACCCAATCCCCTAGGGGCCAGCCCCATGAGGAGGCTGTGAACAGAGGTCTGGCATCACCCTTCCTTTACCTGCCAATCCTCATATGCCAAAACACCTTTCCCACCAAAAGGCAATTTGTTTACCTGGATCATAACATGCAAATACTTCTAAGAGATTTCTGTATACGGTCCTTCACATATTATTCTGATTCTTCTAACACTGAGTGTTCTCTGCTGCCCTGTTTGTAGCAGCCTGCCTTCTAATCACTAAATAGTGCTGCATAGAGTCTATACAACCTGAATCTTACTCTTCAATGGTACTTGAAAAATCTTGCCATTTCCTCTTAACTGAGATTCAACTTCAGGGGCAGGAAGGGAGGCAATGAAGAATCTACCAGACTCCTAGCTTGTTAACAGATATCATGAAATAGGCCTTTGCTCACGTCCTTTCAAAATATGCATTTAGTTTAAAAAACATGTAGCACACAAGAAATGAGCAAACCCATTAGGCCAGGTAGACTTTGCTCAAATCTAGAGGTGAAACCCTCCCATTCCACAGGAGGTCTAGCTCAAGGGCACACGCAGAAGCTAATGAATGCGCACAGCAGAAATCAGAAAGCTCTGCTCTATAATCACGGCAGCCTCCTGGAAAAGCTCAGCTCACACCCACTGTCACTTCACATGGCAGGAGACCCATAAAGAACATCGAGCAGAAAACAACCCCAAATGGGATGCTTTTAACACTGTTAAAATTAACACAGTAATGTTTCCTAATTTTAAAACAGCTTGACTAAATTGAGCACAAGTTCACTATTTTTGTTGAAGTTAATAAAGTGATCAAGTTCTGGGATAATACAAATGACCCATTCATCATAACTAGGTAAATACGGTCTAAAGCGCCTTGGGTGCCACATACTCTGTTAAAGTGGTGGGACAGTGGTGGGAGGACAGGAAAGCTTGTGGAAGGACTATCAGTCAACTCGTATAATGTTCTCTAGTATTTCTCTCCAGCAGACATGCCAAATCCCTCTTCTGGAACAAGGCCATTTCACTTCCTTTGAAAGTGAATTAGAGTTGTGCCTCAGCACTTTTCCATTAGGGCCACTTATTTATCAGCTACTTCAGAGTCCCATTGTAAAAGAACACCCAACAACCACCAGAGTGACCCACCGCATCCTGAAAGCACAGTATAAATCACAGAGAAATTCTCTGACGTAGGAGCGGAGAATCTGGGTCCCTGCAGTAGTAGAAGAGAAATGTTAAGTGCTACACTGATAACAAAGAATGACTGTAACAAGTTCCTCTTCTAAACTCAGCACAGGGCATGGAGTTTAGAAACTAGAAACCTTAAAAACAGGCCCCACAGCTCAGATGCAGAGAGCTCCTTTCCCCACCCACCTGGAGCTATAGTCATCCTTCACTATGCACTGGAGATCACTTCCAGGGCCCCCTGAGGATACCGAAATCCTCAGATGCTCAAGTTCCTACTATAAAATGGTATAATATTTGCACATAACCTACAAACATCCTCCTATATATTTTAAATAATCTCTAGATTACTTATAATACCTAATACAATGTAAATAGTTGTGAGACTGTATTTTTAAATTCTTATTATTTTTTATCGATTTTTTTCCTTGGGTATTTCTGCTCCATGGCTGGATGAATCCATAGATGTAGAACTATAGATACAGGGGACTGACTGTATTCTCCTTGCTTGACACACACCTGGTGACCAGTCTGACTACTGACAGTTGCCAGCCTTTGTGGTTTCTTCTTTGTTCCAGCTGCTGCATATCTCGGTAAAGCATGTCTATCTCGAATATTTTCATTTCCTTGATTGAGAGCTCCTACTTCCACTGCTTACATTTTAAGCCGTGAGCTCCATTTTAACTAAATTGTACAGAAATTCGGCCCTCTTGCCTGTACAATCGGCCTCAATTAGACAAAAATAAGTTTGTAAGTTTGGTAAGAAGATCCTCGAGCTGATATTAACAAACTCACTCAACAATTCCCATTTACCAGGAGGTAATAAACAGTAATGAATTTTCTAAGGCTTAAAACAAAAACCGAGAGGAGAGTTTTTATACTTTCTTCTCTTATATACAAAGAGCCTGACAGTCCAAATAATCGATTTAAAGAATTCCAGAGCAGAAGGATCACTTAAAGACCATTAAGTACAGCCTTATTGTGTTTACAGATTAGTAAACTGAGGCTTAGAAAAGGTAAGTGCCTGACCCACGGCCACGAAGCTGGCTTGTATCTGGAGTGTCTTCCCATGTGAAGACAGTGAACACAGGGCACCTTGGTATCCCTGAGATAATCCTTCCAGGGAAAGGTGTGGCCTTACCTGCAACTGAGTTGGGCCGTGGCATTATTAGTGAGCTGGAGCCCTGAGAATAAGGGACTGGACCATCTCCAGCTGAGGATTCTGCTTTGGGCAGCGTGCTCTCTGCTGACCCGGTGGTCTCCTCTTCTGCCACTGGGGAGCAGTTATCTGCCCTGCGGTCATGAAGCACTCCCTTCTGAACCCCTAATCTTAGGTTTCCATCTTTATTCCATTCCAAACTGGAGCCACTCCGGTCATCATTTTCGGATGAACTTGTAATTGTGGCTGAAATGAAAGACCAAAATACTTTGAAGGAGGCCAGGCACAGCTGGGGCTGAAGAATTAAAACATGCACACTGCCCTCCCCAGGATCAATGGAAAGTTTTCCAGTCCACACAGATTTTTATCAAAGTATGTTCCATACAATGTATTTTGGTAAATTAGAAGAATGTGGCTTACCAGGGGAAATAAGCTGCTAAATCACTCTACAGAGAAGAGGAGCGAGGGAGAAACTCTGATAGGAAGATAATGAAAAAAATTGTCTAAAAAGTATCAGAGTTAAGAGTAAAATTATGTAACCTGGAGATAATGTATCCTCTTTTTAACAAAGATTACTCACAAAAGAATTCATTTCTCATTAAATTCCTTTGAACCTTTAAATATACTTTCCAAATTAAAAACATTTGCTGGGGGTGGGGGAGTGGGAACAAACAACAGAATGGTTAATGCAGAAACGGTGCAGGAGAAAATCTTTAGAAACAAAAATACAATTATAAAGTCAAACAGAGAATTTGACCCTTAAAGCTTATAACATCTATTCAAGATGATCCAGAGAGACTGACTTATTATTTCCTCAGCAACACGAAATGGAAAACCTTCCCATATCCAGCGCAGGTGAAGTACCAGCAGGAGAAGGTATACTATGACTGCAGAATTCACATTTAATCTCCAAGAAAGAAAACCAGCACAGAAAAAAGGTACAAAAAACCTTTTGTAAACATCTTGGCAAAAGAGCAGAAAGAACATGGTCAAAAAGCGAAGCAATACTCACCCTACATAGCTTCTACAAAGAGTCACTTCTAATTTAAAGATGCTGAGCCATATGGGATCCCCTTGCAACCACAGGTCATCATCACCTGGGCCACTCACACTGCCCCACTGTTAGAACTAACGCTGGCTGCGTCCTTGAGAACAGGGGCCATGTCCACCGATGCCTCTTTCCCTATCTGGATTCCAGTCACCTAGGCCCTCAACTCCACGCCTGTTAAATGGGAGTGCACAGGGCCAAAGTGCATTCAGAACCCAGCTCCTGGATCAGGCTGCTTTAGCCACACACCAAGATGATACACACTGTATCAGAAGGCTGGTAAATTAGCTCAGGGTCAGTTATTTAGGATCAAAGGGTCTGAAGGGTTTAGCTTTGTTTATATTCTTTACGGTTTAGAAGTAAAGACAAAACTATTTCCTTGCAGTGGCCCAGGACATCCTGTCACAATTCTGACTGTCTTTACTCCTCCTGCTGCTGCAGCCTGGACTTATCACCCTCTCTGGTTGCCTATTTTAAAAAATCCCACATAAATGCTGAAGCCTTCCCTAGAGTATCCATGGCTATCTTTTCCTTTTCTGAATAGCACAGCACAGCACATAGTAAGTGCTCAATAAATGCTTGCTAATTGAATGAATGAGCAAATGAATAAACTTCAATTCCATTTGTGGTCAGAGACACTACACTTAATCTCACTTACCAGAGTTCAGGATCTGATTTTGGGTGCCCATCGTTATGATTCCCAGCATTTGCCAGTGTTCCATCAGCAGTATTAAACCATACCTCCACCTCTTTGGAATCAATCACAGCCTTCCTTGTGTTTTTAAATAGACCATTTATATGAACATAGGCATAGCAAGTATGACTCTTTCTATCATAAAAATGCCAATGGTGGTGTTGACAGCAGAAGCTAGCATTTACTGAAGGTTTGCTATATGCTAGAAGTGTGCTAATGTTTTTCAGGAGTGGTCTAATTTATTGATAAGATTATTGCTTATTAATGGTAATCCTGTTAATAAGCTTGAAGCATAAAAATGGGGGCCATCCCATAACACAGATTGTGGTGTTACAAACCTTCACATTTAAATCCAGCATTTGCAACTCAAAATGCTTTTCTCAGACATATTGTAATAAGTTAGGTTCACAGGCTACTCCAACATCCAAGTGACAGGAAGAGTTCCAGGCTAGGGAGATAGGGGATTTGTTTGGTTTTATTTTTGTGGCTGTTACATTGGAAAGCACGTATTTGTAAATTGAAAAATTAAACCAAAAGTCAAAGTGCTCTCCCTAAGTGCCAAGCACTTCTGAATCAAACCCCAAAGATCTGAGTCCTAACTAGGACCTCAAGCAGGGGAAATAAGGACTTAGCTCACTTCCTGTTACAAGTGACAGCACTGCAATCAGGACCTCAGGGACCCATGGAGCAGCTGAGGATGGCTGGGAAGGCCAGGTCAGAGCTCCTGATGGCAGGACAGGTGGAAGGTGTGGCTCTCACTGGCAGACATGTGCCCTACACTGTGCCCAGCATCTCGTGGAGGGGGAGAGGGGGCGGAGGGGTAACACTCAGGTCCTGGCAGGGAGAGGAAGGAAAAGGGGTGGGGGAGGAAGGGCTCAGCTGCAGGAGCAGTCACTGCGAAGAGAAGTCCCAGATGGGGTAACCATTTAGAAATGAACATATTGTAAGGTCAGTGTTTATATGAAGGAGACTAGTGAGGAAGAAGAGGCAGCCCTTCTGCTGCCCTCACAAAGTTCCTGTGAGAGAGGCATTCCACGGTCCACATGTCCCAGGGTTCTCAGAGGCAGGGAGGCTGGAAAATCTGAAGCCACTCCATTGACACTCCTTCCTGGGATTCAATATCAGATGTAGCCTACACAGGTGGAAGCCCAGACACTCTCATCTTGGCTCAGCTCCATCCGAGCCCTGAGGCAGATCCAGCTGAGCAGATGAAGGCCAAATCAGTCTGGCTTCCCTGCATAACCTAAGAACAACACCAAACATGGCAGCCCCGGAGTCCCCAAGAAGAGAAAGCTGGTTCTTCCAATAAACGACATCTTTCTTTCTTCCAACCTTACAGAAATTCAAACTCCTAATCAGGTTAACCCAGTCAATCACTCTCAAAAATGCTTGTGGGTACACGTACACATCAAGGGCAGCATCTTAACTGTGATGACTTAAAAAAAAAAAATCTCTAAAAAGTGCTATTTGACATTTCCCAGAGACTGGCTAATGTTTATAGTTGCCTTAATAATTTAAAAATTCTAGCATTTTGTTCTTTGGACTAGTATAGATGGCAGCTTTTGTCAATTACAGCTTGCTATCATCACCCAAACTGGGTCTCAGCCACCCTCGAGACACAGGGCATTCTGAAACTGAGCGACTTATCAGGCCTTAAATTTTATAAGGCTGTGAGGTTAGGCTGTGCCTCACAATTTAGTGTTACATTCCGTTTAGTCTCAAGGACAGTGTCTTATCTTCCTTTGTACTAGTGTACAGGGGTAGAATACTTCCAAAACACTTTTCTTTTTTTTGAATAATATGGGATTTCACTATGCTGCCCAGGCTGGTCTCAAACTCCTGGCCTCAATCAGTCCTCCTGCATCAGCCTCCCAAGTAGCTGGGACTATAGGCACACATCATTGCACCTGGCTCACTTTCTTAATATAACAGGGCGTATACCTGATCACATCCCATGAGAGGAGGCAGATAGGCTGAGAACCATCAACCCCACCTTATAGAGATAAAAGGCTCCAGAGAACCTGATCTCTCTCTCTCTCTCTCTCTCTCTCTCTCTCTCTCTCTCTCTCACACACACACACACACACACACACACGTATGTGTATGCACAATTAGTGGTATAGCTAATACCAATTCTTCTGATTATACATACAGCGTATTTTTAAAACACCATTTGCTTGCATGGTGCTCATTACATAAAAGGAGTTAATTATCTGTGGCTAAAAGTTCATGAAGTCTGCCTTGTTAAAAAGTCATCCACTCAGTCATCAAATGCTTTGCTCTGCAAGGCTCTGAAATACGACTGCACTCTTTCTTCACCTTCCCAAAGTTTTTTTTTTTTTTTTTTGAGACAGGGTCTCACTCTCTTGCCCAGGCTGGAGTGCAGTGGTGCTATCTCGGCTCACTGCAGCCTCGAACTTCCAAGGCTCAAGCGATCCTCCCACCTCAGCCCCCTAAGTAGCTGGGACTACAGGTACCACACCTTGCTAATTTTTTATATTTTTGTAGAGACAGGGTGCCGCCATGTTGCCCACACTGGTCTTGAACTCCTGAGCTCAAGCAATCCACCCACCTTGGCCTCCTAAAGTGCTAGGATCCAACTTTACCCCTTGCCTTCTGAAGGTTCTATGTTGAATGGACACTTAAAATAGAATCAGCAAAAGAAAAATAAAATCAGTGTCGGTCCAGGGCCCTATAGGTAGTTTGGTGGGATCCAAATCAAGTTATAGGCTTAAATGAACATCAAGAAGAAAGCTAACTGTAACCTGACTACAGCATTAGCCCAGAATTGTTCAGGAACTAAGGACCAGAGATACCAAACATATGCCACAAACAATTCATCAGAACCTTCTCTTTGAGCTACAGAGAAGACAAGGGTGAAAAGAGCAAGGGGCTTGCTGCAACCTTGGCTTCTCCCCTCTAGGGGGTCCACAAGGAGGTATGCGTCTCCAGACCCGGTACCATTTTGGGCAATGGACATTTTTGTCTTTATAAACACCACCTTCCACATGTGTTTTCTCTCTTTCCACTAGCTATCAGGAAACTTAGGAGTAAAGCTTTCTGCCCACTTATAAGAAGAATACAGTCTTATGAATGTGACTCCTCAATGCATCTTTTCTCTTGCCCTATTTCATACTTTCCCCAACTCATACCTTCATGGAAAAGGAAAAATCTTGGTTTATTACATGTCTGTTTTGAGCATTTCAAATTCACTGGTGAGGAATTAAGTAATGATCCTTAAGAAATCACAACAGTGGCTAAGATGAATATTGGAATACTGTTTACTATATGCCAGGCTTCATTCTAAGTTCTTTTTGCACTTCAACTCACTGACTCTCATTAACAGCCCTATGGACAGGAAAGCCCCAGAATGCCCTAAGTCCCACTCTATCCTAGAATGGGGCTCTACATGGTTTTTTTTTGTTTCGAGACAGGGTCTCGCTCTGTTGCCCAGGCTGGAGTACAGTGGTGCAATGACAGCTCACTGCAGCCTCGACCTCACGGGCTCAAACGATCTTTCCACCTCAGCCTCCTGAGTAGCTGGGACCACAGGCATGCACCACCAGCACCCCTGGCTCATTTTTAAGTTTTTTTGTAGAAACAAAATCTCCCTATGTTGCCCAGGCTGGTTTTGAACTAATGGGCTCAAGCGATCCTCCCACCTCAGCCTCACATGGTGATGGGATAACAGGCGTGACCCACCATGCCCGGCCTCTCTACACTGCTCTGATCATACCATACTATTAAGACAAGACTTGGCATACATCCCAAATACATGTACTATAAATTATGTACATATACTATTATAATAGAAAATACGCATTTTGAGAGGACTCTCTGAAGAGAGTGATTTGTCCTTCCCTGGGTTGCAGAGAAAATTAGACATAAGGGCATATGTCAAGTGCCTCAGGCATCATGAATGCTCAGGAATGTTTTCCTCCCCACACAACTGAAGAAAAATAAAGTAGCACTTAAAAAGCAAACATTTTTTAACCTCTGTATTTAGCTTAGTGGTTGACAGGAAGAATTTAAAGTTAAAACACTGGACCAATGAATTAAGGATCAAACAAGAAAGGAACATAATGGCCGCTCATAAAAGTGGATGAAAGGAAGAAGTGAATAGAAAAGGAAAAGCCCACTACTGTAGCGAGACTGCCTCCTGTGACTAAGAACTTTCCAAATTAGGTTTCACTGCTGCAGAGGAAGTCCGATCAGGAAAAGATCAGAGACAAGTCAAGGCAACGCGCGCAGAAGTCTGTAGGCCTCTTGGCTGACAGGTGGCGTCCCTCTCTTGTGCACCCACACCTCACACCCAGCAGGCATTCAAGCCACCAGGCCACATTTTGGATTTTCCCAAGTGTGTAAGGGAAAGCCTGCACAATGAAACCGGCCTGACTTAAACCTTTCTGGCCAGAATTGCCAGACTGTACTTTTATTTCCACCCCTACCTAGGCCCGGCCACCTGCAAACTAACCAACCACAGAGAACAAAGTCCCTGGTTCACCTGCGGCCACAGCTTTTAACCTGAGGGGTCTAGTGAAGGCACTTAAGCCACCTTGCCTGGAATGCCAACAGAATGTCCCAGGTGGGACCCCCGCCCCAACCCTGCATGGTAACCTTCAGCTTCAGGAGACTTCTGGCTTCTCCTTCTGCAACTGCCCAGCCCCATCCAATGCGCCACAGGGCCCTGCTCCCTCTCTGGCCTTGCTCTGGGAGCCCCGTATGCTGGCTTGTGACAGCCAGATCTCTGTACGAAATTTCTAGCTCAGTGCTCACCTGTGTTGCGCAAGGCATGCTCTGCTATGACATGCAGCAAGGCCAGGGGCCCGAGCCGCACATTCCCAGCCACATTCATCAGGCTCTTCAACTAAGGAAACACCTAAAGGAATGGCTGGGAGCAGGTGGTGCTGGGCGGGGAGGATGGGACCCACCACACTGCCCAACTGAGAAGTCTCCAGAGACAAGTCTAAGGACTTAAATAACATGACATTTTCCAGAAAAAGCACAGTGTTTTGATAAAGCCTCACATAACCTGTGCACAGACACTGGAGCTTCTCACACAGTCTAATGACCCTTTTCCAGACTTTGGAAAAGAGTTCGATTAGTGGTATCATTATGCGCCCACAGCATACATCTTCCGTCAGAGGTATCAATCACTGTCATGTCTTAAATTCTTCTCAGTAATTCACAACTTGCTCAGACTCTCCACAGAACAGAAGACCATTTTGTAGTCCCACAAGTGGACAAGTTTTGACAATAGATGCTGTGCCTTATCTTTATTGTCCCAGTACTGAACATGCTTGCTCCTGGTACACAGTAGGCGCCAATAAATGCTTGCTACACCAATAGAACAGCCTGAAGAATCCAACTACAGTCTGAATAAAAGTACAGCAGGCTCTTTGCTGACTCAAATCATTGCCAAGAATTTCTTTCCCACATTAAGCATATTACCAAATTATATACATAAAGAAAAATTCTTCTCTTCACCCAAGAGATTTTAAAAAAAAGGCTTCTATAATTAAGGATGATTTTAAAAATTGCAGGCAACGTAGCAAAATGAATATTAACCCAGACTTGAAACAGTCTAAATAGTTATTACCAAATCAATTTCAAAGCATTTCAATTTAGTAGTGAGCAGGGCGATACAGGTGGCAACAAAGCAGTATTAGCATAAAATCAAAAGGGCAGGATTTACAACAAGTCAAAAAGGAAAATAAAGTACAATTAATTCATCTTTGTGTGCCTCTGCATCTGATTATCTCCCTTGGGGCACAAAGTCCAGGAAATAAAAGGTCTAAAGCTACCTCTGGAATCACTTTCATTTTATAAGCCTAGCAGGAGGTAGGAGAGAGTCAAAGGAAGATAAAAGTCAGCCCATGATAATTTTTTTTTAAACATCCTAAGCAACTAGGCAGAAAAATAAATATTATCAAACTCTAGCAAGATACTCTAGCAGGATACTAACCAGGTGTCTAATATTTTACTGCAAGCTACTTCTGCAGAAGTGTTTCTACGAAGGTATTCCCCTGTCTAAATGCATACCTGCCTCTCTGCTTCAAACTGAGCAAGAAGAAAACAAATGTAAGCATGAGGAAAGCAAAGGAAAGGCATTCAGAAGAGCTTGAATTCTGAGCACTTAATCACCCAGAAAGCCACCTAGCCAGGTGGAATGTGGCGGCTCATGCCTGCCAGCTCAGGTGCTGAGAGCTGGGCAGGTAGATTACATACCTGCTCTGTGTGGCAGACACACCCAGCTGGGGAGAGGCAGCCACTGTTCCCTCAGGGTCCCCTCCCTTCATGGAACTGTCCTAGCACCGTTTCTCCAAAGGAGGCCGATTCAGGACACTACAAAAATGCTCCGGAGATTACACATCTCAACAGGTAAAGAAAGGCAGATTAAAAAGACGAATGGAGAGAGTGACTGACTTAACGGCCCCTCCCTCAGCCAGAATAAGTCCTTCCCCTCTGCACATCTATCATTAATGGATAGGAAGGATTTCTTTTTATTTTGATAGGAAAGCTGGGTTTTCTTTGTTTCTTCTCATCCAGGCTCTATCCTCTTTCTTCCTAAATGCAGAAATAGCCTATTTTCTTGAAACTAATATACACACTTAAAATTTTATCACGATATGTACATAAACACAAATTAAATTTATCTCAAAGCACTTTAAAACACATTTTCAGTGATGCTTTGTTTGAAAATCAGATTGGTTTTCACACATTCTAATGAAAACATACTTTATATTTCTTTCTAAACTGGGATTAATACAGCTTACAGTTTCCATTTGTAACAGTTGGAAGCAAGACATATTCAAAGGAATGTCACTGAGAAAAAATGTTTTCTCAGACAAGGAGGAAACACCTTTAAAAGCATACTCTGTAAAGTTTTTCTTTTCACAGTAAGTAACTGAAAGCTATTTTATGGTGATTGGGTACAGTTGGGTTTCACCTTGAGAAGATTTTCACATTGCAAATTTGAAAATCAGACACCAACTTCTAGGTAATGCCAATGATTTTAACATGTAAAGAGTAAAGAAGTTCACTTAAAAAAATAAAAAAGATAATCATAGGGAATTCAGTTAATCCCATTCAGCTTAGACAGTATTTCTACATGACAGAATTATTATACTTCTAAAGACATTTATGTCAGAAGAACTTGGACCTCCTGAAAGAGGATAAAGCGGGACTCCCCTCTGGATAACATAATACAGTTGAAACAAGGGGCAGGAGGGGTTTGCTAAGCCCTGGCCTCCAGAGAGGAAGACTGGAGGGGCCCAGTAAATTCTTGTACTGGTTACTAGCCTGCCCTTTCTCCTCCTAAGCAGTGGAAACAGAACACATGCAGGGCACCCTGTGGCAGTCCTGATGAAACCACATACTTTATATTTCTTTCTAAACTGGGTGCCTGGGCATGTGGGAACACAAGCTTCCTGTCCCTGCATCTGCTGGACAAAAATATTTAGATTAAATATAACCAACATGATGCGAATCAGCTTAAAGAGTAAAGAAAGGTCCAGGAATTTTAAAGGATGGTTTAGCATTGTCTGAAATTTCCCCAAACTGCTCTGAATAAACCATGTGAATACTGTATGTGGAACCCTGCTTTGAGCCCACAGCTGCCCAAAGCTTGCAAGGCCTCGGCAGCTGTGTGCACTTTGTAACAGTCCACCCCCAAAGCCTCTGCCATTCCAAACCCAGCTCTACTGGCTGACAAATATTAAACTACTTAAAATGGAAAATTAAATGGAAAGCCTCTTCCTGCCTTCTCCAGGCCCTGTGTAATTGGGAGCATGGGTCCTCACCAGCCTGTTTTACAAGCCACTGTTAGGTCTTCCAAAGCAGGAAGCCAAGGTATCTCATCTTCATCTCCGCCCAACTAGGGTCATGGTGCTCTTGAATACTTTACTCTGTGAAACACTTACAATGCCCAAAAGCTGCCATTCCCAGGCTACACCTTATAAAAACAGGCATGCTCTTCAGATGGAAAAGGCACACCCCTACTCCAGCAATCACAGAACCACAACTGAGTCATAGATAACCTGCTCTGTGAAGAGGCAGTGGAACCTGCACACCCTGTATTGATTTAAAAGGAAGCTCTTCCCCTTTCTGTCCCCACCACTCCTGCCTCTTCAAAGACCTGTGGCTACAGTCTGCCTGGAGAGGAAATTCTTGCGTCTTTTCCTTCTCCTCCCTACCACACCTCCAGCGTGTCCCTTGGCAACAGGTTCTAATTCTGCATGTCACGGAAGGAGAACAGAGGAACGCTGTCAACAGCAGTGCCTCCCTCTCATCCCTCTACAGCCCTTGCAACCTGCAGGAAAACACAGTGGGAGGCATGGTCTCCAGAGCTGAGGTCTTCTGGATGAGAGGGACTTACCAGCCACTTCCTAATTCCTTCTGCTTTCACCTACAGTTGCCACTTTTCATGCTCAGCCGAGTTATGGGAAAATGTTGGCTTGAGCAGAGGAAAAACACAGCTTCAATGTCATGAAATGTGCTAACTCTGTCATCATGGCAGAGGTTACAACACAGACATTGAAAGGTTTGACAAAGCCCATGTGGAATGGGGATCCTGCATAGCTTCTTTATAAACTGAACGTTCCCTCTCCCGATGCAACTCGACACTGGCAACACTTCTCTTTCCTTAATTTCTCATTTCCAGCACCATGCTAGGAACCTAGTAGATAGCTGGATTAATGAGACCCCTGTTTACATCTGGAGAGAAAATTAAATAACAAAACAAGAACAAATACACTGAAGGGGAATATTGAGACACTATGGGGAACATGTAAGAGGGGTCTAATCAGTCAGCTACTGGGTAGGGCTGTATGAGATTAAGTATTAAGAACCTCCTGCAGTTTAATATTTCATTGACAACACAAAAAACCAAACCAGCACCATTTCTTTCCTCTGCTTAGAATACCTTAAAAATTGTGGCACTGTATCTCAATGAGAGAGAAAGAGAAATAAACGAATGGGTGGCTCTCAGTTATTAAAAGTTTGGGCCGGGCACAGCGGCTCATGCCTGTAATCACAGTACTTTGGGAGGCCAAGGTGGGAGGAATTCTTGAGGCCACAAATTTGAGACCAGCCTGGGTAACACAGTGAAATATGTTAAAAAATTTTTTAATGAGCTAAGTGTGGTGGCACATGCCTGTAGTCCCAACTACCCGGGAACCTGAGGTGGGAGGATTGCATTAGCCCAGAAGTTTGGCTGCAGTGAGCTACAATTGCACCACTGCACTCCAGCCTGGGCAACAGAGCAAAACCCTGTCTCAAGAAAAGTTTGTAACTGTCAAAGCAAAAAAAAAAAAAAAAAAAAATTTGGTTATAATCAAAGGCATGTAATGCCAATGGCCAGGATGTTCAAAAGAAAAAGCCTGTCAAAACAGTGCTGCACTGGCCACATCCTTGAAGATAAACTATCTGCAGGAGACAAAATTTCAGAAGAACCGAGAATACTGTGAAGAAAGTCATCTGCTTATCTCAGAATAAATACCAAAGATCCATCTATGGTGGACAGCTCAGAAGAGATAGGGCATAAGAACAGAAGTAACGCTGGGAAAAATTAGCTGAACTAGACTAAACAGCAGCTGGGGAAGCAGGGTAAGATGAGAATGGGGAATTAGCAGAACAAGCTCACTGGAAGGCCTTCAAGCTGAGTGAAAAGAATATAAATTTGCTACACAAAACTCAGCCCACCATTTATATGAAATGTTCAGAATAAGCTACAGAGACAGAAAGATTAATAGATTACTGGTTGACTAGGACTGGGGAGCTTGGAGTAGGAAATAGAGTGTGCCTTCTAATGGTCACAAGGTTTCTTTTGGGGATAATGAAAATGTTCTAAAATCAGATAGTGGTGACAGTTGCACAACTTTTAAAATATACTAAAAACCGTCAAATGGTTCAAATGAGTGAATACTATGGTATGTGAATTTCATCTTAATAAAGAATGAAGGTAAAATAAAACAAAAATCCATTAAAGATTCTGATTCAATTGAAAATTATGGCAAGAAGCCGCCTTCCTTAAGCTGAGGGGCCCCTCTAGAAGCTATAGTGAGGTCTACACCAAAGAGCCCACAACCCAATCCCAGGAATCTCACAGACCTTCTGGGGCAATCTCCAAAGTGAAAACTGGATGAACCTGCTGCCTGGTTTTCCAAATTACACTTGAAATAAACTGCAGGTGACTAAAGAAAATAAGGAGCTCAAAGGTCGTTCATTCCATTTGATTACATATTAATGTGGAAGTGGCACTCAGTCCACAATAAAGCATAAACTATCCCTCAAAGACACGTGCATAACTCAGCAAAAGGGGAGTTAAATCTTTCAGAAGAGCTCTGCGTGAAACTGCAATATAATCTTGGAACAGAGGAAGGTCTGAACAATCCCCTCCAGGGGTCCCACCCATCTGTTACCTGAAAGGCACCAAGCTGGAGACCTGAGTCACACAGACACTGGAGCCCAGCTGCAGAAACATAAATGCAGTCTGTCTGGGATGGCATATAAAAATAAAGACTCTTAAATTCCATGGATGATTCTAATACAAACCTGGGACTGAAAACTACTGGATTAATCAAAATCCTTAATGATCTAGAGAAAGAAAGTGTGCAAAAAGGTAAATTCAATGTTGCTCAAGTCACCGGGCAAATCGGCGTAAGAGTCCGGACTGGAACCCAAGTCTCCTGACTCCTAGGCTTCAGGACAACCACACTTATTACGTGGGTGTAGGGGCTCAGGGAGGTCATCCTTAGAAAATTCTGGCCTCAAAACGCAGTCAGATCCCATGATAAGAAACCCTAGAAAACATACGCCTGAGCTATCATCAGGAAAATAAGTGACCTTGAGATTGGGATAAGACGACGTCTTAATATGCAGGAATTTCATTGCTCTGCTGTGTGCCCCAGTGGGACCTGATGCCCAACAAATGGAACTGAATATAGAAGAGCAATGATTTTTGTTTCACAGGCCAGATCTGATCTGGAATTCCTTTTTTTTTTTTTTTTAACAAATGAGCTGACTGTTATAAAGTAAACATCAAGGAATGTAAAAGCCAATGCTCCACTCTCTCAGCTACACATGGAGTCAGTGCTGCCTGCAAAGAACAGAGCAGGCGCTGGCAGACTGACCTTCACAGACCATGCTAAAACCCTCTGAGGAAGTGCCTGGTGAATGCTCTGGTTGATGAGATTCGAGCCATTATGTTACCGAGCAGTGTGCTTCTTACCTATAATTCCACTGTCCTTGCTTTCCAGGGTGGAACTAGGGCTGCTAATGGTCTCACAGGGACTTTTGTTGGCTGCCGTCTTGCTGACACAGCTATTCAAGGTTGAGCAGGGGCTATCGGTGCTAGGAGATGCGGTGCTGCTTGTTAGTGTGGAGCAAGGACTGATGCCTTGACTCAGAGCTGTGCACTGCAAGATGAATGGAAGGAGGAGTTAGCACGGCTTACACAGGATGCTTCGACACATGCTTTTGTTTTTGTGCTAAAACAATAAAACTAAGAACAGGAAAACGGAAGTTTTAAAAAAAAAATCTAAAGAGATATGTGTGTATAGATATGGATTCATGGAGCTTTATCTATATAAATGTATATGTGGTCTTCCAAATTTTGAGAAAGCAGTATCTTTGTTCGGTTCCCCTCCTTTGTGATTTTCCTTTTTATTAAAAGGTCAGTCTTAGCAATAATTTAGTGAGGATGCACATTTGTACAACAGAAATGGCAAACAGGCAGACTTCCTTTCATTTGAAGTCTGCAGAAGACAAATGGGTTATTTGACCTCTGTACGGAAGACCTGGGAGCTCTGTTTTTGTGATGTTTCACGAACACTGCAACCTGATTCAATTCCTCAAGATTTATGGGCTCTGCAATCAGGGGAAGGAGACTGGTGACCACTCAGTCTCAATCAATGCATGACACCCTCCCTTGCAGTGCAGAGACCTTCACCAGGGTAGAAGCTCCATCCTGCATTGCTATTCAGATGCACACATCACATCTGGGAGGTGGCAGGGTGCATGCTGCTGCTCCCTTGGAGGGGAAGTGCTTTCCTGATAGATGGACCATTTGATCTCATCTTATTTTGTCTCTGCCTCATCTCCTATAAATCTTTTCCTCACCCCACTGACCCTCCAAAATCTCAACAGCTAAAAAGGCACAGGAAAGCGTATACCAAAGCAACCAGATGAGAAGAACGGTGCTATAAAGGTAAAAGTACTGGTAGCATTATGAAGGCATTCTTTTAGCCTCTTTAATTCATGTGGCCATTATTCTCTGGGTGGTGACTAGAAGGTTAATGTGGACATTTTCTTACGTTCTGCTTCTTTCTGCTTTTCCCTACCTCCCCACTGCAAAAACCCAGAACCAAACTGTTGAAATAAATTTCAATACACAACAGCCCAGAACTCATTTAACTGAACAATGGCTTCCCTGCTCAAGGAAAGGGAGAAGATGGTTATTGCTTCGTTCATCCTCTGAAGAGGTATGCAATGTAGTGTCTTCCTCGGGCATTACCATGGTTTCATTTTTGTCTTCAATGGTTATGTGTGTGGCACTTGGGATCCCTTCTCCCAGTAAAAATCCCAGCCTTGTCAACAGTTCTTGAGCTGCCGGCGAACAGCTCGGTTCATTATCGGCCTTTGCTTCTGGAACAAAGAAAGAAAACAATGAAGATGCCCCTCTGGGGAATTTCAGTATCGCATCTGGATGAGTTCACACTACAGCTGCTTTGTCTGGTGATTTTGTGTGTTTCTATAAAATGCGCACAAAGTTGGACAACGCACCCTGTCCTCTAGCAATACATTCTAATTAAGGGACTGTGACAGGTTAAGGAAACAGTAAAACAAAAACTCCAAGTGCAAAGGGTGAGTGAGAAGAGCCCAGTGTTATCTGACGGCAATTCCTAATTCCGAGTCATGTGAAAACGGGTACTTCAGACATCAGCTTGGGTAAGAAAAGGGCCTATCTTTCATGTTACCCTCACAGAGTGCCGGGTGTCCAATGCCCACAGGAGGCTGAAATGAAGTAAAACCCTAGTGGCATGCTGGTAGAGACCCAGGCTATTTAGGTGTTGGAGTAAAACTGAAATCCAAGCTCTCATTAAACAAGCCAGGGGAACGACGTGGAAAATTTGGTGGAAAACTTCCTGTGCACATCCCACAGTAGTGAAAGTCAAAACCAGGATTTCAACTTGACGGTCAATCGTGAAGAATCCAAGTTGAAACAAAAATTTAAAATCACAGTGAAACTTGTCCCAAGAGACAGGACCCAGTACCACTGTTGCCCATGCAAAGATGTAGAAAAATCAAGCTGTATTCTCAGAATGCTGCACAGCAATGCTGGGAAAGCCCACCTTTTCTTGGGTTCTCCCTGAGGTTGGTCATCTGGTTTTTTTGTACTTAAGAGAATTTTATGGTTGGATTTGATTTAAATGTTGAGCTGTAGTTTAACCCTGTACCCAAAAAGCCCAAAGGCACTTAATTATGGCCAATAAATAAAACGATATTCACATCCTTCTAACACGTCTCTCACCTTCTAAAATCAGCATCCATCAGGGGATGAAAAATTTACAAAGCAAGCTGCTTACAAAGCTGTAACTTAACAATAAGTAACCTATGACATAGTCACTCAACATTTTGCTCTTTTTTATTAATTGTCTAGGTAACTGGACTCATATGAACCTATTTTGCTTAGATGTGAAAATCTGCAGATAATGGGTAAAGGTTTTAGGAAAAATAAAATGAGGAAACAACACAGTGATGTTGCCGTTGAGCTACAACAGCACCAACAAAGATCAATGCTCACTTCGCCTTTTGTAAGGAACCACAAAAATCAAAATAAGCAGAGCTTTTGCAAAGGCCATCTGGCTTATTGTCACTCACATATCAGTTTTGCAAGTCATGCACCCAGGATGGCAGCTACAAGGGAAACTACGCTGGCAGCATCTTCAAGAAAGGAAAAGCTTCCCACCCCTTGCTTACTGGTAAAAGCTCCTAATGTTTGGAGTAGGAAGAATGGTTTGCCAGCTTGGATGTTTTTTAGCTGCTCTGGAAAACTGCAGGGGTAAGGAAACCAAGGCTTGACTATTCTGGGTTAAAAGAGCCCTGATGCTTCTGGACCATGTGAGCCAAACATGAAGGGGCAGTGGCCCCAAGCCAACACAGGGAAAAGGAGCCACCCCAGGGCGGGTCGACCTCATGCCAAAGCCGCTCTACAGGAGGTCCCTTCCTACCTCAAAGCACATTTTGATTCTCAAGGTAGCTGGGCGTTTGGGAAAGGAGGGCGGGAACCAAACCAGATCAGCAGACAGAGGCACACCCAAGGGGTGAGGCCCTCAGAACAGGATGGCACCGCCCTCCCTCCGCCTCTGCCCCGGGCCCAGGCAGGGCAGCTACTTTATCTCAGGTGGCAGCTGGGCTGGAGGGAGGGAACAGGACGCAGATGGAAAGGGAAGAAGTGGGTGAGGGGGCAGATCTCCGCAGTTTCTCCACTCCACACCCCCCTTCCCTTTCGAAACAATCTCCACACTGCTCCCGATTGTGATTATGCCCCAGAATGTCTAGCTTCTGGTTCAACCTGAAACACTCTGTGTAGAGAGCCAGAAATGACTCCCATTTGGCAGCTGCCGTGGAGGCAGAGAGAGCAGCTGCAGGAGCTTGGCTCCACAGAATTCACCTCCACAACAAACAGGGCCATGCCTGTGGCTCACTTGGGACTGGCAGGAGGACCCTGATCCTATGTAGGTCCTATGTGCAGCAGGGGGACCGCAACACCCCAGCACAGTGGCTGCTGCCTCCACACTGTGTCTGCAAACAGATACTCCAGGATCTCAAGTGTTTCATTTTTTTTTTTTAATCCAAAAACAACTTACCATCCAACCCATTTCAGATAAGTTGGGGAGCAGTGGCGATTCCAGCTTTAATGGTTGAGTTGAAAAGGGACACCTAAGCCGGGTGCGGTGGCTCACGCCTGTAATCCCAGCACTTTGGGAGGCCGAGGCGGGTGGATCATCTGAGGTCAGAAGTTTGAGAGCAGCCTGGCCAACATGGTGAAACCCCATCTCTATTAAAAATACAAAAATTAGCTGGGCGTAGTGGCAGATGCCTGTAATCCCAGCTACTCGGGAGGCTGAGGCAGGGGAATCACTTGAATCCGGGAGGCAGAGGTTGCAGTGAGCCGAGATTGTGCCACTGCACTCCAGCCTTGGCAACAGAGCAACATTCTGTCTCCAAAAAAAAAAAAAAAAAAAAAGGAAAAGGGACACCCAAATTCATGATCAACTGTTCTCTTAACTGCACAACCTGGACTTTGCTGCTACCCAAGTTCTAAACCCTTACCCGGGGTTGGGATGAATGGACAGACGTTATTTTATTTACTTCATGTTTATATCCATTAAGGCACTGCAACTGTATTCTTCCAAAGGCTTCCCACCTGTCTTTTCATATTATTCTGTCTTCTAAAATGTCATCCCAGTGATCATCCCCTTAAAAGGTCCCCTTCAGTCTGAATTCCTTAATCCAATGAAGCTGTCTGAATCTCTCCCTTCCCTAATGCACAGAGCCCTCTCTCACTGAACTTCTCACTCTGGCAGAAGGACCGCCTGGGAGAAGTGTCACTGAGCCATCTTGGGAGTGATGAGTTGCTTAGGAACTCACATGGACACGCTGTGAAATGGAAATACATGTCTACTTGCATAGCTGTTCACTAAATACTGAGATCTGAACAGCCAGATGGTTTTAGGCTAGTTACTACAAAAGCACCTCCAAGTCAAATTCAAACAGACCACTCTAAATAGCAAGTCTATTTTCATTCATGTAGTTAATATTAAATCGCTGATCAATAATGGGTGTACATTACCCAATACCAGTGGGATGAGGGCTGGAGAGAAGACTTCACTTTTCATTTCACAGATTTAAATATCTGACGGCTGTATGATGGCTTTATTTGGAGATGAGAGAATGCCCTGGGAATCCATTAGGCAAGTGGAGAACAATACTCCCCCCAGCAGCACATTCATGGAACCCTCAGTATTACATAGCGTGAAAGGCTGACTGCATGGAGAAAGGTAAAGGGAAGTTCTTGAATCACTTCTGACTGCCTCTATTCAGCTTCTCACCCCCTTGTGGACCACATATGGGGGCACAAATGCTAAGGAGCAGTCCACAAACTGACCAGCTCCCGACTGCCATCATAACTTTAAACCATCAGTGCCCTCTACAACCATCTTCTCATCTTCCGCCACTGTCTGGGAATCCAGGGTGTTCTCAGTGCTAACCACCATCCAGATCCTTTTGGGTACTGAACCTCTCTCAACTGCACTTTCTTAGTGAGGGAAGTGGCCATACCCACCTCCTACAGGTTGTGAGGCTCAAAACCAATGTGTGTGAGAAACAGCTTATAAACCACAAGATGCTATAGAATTGGTCATTCTCTCTACCAACTTTAACACCAAGAGCCCGCACTTCCTTGCGATTATTTTCTGGTTTCACAAGTTCATATCTATTTTCAAGTGTGCTTGTATGTCTTACATAACTTTCTGTTCATAATTTTTCTGCCTCAAATAGGTTTTTGTAAACTCACTATTCCATGACAACAAACCCCCTTCCTTTTTCTGCTTACCAAACCATCCCAATTTGGCCTGCACCTTACTGCTTTCATTTTCCATTCCAATCATTCTCTCTTGTTTAAAGCCAGGGGAGGAGCGCAGGTCCCTAGTGATCACCAAGTATTATCACTCCATAGAGAAGTCTTTCCTCCATTCTCGTCCTCCTCAGACTCTAAAGAACACTGAGTATTGCTGACGACATTCGTCAGTTCACTATCATGTGACCTATCACCATGTGACCTCGAAGTTGACTTAATACCAAGTGTCCAAGATAGCACTTGTGAATCTAGTCTGCTAAATGAGACAGGCCCTTGGTTTGACATTAATCCTCTGCCTCTATCTATCCATGACCTGCTTCTCACTTATCCTCTTGCCTTCCATGACTCCTACTTACAAGTATTTTCCCTGTTTCTGTCTGCTCCTTCTCAGCCATTACCATTCCCTCCCTCCTTAGAGTTCCAAAAACAGTATTTAAAAAGGAACATTGGCCGGATGCGGTGGCTTACACCTGTAATCCCAGCACTTTCGGAGGCCGAGGCAGATGGATCACCTGAGTGATCAGATGTTCGAGTGGATCAGGAGTTCGAGAGCAGCCTGGCCAACATGGTGAAACCCTGTCTCTACTAAAAATACAAAAAAACTAACTGGGCATGGTAGCACGTGCCTGTAATCCCAGCTACTCCAGAGGTTGAGGCAGGAGAATCACCTGAACCCAGGAGGCGGAGGTCACAGTGAGCCAAGATTGTGCCACTGTACTCCAGCCTGAGAGACAGAGCGAGACTCCGTCTCAGAAAAATAAAAATAAAAAGGAACATCCATCCATGGACCTGCTCTGTTTCTGTCAATAATTTGTTGTTTCTGGTCTGCAATACCAAAACATAGTTATCATGCAGGTTACCTTCAAAATTTTCATGTCATCCACCCCATATTGAAATTATCACCAAACTTACTATTTCTCCATTCAAAATGCCTCCTGAATTAGCCTTTTCTTCTTCAGTCATCCATCACTCAACTTAAAGTCTTCATCCTCTTAAGTCTAGAGGACTATCAGAGTTTGGATCAATTTTCTCATCTCTATTTTTATTTTCTCCCTCTTTTCCTTCCTCTAGAGCCAGTAGGTTCTTAAGCTTTTTGGTCTCAGAATTCACTCTTAAAAACTGAGGACTGCAGGCTTAGGAGGGTTATGTCTATTGACATTTATCATACTAGATATTAAAACTAAGAATTTTTAAACTGTATGTTAGTTCATTTTAATGTTATAAAACTTCATGTTAACAATTAATATTTTAATTAAAAAACTAAATTTTAACTTATGGGTACATAGGTAAAAAGCTGTACTTTTGATTTTAAAGATTAGTTAAGAAGAATGGCATTGTTTTTACAATTTTACAAACTTTAATGTGCAATTAAATAGAGGACAGCTGGATTTGTATAACTTCTTCTGCATTCAATCTGTGGGGATCAGTTCTTTTGGTTGAAGCATGTGAAGAACTGCAGCCTCAGACAGATACATAATTGGGAAAGACAGGAGTCTTTTTAGTTAATTATAGAAATTCTTCTCTGATACCCAGCCAAAACTTGACAATCAGCAATTTCCATTTTTTTTTTTTTTTTTTTTTTTTTTTTTTTTTGAGATGGGGTCTTGCTATGTTACTCAGGCTGGTTATGAACTCCTGGGGCTCAAGCAGTCCTCCTGCCTCAGCCTCCCCAAGTGCTGGAAACAGCAATTTCTTAAAGGTAAGTTCCACTGTTGACTCAATCTGCATCGATGAATTTTTTGTACTGTTACAGTAAGATCCAATGGTCTGTTTTATACTGTAAATGGATCTTTTACCCATGCAAGACTGTGTAACATTATGCATTGGGTCATTTGGAAAATAATGGTTTTACAGATTTTGCAAATGTTGACAAATGTTATCACATAATATCAAAACATCACATTACGAGAGATCTCAATTGAAAAGTCTTGGGAAACCATCAAGCTCAATGTGACAGGTGTAAAATTTCCCAAAAAACCTAATTTTCATTTGAAATGTCAAGTTTTATTATGGGCAACTAATCCTGTCAGAGTTGGTTTTTTGTTTTTTTTTGTTTTGTTTTGTTGTTTTTTTTTTTTTTTTGAGACAGAGTCTCGCTCTGTGGCCCAGGCTGGAGTGCAGTGGTGCAATCTTGGCTCACAGCAACCACCAACTCCTGGGTTCAAGCAATTCTCCTGCCTCAGCCTCCCGAGTAGCTGGGATTACAGGTGCCCACCACCATGCCCAGTTAGTTTTGTATTTTTAGTAGAGACAAGGTTTCACCATGTTGGCCAGGCTGGTCTCAAACTCCTGACCTCAGGCAATCCGCCCGCCTTGGCCTCCCAAATTGCTAGGATTACAGGTGTCAGCCATCGTGCCTGGCCTTTTTTTTTTTTTCTATTGAAGTGCCAGGCTAATTTCATTCCTGTTGAAGAAAAAATGTGCCAAATACCTACTTCAGAATAACCATGGGTTGTCAGTCATTCTTTCAAATAAAAACAATATTCCATTTTAAAAGTAGCGAGTTCAGCTTGCAATTCAATCATACAAGTGCTCTGCCTCAAGAAAACCATCAGACTTCCGAGCATGCAGAAGGGCTTTACTCAGACTTCCCACTTCATCACACAGAATATTAAAAAGATGGGTCTCCAAGGGTCAAGATTTAATAACATTACTTTTAGTGCTTCATCAAGGACATTCTTCAGTGAATTATTTGTGAAGCCAGCACTTGGCAGTGAAGAACACCAGGACTACCAGTGTAGCCAGTGCCTTGACATATACTAAGGTATCAGAAGTTTTACCAACAATTGCTTTTGCAGCATCAGTGCAAATGTCAACAAAGGGAAATGTAAATACCTTCTCCGTATTATTACAAAAGGGTTTTGTACTATTATAAAGAGTTTTGACATCACAAACCCCTGAAAGTGTCTTGGGGACTAGAAGTCCACAGCCTACACTGTCAGAACCTCTGAATTAAGTCTACAACTGTGTTAAATAAAAACCACAGCTGCACACATCTCTCATCCTAGTAACTGATCTCCCATCTTTATCTGTTTAATTTGGGGGTAAAAGAGGGCTCTCTATTCTCACCAATTCCATTTCCTTATCACATACCTATAACTTCAAGTCACAGACCTTCACAAGTCTCCTGAAACAGCCCTGTTAAGCACATTAATTTTTCTTTTTCCTTTTTTGTAGTACACCTTCTCTTTTGATTTTCCTGTAGATCTACGGCCTTGCAAGCACTCTGTCCTGCAAGGTATAAAGTGGCAATTGTTGTAAGAGACACACAGAGGGAAAAATCCATGATTACCAGAATACTGTGGTCTTGTGTGGTCTTTTCCTGTCCCTCTTGCTGGTGCTCCTTGCACCTTAGTCCCAGCTCATAAATGAAATACCAGTTTCTCAGCCCTCTTTTGTCAACGACCTGTTTCCCTACTGTAACTTGCCTAGTCTCACAGCATTACTTCCAAGCAAATGGCTGACCAGTTTATATCCTGAGCTCTTTCTTGATACCCAGTTTGATTTTCCAACTGGTGGCTGGACACTTGCGAAGATGTTCCACCAGCACTTTGAAGTCTCCATGCCTGAAACTGAACTCAAACCAAAACACAGTCCCTGCTCCTCCAGTGTCCCTTAATGTGGTCTCAAAGGCGTGAAGTTGTTGTCTCTGTCTTTTTCAGTTCCCAGGTCCTTGCAATTCCTCAAGAATCTTCCATTCACCACCTCTTCTTCACTGAACCTGAACTAATTTGAGACTTTATCCTCTCACTTAATTACTAAAACAATTTTTTAATCATTCTTAACCGTAGTCTCTTTCCAGTCCCACTCCATCCTACTCTGTTGCCACGTACTATAGTCTGAATGTCTGTGTCTCAGAATGGGATTAGTGACCTTATAAATGAGGGAGCTTGTTTGTCCCTTCCACTACATGAGGTTACAGCAAAAAGATGGCTGTCTATGAACCAGCAAGTAGGCCTTTGCCAGACCCCAAATCTGCAGACTACCTTGATCTTGGACTTTCCATCCTGCACAAATCTAAGAAATAAATTACTGTTGTTTATCAACCACTCAGTTTATGGTATTTTTGTTATAGCAGCCTGAACTAAGACAACAGGTAAATCTTAAGGCATAGCTACAATTAAGTCTTTCCATGCTCAGAATCTCCATCTGCTGGCCAAGCATAGTGGTTCGCACTTGTAATCCTGGCACTTTGGGAGGCCAAGGCGGGTGGGTCACCTGAGGTCAGGAGTTTGAGACCAGCTTGGCTAACATGGCAAAACTCTGTCTCTACTAAAAATACAAAAATTAGCCGGGTGTGGCGGTGGGTGCCTGTAATCCCAGCTACTCGGGAGGCTGAGGCAAAAGAATCGCTTGAACCCAGGAGGCAGAGGTTGCAGTGAGCCGAGACTGTGCCACTGCACTCCAGTCTGGGCAACAAGAATGAAGCTCCATCTCAAAAAAAAAAAAAAAAAAAAATAGAGAATCTCCATCTGCTGAACTCCTAGTTCATCACACAGCTTGGATTAGTCATTACTTCCTCCTTTATTACAGTCACGCCATATACAGGTCTCTAATCCCCTGCCAGACTCTAAGGCTCCATAAAGACAGGACCCATGCTTGATAACCCATCTCAAATAGCATTTAGCATAGTGTTTTTTCACAGCATAGAAACTGAATACTTATTCAAGGAAATGCAGAATGAATGGATACTCTACTTCCAAGAGTCTCTCTTCTGTGCACACATACCAGGTATGCCCCTTTTCTATACTTCCATCAAATAAAACCTCATTCAACCATTGGTTGAATGTTGCACTGCCATTCTAAGAAGCTGAAAATTAAAGCAGGATCAAGGTTACCTCTTGGGAAAGAAAGGGTTTTAAGAAATAAAACATGACTATGCATTTTTTTCAATCATATTCTTTTTTTCACTTTTTTTTTTTTGAGACAGGGTCTCACTCTGTCTCCCAGGCTGCAGTGTAATGGTGTGATCATGGCTCACTGCAGCTTCCACCTCCCTGGCTAAAGAATCCTCCCACCTCAGCATCCTGAGTAGCTGGGACCAGAGAGGTGCACTGCTATATCTGGCTAATTTTTTGACTTTTTGTTGATATGAGGCCTTGCTACATTGTCCAGGCTGGTATCAAACTCCTAGGCTCAAGCAATTCTCCTGCCTTGGCCTCCCAAAGTGCTGGGATTATAAGGGCGAGCCACCACACCCAGCCCCTTTATGCTTTATACCTCTTTAATCCTCTATACCTGTCTGACCATCTAAAATGGTAATAAAAAACATAAGGTATCAAAATATTTACTTAAGCATATAACTAAAGACCCTCTCCTCCCAGAAGATAGTTTCACATTGAATTATTCTGCTCTTTCATATGTGTTAGCTTTATTTGCTTAGTCAGACTGCCAGGAAAAAAGTTTCGTCACTGACTGACATGAAGATATCATTTAAAAAAAGTTTCATCATATTTTGAGATTGATCTTCACAGAGCAATGACTTATGAGACTAAAAACTTTCTAGCCCCTCCTCAAAACTTGCCCTAGTAGCTAGAAATATATTAATGCAAACCTAAATAAATTATGGTTACCCCTAAATCAAAGAAATAAAGCGTGGATCCTGTTATAACAATCATCTCTAATTTATCTGAAGGTTTTTTTTCCCTTAACGCAGATATTGTTTGTGGGTAAATGAGCTTTCCCCTAAACGATATGTTGATTTAGCAATAGGAAGCTTACTCATTAAGAACTTATTCTACCTGACACACAGCTTATTAGGACCATTTGACATGAAAATGGGCTTTGTATTTTGTTTGATGATTTTATTAAGTCATCCGTTTTTCCTAGAGTAGAAAATGCTGTGTTTCAAATATATTTAAACATACTAAGATAGAATGTTTTTTCCTAAAGATGTTTCCAGGTGAGTGCAAACTCCTTCCTTTCCTTCCTTTCTTTTTTAAAGAGACAAGGTCTCACTATGCTGCTCAGGCTGTTCTCAAACTCCCAGTCTCAAGCAATCCTCCCACCTCGGCCCCCTGAATCACTGGAATTACAGGTGTGAGCTACAGTCCCCAGCTTGCAAGCTTTAAGAAACAAGTTATTTGCTTACAAAAAAAAATTCATCTTCTTACATCATCGAACCCACACTTCCCAGAAGGCTAAAACGTGCATCACACATAAATGCAATTACTTATAAATAAGCAAATTCAAAATGTTCTTTGGTTTGTTTTCCTTTGATTTAAAATCCAAACAGAGAGCTAAGAATCAAGAGTTGATGGAGCTACATGACCAAAGCAAAAGTGAGGCAGGAAAGTATTTCAAGCATTTAGGAATAACCTGCTATTTCACGAGTCCATGGGAAATTTCAAAAGCACTTCACAAAGAGCTGTTTTCAGTGGAGTCTGTTAGTCTGGTGAATACTGGCATGCTATTATTGACAGCACCCAGAAAAGCGTCTTAGAAACTTAAACAAGAATGTCCAAGGGAAATATAGATAACAGAAGACCACATTTTAAAGTAAAACTTAAGTGATGATGCTGATATTAAACCCTAAAAATGAGGGTTTGCCCATCATGTATCTGTACACACCTGGGTTAACACTCAAACTCAATTAGTTTTAGTCGGCTCTATCATTTCCTTTGGGTTCAGTGATCTGGATAAAATTTACACTTTGACATGGCAGACTTAATTAACCCCATTGAAATTTAAGGGACTCCATGGGGATTACAAAACATACCATTCTATACTAATTGTCCTGTTCGACTTTGTTAGGCAGCCACCTCTCCTCATCAACCAAGAGAAAGCTCACCCTGCTGCGGCATCCACCAACATCATGGCTATCTTCAGGCAAGACCATGCACCCACAGACGTGAACTACACCTGCTCCCGAGACACTTAACAAAAATGAAAACATACCCTGCTTCTTAATTTCAGGCGAAACCGAAATGTCTGGTCCTGTATTTGTAGCCCATAGATCTCATAACTTTGGTCCCCATGAAGACTAAAGATGCCGAATCAGAAAGCTCAGGTCTCAGGAGTGAGCACACATGCAAACTTCAGGCCACTCCAGCAAGACCAATTGCTGCATTTGAAATTTAGCTCAGCCCACAGCCAAGCATAAGAACACTTCCATTCGTCAAGAAAGGTGGCCAATTCTGCTTTGAGCAAGGGAGAAAAGTTAACAATAGGAACTATTTATAACCTTTTATTGCCTAATAAAAATCCAAATTTTCTACCCCCACTCCCACACCAGGAGGAGGAGGTCCCAATCCCTGTACAGAACCTTAACGATACTCCCAGCCAGGGAGGAAGAGGTTACATAATGGAGCCTAGGCCAGCCAAAATGCCAGGGGCATAATTGACCAGGGCTACAAAGGCTTTGGTGGGTGGGGAAGAAGGGAAGAGGTAGGTAGCAGGCTTAATCTGAGCCAGGCAGACAGCTTAGACATTTGATGACTGATATTCACTACAGAGAGAGAGATTTTACTTTCCTTTCAGGACACCGAGGAGAGAGAGAACAGACTGCCTGCCCACGTGAACGCACAATCAAGAGAGGCCTCATGTACCAGCAGTTGGCTATCCTAACCAGACACCACAGTGGAATCTCCACCTTCACCAGCAACATTCGGTGTGCACAAATCCTCAGCTCAAATCCTCTTCCCTCAACCACACAATGAGTGCCTGGACAGAAAGGAAAAGGGTGGCATTTCTCATGCCAAGACACCTGCAATAGCACCTCTTGCCTGCCCAGAGTGCCCAGTGCCTGGCCCCATCTTTTCCCCATGTCCCAAACTCCCCTTCCCTTCCCAGTTTTCAGCTTTTGCTGATCCTTCCTCACAGCTCATTTTTAGCTATATTTTTACCACCACTCCAGTATATTGTCTTCCCATGTCCTACTTATTACCCACTCCCTGCCATACAGCACCAGCAACACAAAAGGCACACACAGGTTAGGACATAAAGGGTCTGTATCTCCCACCACCCACAATTAGGCAGAGGAAGGTGCCAGATATGCCAAAGTAAAAATATGGTTGAGTTCTCTTTCAGCATTGCTACATAAACTTTTGTCCACACTGAGGATAAAGCAAGCCCCTTTACATACAGCAAGATTCCTAGTCCCATGTTTCTGCAGAAAAACAGGGTGGAAATTCAAAACACCCAAATTAAAGGCAAGAGAGATGTGAGTTGGGGACTCCCCAGAAAGGAACAAACAGGAAAATTCTTGAATTGATTTTTTAAAATAAACAACTATGAATATATCTGTTAAATGCTGCAAATTTGTAATGTCACACATATTTCCAGGTATAAAATACATATACATATAAAATGTCTTTAAAAATATTTCCATCAATTTGGTTTTTTTTTTTTTTTTTTTGCTCCTACTTCAACATCCCCTAAAGAAAAACTTCAGATGTTAAAAAAAGCAGCCTTCAAAAGACACCAAATGCTTTTTTTAAAGCTAGCAATTACATGCTTTGTCCAGTTAAGGTTTCAGCTTTTCAGCCAAAGCCTGTTGTTGAATTTTCTCAAGCAGTAGAATATTAAAAACAAAACAAAATCTTGGAAGCAATCTACTGGGTGACGCTTCCTATCCTCCAAGACCTGGTAGGTCAAAATTCAGAGGAAATAGGACTCAATCCTTAAATAATGCATATGTACCCACTTAACTATTTATACGCCAGGTATACAATTTCCAAGAATTTGCGTTAGCCAAACAGATCTCTGTAACTGCTGGAGGGGAAAATACCTCCCAAATACATTCTCAGCAAAGCAGTACTGCAAGGACACTCAAGTTTCATTCAGAAATGAAGTGTCATTGTATAAAATCTTTGGTAGAGGGGGAAGGAAATCACTGAAATTCTTACCATGCTCATCAGGCTCTGTTGGCTTGGCTACTTCTCTGAATGGCATTATAACTGCATCTCCAGGCACTCTGGGGCTTTCCACATACTTGGGCTTCCTGACGGGACCTGTAGTGGGAAAGATCTGAGTGTGGCTAATTTTTTCCAGATGCAAACAAAGCCTTGGAATGTACAGTGTGTGTCCTTACCAGGACCCAAATATGCCTAGAGGAAGAGCCAGTGCCTTCCCCTCCCTTAAACGCGCGCGCGCGCACACACACACACACACACACACACACACACACACACACACACACACAAAATTTCAGTACAGACGAGGGAACGTCCAGTCTGGCCTGCCAAAGAAGAAAAGAGTAAGCTCAGATTTGAGAATGTAAACCCTAACAAAAACAAAAGCTGCTCTCTTGCTGTGAAGTCGCTACAGCTGTCTTCACTGGTCAAGTGGGTGATTTTGACATGTTCAAACCTGGACTGCTTTGTGATGAAGGGTTTGATTTTCCTCTAACTAGGACAAGGATGGGACAAAGACAATTTGGTAGCTTGGTATCTCTAAAGTCAGGAGGCAAGGATTACAAACAGCCGGCCTGTAACAGCAACACAGTCTGCGCACCAGCCACAAGAACACAGGCATCTTATCTGGCTGGTGACGCACAGTAACTGTGCGGGGCACAGCAGCCAGCAAGCGGGTCAGACATAGGAGAGACCAACAGGCTTATCTCCTACCTCCTGTTCCCACAGCCCCTGCTTATTATCAGAAAATCCGGAATTCTTCGTAAGACTGGATGGAACCCTCACATACAATGATGCAGCCGTTTTGGAAAACAGTTTGGCAGTCGTTCAAAAGGTTAAGTGCAGAGTTACTACATGGCCCTGCAGTTCTACTCCTATGGGAATGTATGTTCACACAAAAACTTGTACACGAATGCTCACAGTAACGCCATTTGTACTAGCTAAAGGTACGTCAAATGACAACAACAAAATGTTCTTTGCCCACACAATGGATTATTGGGCAGTAGAAAGGAATGAAGTATCGATTCATGCTACAACATGGATGAAGCTTGAAAACATTCTGCTAAGTGAAAGAAGCCAGTCACAAAGGATCTACATGATTCCATTCATATGTCATGCCCAGAATAGCCAAATCTTTCAGAAAGTATAAATGGTTGCCAGGGGCTGGGGGTTATGCAGGCTATGCAGGCCTGTGGGGTAATGGTAAGGGATATGTGACTTCTTTCTAGAGTGACCAAATGTTCTAAAATTAGGTTGTAGGGATGGTTGTACAACTCTATGAATATATTTAAAATTAGTCTATTGTATGCTTTAAATGGGTGAACTGTATGGATGTGTATTATACCTAAACAAAACTGCTTAAAAAAAATTAAAAGGCTAGGCACGGTGGCTCACACCTGTAATTCTTGCACTTAGGCCAACACAGAAGGATCACTTGAGCCCAGGAGTTTGAGACAAGCCTGGGCAACACAGTGAAGACCTGGTCTCTATACAAAAATAATAACAAAGAGGCCAGGCGCGGTGGCTCATGCCTGTAATCCCAGCACATTGGAGGCCGAGGCGGGTGGATCATGAGGTCAGGAGTTCGAGACCAGCCTGGCCAAGATGGTGAAACCCCGTCTCAACTAAAAAAAATACAAAAATTAGCCAGGCGCGGTAGTGGGCGCCTGTAATCCCAGCTACTCAGGAGGCTGAGGCAGGAGAATCGCTTGAACCCAGGAGGTGGAGTCTGCAGTGAGCTGAGATCACGCCACTGCACTCTAGCCTGGGCGACAGAGCAAGACTCCATCTCAAAAAATAAATAAATAAAAATAAACAAAGTTAGCTGGGTGCAGTGATGTGCGCCTGAAGTCCAAGCTACTCAGGAGGCTGAGGTGGGAGGATCACTTGAGCCCAGGAGGTAAAGGTTGCAGTGAGCCAAGATCACACCACTGCATTCTAGCCTGGGCGACAGGGTGAAACCCTGTCTCAAAAATAAAGAAAATACTGCCTATTCTGTTACATTTTGGTCCAAAATCACTTCCTTGATTCTAGTGTTCCTTGGTTGCCTTAAAGTGGCTTTTAGCAAGACCACAAAGATAGGAAACATTTTACATCAGTAAGAGAAGGGGTAGTAGAAGACATGCAGGCAGGAATCTACAACTATCCCCTCTTCTTAGCCCTGGGCCATAGCCCTGACAGTCCCAGGGGCCCAGTTCCACCACTGTGTCATGATGGGGTGATGCAGATAGACCATCCTTCTGTCTCAAACGTCTTCTGCATCTAAGAAATTCTGTTCAAAAGATGGTTTATGGCGAGAGATGCTGCCATCTAAAGGCATACTACAAAAGCATTTATACTACTATAAAAATAATCCAATTCCTAGCCAGCTACATGGGTGTACTACATCTTAAACTAGACTGTTATCAAATAAGCTAATAATACTTTACAAATAAGGACGGTATTTCAAACTTCAGGAACCATCGTTTTTAAATGATTCATGTAGTATTTAATCACTTGGCGGTCTTCATAATTTAACCCTGTCATAAAGGGAACTTTTACAAAGATTAAAATAGAATGGTTACAGGGGACACACAATTGCAATCTAAGTGCGGGATGTAGGCTATTCAACAGTATCCAGACTTTATCTACAACATATATATATATCCACACATAAATATGCGTAGGGAAAAAGACTTGTGGGGGTTTGGGGGTGGAGCTAAACTATTTGCTGTGTAAGAGACATAAACTAGAAAGAAGGGCCTGAATAGGACAGATACAAATGGAATCAATTAGCTGGGTGTGGTGGCGTTTGCCTGTAGTCCCAGCTACTCAGGAGGCTGAGGTAGGAGGGTCTTGTAAGCCCAGGAGTTGGAGGCTACAGTAAGCCGTGATTGCACCACTGTGCTCCAGCCAAGGTGACAGAGCAAGACCCTGTCTCAGACAAAAAAAGAGAAAAAAAAAAAAAAGGAACCAGAACAAAGACAAGAACCCATATACACTTTTGGTTTGCCACCTACTCTCTAAGGTAAAATGAACTGCTGACATATTTTCCCTTCATCTGCCCTCATCCATTTGAAGGACCTGGGGAGGTAAAGCTCTTTGTTATTATTGCCTGATAATTTGCCCAATGAGCAGGCATGGCCACTGCTCAAGAAGTGCCTGTATTTCTGCTCCCCTTAACTCTTCAGGGTACAGTAACAGCAAATCTAAAGAGATCTATTTCCAAGCTCCAATCTACCTACCCAAGAGAGTCTTCAAAACTATTCTCTAATAGTAAGCACTTTCTTAAAATGTGGGCTATTTCATTAATGTATGATGGTTATTGTAAATGTCTGGATCCTGGAACCCAGTATCACCCAGAGCCTTCAGAAAGCATCCACGTGCCTGCCTGTTTAACTGTCTTAGAACGGTTCTATTCAGATCCAACCCCTAACTCATAGACTCAACCCTGAGGAGCCAGGATACTCAACGCAGGGACTCATGAGTTGGGCAGACCTAGGTTCAAATACTGTACCCAGGCCTGGCACGGTGGTTCATGCCTGTAATCCCAGCACTTTGGGAGGCCGAGGTGGGTGGATTGCCTCATGAGTTCCAGACCAGCCTGGGTAACATAGTGAAACCCCATCTCTACTTAAAAAAAAAAAAAAAAAAAAAATTAGCTGGGTGTGGTGGCATGTGCCTGTAGTCCCAGCTACTTTGGAGGCTGAAGTACGAGAATCACTTGAACCCAGGAGATGGAGGGTGCAGTGAGCTGAGATCACACCACTGCACTCCAGCCTGGGCAACAGAGTGAGACTGTCTCAAACAAAACAAAAGAAAAACAAAACAAAACAAAACAAAACTGTACCCCTCCCTCCTCATGTCCCCTAACTCGGGCCTTAATATGTCCCAGACCCTAAAGGTGAGCAAATGAACCTCTTGCTACAAGGGGAAAATCCACGCACAAAGACCAGGCCCACCTGGTTCCCAGGCACACTAAATCACAGTAATGTCACATACGAAAGGAGACCTAGAATATAACAAAGTAAGTAAAATATATATTCAGTGGTCACACAAGGCAAAGCACGCACATACATTAATTCACTCATTCCTAATAACTCTGGGAGAAAAGTACAATTTCCCTCATTTTTAGGTCAGGAAACTGAGGTTCAAATAAGTTGTTCTTATCTGAACTCGGCCCACACATGACAAAGCAGGAAGGAATTCACACCCTGGTCTATGCAGTTTTGAAGCCCAGGCACTGAATCACCATTGAGCACTTATACAACTATCAAATCTGGATTAAATATGCAATTCTAGAAAAAGCCCAGGCACTGGGAACTTCCACCACCCAGTCATCAACATCCATGGACGCTGGCTGCAGAGGCAGCAAATCGTTTATGCATCCTACTTGTCTCTGATCTTCCCTTTTACTAGAGGAAATATTAAGTGAATATAAACAACTGTTCTCCTGCATGATCCTTGTATTTAAATTGCTTTTCACAAACAGCTGAACATAAAGTGCTGTAAAACAAGATAAATTTATAACCATAGGTTTTATTGTCCCCCACAATCACTCATTAGAGAATTTGTGCATACTTTGCATTAAGCAGAGCAGATGATACGTGTTTGCCTCCACTCCCTCTCAAAACACCATTAAAGTTGTAGCAAAAAGATTAAAGAAAGACCAGTGGGGAAAGGAGAAAGAGCCACTGGCCAGAAACCAAGCCTCTGAAGGTAGGAAACAGATTGCCAAGGAGCAGTGGAGCAGGTGGAGCAGAAAGGTTAGTGTTGGGTGGGGGCAGGGGAAGGGGCGGGGGGAGGGGGAGTGATGAGGGCTCAGCCCGGGCCAGAGCCTCGGTGACAGCAGGCCCATCGGAAGGCAGGGGCGCGGGTGACATCCAGTAGTGTGGCTGGTTGAAAACTACTGAAGGAAAAGTGAGACCCCCCAATCCCAGAAATTTCTTAAGCCTGGAACATCCCTTCCCCTCCCTCATCCTGGAGGCCAAGTTTATTCTCTGGAAAGGCTCAATTCTAAGACCATGGAGAGAGATTCAAGAGCTAAACTCATGAGTGCCGTTTTCTTTTCATGTTTTTTTTAAACTTGTAACTGCTAAGGAAAAAGTAGATTAAGAAATATTCTACATGCAGACTGATGGGCCAGAGACGTATCTCCCACCCCCAGCCCCCAGCTATGAGATCTGACAGCCAAGCTTATAGGCCACGGCAGGAAGAGATGGGAGGATTCCTCTCTGGGGAAGCTCATCAAGAGAAGAAGGCCTAAAGATAATCATAGTTGGGGACCCCCCACCCCAAGAAAGGTAGATCCCTGACCATCATGCTGCAGCACAGCTTGCCCTCAACGTACCCCTTTCAATCAGCTTTTAGCACCTTATATACAAATAAGGAGCCAAGGACCACCAGGCAGGTGAGGAAAGACCTACCCTGAAAGACAGCAACTGACACAGATTAAGAAAGGAACTCTGAGTTGGGCACGGTGGTGCACGCCTGTAGTCCCAGCTACTTGGGAGGACTGCCTAAGCCCAGGAGTTCGAGGCTGCAATGAGCTATGATTGTGCCAACCCTGTCTCTTTAAAAAAATAAACTAAGGAATGAGAGAAAAGAAGAAACGCCCTATAGAAAGAAAAGCAATACTGTTTCTATTACACAAAAGGATACTGGCACAAGGGACATCTGGAGCCCATGATGTGGGCAGCTAAGCAGGCTGCGGCTACAGAACAACTGCAGGCCACACAGTCAGGAGCCATCACAGTCACCAAGCGCCAATCACACATGACCACCTATTAAACCACAATGACACTAATCGCTGTGCCATCTATACGGAACACTCCCCCACATAAAGCAGCCACAGTCCTTATCAACAGAGATCCAGACTGAAAAATCCATCTCCCCAAGCCCTCACTCAGGGAAAACTACTGCCCAGCACCTTCCCCTCACAACTTTTTGTTTAAAACGAAATATTCAAGCATAAGCTACTTTTAACTTCCCCCTTTTACTTAAACCAAGTGTTATGAGATTAATCCCCCCAAATTAACCAGAATGTAATACTACATAATAATTACCCAGAAAGCATGATATTCCAGCTACTGGGTATGTTTTAACGCAGGAGGCTCTTAAAAACAAAACAAGACTTGTCTGTGGATAAAAACATGAAATAAACAACAACAACAACAACGAGAACAAGGAAAGACCGTCTGGTATTAGCTGACAACCAGCTCCTCTAGGAGCTGGCATGTCTCCAGGGCTGGGCTCCCAGTCCCCCGCCGCCCCCGGTACTGGTATCCTGCTGCCGCCGCTTTTCCAGCTGTAACGTGCACAGGCTTCAAATGTAGATTCTGATGTTCAAGGTGTGGGCTGGGACCACAGATGACACTTTGGTAGCACGAACGGGGTCTCTAGGGAAGACCGCTGTTTACCACCCACTCCAGTCAGGTTCAAGTGAAGTGCAGTGGCTGTGAGTGGAGCACCAACGTGTTCAGTTTACAAGATTTAAGATAAATGGGCATTACCCTCCATCATAAATTAAAGCTACTTCATCTGAACTCTAGATCCTTCTCCTCATTCCAATTTCCCCAGGCCACTGCCCCTCCCCTCACAATCTCCACTATGTGATACAGGAGAAGGTGGATCTCAAAGTTATAAAGGACCCTTAAAATTAAAAACAACAAAGTGCCAAAAGTAAGTTACACAGCCATAAACCCAAAGATATCAAGTATGCAGCTTGCAAAAGAAAAAAAAAACAACAAAACAAAACCCAAGCACCTGTCAGCTTCTTTAACTGTGTAGCAGGGCCTGTGTCAGTCTGGAAGGATGTGGCCAGAACCCTCCCTTAATTACTCCACTCTGCAGCCCAGAAGGTACAGCACTCTCCCCATTCAGAATTCTGCCTTTACATAAATCTCCAAATAGACTTTCCCAGCGGCCAGTTTTCCTGCTTTTTGACATTTTAATCACACAGCTGACTATTTTGCTGCTTAGAAACTGCCACATAAGGAGTATTTTTTAAAAGAGATGGTAGAAATAAACCAAACCCAGCTTTATCTCGAGGCAGTGAAAGGGAGAAGGGCAGGGATTACCTTTCATTTCTGAGTGTTTCGGTTAAAGATAATTATATATTTATATGAAAGCAATATTTGGGACACAGAACACCTGAGGCTACTTATTGCATTTAAAGTGGATCTTACATTTTTCATGATATCTGGAGGCTGTGAAAAGTGACACTGTATGTTATCAATCATTTTAGGGATTTTTTTGCATCCTGAACTTTCACAGTAAAGGTTCCTGCCAATTTTATCTGATCTAGGTTTTCATTCCACAGTGGGAAATTTCACAAGATGAGGAAAATAAAGAGATGAGTAAGATAATATTTTGGGGGCAGGGGGAACCTTTATCACTAAGGCAAATTGCATTAAATAGCCAATTCCTAATGGCAAACCGTGGTAAACTACCAGATAAGTCTTGGATTTTAAGGAGCAAGACATCCAGACAGAGCTTCTAAAGTTTGACCCCTCTTCCCCTGCCCCCCCAACAAAAGAGTGCTTGGTCAGGGAGGAGAATGAGGTGACATGCAATTAGGGACTGAAAAAAGATGATGACTTGGCCTACCCAAGCCTGTGGGATAAAGGGAGTCTTTATAACAGGAACATGGGCTGGCTCCCTGTGCTTTTGTCTCTTGCCTGAGTTGAGGCACGGCTCGGGGGACAGAAGGCACCGTCCAAAGACACCATCTTACAGGGTAAGAGCCTCTTGGGAAGATTCACCTTGGGGGAAGGAGACAGAAAATGAACTGACCAAGCTGGAAAACCTTGGCCAAAGAGGAGGGCAATTTCAAACACAGCCTGGCATCCATCCCTTGGATATCTCCCATGAGAGGCAGAAGGGGATTAAGTAACTAAACTGCTGACAGCTCTCCTCCAGGGAATGACAAAACGCAGCACCAGGCCCCCCACAACTCCTGGGATACAGGGTATGGATGAAGGACAAGGCACCTGGAAACAGAAGTGCACCAGCTGTCCCAGCAGACACCCTCTGGGTACTTCCAGAAGCATTCAGGAACACTTTTACAAGGGCCTGGGGCCTTGTATGAAAAGGTAGTGGCAAAAGATCAGTGTGATTTGAGTCACTACTACTGGGACCTCATCCTAATCCAAAGACAAGTGAGATCTAGGGAAATTCAGACTGCAATTCTAGGGAAGAAAAAAACAGAAGACAAAAAAGTGTGTCACCTGCTGATAGTGAAGAAAACACAAAAGTCACCTAACACCACTCTTAATAAGCCTCCTTTTATTTATTTCAAATACCTTGTTTGCGAAGATCCACTGGGAAAGGGCAGACAGCCTTTATTCATTGGTGCAACGCCTAAGACATTGTGAGGATGTAAATGTTCACAATCTGGTAGGAAAACAGTATATCAAACTGGAGCCATGCTCCTTTTTTCCAAATTGTATCTTAAGTTCCAGGATACATGTGCAAAATGTGCAGGTCTGTTACATAGGTAAACATGGCAATGGTGGTTTGCTGCACCTATCAACCCATCACCTAGGTATTAAGCCCCACATACATTAGCTACTTATCCTGATGCTCTCCCTCCCCCCGTGCCCTGACGGGCCCCGGTATGTGTTGTTCTTCTCCATGTGTTCTCATTACTTCATCCATGTCCCTGCAAAGGACATGATCTTGTTCCTTTTTGTGGCTGCATAGTATTCTATGGTGTATATGTACTACACTTCCTTTAGTTTATCATTGATGGGCATTTGGGTTGATTCCACATCTTTACTATTGTGAATAGTGCCACAATAAACATACGTGTGCACGTCTTTACAGAAAGATTTGTGTTCTTTTGGGTATATACCTCGTAATGGGATTGCTAGGTCAAATGGTATTTCTGGTTCTAGATCCTTGAGGAATCGCCACACTGTCTTCCATGATAGTTCAACTAATTTACATTCCCAGGAACAGTGTAAAAGAGGTCCTGTTCCTCCACAGCCTCACGAGCATCTGTTTCTTGGCTTTTTAATAACCGCCATTCCGACTGACATGAGATGGTATCTCATTGTGGTTCTGATTTGCATTTCTCAAATGATCAGTGATGTTGAGCTTTTTTTCTTATGTTTGTTGGCCATGTAAATGTCTTCTTTTCAAAATTGTCTGTTCATGTCCTTCGCCCACTTTTTGATGGGATTTTTTTGTAGCCATGCTCCTTTCAATAAGGTATCATTAAAATAAATGTTAACACTTTCAAGTTCCAGTTTGTAGTCTACATGTTTATAGCATCATGAGTACAATAAGCTCCTAGTACAACAAAGTAACTTGAGTAACATTTCTGCTTTCTTCCAGTGCAATCTGTCATGCTGTTCTCACACTGTACTAAAATTGTTATATATGAAAGCATGGAAATGCATTAATTCATTTTATTTACTCAACAAATATCTGTGACACATCCACTGCATACCAGGCACAAGGGTGAGAACCACAGACATGACTGAACTCTCGATGCTCTCGGTTAAGATGGCAAGAGTCTACTATATCATTTGAATTTTATTTCAAAACACTTCAACATAAGCTGGGATATGTCCAGTGGCTGTAAGCCAACTGCCTAAAAGCAATGAATTGTCTTAATCTGGAAGACAGGCTCCAAGAGTAGTTAACCAGCTTTTAATCAAAAAGCCACACTCAAGAGACACTACTGCAAGCCAGTCTGCTAGCTATCCTTATCACCAACCAAGAGCAGGTTATGTTAACTAGTATACTTTGGGTCAGAAATGGGCTTTCATATTGGTTAAATTACTGACTTTGTTAATTAGTATTACAGCTGTTGGAACATTTTCAGTGGTGAAATTGATGATATTTGAGGTAAGGGAGTTGACTGGAAATGTCAGAAACACTCTGCCTGTGTGTGACCCAAATATAAAAATCTAGCAGGCCAGATTGTAATAAGCCTCAGAAATGTAAGGCTCAAGGTTAAGAATGGTGCCCTAGGTTTGATAAGTAAATGGCCCCAGGTCCAGCTGCTGATTCCCAGGAATTGTTAAGTCCCTGATGTAAAATGGCAGGAAAACCTGAATTCTGCCTTTGGTGGGCCAAATTCTAAAGATATCATTCCAAGATCCCATCCCCTCATTACTGAATCAAACACAATCTGGGTACGACCATGTAGGGACTCTGCAGATGGAATTAAGAATACTAATTAGATGACCTTCAAATAGATTATCCTGGATTATCTGGGTAAGCTTGCTATAATCACACAGACCCTCGAAAGCAGAAGTGAGAAAAGGCAGGAGGAAGGGTCAGACACTAAAGTGTGAGAAGGAAGCCACCTTTCTGGCATTGAAGATGAAGGAAGGGAACCACAAACAGGAATGCAGGCAGCCTCTAAAGTTGAGAAGAATCCTCAGCTGACAGCCAGTAAAGAAATGGGGACCTAGGCCGGGCTCAACAGCTCACGCCTGTAATCCCAGCACTTTGGGAGACCGAGGCGGGTGGATCACCTGAGGTCAGGAGTTCGAGACCAGCCTGACCAACATGGTGAAACCCCATCTCTACTAAAAATACAAAAAATTAGCTGGGCGTGGTAGGCACCTGTATTCCCAGCTACTCAGGAGGCTGAGGCAGGAGAATTGCTTGAACCCGGGAGTCGGAGGTTGCAGTGAGCCGAGATCACGACACTGCACTCCAGCCTGGGCAACAGAGTAAGACTCTGTCAAAAAAGGAAGGAAGGAAGGAAGGGAGGGAGGGAGGAAGGAAGGAATGGGGACCTCAGTCCTACAGTCACATGGAACTGAATTCTGCCCTCCTGAATGAGCCTGGAAGTGGTTCATCCCCTGAGCCTTAACAGAACACCACCCTGCTACCGTCTTGATTTTGGCCTAAGGAAACCTAGAGAAGAGAGCCAGATGTGCCTGGACTTCTGTCCTAAAGAATTGTGAGATAATAGATTTAAGATAAGCTTGTAGTAATTTCTCAGGGCAGCAATAAAACACTGACATAATGTCTATGAAACACTGTCTCATGTGCTACAGGTAAACACCAAATGCAAGCTGCTGTCAGAGCAGACTCCTGAAAAGGACAAAGCTGGAGCCTCACCAGGCGTATAAAGCAGGTTGTGTGGCTGTGCTGTGACAGCCTACTAATAAATCTGTATGGGCAGAACTCCACCTAAGCCTTATTTTCATTCATGCCTGGTTGTGAGCTCACAAGGAGGAAATCTCTAGCTCTTACTTCCTCTGACTTTTGGTAGTAATTACAATGTGCCATAAAGAATCTAATACCAGCTGGGCATGGTGGCTCACGCCTGAAATCCCAGCACTTTGTGAGGCTGAGGTGGGAGGATCACTTGAGCCCAGGAGTTCAGGACCAGCCTGGGAAACATGGTGAAACTCCATCTCTACAAAAAAATACAAAAATTAGCTGGGCATGGTGGTGCGTGCCTGTACTTGGTGAGGAGGGCGGGGGGTGGGGAGAGCTGAGGCGGGAGGATCACACAAGTCGAGGCTGCAGTGAGTCATGCTCATGCTACTGTACTCCAGTCTGGGTGATAAAATGAGGCCCTGTCTCTGGAAAAAAAAAAAATGCAGCTGATTTCCTTAGCTTTGTAGGAATGGTTAAGAAAATAGCTACAAACAATTGAACAACCACAAACTTTGATTTAAAGATATCCCTGGAGGAAAGATCGATCTTCCTAGAATGGCTAATTTCAGAGTTTGTCTAAGGAACTCAGGAAGTAGGCCTTAAGCCACAGGGCTCTTCTGTTGTTTGCACAAGGAGGAAGTGAGCCCTCCACTGCCTGAAGTAACTGACTCCAAAAGGAAGGCAGGATCCTTGAGAATTTTCTTTCCCTGTGGGTTCAGACCAGCCCCTGGACCAACAGCAACAGCATCACCTGCGAACTTATTAGACATGCAAATTCTCAGCCCCTCCCCAGACCACAGAGTGATTCCGATGCCCCACTCAGGCTTGTTTTTTGTTTTTGAGACAAAATCTCGTTCCGTCGCCCAGGATGGAGTGCAGTGGTGCGATCTCAGCTCACTGCAACCTCTGCCTCCCAGGTTCAAGTGATTCTTATGCCTCAGCCTCCTACAGACAGGCACCACCACACCCGGCTAATTTTTGTATTTTTAGTAGAGACAGGGTTTCACTATGTTGGCCAGGCTGGTCTCGAACACCAGACCTCAAATGATCCGCCCGCCTCAGCTTCCCAAAGTGCTGGGATTATAGGTGTGAGCCACCTCACCTGGCCTCCCACTCAAGTTTGAAACCCACTGGCACGGCCTGTCTGGAGTAGCTATGCAAGACCTTGCCCACAGCCCAAGAAAGCTCAAAATTCAAGTATGAAGACAAAACAGTATGATGTTAAATGACTTGGGAAAAACAGCAGCGGGAGGGAGGAAGGCAGCGATTGAGCTGTACCTGAGGCTGGGGGCACGAGGGGAGACTGGCGTCACTGAATGGGACCACAGAGGTGGGAGGCAGGGGGTTTTACTCTTTCCATTTCCTAAACGAAGTAAAAGCAGTTGGAGGAAGAGAACTTTGTCTCTGTTTAGCTTCTTTACAGTGTTTAGCACAGAGCTATGTACTCAGGTGGGGCACAAATATATATTTCAATAAGAAAAAGTTTATTTCTGCTTTTTAAGTAAATTATACTCATTTGCTATAAATTAGTAACTTCTAAGAAATCCTGTAATTTGGGAATGTCTTCTCCAATATTTACTCAGTACAGTGGCTACCACAGAATTCCATTTCATTTCTGTCAGGGCAGGAGATTCAGAAGTAAGGGGAGGAATGTGAGAAGGGAGATATGGGGAGGTGTTGGAGGGGTTGAGGTGGGGTGAGGGGAGCGTGGGTCCCAGCCCAGTCCCTTGAAAGCTTCCACTGATTAGAAGGTGCTCCACGACCCCTCCCTAACCAGCCAGGAGAGGGTGAAGGCAGAGCAGTCCTATGTCTCACTCAATAGCACTCTCTCTTTCCATCCTCCACAGTGACCAGGTCAAGACTATCCCAGCCTTCTCCAACAAATCTAATACACGCACATACACACTCCACCCTTCGCCCTATACAGAAAAAAATCACCATCGGAAGGGAGCACCTGAAGGAAATTCTTCAGCCCCATCCTCACACCTACCTGCTCTGGCATGCATCTGCATACATCCACACACAGCGAATCCTCTACCTGCACTCATGGGCCAAGATCAGGGTGCAGAGATCAAGGGCAAGAACAGGGAACAGAGATGCAGAACGCAATTGTCTCTAGAGAAATACCTGTAAGCACTGTTGCTCTTAATAGGATTTATGAGTTTAATCAGATTAGGTCCAAAGATTAGCTATGGATCATAGTTTCAACCTGACTAGGTTGCACTGAGACCATTAAAAGGGCCAGCTTGGACAATGAGCTACCACTGCACACCTTTTAGGATGGCTAAAACTTAAAAAACAAAATATAAAAACTGCTGGTGAAGATGCAAAGTAACTGAAACCCTCATACTGTTGGTGAAAATGCAAAATGGTAGAACCACTTTGGAAAACAGTATTACTCTGCAAAAAAAAAAAAAGAAGAAAAAAGAAAAAGAATTGATACCCACTACAACATGAATGAATCAACTGCATTAGGCTAAGCGAAAGAAGCCAGACTCAAAAGGTTATACACAATTCTAAACACGACATCTGAAAAGGCAAAACTATAGGTTTGGAGGACAGTTCAGGGGTTGTCAGGAGTTGGGTGTTGACTACAAAGGAGCAGCATGAGGGAATATTTTGGGGTGAAAGAACTGGTATCTTTGTGGTAGTTACACAACTGTGCATTTGACAGTCACAGATCTGTACAATGAGAAAAAAAAGTTCATTTTTGCTCTATGTTAATTTTAAAAAAACACATTAAATTTTTTTTTTAGTTAGAAAAGAGGGTCTGGCCACTTCAATGATAATAGTGATACCCAGTTATAGGAAGTCCCCAAGTCTCAAATCCTGGGTAAACATCTCTGACCCATGTATAGAGAGCAACAGCTAAAGGCCAGCCCCAGCATCTATCATCTCCTTCCACCTCTGTAAGAAAGCCCTAATTTTTCACTATTTTAAAAAATAGGCCAGGAACAGTGGCTCACACCTGTAATTCCAGCATTTTGGAAGACCAAGGCGGGCAGATGGCTTGAGCCCAGGAGTTCCAGACCAGCCTGGGTAATATGGTGAAACCCTGTCTCTACAGAAAATACAAAAATTAGGTGGGTGTGGTGGCGTGTGCCTGTAGTCCCATGTACTTGGGAGGCTGAGGTGGGAGGATTACTTCAACCTGGGAGGTTAAGGCTGCAGTGAGCCGTGATCCTGCCACTGCACTCCAGCCTGGGCAACAGAACGAGAGCATCTCTCAAAAATAAATAAATAAAAAGTTTCAAACACTTGGAAAGGGACAAAAGAGATAACAGGGTGTACCTTCAGTGGGCCTGGATGTTGCTTATGTAAAGCAGACCCTCCGACAGTATCTTTCCATAGCTGTGTACACTCTTGACTTTCTATTGACTAGTTTACAGGTCTGTAAATTGCAGAAAACTTGGCAGTGCAAATGATTCCTGTCCCTAGCAATGTTTGTCCATACCAATTCTCTGGCAGACAATATAAATCTCTATAACCCAAATTCCTAAACCATTAACATCTTTTTGGATTCCCTAATTAATGAATTATGCTATTGCCTTTCTCGTAACTGCTGGGCGTAGTGGCTCACAATCCTAGCACTTTGGGAGGCCAAGGCAGGTGGATCACCAGAGGTCAGGAGTTTGAGACATGGCCAACATGGCGAAACCCCGTCTCCACTAAAAATACAAAAATTAGCCAGGCATCGTGGTGGGCACCTGTAACCCCAGCTACTCAGGAGGTTGAGGCAGAAGAATCACTTGAACCCAGGAGGCAGAGGTTGCAGTAAGCGAAGATTGCACCATTGCACTCCAGCCTGGGCGATAAGGGTGGGAGTCCGTCTCAAACAACAACAATAGCGGAGAAAATTATGCTTTAGCACCCTAGTGCAATTAAGTGCATAAATAATTGCATTTCCCAGCCTCCTTGGCAGCTAGGTCCACAGAGCCAATGAGAGGTGAGCCAGCATCAGGTAGGATTTCAAGGAAGACTGTTTACAAAGATGAGCCAGCTGGGAGAAACCCCATTTTGCTCTTCTCTTTCCTTCTTCTGGCAGGACATGTGGACATGCTAGCTAGTACTCCAGCAAACATGTTATTAGACCATCAGGTTACCTTGTGTTAGGAAGGTGTGGTAAACTGATAATGGTTCCCAAAGACATACTCCCTGGAACCTATGGTATTTGCTACTTGATTTGGAAAAATCATCTGTGTAGATGTGACTAAGTTAAGGATCCTGAGATGAGGGGCTTATCTAGGTGGGCCTCAACTGCCGTAAGTAAAAGAGAAAGGAGAGGCCAGACACGGTGGCTCATGCCTGTAATCTCAGCACTTTGGGAGGCAGAGGCAGGAGGATCGCTTAAGTTCAGGAGTTCAAGACCAGCTTAGGCAACACAGTGAAACCCCATCTCTACAAAAAAATACAAAAATTAGTTGTGGTGTGTGCCTGTAGTCCCAGCTACTTGGGAGGCTGAGGTGGGAGGATCACTTGAGCTTGGGAGGTTGAGGCTGCAGTGAGTGATGATCCATTGTGCCACCACACCCTATCCTGAAATACATAATTTTTAGCTTTAAGTGAAATTCATTCTAAAAATAATTAAAATTTTTTTAAACACAAGATTGACACATTGAATTTTAAGTCTTGTGAGAAGCCATATTTAAAATTTTTAACCATAATGCACTGAATAGCAATGCAAAATTCATATCATTTGTACATAAAATGCTTCTCTCAACATCAAAAGGCTCAAAATAGTCCCTCCACCATGTAAAGTCAATCTCTCCCTTTCAGAATACTCAATGGAAGTTCAAGATTCTAAAAAAAAATTAAAAAAAAATAAACAAACTACTCCCTCAAGTCCAAGTCCACCATTGTCTACTCCCTATCCCACAGTGCCCACCCTGCTGGTAAGGACTGCCATCTCATTTCTGTTACCCTCTGAATTCTAGAACCTTCCACATGCTATCACAGTCATCCTTTCCCCACAGCACATACACTATTGTCACCTACGTCCTTGTCCATGTCCCCCAGCAGACTCAACTCCTGGGTGTCTCTGGCATCTCTGGCATCTGTACAAAGATGCTATCTCTGAAGTCAGGAGTAGCCCACAGTCCTGTTGCACATGGTCAGAAGGCTGGCATGTCAGACCACATGCAAGGGGCCTCTAACAATCCCACAACAGGCTGCACCTGAGACTGAAAGAAAAGGCAGTATGAAGGCTGGGCTTGCGAGCAAGAGGCACTGTCCTCCTCTGACCTCATTGTTGATGAGCTCACACTGGCAAGCACATGCTTTCCATTATCTGAAACACCTCTTCCCTCTTGCAAACATCAAGCGCAGCAGCAAAGCCATATTTGGGGGCTCAGCCATTATCTGTTTAGAGTCTAAAAAGGACAAATTGCACTCACAGATTGCATAGGTAACCTGTGACATCAGTGAGAGGGGCCAGATAAGCCACGACCGCAGCTCACCTCCTAAGAGTGCCTGCTGCCGTCCCCTGCAGCAACCCAGGCCATCGTGACCTCTCAGCTACCGCATCTGACTTCCTATCAGTGTTCAGCATTCAGGACAAAACAGAGAACAGGGTTTCCACATTAAACATGCTACAGCTCAGGTTGATGTCGAATTTTTATTGGTTAAAGCAACTACAGTCATTGCTTACCTTACTCTAAAACAGGTGATCAAGATTTTACATTACAGTTAGAATTCCTGAATATACAATGATTTATTACAACAGAGTGGCTGCTTCTTGATTTTTTTTAAAACCAACTGAAACTGATCTCCATCTTAGCACCTGCTAACAGTCAATCAGGTCAACCACAGGTCATATGAAACCATCTTCCCAACTCCCCCACCTCCACTGGTTCTGAAGAGTGGGTGTAAACAATGGGTTAAACAATCCAGGATGCAGACAGCTGTTAATCATAACTGGCTCCACATTCCCACACATTACAGTGGACTTCAGTAGACTCCCTGGCTACTTCCTACATAGGCTCAAACCTCTTACGCATGTGTACAAAAACATCTGAAGACATTTGGGGGCAAAGAAGAATGAATATTAAAATAACTGCCCAATCTGCCTATACCAAAGAAAAATATGACAGAGGCTTGGGGTTATAACCTATTCTACTTTTACGCCTCAGCTATTGAACAATTTTGAACAATCAGAGACAAAAAGGCTTACCAGAAAATACATGATTAACAGTATGTCAAACAAAGTAACTACAGAGATTTTTTACTTTAAGATGTCTGCTGTTTGTGTACCCAGTCATGTACAAAGGCAAAGTTAGGAGGTAGCTTCTCTTTTTCTTTAAGAGTTTAAAGTGTTTCTTCTTTTCTAAAGTACTTTAGCTACTCGAACAGCATGCAGACAGGGTAAGAATCACAGAACCTGGCCGAATACACAGCTCATTCAGCATCAACCACAAGGTGGCGCTGCTTCAATGCTGATTCAGATGCACAGCCCTGCTAGAGACGTTTCTCCACCATCAAGGCTACATTTGCTTGTGTCCTTTCCAGGCCGGCCAAAAATGCTTTCTCCTTAAGGTTTCAGGTAACACACATATGGCTAACAGTCTATATTGAGAAAGTAAACCACTGAGGCACAGCAACTCCCTACCCCCATCTTAGGACAGACTCTGACTGCACCTGAGAGGACTTATCTCAGCCTCCCTTAGTTAACAAGGCAACAAAGTGGGGCAGAAAGGCTTGCATACTCCTGAATCACACCCAAGTACAACACTGGGAGTTCATCTTCCCGGGAATCCATACTGATGAAAATAAATGGGAAACAAGACAAATCTCCTATGCAGAAAAATTCCAAACAATTTACATAGATCCTCCACTCTCATGGTGGTGGTGTACACCACCATACCCCTAAGTGTGGGCTGCACACAGCGACTTCCTGCCTTCTGGAGAGTACAGCACACTCCACATACAGCATCTATGCATGCATACAAATGCGTTCATGTTAATATATGGAAGGGGGAGGGAAGGAAACGAATAACTTCACCTTGGAGCAACCTGGCACCCACTACGTTGGCCAGGTGATCGAAGTCAAGACAGTGATAAGCCAGGTAGCTACTGTGTACATCAAAAGATGGGAGCAGAAGGCACTTCACTTCTGTGGTTTCTGCCCCAAAACCTGTAACTCCAGTCTAATCATGAGAAAAACACCAGTAGAGAAAAACACCAGTAGAGAAAAACTCCAGTACAGAAAAATTCCAGTAGAGAAAAACTCCAGTAGAGAAAAACTCCAGTACAGAAAAACTCCAGTACAGAAAAACTCCAGTAGAGGGGCAACCTGCAAAACACCAGCCCAGCACTCCCCAAAACTGCCAAGGTCATCAAAACAAGGAAAGTCTGAGCAACCACCACAGCCAAGAAGAGTCTAAGACCTGACAACTAAATGCAATATGGTGTCCTCTCGGATACTGGAATAGAAAAAGGACATTGGGAATAAGCTTTAAAAAAAAAAAAAAAAAAAAAAAAAAAAAAGGAATAGGCCGGGCACGGTGGCTCACGCCTGTAATCCCAGCACTTTGGGAGGCCGAGGCAGGCGGGTCACGAGGTCAGGAGATTGAGACCATCCTGGCCAACACGGTGAAACCCCGTCTCTATTAAAAAATACAAAAAATTAGCCGGGCGTGGTGGCGGGCACCTGTAGTCACAGCTACTCGGGAGGCTGAGGCAGGAGAATGGCGTGAACCCAGGAGGCGGAGCTTGCAGTGAGCCGAGATTGCACCACTGCACTCCAGCCTGGGCAACAGAGCAAGACCCCATCTCAAAAAAAAAAGGAATAAAGTACAGACTTTAGTAGGTATCAATATCAGTTCATTAACTCTGACAAGTGTGTCATACTAATGTCCTATGTTAATAAGAGGAGACTTGGTATGGAGTGCACGGGAACTCTGCATTCTTTGCAACTTCTCTATAAATCTAACGCTATTCTGAATTTAAATTTTATTAAAAATAGAAGTTCACCCAAGCTTTAATGGTAACTAAGAGGTCTCGTCACATACAGGAGAGTCCTTTTACTTTCTATGTTGTATTTAGGTTGTGTTCCTGACAGTCCTTTCACCCTCAGCATAGAGGAGGGTAAAGCAGCAAACACTGCTTCACTGAAGGTCATGTGAAGGATATGGTGGAAAGGCAGAGTGTGAGGGCTCCTGTGCCATCTGCACCTTTCGAGAGTGATCGAAGGCCACTATTCCGGGTGGCAATGAAGTAAAGTGAAAATGACCCAGGCTTTGGAATTAGACTGAAGTTCAAATCCCAACTGGTTATCAACGAGCAGTCTAACCTTCAGCAAAGTTATAACTAAGCTCTTGGGGCGCTCCATCAACTCACTGTAAGTGGGGTTCATACCTAAGCTGCAGGCTTGAAAATGTTCATGCAGTGTCTAGCACATGGTTGAATAAATGCTAAGTTTCCATTTCTCCTTTCCTTTCCTGAGACAAAAGTTAACATTGGCCAACTACAGCCCAGGGGCCAAATTGGACCACTGAGTGTTTTTATACATAAAATATCACTGGAACACAGCCATGACCACTCATTTACGTATTGTCTAAGGCTGCTCTGTACTACGATGGCAGAGTTACATAGTCGCAACAGGGACTGTGTGGCCCTCAAAGCCTGAGATATTTACTATCTGGCCCTTGACAGAAAAAGTTTGCCTATTCTGCTCAAAGGTCATCAATTGCCATATTTCCAAAAGCTAACAGGTCCTTTGTTTTTTTTTTTTTGTTGTTGTTGTTGTTGTTGTTGTTTTTTGAGACTGAGTCTTGCTCTGTCACCCAGGCTGTAATACAGTGGTACAATCTCGGCTAACTGCAACATCTGCCTCCTGGGTTCAAGCGATTCTCCTGCTTCAGCCTCCTGAGTAGCTGGGATTACAGGCATCTGCCACCACACCCAGCTAATTTTTTTGTATTTTTAGTAGAGACGGGGTTTCACCATGTTGGTCAGGCTGTTCTCAAACTCCTGACCTGATGATCTGTCTGCCTCGGCCTCCCAAAGTGCTGGGATTACAAGTGTGAGCCACCGCGCCCAGCCACTAACAGGTACTTTTCATTCCTTATCATACTTGACCTTCACAGCCTCTGCGTCAGATGCCCTGTTTCAAAATCCTCTTTTCTCTCTTGAGGCCAGCAACCTTAGCTCAGACTCTGCACTCAACTCCTTGGTGCTCTTCACAAGCATGGCTTCGTGGAGCACTCAAAGTTCAAGATAGGCAAAGTCAAACCACTCCACACTGTAGTTAATTACACCAGCACCTACACCTGTGGTAGGGCAGAAACAGCATTACTTGGAATCCCAGGACCAACGAGGGCTGAAATTCTACCTTTCAGAACCTTAGAATTCCTACCCAAAACACAGGAATAATGCCCACCTTGGAAATACTATGAAAATTAAACTGGGGAGAAAAACAAAGTCATGAGGCACAACAGAATATTTTGAATCTTGACCTATCAAGAAAACCAAGCTAGAGCTCGGCAAGCTTCCCAATGGCATGCAAAAAATGAGTTAAGGGTATGCCAGGATATGGATTCTCTCAGCTCTCCGGACCGTTGGGCAGAGTCTGGGGCAGTGCCCGAGGGACAGTTCATTGATTCCATTTGCTGTACAAAAATCTCCTATATGTGCCATGAGATTAAAAGGACTAGGAAGCCCCTGCCTTGAGTACTTTCCTTCTGCACTTTCTTCCTTCCCTAATTCTCATGTACAAACAGGTCACCACAACCTAAAGATTCTTTTTCCTAAAACTTTTTCAAATCAACCTCCACCACACTGCACATTCCCCTGCAGAGTTAAGCCACTATACTGCATTTGACTCAAGGAGTCCCAGTCTCAACCCCAAGGAGGCCTGTGTGAAACAGTTACCGTCCTAGAAACCAAATCTATTTATTTCATCCCTCTTCTGCTTAACTCTGTCATAGGACATCACTGCCAAAATAAAACACCTGGCTCCTCCAATGACACACACACACACGGACACACATACACACACACACACACACACACACACCCTTACCAGCTTCCGAAAGGAGAGTCTCGCTCTTCTCCGTGAGGTCACAACACTTTGTAGACACCTCAATGTCTTCACTGTTGTCATCTCTTGCCAAACTGGGAGGTCCCCAGAGCTTAGAGCCAAGTATTTATTTACCTTTATATCCACCACATCTCTAGTCCAGAGCCCAACACATGGCTGGTGCTCAATAAACTGGTATAAAACAAATGTTTATGGAAGCTCATGAAATCACTGCGTGAAAGACTGAATAACTCAGAGTGCCTCTGAGGCCATTTGCAAAAATAAAGATCACCACCAAAAGTCATCATATCCACCCATACAATGTCCTCTTACAATGAAAGGGATCCTGGAACAGGCTCTCACCAAAACAAGTCCAGGAGAACTGGGGGAGTAAGAGCTCTTGAGATGACCACAGAATAAAATGAACTTTATTTTAAAGCCCAAAGGGCACACAAACTAATAATTTCCAGGTTGAAAGGAAGAAACAGGAAAAGTATACCATAAAAATAATAAAAGAGTGTCAAAATGCAAATAAAAATGGGATTCTCTTAAGCAGTCTGATATATGTTTCTTGCTCATTTCGGGGAAACATGTTGAACTCAACAGGTTTATTTTTTCCTTTCTGGGTATCACACACTACTCTACTAGCAACACTGTCAGTAAGTCAAGATTTCAGGCTACAGTTAAGATGTTTCCCCCCACCTTAAAAGCACCTGCTTGCCTGTTAAAATACCACAAACTATAAGAAAAAATTAACTGTACAGTAAAACCTAAAACCAAGTAAATATTAGTAAATATTACATCCTCAGAAACTAATGGATAGCTCCTTGACCTGGCCACTGATATCATTTCTTCCTGACAATCTTATGGGACTCAGGTGGCCCCTGCAAGGCATCTCTTTACAGCCAGGCCACATCTGTCCTCCCCTCAGGAGGACAGTTGGGTGCTTGGTTGGCTCCCTACCTTCAGTCCCCATAATCTTTGGTATCAGCTCGTTGTCTTGTGAACTGCTTTTCACACTCCTCTAAAACTTGGTTCCTTGTGCTCTCACTGATCTTTATCACTTTTAATAAAAGCTACAATAGGACTAAGAATAAATAAGCATAAAGCATTTGGCTGGAAGCAACACACACTTCAGGAAATGAAAACCAATTAAGTATCTGGCAAGACCCTTCCCACAGAAGCTGTAGATGGGTCAGCTCATCCACAGAGCCGTGCCCACAATTCAAAAACTCAGATCCCAATGATGAATAATTTGGTTTTCATGGTTTCAACAATATTTGCTAACCCAAGTCCAAATGTCAGCAATTAGATTTTTTTGTTCAAAAAATTTTTAAGAGACTGGAGTCTCACTATGCTGCCCAGGCTTATCACAAACTCCTTGGCTCAAGTTATACTCCAGCCTCTGCTTCCCCAGTAATCGGGATTACAAGTGCACTGCTGTGCCTGGCAAGCAATTAGATTTCAAGAGTCCTCCACTGAAGGAGTGGTGCCTTCTCTATTCTCCAGGTGAGAGAAACAGACTAAAGGCAAAAGAGGATGATACAGGAGAGAGGACAATAAAAGGCAGAAGGGGCGATTTACCCCAATCTCAGATGTCAGGACCAGTTTGATGGAACATGGCAAGGGCAGCATTCTTCCAACATATTCTAGGAGCCAGGCACTTTACATTCCTTCCAATCCTCTCAAAGACCCATATGGTAGGTAGGTTATTCTCCTTTCTCAATGAGGAAACCAACTATTAGAGACATTAATTTAGTACTCTTCTAAGGAAACAGAGCCACTAAGAACAAGGACTTGGGATTGACCCCAGGTCTGTCTGTCCTCCTACAATACAATATCCTGGGTAGAATTTTTCTGTTTAGGAGGCAGTAAAAGGGACAATATACTAAAATCATCTAATGCAGCTAAGATTTGCTTAAACTTCTCATGCCCATAATCCCAGCACTTTGGGAGGCCAAGGAGGGAAGATTGCTCAAGTCCAGGAGTTCAAGACCAGCCTGGGCAATATGGCTGAAGGCAACAGGGTGAGGCAGAGAAAACCCTTCTCTACTAAAAATACAAAAATTAGCCACGCGTAGTGACACATGCTTGTAGTCCCAGCTACTTGGGAGGCTGAGGTGGGAGGATCGATTAAGCCCAGGAGGAAGAGGTTGCAATGAGCCGAGATTCCCCAGCCTGGGTGACACAGCAAGACCCTGTCTCAAAAAAATTTTTTTAAAAAATGCCATAAGTTTAAAAAGAAAAAAATCTGCTTAAACTTCACAACCTTAAAAAAAAAAAATACTGGCTGGGTGTGGTGGCTTACACCTGTAATCCCAGCCCTTTGGGAGGCCAAGGCTGGGGGATAGCTTGAGGCTAGGAGTTTGAGAGCAGCCTGGCAACACAGCAGAACCCTATCTCTATAAAAATGCAAGATAAAAAAATTACCCGGCCATGGTGGCATGTGCCTGTAGTCCTAGCTACTCAGGAGACCCAGGTGGGAGGACTGCTTACACCCAGGAGCCCAGGAGTTCAAGGATGCAGTGAGCTGTGATTGTGCCATTGCACTCCAGCTGAGCGACAAAGCAAGAACCTGTCTCTTAGGAAAACGAGAAAAAAAAAAAAAAAAAAGGCTGGGTGCAGTGGCTCACGCCTGTAATCTCAGCACTTTGTGAGGCCGAGGCGTGCAGATCACCTGAGGTCAGGAGTTTGACACCAGCCTGGGCAACATGGTGAAATCCTGTCTCTCCTAAAAATACGAAAATTAGCTGCATGTGGTGGAATCTGCCCATAGTCCCAGCTACTTGGGAGGGTGAAGCAGGAGAATCACTTGCACCTGTGAGGGGGAGGTTGCAGTGAGCCGAGCAAGATGAGATCACACCACGGCACTCCAGCCTGGGCAGCAGAGTGAGACTCTGTCTCAAAAACAAAACAAAAACAAAAAACAAACCAACAAAAAAACCCAAAAAACTTACTGAGAATATTTTGCATGCCTACATTCAAATTTTAATGTACATATGAGTGCATACACATTCATTCAACTCTGAGTGCACATATCTGCTCTAATAGCAACTGTATAACTGAAAAAAGTGAATTATTTTGTAAAAATACTTTCAAGAAAAGAAATCCCTACTGAATTTTCACTGAAGAGCTGTAGTCCACAATCTCTTTCTGACTGACACAACAGGAGATTCTAGTTTGTACGTCTCACTTCAAGACATACAATTTCTGTATCAAATGTTAACACTAGACTCTACAAGGCGTACAATGGGCATATATTTTTCTGTGATTACCAAAGACCTTCAATATCCAAGTGTTACATCCAAAGTCCTGGTGAAACATCAAACAAACTTCAAACAGCCCAAGATAGAAGCCTCCATAATACTCGCTGTGTTCTCAGAGGACGCCTCCATCTGGCATCATGGTGCAGTTGTGACCAGGGCACAATGACCTCACTTGCATTCCATTGTGTGCACTCTAAGAGGAGGAGGCAGCACTGCCAACTGTGGTGCAGACTCATCTGCTGGTCCCTCAGCCCGTCTCAGCCCCACGTGCCCCTCCTATACGGGATTCTGGTGTACCAGGTATGTGTTTCTGGTACAGTGTAATCCTGAGTACAAGCTATCTACTTCATCTGGTGCTCGTCCAAATAAACAACAATCTGTTTAAATGGCAGAACAACGGCTGTGCCATCAAGAGACAGCATGTCTGCAGATGGCATTTAAGCCATCTGAGGGATGTTCAAGGGTAACCTGACACAAAGGCTTCTGCCTCAAGTGCTGACTTTATCACTTACCTGTGTAAGGAGCACCTGTGTTTCTCTGCTGTGTTGCACAGCTTTGAACAGTATGTAGCTATGTGCTCAGTTTCAACCGGAGTTTTGTTCTCATTGCTTGGAGAGCAAACCTGGACCACCTTGCAGCATTTATACTCTCCATCAGCTTCATGAATCACAGGCTCTCATTTCCATAGTGTGCACATGGCAGCTTCACAAATTACCCAGGCAGGGCACCACCAGGCATCCTGCCTTTTTGCTTTACCTGTGTTTCTCTTTTCTGCCAAGAACCATTGCTTTCTTAGACCTTTATACTCACATCACCAGTTCTAAGAGCTGGCTTCCTGTATAGGGTAATTCTACATACATAACATTTTAATCACTTCACACAAATCATGTGCAAACCAGGAAAAGATGAATAATCCAAGAAGCTGGCAGCAGGGCTAGAAGTGGAACCCACTGTGTTCCACTTTCATGTCCTATTCCCAGGGAACAAAGCCCCGAAGGAGGGCTGTGCTGCATGTCAAGACGACACATGCTTGCCAGAAAACACAGACCAGAGGGTGGAATCCCACTGGAGGGCATTTGACTGAGGATAAACAATCAAGGGGACAGATACTATGGGAATCCATTCATGGCGACCAAGTCACACGAGGGAAGCTGAAGATGGGCTCCAGGGAAGATGGTGACATGGAAATTGCAACCACCACGACCCTACACTTTACAGTCTACATCTTGTTTAAATTTCACTTGTCCTATGTCTTAGTTCAGGCTGCTACTTTTCACATACCACAGAAGGCTGGGTGCCATGGCACACACCTGTAATCCCAGCACTTTGGGAGGCTGAGGCAGAAGGATTGCTTTAGCCCAGGAGTTCAAGACCAGCCTGTGCAACATGGTGAAACCCCATCTTTTTCAAAAAATTTAAAGAAACAAAACCAAACATAGATTGGGTGGCTTAAACAACAATTTATTTCTCAGTTTGGAGGCTGGGAAGTCCCAGATCAAGGAACCAGCAGAACCAGTGTCTGAGGACAGTGCCTACTCACTGTACAGCAGTGCCTCCTTATCTGCAGAGGATATATACCAAGGCCTCCAGTGGAAACTGAGGATAGTACTGAACCCTGTATACACACTATGCTTTTTCCTATACATATATCCTTCGCTTGCACTAAATGGCTTTGTGTCACTCATTTCAGGGGACCTCTCTTGCAGAATTTTCTCCATAGTCTCAACGCTTTCTCTTGGCAACATGTTGCCAACAAATGGAACTCATTTTCTGTTCTTGTCTTCAACCCATAAATGGAATGCCTTTTTCATCTTAACTAAGAATTTATCACACACAGTGGCAGTAACTTATGCAGTTTGAGGTATGACAGCAAAACTACCATGAATTTCTTTTTCCTTTGTCATAATTTCATGGAAGATTCATTCTTACTATAGATCTTAGCAACCTCAGCATACAATGTTTTTTCTTTATTAAGTCAAGAACTTTTGCCTTTCCACTTAAAGGAAGCACTTTACAGCTTCTCCTTGGCATTTCCAAATTGCCAGCGTCACCACTCTTGTGCTTTGGGGCCACAGTTAAGTAAAATAAGGTTGACTTGAATACATGTGGTGTGATACTGTGACAGTCAGCCTGACAACTGAGAGGGCTACTGAGTGATTAACAGGAGGGTAGCGTGTGCAGCACATGGACACTGGGCCAAGGGAAGATTCCTGTCCTGGGCTGGAAAGAGCTGGATTTCAGCATGCTACTCAGAATGGCATGCAATTTATGACTTATCAATTATTTCAAGAATTTCTCATGTAATATTTTTGAACCACAGTTGACTGCAGGTAACTGAAACCACAGATAAGGAAGAACTACCGTATTCTCACATGGCTAACAGAAAGAGCTCTAGTACCTTCCTCTTCTTATATAAGGGCATTAATCCCATCATGGAGGTTCCACCCTCCTGATTTCAAAACTTAATCACCTCCCAAAGGCCCCATCTCTTCATAGCATCCTAATTAGAGGTTACAGTTTCAACATCAATTTTGGGGGGACATAAACATGCAGTCCATAACATCTTAGAAGCCCCATTATTACCCCATGTTTCAGAGGAAGAAACACCTATGGCCTGCTCAAGCCTACAGAGCCGGGACATGAATCCAGCTGCGTCCACCTGCCCATGACTGGGGCAGACAGACACACTCATGACTGGGGCAGACAGAGACAGCCTGCATCTGTCAGGACCCTTCACATCTCATTAGCTGAACTGCAGTCTCACCAGTTCTGGATTTAGGGTGGTGAACTTACTCTCCTAGCCTCTTCGAAAGGTCAGCTCATTAGCTGTACTCAGGACCTGTGACCAATAAAGAGGACTTTGTTGGTGGTGGAAGTAACAAGAAAATCACATCTCCTTTGAAGAGTGTTTCCTAAATTATACTTCTCAGAGCCCTTGTCCAGAAAAGGGGCTCCCTGCATGGCACAGTTAACTATCTCGATAGGCCCCACCCCAGGCAAGGCTTTCTGGTTTCAGTGCTCCAGACCCTAATAATGAAGTTTTTCCCAAAGGTACCAGTTTCCCTTTTGTAAGGCACTCTGGTTCCCACTGGGCTCTCCCTTCTAGAAATCACCACTCTGTGTTCATCTTAGTTTCCCACCTCCACTTGGCACAACCCTGGCTGCCCCTCTGCCTGGAGGCAGCCAGCCACCCCTGCCAACAGACGCAGACGCACGCGCAGTCCTGTCACAGCAAACCTGATGAGTCGAGCTGGAATATCAGGTTTTCTTTCCTGTTTATTTCTGCTTTACACTAGTGCTCATTAGCACTAGATATAATCACCTGCATGGGCTCCTGTGACTTCTGTTTCTCTGTAAATCAGAAATGATGAAAAAGATCTCCACCACCAAGGCCCCTGCCCTCATCTATTTTCTCTGAGGTGAAAACATTCATTTCTGAGCATGGTACTGGGTTTGTTCCAGCCGCCATCTGACACCACCACAGGGTGCAGCTGACACTGCTGTAAAGTGTGACTGGATAAAACCCAGTCATCATTAACTGCAGGCGGCGGGAAACGGGCAGCAAAAAATGCCAAAGCGTGAAAATGGGAGAGAGACAGGAGTGGAGGAAAGCAAGGCTGAGTGGCTACTGACAAACCCAGTTGAAGACACACTCCCTTTTGCTCAGCGCCTGGACAGAAAAGCCCTAAGAGGGAGGCTGGACCTAAAGCGTCACTTTTCTCTGGATATGGGGAAAGGTACATTCCCAGCTTTCTAAATGTAAAGGACTGTTACATTTAAAATTGCCTATGCGTCCATTAGTATTTTCAACCAATCACATGGAACTGATGGGCATGGAAATACTAAAATCCTATTGGTTTTAACAGTTACTTACCTATGCTCCATCACCAGGATAAAGAAAGTGATTGGATTCTGAAGATACAATTGGATCCTGTTTTCAGTGCTCCCAAGGGGGAATGACAAGATGTCAACAAAGACAAGACAGCAGTCCTTACAGAGAATGTCACAGAATGTCAGGGCAGAGACGCGAAATAAAGGGTTATGCAGAGCAAAAAGGAGACACAGTGCTACAGATGCTCGGAGCAAAAGGATATTACTTCTCACCTAGAGAAAAGGAGAGGCACAGAGAAAGGCTGGACCAAGCAAGAGATGCAAGCCATACCCACGGTCAACTCCTAAGGAGAAGGTTCTGACCTAGGCATAGGAATTTCCAGAGGATGAGCAATGGGGGAAGAGGAACAATAGGGCTGGGTGAAGGCACAACAATGATTTGGTCAAGAGAAGACAATTCAGTGGGGAAAGAACAGTCTTTTCAGTAAATGGTGCCAGGACAACTGGTATCCACGTGAAAGAGAATGAAGTTGGTCCCTACTTCACATCACACAAGAAAATGAACTCAAAATGGATCACAGGACTAAATGTAAGAGTCAAAACTGTTAGGGGAAAACAGGGATATGTATCTTTATGACCTTGGATTAGGCAACGGTTACTAGGACATGACATCAAAAAGACAGACTAATAATAAATTTAAAACCTTGTCAAAATTTAGAACTGCTGTACTTGAAACACTGTAAGCGGCTGGGCATGGTGGCTCACGCCTGTAATCCCAGCACTTTGGAAAGCTGAGGCAGGTGAATCACCTGATGTCTGGAGTTCGAGACCAGCCTGGCAAACATGGTGAAATGCCCTCTCTACTAAAAATACAAAATTAGCTGGGCATGGTGGCACATGCATTTAGTCCCAGCTACTCAGGAGGCTGAGACAGGAGAATCGCTTGAACCCAGGAGGTGGAAGCTGCAATGAGCCGAGATAGCACCATTGCACACCAGCCTGGGCGAGACAGAGCGAGACTCCGTCTCAAAAACAAACAAACAAACAAACAAAAAACAAAAAAGCCACCAATAAAATCAAAGTAAAAAAGACAATCCTCAGAATGGAAGAAAATACTTGTAAATCATTTATCTCATAAGGAATCTGTATTCAGAATATAAAAACAATTTTCACAACTTAATAAACCTACAATGAGATATCAGTTCACATTCTCTAGAATGGCTATAATAAAAAAGACAATACAAGCATTGGCAAGGATATGAAGCAATTGGAAACCTCATACTCAGCTGGTAGTGATATAAAATAGTACAGCCACTTAAAAAATAATTTGGCGGCAACTTAAGAAGGTTTTACGGAACTACCATATGATTCAACAATTTCACTAGGTATATACCCAAGGGAAAAATATATGTCCATATAAAAATGCAGACACAAAAGCTGATTGCAGCTTTATATATAATAAATAGCCAATGTGGAAACAACAAAATACCCACCAATGGAAGACTGGATAAACAAAACGAGTGGCATGTAGGAGTACTTCATTCTATTTTATTACCAAACAATATTTTACTGAATGCAGTACTGATACATGCCACAACTTGGATGAACCTAGACAACACGATGCTCCATAAAAGAAGCCAGTCACAAAATACCACATATTATGATTCCATTTTAATGGAATGACCAGAATAAGCAAATCAAGAGACATAAAGTAGACTCGTGGTTACCAGGGGCTAGGAAGTAGGGAGTGAAGAGTAAGGGCAGGGCGGAATGTGAAATGACTAGTAACGGGTATGGGGTTTTTTTGCTTTGGTTTCTTTGAGGAGGAGATAACAATGTTCTAAAATTAAGACTGTGGGGATGGTTGCACAACCCTGTGAAAATGCTACAAAAAGAACATCGAACTGTAAACTTTAAATGGGTGAATTATGTGGTATGTAAATTATATCTCAATAAAGCTGTTTTTTAAAAAAATGCAATGGAATAAATCACAATGGAAAAATACATAAATTTGACTGGAGAAAATGAAAAACTTCTGTGCGTCATAAAACACTGTAACCTAATTAGATGGAAAACGAACCAGAAACAGTTTTTTTTTTTTAAACATACATGACTGATACCCTTAAAACAATGAAGCTGTGCTAAATCAATAAGAAACACATATTGTCCTAGTAGAATAAAGGACAACTATCACAAAGAATTTCCAAAAGAAAAAGTTACCAATGGCCATTAAGAATATAATAATTCATCTACAATGTTAAACAAGTAAGTTTTGGCCCAGTAAACTCACTTTCATAGTCTGATAAAAATATCAGAGATGCCTTTAAATCTTAATATACAAGAATGTTATTTTTTAGCAGAAAACAGGGGACCTCTTACCTGTCCAATGCTGGGGGAATGGGCAAATGTGTTACTGTTGGTTACGTACTATAGAAACAAAGCAGGAGCGACCATCAAAAGTGGTTGTCTTTTGCGGGGTATAGAGGGACTCAATACTTTCATTATTTTGTACTTCTTTTTGTAATTCCACTGCTGGGAACCTGCTACCCCAAGGAGATATCAGAGATGTTTGTAAATATCACTGGACAAAAGTATTCCTGTTGGAAGTTCTAAAGATGGGTTGTACAACAACGTGAGTGTAATTACCACTGAACTGTACACTTAAATGGTTAAGATGGTCAATTTTGTTATATGTATTTCACCATAATTAAAAATATTCACACCAGGAATAGCGAAAACAAATTATAACATGCTAATTTTTTTAAAAAGTAAGTATCTGGCCGGGCGGGGTGGCTCATGCCTGTAATCCCAGCACTCTGGGAGGCCGAGGTGGGCGGATCATGGGATCAGGAGATCGAGACCATCCTGGCTAACACGGTGAAACCCCGTCTCTACTAAAAATACAAAAAATTAGCCAGGCGTGGTGGTGGGCGCCTGTAGTCCCAGCTACTCGGAAGGCTGAAGCAGGAGAATGGCGTGAACCTGGGAGGCGGAGCTTGCAGTGAGCCCAGATCACACCACTGCACTCCAGCCTGGGCAATAGAGCGAGACTCCATCTCAAAAAAAAAAAAAAAAAAAAAAAAAAAAAAAGCAAATATCCAACAATCAGAAATGTTTAAAAATCAATTATAAGATACTGAAACAATGGACAACAAATATCAAACTCTTCAAGTAAACTGGAAATTGCTCGTGATAAAATATTAAGCAAGAGCTGGGTGCAGTGGCTCATGCCTGTAATCCCAGCACTTTGGGAGGCCAAGTTGGGAGAATCACTTGAGGCCAGGAGTTCAAGACCAAACTAGGCAACATGGCAAAAACCTCATCTCTAGGAAAAAAAAGAAAAAAGCAAAGAATTAAATTAGCTGGGCATGGTGGTGCATGCCTGTGGTCCCAGCTACTTGAGGCTGAGGTGGAAGGATCGCTTGAGCCCAGGAGGTTGAGGCTACAGTGAGCCTTGATAGCACCACTGCACTCCAGCCTGGGTGACACAGCAAGACCTTGTCTCAAAACAAATATATACACATATATTTGTCCTCATGAAAAAGCAATTATATGAGATAATCACATATTCTTTATCAGTAATTCTCAAACTTTGTTACATATTAGAATCACCGAGGAAGCCTTTTTAAAAATCCCAATGTCCAGACCATACTTCATATGCATTTAATCTGAGTCTCTGAACGTAGGAGCTGGGCATCATCAGTACCCTTTAAAATTCCTGGTCTGACTCCAGAGTATAGCCAAATTGTATACAGGTGAACCAGGACTCATTGGCAGGGGAATAAATGGACTTGAAGTGGAGCAAATGCATGCACACTGGTTCTATGTATGAACACATGTTCAAGTACAACAGAAAATCTGTGCGTCACGTTCACAGCTGGGCACGCAGTAAGGAGGCCATCATATAACAAGTTTCCAGGAGGAAACAAAGAATGCTCTCCTATTCACCTCAGCAGGAGGAACTATCCTTTCTGAAGGTTAGATGTCAACTGTGGTCCCAACCACTCAGCAGTGGAAGCAAGGACTAGAACCAGCTGGCTCTACAAGGAGAAATGGGGCTGTGCATGTCCTGTGTTATTCTTCACCCTCCAAGAAGCAGCCTCATGGATCCATGTGAGGCTTTAAGCCCATGCCCTCCTCCTGCCCACACCTTCTATGAAATCAGAACACACTCACATTATTTACAGCTCACAAGCCAACAACGTACAGGCAGAACATCGGCACAGGCTGGCTGACATAAGAGAAGACGCTGGGGACAGCATGGAGGATCAGGGTCTACCAATAACTTGTATGAATTTTGGACAAGTTCCCTAATGACCAAGGGGTCTTTGCTTGCACATCTGCAAAGAGGCCTGGACAGGATGTGCTCTGGAGGCCTCTCCAACTCCAACATGCCTGTGAACCTCCATGATCTCTAGGATCCGCACCAGGCGGCTGAAACTGGGAGCCAACTGAATGTTTTTCTGACCATGAACTTGATCTGACTCAGCTGTCATAATTCCCGACACAGTCTCATGCAAAGAAAGAAAATGAAAATTGCCTGAGAAGTGCAGACAGAAGGGAAGTTCTAAAGAAGGCAGCTACAGAATGACGTCTCAGCCTCTTAAAATTGTCAGTAGTCCACAGTTAGGCCGCACAAAGCACCATCCATTTAAGCTGTTCCCAGAAGATGTGAATTTCAAAAAGCAGCCACTCAAAGAATGCTGGGGGGAATATGAAATCAATACAGCCTTTCTGGAAAGGAAGTGGGCACTATGTATCAAGACTCTTTATAAATGCAGGCCATTTAGTTCAATAATTCCACTGCTGGGAACCTGCTACCCCAAGGAGATATCAGAGATGTTTGTAAATATCACTGGACAAAAGTATTCCTGTTGGAAGTTCTAAAGATGGGTTGTACAACAACGTGAGTGTAATTACCACTGAACTGTACACTTAAATGGTTAAGATGGTCAATTTTGTTATATGTATTTCACCATAATTAAAAAATATTCACACCAGGAATAGCGAAAACATTATAACATGCTAAAAATTTTTTTAAAAAGTAAGTATCTGGCTGGGAGGGGTGGCTCATGCCTGTAATCCCAGCACTCTGGGAGGCCAAGGTGGGCGGATCGTGGGATCAGGAGATCGAGACCATCCTGGCTAACACGGTGAAACCCTGTCTCTACTAAAAATACAAAAAATTAGCCAGGCGTGGTGGTGGGTGCCTGTAGTCCCAGCTACTCGGAAGGCTGAAGCAGGAGAATGGCGTGAACCTGGGAGGCGGAGCTTGCAGTGAGCCCAGATCACACCACTGCACTCCAGCCTGGGCAATAGAGCGAGACTCCATCTCAAAAAAAAAAAAAAAAAAAAAAAAGCAAATATCCAACAATCAGAAATGTTTAAAAATCAATTATAAAATAATGAAACAATGGACAACAAATATCAAACTCTTCAAGTAAACTGGAAATTGCTCGTGATAAAATATTAAGCAAGAGCTGGGTGCAGTGGCTCATGCCTGTAATCCCAGCACTTTGGGAGGCCAAGTTGGGAGAATCACTTGAGGCCAGGAGTTCAAGACCAAACTAGGCAACATGGCAAAAACCTCATCTCTAGGAAAAAAAAGAAAAAAGCAAAGAATTAAATTAGCTGGGCATGGTGGTGCATGCCTGTGGTCCCAGCTACTTGAGGCTGAGGTGGAAGGATCGCTTGAGCCCAGGAGGTTGAGGCTACAGTGAGCCTTGATAGCACCACTGCACTCCAGCCTGGGTGACACAGCAAGACCTTGTCTCAAAACAAATAAAAAAAACTTAAGTGACACAAGCAGCACACAAGAGGGTTACATAATGTGGTCTCAGGTTTAGGTGGAGCAGATTTTTTTCAAAAGACTAGAAGAAAAGATGTTCACAGTAGTTCTTTTTCGATGGGATTTCCAGATTTTCTACAAGAAATACTTGCGGGTTGGGGGAGGGAGTGCCTTCGCAGACATTAACTCATGGTCCAAGAATCAAAGAGACAATATGGCTTCTACTCCACAGCCTGTCAATTTAGTGGTTTTTCCCTTAACAAAACAGGCAGAGAAGTTTTCAAAACTGCTACATCAGCTATGTCCACTGTGAGACAGAACTGGAACTGGAATCGGCAGAAGCGGAAGTGGCCGGCACTCTCCAGTGTCTCCATACAAGGAGTAGGGCAGTATCGCCCACTTGTCACCATCTGCTGTCTTACTCCATCACAGCATTTCAAAGGGTTGCTTCTCATTCATTCATGATGTTTTGATTGTTTGATAATGGGCCCAGAGTGATCTGGGAAAATAAATGCAGATACTTTATAAAGTATCTAATGATATTACTAATAAATCACAGGAAATGAGCTTTTCTCTTCTCTGGAAAACAGCAGCACACATTACAAATATTGATGAATTCTTAATCCAAAAAGACTTGCAACTGCCACAGAACTACTTTAATGGATGCTGGTCCTTGTTTTCATTAACAGAAAATATATTTACCATTAAAAACAAAAGTTTTGAAACAATACTCAGAAAACAATCTTCTAACAATGAAAAAAAAAACCAAATAAATGGAGGAAGGTGGCAGAAGAGTAAATAAAAATAATAACCTCAATATGAGTGGAAAGTAAGAAACTCAATCATGTAACATGCAGGGTCACATTATTGCAAGGTTAATTAAATTATCTCTGGCCCACAGTTCCCAAGATCCAGGAAGTAATCATCAATTGTATTAACATACATATTTTTATTATTACAGGCTGTGTTGTTCAGAGTGTCTTCTTACAGGGGTTTGTAGTATTTGATCCTTGCAAGAATAATTGTTCCAGTCCCTAACAGTTTCTGGATTAGCATCAATTAGTGAAGAGTTTCTATACAAACAACTGAAACAAGTTTGGTTTTTTTGTTTTTGTTTTTTAACCTTGAACAAGAGAGGAATTGGCAGGGGTGGGGGGCATCTTACAAATCAGAACAAAAGTCATCAAGGTAGTTTCGGAGCACATGTCTGAATGATGGCACGACCCTGGAGCATGACCCACTGTGGGGCCAGCGTGGAAGGAGAGGAGGGGAGTGGCTCCATACCTCTGGGTGCTGCAGACACACTGTATTGACTCTATCATTAGCAGCAACAGTGCTAGCTTTTAAAATAGATGAGTCTTTTTAAATCCAGTACACATTCACAACCATATGTCAGTTTTTTTTTTAAATTATTAAAACCAGGCAGGTAGAACATTAGAGCTCTGGATACTTTTACCAACAAAATGGTTTAAGCAGAAATCTGTGTTAGACACTGAAAAAAAATACTGTTCATCATTTGATGTATTGAGTCACTGCCATTTTTAAACAGCATCTCTGCCCTAAACTTTTCCAATTAAAATTACCAAGATAATGAAGCCAAATTACCACTGTGAGACACTAATTTGCTGTACAAATTTGGGCAGTGAACAAGCACTGCTCCGTTAGAGATGTATCTGCTTAGTTTATTTAATTATCATTTGGACCAAAAACATCTAATAGAGAGAACATCCCAAATCCACCAGAAGCTTGTATGTTTCAGAACTATTAACCTTCTATTCTAAGGCCTTGCAAAGAATTTAGCAAAAATAAATTTCATTCCTATGGAGAAAAACTTGAGGATATTTTCTTGAAAAAAGACAAAAACTAATGTGGTCCACACACATATAAGGAGACATGGCTTCATCAGGGATTCTTCTGCCTCCATGCCTGTAACCTCCATGAAACCTTTCTGGGTAGCCACACTCTCCAGGCTTGCCATGCCATTCAATCCCACCTAAAGTCCCACTAAAACACTGAATTTGTGAATAAAATTATATCTGACATGCAGTCTTCCCTGAAGTCTCTCAGGTTTTCCCCAGTCCTAAGGCCCAAGCAACATTAATTCATTTGCAGTAGCACAGACTATAGGTAGGCAAATTGTACAAAAGGTCAAATCTCTGCACTTGGCATTACCTTCAACAGAGATCCCTTAAAAATATCGATAGTTTCTGAATTATCTCTATTATCTATTATATAGAGATGAGGTATAAGACATCTTGTTTGTCCTCAAGCATCAGACAGAGGAAGCACATAATGTTTTTAAGAAGAAAAAACTACTCAGTGATACTTTTAAAAGCATAGTAGGGCAGACTTTATTCAGGACCATCTTAACACATATAGGGACCAATGCAGTAGGATTTTGCAGTTAGGGAAAGAGTTGATTGAGCTCAACTCCAAATACCGCATGGGGAAGTGGGAATTTATAGCCAAGGAACAGGGTAGGTATCGGTGCATGAAAAATTACTAAGAGGCAACATCAGGGGTAGGAAGGCAATTCTTGTTAAAGACAGGTCAGGGTGACCAGATGTCACCTGGAAGATGGTGGAGGATGAGGAATCTAATCAGATTTGGGTGGGGGTGGGGAGGCGTTCTTGCTAAACTTAGTAGCATGCTTCTTAGCTAAACCTGGATTTTACAAGAAAATGTGTGCGCACACACACACACAGACCTAGGAGAAAGTTCAGGAGCATGACTACAGTGTAGCCAAGCAAAGTTTTTTTGTTTTGTTTTGTTTTGTTTTTTTTTTTGGTCAATATACCCACTAATTCAGGGGAAAAGGACAAATGACGTACCTGATAATAAAGAAAAAGTAAAACACTGTGCATACTTTTTGGGAAGAGTAATTCCAATCAGGATAACCCAGTATGACAGGCAGTGTGGGAACTATGATTTGAAGGAAGAGAAGAAATGTGACAAAGAGATACAGCAGTGAGGGAGGGCAAAGAAGGAAGGACGGACATTCCAGGAACTTCCCCAAATACTGATAAACAGGTCAAATTCCTTGGCACAGGAAATTACTTCATACCAAAAAGGTTCCTGAGTTCCAGCTAATTAATGGATTGTAAACAATGTTGTCCTAAACCAGAAAATTCTGCAACAATAAAAGATTTTGGACACTCACAAATTCATAGCACCGTTTCTAACATTCAGAGCCTTTAAGGGTGCCCTCCTAATTTTACCCGCACATAAACCTCAAAGATCTACTAAATGAGTCAGCATAGGTGATCTCAAGTAATACAAATATTACCAGGAAATCAGAGAAACAGATACCATTTCACAGCCCTAGGCACATTTTTGATAGATTCTGAATATGTTTACATGTAATTGAGAAGAATCCTTACACTGGCATATGATCAACTGGGCCCCAAATTATCCGCCTTTTGTAAACACTCCACAAACCTTAAAAAAAAAAAATCCAAGAATTTTTAAAACTCAAGGTATCAGCATTTTAGAAAGGCTTTCCTCACATGTGAATCATAACCTCTCAAAGTTCTGTTTTGTTTTTTTTGGGTAATGTTAAGTGTAAAACACATTGATAGAGGGAAGCCAAAATACTTCCAAAGTATAATAGGAATAATCCAAAGTCTGTTTCCCCCACCCCCCTTTACAAGTCTGAGTTTTCACAAACAAACTTTATAGCTGTTCAAATGCTAGATGATGTAATCAAATGAAATACATCAGTATATACTAGGTAGTAATAAATAGACTATTGTCAGATGACATTTGCCTACATCCATAACCTTTAAACACACCACGTATGAGTTTGGATTACAGTCATGTGTCACTTAATGATGAGGATACATTCTGAGACAGGCGTCATTAGGTGATTTTGTCATTGTGCGAACATCCTCAAGTGTACTTCACAAATCAAGGTGGCATAGCCTACTATATACCTAGGCTATATGGCATAGCCTATTGCTCCTAGGCTACAAACCTGTACAGCACGTTACTATACTGAATGCAGTAGGCAACTATTAATGTAGTGGCAAGTATCTGCATATCTAAACATAGAAAAGGTACAGTAAAAACACAGTATTATAACCTCATGGGACCACCATCATACATGCAGTTTGTCATTGATCAAAAGAAACATCATTAGTCGGTGCCATAACTGTATAGTGCTCCTTAATTCATCAGCAAGAAAACAACAAAATTGCTGGTTAACATCAGTACTGATAACAAAATCTTTAATCTTTATAAAAATCTAGCCTGGTAGTCCAAACAGGATGAATCTATTAAAACCATACTTTTTCCTTAAATTAAAAAAAAAAAAAGATTTATTTCTTCTAGAAGATACTGCGACAAAGAAAAAACATTGTCCCAGAAGATTTCTCATGGGCACTAGTTTTGCTTATTTTCAATGCAGGTACTACATATATAACCAAGGCAGCTCCTTCATTGCCTGTTTACCTGGGGATTTTTTGTTCACTCTTGATTGCACCAAGTGAGACTGTCGAGGCAGCAAAGGTGAGGAAGGCAGAGACATCGAGACACCTTTGGCCAAGCTCACCCTATAGGTGTCCTCTGCTGTGGGAAGACTGCTCACAGGAGAGTCAGCACTGTGGTCAAGGTGCAGGACTGGAGAAGTCTCTGGACCAAAGTCACTTCCTAGAGTAGAGAGAGAATACTTAGGTTAAACCATCCATTCATTATAAGTTGATGCAAATTTAACTCCTATAAACTATATTCTCAGAATATAATTCCCACATATCAGATGTGTGTATTGAATTTTTTTAAATGACTTTTCCCCCACTACTCTTGAAACTTTTTACCCTGTGAGGGAAAACTCAAGCATCAGTGAACTCTGCTCCATGTGCCTTTCTGCACTACCCTAACTGATCTGGTTTCAATCCCTAACAAAGGATCCAGGAAGCCACTGATCTGGGATTAGATCAAGGTCAAGTATGAATGATCCACAAGAAGCTTTGATCTCAGAAAAGGAAAAGGAGAGGGCTTACTAGCCTTACATGAGTATCAGTAAAACAGATTCAGATACCAACCCTTCCAGAACTCCCAGGCCTCCACTGCTCCTCTCTAATAAGAAAAGACTAAGTGAGAGTGTAGTCTACATCCACATTCCTCCCCAGCACCATCCCTTGGCTCCCATCCCATCTACTCAACACTCCCCATGACACAGGGCCACCCTCCTAAAACTCAAACAGCCCCAAACCAGTCATGGGACTGGAAACATTGCTCACTTATTAGGCAGCTTCCGCTTGACACTCCACCCCTAAACAAGCTTGGGAACAAACAAGCTTACTATTAGGAAATTAAACATTGTTAAATATGGTAAACCCCAAGTTTCTCCTCAAAAAAACCAGTATGTCAGTATGTTCAGCTCTTATTCTTTGATTCTCCATTTTAAAGTTTAACTTCCTGGTTCTCTTTGGCTTCTCGCTTCTAGTTTCAGTCAACAACTTTCCCGCCAATCCTAATTAGTAGTTCACGTCTGTTCCCTGGTTACCTGCTCTGTCCTGACTCATCCCGGTCACCTGCTCTGACCTAAGTCACCTTTAGTTACCTGTTCCTCACCGTCCTTCCCACCAAACCCCGCCATTCTGGCTCATGCCCCTGCCCTCTTTAAAACAGTCAGTCAGAACTAGCTTAGACTGTGTGGTCCAACCCTAGCCAATAGGGGAACAACACAGCAGCAGGGGCTACCTGCGTCAGGAATAAGAACTCCTGCCCCTCCCCTGTCCAGGTGTGCTCTCGCCATTGTTCCATCTGTGATGAGCACCCTTTCTGCAGAAAGTAAAAACTGCCTTGCTGAGATAATTAAATTTATGTTTGAGTGCTATTTCTTTGTGGCACCAGGGAACAAGCATTTCTAACAACATTCTAGGGTAGACAGAACCTTAAGAAGCAGAAAGGATGTAATCACAATGTTAAAAAATATATACAAGAAAGAGTATCTTGGCTGGAACTAGTCTCCCAAAAAAAAAAAAAAAAAATACAGCCAGTCCTCATGTATTCAGATAACACATTTTCCTCTGACTGCTTCTTCCCACCAATCACCTTCCCCGCTCGTTAGTATGTACTAAGATGGAACTGAGGATGTGCAGGGAAAGAATGTAAATCATTACCTGCTTCTTAAAAAGCATCTTCAAACTCTAAGTCACAGAGAGCAGAATTTGAAAGATGTATAAACTTTCCCACAAGCACACCAGTCTCTATGACAAAAGCTATCCAACCAGTCCTTGCCACGCCTTCCTGGCTCCAAAAACAAACCAAAAAAACCACACATACACACACACAATCAAAGACCAGATTTTAAAAAAAGAAACAATGAAAGCTGCCTAGCTAGGCAGGAACTAAATTCTGCAGATTTTTGTGTACAAGGCTCAAAGGGGATACAAACCAGACCATCAAGTTTCAAGTGGTATCACTGTGCTTGTTTTTTGTGTTAGGAGTCAAGAGGAAGTAGAGTCACCCCCTCCATATAGGACATATGCCTTATATGAGACATATAGGACAGGTACATGCCTTACTTTTTTTTTTTTTTTTTTTTTTTGAGACAGTCTTGCTGTGTTGCCCAGGCTGGAGTGCAGTGGCACGATCTCGACTCACTGCAACGTCCACCTCCTGGGTTCAAGCGATTCTCCTGCTTCAGCCTCCTGAGTAGCTGGGATTACAGGCGCCCGCCACCACACCCGGCTAATCTTTGTATTTTTAGTAGAGACAGGGTTTCACCATGTTGGTCAGGCTGGTCTTGAACTTCTGACCTCGTGATCTACCTGCCTTGGCCCCCAAAGTGCTGGGATTACAGGCATGAGCCACAGCGCCTGGCCAGCACATGCCTTACTTTTAAAGGGAACTCACAGCAGAGCAGTGAACAGAAAAGCCCCACAATGGGCATGTCAGCAAAGTCAGATAATTTTAGTCTCTCCTGGGTTACCTATGCATGGACGGTTTTTATAAACCTGGGAAACTAAAGATTTATCACTCACTGCCCAAATGACTGGCATTTGAAGAAACAAGACAGATCAGAAAACTCACTAGGGCTGGGTGCAGTGGCTCATGCCCATAATCCCAACATTTTGGGAGGCCGAAGCAAGCGAATCACGAGGTCAGGAGTTCGAGACCAGCCTGGCCAACACGGTGAAACCCTGTCTCTACTAAAAATACAAAAAAAATAGCTGGGCATGGTGGTGGGCACCGGTAATCCCAGCTACTTGGGAGGCTGAGGCAGGAGTATCACTTGAACCCAGGAAGCAGAGGTTGCAGTGAGCCGAGATCACACCACTGCACTCTAGCTCGGGCAACAGTGCGAGACTCCATCTCAAAAAAAAAACAAAAAACAAACAATAAAAAAACACCTCTCACTGGCGTTACAAAAATAAGGACATTCATGCAAATGCCCAGGACAAAGTTCTGTCCTCAAGGGAGAGAAGCAGACAGGAGTTAGAGGCCTTTCCTCCTAGAGGCTGTGTGGACAGCAGTGGCCCCCAGGCTGGCCCCCACCCCCCCCCCACACACACACAAGCTTCATCCACCCTCTTTTGCTAGCTAGCACTGTAAGATACCATTGTCACCAATCCCCAGAACCACAGGGGCCAGTCTTATAGCACTGTGCATGAGTCTGGAATCTTTGAGAAACCACCTCGAGGCTTTCGGCCAGGTCACGAGTTTTCCCAGCTGCTTTCCCTTCAACTGTCTGGCGAGGAAACAGATCTTAAGGCAGAGCTAGGCTGCACCATGATGCCAGCGCGCAGTGGAGCCGGATGCCCTCTGACCCGACAAACTTGTAAAAGCTGAGGGATGGTTGTTTTCTCATCACCACCTCACTCTCACACTGAGAATGCAAGCAGGTGCTGTGCCTACAAGAACCACATCACGTCACCTAATTCATGGGTGTACAGGCAAGAATCACCAAGAGACAGATCAGAACTTGGAAAGCACTGAGGCCACAGCCCCAGAACATTACATACAAAAGACGTGTGGGGGACCTTGAAGAGGTGACACTGGTTTTCCATGTGGTTTGAAGAGAGCTACATTGCCCTGTGGCTGTTCTCACATAGGCTAAATCACAGACCCAGCTAGTCAAATGGCTGTGGGATGGCCTGACAGGCCACAAAGGCACTGTCTCCCCTACTCACACATGAGTATTACTGACCTATACAAAAACAAATAAAAACCCAGATTTCAAGTCCTTTAATTTGCATGAGGACACAAAAGAAGGGAGAAATACATGTACCACCACCAGAAATAAACAGCATTGAGAAAAGGTTTATTTTCTTAAATACTTATAATTCTCCAACATGACACAAGAGAAATTAGGCATTGAAGGGAAAAAGAATTAAAAAGTTTCCTAATTATAAATTCTGCCCATAAACTTTGTTTATAACAAGCAAAGCAAATATTTTCATTAATTGCAAATGTGGTGCAGATGAGTTTCCAAAGCATGCTGTAAGCATGAGGACCTTCAGCCTTTGGAGCAGCTGGGCTCCAGCACTATGATTTTATGCAGGCTGCAATAAAACGAGGCTTAAGAGAAGAGGGAGGGGGAGGGGGGTTTCCATTTCAAGTTTACTTTACCATCTCACTATAATCACTCTCAAACATGTTGTTCTGTTTGGTTTGTTTTTCAGAGGCAATAAAAGATCTCTAACTTCCAGTATCCTTTCATTAGAAAGGCACAAAGTAGGGAGAGAAGTTTTATGTATGAACAGGAAGCACAAAGCTGGGTGGATCTAGCACTCTGGAGCCAGGAGCTTTAACTGCACAAGGGCAAGGGGAATACGGTCAAACAAAGAAAGCATCACGATGATGCCACGGGCAGAAAGTGAAAATCTCTTAGGGGCATCCACGTGAACAATACAATATTGGTTCTGGGCAACAAGACACCAGAGATTCTCCAGTAGATGTAACATTCCTCAGCAGAAGCTTAAAGACATTTAAGAGGAATTAAAGATGTTTCACTGCAACAACCAGCACAGCTGGCATATTTCTTAACCCTTGAATAGATACTGTTTTCTTTTAACTATGACCTATTTTATTCCCCACCTTGATTAAGTGATGGGAAGCACATTTCAATCACCCTTCCTGTTACTGCAGGCAGAAATGCCAGGTAGGACGATGCAACCTCTCCAGGGTATGAAAACTATGTTATCAATGACTAGTAATTTACCTCCTCCAGCTTCACTGGCAGGTGTTTCCATTGGAACATTTACACACCACAGACAGTCCCACCTACCCCAAAATGCTTTCCATCGCACAGCATCAAATGCAATCACACTGTCTCAGATGGGAGACTGGGGCCTGGAAGGTAACCCTGAGGAACAGGGATCACAGCTAGAACCTCCCCACAACCGGTCAGCTCAGGCTCTAACATTCTCACCACTTCACACGTTTAAGAGCTTTAATTTGGGGAAAAAGATAGAGATCCCCAAAACGACACATTTTTAGTGAGTATTTTAAATACATAAGGCGTCAGCACACTTTGCTACAAAGGGTATGACAGTAAATATTTCAGACTTTGCAGGTTACATATAGCCTCTGTCACTCATACACACACACTCCTTTGCTTCTTTTAAAATCATCAATTCCCTTAAGTCCAAAAATAAAAGTCCAGAAAGGGCAAGGGGACACACAGACATCTATAAGAACCTCTCTGTTCGTAATAAATAAAAATATATACGCATACAAGTAAGTCAAAGTCATAGTTTGCAAAGATAACAAAATTATCAAAGGGAATAAAGCCATCCAATAAGGCGTTTTAAATTGGCAGAAATGGCTTTTGATAACAGTTCTTTATTTTAAAATGTTTTTACCATTACAGGCTGTGAAAAGGGATTTCAATTCATAATGGAAGAAAATGTCAATCTGGGAGATGAATGTTTAAAGGCAGCTATGCAGAATGGCAACATCCAACATCACAGATTAAAGTACATAGAGTGCAGCATTAGAGACAGCTTTAAAAAATGAGGGCAACGAAGGCAAGGAGATGAAAGTAAAAGCATATTTCAGGAAGGGAAGGCCTGAGAAAGGCAAGGGTGCACTTAGACACTCAGGTAAATAGGTCTGCAGAGGCAGGAAATAAGATTTCCATTTATTGTGCCACTGAAGTGGCTGAGGTGGGGTGGGGCGATAGAAGCTTAGAATAGAAAAAGAAAGATGTTCTGTTTATCCAGCTCCAGAAAACGGAACTTGTGCAATGCATTTAACTAGGGCATTAAATGTGTTAGGGCACCTTTTGTGCAGTCCCCGCCTTACAGTGCACTAATGTTTCTTAAAGGTTGTATAACCACATAACTCTACATACATACACACACACACCCCCCCCTATATTTACAGAAAACTGAAAGATTTCTTCCACAAGATCCAGTATCATTTTTGGACCCTTCAGAAGACTACAACTAAAAGCACTTGAAGCCATTTTATGTCTTATAGAATCTCCTAACATTCAGGCAGAACATTTTGAAAATAAATGCATCCAAGAAAACAATTTTCAAAAACTTTATTCAGACAATCATGATTAATTCTCAAACAATACCACTAAGAGGCAAGAAAGCAGCTAACCCCTAGGGTACAAGAAACCTAGCCAACAGGACAGCATATCCTTGTCTTCAAAAATCCACCCAGTGGGATCTAAACAGAGATCAGTAAATACTGTCCGCATGGTTTTATTCTTAATACTCAATGGTTATAGAACCAAACGTACAAATGTGCCTTATCCTGAAACAGATGAGTAAACAGACTGGCATTTCCTCTCTAATTGTCAAAGTTTTCCTTTTAAGACATATCAGCATGCAAGAGTTTCTGTGCTTTAAAAATAAATGACCTCAGAAAAACTCCCACCCCCAAACTCCCAGAGGGGTGCAATTTAAAATAAATGCTCTTTTTATTTTTTAGATGTATTAGGTGCCAGGACAGGGTTCTGGGTGCATTATACATATATTATTTAAACTTAATCTTCACAGCCACGCCACAAATTAGGCATTGCTATTAGCCCCCTTTTCAGATGAAGAAACTGAGGCACAGAAAGGATCAAGTATCTTGCCCAAGGCCACTCTGGCATATATCAGAGCTGAGTCTGAACCCAGGCAGCGGGATCCAGAGTCCACTGTCTCAGTATTGCTCCCCTTGGAGAAGGCTACTGAGAAAGGCTTTCAACATTATGTCATTTTGCATACTTAAGAAGGAAAACCAAAAATAGTATATGTAGGTCTACGCACAGTACTGGGCCACCACAGAGGGGAAGAAAAAAAAAACAAAAAAACACCCTGTTCCCTCGTCTATTTTCACTTTTCATGCCGGCTGGTTAATTAGCTCCACAGCACTCCTGCAGCACTCCTTTTGGGAGGTACCCAGGCCCAGTGATCATTAATCTTCTCTCAGTCACACCTCATGCTGTCACCATACAAGCGAAGTGGATCCAGGATAGGTGTTTAGTCATCAAGCACCCTAGTTTCCTCTCCTCTCCGTGGGTACTGGACATTTATTAACTCTTGCAGCATTTGGGCCTGCTGCTTCTGCAGCACAGTGGCGCTGGCTCCGGTCATTCTGCCTGGCCCAATGAAGGGTGAAGTCACGAGCTAGCTGTGGTGGAAGGCAACCTGGCAGGATTCACCGTCAATCTGCATGGAATTTGGGATTCTACATTTCCTTGCCAGCACAGACTTGTCCAGGTCTACCAGTCCTGTGGAACACACTGCAGCTTGAATTCCGTGGCTCTGCCAGGCCTACTGATGCTACACCTGATTCAGTTTCCAACACCCTCCACACAGAGGGACCCCCGATCCCTGCCGAGCGAGGCTGTTTTAACTGGTTGGGAAAATGGCACAGGTGATGGTCCTTAAAGCTCACCAAGTGATTTTACTGTGCAGCCAGGACCGAGAGCCACAGAAGCAAGAAGGTGGTCAAAAAGATCTGGAATGCTTATGCCACTTCCCAAGACAAAGAGGTCGGGAGAAAAGGAACTACAAGGCCTACTGTACTAAGTAATGCAGATGATTAAAATAAAAGTTTCCATTCCAAATGTACATTCCTTGAGGGTATATGTGTATATATATGTGTATCTACATATGTATGTAGGCACACACATTATGTTTACATCTATACAAACATGGACACTTGTACATGCATGGAGGGTCTCGAGAAGGATACACATCGAACCAGTAGCAGTGGCTGCCTCTGGGAATGGGAACTGATCAACTGAAGCATGGGTGTTAAGATACACACGTTTAGATGGTTTATATTTTTTCCTATGTGCACATTTCCTGTAAATATTTAAATGTACATTCCCAAGGATTGAGCCATGTGTCAATTTTAAGATCTTTAGGATAAATGGGCCACCTACTAAGGCCTAACTTGGCAAGTGGGTGAAATGAAGCTCTATTCCACAAAGCATGTGCTCGAAGTGACATGTGTGTAGGCACTGCTCGGAGGCAAGCTTGTTTGCAGCTGACTACAGTGGACACGGGCATAACAGGAAGAAGAGTGCCAGTGCCCTGCTCTGAAGGTTGGATGCCAGCAGTGCTGAGCCTGCCACAGTCCTGTCATTGATGGGCTCTGGGTCAGCTGGCATTTCTTCTCTTCCCACCCTTCTGTTTCTCTTCCAGGTCCTGGTCATCTCTGCTGTTGGTGGTTGGGTGTGGGCACACTTGCAGATGCCTGCTCACATGGGACATGGATAATCCAAAGCACTAGGAAAACATCCAGTCTGCCAGGGAGGAAAGAGGGAAAGAGAGACATGAGGGTTGGAGTGTAATGGGAGGACAGGGAAGAAAACAGATGCTAAAAAGGAAGGAAATGAGGCAGGACAGGACCAAGGAATTGAGAAGTAAAGAGAAGAGGGGGAACAGCCGCTCAAGGAGCAGGGAGGGGTGGAGGTGGGGTGCAGGCGATAAATGCATGAATTCCTGTTTCTTTTTAAAACTGCATCTGGCTAGCAGTCCTGGCAAGGCCTCTCCCAATACCCTAGTAAAATATCTAACTACAAAGTAAGAAAACTCACAAGTGCAAAAAAACCATACTAAAAGGAAGAGACTGCCAGAAAAGGAAAGAATTTCCAGTAATTTTAAAGATGACAAAAGGGGATCCTTTGTTGTTGCAATAAACAATTGGTGGCCTAACCACACTCCAGTCTATAAAACATCAGAGCCCAGCCCACTGTGGAAGGGGGAGGATAGCAAACCCCTGACCCTGGAGTCGGCCTCTGTATCTCCACCCTGTGCCCACCAGCAGGAACAACAGCTCCAGATCAGTAAAACCTGGCTGATTGCATCTTTTCTCTTTTGATAAGCCTCCCCCAACCACCACCCAAAATAATCAATGACAGGACTGAGAAAACATAGCTTATTAGTGAAAGGAAAGAGAACATCTGCTTGAACACTCAAAGACGACTGAGAACAAAATTCTGTGAACCGCTTGGTACCATCAATAGAATATAAGATGGCCTGGCCTCCAGACCCTTCATAGAGTGTTTCTTTCCTGATGACAATCCATACCGGGGGTGTCTAATCTTTTGGCTTCCTTGGGCCACATTGGAAGAAGAATTGTCTTGGGCCACACGTAAAATACACTAATGATAGCCGATGAGTTTTTTAAAAAAGTCACAAAAAAAGTCTCATAATGTTTTAAGAAAGTTTACAAATTTTTGTTGGGCCGCATTCAAAGCCGTCCTGGGCCTCATGTGACCCACAGGCCGTGGGTTGGACAAGCTTGAGCTATACTACAGACTAAGGCATTCTATACTATATATCTATACTATAGACTATTAAAGATAAGGAAAGAAAAGCAGGAAATTTAAAAAGCATGATCCACATTTCAGGTAGTCAAGGAAAACTGATACTATAGAAAACTTAGTCCATGATAAAGAGAATAAGCTCGGGAAGGTTTCCCCAAGAAGCAGAGGGAAGGAGCTAAAATTTTAACAATGTGAGAAAATATTATAGATATGGGAAACAAAAACCTTTCTGAGAAGAAATAAGGACAAGATAAAGTAATTTTTCTAAAAACCTAAGAAAAATTATCACAGGTTTCCAGGTAAGCATTAAAAAGGTGTTTTACTAGGATACAAACAAAACCTCGGAGCCTCTGAAAGGCACCAGAGCCCGACTGCACTCAGAACCCTTGTGTTAGTTTCCTGGGGCTGCTGTAACAAAGTTCCATAAATAGGGTGGCCTAAACAACAGAAGTTTACTTTCTCACATTTCTGGAGGCTCCAAGTCCAACATCAAGGTATCAGGCAAGGCCATGATCTCTCTGAAGGCTCTCGGGGAGAATCTAGTTCATGCCTTTCTCTTCCTTTCTGGTGTGGTCAGCAATCCTTGATATTCCTTGGATTATAGATTCATGCCTCAAATCTCTGCCTACGTCATCACATCACATTCTCCCTCTGTGTCTGTGTCTCCTAAGGACAACAGTCATACTAGATTAGGACCCACCCTAACCTAGCGTGACTTCATCTGAACTTCCTGACATCTGCAACGAGCAAATTTCCAAACAGGATCACTTTAACAGGTATCAAGGGTTGAGACTTCAATGTACCTTTTTGGTGAACACAATTTCACCCACAACCCTTGTCCCCTCCCGTCCAACACCGAAAGCCTGAAATCAAAAAAGCAACATTGGCCAGGTGTGGTGGCTCACACCTGTAATCCCAACCCTGTGGGAGGCAAAGGTAGGAGGACCACTTGAGCCCAGGAGGTTGAGGCTGAAGTGAACTGTGATTGTGCCACTGTACAGCAGCCTGGGCAACAAAAGGAGACCCTGTGTCAAAAAAAAAACAAAAACAAAACAAACAAACAACAAACAACGACAAAAAAAAAAAAAAACGGAAAAACAAAAAAAGCAACATCTACAAAACTTGAGGGAGAAAAAAAGCACGGCCAAATCTTCTAAAACTGCACCAGGCTATTATACATGATATCAACCAGAAAACATTCTCAGATACTCAAAAGCTCAGAAAATGTACAACCCATTTATCCTTCTGAAAGAAACAAGTTCCTTCAGAGAAAAAACAGAATCCACTACTCAACAGTGGGGACATTATGGTTTTTAAAAAATATAAGAAACTGTATAAACCAATCCTGGCCTTCCAGCACTTCACTCAACTGCCCCTCTTCCACAGCCTTCTCTTTCAGGAACGGGCTTTTTGAACCACATCCTTCACCCCACAGTGCAGAAAGAATCTCTTACTTTATCTGGAGACCCTTAAAGCAATAACTGATGCTGCCTGCCAGAACTCGCTAACAATAGCTTACATTTTTCACGATTGGGATGCTGGGCAAGGAAAGCTCTCTTTACCCCCACCCACCCCTCTAAACAAGCAGAGTAGCACGGAACACCACAATGACTGTTTTCATTGCCAAGGAACTCAAATTAAAAAAAAAAAATCAGTTTACCATATGAACATTTTCAAAAACATGTAGAAAAAACATTTAAGCTAGTATACACAATCTTTTATAATGGAAAAATAAGTAAGATACATGACCCAAAAGTTCGAAGGCAGTCAGTAAGATGATGGTGGTTATTTTGAAGGGAGTGGAAGTATGAACGGTTTTTTCCCCTTCCTTTTACATTTTCAGTTTGACATATATTCTGACATGTTTTATAAAATAAAATATACTTTATTTTCCAGTGAACATTTATTTGAAACTCAAATTTGTATCCATCTCCCTTTATTTCCAGAGGTTCCCCTGCAAGCTGCCACATTGGACACCTGCCAAGTTCTTGAGGCTCCTGCTGTCATGAGTCCTCTTCCAGGAAGGTCTCACTTTTCCCCTATTCAGGCACCTCGAGCTATGCCCACTGTTGTTGCTCAGTCTGCCTGCCACACACTTGCCCTTGTCCATGTAGCTCCAACTGACCATATCCCAGATCTCTCTAATGTCAGATGGTCTTTCCTATTGATTGTTCTCACAATGAAGTTCTGGATCAGCTTCACCCTACAGACACTGCAGGGTCCAAGATCTAGTGCCTCACCCTAGGTGCTTCAAAGCACTTAAAAGGAGCCTCACTGCCCCAGCTATCTGCAATCTCAACCAGTTAATGCTTTAACATTAAACTTTCTCAAAAAAAAAAAATCCAAATACACCCTCTTAATTTATAATAACAGAGAACTCCACATTTTTTTCACAGCACTTTCTTGAAGGTGACATGAGAAATGACAACAGTAGTGGACCACCATGCTGCACCTGTCACGTCTATGTTAATAGTGCCCCCGGAGCTGTGCAATGAGGCCAACCCAGGGACAACAACTAACCACAGGATACCCCACTGCTAAAGCCATTCTCCATCCCAATTACTCACCAAGCCCTGAGATTACTGCCAGAGGCCACTTATCCTCGAACTTCACATACTGTTTCATTCCTGAGTAACATGACAGGATTTACATTGAGTACTGTTTCACCTATGTGTGTATGCCTGATAGAGTTTGAACATCTGCCCCTTTGAAATTTCATGTGGAAATGTAATCCGCACTAGGTGGGGCCTAGTGAGAGGTGTTGGGTCACGGGGGTGGATCCTTCATGAATGGCTCGGTGCCCTCCCAGCAGTAATGAGTGAGTTCTCACTCTATTAGTTCACTAGAGATCTGATTATTAAAAAGAGCCTGGCACCTCCTCCCTTGCCATGTGACATGCCTGCTCCCCTTGGCTTTCTACCAGGAATAAAGGCTTCCTGAGGCCTCACCAAAGCAGATGCTGGCACTACAGCCTGCAGAACTGTGAGACAAAATAACCCCCCTTTCTTTATAAATTACCCAGCCTCAGGTATTCCTTTATAGCAATGCAAAATGGACTAACACAATGCCCATTGTGTATATCGGCCCTAATAATGATGATCAAGCTGGCAGTTCTTAAGCCCTTCCTTTGTGTGCCAGACATCTTGCTAAGCACTTTACATCTATATATCAAGTCCATTTTGAGTTGCTATAAAAGAATACCTGAGACTAGGCAATTAATAAAGAAAAGAGAGTTCTTTAGCTCATCGTTCTGCAGGCTGAGAAGTTCAAGGGCAAGGCCATGGCTTCCCCATGCATCACAACACGGCAGAGACAGTCAAACGGGAAGTGGACACAAGCAAAGGGGAAAAGCTGAGAAGTATCCTGGCTTTGTTACAACCCACTCTCTCTGGAACTAATCCATTCCCATGAGGACTCACCCAGTCTTCCCAGAGCAAGAACTCTGACTTGTTGCAGGAGAACAGCACCAAGCCATTCATGAGGTTTTGGTGAGAACAAACCACAGCAATACATTAACTTGAATACACTAATTATTCACCCCATTCCATTTAAAATGACACTGTCATTGCCCCCTTGCTGCAGATGAGGAAATCAAGGCTTGGAGGAGGGCTAAGTTGCCTAGGATCCCCTACCCTGAAAGTGGCAGATCCGGAATTGAACCCAGCCAGTTTGACTCCGGAGTCAGAACTCTTAACCACAGTACCACACTGGACTGTCCCAGATAGCATATTCCCTAACCAAGGTGTATACTGAGCATGGAGCATTGCTTGGTGCTAAAGAAAGTCTGACTTAGCCCCAGATAATTTAGCAAGTCATGTTTCCCTGAGTGATAATTGTCAGGAACATTCTGTCATGTTGGACATGCTGACATTTTGGGGGTGGAAAAATAAGTGGAAGGGAAAAAGACTTTTAGAACAATACTCTAAGCAGTACACCACCCCCTCACTAACTACTCAAATCCAAACTCTGGCAGTCCCGTCAGCAAAGCTGTCTGCCAAAAGGCCTCCTTACAAGAGAAGGGAGAGAATAAAAGGGAGCTGCTACCATTTATCTTACTTCAACTCCTTACAAGGAAAACGGGATCATTTTGGGGGAAAAAATGCCTCAATGTTTCTAGGCAGTATTTAAAGTTTCTTCCCCACAAAAACATGTTCAAAAATACTACCAACTTAGCTCACATTCTAGAAAAAAGCAGACTAAATCTGCCGTGTACATGTGGCTATATAACAAGGTCTTTCCCAGGCCTGTATTGGGGGGGGAGCTAGGAGTGACGAAGAAAATGAAATGACCGAATTTTTTTTTTTTTTTGAGATGGAGTCTTGCTCTGTCACCCAGGCTGGAGTGCAGTGGCACGATCTCGGCTCACTGCACCCTCCACCTCCCAGGTTCAAGCCATTCCCCTGCCTCAGCCTTCTGAGTAGCTGGGATTACAGGCATTCACCACCACCCCCGGCTAATTTTTGTATTTTTAGTGGAGAGGGGGTTTCGCCATGTTGGCCAGGATGGTCTCGAACTCCTGACCTCATGATCCGCCCGCCTCGGCCTCCCAAAGCATTTGGATTACAGGCGTAAGCCACCATGCCCAGCTGATGACTGCATTTTTCTATATCTTATTTGTATGCATCTTGTATATTTTGTTTACTTTATCCCTATTCCACCATCAGCACCAAAAAAAAAAAAATTCACTGCTCAGTTTTCCAAACAGCAGTCTCAATGACATGTCTCGTAAAATATCTTAGCAACAATGTCAATATTGTCTGACTACAGCTAACCATATTAACATTCCATTCTAATCATGAATTCTCAAATATAAAATGGAATGTGAATTACTTACTTCATTCATTTTTTGAGTGTTACTCTGGGAAAAGAGCCCTCTAACAATTCTATAAATTGGCATGTAAATTAAGCATCAAAATTACGTTCAATAGCTATTACTTTTTGTGTATCTAACTTGCAAGTATCAGTATGAAAATAAGCAAATGTTGACAAGGAAATCAACATAAGTATAAGAACCAAACAAAATACACTGACAAATTACTTTGATCAAATACTCTTCCTTTGTTATTTCTCTAATGGAACCCTTTCACTCATCTGCTTGTATATTTGTATTCCAAGTTTATCTTTACAGTAACTGCCAAAAACAGAGTTTACTAGATAATGAGGGATCTTCTAAGAGTTTTTAAAGTCACATACAACATGGCTGGTGGGGGCAGGCCCTGTGGAGACACAGGAACAAACAGCATACCAGTGACTCCCAAACATGGCTAACCATTCAAAAATTGTTATTTAAAAAAAAAAAAATAGGCCAGGTATGGTGGCTCATGCCTGTAATCCCAGCACTTTGGGAGGCCAAGGCCGGCAGATCACTTGAGGCCAGGAGTTCAAGACCAGCCTGGCGGTCTTGAACCAACATGGTGAAACCCCATCCCTACTAAAAATACAAAAATTAGCTGGACATATGGTGGGTGCCTGTAGTCCCAGCTACTCAGGAAGATGAAGCAGGAGAATCACTTGAACCCAGGTGGTGGAGGTTGCAGTGAGCTGAGATTGTGCCAATGTACTCCAGCCTGGGAGACAAAGCAAGACTCTGTCTTAAATAAATAAAGAATAAAAATATAAATAAAAATAGATGCTTGGACCCCAACACTAAATTCGGTAGGTCTTAAGGGAATTTGAGTCACAAGGGCCTAGGTGAACCAGCCAGGTTTAGGAATCACTGCACTACACAATTACAGTAGAGCCCATTCTTGTAAAGCCAAAGGTGAACACTGACTCTTTGAATGTGCATGCATCTTTGAAGACACACAGGTTTCTGGTTTTAGGTCCCTGCATTCAGGCCTCATATCCCTGCCCCCTTCTGTCTCCTAGTGAACACATATACCCCAAGCCTGTTTACAGCAACGGTCCCTACAGCACTCTGCTAAGGACATGCCTATTACCATGGCTTTTTCCCCCATCTGCTCCAGATGGAAAGGCGAGGGTCATGTTTGCCACACAGACAAGTGAGCTAGGAAACAAAAATATCCTAGATGCCACCACTTACCAAGGTCAAAAGGAGAGTGTAAAGGAGCAGAAAAGCAAGCCAAAATGGTATAGAAATTACCTAAATTATAATAAAAGCAAACATTTGTAAGATGCTTACTGTGGTTCAGGCACTGTTCTAAGCACCGTCTTTTTTTTTTTTTTAACAAGTTTAAAACATGTATTTTAAATACAATTTACAAAATACTTAATCTGCTGACTCAGGAGCCCTCGGTACAGGGTTGGGTGGCAGTGGGCAGCTGCCCGCTACACCAGCAGAGCAAGACTGCAGGGGTGTGGCCCTCTCTCCCATGCCCTTCTGTTCAGACACCCAAGGGGCCTGTGTGCACCCCTGGGATCACACGACCAGAAAACAGGACCCCAGAGGTTTCTTTAGTCTCTGTTTACTAGGGAGGCTGAGTATAGCCCTGCTGGCCCATCTCTGAGCAGGGCACCCCCAGATGGGGCAGAGCAGGGTATGGCTTGGCTGGGCAGGGCAGGGCTGGGCAGCAGGTGGGCTCTGGAAGGGTCTGATGGTAGCATATAGGGTGTTGCCTCCTGCCTGCAGGTGGGGAGCACCCTGATCGAGTGGGCTGAGAAGGGCTGGTCACTGGACCTGGATCCCCCAGCTCCTTTGGTTATAGGCTAACATCAGAGAAGTGGCTCTTGGGAAGCGGTTAGCTGGAAGGTCTGAGGCCTGGCCCATGGGGCCAGGGAGGAGCTGGGGGAAGGGGACAGTACCGTGAAGGCAGATAAAGGGGCAGCAGCCTCAGGTTTCTGCCCCGCCCCTCCAATCTCTCTAGGGTTTTCCAAGCCAAAGCCTTTCACTTACTTTAAAATACAAAAGGAAAAAAAAGCATATAAGCAAAGTTACAGACAACTATACTCCCATACACAAAATCCAAACTGTTTTCTCATCTCCCATCAATTTCTCCCCAACACAATACAGTTGCCCGTTTTCTTTTTTAAACTTTTTCCTGCCACATCTCCATTTGGGAAGCTATGACTGCTGGTGGTGACATGCACACAGAGGGTAGACCCCATCTTCGGCCAGAGGGAGGTAGGAGCACCAGTCCCTGCCACATTCTCAATCCACAGACACCCACAGCCAGCCTTTACTTTGGCCCTACTAGATGGCAGTGGGGCAAGAACAGGTGGTCCCAGTGGCTAAGCAGCCAGCACTTCTGGCCTTCCCACCTAGACTATCTCTGTACCCTTCTCTAATTGAAAGGACAGTCTCACTTTGGGCCAGAAACCACCATTACATGAGGGATGGACACTATACATTTTGAATGTGGACACTTGGTTATGACAGTGCAACTATAAAGATAGCCAATTTTCTTCCTTGTCTTCTCCTGAAGATAATCCTCCCTCTTACTGACTGAAGCTCTGGTTCCAGCTCTGCTCACGGGCAATGCCTGGCTTTATACAGTTATAAGGCCATGCTATGGACTAGCTGCTGGCTCGACAGCTGGCCCTTCCTCCTGAGAGGAGGATGTGGTGGGACATGGCTTGCTGGGCCTGGCCTACCATTCCCACAGGGAGCCCGAGGTGGAGTGAGCCTGTGAAAATTAGCTTGCCACCTTGGCACCATAAGCTGCTCTAATCACAATACCATACCAACCAACCACTCCAAAACCTACCTGCTGGTCAGGAGTTGGGAGGCCGTCTGGCTGGCTGAGGGATAGGGCACAGTGCCACGGAAGGCATCAGAAACCCAAGAGGAGCCGGGCTGTACACAGAGCTGCTCTGGGCAGCTGCACTCTTAGCCTCTTCCACCTCAAGGAGCCAAAGCAAATCTCAGGCTCCAGGGGCAGAGGAGGAACTGTCTTCATTCCAGGCCCTCGCTCTGGAAAAAGGGGTGATGCGTAGCCTAGGCCTTTGGGGAACCAGTCTATCATCAATCTTTGCAAAGCTATTCTTTTTCCAACTTTATTCAGAATGCTCTGCCTTCAAGGTACAGATTTTACATAGGAAATATACCAGGTATAGTTACTGAGCTGGGGTCATCAATAGAGATGGAGCACCACAGACTCTTAAGAGTTCTAGCCATGCTAGAGTGGGAAGATCTATCCACCTTCTGATCGTACGGGGCAGAAGCCTCCAGGTCCTGGAGCCAGGCTTTCTCCTGGTTTTCCCTGTGCTGATGGCAAATACTGAACAAGTCTCACATCCTTTACTTCTAAGCCCAGAAATGCAGTCTCACTCCCTGACACTCTCTGCTCTCTTCTAGAAGCAGTAAGCCTGACTGGTAGGGAAACCACCCTGAGGGGTATGGGAAGGGGAAGTCTGTTCACTTTCCCTGTCTCCCAAAATACAAGAGGTGGGGTAACACCCTCCCCAGGCTCTCCGAGCCTACAGAGCTAGCCCAGTCTCCAGGCAAGGCCCAGATGCCCTGGGACTTAGCTCGGGGAGGGAGGTATAGGCATGGGGTGCCCATTTGTCCCGGGGGTTGCAGAGCCCTGCCCCTTTTCTGGGTGGCAGTAGGAACACAGAAGCTAAGGTCACCAAAATCCTATGTTTTTAGGGAATTTCCCAGAAACATTTTCAAGTAGACTACCAAACTACCCTTTCTCATTTAAAAATTCGTTAAACTTCTAAAACCCCTCCCATGCACTTCTTATAAATTAGATATTTGTCTAAACAAACAAAAATAGGGGCAAAAGGATATTTTCAAAGGAAACTTACTTTTTACATGATGAAGACATGCACTTGGGGGTGGGTAGGTGTGAGTTCTCATTTGTGTTTTGAAATCCCAAATTAATGAGCATGATAAACTGTTATTGCGGGCACTGGCTTTACCCTAAGTGGCACTGTCTGAGTCCGTGATGGGTTCCCTCAACCTTCCACTAACTCCGCCCACCCTTTCCCTTTCTATTGATTTGGGACAGCCCTTGTCAACAAAGCACTGTAATTTATTTAATCTTCACAATGGAGAGGACATAGATACTGTTATTATCCCCATTGTATAGATGCAGGTGAACCCAAGCAGCCTGGCTGCTATACTGCCCAAAACATAGGCTTTGGAGACAAACTAGGTTCAAACCATGGCTCTGACACTCAGTAACTATGTAGTCTTAAGCTAGTACTTTGACCTCTATTAATAAGCTATTGATGATGTAACTGTTTATAAACATGCAGCACACTGTCTGAAACACAGCAAACACTCAAAAAAAAAAAAAAAAAAAAAGACACACACACTTTTCAGCCAAGTGAGGTTGCTCACACCTGTAATCCCAGTTACTAGGGATGCTAAGGCAGGAGGATCGCTTGAGTTCGGGAATTCAAGATCAGCCTGGACAATATAGTGAGACCCCATCTCTTTAAAAAACAACAACAACTTCTCATAGTGCTATCATATTTTCTCCAAAAGATTCACTTTTTGCTGAACTGAGATTCACCTTCTGGTTTCTAATATCTTGAGCATTATCTCATCCCTCCCCCAAACATTTAAGTACCAAAAACCCCCAATATAAATCTAAATATCTCTACAAATATATTTTATTGTTCCTTGCTTAATGGGCATTTCCCAAAAGCAGGTATACCATAGGTTTAAAAAAAATACAAAAACAAAACAACCCTATATCTTCAACACTATCATGCCTGAAGTTTTTTAAAAAAATATTTAACCCTCATAATTACTTAATGATACAGAGCAATACTAACTTCATTTTGTAGGCAAGAAAACAGGTTCAGAAAAAATTATTCAAAGAAAACTGTAGGCATATTCAAACAGACTCTTACGTTACTTAAGTTTTTTGAAACCAAACCAGCAGAGTTATTCACCCTTAAGATGCTGCTTCCAGAAATCAGAAGGATTAGAGGTACTGTTGGAGGAGTCCAATAACCATGGTAACAATTTAATGGATGGAGGGGGAAAAAATCCTCCAGAATCTCTAATCTTCAGAATCTTGGAGCTAAGGATGTAGCTCTAAGAGGTTTAATCAGATTAGTAGAATCAAAACTCACAGACAAAGCAGGGAAATAAAGAGAGCTGACCTCCATGAAATATTGCTTTGTAACCTCTTAGTTTTCAACAGTGAATTTACAGAACTGATACAAAATCCTTCACTTGATCCTATAAAAAATAAAGGATGACTTACATATATCTTTTCAGGCTTTATAATTCAAAATTAAACAAGACACACATTTGCCTTGCTTAGAACTTTAGCTAGTAAGCTATCAGATGATTAACCACTTACCAAAATATTAAAATAGCTATTGAACCCAAGACAAAAATAGGTAAACAAACAGGTAGGAGAGAGTAAGAAATTTAAATTTTAATTTTTGACAAATACTGACATAACATATACTATATGCCAAGCATGGGCTTGAGCCCTTTATAAATAGTAATTCATTTAATCCTCACAAGTGAATCACAGGGCACAGAAAGGTTAAGTAATTTGCCCAAGTTCACATAGCTGATAAACTGTGGAGCCAGGATACAAACCCAGGAAGTATGGTTTCAAATAGCCCATAAACATATAAAAATGTGTTTGAGTTCATTCTAAAGAACTGCATAATTAAAAACAGACACAATTTTTGCCTCTCATGCTGGCAAAGATGAAATAGTTTGATCATAACCTAAGGATATGAAAAAACAAGTATTCTCTTATATTACTGGTGGAATTGTAAACTTACCACCTTTCAAAGGGACAATTTGACAAAACCTAGAAAAGTTTTAAATGAACAAACCTGTTACCCAACAGAATTTCTTACAACTATTCTTATGAAAGCACAGGCAGTTATGTACAAGGAGATTCACTCTAGAACTGACTTGTAATAAAAAAAATATATATAACTTAAGTGTCCATCAACAGAAGAATGAGATAAATTATAACTACCCAATGCAACACTGAGCTACTTTTTAGAAGGCTATATATCGATATGTGCCAATATGAAAAAAATGTATAAAATGCAATCATCATAGTAGTTTACAGAATAAGATGTATTATAAAGTCCATGTGGGGTTTCTTAAGGATCGATATATGTATTGATGTGTGTCCATATGCACATACATATATGCACAGAAGCACAGAAAATATCTTGAATGATCATCTAAGAAATTGTTAACATTAATTGCCTTTGGGGAGCGAAAAGAGAAGCAGAGAAGAAATAGGAATAGTGTCTGTTTTAATACCATCATATAGGTTTTGTTTTTATAATTGTGTACACTATTACATTTATGGAGTTTGAATGGCTTTACAAAAACAAGTGATTTTAGAATAGGATGGAATTAGGACAGTCTCAAGGATACCAAGCAAAACTTTGCTTTAAAATACTGAGACCCCACCTCTACAAAAAATTTAAAAGTTAGCCAGGTGTAGAGCTGCACGCCTGTAGCGCAGCAACTAGGGAGCCTGAGGTGGGAGGACTGCGTAATCCAGAAGTTAGAGGCTACAGTGAGCTATGATCGCACCACTGCACTTTAGCCTGGGTGACAAAGCAAGACCCTGTCTACTCAGTGATTCAGTCTAGATCAAGACCATGTAAGAATCTCACAAATAATCCTTCTAGGAAAAGAAAAAAAAATCTAAAGGAAAAAAAAAAACAAAATGAACGTCCCTGAAGGAAGAAATTATAAAGAAAATTTTCTATCTTCTATCTCAGGGATAGAGATATAGAGATATAACATAGAGATATGTTTTCCTTTATGTTTACTCGGTGTGAGATAATAAAGGAAGACAGCCGGAGACATAGTATAAACCACTAACGTACAAACACTACACTCTGAGTCCATCTTTGCTTTAACTAGCTATACGACTTTGGGTAGTTGCTCAATGCCTCTTTTTCCAGGTCTTCCTCAAGCAAGAAATTGAACTCAATTTCTAAGATCCTCCTAGATCTAAAACTTCAAAATGTCATTACTTTATCATAGTTTAAAAAAGAATCTCTACACATAATAATCTAAGAGCATGCAGCCATGGATAGAAGTTTGCACTTATGATTATAGCAATTTATTAAGGAAATGTTGCTGGAACTATCCCCATCTACTGTTGGGAACTTACCAGGAGTCAGGCTTCCAGCACATCTGGGTAGAGGAGGAACTTTGACATCTTTGGCTGTGCACAAAGACAGAATGTTATCAAGTACTGTGGATGGCTTGATGACTCAATGGGGTTGCTTTTATGCTTTTATTTTGGTTTCTTTATAAATTCTTGAATATAAGCCAATCAGACTAGTGGATCTCTAGCCTCAGCACAAACATGAAATGTTAACAACGCAGAGAAACTTTTACCTATAGAACATAGGCAGTTTCACCATCAGCGACTTCAGTAAAAATTCCCCAAGAAGCTTTCTGGATAAGTCATATAGAAAATTTGCATTACTATACACAACAGCCAGATTAGGAAAAGGGAAGAACAAGACTAACAAGCCCCTCACAATCCCAACAGAAAAAAACAAGTACAAGGGCATGAAAAAGACAATCATTGAAGAAGAAATGTAACAGAGCAATAAATACTGGAAGAGGTCTACCAATCTCAAAGAAATGCTAATTAAAAACAATGAAGTGCAAGTTTTAACCTATAAAAGTGACAAAGATTACTAAAACCCACAAATACCCCCTAGTAATAGGAATTGTGCAAGCAGGCACATTCACATACTGCTTACACAGGTGGCAACCAACATGAGCTTTCTAGAAAACAATTTGGCAAGAGGCACTAACAGCTTATAAAAAGTTCATTTCCTTTCCCTATTAACTCCATGCTTGAAAACATATTCTAAAATAAAATTCATACAAAGGTATGTATTTTCCAGACGGTTTTTTAAATGAAAAAAATATGGAAACAAAATGGGCCCAAATAAAACCATGGTACATTGGTACAATAAAATCTTAGGCTTTTTTTTATACAAAAAAATGACATTGTATTTAAAAAAGATAAAGCAAAAAATACAGAATATCTTGGGTTATTTGCTTGTAAGTATTATGAGTGTTTTCTATTTTCTTTTTTTTGTGGAGACAAGGTCTTACTACTCTGTCACTTGGGCTGGAGTGTGATGGTGTGATCACAGCTCACTGCAACCTCGACTTTCCAGGCTCAAGCAATCCTCCCACATCAGCCTCCTAAGTAGCTGAGACTATAGGCATGTTCCACAACACCTGGCCAGTTTTTTTTTTGTTTTTTTTTTTTAATAGACAAGGTCTCACTATGTTGCTCAGGCTGGTCTTGAACGCCTAGGCTCAAGCAATCCTCCCGCCTCAGCCTCCCAAAGTGTTGGGATTACAGGCATGAACCACTGGGCCCAGCGTATTTTTCGAATTTTGTACATTGAGTATATAAATATTAGGCATGGATTCAAATACTGATATTCTCATTTTTACTTCTCTAGTAGTTTAAAGAAAATCTTAAGTGTAATAAACATTCTAATTGATTGACTTTTTTTCTTCCTTAGTACATAAAATAATGGTGTTTCATGACCAATTCTCCAGGGTATCGTGTTTATAATAACAACATTAAAGTGCTATAGATGAATTGTGTTCCCAAAATTCCTATGTTGAAGCTCTAACTCCCAATGTGACAGTATTTGGGAGATGGGGCCTTTGGGAGACAATTAGGTTGGATGAGGTCAGATTAGATGATTGGGTTACATGAGCACATGATGAGATTAGCGCTCTTATAAGAAGAGATACCAGAAAACTTGCTATCCCTGTCTCTACCATGTGAGAACACAGGGAGAGGGCAACCCCTACAAGCACCCAACCATGCTGGCACCCTCATCTCAGACTTTCAAGCGTGCAGCATGGCGAGGGGAAATAAGTTTCTATTGTTAAAGCCACCCAGTCAATGGTGCTTTGTTACGGCAGCTCAAGCAGACTAAGACAACACGAAGATGTACTATCAAAAATCAAAATATTTTTAACATCTCGTACTTGGAAAGAAGCTTTCTAGATAAGTCATATAGAAAATTTGCTTAGTGGGGCGTGAAGAGCAAGCCCTCACAAAGAAACAATGCATTAACATAAATTCCTTAATTTTGGCAAGTGAAATAAAAACACAATCATCAGGAAGACCCTGTGTGCAGGTGGCTCTCTTCCATCCTTAACCTGGAGTCTACCTCCAGGCTCTTAGCCTCTGCTATCAGCCAGTTTCGTGATCTACAAAAACCCAGACAAGATCTCAAACCACTACAGCCACCTCCATGCATGTCTCACATCAGAGACATCATTCCTGATGACATCCCAGGGCATAAAGATCATCACCATGTACCAAATCTAGCAGTTGAAGGCTCCAAACTCCCTTAAAAATGGGCAACTCCCTGACAAACTTTAAGAGTGTGAAGAATTAAAACCAGCTGCTCAGTTGCTCGTTTTACCTTTACCCACTGCACTGTGGTCACCAGAACATAGGACAAGAACAATGGTATTTTCATGGCTGATGAGGTATAACTAGCCTGCCCCTAAAAGGACAGAGGGGAGTGGGAGAGAGAAGACACACAGATGCTGCGTTCTAACTCTGATTCTGGATGTGAATAAGGTTTCTCAATTTGATGCTGATCCAGAGCTAGGGCTACCCAGCTGGTCACCTGATGGCCACCCTCATTAACTGCAAGACAACTGGTTGGTAAACACACCATCCCCTTAAGACTCTTATGAGGAATACTCAGTTTGGATCACCAGCCACGAAATAAAAGCCAATCTACTTCAGAATCCTTTGTAGCCCGTCTCCCCACTCAGGAACTACACTTGCCAGTAGATTATATGAAATCAAGTTTTTTACATTCCTGTAGGATAGAAATAAAACCTTAGAATTCCCCTTCTAGGAAGTGCAAATAGAAAACATGGAAAAGCAAAGATGAAACTTTTTATGGGAATTAAGTTACATATACATGGAACTTTCTGAAAACTAAGTCTGTACAAAATAAGACCTTTGTGTTTTACAGAGGAGTTTTAATAAAAATTTGTGAAATAAAATTAGATTTGATAATTTAAAAATGAACTCGGAATTGCTCATTTGCCTACTACTGATCTAGCTTCCTATGGCATTTATACATACACATACAAAAAGCAGCTCAAGTAAAGAAGCATTGTTTGAGAGTTTTATCACATGCTTTATGATGATTCAGATAGGTGGTGCCTTGCTGGAGATCTTATGCCACAAAAAGGTCTTATTAGTCCAGGGTGACTGACTTCCCTTTCCTCTGGGGTCCAGAGCTTTCTCCAAGTATGCCCCCCACCAGGAAAACAGGCAGTTCAGCATGAAACCAGCTTGGGCCTTACATGTAGGTGCCTAATGATAAACGGTAGATATCTGTTCCCTACTTCCCCTAACTCTTTCATCCTTTATATTTCCCTAAAACACATGGAAAAGCTATGAAGAGGTCGGGGGACAAGGGCCCTCCATATATAAAGACCTTCATTCACAAAGGATGTGTTGAGATAACATTTTATAAACTGTACTTAGAAATCTATTCTCGAAACTGCTTGCCAACTCCCGAAATCCCTTTAAGCAAGGAGAAAAGCCTTTCAGTTTAACTTCATAAAGAGAAAACCATAAAATGCAAGTACTTCATAGAGGTTAAAAGGTAAAATACATTATTTTGAAAGCATAAACCACCACAGGGCAGACAAATGACTCAGAGCTTCCCCAGTTTTGTTATAGGGGAAAGGCTGAAGCTGGGAGAAGAGCCTTTAGTATCCAGAGGAGATGCCAGAATATTTGGGAATAGGAAGTCATGGAAAGAAGCTTCTAGAACATCACTCTTCATCTGAGATCAGTCCTGTCTTCTCCATAACAGAAAAGGAACAAGAAGCTTTTTTTTTTTTAATTATTATACTTTAAGTTTTAGGGTACATGTGCACAACGTGCAGGTTAGTTACATATGTATCCATGTGCCATGTTGGTGTGCTGCACCCATTAACTCGTCCTTTAACATTAGGTATATCTTTTATTTATATATTTTTAAGGGTTTTGTTAGTTCTTTAAGGTATCACACAGTTTTCTCAAGAAAGAAAAGATGTACTGGATATCTAGCAGAGGCCAAATGTCAAGCTAAAACACTTTTGCAGAAAGGTATTCGTATTCAACCCTGACAATACAACTATAAGGTAGTTTAATCAAGGTTAAGAAAATATGTCCAAATTCAAGTTAAATAGGAGGTGATCGAGCAGGGATGTGAGTCTGTGTCCTCTAATTTCAAAGTCCATGCTTTTTCTTGACTTTGTGACATACATGAGGGACAACAAAGAAAATCTGATGAAGGAACCTATCAAACCAGAGGGAACAACCAGCATTCCTGCTCCTATTAAAAATCAGGCTGGGCACAGTGGCTCACGCCTGTAATCCCAGCACTCTGTGAGGCTGAGGTGGGCAGATCACCTGAGGTTAGGATTTTGAGACCAGCCCGGCCAACATGGCAAAACCCCACCTCTACTAAAAATACGAAAATTAGCTGGGTGTGGTGGCACATGCCTGTAATCCCAGGTACTTGGGAGGCTTGGGCAGGAAAATCGCTTGAACCTAGGAGGCTGAGGTTGCAATGATCCAAGATGGCACCCACTGCACTCCAGCCCAGGCAACAGAGCCGAGACTTCATCTCAAAAAACAAAAAACAAAACAAAAAAACACAGAAGTCCCATTCTATGTTTAAATCATGTTCTAACATTTTGCAGAATTTGTTTAAATGCCCCAGTAAAGAAAAATACAATACCTTTATACTGAATTATTTCTGCTTGTTTTGTTGCTTGGGAAACACTTTTGGAGAATGTTAACAAGAAGATACCAAATATCCATAGCTCAGCAAGAGAGTCACTGCACTAAATTCCTAAATAGTCCACAACCACAGAAAACGGGCAGTGGCAGCACAGAATAATCAAAAGCAGCTTCGTATTTTCTACATAAAACAAAGCATCATTTGTATTGAGGCATGTTTAGAAGGTACCACTGAAAGCCAGGCTGCAGCCTGGAATGGCTTAAAATACCAAGTTTAACAATCACATCAATGGCTTTTAAACTTTAGAGGCAAACAGCTTCCTTCTACTTGAAATTCAAAGTGAAGAATTAGATGCAAAGCTAATAGATTAATTCAGTACACACACAGGCTTAGAGACTATCCAATGCCTTAATTAACATCATTACAAGTGTATTTAGCCAACCACCTGGGTTTTAATGAGAGAAAGGTAAAGGTCAAAAAAAAATTTTTTTTTAACAAGTTGCTTCAAACTAAGTCCCCCTACTGGGGAAAAATAAAGCACAAATAATTTAACTACAAATAAAAGACTTAACATAAACAGTTTTTATTTTGGCACATTAAGGAACTATTCCTTAATCAGTCTATATTTTTTCTGTATTTTAATTGAGGCAGTACTGCAATTAAAAGTTCACTGAACTTTGCTGTTCTGCCTCAGCTTGAACCTACTTCCTCACCAATACTGAACAACTAGGAGAATTACAGCGGGCAAAACACTACAGATTGAAGACTGGTGGAAGGCAGAAGGGACAGAAGTAGACAGGGACCAGCCTTCTCTAGAGAGCAAGAGGCCTTGACCACCTAATGCTTCCAGAGTAAGGACAAAATCTCCAGGGTTTAAAGAAAGAACAGAAACACTACCAACTGTGAGCTTTAATTACATCATAGATGTTAGATCAAATTATGTTTCATTTCTTGGAGACCAGTAGAAAAAAAAATATTAGCTGAGCCATTTACTCGCTATGTGGTAGTAACAGCTACCATAATGAGCTGCAATTAGATATCTGTGCTTCCTTAGTTTTTGAAGGGGAGGGAACCTGCCCAATGTCTATGACTGAAGAATCCTCCACAATGCATATGGTGGTGGATAGTAAAGTCCATCTTGTACAAATCTTAGCCAAGAAGTCCAAACACACTCTTCCGGGCTCTCTCATGCAGCTAGATCCGAGGCACGTGAACCAGGTTCGGCCATTTATATGCACCTGCCTCACATTTTCAAATTGTCCTTGATTTTCCTTTAAGCACTTTCTCTTCCAGATGGATTTTTGAATCAATTTTGTAGTGTTTTAAAAAAACACACAGGATTTTTAGAGCCATGAAACTACTCTGTGATACAACAATGGTAGATATGTCATTACACGTTTGTTCAAACCCACAGAATACACAATATCAAGAGTGAACCTGATGTAACCTATGGACTTTGGGTGATAATAATGTGTCAATGTAGGTTCATCAGTTGTAACAAATGCACAACTCTGGTGGAAAATGTTGATAATGGTGGAAGCTATGCGTGTGTGGGGGAAAATCTCTGAACCTTCCTCCCAATTTTGGCTGTGAACCTAAAACCACTCAAAAAAAAAAAAGTCTTCTTTAAAAATTGGGGATTTCATTAGGGATTAAATGGAATGTCTACATAATTATGGAGGAGCTAGATGGTTTAAAATAATGAATCAGGTTATTCAGAAAAACAGTATTTCCTTCTACTTATTCAGGTCTTCCTTTAAGTCCTTCAATAAAGTTTTATTTTCTTTAATGTGAGGCTGCATAGCCAGTCACAGTGGTTCACGCTTGTAATCCCAGCACTTTGGGAGGCCAAAGTGGGTGCATTGTGTAGGCCCAGGAGTTTGAAACCAGCCTGGGCAACATGGCGGAAACCCCATCTCTATTAAAAAAAACAACAACAGCAACAAAACCCCACAAAAATTAGCCAGGCATGGTAGCGTGGTGGCTACTCAGGAGGCTGAGGTGGGAGAATTACTTGAGCCTGAGAGGTCAAGGATGCAGTGAGCCGAGATCACGCCACTGCACTCCAGCCTGGGTGACTCAGCAAAACCCTGTCTCAAAAAAAAAAAAAAAAAAAAAGCTTGCACATATTTCTTCTTAGGTTGATAAAGTTTTTGTTCTATTGTAAAATGGGACTTTTTTTCCTATTCATTTTCCAAACAGTGTTGCTGTACAAAAAGATACTAACTTCCAGTGTGGCTCTTATATCTACTGTAAACTCCTACTAGGTCCAGATTTAATATCACAATACTCTTAATCTTAAGAGTCTAGTAATTATTTAATTTTTAAAACTAAGTAACTGTTTAATAGTAGTAATATGAATGTTTTCTGATAGTAAAGGTCACTTAAAATTAAGAAACGTGGTAAAGGTTGTAGGCCTCTCTGGAGAGCTTCAAAAATAAACACAGTGCCTCGTTTGCTTATTTTAGATCAAGGTCCTAACATAAAGCAGGGAGAGGAAAAAAAATAAGATGCCCTCATCTGGCCTTCTCCCTGTATTATGGTTTAATACTGATTTTTGCTCCCTTAGGCCAAACTCAAGGTCAAGAAAAATATAGTGCTCATTTGCACTGATGGAACAGCAGGAACAAGGTGAATATGCTCTCTAAAAAAACATGGTAAAGTTTTAAAAATTACATTCTCCACCGTGCCTCTATTGCCTTCTGAAAACACTTTTTGCCCAGCTATAAGCATTTCCTAGGTAAAAATGCATAATCACAAAAAAGAGAGGAATTCTGCTATTTTGAGTTTACTCGATGATTTTCAATAGTTTAAGTTTCACTGTACATAATATTGCAAATATCCGCTGGGCGCAGTGGCTCATATTTGTAATCCTAGCACTTTGCGAGGCCGAGGCGAGTGGATCACTTGAGGTCAGGAGTTCAAGACCAGCCTGGCCAACATGGAGAAACCCCCATGTCTACCAAAAATACAAAAATTAGCCAGGCGTGGTGGCACGGGCCTATAATCCCAACTACTCGGGAGGCTGAGGCAGGAGAATTGCTTGAACCCAGGAGGCGGAGGTTGCAGTGAGTGGAGATGGTGCACAACTGCACTCCAGCCTGGGTAACAGAGTCTGTCTGTCTCAAAAGACACAGGCTGTCTCAAAAGAATAAGAACCAACAAACATAATATTGCAAATATCCTTATATACATATAGTTTGAATTCAATACCTGCTAAAGTTTTACCTATAGATATAGGTGATAACTTTTTTTTAGGGATAAATGAGGGAATAACAACTGTTCAACGCTTCTGAAAAATATTTGGTTTCCATTGAAGGATACTAAGTTTATCTCAGTTACTGCATTTTTCCAAATTCTCAAAATAGGTTTAACATAAAAGTGTAGTAAAAGATTGCCTGCAAAAACAACCTATAAAGGACATGAAAAGCTGAACTCAAGTTTTTAGACATGTCTCCTAAATTTCTATGATTATGAGTTCAAGTACATGGGAATGAATTTTCTTATGTCTTTGCAACAAAGATTGGTTTTAATTGGAAACAGTACAGCAAAATTTTTCCATATTGCAGGAGATATTACCTAAGTTTCAGAGCAGTCTTGGTAGACTAGCCAGCTTTAATTTATAGAAAATCTTAGCTATGATTTACTTATATAATGAGGACTGGCATGGACTCAACATATGAGTGGTCAAATTCCAAGTATTTCCCCCAACAATCCTGTGATATAACTTCATCAGGATTTAAAATTCCATCTGCTTTGTTGCTAGCCTAATACAACCAGGTTATAGTTAAGAGCAAAAAGGCACATACCATGCAGATATTTTATGGGAAACGTTCCCATTGGTCTTTCAAGTTGGTTTGTATTAGTGAAAAAGCCAGTGTGGAAATTATTATGAAGAAATGATTCAGAAAAAGCAATAGTTGCTTTTAAAGACCAAAGGGAGAAATAAACCCAAAATCACATGCTCTGAAACTGGAAAAGTTTCAAATGCAAATTATGTTCCTGTCTGGTGTGTCTGAAAGACATGGGTGCTGAAGATTATTAATATATTGCTATTTCTTCTAAGTATGGCACTGGTCAAAGAGGATGGTAGGCCTGTTTTGAAGAACTGTTACCGACTGGTGAGTTTAGGCTTGGGGACCCTGGTCCTGAGAAAAATAACCCACTGGTTGGCAGTTCCACCCCAACAGACAGCTTAGGAGGTAACTTTATGCTGGAAATTACAAAGGCTTCTAAAGAAGCAAATAAAGTTCCCATGATTGGTGACAGATGAGCCAAAACTGAAAAAGTTTTTTGTTGTTATTATTTTTAAACAGCTTTCAGAAAACTAACAAGAAAGACATTTTGGTCTTGACCCAGCAGAGGGTGAATGTCCCCCTGGATGGAAATTCTGTGAACGAAATTTCTCCAGAGTAACAATTCTAATCAATTATTCAAAGCCAGGGGTTGATTTTCTAAGGTTAACTATGGTCTCCTGTTTAGGTCATTAAAAACTGGTTTCTCCTTTTCTTTGGTGTCTGCTCACCCAGGCATTGATGAGAAGCTTTAACAGCAGCCTTGCAATAAAGGCTCTACTTTTAAGGTGAGTTTGTCATTTTGCAGACTTGGTTTAAGGGATAATTAGCAATAAAAATAAATTTTGTCTAGGTTCTATATAACCAAAAACGTTAGAAATCCACTTATTCTCTTATATAAGTATGGAAACAACAGACATTAATATTATCACAAGGCATTGCAAGATCTTTTGAATTAAAGAGTTAACCATAATTTTATGATGCTTTAGTAATAAACATACTTCTTAAAACAGAAATTAAAACTGAAACATTATTTGACATAGTAACTCAGAAAACCAGTCATTCTCCAAGGAGACTGGATTAACATGGGTTTACAGAGTGAAATGTAACATTTCAGGCAAGTCAATTCATGCTAACATATTTTTATTGTGCAATACAGGTAGACAATATATAGTTTTTCTAGCGAGAGAAAAATGGTGTACCAGTGAGTATTCACCAAAATAATCCTAGAATAGGTTAGCACAAGGAATGTAATGCTATTAAAGTCACAGTGACAATATGCACCAGAACTCTACAAACAAGAATGAAATTCAAGCCAAATTAAGTAGTTCTCATTATAATGAAAACAAGCAGTCTGGCATTAAGTGGGGCTCCACCTGTTAGGAGTAAAATTTGATACTCCAAAAGATGAGGACCAGTCAGCCAGCAGTTGGTCAAACACATAAAATGTAATCATGTGGGAAAGGGAATGGGATTTCTAGAAACTAAATTCCTGAACACACCTGCTATCCCTCAATGTCTTTAACTTTGACTCCCTCCAGATCTGAATGACCTATTAAAATTATGAACCTTTAAAGTTTCTGGGAAAGGATTTGGTTATAACCCAAACTCAATTCTCAAAGTCACTTCTTATAATAAAGTTCAAAATTATGTTTCCTGTCCTTTTTCTTTTTTAAGAGACAGGGTCTGGCTCTGTTGCCCAGGCTGGAGTACAGTGGCTTTATCATAGCTCACTGCAGCCTTGAACTCCTGGGCTCAAGAGATCCTCCTGCCAGAGCCTCCCAAGTAGCTAGGATTTACAAGTATGTGCCACCATACCCGGATAATTTTTTAAAATTTTTTTGTAGAGGAAAGTGTCTCTTTATGTTGCCCAGGCTGGTCCTGGAACTCCTAGCCTCAAGCAATCCTCCTGCCTTGGCCTCTCAAAATGCTGGGATTACAGGTGTGGGTCACCATGTCTGGCCTATTTCATTTCTCATAGCCTCCAGCACACTGTTTGTTCTAACCCAGGTAACCCTCTCTGACCCACTCCCAAAGCAACAAATCCATCCGGCCTGGGGTGAGGAGCAGCTTGCTGCCCGCTGTCCATGGCTGAGCTTCTCATTCTTGCACACATACCTGCTTCCTTCTTGCCTCCCTTTCCTCCCTCTCGGCTCTTCTTCAGCACAGCCTTTAACATTTTCAACACTTGTTTCTAAGGAGAAAAGAAACAGAGAGAAGAGGAATTAAACATTGAAAGTTGGAATATAACTTGTGTCTTGACAAAAGAGGTAACTTGTGTTCAAACAAACAGACCGCTTAATATTAAGGTACCCTAAGCCTTACATTAATTTTCTTTGAATAAACTATGGTGGGAAACTAAATGCTGAAGACACAAGGAATGTTCTATAACTTTTAATGAAGTGCTCAGAAGTTCACTGTTGTTAGAAAAGCTAAAAAAAAAAAAAAACAATAGTGCATTCTCAGCATTCCACATCTAATTAAGGTTATGAGGCTAAACCTGGGTACAGTACTGCAAGATATTTGGCACAGTTTCCCAATCCCAGTTCATCAAAAGGCGGCACTAGAACATGAAATCAAAAAGATAATGAAAGAAGCTACATGGTTAAAGGCAATGTTTTACAGGTGTTACTAATTATATAATCACAAGGAAAACATTTTGGAAGGTTATGAAATGAGGCATATCTTATAAACATTTGCAAAATAAATACAGTGGGAACACATTTTAACCCTGATCAGAGAACCCAATTAAACAGCACACACCACAGTGGGTTTTTACAATATATAGGAAGTTATAACTTTGGGGTGGGGAAGGGAAGTAAGTAGAACAGGCCTGTGGCACTACGGCCAGATCCTTTAAAGAAAAGGCTGTATCTTTAAGCAGGGTTGTACTGAGCTTGTAAAAACACAATGGCCCAGGTCTAAGATGAAACATGAAACCATCTCTACAGCAAGAGACAGACAAAAGGACCATTATTTCATCATGAAGCCAGTCTCCTTTAAGCTCTCTCTCCCCACTGCTAACTCAGATGAGATGGCTGAACAACCCCAGATGGTAACCAATCTTAGTGGGTTGTGTTACCATCACACCTTTATTAATGCACTAAGGGAAGTAGAAGGCAAGCAGGTCTCTATTGAACAGGCAAGAAAAGGGGTGGGGAGGGGAGGAATGAGGACGGGGAAGGGAGCAGAGGAAGGGAGGCAAGGAGGGAGAAACTCCTATGTAGGAGGGCTCCCACATCTGCCTAGTTAGCACAAATGCCTCAAATGGCCTCAGTGTAACACACCACACACCACCTCTCAGCCCCCAGAGTAAGCAGAAGTTTTGTGGCACCCGTTGAGAAGGGTAAGGAATCCCAATGTGTTGCCATTCATAGAATCACACAACATAAAAAGGCAGGGTGACCTTTCTTATCATTTGGTCCAAGCCTGTATTTGTTTTCCCAAGCCTTTTGTTTTACTGATGAAGAAACAGAGACCCAGGGAGGCTGGCTTGCCAGGGGTCACGAAGCTAATTAACAGCAGGGCCAGAATCCAAATCTGCAGCAGCCCAGCAGGACCACCTTCCTCCCCTCCACCAGGCCGGTCTCTCCTCACAGATCAATGAAAGCTTTGGGCAACAACAATCAAACAAAACTGAGTGATACTAGAAAGATAGTATCTTAGGCAGAATTTGGAAAAAGCCATACTGAAGGTTATCGGAGTAAAATCATCTTACACACAAGTTTTACATACTGAAGGGGCATGGCTTAGAGCCTAATTCTGTTTTTGAAAATGCTGCTTGAATAAACCCTGGTGAAAAAATTTAGGTTTCACCTAAAGGGCAAACACTAAAGTTGGAAGGCAGCAATAGTTTCCATATGGAACCGATGGAAAACACAAACTTCTCTTAACAAGCACACTTCAGAGAAACAATGAAAAACACTGTAGTATAAAAAAATGGTAGTAAAAGTTAATAATAAATAGATAGGTAAACACAGACATATTCTTCAACCAACCAACTTTGGGGTTTATAATTTAGCAAAAACTACCTAAAAAATAAGAGAAAAATACTGACAGAGCCATGCCACCGAAGCTCATGCAAGGTCCCTTGCACCAAGCCTTGGTGAACTCTTCCAGAGCCGTGTGTTTACCTGGATCATTGACCAAGCTCAGGCCCCACCACATCCATGAGCTGCTCCCGATTAATCACCCAGGTCATCACCAGTTGGCAGTACACCTACCAGGCCACTCAGAATAGGCATCACACGGGGCAAGGACTAGGTGACACTGACTCTGGTATCTCATCCCAGACACCCTGTTTTCCTATTTTGGGGCACTCAGCTATTTTCAGGATAGACATACCTTCCACATCAGTGGTCTTAAGTGAAAGAGGCTATCAAATATCTGCTATAGTATTTCTTCCAGTTCCTGTTTTCCTCCATAAATAGCAACTCGAGGTAAATAGCTTAAATTTTATATTCTTAAAAAAGCTATTCAAACTGCGACCTGGAGCAACTTTAACTGATTATACCTGAGTGCAAAAATAAGGAACCATCCTCCCCTCCCCCAGACTGGAAAGGAAAAAAGTAAGTCTTCCCAGCAAGTTAAATTCTGAAACTAACACAGATCAGAGTGGAGCTATACAAAGTCACCTGGAAGTTTCAATCGTCTCTGGCCTTAAACCCATAACTGGAACTTAACAGTCACCAATGGACATACAGGCTATGCCCACTGAAAGGGGGATGGTCACAAATAGCATTTATAGGAATAGACCCTAGGGGCCAATAATGACAGTACACTCCAGAGAAGACTATCTGGTATCTGCACACTTATAAACACATACCCCTATATCCAATTCTGGAAATGGACACATTGGGCTGTTGGAGCTAGGTGCTGTCACACATTGGCATGATACAACTACTTCTTGTTCTGGTTCTGTTCACACTGAGAGACACCTCGTAATTTGGCTCCTTTCTTAGTCTGCAAATAGTAGGGAGAGAGTGTGCTGGTCCAGTTCACACAACTGTCTGGCTTGCTGACAGACAATTCTGAGAATAAATTAACAAATCGGTACTCCAGCTTTAAACAAAAGCTCTCATGAGCTTTGCTTTCTTTTTTTTTTTTTTTTTTTTTTGAGACGGAGTCTCGCTCTGTCGCCCAGGCCGGACTGCGGACTGCAGTGGTGCAATCTCGGCTCACTGCAAGCTCCGCTTCCCGGGTTCACGCCATTCTCCTGCCTCAGCCTCCTGAGTAGCTGGGACTACAGGCACCCACCACCGCGCCCGGCTAATTTTTTGTATTTTTAGTAGAGACGGGGTTTCACCTTGTTAGCCAGGATGGTCTCGATCTCCTGACCTCATGATCCACCCGCCTCGGCCTCCCAAAGTGCTGGGATTACAGGCGTGAGCCACCGCGCCCGGCCGAGCTTTGCTTTCTTAAAGGGAGTCACTTTGCCCAGTCTCATCCATTTAAGACATGGAGAATATTGAGTTTCTGAGGACCAAAGAGAAGGCAGTGGTAAATTCCTCAATGGAAATGGCACCTTGAAGCCCACCTGTGTAGGCAGCCAGCAGGCTCTCCTCTTCTGCATCATCACACTTCCCTTCCAGTAGCAACTTCAACTACTGTCATTTTTCCCCTAAAAGGGTGAACACTGAGCTGTCATGCACTTGAACCAAATAGAAATGATGCAAACCAGCCTTTCTGACACAGTAATTCAGACTCAGCAGATTAAATGACAAGCCCAACATACTGTATGGTAAGGAAGTACTTATGGATAAGTATCATAGGATAAAACATAAGAAATAATGTTCTTTTTTACTATATGTGTATGTGTGTGGTTTTTGTTTTGTTTTTTGTTTGTTTGTTTTGAGAAGGAGTCTCACTTTATTGCCCAGGCTGGAATGCAGTGGCACAATCTCAGCTCACTGCAACCTCCACCTCCTGGGTTCAAGCAATTTTCTTGCCTCAGCCTCCTGAGTAGCTGTGATTACAGGCACCCACCACCACACCCAGCTAATTTTTGTATTTTTAGTAGAGACGGGGTTTCACCATGTTGGCCAGGCTGGTCTCAAACTCCTGACCTCAGGTGATCTGCCTGCCTTGGCCTCCCAAAGTGCTGGGATTACAGGTGTGAACTACCACGCCCGGCCTACTTTATATTATAGACCAAAGGCACAGGTATAACTCAAATACTGACCAAACAATCCCTCAAGTTCTGCCCCATAAAACCTTAGCCTCTATGACAGCAAGTAGAACAAAGGTACTGTTGAACTCAAATACTTAAGAATAAGTCTTTGAAAATGTGAAGAACGTCAGATGTCATTTCTTTCCATTATATATTTTTGAGGAAGAGAGTGTAGGGGAGAAAAGGTATCTTTTCCTCACCCATGGCAAAGTTCATGGCTGACACCCCTATAACAAAAAGATTAACAAGAGAAAGGCATAACAAATTTATTCAACCAAAGTTTTGCATGACACAAGAGCCTTCAGAAATGAGGATCCAGAGACTTAGGAAACTTGAATTTTTACGCTTAAGTACAATGAAGAATGGACAGCCACGTAGAAGCATGATTGAACAAAAAGGGAATGAGGCCTAATAATTGGGGTGGGGGCCCTTAGCAAGGCCTGCTTGTCCAGATTCTTCTTGTCCTCTGGGTACAGGGCAGGACCTCTCTGGAATGAGAGTCTTATAACTCACTGTCAGGTGAGATAGGTCAGAGAATTCCTTGATGACCATGCTTCAGGGGAGAAAGGCAAGGGGAGGTCAGAGGGACCTCCTTTCTTCTGCAGTTTCTCTTATATGCCAAGGTGCCATATTGGGGGGTATCCTGTCCTGAGCCCCAACAAAAGGAAAGACCAGCCTCTTTGTTACTACAACTAAAAGTTACTACAACTAAAACTGAATAATAGAAGTAAATTTCCTGTAACGTTCATTGAGGAGAAAAGGTGAATAGGTAACATTACTCTGAGAGGGCCAATGGCCTGAAGTCACCTAAATTTCTACTATCATTCAACATGTAAGTTTTCCAAATGTCACATATTCTTCTTTTAAGCCCCCCAGAAGTTAAATAGACTATCAAAAGCTTACTTTTACTTCTGGTATTTCTCCTTCAGCACACCAAGTCTTTGGGGACAGGCACAACCTCTCTACATTATGTATTTGAATTCTGCACAGCATGTTGTGTTGGCATATAAAATATAACAAAAAACACCCTAGACAAAATAGTAAGATGATTCCAAAACAAGACAAAATCTATTTCAGTCTGTAATCACAATGGCAATATCAGAACCATGACCACCTTGTCTGAGATCATAGAAGAGTACTAGCAGTAAAACGTTTCTCTTCTGGAGTGCCATACTGCCTATTTACACAATTTCAAGTCGAATCTGAGAGCTGAGGGCAGGGACTATGTTTATTCTTTAACAGATACAAACAGAAGCCAGAACACAGGCTTCGCACCCACCCTGTTCTCAGTATTTGTTGACAGGCTGCAATGAATACAGATGTAAGATTTCCTCCAAATCAAGCAATTAACAAACATTTATAGCAGTTTATAATTGACAAAGAATATTCCTATATATTCACACTTGCAAGGAATGCAAGAAAATTCAGTTAAATCCATGTGACATCAGACAATGAGATATTAGGGAGGAAAATGCTGCATTTAGCAATATCTCTTCATATCCACATCTGAATTAACCTTAAAACCTCAGTCCAGTTACCCCAAATACCTAAACACACATACTCTGTGCACGCTCTAATGAAGGGGCTTCTCCCATCAAACTATCCACCTGGCCTCAAAGCAAAATTCTCTGAAGATGCTGCTTTTGTCAAAAATAATAAAGCCAGAGTAGCAACATTTACAAGTGAAACACTGTAAACTAAGGTACACTTAATTAAGACATTTTTCTTCTTTGCTTCAAAGAAGCATCAAAAACATCCTCTGTGTTAGAAGCTTGAAAAGTTCTTAAAACGTAGTTAGTCTGACTCACGTAACTAACAGTCATGCCTTCTGTATAACACCTTTAGAACTGTTCTTCATATTAGCAACAAGAAAGTGGTGGTGGTAGCAGGGAGTCTGAAGCAGCCTACAAAATAAATAATACAGACTAAAGCAAATAAGAAAAAACAAAGCGTAAGAGACCAAAAAAAAAAAACAACAACAACAAAAAACCACACACACACACACACACACACACACACACACACACACACAAAGAGGTCTGCTAGATGGTACACTGGCTGTTATCTAGAAACTCATGGAAAACCCTGTACACAGAAATTTCCTGAAAGCAAGAGCCATGTCTCATCACTCCTAGGAGATCCTAGGAGGCTGGGAAAAACCAGCCCTTGATGAGTTTTTGACATTCCAAGATTTCTCTCACACTTTCCCTCACTTTAGTAGAGAAATCCTAGGAATTGACAGAGACCTTGCCAATATGACTGGAAACAACTAACGGAACTTCTCCAGGATCCAGATGCTTCATCCAGAAAAGTGTGTCAGGGTGCGGGGGATGGCTAGAACAACCCGTAAATAATTGTGATAAGTAAAGAATTGGCCTTTGGTTCTTCTTTTTTTTTTATATATTTGGTTTTTTTTAAGAGAGTCTTACTCTGTTGCCCAGGCTGGAATGCAATGGCACCATGACAGTGACAGTTCACTGCAGTCTTGTCTTCTCAGGCTCAGGCTATCTTCCCATCTCAGCCTCCAGAGTAGCTGGGACTACAGGCATGTACCACCAAGCCCAGCTGCTTATTTTTTCATAGAGATGGAGGTCTCATTAGGTTGCCCAGGCTGGTCTCTAAACTCCTGGGCTCAAGTAATTCTCTTACTTCGGCCTCCCAAAGCACAGGGATTATAGGCATGAAGTACAGCACCTAGTCTGGTTTTTCTTAATTTGCATAGCTGGAAAATATGACATTAAACTATAATTTATTCTCTAAGACACATAGATCCAGTCATTCATTCTTTATTCAACAACCCATTCTACAAGCTGAACTCTATTCTACTATTCTATTCTTTATAGTTTTGTCCTAAGCAAAAACACTTCAGATTTAAGTATAAGTTATTAAAAAGCATAGTAAATTTACAGTCACAAGTAATATGAATTTAAAAGAGTTCTGGGCATGAAATTGGAAATCAAATGCTTAAGTTCTGATGCACCAAAATTAAGTGGAAACTATTGTGGTGAAATCACCTTCCACCTATATTTAAAATATTCTGTACATTCATACAGGTTGTTTCAGGAAGAGTTTCTACCAAAACAAACAAACAAACAAACAAACAAAACACCTTACCTTAGCCAGTATTTCAAGTTACTAGAAAATTAGTATTTTGATAAGTACTTGGCAGAAAGAAAATTTCACTTTTGGAGGAGACGATAAAGAAGTTGCTTCCTTCTAAGTACAAGAGCCATCTTCATATACCTGTAAAGGGATTTGTTCAATCCAAATTCTAACACCATTTCTTCCATAAAGCCTTCTCAGGCCACAATGGTCAAAAGATATGTTTTCTCTAATTCTACATCCTGCCTTGTTCTAATATGATGATAGATCAAAATTATGGTGAAAAATGTTGAACTCCACAAATCCCCCATGGCATCTAGCAATGTACCTTACACACAACAAACACTAAAAAAAAAGTCTTTAAATGAGTGGCAGGGTTATTATGGAAGGGAAATCAAAATCAACGGCAATTCTCTTCCAACAAGGAGTTTGGACTAATAATTTAAGAATTCTGGTACCAAGTACTAATTCCCAACTTTATGGTCAAAATAATTTGGTGTATACATGAAGAAGTGCACATTTAACACAGTAAGATCTGTTCAAATAACAGGCTTTCAGAAGCACTGGCTGCAGGTAGGTTTTATTTGGGTATTTCAAATAGGCACACAGAAGGGATAAGTGCAAAGACAGTAGCCAAAAATCTGAAATCAATACACTCTCCTTCAAAAAAAGGAAGGGTTCAGAAAGGGCAGCATTTCCAGCAATAATCATGATGTCTCCCAGGCCAATGGCTACTGTGCAAGGCAGAGCTCAGTCTTGCAGAGAGCTCCTGCTCACTTACAGGCAGGAGTTCCCTGTCTTCATTTCCCTGTCACCTGAGTGCTCCCTAGCTGAGACTTACCTCCCTACCACAGCAGCAAAACACGGCTAACTAGAAGACAAAACTCCAATATTGTCACTAGTACTGTATATCATCCAGGTATTTACATAGATGTTTAGATATATTAGAGAAAGCAAAAGAATTTCATAAGCCCACCCACTTCAAAACACACCACAGAATCACCTCATCTTCGAAGCCTTCTTCATCTTATTTTAATTGTTTATACACCTGCTTCCTTCACCAGGCTTTGGGCCTCTGAATGGTCAGACCCTGCCTTGCTCCCCACCCCAGCAAAGTATTTGTTTTCCAATTTCAACATCAATGAATGGTTGTGGAGAAACATAATTTTAATCTATAATTTTCAAAGGGAATTATTGTACCTAAAAACAGACTGTTATCCTTTAATAACTTTAAGTAAAATTAATATCCTTCTACAGGCTATGAGCAATGGAGAAACTTGCCCTGGCTCTCCTGGACCAGCAAGTGGCAGAAATTGGGTTACAACCTAATTTTCCAATTAAGGAATGAGTGTTGGGTTAGCAATTGCAGGTTTTCATTCGACATACATCTGTACGTTGCTACCCTGTGCCAAACAACAAGGGACACAAAGGCAAGTACAACTGACAGAGGAGGAAGACAACATGTGGACAAACATGAGCAGGAAGCTAAAAACATTCATGCCTCCATTTTGTCTACAAGGTAAAAACAAGGTAAGAGGTGCAGTGAAGGTTCAGGATAGCCCTGTAGATGAGAGGAAGGCAAGTAAGAGATTAAAAGGACAGCTGGCTGGGCATGGTGGCTCACGCCTGTAATCCCAGCACTTTGGGAGGATCGTTTGAGCCCAGGCCTTTGAGACCAGCCTGGGCAACAGAAGGAGATTCTCAGAAAAACCAAAAACAATAAAACGGACAGCTGAACAGCTCTGATCATCCAAACTAGGCTGCAGACCAGGCCATAACACCCGATTATGAAACTGCTCCTATCCTCAAAGGCTCACAAGTAGCATCATCATATCGTGCAACTCATCTATGGTTCTGGGTTAGTGGAATATTTGCGGGCTGGCACACACCATTTGCCTGCTCCTGTAGTTCACGGATATGTCCTATGAGGAGAAATGGTACACATGCCAGGAAACTCCTATGATTGAAGCCAATGGCTGGATGTGATATTCAAGCTAGACCTGGACTTTCCTAATCTGCCCAACTTCATGGACGGGAAGAACAAGGTCACCCAGAGCAATGCCATCTTGTGCTACACTGCTGGCAAGCACATGTGTGGTAAGACTGAAAAGATTCAAGTGGACATTTTAGAGAACCAAGCAACCAGTTTCTGCACACAACTGATACAGTGCTGTTACAACTCTGACCATGAAAAACTGAAACCTGGCCAGGCGCAGTGGCTCACGCCTCTAATCCCAGCACTTTGGGAGGCTTCTCTTTTCTCGTGGATCACAAGTTCAGGGGATCAAGACCATCCTGGCTAATACGGCGAAACCCCGTCTCTACTGAAAATACAAAAAGTTAGCTGGGCGTGGTGGCGGGCGCCTGTAGTCTCAGCTACTCAGGAGGCTGAGGCAGGAGAATAGCTTGAACCCGGGAGGCGGAGGTTGCAGTGAGCCGAGATCGCACCATTGCACTCCAGCCTGGGCGACAGAGCAAGACTCCATCTCAAAAAAAAAAATAAATAAATAAAATAAATAAAAACCAACCCTGAAACCTCAGTACTTGGAACAGCTACCTGAACAACTGAAACAATTCTCCATGTTCCTGGGAGAAATTCTCATGGTTTGCAGGGGAAAGCTCACCTTTGTGGATTTTCCCATCTATGACGTCCTGGATCAAAAGTGCATGTTTGAGCCCAAGTGCCTGGATGAGTTCCCACATCTTAAGGCTTTCATGTGCCGTTGAGGCTTTGGAGAAAATTGCTGCCTACATGCAGTCTGACTGCTTCTTGAAGATGCCTATCAACAACAAGATGGCCCAGTGGGGCAACAAGCTTTTATGCTGAGCTAGAGGCAGACTTGCACTGCTAGTTTTGTTTCATCCGTCCCTAGGGGGCCTCCACTCTTTTTTGTTCTTTTAAATAAACAGCACTTGGGCTAAAATAAATAAATAAATAAATAAATAAGCTATGCTGTGCAATTCCCTTCTCTGACTCTCAGCCCCAAGAACCATCCAGGGATGGTCCAGAGAATGCAGGATCTGATCAATGATCAGGAGTTCACAGTGCAGGGGCCAGTACAGGAGTGCTCAGAGTGGTGTGCTGTGAAATCAAGGCTGGTCAGGAAGGGAATGAAGCCCTGAGAGGTAGGATAGCCAGAGAGAAAAAGTATGGTGTCTCAAAGAGATCAAAGAACAAACACAGTCGGAATAAATGAATGAGGAAGTTGAAAGAGTCTGGTTCTTTTTAAAGAATTTTTAAAATTTGGATGTGGAACAATTCCAGACAATGATAAAGCCCACAGGATTAGTAAAGGCAAATCTGTGATGTGAACCCAGGCCTGACTTGAAAGCTCAGGCACTGAATAGCTGCCTCCAAAGTCCTCAATGAACTGAGGGTAGGGGGAATAGGGAGGTGATCAGGACAGCACAGAATACACGCCTCAAAGAAAGGGAGGCTTTGCATGAGGATGAAAGTGTAGCAGTTATGGATACCAGCATCACCTCAGGGACCCAGTAGCCATGCAGCTAAAAAGCTCCTGGAGAACCACCTAGGGTTTGAGTATGAACCACAGTCTGATCGTGGTCTCCTCCTCTCACATAACTCAGTAGAAGGCGTGGCTAGGGCCATAGAGTCTTTCTTTGTGTAAGGTTTAGGGCAACCGGAAACCCAAGTCCCAATCCTCCTTATGACAGTTAGCTCCACAACAACCACACTCAGAATTACATTCTCTTTTCCTTTCTCCTTCCTGTTGTTTCCCACTTGTGTCATACAACAGAGCTACAATCCCCAACTTACACTGCCCACCTTCCTGATGTGCAATCGCAACTCCCAGAATACAGGTAGAGGCATTATGTATACAAAGTGATTCTGGACAAGTTGTTATTTCACCAAGAATACTGTTCCCTTTCCTGCTGGACTGGATAATTTCAGGTCTCTTCCACCTGTAGGCATTATAATTTTTAAGGGGGAAACTTTCTTGTTCCTAAGACCACTGTAAGCACAGTACACAATAAACCATCATCACAGATGAAAAAGGAACCCCTCAGAGGAGGCCACTGTATGCGTGATAAGCTTTTACTATGAAAAGAGACCTTGAGGACATTTTCAAAAAGTGTTAAAAGGCACTCAATCAATGCCAGCTGAATGAAATTTGGTATTATAAACCTAAGGAAATTAAAATTTTTAAATTGCACTGGATCTGGCCTCAAAGTGAAGGGTCAGACAGCCTCAAAGATGCCTGTGAAAGGCAGCTATTCATCACAGAATGATCTCTTGCTTATGTAGCTGACAGATGGATCTTTCACTTAATGCCCAGAATATAAGACATCAAAAACGCTCCTCCACTTGCTGAACAAGGTTATAACCTCCCCAGGCCCTAATTTCATTAGGATTGGAGTTCTCAATACCCACGCAGGGTGATTAGAATCACCCACCAGGTGATTCTAATGTGCAGCCAGCACCCCTTATTTACCACTATCCATATGCCTGGCCCTGTTCTAAGCACTTACCATGCATATACTGATTAAATCCTCACAACCACCGTCTGAGGAAGGTACTGTTAATCTCCATTCCACAAAGGCACAGACAAGCTAGTGACTTGCCCAGGGTCACACAACTCAGTGTGCATCCAGGCAGTCTTGATCCCCAGCCTGACCATGCAGTCAGTCTACCAGGCCTCCTTTCAGTTGAAAAGAAGAGAGACCAGCCCCCAGGGAGTGGTGAGAGTCAAAGGCAAAGCTGCTCAACAGGTGGAAAAGATAAATCGGCTTTGGCCAAACATACACACGGCTCACACACACTTCACTCCTAGAGCAGCATCCCATGCTGCAAATCTATCCTGAAAAAAACAAAAACACCTGCCTCCACTGAGAGACATCTACAGTACAGTCCCTCGAGTTATCAGTTATTTCAAACTACAGTGCTGTCCATGTGTGACCTGGAGGCACCATGCAACAGAACACATGCCAAAATGAGCAAGCTCTTGAGTTCATTAGCCCACAGGGGGAGAACCCTGGGAGGTGGGCTACAATGCCAATATGGAGGATTTGGGGAGACAGACACCTTTGTGTCATACAAACAATGCTGCCCCTATTCCTAACACTTACCCAGAAGTTAGCAACTATGGTATTCATGAAAAACCCAGAAAACTGCCTCATTTCTTGTGAATAAATTGTATAAAGCTTGTTACACGGTGACAGGATGCAGTGAGAAATGGCCTGATGATCTCAATGTCTTTCTCTGGGCAATTTTATACAGTCTAATAAATTTAGTGAGGTTTTAACCTTGGATATCAAGTTCTAAATTAAACCAAGATATGCCTGCAGTGATACTGCAGTGGAGAGCTGAATCAAATTCATACAAGCCACACAGCATCATCTCTTCCCATAGCTAAAGCAATGACATCAGCATATGCATCACTGCGCTCTCCTCTGGAATTTGTAAAGGAAATCATTCTTGGCCATAAACATTTGGTTGCAGTAAGCAGTCTCACAGAAGCCTGTGAGAAAGGGCATATGGGCAAGGACAATAGCTTTATTTTTTTCTCTTTTTTTTTTTTCCCTTAAGCTCTGTTGGACTTGAAGGCTTAATTTTTTAATTAACTCCAACAGCCCCAAAAGGGGAATACCAGAGCTCCAGATGATAAAAGTCACAGACAAGGCATGCTAGAAAACAAAGGCCAAATATGTTAAGACTTAAAAAAAAAAAATTCAGGTTTAATGTTAACAAATCTAGTCTCAAATGAGGATGAGAAAGACACAAGGGTGCCATATCCAAGGCATGAATCTGTAACCTTTTAAGTTCCATGGATGGCTTCAGCAATCTGTACCCTCAGAGTGTTTTTGAATGATTTTTAAGTAGACAGTCTTATTACAAAGAAAACTAATTATATTGAAACACAGATAGCAAAATGTTCAAAAAGCAAACCTGATACACTAAAGTATGCTTAACGCATAAATAAGACACAGCAGCAGGTTTTATAACTACTGCAGTTTTTAAAGCAGCGATGGGCATAAATGTATTTTAAACTATTTCCACAATATGATACAAAAATCAGTTAATTTCCATGTGACAAAGTTACATGTCCTGTTGATCTTACATGGTTGGTTGCCCACTTTCATGATTGAAGCAATGGCTATATTTTGGCTAGAGGTTAGTGAAAATACAGTTGAGTTTTTCTCCACCCATTCAAGTTCACAGATCCCTTGTCTTAGTCCATTTTGTACTTTTGTCACAGAATATCATGGAGATGGTAATTTATAAACAATAGAAGTTTGTTTATAAACTTCTATTTGGCTCACAGTTCTGGAAGCTGGGAAGTCCAAGATCGAGGGGCCCACTTCTGGGGAGTGCCTTCTTACCGCATCATCCCATAAAATTCAGAAAATTAAACAGTAACTTACTGATTGGCACACATTAGCAGGAGCGAGTATGTCACATACACGCCACTGCTAGCAATTAAAGGCAAGTCCCATGATTCATTTTCAGAATAGTCTGTAAAAGCCCTATTTATCAAGAATGTCCATCACCACCAAATTACTATCTACAAAAACCAGGCCTGGCATGACAGGAGACAGACTCTAGATATTTACTGTGACAGACAATGTACAAAAACAAAATGCCACATTTCATATTTGAGACAGGTGTTTTTAATACACGCTGTTGGTTGTATTGTTTTCTTGGTGCTCTCCTCACTCTTTTTGAAAGTATTTGTGCTCTGGAAACTGCCGTGTTTCAGTTAACTGGATCAGGCTTCCTAATGAATGTGGTACCCAAGGCTTGGCCTCTCCCGCCCCCACTGCCTCATACAGTCACAGGCCATTCCCCAGCTGTATGCCCTAAATCAGGGGATGCCCATAGGAAGATAAATATAATTCAGAGTCCAAAATACACGGACTTAAACTGAGCCATTGCCAATTTCTCATGGATCCTGGGTAACCGAGATGGTTTTTGTTTTCATGGTTAGGAACAGCTGCAAGAGCGCAATACTCTTTCTAGACTAATAAAATAACCTAAGTCTGGCTCAGTATTTCAGCTGTGGCAGCAGCCAAATTTCCCAGAATGGTGCAAGCCTCGTGCAGTTCTGGAAGAGCTGGGGTGGTAGTTCTGAACTAAACTGAAGGCATCCAAACCCAACCCAACAGCAAACACACACACACACACACACACACACACACACACACACAAACACCACTTCAACTAAATTTTGAATTAGAGCTAATTCCTATGGGTGGATATGACATGTTATTTGTAGGGGTCCCATAAAACTAATCAAACCTATGAAGTTTAAGCCTTATACTTGAAGGTATGTTACGCGCCATGTATGAACATCAGATGTTTTTCCTCTAAAACCCAGTGAAAGATTCAATTAAAGCTCTTAGTAACTCTGCAGTGAAACCTTTGATCACTGATTCTGTCATCATTTCTCTTAGTATGAAACATCTCAGACCTAAAGAACAAAAGTCACTATTGTGACGCAGCACAGAAAACACATGCACACATACATACACACAGCTTTCTTTTCTTGGGGAGGAATAGGGAGTTGCAGAAGCTACTTTTTCCACAATGAGAACATTCTTTATACACTCTTGTACATGTAGCCCAGTTACCAAGTTATTTCCTAAATGTAAGTGTGTGGTCCAAATGTCTCCCACTAAGGAAAAACAGCCCAATTAGAACCCAGTGGAAAACAAGACACATGTTTCTTGAATGGCTTTGAATTAGAGACGGTGGATGTAAAATTGTTGTAGATATAATGAAGATGTTGCACAGATGTACTAAGTTTTCATGGTCTCAGCAAAACATCTTCCTGGTACAGCAAAATATGTCAGTCTGCAACAAAGCTGGATATAAAATAATTTTTAAAATATCTGATTCTTGTTTTTATGCAGTAAAACTTCTCAAGCCAACTCTCTTTTGCCTTCTCACAAACCTAACAAAGCCCATATTTCAATGTACTGATAATTCACTAAAAACTATAAAACTGCATTCATCTCCAATTGACATCACTTTTTATAATCCTCATATCATAAATCAATACAAATGCAAGATTTATCGATACAAATGGAAGACCTTTACTTCACAAATCCAGCAACCAACCACAAAAGCAATGGCAGAGGTAGAGAAACTTATTTCACAGACAACCTCCTGTTTAGTCCTCACAACCACCAGGTGGGAACTATAATTATCCTCTTTTGACAGATAAGGAAACTGAGACTTAGAGAATCTCAGCAGCCTGCTCTAGGTCACACCTTAGCTCTTAACACCTCATTCCACTTCTTCCTTTGCAAGAAAAACATGCACTAAAACCATGCCTTGGCACCCTAAGCCTTGGATTTCCAGATAAAATGACATTCAAGAACAAGTCTCTGTTACACAGCATGGGGCCTAAAGCTAAATGGCAAAACTGCAACGCTGTTCTGATAACCTGGTTTAATTTAAAACTATATCACAGGCTGGGTGTGGTGGCTCACACCTGTAATCAACACTTTGGGAGGCCAAGGTAGGAGAATCACTTGAGTCCAGGAGTGTGAGTCTTTGTTTCTACAAAAAAAATTTTTTTTTAATTAGCTGGGAGTGGTGGCACATGCCTGTAGTCACAGTACTTTGCGGGGCTGAGGTGGGCTCATTTGAGCCCAGGTGTTCGAGGCTGCAATGAGCTCTAATCATGCCATTGCACTTGAGCCTAGATAACAGAGTGAGGCTCTTAAACAAAAAAAATTATGTCACTATGTATTCCTAAGCATTTTGACTTACTCTTCTGAAAGAGAAACAAATGCTGCACTCCCAAGCACCCAATCCCATATCAGTCTATTCTTGGGTCTCTTTCTCTGTGCTATCATCCTTGGAAAAATGACCAGAATACCCACTTCAACTGCTGCCTGTATGCAGGCAAGTCACAAATCTGTTTCTCCATTCTTTATCTGTGCTACAGTTACACTACTTTATTTCCAACTTGCCGTCATCAGCCCTGGCTCACATACCTCAACATGTCCAAAACTAAACCCATCTTCCTCTCCCCACTTCCAAAACCCACTCACTAGTCTGGGTCCAGGTTCCTGCTGATAAAGCACCATCCTTTTTAGTTCACGAGACTCAAAGCCCCTCCTCTTTCTCATGGCCTCCCTTCCATGTCTGGTAAACAGCCAAACAGGTCTCCGTCTCACCAGTCCTGACTCCCCTCCATTCGCTTCCACCACTCTGGGGAGGTCCTCACTATCTCTTGGGTGGACTTCAGGCTGAAACCTGTAACGTTAGGCCAGTTAAGTGCATCAGAGTTACCTGGGGGACTTGTTAAGAGGCAGGCTGCTGGACCCCACCCTGGACGGTTCTTTAGGTCTGGGGTACAGCTACCCTGCTGATGATGAAGCAGTCCCTCATGGTCCACACTCCCAGGAACCACTGTTATTATACACTCTCCTCCCTCCCTTTCTACAACACTTACATAAATTCTTCTTGAATCCTAACATAAACCAATGTAACCCTTGTAAAATCTGAACTAAGTTTGGATGGTAATGGCTACCAACTGCCAAGGACCTACTGTGAGTCACAGTCTGTCAAGTTCAGTCAAAACAACTGCAAAATACACAGCACTGCCCCTAAATTTACAGGACAATTTTATAAGAAACCAAGACTTTGAAAATTAAACAATTTCTAAATTCCACAATAATAGATTGAGTTTATCTATGTATTAAAAGGGCCCTCTCCTTAGACACACTCTAAAAACCAAATATGATGGAAGAGGGAGACCTATGAAGAAAAAGGAGCATTTCCTTTTCAGAACAGGGCAAAAGGAGGGACCTATGAGGAAACAAAATATAAAACAGCCAGGTCTCAATTTACAGTTCATTGTGGTACAGCACAAAAGTCCATCCATGCTCCCAAGAGCAATTTAACAGAATAAAGAGGGCCAATTGTGGTGGCTCATGCCTGTAATCCCAGCACTTTGGGAGGCCAAGGTGGGAGAATGGCTTGAGGCCAAGAGTTCAAGACCAGCCTGGGCAACATAGCAAGAGCCCATCTCTACAAAAAACTTCAGTAGACTCTGCTTTTGTTCACCCGCCTATACCCAAAAAGGTTCTGTATGATTTTTGTAGATCATATCCTTACCTGTTCTAAACTAGTTTTACTAAGGACTAACAAAATTTAGGTCTATATGTGCTATAAACAAGGTCGTTTCTTGCCTTTTCTGCCTGTGCAAGAATGATCAGCATTAACATCAGAAATCCAGGAAAATTTCTATGTTCACATTGTCGTTTATAAAAAAAGAGGGCTCATGTAAGCCAGCAAATGATCAATTCCCACAATTGAACACAACTTTTCAAAAATGCCCTGAATTTGAAAGCACTTTCCTGTACGGCATTCCATTTCCTCCTCATAAAAACCCTCTGAGGGCGAGCAGCATGATCCTACTGTCCTTGTCTCAGGCCACCCAGCTAATAGACAGTTCACGGAAGAGCCAGGGCTGGTATCCAGACGAAGCCACAGACAACATGGACCATCAAGAGTCATGTCTTTACCACTAATTGTAAGAAAAAATATACGTTAACAGATTCAAATACGAACAAGACCAGTTACTGCCCCCCAAAGCCAATCTACTTGCCAGATATCTACAACAGTGCTGTGGCATTATAGAAACAACTCAAAACAAGGTGGCATGATACCAAAGGCAAAGGTGTTGGGGTCAGGTCAACCAACACCAGCCCATGTGGTCTAAACCCCAACTATACTGTGCTTTCCTTGCCCTGTGCCCCTGGGCCTGGACACAAGCTCTCTGACCCTAGATTCCTCACTTGTAACAGAGCATGACATCCCTCAGAATAGCTGTGAAAAAAAATCAGAAATAAAACATGACAAGTTTGTAGGACTATACCTAGCATGAAACATATATTATAGAAATGGTCACTAATGTGTTGTATTATTACACTTGTTTATATAGGCCCAGTGATGAGTTTTAAACATTTATAATTAAATGTTAGTGGTGTGAAGTCCCAAAATTTGAGACAGGTCTCAATTTAGAAAGTTTATTCTGCCAAGGTTGAGGATGCATGCCCTTCAGACAGCCTCAGGAGGTCCTGATGACATGTGCCCAAAGTGGTCAGAGCACAGCTTGGTTTTATACATTTTAGGGAAACATGAGACATCAATCAATATATGTAAAATGAACATTGGTTCTGTCTGGAAAGGCAGGACAACTGGAAATGGGGAGGGGGCTTCCAGGTCACAGGTGGGAGACCAACTGTTGCATTCTTTTGAGTTTCTGATTAGCCTTTCCAAAGGAGGCAATGAGATATGCATTTATCTCAGTGAGCAGAGGGATGGCTTTGAATAGAATCAGAGGCAGCTTTGCCCTAAGTAGTTCCCAGCTTGAATTTTCTTTTAGCTTTAGCGATTTGGGGGCCCAAGATATTTTTCTTTCACGGTGGAATGACTTAAGTTTGCGTTTTCCTTCTTTATTTAGGAAATTAAGATAAAATGTAATCAGCAATTTTAAAATGGGGCTGAGGGAGGGCTGAAGGATGAATCACAAATTTCTGGCTTGAGTGACAGGGTAGAAAGTAGTGCCAATGACCAAAATGGGAAAAGCAGACAAGCGTGGGGTGAGTGGTTTGGAGTGGGGAGCAGGAAGCAGGCAATAACTGGGGGGGGGAAATGAGTTCAGTTTGGATATCCTGATTTAAAAGTACCTATGAGTCATCCAAGCAGAAATGTCCAAAAGATTGTCTAAGAGGAGGATGAATTCAGAGAGACCTGGGGGGTCCATGAAGTGTGGATGGTGGCTGAAGCCACAGAATTATTGAGGTCTCCCCCAAAAAGGCTGAGCAGACTAAAAGAAAACCACCAAGGATGAACCAGGAACATAAGGGCAGATACAGCAGGACCTAAGAGGAAATTAAAGAAGCAAAAACAAAGCAGTCGAGTATGGTGCAAAGGGGCGGGGCACCATGGTTCATGCCTGTAATCCCAGCATTTTGGGGAGGCCGAGGCAAGTGGATCGCTAGAACTCAGAAGTTTGAGACCAGCCTGGGTAACATGGTGAAAACCCGTCTCCACAAAAAATACAAAAAAAATTAGCCAGGCCTGGTGCCTCGCGCCTGTACTCCTAGCTATTTGAGGGTCTGAGGTGGGAGGATCGCTTGAGCCCAAGGAGGCAGAGGTTGCAATGAGCCGAGATTGTGCCGCTGCACTCTAGCCTGGGTGACAAAGCTAGACCCTGCCTCAAAAAAAAAAAAAAAAAAAAAAAAAAAAGTAAAGAAAAGAAAAGAATGGTGCATAGGAACCCAGAAGAGACAGCTTTGATGAGGAATGATCAGCAGAATCAAATACTACAGGAAAAGTCATGTCAAGGACTAACAAGTGACAACAGGCTTCAATGATCAGAGGCCATTTGGGACGTCGACAAGGGCAGTTTCTATTGAGGCGAAGGAAACCAGGAGACAGGCCATCTGTAGGGTCAGTCCCTCCTAAATTGTAAAATTCTTTAACTTCAAAACTGAAACTCACCCTTCTCCCTCAAACCCACCAAATTAATAAAATGTCAAATAGCAATGTGTTGCAAGGTTTTCTTTCACAGAAAAGGAATTTGCAAAAGAGAGACGCAGTCTAAAACCACAAAACCATTTAACATGATTTTTGCTATTAAGTTCCTATCTATTTTCTAAAGTTGGTCCCAGGGAAGGAGAAAAATTAGTGAATTCTCTGCCAAACGAAAACTGAAGGGGGAAAAAAAAAACCCACAACTTTCTAAATAAATTTCCTTTCTGATAAATCTCTATGGGCAATACACTTAAATTGCTATTTCAATGTTACTTTGAGAAACGTGTTACCACAGGAAGAAAGGCTTGGTTTCAATACGCAAATCTATTGTAAAATGCCATTTAAGCAGATTTCCACCTGGATTTCTCAGTAAGCCTAAACTCTGGTTGAATTTAGTAAATTCCTCTTCCATGTCATTTTTCTTGTTCTTTGTCATGTTAGCATCATAGAAAATGCTATCGCATGCAATTTTAAGTGAAAATTATAAAATAGTTTTACGATATGAATTATGGCACAAGGGAATGTTTGGGTTGGCAGTGTCAACTGGTTAAACAGGTCAGTGGAATTCAAAAAAGTTCCCCTAAACGTCGGCTCAGGCTAAGAAAGAGGTTTATAAGTTTACTCCCCATACAAATATTTTTCAAAAGTTACATATCTCAAATATTAATGACTATTATAGAATTGTCATTAATATAAAGCAAAAAAATTTGAAGATCTGAGGCTTCTGAAATATATTCCTCCAAAAATACTACTCACTCTTTGTATGCATCACTGAATTTAAGCAGACAATTTCTTCGGATCTTCTGGTAACTAATTTTATGTATCCTTTAAACTCTTTATCATATCTGGCTATCTTAATTTTATTTATTTATGAGACAGTCTTGCTCTGTCACCCAGGCTGTTGTGCAGTGGTGCAATCTCGGCTCACTGCAACCTCCGCCTCCCGAGTTCAAGCAATTCTCATGCCTCAGCCTCCCGAGTAGCTGGGACTACAGGCATGTGCCACCATGCCCGGGTAATTTTTTTGTATTTTTAGTACAGACAGGCACTCCTGAGCTCAGGCAATCTGCTCACCTCAGCCTCTCAAAGTGCTAGGATTACAGGAGTGAGCCACTGCGCCCGGCCCATATGTGGCTATCTTACTTCATGATATACACTATCACCTCTTGTGGAACTTTAAAACAACAACAACAACACAGCAGGGACTCCTCCTCCCCCTAATTCTAGTTCAGCACTCCTCAAGTGAGTCCCAGTATCCTAATTTTTAAAGCTTCACAGGAATTGTGATATGTACTCTGCTGCCCTGCCCCTGTGGAGAAGCTCCGCCTTTTGGCAGGATCCCGCAAAGTTCTGGGGAGCAACAAGGCCACTGCATTCCTCATGGATAGCAGGGTGTGGCAGGAGAACTGAATGCAGAAAATGAAATCCTGCTGGCAAGTCACACAAAACAGATGGCAGAGTACATGGGCACATCTCATAGACATTTCAAGAACTCACAGCAATTTGGAAGCTCCTTTTATCTTGACCCCCATCCCCTTGGGGCAGTATTTCCAACACCCATGGAGAAGCGAGCCGGTGTCTCCAATGCCCCCAGTCAGCCATTTGGTCCTGGATGTCTTGGGGACTCCTGCTTGCTGCCTCCACTGTGCACAGCTAGGCATAAATAGCCAGTCTTCCAAGCTGTGCTCACTTAAGATGGGATTGGAGGCACCATTCTCAGCCAGGTCTCTTTCTTAAAAGAGGGAGTATCTGAGTCCTACTAGATGCTAGGCATTGGAGACAGAATGCAAATAAAAAGATGACTAGAACATAGATCATATACATTAGGAGCCTCCAGCCTCGCCAAACCTCTTGAAATAGTTTTAAGACAGGGTTTCATGCTGTCACCCAGGCTGGAGTACAGTGGCGCCATCAGAGCTCACTGCAGCCTCAATCTCCTGGGCTCAAGCGATCCTCCCACCTCAGCCTCCCGAGTAGCTTGGGACTACAGGTGCATGCCACCATAACCCAGCCATTTTTGTTTTGTTCTGTTTGGTTTGGTAGAGATGAGGTCTCGCTGCGTTGCCCAGGCTGGTCTCAAGTGATCCTCCCACCTCAACCTCCCAAAGTGCTGGGATTACAGGCGAGAGCCATTGTTCCTGGCATTAAAATAGGTATTTCTGTTTCATAACTTACATATAAGACTACAATACAGGGAGATCTCAGCACACGGTTAGCAAGTTTCCCCAAGTTCCTAAAGCCACACAACTAGAAAATCCTCCTTGAAACCCAGGGGAAGAAGAGGGATGACAACTCAGAGTAAGTTAACAGGACAGTCTGTAGAACGGGCAAGAGGCAGAACCTATGTCAGCTTTAACTGACATGACCCCAAAAAGCCAATCTATGAAGAGCATTTGAGGTAAGGCAACCTGTAAATGTTTCCTTATTTGTCTTCCAGGAGCGATAAGGAGCCTTGTCATTAAACTTTAAGAAGTTTTTCACGGGGAATAAGGAGTAGAAGAATGAAAATGATACGGATGAGACAGCCAGTCTGACCTTATTAAAAATGTGAAAATTTTATCAGTTATACTTCTGACAACTGTACTTAAACTGTAAACAAAGATACTAAGCCATTCAATCAACATATATTAAATGTTTTCAATGGAAAAGTACTGTGCTAGACACCATAAAAAAGGGATCCAAAATTCTAAAATGGGCACAAGTCAATAAAATTAGGAAAGCTTCAAAAGAGTGCACTAAAGCACGCATGTTATTAGTAAGAGTGCTTTAACACAGTAAGATAATGATTTACTTTAAGTTTCTTTGAAGAAATCTGATTTACTTTCAGAGCCCTCAAAATTTACCAAGAATAGCATACCTTGAATACCTGGCCTGTCAAAGCATGGATTCCCTATGAGCACGTCCCTGGTCTCAACTCTCCTCACCCCACATGCCACTTGCTTGCAACAGAGAGTGGTTGTCTCCCTCACTCAGGGATGCCCGTAAGTTCCTCCCAAGAAGATGACCATAGAAAGCTGGCAAAAGAACTGGAAAAAAGAAAACCCGTCAGCACTCTTCCCTATGAGACGAGAGGCACAGAGTTTATCAACACCAGCTCTGACCTCCCCAAAAATCCCAAAGCAGCAGTAATGGAGAAAAAGACATCACATGGACATACTGTCAAGCCCAGTAAAAGCAGAGTGACCGGGGATTGGCAAAACCAAGAGAATCCATTCCTTCCTCAGATGCTCACTATCCAAGCTGAGTCAGGACATCAACTGAGAAGCACCTGCTCTTAAGCAAGGTACTAGATGCATCCGGTTTACCACCACTATCTCAGGTTTTCTGTTTATGTGATGCTAATAGGTTTACAGCCCAGTCCACAACGAAATGTTTTAAAGGTTTAAGATAACATGCCAAGAACCTCTCTCAAACCCTTAGCATGCTGAAGTCCTCCTAAGCACCTCCTTCCCCTATCTCCTGCCTCACCCCTCAGGAGTCCCAGGTTTCTACGAAATTCACCATTCCCAAACACACCACTCAACTTCACACCTTTGCTCTTTCTCTTCCCTCAACCTGAAACCCCCTCTCTCTCTGGAAATTAGTCATCCTCCAGGTACAGCTCAAATATCACCTGCATGCCCACACCACCCCCCACGGAATCTTGCCAGCCCTTTCTCTGTGCTCAGAACACCTGGTTGGCCTCTGAGTTGCAGCACTGGCTTCGTTCTGCCTGAGCTCCCCTCCTACCAGTCTCTCCAGGGCTGGTCTTCCCTGGTGTCATCCACCACCCTCCCGCTCTCACTCTCATCACAAGCAGAAGCAGATGCTCCATGCACGCTTGCTCATTGAAAGATTCCAACAAGGAGCTCCTGTGACTGACCCAGAGCCTATCTCCCTGGGAAGTGTCCTTTTCACTGCTACACGTCCTGGAGAACATTCGTTTTCAAGGGTGCTCTCCATGTTCAAACACACCACCAACTAGGCTCCTGCCCAAGTCAATCCTGCCGGGCTTCACTGCCAGAAAGAACGGGATCATGTGCAGTCACGTTTGGGCCAAAAAAACCACCTTGGCAGGGCACCAGGGTGCTAACAGGTTTGTGCGTGCCGAGGCTGGGTGGAGGCCTCTCCTCCTCCTAAGTCTGTTTAATGAGGAGCTCCAGAAGACCTGCTGCCTTCCCCACCAGGACTTCAAAGATGAGAACGGAGAATAGGAGGTTTCTCTGGAAGGAAACCAGGGAGTAATACAGGGGATGGGTTCAGCCTTTCCCTGACTTCAGGGTCAGCTGAGATCTCATTTGAGCCAAGCACAGAGGAGAACCCTACATGAACCAGGTGGTCACCCCCATGTCAAATGCCTAATGTTTCCTCAAAAAAAGTCTCAACTCGAACATGGGGTAGGGTTCCAAGATGGCTGAATAGGAACAGCTCCAGTCTTCAGCCCGCAGCGTGACTGACACAGAAGACAGGTGATTTCTGCATTTCCAACTGAGGTGCCTGGTTCATCTCAGCTGGGACTGGGTGGACAGTGGATGCAGCCCACAGAGGGCAAGCCAAAGCAGGGCAGGTCATCACCTCACCCAGGAAGTACAAGGGGTAGGGGAATTCCCTTTCCTAGCCAAGGGAAGCCGTGGCAGACTGTACCTGGAAAATCGGGACACTACCACCCTAACACTGCACTTTTCCAACTGTCTTAGCAAACGGCACACCAGGAGATTATATCCTGCACCTGGCTCAGCGGGTCCCGCTCCCACAGAGCCTTGCTCACTGCTAGCACAGCAGTCCGAGATCGAGCTGCAAGGTGGCAGCCTAGCTGGGGGAGGGGCATCCACCATTGCTGAGGCTTGAGTAGGTAAACAAAGCAGCCGGGAAGCTCGAACTGTGTGGAGTCCACCGCAGCTCAAGGAGGCCTGCCTGCCTCTGTAGACTCCTCCTCTGGGGGAAGGGCACAGCTGAAAAAAAGGCAGCAGAAACTTCTGCAGACTTAAACGTCCCTGTCTGACAGCTCTGAAGAGAGCAGTGGTTCTCCCAGTACAGTGTTTGAGCTCTGAGAATGGACAGATTGCCTCCTCAAGTGGGTCCCTGACCCCCATGTAGCCTTACTGGCAGACACCTCCCAGTAGGGGCCAACTGACACCTCATACAGCTGGGTGCTCCTCCGAGATGAAGCTTCCAGAAGAAGGATCAGGCAGCAATATTTGCTGTTCTGCAATATTTGCTGTTCTGCAGCCTCTGCTGGTGATACCCAGGCAAACAGGGTCTGTAGTGAACCTCCAGCAAACTCCAACAGACCTGCAGCTGAGGGACCTGACTCTTAGAAGGAAAACTAAAAAACAGAAAGGAATAGCATCAACATCAACAAAAAGGACATCCACACCAAAACCCCATCTGTAGGTCACCATCATCAAAGACTGAAGGTAGATAAACCACAAAGATGGTAAGAAACCAGAGCAGAAAAGCTGAAAATTCTAAAAACCAGAATGCCTCTTCTCCTCCAAAGGAATGCAGCTCCTTACCAGAAATGGAAAAAAGCTGGACGGAGAATGACTTTGACTAGTTGACAGAAGTAGGCTTCAGAAAGTCAGTAATAACAAACTTCTCCAAGCTAAAGGAGGATGTTCAAACCCATTGCAAGGAAGCTAAAAACCTTCAAAAAAGATTAGACGAATGGCTAACTAGAATAACCAGTATAGAGAAGACCTTAAATGACCTGATGGAGCTGAAAATCATGGCACGAGAACTACATGATGCATGCACAAGCTTCAGTAGCCAATTTGATCAAGTGGAAGAAAGGGAATCAGTGATTGAAGATCAAATGAATGAAATGAAGCGAGAAGAGAAGTTTAGAGAAAGAAGAGTAAAAAGAAACGAACAAAGCCTCCAAGAAATATGGGACTATGTGAAAAGACCAAATCTACATTTGATTGGTATACCTGAAAGTGATGGGGACAATGTAACCAAGCTGAAAAACACTCTTCAGGATATTATCCAGGAGAACTTCCCCAACCTAGCAAGGCACGCCAACATTCAAATTCAGGAAATACAGAGAACACCACAAAGATACTCCTTGAGAAGAGCAACCCCCAGGCTCAAAAATAAAGGGATGGAGGAAGATCTACCAAGCAAATGGAAAGCAAAAAAAAGCAGGGGTTGCAATCCTAGTCTCTGATAAAACAGACTTTAAACCAACAGAGATCAAAAGAGACAACGAAGGCCATTACATAATGGTAAAGGGATCAATACAACAAGAAGAGCTAACTATCCTAAATATATATGCACCCAATGCAGGAGCACCCAGATTCATAAAGCAAGTCCTTAGAGACCTACAAAGAGACTTAGACTCCCACACAATAATAATGGGAGACTTTAACACCCCACTGTCAATATTAGACAGAACAATGAGACAGAAGGTTAACAAGGATAGCCAGGACTTGAACTCAGCTCTGCACCAAGTGGACCTAATAGACATCTACAGAACTCTCCACCCCAAATCAACAGAATATACATTCTTCTCAGCACCACATCACACTTATTCCAAAATTGACCACATAGCCGGAAATAAAGCACTCCTCAGCAAATGTAAAAGAACAGAAATCACAACAAACCGTCTCTCAGACCATAGTGCAATCAAATTAGAACTCAGGACTAAGAAACTCACTCAAAACTGCACAACTACATGGAAACTGAACAACCTGCTCCTGAATGAGTACCGGGTAAATAACGAATGAAGGCAGAAATAAAGACGTTTTTTGAAACCAATGAGAACAAAGACACAACGTACCAGAGTCTCTGGGACACATTTAGAGCAGTGTGTAGAGGGAAATTTATAGCACTAAATGCCCACAGGAGAAAGCAGGAAAGATCTAAAATTGACACCCTAACATCACAATTAAAAGAACTAGAGTAGCAAGAGCAAACACATTCAAAAGCTAGCAGAAGGCAAGAAATAACTAAGATCAGAGCAGAACTGAAGGAGATAGAGACATAAAAAACCCTTCAAAAATAAAATAATAATAATGAATCCAGGAGCTGTTTTTTGAAAAGATCAATGAAATTGATAGACCGCTAGCAAGACTAATAAAGAAGAGAAGAATCAAACAGATGCAATAAAAAATGATAAAGGGGATATCACCAATGATCACACAGAAATACAAACTACAATCAGAGAATACTATAAACACCTCTATGCAAATAAACTAGAAAATCTAGAAGAAATGGGTAAGTTCCTGGACGCACACACTCTCCCAAGACTAAACCAGGAAGAAGTTGAGTCCCTGAATAGACCAATAACAGACTATGAAATTGAGGCAATAATTAATAGCCTACCAATCAAAAAAAGTCCAGGACCAGACGGATTCACAGTCAAATTCTACCAGAGGTACAAAGAGGAGCTGGTACCATTCCTTCTGAAACTAATTCCAATCAATAGAAAAAGAGGGAATCTTCCCTAACTCATTTTATGAGGCCAGCATCATCCTGATACCAAAGCTGGGCAGAGACACAACAAAAAGAGAATTTTAGACCAATATCCCTGATGAACATCGATGCAAAAATCCTCAATGAAATACTGGCAAACTGAATCCAGCAGCACATCAAAAAGCTTATCCACCAAGATCAAGTGGGCTTCATCCCTGGGATGCAAGGCTGGTTCAACATACACAAATCAATAAATGTAATCCATCACATAAACAGAACCAAAGACAAAAACCACATGATTATCTCAATAGATGCAGAAAGGTCTTCAACAAAATTCAACAGCCCTTCATGCTAAAAACTCTCAATAAATTAGGTATTGATGGGATGTATCTCAAAATAATAAGAGCTATTTATGACAAACTCACAGCCAATATCATACTGAATGGGCAAAAACTGGAAGCATTCCCTTTGAAAACTCCCACAAGACAGGGATGCCCTCTCTCACCACTCCTATTCAAGAGTGTTGGAAGTTCTGGCCAGGGCAATCAGACAAGATAAAGAAATAAAGGGTATTTGATTAGGAAAAGAGGAAGTCAGATTGTCCCTGTTTGCAGATGACATGAGTGTATATTTAGAAAACCCCATCGTCTCAGCCCAAAATCTCCTTAAGCTGATAAGCAACTTCAGCAAAGTTTCAGGATACAAAATCAATGGGCAAAAATCACAAGCATTCCTATACGCCAATAACAGACACAGAGAGCCAAATCATGAGTGAACTCCCATTCACAATTGCTACAAAGAGAATAAAATACCTAGGAATACAACTTACAAGGGATGTGAAGGACTTCTTCAAGGAGAACTACAAACCACTGTTCAACGAAATAAAAGAGGACACAAACAAATGGAAGAACATTCCATGCTCATGGATAGGAAGAATCAATATTGTGAAAATGGCCATACTGCCCAAGGTAATTTATAGATTCAATGCCATCTCCATCAAGCTACCAATGACTTTCTTCACAGAATTGGAAAAAACTCCCTTAAAGTCCATATGGAACTAAAAAAGAGCCTCCATTGCCAAGGCAATCCTAAGCAAAAAGAACAAAGCTGGAGGAATCATGCTACCCGACTTCAAACTATACTACAAGGCTACAGTAACCAAAACAGCATGGTACTGGTACCAAAACAGAGAGATAGACCAATGGAACAGAACAGAGGCCTCAGAAATGACATCACACATCTACAACCATCTGATCTTTGACAAACCTGACAAAAACAAGGAACACGGAAAGGATTCCCTATTTGATAAATCGTGCTGGGAAAACTGGCTAGCCATATGTAGAAAGCTGAAACTGGATCCCTTCCTTATACCTATACAAAAATTAATTCAAGATGGATTAAAGACTTAAATGTTAGACCTAAAACCATGAAAGCCCTAGAAGAAAACCTAGGCAATACCATTCCGGACATAGGCACGGGCAAAGACTTCATGACTAAAACAATTTTGGCAACAAAAGCCAAAATTGACAAATGGGATCTAATTAAACTAAAGAGCTTCTGCACAGCAAAAGAAACTACCATCAGAGTGAACTGGCAACCTACAGAATGGGAGAAAATTTTTGCAATCTACCCATCTGACAAAGAGCTAATACCCAGAATCTACAAAGAACTTAAGCAAATTTTCAAGAAAAAATCAAACAACCCCATCAAAAAGTGGGCAAAGGAAATGAACAGACACTTCTCAAAAGAAGACATTTATGCAGCCAACAGACACATGAAAAAATGCTCATCATCCACTGGTCATCAGAGAAATGCAAATCAAAACCACAATGAGATACCATCTCACACCAGTTAGAACGGCGATCATTAAAAAGTCAGGAAACAACAGGTGCTGGAGAGGATGTGGAGAAACAGGAACACTTTTACACTGTTGGTGGGATTGTAAACTAGTTCAACCATTGTGGAAGACAGTGTGGTGATTCCTCAAGGATCTAGAACTAGAAATACCATTTGACCCAGCCATCCCATTACTGGGTATATACTCAAAGGACTATAAATCATTATACTATAAAGACACATGCACATGTATGTTTATTGTGGAACTATTCACAATAGTAAAGACTTGGAACCAACCCAAATGTCCATCAATGATAGACTGGATTAAGAAAATGTGCCACATATACACCATGGAATACTATGCAGCCATAAAAAAGGATGAGTTCATGTCCTTTGTAGGAACATGGATGAAGCTGGAAACTATCATTCTCAGCAAACTATCACAAGGACAGAAAACCAAACACTGCATGTTCTCACTCATAGGCGGGAATTGAACAATGAAAACATTTGGACACAGGGCGGGAAACATCACACACGAGGGCCTGTCATGGGGTGGGAGGATGGGGGAGGGATGGCATTAGGAGAGATACCTAATGTAAATGATGACTTAATGGGTGCAGCAAACCAACATGGCACATGTATACATATGTAAGAAACCTGCACATTGTGCACACGTACCCTAGAACTTAAAGTATAATAATAATAATTTTTTACAAAAAGCCTCAACTCACGTTCAGCGACAGCTTGCAAATGCTGCAAGAGCTTCTAAGCACCCTAGGTTTTTCCTACATAAGGTTGATGACCTCACTGGCATAGTATCTAAGCATTCACTGCAGGACAGCACCACCTGGTGAACAGTCGTAGCTCAAATACCTGAGGTTTCCCAGGACAGGCTCATAAAAGGGAGAGGGCCCTGGCAGCCAGGAAGGGAATCGTCTCCCAGCTGCTGCATGTCCTTCAGCCAAGTCTCCTTTCATAAAGCACACCTCAGCAGAAAAGGGAGACTCCTCATCTGTCCTAACCACAACCGACAGACAAGTATAAAAGAATACCCATCACAGCCCACAGCACGCCCACTCTCACAGCATGCCCGCTCTCAGACCCTCTGTCCGGAGGACCCACAGATGCGTGTGCACCCTTAAAATTAAATCTAACAGGTCATGTACACATAGACATGCACTTTCTCTTTGGCCTCTTCCCCACCTACAGCAACCCATTTATAAAACTTCTGTAAGGGCAGCAGGGGAAAAGTCCTTTCTGAGTTTAAAGCTACAAAGGCACCACTATAAATTACAGAGTCGCAGAGATCTCAAGGAAGGCAGCTTCCTGAGAGGAGGAAGACTGTCCCTCCAGCCTGTTTTTGTGGTGATGAGATCACAGAGTTTAGATTCTGTATTTGGTCCTACATGGGTTTTAAGGGCCTTCTTTAGTAATTACAGAAAGGAAAAAGGAAGGTCAATGAGACCAGAGAAACTGAGTGGTGTTTGAGAGGTTACTTATAACTACAGCGAGATCACCTATCAGACGCAGAAAAGAAACTATGCCTTGAGATTTTTGTTGTTGTTCTTCAGAATAAATTTTAGATTAGCAAAAAAATTATGAACTTTTACTGTTTTGGCATTCCTGTGTTCAAAGGCCTTTTTCAATGCACAACCCAGCATTTGGGCCCATGATAGTTTTGAAAAAATGAGCATTACACCACAAAATATTCTCATGTAAAAGATGACAAAATATACTTATTGTGGGAATTTTTCTGAAACCTAAAACACAGGAGGTTAGAGACTAGCTGAATGAGAATTTCAAATGCCCATCAATAGCTTTTTCTTTTCAGATCTAATTTCCCACTGACTCCTTCAAAAAAAAACTTCATAGAGAATTATTACAGTTTACCTCGTGGTCATCACTTTCTTGCAAGGATGAACAGACACACTTCAAATTTGTTTATCCAATAGAAGTATTCATCAAAAAAATTTTTTTTCTCCCAAGTACCCTTCTAAAGCCTAGCACTGGGCCTCCTCAGACCACAAGACAAAGGCTACTGTATGTGTTCATGGACCAAAGCATGTCTCCATCGATTCCATGTGACGGTCCAAATCCTCCAGCTGTAAAGGGTTCTGCAGCATTGAACACTGCTTTGACTACAATGTGAGGCCCAGAGAGGCTAAACAACGTGACAAAGACCACTCAGGCAAAGCCAGCGTCGGTGAGTTCGTGAGGACGTTCAAGTCACACTCAACCACAGCACAGTGGAAACAATACCACAGAAATCCTAAAGCAAATAAAAGAAAGCTCTTCTTTCATGTTGAATGCTGCTATTTAATAGAAAGCAAGCTTACATAACAGAGGAAGATGGGAGGAGGAGAACTTCATGGGGATCTGTCCTACATTTGGGGCTTGAGTAGCAAAAGGCATTAAAACATACCAATTTCCATCCCAAATCTTTCAGCTTCCATTTCCATGAGACAGGTGTCCTGCTAGTACTGTTACACTATCAACCGCCCTGAGGTGGTTTTCCATCCCATGGCCCATGAGAATCTCCTAGGTAGCTTTAAAAATTCTGAGGCCTAGAAAAAGTGAAACGGGATCTCTGGGAATAGGGCCCACTGGCGCTTTTCAAACCCGACCAGTTGATTTTAATGTGTAGCCAGGATTGAGAGTCACTACACCTGACCAACTCCCAGCTGTTTCTTTTGTCCTCCTGATGGGGTCAGGTGGGAAATATTTATGCCTCAAAAACAGGGGAGAGAGGGAAAAGCAAATGGACCAGGGAAGAGAGCTGAAGAAAGTTGGAGTGAATAACGATTTGTAGGTGATGATCGCTGGAGTGGGTGCAAGGTGTGGCCCAAGGGAGAAGGCAGGAGGAGGGACAGATTAGGCCATTCACTAAGTGAGCCCTGCATGGCATCTGCATTGAGTCCGGCTGCTTTGGCAGGTAGAGGCAGGGCCAAGAGGCAGCAATTCAAAGCTCATCTGTAAAGAATATTTCCATTAAGTGTTAACTATATGAGAAGTGATATGATGGTTTTCAGATGTGAGGAATTTACTGCACCACTGTATTTGCCACTATGATTTCACCTGTTCTTCTAATAGTCCTGATAGGGTTTTTGTTTTTGTTTTTGTTTTTTACTGAGGATCCATATTTTCTTGCTCACCAAGTTTGACAAAGCACAACGCATTCAAGGATAACTACTAAGAGCCACAGTGCCTGAAGAACAGAGCTTTCCTTGGTATAAAACCAGCTGGCGCACATGCAGGTTGAATGTGACCTTGATTTCATGAGCATCATGATGTTTTCAGATGTGACAGAGGCTGGATAAGAAAGAACCTGGGGTGAAGCCTGCGGGAACACCGGCTCCATCTGAGGTGCTAACCCTATTGTCACTCCCATGTCCCGTCATTCTTAGGAATACCTGCTTGCTACCTGCTCTTCTGTAATAGAGGGACAACCACCAGGCTGTTGAGTCTGGATGGCTTCCCCAATTTCTGTCTCTCATGGGAAGGAAATTCATCTGCTTTGCCTTACCCATCCTTTACCAATGTTTCCCAAAGTGTATCCCATCTGTACTAGAGCAACCTGGGCTGCTCCTGGGCACTTCCCCTCTCCCGCAGCCCATGGGCAATCACACCTGGAGCCCAAGAGACTGCATTTTCATCAGCCACACAACTCAACAGTCTGTGAACCGGTCATACATTTACGATTCTTCCTTTGAAATGAGTTCCTCAGTTGTGCTGCTACATCTGTCCCTAACCTCTGCCACTTCCTAACTGGTGATTCACAAATTCATCCATGGCCACTTACTTGAATCCCACTTGGATCCCACCCTCCCGACACCAAGCCCCTGACTTAAATCACTCTTCTCTGAACTCACACAAGATGCAAAACCACTGCTTTTAATCGGGAGTTTCAGGTCTGTTTGTTCTCTCTCCCAACCACAGACTAGGCTTCTTGATGGCAGGCTCCATGACATCCCACTGAACCTTTTGCAGGGCTCAGTATATTTAGGCTGTACAAACAGTGGCTGACGGACCGGCCAAGGCTTGCTCAGCCCTGGGTCTTCCTCCGTTGAGCTTCTTCTCATTTTCCCTGAGAAAACTTTCACTCTTTCCATAACAAAATTGATTCAGGCAAGAGTAGGAGGAAAAAAGGGGGAGGCCTATCAAAGACAGAAGTCATATGCTGCAACCTCAACTTATCCAGAAAACACCAAGAACCAAGATGCAAATAAGTCTTCAAAGCTGCCAAAATCTGGGGCTCAGTTCATGCACAATGCAGAAGGGAACTCCTAACCCCCACACCAACCCCCAACACCTCTTCACAGGCTCTCCCTCAGAGCCCTCCCACTGTCTTTCAGATTCAATTCTAACAGGAGAGAATATGTGGTTTCCCAGACTGTTGTAAGTTAAGAGAATGGAGGGACAGTGTTAGATCTGGGCACAATGACAGCCCTGAGAAGCTGCGACTGACAGGAGAGAATCTGTAAAATTCGAAACAGTAGATTACAGGCTGTTATATTTTAACAGCCTTTCAATCCCCAAATGCATGCAAGGACGCCAAAAAAAAAGCATTTTAAAGCAGCACAATTCTTGGCTCTGAAAGGTGACCCTGGGCACCAAGAAAAGGTTACTTTGCTCACAGTGTGTCTCTGCCACTATATCCAGGAGAGATATCCACATGGCTAACCTCAGTCCACAAGATCCAAATGTCCTCAAAAATAGGAATGGGGACTGTATCCAACTGCAATGTGCTGTCTCTGTGTGGTCTCTAACACCAACGGAAACCAGGACAGGCTTTCTCAAAAGCACTGCCATTCTGATCTGGAATATTCCATCTGAGTACTCTCCCATTCATTATTCTCATCCATCTTTTCTTACGGTATCTGTGAGTAAAGCTCCTCACCAGATTATAAACTTCTTTGAGCAGATGGACTATGCCTTTGTATTAATGACACGCCCCCTATCTCCTCCTAAGTCACCAATGAAGCCTTCTGAATCTTTGCCAGTTCAATCTGCCCCAGATACCCCAGGGCCATATGACCTTAGGGAAGAAGGTATTTGAATGAGAGTGTTTTTAAACAGCCTAAGCGTTTCTGTAGTCTCTAAAGGTATTAAGTTTTCAACTTTCTTAAAGATGATAAAATTGGTTTAAATGTTAGGATTCTGTGATCAATAAGGCAAGCTTCAGTTGACTTTGGAATCTAATCTGTATGACATACAGAGCCAAGGAATAAATTCTGTACTGTTATGCATGCCCATGTGAACCACAGAGGCTAGGGTGAGTTTTCCCTTGCTCTAAAGCAACCTCACCTCACATATCTTTAATCATTCATCTACTCAGAATGGATTATTGGGTGACTTCATATTTATTTCTTTTTTCCAAAGCTCAGCTTTCTGATTTATATATTTATTTCTCGATAAGTAATAGCACTCAAAAGCACCAATTTGCTTCAGGCTTGGTAAAGAGTACTTTCATGAATTTAACTGACAGTTCTGTAATATAGGGTTATAATTTACACTTGGGAAAAATTGAGGAATTTGTTTTGTCTAAATTGAATTTAAAACTACATCCACTTCCAGATTCACATAAGTAATTCTCAGTTTTCAAGCTCATGATTGAATATGTACCTTACACCCTAAGACCCATTCACTTGCAAGCAGGCTGAAATGACCTACCAGGACACTAAAAACCTCTCTATTTAGGTCTAGGCTGTCAGGACATCCAGGCCTGGCCTGTTGTTTTCAGTGTCCATGGCCCTTCCTTCCCCACAGCTGAAGCCTCTTAACCCTTGCCCCCACACTCCCCTTGCTGGCTCAACCCAGCGGGAATTTCTAAGATAGAGATTTAAATAGCTCTGGCTAAGTTGCTCTTGCTGCTTAACAGGCAGGCCCTGACCTTGTATCCAGTAACTTGGCTTTCTTGCTCCTGCATTCCACAGGCCTAAATCACCCTCTAGCTCAGTTCTGATAAGGAGCCTGAGACCCTCTCTGGATAATCTGCTGCTAACTCCTCAGGGGCTGAGGAGCTGCCTTGCTCTTGGCAATCTTCCAGGGGACTGGAGGTCACTCTGACTCCATATGGCCAGAGAAGGTCTGGGGACATGGGTGCCTGTGTCAGGCTACTCATATACCCTGAGCCACCAGCCCTGAAGACCTCAGCCCCTTCCTCCTGACACCTGGACTCCCTCCCAGCTGCAGTGGCTGGATCTGCTGCCCCCAACTCTGAGATGGGGGTTCCAAGCCCAGTGCCTCCGGATGCATTAGGAAATGACTCATCACAAAAAGCTGAGGGTCCTCTGGCCAGAACACAAGTCATGAGATCTTGATCTTAGCTGTCAAAAAATGTCAAAAACAAAACCCCAACAACAAACTGAGAAAACAGGATCTCTCTTTTCCTGGAGAATTCAACACCCCTATGTTGGCTTTGAGTATGCTGAAGCCACTGAATCCTCTTTTACTAGTTCTAAGGCGAAAACTGAGGAAAATCAGAGAAATGGCTACAACTGTGTCTTCTCTGAATAGAGGAGAATCAGAGAGCTTCTTATCAACCACTTCAAAGCTAACATCCATGATTATTGAAATTACAACTATGAAATAACTTCTGTCCTAGGAAATCAAGTCATCTTCTAAAAGAAAAATAAATGTGTATGTGCATTTTTATCAATATACTTTAAAGATCCAGACAAAAACCCTAGCTGGTTAAAGTGTACTACACTTTAGAATAACATAAAAAACAGCAACCTTCATTTTCTGGTCAAAGATTATTTTTGTAATACCTAGTAATTTCTACAAAATTCTAGCATTTTTTGCTTTCTACCACCATTCCGTAGAAAGACATTCCCCCCTTGGCTTTATATCTTTGCTTTTTGATCTTGTTAACAATCCAGAAAATTCCAACCTTGCAATTTTTTTTTTCACCCCGGGAAGGAATAACACACAGTCACTTAAAAACCAAAAGCAGTGTCAACACTTCTCAATGACACAGCTGCTGTGAGTGACCAGTGAATAAAAGGGTTTTTGTGGGGAAATGTTGACTTCTCTCCAAAATAATTCTCAGTGTTATTGAAGACATGATCAAAAATAGTAGAGGCTGGGTACAGTGGCTCACACCTATAATCCCAGCACTTTGGGAGGTCAAAGCAGGAGGACTGCTTGAGAACAGGAGTTCAAGACCAGCCTGGACAAGATGGCAAGACCCCATATCGCTATGTTAAAAATACAGGCATGGTGGCACATACGTGTAGACCTAGCTACTTGGGAAGCTGAGGCAGGAGGATCACTTGAGACTAGGAGTTCAAAACTAGCCTGGGCAACACAGACCTCACCTCTACACAAAATTTTTAAAATTAACTGGGTGTGGTGGCAAGCACCTATAGTCTTAGCTACTCAGGAGACTGACGTGGGAGGACTGCTTGAGCCCAGGAGTCCAAGATTATAGTGAACTATGATTGTGCCACTGCACTCCAGCCTGGTTGACAGAGCAAGACTGTCTCTAAAAAATAATTATAAGGCATTAGTTAAGCAAGAAATACTAAGTACTTATGATAAACCACAGTGAAAATACTCAAACTATATGGACACTTGGTTTCAAAAGAGGGTGCCTAGACAGGAAAGAACCCACTCTGTATGCCATGCATTACATGGAACAATGCACATGTTCCATATTACAAACCTTTACTTAAAAAGTGAGGCATACGATCCAACAATCTCATTTCTGGGTATTTATCCAAAAGAACTGAAGTCAGGATCCCAAAGAGCTATTTTCACTCCCATGTTCATTGCAGCATTATTCACAATAACCAAAGTGTAGAAGCATCCTAAATATTCACTAACAGATAAATGGATAAACAAAATGTGATATATACACATAATGGATCATTCCGCCATAAAAAAAGGAAATCCTGATACATGCTACCACATGAATGAAACTTGAAGACATCACACAAGAGAAATAAAACAGTCACAGAAGGATAAACAGCACACGATTCCACTCTTATGAGGTATATAAAGTAGTCAAACTCTGCTAGGCACTGTGGCTCACACCTGTAATCCCAACACTTTGGGAGTCTGACTTGGGAGGACCACTTGAGGCCATGAGTTCAAGACCAGCCTGGGCAACATAGCAAGATCCTCATCTCTATAAAAAAATCTACAAATTAGCTGTGTATAGCAGCACATGCCTATAGTCTCAGCTGCTTGAGAGGATCACTTGAGCACAGGAGTTTGAACTTACAGTGAGCTACACTCAAGCCACTGCATCTAGACTGGGCAACAGAGTGAGAGACCCTATCTCAACAATAATAATCATAATTAATTAATTAATAATCAAACTCATAGAAGCAGAGCAGAATGGTGAATGCCAGGAGCTTGGGGAGAGAGGAAAATGGAGAATTGTTGAAAGAATATAAAGTTTCAGTCACAGAGGATGAAATACTTCTAGAAATCAGCTGTATAACATTGTGTTTATAAGTTAACAACACTGTACACTTAAAATTTTGTTAGGAGTTAGATCTCATGTGTTTTGTTTTGTAACCACAATTTTTTAAAATATGAGGATACAAACTCAAGGATTCAGATTACATTAGCTTCAAAGTTCTTGTCCTTTCTACTGTTTCATTTTGTCTACACACAAGAGAAGTATAAACAGTAAAGAATAGGCCCGACATGATGGCTCACACCTGTAATCCCAGCACTTTGGGAGGCCAAGGCGGGCAAATCACTTGAGGTCAGAAGTTCGAGACCAGCTTGGCCAACATGGTGAAACCCCGTCTCTACTAAAAACACAAAAATTAGCCAAGTGTGGTGGTGTGTGCCTATAATCCCAGCTACTTGGGATGCTAAGGCAGGAGAATCCCTGGAATCTAGGAGATAGAGGTTGCAGTGAGGTGAGATTGCACCATTGCACTCCAGCCTAGGCAACAAGAGTGAGACTCCGTATCAAGAAAAAAAAAGCAATTAGCATATACTATGGTTTGAATGTGTCCCCCAACTTTCATGTGTTGGCAACGTAATCCCCAAATTCATATGTGGAGTGGAGGTGAGGCCTTTGGGAGGAAATAAGGATGAGATGAGGTCATCGGGATGGGGCTCCCATGATAGTACTGGCGGCTTGAAAAAAGAGGAGAGACTTGAACTGACATGCACGCTCTTGCCCTCTCGCTGCGTGATACCTTCTACCACGTTATGAAGCAGGAAGAAGACCCTCATTTGAAGCTAAGCAGATGCCAGCACCATGCTCCTGGACTTCACAGCCTCCAGAACTGTGAGAAATAATTTTCCCTTTTTTATAAATTATGCAGAAGGTGGCATTCAGTTATAGCAAGAGACGGACTAAGACTGAAAATTGGTACCAAGAATGGGGTCATTGCTATAACAGATAGCTGAAAATGTGGAAGTGGCTTTGAAACTGGGCAATGAGTAGAGGCTGGAAGGGTTTGAGGGAGCAAGCTAGAAAAAGCCTGTAATTGCTATAAGTGGAGCATTAGGGGAGATTCTGATGAGGGTTCAGAAGACGAGAGCTAGGGAAAAGTCTGAATCTTCTTCAAGATTTGCTTAAGTGGTGGTGGCCAAAATGTTGGTAGAAATTTGAACAGTAAAGGCCATTCCGACAAGGTCTCAGACGGAAATGAGGAACAAAGTACTGGAAACTAGAGTAAAGGCCATCCTTGTCACAAAGTAGCAACAAGCTTGGCTAAATTGTGTCCATGTCCTAGGTCTTTGTGAAATGCAGAGCTTGAGGGCAATAAACTAAAATATCTGGCAGAAGAAATATTTAAGCAGCAAAGCATTCAGGATATTGCATGGTTACTTTTGACCACATTCAGTGATATATGAGAGCAAAGAAATGACTTAAAGACAAAATGTATAATTAAAAGGAAAACAGAATGGGAAGACTTCAAAACTCTGCAGCCTGGCCACATAAAGAGTGAAAAAGACGCTTCCCTCAGCAGCACATATACTAAAACTGGACTGATACAGAGAAGATTAGCATGGTCCCTGCACAAGGATAACACGCAAATTCATGAAGCATTCCATGTTTAAAAAAAAAAAATGAGTGAAAAAGTGTGTTCAGGAGAGGAAACCAAGGCTGTGGGTAGGTGATCATTTGTTAAGGAGATTACTATTGATAGATGAAATTATCAAGAGAATAGGAAAAAGACCCCTGCCATTTCAGAGATCTTTGAGGCTGTCCCTCCCATCCCTGGCCCAGAGCTCTAGAAGGGCGGAATGGTTTCAGAAGGACCCAGGCACCCTTCATGGGGTTGCTGCCCAGGGCCCCCTTGGGTCTCTGCTTTCTGCATCCCAGTGCAGCACTCCTCAGCCACCCCAGCTGTGGCTCAAGCGACCCCAAGTGCAGCTCAACCCAGCACTCCAGAAGGTACAAGCAGCAAGGACTAGCAGCATGTACCAGGCTCAGGATACTCTGAGCCACCTTAGGACTCTATAGAGAGTCCCTACCAGCAAGAAGGCCCTCCCAGATGCAGCCTCAAGACACTGGACTTCATAGTCTCCAAAACTGTAAGAAATAAATTTTCTTTATAAATTGCTGAGTCTCAGGTATTCAGTTATAGCAATGGAAAACAGCACATAATTAAAGGCTAGAGTGCAGGGTAGGAGAAATTGAGAGGAACAGGAAGCCAAAGAAGCTGAGGTCATCGAGGAAAGCCTCAAAAAAAAGGGCAACATAGGCCCAACCCTGAAGGATCAGCTGAGGCTGCAGGGACTGCTACAAGCATCTGAGTAAGGACACTGAGCTGGTCCACGCCAAGAAGGCATGCTAGGCAACAGCTTTTAAAGGCTGAGGAGGACATGAACTAAACACTAGAAGCTAAAAACTGAAGCAAGGCCAGACACAGTGGCTCACATCTGTAATCCCAGCACTTTGGGAAGCCAAGACAGGAGGACTGCTTGAGGCCAGGTGTTCAAGACCATGCTGGGCAACAACAGCAACACCCTATCTCTACAAAAAATTTAAAAATTAGCCAGGAATTGTGGGTACCCCTGTAGTCCTAGCCATTGGGAAGCTGAGGCAAGATGATCGCTTGAGCCCAGGACTGGAGGCTTCAGTGAGCTATGATCATGCCACTGCACTCCAGCCTGGGCGATAGAGTGAGACCCTGTCTCTACAAAAAATAAAAATAGCAAAAAACACTGAAGCAAAATCAAAGGAATTGGTCGGAGTTCCCTAAGCCATTTATAATCTAGCTCTCAGAATTTGAATGTTCACTGAATCCCTGAAAAGGCCTTCCTATATGACAAACAAGCAATCAAGAAAGTTTTAAGGCACAGCCATCCATTGGGGCCAACCTGATTAGTTAAATGATCAGAAATAAGACCAGATAAATTGTATACCATTTCAAAGAAATAAATAAAAATATGGTATTATAGTAAAGCCCCATGTATCCAACATCCCTGAAAAACTTACTGTGCTAAAAAAAAGGAATCCCTTAGATACTGAAACCTGTGTTAACAGGAAAAATCTATGTATGGACTAGGTATTGACAAGTATTAGGGAATTATCCTCATTTTGTTTTGTGTTAATGTCATCGGGGATCTTTACTGAGTAACAGATACATACTATTTACAAAGGGAATTACATAGTGTCTGGGATTTGCTTTAAATTGCTGGGGATAAAATATAGGTCAAAGGTTCCAAGGTTGCAGTTACGCAGAATGAGTAAGTCTAGAGATCTAATGTATGGTATGAAGGCTATAGTTAACAACATTGTATTGCTTAGTGGTACTTTGTTAAGAGAGTAGGTTTTAGGTACACTTACCACAAGAAAAGAAAGAAAAGAAAAGAAAAGGAAAAAAGGAAGGAAGGAGAAGGAAGGAGAAAAGAAAGAAAGAAAGAAAGAAAGAAAGAAAGAAAGAAAGAAAGAAAGAAAAGAAAGAAAAAGAAAGAAAGAAAGAAAAAGAGAAAGAGAAAGAAAGAAAAAGAAAGCAAGAAAGGAAGTTAACTATATGAGATAATGGGAATGTTAATTTTCTTGACCATAGTTATCACTTCACTATGCATATGTGTATCAATAAGTACAGTCATAGGTGGCTTAATGATGGGGATAGAGGATGGAAGGTGGGGGATTCAGCATCAGCATTGCTGTGCGAATGTAACAGAGTGTACTTACACAAATCCACAAGCCTGGGCTATATGCTAGAGCCTATTGCTCCTAGGCTACAAACCAGAACAGCATGTTACTGTCCTGAATATTGTAGGCAAATGTAGCACAATGGGAAGTATTTGTGTTATCTAAACATATCTAAACATAGAAAAGGCACAGTAAAAATATAATCTAAATATGATCTAAAAGATTTTTTTTTTTTTTTGAGATGAAGTCTTGTTCTGTCACCCAGGCTGGAGTGCAGTGGTGCAATCTTGGATCACTACAGCCTCTGCCTCCCGGATTCAAGCGATTCTCCTGCCTCAGCCTCCTGAGTAGCTGGGGTTACAGACACATGCCACCATGCCCAGCTAATTTTTATATTTTTAGTAGAGACGGGGTTTCACCATATTGGCCAGGCTGGTGTTGAACTCCTGATCTCAAGTGATCCGCCTGCCTCAGCCTCCCAAAGTGCTGGGATTATAGGCATGAGCCACTGCGCCCATGCCTATAGGATTTTTTAAACAGTGCGGCATAGAGTACCTACCACAAATGGAGTTTGCAGGACTGCAAGTTGCTCTGGGTGGGTCAGTGAGTGACTGTAAAGGCCTGGGACATTACCGTACAATACTGTAGACTTTATGAACACTGTACACTTAGGCTACACTAAATTTATTTTAAAAATAAGGTAACTGCACTATAACATTATAATGGCTACCATGTCACTAGGCAATAGGGATTTTCCAGTTCCTATTATAATCTTACGGGACTGCCATTGCATACACATGCCATGTTGTGGCACATGACTATATACAAAAACATCATGTTGTAGACCTTAAATATATACAATAAAAAATAAATAAACTGCTCCAACCACAAAAAAGCAATGTAGGGTTACTGAAACACGACTGACAAAGTGTTAATATTTGTGAAGCTGGTTGGTAGATACATGATGGTTTGTTATATGCCTCATTACTTGTATATTTTTGACAATTTTTTTTTTTTTTTTGAGATGGAGTCTTACTCTGTCACCCAGGCTGGAGTGCAGTGGCACGATCTTGGCTCATTGCAACTTCCACCTCCTGGGTTCAAGTGATTCTCCTGCCTCAGCCTCTCGAGTAGCTGGGACTACAGGCATGTGCCATAATACCCAGTTAATTTTTTGTATTTTTAGTAGAGATGGAGTTTCACCATGTTGGTCAGGCTGGTCTCAAACTCCTGACCTCAGGTGATCCACCCACCTCGGCCTCACAAAGTGCTGGGATTACAGGCGTGAGCCACTGCACTTGGCCTTATTTTTGACAATTTCTATAATGACTTTTAAAAGCCATGGGTGGCCAGGGGCCATGGCACATGCCTGTAATTCCAGCACTTTGGGAAGCCAAGGTGGGAGGATTGCTTGAGCTCAGGAGTTTGAGAACAGCCTGGGCAGAATGGCGAGATCCTGTCTCTTCCAAAAATACAAAAAAGTACCCAGGCGTGGTTGTATGTGCCTGTGGTCCCAGCTACTCAGGAAGCTGATGGGAAGATCACTTGAGCTGGGAGGGTGGAGGTTGCAGTGAGCCAAGATCGTACCACTGCACTCCAGCCTGGGTGACAGAGCGAGACTCTGCCTCAAAAAAAAAGAAAAAAAAAGGCCATGGGTTACCCATTTGGTATAAACTTTTCTCTAAAAATTTGTCAGATTCTGTCCACTTTACATACACAGATCTCTCTCTTTCTAGAATGAGAGAGAATTCTACCTAGAATGTCCTTTTATTCCACCTGGACAACTCCTAGTCACTCCCCAAGACCACACACAAAAAAAGCAATGTAGGGTTACTGAAATAAGACTGACAAAGTGTTGATATTTGTGACTTCCTTTCACTTGGAAGCAGAAGTCTCAATTTTCCCTATGCTCCCACTATATGCCACTCATCCCATTATGTAATCCTTAGTATACTATCTTATATTTATATATGAAACCATGTGCCCTCTTAGGCTGTGAACAAGGAAGGGACCTAATTTGTTTATCATCACACACCCAGCACCTGGTATAGTATGCTCCTGATGAATATTTGGGTCATGAACAAGACCTAGCCCAAAGTCATCAAAAACCCAGTTGTTGTCCTGCCAAGAGATCTTAGGAAGGTCTGTCGAGCTACAAAGCCTGTGTGCTTCCCAAGCTGATGACCTTACCCAGTCAGGAATGCCAGCTTCTCCAGGCCACCTCCACTTCTATTTTTTATGTTATTTTTCAAAAACAGGGTCTTGCTCTATTGCCCAGGCTGGAGTGCAGTGGTGTGATCTCAGCTCACTGCAACCTTCACCTCCTGGGTTCAAGCGATTCTCCTGCCTCAGCCTCCCGAGGACAACAGGCATGCGCCACCATGCCCAGCTAATTTTTGTATTTTTAGTAGAGATGGGGTTTCACCATGTTAGCCAGGCTGGTCTCAAACTCCTGACCTGAAGCAATCGCCCACCTCAGCTTCCCAAAGTGCTGGGATTACAGGCGTGAACCACCGTGCCTTGCCCCACCTCCACTTCTAATTTCCAGCTTGTCATTTCTTATGAATAGAACCCCGGAACAAACATCCTGAATTCAAGTGGTCTCCAGATCAAAAACAAGAGGTCCTGGGCACACACTTAGGAAAAAGGTGCATACACGCTGGTGTGTACCCCATACATGTATTACATATTCTGAACTGCTCAGAGGGCTTCCTTGCTTAACTCCCAAGTTGCAACTGTGAATGGGATAACAAGAGTGATAGTTGAGAAAGAGTGGCATTCTGGCCACTCCTCTGATAAGTAGTGTCACCTCCAGAGTGACATTACTCCATCAGCCTTCAACAGCGTGCAATGATAAAAACATGAATACCACCAAAGGTTGTTGGGAACGAGTAAAGTTACGTATACCAGGATTTCAAAGCAACTTCTAAGTAGCAGAGCTCTTTTTTTCCACAGTTCTGAAACACTGAAAAAGACATTGATCTCTCCATTAATTTATCTTGAAAATTTTTCAGCTGTCTTAATTTAAGACAGGCTTTAAGGTTTTTAATTTTTTAAATGGGACTTTACATGTCCCTGAGATTTCTCCATTCTTCCTCAAACTTGGCCTTACGACCTATATAGCAGACTCTAGTCCTTAATTACATGCCAGTCTATACTATTTATACTTCTCTTGCATGTGGACAGTATAGTAAAGCAGAAAAGACTGAAAGTTTGAGAAAAAAATTTAACCAAAGTTCAGCAATTCATTTAATTTTAATTTCAGTTGTATTCTGTTAAATTTAAATTGTTACTATTTTATTTTTAAATGTCTACAGCAAATTTCTGAATGCAAAATTACTTTTTCTTTCTTTCTTTCTTTCTTTCTTTTTTAAAGAGATAGGGTCTCGTTACATTGCCCAGGCTGGAGTGCAATGGCTATTCACAGACATGATCCTAACTCACTACCACCTCAAATCCCTGGGCTCAAGCTCTACTGCTACTCCTGCCTCAGCCTCCTGAGTAGCTAGGACTACAGGTGCATGCCACCTTGCCCAGCTACTTCCCTATTTTTAATAAGTTCTACCAGAAGCTTAGATTACTTTGGTTATCTTTTTAAAAGAAAAGCCTAAATGATTTTCAGTTGAATGAGAGAAGGATACAAACCCTGCCCTCCTCACTAGAAACTGATCTTAAAACCACTGATGTCTACCTACCAAATTAAGAGGACAAAAGTCAAGGAGATGAATGTGATGATTACTATATCATTATGTGTAAACTACCCATTAAAAAAAAAGTTTAAAATTCTCCTTACATTCTCATTTACTGTATTATCTATAAGATGATCAGATCATTTGGTTTAGGGTTCTGTTCTAATGAAGTACGGTCTTTTCTTGGCCACAGGTAACTGTTAACTCCAGGCATCTCACAGAGGCAAAAAGACAATCCAAATCCACACCAGTACTAGCAAACCACTTCGAATACCCTGGTAATGACTGGTAGCTCAGAAGATGTATATGAGTGACACATTATATTACACTTTAACCCTACCTTTCCACAGATGATGGAAAGATAAAAGTAGAAGCACCACGGTATCTAAAAAGACACAACTGGACCCGAGGCCAGGAAAAAAAAAAAAAGAGACTGACTGCCCCACACCACAGGTGTGTCCAAGAAGATTGTCTATATAACTCAACAGATGTGTGTGTCCAGAGGGTTCTGGCTGTACCACACAACGGATGTATGACCTTGGACTCTTAAATTTTCTTAAAGTCTCTTAAATTCATTGCCCCTGAGCAGCTTCATAGGCAAAGCCAGTACATTGTATTAGATATGTTCAAGCCTTTCTGAATCTAAATTCAGTTCAAATTCACAAATTCTTAGTTGACTTCACACTAAAAAAATAAGGCATGTAAAACTCTTCACACAGTGGCTACCATGCAGTAAGTATGTCATAAATGCTGCGGCTGTTATTGAAAAAAAAGAAGTTTAGGTTTGTATGTGTTACACACAGCATATATTTAAATTTCTTTGGTGGGACTTTTTCTGAAGGAAAAAAAAAATCACTTTAAAGTCCTATTCTAAGGCCAGGTGCAGTGGCTCACACCTATAATCATACCTGTAATCCCAGCACTTCGGGAGGCCAAGGCAGGTGGATTACTTGAGGCCAGGAGTTCAAGACCAGCCTGGCCAACAAGGCGAAACCCTGTCTCTACGAAAAATACAAAAATTGGCTGGGTGTGGTGGCATGTGCCTGTAATCCCACCTACTCAGGAGGCTGAGGCAGGAGACTTGAACCCGGGAGGCAGAGGTTGCAGTGAGCTGAGATCGTGCCACTGCACTCCAGCCTAGCCGATAGAACGAGACTCCATCTCAAAAATAAAAATAAAAAATAAAGTCCTATTCTAGTCAGAATTGTTAATTCAAAGGAGTCCGTAATGAAACAATAAATTACGAAGTTCTACATGAAAAGATACAATCCTCTCAAAATCGACTAGTTTTATTTTGTGTTAAATTAGATTTTCTGTGAACTCTTGGCAGCGCTTGGAAAGAAGTCATGAGTGCTTTCAAGACTTTTGCTCAGCATGCATTTACTGACCATTGCTATATGAAAGCTGCAGCTGCACCCCTGAAATCCCAACACTTCGGGAGGCTGAAGCCAGGAGTTTGGGACCAGCCTGGCCAACATGTCGAAACCCCGTCTCTATCAAAAAATACAAAACTCAGCCAGACATGGTGGCACGCACCTGTAGTCCCAGCTACTTTGTGAGCAGAGATCATGCCACTGCACTCCAGACTGGGTGACAGAGCAAGACTCTGCCTCAAAAAAAAAAAAAAAAAAAAAAAAAAAAAAAAACAGAAAGAAAGCAAGCTGCAGTTAGGGAAGCAAAGATCATCAAGACCCTGCCTCCAGGTCCAAACAAGTGGACAACTGCCCAGAAGTACCAACTGCTGAGGGGTCTGGATAAGAAAAAGATTGTCCTGAAACCTCCAGAGCAAAGGTCTGAAGGTAGTGGGCCACAGATATTGTGTGGCCCATATGCTTTGTTTTTGTCTTTAACTGAATTAGGTTGCCAACACTTAGAAAGCAGGAGGTTACACATAAATAAGGATTTCTAGTTTCTCTTGAAAATTTGCAAGTGCCAGCAGTATCATGCCTGTATTCCCACTCAGCAACTACCGGTGCAGAATCTCTATTCCCATCACTCCTAACACGGGCTGAAGATCGCTGGCTGCTTCCTTCAGCTCACTGCGTGGCTGCTGGGCTTCAGTTTCCCTCCCCCAGCCCAGTGCACCTTGCACCTAAGGTGCTCGAAGGAGCTTGGGCTCTGGAGCAGACTGCTGACCTGCAATCCCGGCTCTGCTGCACACCAGCCATGCCTGTATCTTAAGCAAGGAATTCATCTCTCTGGGCCTCAGTTTCCCATCTGCAAAACTAGGGTATTATTAATGGTATCTACCTCACAGAGCTAGCATGAGTGTCAATGTGTTATTATCTGCAAAGTGCTCAGAGCTGTGCCTGATACACATATAGGAAATAAATGCTCTATAAATATTAGATGTTACTACCTTCATGCCCGAGAAGGCATAATAAGAGTTTCAAATTTCTGTCCTTGAGTTTTATTCTTTCTTTTATTTTTTGTCCTCAAGTTTTAATATTCTGAAGTCATCTACTAAATTACTTTATGATCAAAAACAAAATGGCACATAGTAGAAGCTATACAGATACAACTTAAGAATTACTAGAGCCATCAGACACAAAGGGACGAATATGAGATTCTACTGTACGCAATACCTAGGATACACAAATTCATAAAGACAAAGTAGAATAGAGGTTAGAGGGGCTGAGGGAAGGAGAAATGGAAAGTTATTGTTTAATGGGTACAGAATTTCTCTTTGGGGTGATAAAAAAGTTCTGGAGATGGATGGTGGTAATGGCTACACAACAATGTGAATGTACTTAATGCCACTGAACCGTACACTTACATTTTGGACTAAAATGTAAATTCTATGTTACATATATTTTACTACAGTTTTTTAAAAAAAGAATTACTGTAGCCTGCATAATTTTGTCTGCTACTGTTTGCTAGAATTATACTGTTAATAATCCCAAAGACCCCCAATGCACTATAAGTTCATGTTCTCAAAGGCCACATATGGCACATCCCATAATGGTTGGGAAGCGCAGTATTAACTATTTTAACAGCTGTGCAGCAGAACAGTGGGCTTCCTTTTCGATCTGGAAGCCTTGTGGGAATGCATCTGTAGCAAATACAGTATGAGGCCAGAGGGATAGGCTTTTAATACCTGTCTCGAGCAGTTGGGCTGTGCTTCCTTCATAATAAAATGCTCCAAACAGACTCCTCATTCTCTCTTTTCTCTCAACCAGTATTAAAAATGGAAGCCTTCCTGCCAAGCACTATGTAACTGGCTGCCTTTGAACTGCGGGATGCTGCACAACACTGACGAGGTTTGATTCACGCCTGTTCTATAACAGTATTCAAAACGCACACATACACTAAGAGTTCCACCAGGCTATAAATCAACACACATAGGAGAACATCCCAATCAGGGTACTATTTTTACATTTCTACATGCTGCCACTTTCTAAGGCATCTTTCTTTCTTTTTTATTTATTTTACTTTAAGTTCTGGGATACATGTGCAGAATATGCAGGTTTGTTACATAGGTATACATGGGCCATGGTGGTTTGCTGCACCTATTAACCCGTCATCTAGGTTTGAAGTCCCGCGTGCATTAGGTATTTGTCCTAATGCTCTCCTTCCCCTTTCTTTCATATATATATATATATATTTTGTTGTTGTTGTTACCCAGACTGCTCATCTGCAAGGCATCTCTCTTTCATTAAAAAAATATGTGAAATATAAGCAAATTTAAAGTTACTTTGAAAACTGCAATTAACCTGAGACACACACACAAAACAGGTATATCCAGTCTGCATTCACAGTCTTCCAAACTCAGGACCACTGCAAATACTTATTTCCTAACATTTACAGGGCCATCCCCTGTGAGTTTACAATCTTGAGTCAGGCAGAAGACACCTAGCTCTAAGGAGAAACTCCACTGCATTTGGGAATTTCTTAAATAAACTGATGTCTTTTTGGCACAAATGCTGTTTGGCATAAAAGGTTCCTTAAAATACTATTGGTAATTCAAAGTGAGAGAATATAATATCTTTTATCTTATAAATATTACATTCTGAGTACCAACCCAAACTCAAGAACTACCTGGCAGCTTGATTTCCACCGTTGCCTAACAGTTAAGGTCCCAACTCCCCAGGTGGCTGTATGTCCCATATAATAAACCCTCAAACACTGATCATTTTCCCCTGTTAGGGCGCCAAAGAAGTGTTCCAAAAAGACTAAAAGGGAAAAGATCATAGGCAAGGTATGCAGTTTATGCCTCTTTAAAAACAATGTGTACATCAAATAGCAATTACTTTTATACTCCTAGGATCAAACAGGGCGGAGATAAATTTTTTTAAAATCACTGAAAAACAGCCTCAAGCAAAACTGTCACCATCTAAGAAAAATATTTCAATCCATAAACCAGCAATGGAAGGAAATATAAGAAGAGGAGTAGATATTTCTTTGACTAGAAAATTTGGCCTAGCTAGGCTGGGTGCAGTGGCTCACACCTGTAATCCCAGCACTTTGGGAGGCCAAGGCGGGCAGATCACAAGGTCAGGAGATCGAGACCATCCTGGCTAACACAGTGAAACCCTGTCTCTACTAAAAATACAAAAAATTAGCCAGGCGTGGTGGGGGGCACCTGTAGTCCCAGCTACTTGGGAGGCTGAGGCAGGAAAATGGCATGAACCCGGGAGGCAGAGCATGCAGTGAGCCAAGATCACACCACTGCACTCCACCCTGGGTGACAGAGCGAGACTCCATCTCAAAAAAAAAAACAAAAAATTTTGACCAAGCTGCATATAAACTAAAAAAAAATACTTATTAAACAGGGCAGAGGAAGGTACTGAATTAGGAGACAGAAAGAGACTGTGACCCCAGATCTTTGCTGTTAGGGTTGAATTGTGTGTCCCCAAAATTCATGTCAAAGTCTAATATGGTTTGGCTCTGTGTCCCCACCCAAATCTCACCTTGAATTGTACTCCCATAATTCCCACGTGTTGTGGGAGAGACTCAGTGGGAGATAATTGAATCATGGGGGTCGTTCCCCCATACTGTTCTTGTGGTAGTGAATAAGTCTCATGAGATCTGATTGTTTTATTAGGGGTTTCTGCTTTTGCATCTTCCTCATTTTCTCTTTGCCTGCTGCAATCCATATAAGATGGGACTTGTTCCTTCTTACCTTCCGCCATGATTGTGAGAGTTCCTCAGTCACATGGAAAAGTCCAATTAAATCTCTTTCTTTTGTAAACTGCTCAGTCTTGGGTATGTCTTTATCAGCAGTGTGAAAATGGACTAATTCAGTAAATTGGTACCAGGAGTGGGGTGCTACTGAAAAGGTACCCAAAAATGTGGAAGCGGCTTTGGAACTGGGTAACATACAGAGGCTGGAACAGTTTGAAGGGCTCAGAAGAAGACAGAAGAATGTGGGAAAGTTTGGAACTCCCTAGAGACTTGTTGAATGGCTTTGACCAAAATACACTGATAATGATATGGACAATGAAATCCAGGCTGGCATGGACTCAGAAGGAGATGAAGAACTCATCAGGAACTGGAGCAAAGGTGACTCCTGTTATGTTTTAGCAAAGAGACTGGCAGCATTTTGCCCCTGCCCTAGAGATCTGTGGAACTCTGAACTTGAAAGAGATGATTTAGGGTATCTGACAGAAAAAATTTCTAAGCAGCAAAGCATTCAAAAGGTTACCTGGGTGCTATTAAAGGCATCCAGTTTTATAAGGGAAGCAGAGCATCTAAGTTCAGAAAATTTGCAACCTGACAATGCAATAGAAAAGAAAATTCTATTTTCTGAGGAGAAATCCAAGCCAGCTGTAGAAATTTGCGTAAGTAATGAAGAGCCAATGTTAATCCCCAAGACAATGGGGAAAATGTCTCCAGTGCATATCAGAGGTCTTCATGGCAGCCCCTCCCATCACAGGCCCAGAGGCCTAGGAGGAAAAAGTGGTTTTGTAGGTTGAGCCAAGGGTTTTCATGCTGTGGGCAGCCTAGGGAGTTGTTGCCCTGTGTCCAAGCCACTCCAGCCATGAATGAAAGGGGCCAACGTAGAGCTTGGACTGTGGCCTCAGAGGGTATAAGCCCCAAGCCTTGGCAGCTTCCACATGGTGTTAAGCCTGCCAGTGCACAGAAGTCAAGAACTGAGGTTTGAGAATCTCTGCCTAGATTTCAGAAGATGCACGGGAATGCCTGGATGCCCTGGCAGAAGTTTGCTGTAGGGGTAGACCCCTCACGGAGAACCTCTGCTACAGCAGTGTGGAAAGGAAATGTGGGGTCAGAGCCCCCACACAAAGTCCCTAAGGGGGCACCACCTAGTAGAGCTGTGAGAAGAGGGCCATCATCCTCCAGACCCCAGAATTGTAGATCCACTAACAGCTTGCACTGTGCGCGTGGAAAATCCACAGACACTCATGCCAGCCTGTGAATGCAGCCAGGAAGGAGGCTGTACCCTGCAAAGCCATAGGGGTGGAGCTGCCCAAGACCACAGAAACCCAACTCTTGCATCAGTATGACCTGGATGTGAGACATGGAGACAAAGGAGATCAGTTTGGAGCTTTAAGATTTGGATTTCAGTCTTGCATGGGCCCTGTAGCCTCTTGGTTTTGGCCAATTTCTCCCATTTGGAATGGTTGTATTTACCCAATGTCAGTACCCCCTTTGTATCTAAGAAATAACTAGCTTGCTTTTGATTTTATAGGCTCATAGGTGGAAGGGACTTGCCTTGTCTCAGATAAGACTTTGGACTATGGACTTCTGAGTTAATGCTGAAATGAGTTAAGACTGTGGGGGACTATTGGGAAGGCAATGATTGGTTTGAAATGTGAGGACATGAGCTTTGGAGGGGCTGGTGGTGGAATGATATGGTTTGGCTCTGTGTCCCCACCCAAATCTCATCTTGAATTGTACTCCCATAATTCCCACATGTTGTGGGAGGGACCCAGTGGGAGATAACTGAATCATGGGGGCAGTTTCCCCCATACTGTTCTCATGGTACTGAGTAAGTCTCACAGAATCTTATCATTTTATTAGGGGTTTCCACTTTTGTGTCTTCCTCATTCTCTGCCATTCACATAAGACGTGACTTGCTTCTCCTTGCCTTCTGCCATGATTGTGAGGCTTCCCCAGCCATGTGGAACTGTAAGCCCAATTAAACCTCTTTCTTTTGTAAATTGCCCAGTCTCAGGTATGTCTTTATCAGCAGTGTGAAAATGGACTAATACAAAGTTTTAACACCCAATACCTCAGAATGTGACCTTATTTAGAGATAGATTCTTTATACAGAGGTAATCAAGTTAAAATGAAGTCATTAGGGTGGGCCCTAATCCAATTTAACTGGTGTCTTTTTAAAAAGGAGAAATTTGGACATAGGCACAGACAGAAGATGGCATGAAGAGATACAGGGAGAAGATGGCCCTCTACAAGTCAAGGAGCGAGGCCCAGGACAGATCCCTCCCGGAGCCTAGGAAAGAACCAGCTCTGCCAACAGCTTGATCTGGGACTTCCAGCCTCTGTATAACTCTGAGACAATACATTTCTGTTATTCAAGCCATCTACTTTCTGGTACCTGGTTATAGCCACCCTAGCAACTAATACAGCTGCTTACCAATTATGTGACCTCAGACAACACAACCCAGTCCTCGGGTGCCTCTCCTATCAGGAGGACACAAGACAATATTCTGCAAATCTCCTGCAAATCTACAACTGGGGATATAGACCGTCGGTACTGTGTCAGGCACATTGGGGTTACGGGAGAAATCTAAAACTCTGTCTACCCTCTCCTGCAAAGATCTTACCCCCTAGCCAGCATGGGGAACTCATAATGCATTGTGAAATTATCACACTGCTATAAATCAGGTATAAGCATGTATAATACAAAAATATCAAACTCTGTGCTTATCAGTCAACAATAACAACAAATGCATAGCCAATTTTTAAGATAGGACTCGTTCCCAGGACAGATGGCAGGCCTATTATAAATACTCTCATGTTCTGTGAAGTTTGAGTACATCAGGATGTGTGATCCTCTGTGTCTCACCCTCTCGAGACACAATTTGACTGCAGGAATATGACGTAACTGTCCTGGTTAGTGCACCAAACATAATACAATATGCCTTCAATATGTCAGCCTGTTTCATCCTCCCTAAATACATAATTGATTTTCAACATTTTATGCTCCAATTATTGCCCAAAAGCAGATTGGGGCAAGTTCATATTTCAAATGCTCCTTGCTTAAAAGTACAAAAAGAATGACCAGAACAATTAATGAATTGTCTTCAATTTTTCTTGGAAGAGAGTCATTTGTTTATGACCTTCTCCAATTTCTCCATCACACACATACATCCCCCTAATATATCAAAAAGAATACAGAATTTATATACCCTGGCTAAAAAATAGAGCTACATAAATACCATGCAAAACTACCAACAAGAAGAGAAGAATTTTTCTTTATTTGGAACACCGAAAGAGTAGCCTCCTACATCCCCCCACAGAAACAGAATTAGGAACAATGTCAAACAAAAATTAAAAGCTCAAAATTCCCTTTTTTAAAAAAAGTAGAGCTTTATATTTAGGTCATTTTATTTTTAACCACAGCCTCCTAAATGACCTGAATATCCCAACATCCACTCTAAGTGACAAGTTTTGTAATTCCTCTGAATAATTTAGTTGGGCAAATTTGTTTTACTCCTTGTTAAATAAAAATGTTACTTCAGAAATTGACAAGTCAGTTGCCCACAGAAATTTTCAGTCTCAGTATCTTCCATTCCTATTAGGAAAAAACTGTGTGAGGGAAAGCACAACTTTAAAACTGGGTCTCTTGTGTGGCAGAGACTTCAACCGCCACAATAGAGAGGGGCAGTTTCTGTTTACATGAAGTCTTCCATCTATCCACCATCTCAAAAAAAAAAAAATAGAGTGCCAAGGTATTTTAAGGTTCCAGAGGCACGTGTTTGAATTTGGGTTCTGAAAGACATTGCTATCGGCACAATCATGTACAGGGACTTTCTTAGAGCACGGAGTGAATAATACATGCCAGAATATTTTACTTTGACTTCTACTAAAATAGAAACAGCAGCAGCACTGGCCTCAGCAACAAGGTTAGGGTTTTTTGTTGTTGTTTGTTTTTAATCCAATTTCACTTTTAGAAAAGCTGGTATCTCAAGTAAAAGAAAATAATTTATTCTGAATGATGCTGGCTTTAGGAAACACAGAGCATTTATGATTGGGGTCCAGGGGTGGGATGGGTCTGCCTGGTTCCTGTTTCCTTCTATGAGGACAGCACCCCTCTAGCTTACCATCTGGGCTCCTCTTCTGGCCTGTCACTAGCCCCCTTCCTAGAAGCTCTAGTGACTTTCCTAACCCAGGAAGTTTAGGAATAGAGACTGGGGATGGGTCCCAGCCCTTCCCTCCTCCTTCTTCTTGGGGACTGAGCTGCTCTCTGGAAGCACAGGTTTAAGTCTGGTCAGCCTTCTGGCCCCACATGGGAAGCCTTGATGGCCCAACACTGCCAGGAAGCAGGAGGGCAGGCTGTCTCTACTGTGGAATTCGGGAGTGGGATGTACACTTTTGGCACATATAAAAATCATTTTTTTAAAAATGTAAGTCAAAGTCTCTGATATTAGTTCTATCATCTTAAAAAGGTGCAATTTGACCAGGCATGGTGGTGTGCACCTGTGGTCCCAATTACTCAGGAGGCTAAGGAGGGAAGATGGCTTGAGGCCAGGACCTTGAGGATGCAGTGAGCTATGATCCTGCTACTGTACTCCAGCTTGGGCAACAGAGTGAGACCTTGTCTTGGCAAAAAAAAAAAAAAAAAAAAAAATTTAAGGTGTAATTTGAATTCCACATGTTTTCTTTCTCCTTGTCTCTCAGAACTGGTTCAGAATTCAGACAGGGAAAACTGACCTACCATTTATTGCCTGCCCCCATCAGATCCAAAGAATCCAAACACTGAGTGTTTCCTCTTTGAGGAGTAGATTTGAGATCTTACTATCTTTAAAAAAGGTTTTTTTTTGTTGTTGTTGTTGTTTTACTTCCAAGTAATCTGTGAGAAAACAGAAAGAAAGAGAAAAACCAGAACAATTCTAATACCCAAAACAATGACTTTTTTCATTTCATGTAAACCTTACAATGACTCACTGATATCATTATTACAGCCATTGGTCAATGTATTCCACCTCAAGCACTAACTAGTAGTACTTAAATGAACTTGTCCCTGTTACTCACTCTCATCTGTAAAATGGGGATGGTGATATCCTAAACTCATAGGTGTGATTTATAGAGTGAATGAATAATGCAGGATTAAAGCAACTATTGTATGTAAAGCCCCAGAACACTCATGGGGATAGTATTAAATAACATCACCTTCCATCCTCAGCTCTTCACAACGGACTCATTCAACCCCAGCTTGGGCGACAAAGCAAGACCCTGTCTCAAAACAAAAACCAAAAGAAAGAAAAAAACCAAAATGGACAGATTCAAAAGCAGAATGGTCTTTAGGAGATTATTCCAATAAACCTTTCCTTCATTTTTAGATAAGAAATTAAGATCCAGTGTGAATGAGTGATCTGTCTAAGGTCATTCAGAGAAAAAATTTTAAAGGCTTTCATTAAAAAAAAAAAAAAAAGCCTTTCATTCATTTCTATAAGCACATAGTTCTGAATGTAGTCTCCTGTCCGTCCACATCCTTGAAATAGGATTTGGCAGATTAGAATCTGTAAACTAGAGCCACGTGTCAGTATTAAATCTTTCTTTACTGTACAAACAATGTGAGGCAGACCCCAGGGTTTGCCAGCATGCCTGCCACAGCCAGGCCCTCCCCCGACGCACCCACGGCCTCCACTTCAAGAGTGAGGAGGGCAAGTTTGCATTCTCCTAATGAGTAATGCATCTAGAATCAGCACAACTTTTCCCTGATTCACTCTTTTAGTGAGGCTACTTTTCTCAAGGACTCCTAGCAACCCCAGATTCTTATTTTATCAGTTTCTTATTTTATTCCTGTCACTTCTAAGTATTTGCCAACTATCATTTTCTCAGTTTTCCCCCATCTAAGCCACAAATGCAACTAATTAGTTATGAAAGTGACTAAGTCTTTTTTATGTAAAATTAAGGATAAGAATCTTACTACTAATGTTCTCTGAATGATAGCATAACTATCATTTAAGAAAACTCCAGGGCTGAATACTGCCAGACTAGCTCCCTACATAGCTCATCTTTCAAGGAAGTTACTGAGGAATGAAAGGCACGCACCAGTGGTCCATATTTGCTATTTCCTCTGGTTCTTTAATATCTGCCCACCTATTTCCAGATCTTTTCTCTCTTGTTGTGAAATCTTTCTGCTGGAAATACTCCAATAACACTTAAATATTTTAATTGTTAATTCACAGAATGCCATCATTGCTGAAATGTTGTCAATTTCTACCTTCTTTCCAGTACTAGGTACACAGATTTTTTTTTTTTAATTTGTAAATTATTGCTAACTTTTTGAGAGGGTACAGTGGGATATGTTGATACATGTATACAATGTATAGTGATCAAATCAGGATAATTAACATGTAACACCTCAAACATTTATCATTTCTTTGTGTTGGGGACATTCAAAATCCACTCTTCTAGCTATCTGAAAATATACAATGAATTCCAGTTAATTATCATCACCTGAGATTGCTATAGGACACTAGGACTTATTCCCCCTATCTAGCTGTGATTTTGTATCTGTTAACCAACCTCTAGCTAGCTCCATCCCTCCTCCAAAACTTCCCAGCCTCTAGTAACCACTATTCTACTCTCTACTTCCATGAGATCAACATTTTTAGTTTTCACATATGAGTGAGACCATGCGGTATTTATCTTTCTGTGCCTGGCTTATTTCACTTGACATAGTGTCCTCCAACCTCATCCATGTTACCTCAAATGATAGAATGTCTTTTTTATGGCTAAATAGTATTCCATTGTATATTACATTCTATTCATCTGCTGATGGACACTTAAGTTGATTCCATATCTTGACTACTGCGAACAGGGCTGCAATAAACATGGGAATGCAGATATGTCTTCAACATACTGATTTCCTCTCCTTGGGATATATACTCAGTAGTGGGGTTGGTAGACCATATGGTAGCTGTGTTTTTAGCTTTTTTGAGGCACCTTCACCTGTTTTCAATTATTTTTATTTTTTTATGGGCTCACATCTAATTAACGTACATAGTTTTAAACACTCTCAAGTGAAAATAAAGCTTTGGGCAATCTATAATTTATTTTCCAACCTGCTCTTAGTTATTCAAGAAAGGATAGTTTTAATTCTAAATGTCTGAAATTGCTGCCTTCTTCAGTAGTTAAGCCCAGTCCCCAAGATCAATAGGAAACTAAGAATGATCAGCTTACCCCAACCATCATCCCAAATAAATTTAAATTCATATTTATTACCATTTGTTGGTCTAGGTGGTTACTGATGTTGCAAGGCCAATGAATTCTGCCCTGGGAGTCCTACTACAGGACTCTCCCCAGTTGAGCAGAGGGTAGTTTAATAGATCAACCGAATACTTTGTCTCTAAGATGTATTCAATTAAAGAATTTATCGCTGAATTTTGTACTAAGACATACTAAAACCAAAAGCCAGAACATCATATTAAACATGAAATTATTTGATATATGCAGTAAAAGAGAATTGAAAGCATTATTTCCAAATCAATCATACCACATACATTCAGACAACTATGAGTCTAGCATATCAAGAAAAAATCCTCTCATGGTCTCGCACTTTGCTTTACATTTGTTTTTCCAGTAAGATTCGACGTTTTGGGTATGCAAACCAAAAGCCAACACGAAGTGAACGTTGAATCATTATGGTTAACCTGAGCATGCTGGAAACCAAGGAAAGGCTGAATGTTATTTTATGCAGCCCATGAATAGCAGCAAACCTATGCCTGCAAAGTAGGCAGCAAAGTTTGGGCAGAACTGTCACCAACAATTTCCAAATAATCAACAGCTTGTTGATGGCTTACACCAAAAGCCCATATTTCCCTCAATAGGGCACAGCTGTGATACTTGATTTTATGGCTACAGGACTCATCAATTTGCAAGTAATGACCTGGACTACCAAGCTGTATCAGATGCAGTTCAAAGTAATGCTTGCATAGTTTGCAACAGCAATTGTATAACAGATATTAATCACAGCATAAGCTGAAATTCCAGTAACAATAGTTGCTACTTTCTCTTGAAATAAAAATTTTCTCAAAAATAAAACCACTCAAAAAATTTGATTTTGATCCACAGGGGCAAATTTTTCAATTGATCCAGTTTAACTTGATAATCTCTCTTCAAGTGATATTTTAGGTCCAGAAACACGTAAAGGATTGACAATCTTAGAAAATGTTAATTTGTGAAGAAACTAAGATTAATGTACCAGCAAATATTCCACAATAAGGGTGAGCGCCCCACTTTAGGCTCTGCACCTGCCCTGTCACAGTTTTCGGCCACCTCCACCCTGGTCTGTTTGGGGGCCCTTGAGCCAAGTCACCTCCTCACTACTCAGCTATCTATCCCACAGCTCTTGTCCATATTAAGTCCAGGGATTTCATCTCCTCTCCACTTCTTCACTTCTGAAAGATTAACCTGGCCTCCTTACCATTCCGTTCAGGAATACAGTTACGCATCACTTATCAACGAGGATACGTTCTGAGAAATGTGTCAGGAGATTTTGCCGTATGAACATCACAGAGTGTACTTACACAAATCTAGATGGGACAGCCTACTATATACCTAGGCTCTGTGGTAGAGACTATTGCTCCTAGGATACAAAACCATACAGCATGCTACTGTAGTGAATACTGTAGGCAACTGTAAAACAATAGTAAGTACTTATACATCTAAACATAGAAAGGGGACAGTAAAAACACAGCATATGGCCAGGTGCGGTGGCTCATGCCTGCAATCCCAGCACTTTGGGAGGCCAAGGAGGGCGGATCACCTGAGGTCAGGAGTTCAAGACCAGCCTGACCAACATGGAAAAACCCTGTCTCTATTAAAGATACAAAATTAGTTGGTTGTGGTGGCGCAAGCCTGTAATCCCAGCTACTAGGGAGGCTGAGGCAGAAGAATCGCTTGAACCAGGGAGGCGGTGGTTGCGGTGAGCCAAGATCGCACCATTGCAATGTAGCCTGGGCAACAAGAGCAAAACTCTGTCTCAAAAAAAAAAAAAAAAAAAAAAAAACAGTATTAAAGATAAAAAACAGTACACCTGTATAGGGCAGCTCCAATATAAACTTATGGGACCACCATTGTATATGTGGTCTGTCATTCACCTAAACCTTATATGGTGCATGACTGTTGTTGAAATACCTTTCAAATTTAAAAGCAATTTTGCATACCTGTGTAAGAACTATATTTTTCCCCTATTCCAGAGTGCACAGCATTATTATTGTCAGTTATGAGGAAATGATTTAGAAATTCTAATGGGACACTTTAATCCTTAGGAGTTTGTGATACCTCACCAATATTTTTAGACAGATGGCCAGGGATAGCTTTTCGGTTTACTCTCCAAACATCCTATATTCAATCTGTCTAACAATATAACTTTCTGTCAATATCTCATCTACATATAACTCCAAAGAAATAATAAACTCTCCTTCAAAAAATGCTGTGGGTCTCCTCTTCTAGATTACCCTTTCTAAACCAGATGTCTTAAAAGAGAGTAAAAGATGATCTCTAGGGGTATAGAAAGAAAATACTGAAATTTGTAGTCGTGTTTACTTGTCTCATTATTTGTTTTTCTATATTTTATAATGGAAATAGCTTTAGTAAACAATGTGTAATTATAAATTTACAAATGTTGCAGGTATGAGCAAAAAGTATTTTACTTAAAGGATTGTAAAGTGAAAAATGTTTAAAGACTACTGTACCAAACAATAACACTTTCTCCTAATATACTTTTCTTGGTCCTGTGTGGATAATTCCTACTAAAAGTTTGTATTCTAGTTGTTTGGTTTATAAAATATTTTGTATTAATGTAGTGTTCAGATTGTAATGTGACATTCTTTTTTTTTTTTTTTTTTTTGAGACTAAGTCTCACTCTGTCACCCAGGCTGGAGTGCAGCAGCACCATCTTGGCTCACTGCAACCTCCGCCTCCCAGTTTCAAGCGATCTTCTGCCTCAGCCTCCGGAGTAGCTGGGACTACAGGTGTGCACCACCACTCCTGGCTAATTTTTGTATTTTCAGTAGAGACGGGGGTTTTACCATGTTAGCCAGGGCCAGTCTCGAACTCCTGGACTCAAGCAATCCATGGGCCTCGGCCTCCCAAGGTGTTGGGATTACAGGTGTAAGTCACTGCGCCCGGCCATAACATTCTAATTACTAAAAATCAGACCTCATTTGGCCTTCCTGTTGTATCTTGAATTACATTTTCTTATTCAGGTCTAGTCTTAAAGACATCTCCATAGTTTAAAAAAAAATTTTTTGGCCTTTACTTAAAAATTAAAACCAAGTAAGCCATCAAATATCCTAAAAAATAAATGACATTCAAGGACAATTTTCTTTTTTTTTCTTTTTCAATTTTGTTTTTGTAGTGGTCTCAGAATAGACCAGGCAAATTTTCAAACATGTATAGCACTTACATGGTTCTAAGTGCTGTACACTGTTCTAAGTTCTTTCTCATTTAATCCTCATAACAAAATTATAAAATTATATCATAAAATTATATTTATTTTTAATAAAATGAATTATAAAAACTAGCATTAATAGATACAGAAATTTTACTTTTTTTTGAGACAAGGTCTTACTCTTTCACCCAGGTTGGAGTGCAGTGGTGTGATCTCAGCTCACTGCAATCTCCGCCTCCTGGGCTCAGGTGATCCTCCCACCTCAGCCTCAGTAGCTTGCACTATAGGCGCAAGCCACCATGTCCAGCTAATTTTTGTATTTTTTGTAGAGATGGGGTTTCGCCATGTTGCCCAGGCTGGTCTCAAACTCCAGAGGTCAAGCAATCCACCTGCCTCAGCCTCCCAAAGTGCGCGGATTATAGGCATAAGCCACCACACCTGGCCTTTAGTTTTATTCAAGCCTCCTCTAAAACCATGGTCAATATTGTTGGGAACAGGCCCCCAAATCTGACCATAAACTGGCCCCAAAACTGACCATAAACAAAATCTCTGCAGCACTGTAACGTGTGTGATGGCCATGACACCCATGCTGAAGGTTGTGGGTTTATCGGAATGAGGGCAAGGAACAACTGGCCCACCCAGGGCAGAAAACCACTTAAAGCTGTTCCTGAACCACAAACAATAGCATGAGTGATCTGCGCCTTAAGGACATGTTCCTGCTGCAGATAACTAGCCAGACCCATCCCTTTGTTTCGGCCCATCGCTTTATTTCTCGTAAGAAATGCATTTAGTTAATCTATAATCTATAGAAACAATGCTTATGACTGGCTTGCTGTCAATAAATATGTGGGTAAATCACTGTTCAGGGCTCTCAGCTCTGAAGGCTGTGAGACCCCTGATTTCCCACTCCACACCCTATATTTGTGTGTGTGTCTGTCTGTCTGTCTTTAATTCCTCTAGCACCCCTGGGTTAGGGTCTCCACAACTGAGCTGGTCTCGGCAAATATTGGTTTTTTTTGTTTGTTTGTTTGTTTTGTAAAGTTTTTTTTATTTCTACTGGGGAGGGAGGAGGATAAATAGAACTGTTTTCCAATTTGCTCTCCACTATATACACACATACCCACACACATACATAAACATACATACACCAAAAATACCCCAAACAAAAAACAAAAAAACCAGGAATTAAAAACCAAAACACCCTCAAACTGCACCAATACTTCATATTTTGACCAAAAAAAAATCCTGGGAGGAAGTGCAAAATGCAAAATCAAATGACTGAAAAATGCTGAACAAACAGCATTATTAATATAGAAAATATTTATATTACTGAACTAGTAACAGGTGATGTTCTCTGTGTCTGTAAAACTTTGGAACCACATAGCTGATTTGTTCAATCTAGTCCATGCCAGCTTCCAAAAACCAAACTTTTAGTTAGCTTCATTCTTTGATGCCTCATCAAAATTTTCTACAAGATCTGGAACATCATCATCTTCCTCATCAATGTCTTCTGGTTTTGGTGCTTTACTGTCCAAGACTTGCCGTGGGAACTGTTCAGCTAACTTCCTAAGGCTTGTTAAACTGTCAGCACCAAGCTGACTTAATATTCCAGGAAGCATTTCTGTGATTGGTTTGGCTTCTGCATGACCAGTAATTGCAAAGGTATTAGCAGAAAGGGAAGCTTGGACTTTGGGATTGTTGAAATGAATAACTGTCCCATCATCTTTAATCATGTTCACCTCTTCAATACCAGCTATATTATTCACAGCCAGTTTTTTTTAGAGAACTCTGAAGCTTTTTGTCATCAGCTGTGGCTGTTCTATGTACCACCTTCTTCTTTCTGCGAGCTGTATCCTTGCCCCCTATCTGGACCTGAGCCTGAAGTTTGGCTAACTTTTCTTGATTCATGCTGTTGGTAAATCTGAAGCAGGGAGGGTCCTCCAACACCAGCACGCGGCAAGAGCAAGATGGCTGCCTCAGCCGAGACAGAGAAAGACGACGACTGCGGCAGCGGCAGCTGGAGCAGATCCAACGTGATACAGCTGACCCCGCCTCTCCCTCTCCGAGGCAGCCTATCCCGGGAGCGCACATCTGAACTCCAACCCAAATATTGTTAATGAAGAGCTTCTGAAGGGAAAACATTATTTTCTGTGACTTCCACTTTATGCCTCTACCAGTTGTTAAGGAATCCAACCCATTAACTGTGTAGCCTCGGGCAGGCAATTTAACCTCTCTGTGCTTTAGAATCCTAATCTGCATGAAGTTCCTTTATTAGAGTGCCTAGTAAAAGCCAGGCACTGTTTCTGGCTGAGGGATATGGCAGTGAATAAAAGACACAATCCTGTTCCTAAGCATCCTGTTAGGTAATTCCAAGAAAGCACAGAAGGTAACTAGTCATAAGGTTAGCCATTACTATTTCCCAAAACAAAGGGCTACTTCGCTACCTCTCTTAACATTACCTTAGTCCTGTTTTGATTTTAAGGCAAATTCTACCTAGCTCCTGTTTCTTAGCTGGTGAAAAGGGGCAGAAAAGGGGACAGTAAAACAATCAATCTGAATTTGGCACCAGTGAGCACATATACCCGCTACCTTTCCTTGAAATAAACTATGAAAAGCTCCACAGATCCAGTCAGCTACAGGGGTTAAAAACCTATCACAGCCAGGAACAAAGTTCTGCAAACGACTTTTGATGGATAGCATCCCGCAGCACTCTGGATCCTCCTAGCACTTTCCAGCGATGCTGATGAAGGTCTATTTACACCTGGAGGTTACAGCTGACATACTGCTGCATGTCTGATAGCTGCAAGATTCAGCTGCAGTGCAACTTAATCCCTCATGATGTCACTTCCAGGCTGCCCTTATAGGACCTGCCATGAGACATCTTTTTATTTATTCAAAATTATTATATAATCACAGAACCACGCTCTCCATGGTCACCTCTATTACACAGAAAGCACTGCTCAGGCAGCCTGCTTTTAGCACAGATTGTAGAACCACCAGCAAGACAGTAAAAGAATCCTGCTGAATCTAAAGTAAACACATGAAGGTAACAGAAACTCTCGAGAGGGCATTTCCCTCCTCAGCAGCTCACAAACGCCTCACTAAACCCAAATATCTGAGACAAACCCACATCTGCACCCAGAGGATCACAAATACCACTGGCCACGCCTTAGAAGTTACAGGTTACAACCTCAAAATCTCTGTGAAGGAGTCAGATAAAATTTATTTCCTCATGTATGCATTTCATACCATTCTGCTAAAAACAAAGAAAATCTGTGGCAAAATATTTGCAGTTTGCTGATCATCTACAAAGCCAGGTAATTGGTCATGATTTACCCTCACCCTTGGCATTTGGTCTGTCAGCATTAGAAAGATATTCAGTCCTCCTCACTGCCACCCCCTCCCTACGTTCATGCACCTAAATTCACGATCAGCTTGCTGACTTCAGGCTCAATGGGCAGCCTGGGTCCCCTCGGGCAGGCCAGCAGGAAGAAAGGGCATTCAGGAGGAAGATGAGAAGAGGCACCCAGGCTGAACTCATGTCCACACTGTCCATACCGCCAGCCCCTCCGGCCGCAGGTCCCAGTCTGGGAAGAATCCTCTGCTGACAAGACTTTCTTTGGATCACACTGGCACACCCCACGCTGGGCTCTCCCACTTCTCCATAACCTCCAGCCCCTTTCTGAGAACAAGTTGGTGTCACTTGGACTTTTTGCCAGTTCCATGACAGCACATGCCCAGTCTGGACACTGGAGGATGGTCCTGTCCATCCGACTTCTCATTCCTTTGGTCTAGCTGCTCCTCTATCCCCAACCCTCCTCTTTTCACCCAGCATTTCCCTATCCCAGGTCCTCCCTCCATCAACAACCCCCTCTCCCTTCCCCCACAGCCTCTGGAACCTTCTGTCCACTGTTCAATTCCCTAACAATTACAAGCAAGGGCTTTGGAGTGTGAGGATCTGGTTGAGCCCAGCCCCTACCATTTCTGGATGTATGACCTTGGGCAAGTTGCCTAATCTGGTTAAACCTGAGATTCCTCATCTGTACAGCAGAGTTTACCTCATCTCTGAAAGTGAGGATTAAATGAAAATACACATAAAGCACTTAACAAAATCCCCAGCACACATTCAAATATTTAATAAGTGACAATGAACCAGGAAAGGGTTTCATAAATGGTAGTGATTATTACTCCCTCCCTCCACCACGTTTTTATTTTTCATTGTGATAAAATAGACATAAAATTTACCGTTTTAACCATTTTTAAGTATATAGTTCAGTAGCACTAAGCACGTCCTTCTGCAACCATCAGCACCATCCACCTATACAAGTTTTTTGTCTTCCCCAACTGAAACTCTGTACTCATTAAACACTAACTCCCCTATCTCTGCTTTTGACAGGGCTTCTCTCCCCTGGAGGCGCTGGCTCACCAGTGGCTCTGGGCAGGTGGAAAGACTGGACGTTCTACAGGCCATCTCTCTTCTAACCTCATGTAAAGATTCATCCCTCTTTGAGTCACTACTCACAGTCATACCACACTCTACCCCAATCCTCAGCCATCACCTACCTGTTTTTGATAACTTCACATGCACCAGGAAAAGGGGGCAGGGGGCCTTAGTTCACAATTTTCTCTTCCACTCTTTCTCCTGAGAGACGTTCCTGCCCAGCAGTCAGCTCCTAAAGGAACAAGAGCAGAGGAGACAACCTGGGTTAGAAGCTCCGCTCCACCATTTATTAACTCCATGACCCTGAGCAATTACTTCACCTCTCTGGGCCTCAGCTGCCTCACCTGTAAATGGCAATAAATAAGAGTACCTATTTGTGGGGCTGGGTTGAATGAATAGTCCAAAGCACTTAGGGCAGTGTCCAGCGCAGGGTCAGTGATGGCAGATGTTCTCATTACGCCTGCACTTAAGCTCTGATCCCTGGCTCTTGACTCTGGCCAGCCATTTCCAGGGTCACACCTCAGTCAGAAGCCGTATTTCCATACTCTTGCTTCATGACCACAGCCTCCTATCCTTCCGGCTCGCACACCCCCTCCCTCCTGAGGTCCTTGCTCTCGGATGTCCCTTGAGTATGTCCCCTTCTTCATTCCCACAGTGTGGACTCCACCACCAATCACCCCCTTGCCGCACCCTCAATTTTCTGCAACCCTCCTCTTTAGCCAAACCCAAGGGAACTAATAACACAACTCAGCTTGTCCTCACCTATACCCTGGGCCCGAAAGACCACAGAAATCACATCACTGTGCAGAAAGACGCCACTGCACTTGAATTCTCTGATCCAAAAGACCCTGAATATTCTAAAAGGCCCTCCTCCCACTCCCCGCAACCACTGTTTCAAACTTTTGTCATTCTCCTCCCTCCTACTCTAGCAAATGCCCTTTCTTCCCATTTTACTCAGGTAACAGAAGCCAGCAGGCTTGACGTGCTAACACCCCAGCTTCCCGCCCTGGTGCCTCGCCTACCCACTTACCCACATGCACCTGCCTCGGCTTTTCCTCTTCACTCCTGTTCCAAGCCAACCTTCTTCACAGCTCCCTTCCACACCCCACGCTCCATCCACTTACCCACACACACCACCCGGTTCACCTTTCATCCTTGGCTAGGGTGGTCCCCCCTACCCCAACCCAACTCCCACCTCACCTGGCTACTCCCTTGAAACGCAGCTCAAGAATCACCTCCTGCTGGGCATGGAGGCCCTTGCCTGTAATCCTAGTGATTTCAGAGGCTGAGGGAGGATCGCTTGAGCCCAGGAGTTAGAGACCAGCCTGGGCAACACAGTGAGATTCCATCTCAAGAAAGGAAAATTACCTCCTCCTTGAACCCCCTGCCCCAGCTTCTCTAATACTCCACTCATACCTATGTAAACTTTACTTCGCTAATTTTTGATTGTCTGTCTCCCTGAGAACAGAGGCTATATTGTCCATTGCGAATCAAAGTGCCAGTAAGTGTTGAATAAATAAAAGGATGAGTACAGTGGACCTACTTTCTGTTCTGAAATGTTTCACCAATTGACTCATCATCAGCCACTTACATATGATGTCGGACATTTTCTCCCTCGATCTAGACTGTGAAGCATCCCCTTCCCTTGCCCTTCCAGAACAAATATCCCTTTGATGAAAGAAAAAAACCAGAAACAAAACCACTACTTCCTCCTCAACAAAAACAGAACGCCCAAAATAGCAAGGCAGTTTATGAAAAATATCCAGCTGACACTGGCTTAGGTAGGGATCAATGCAGTTGTCCCAGCTTAAGAGGAGAAAGGGAAGTTTACCTTGGATGGCTATTTGAGGGAGGCAATAATATTCACATGTTAACCAAGAAAGTTGATCAAAATAATAAACCTCCCTTGCTATTTATAAAGCAAGGGAAGAAAAGGAAATGGGTAACTCCATGGAAATTTCCTTCCTTTGTCTAGTTTTGCTTCTGGTATATGGCTACCACACTAATTTCTCGATACCAATTTAGGACTATTTAATTTATAGGAAGTCATTTTGAAGGGCCCCAGGGAGCTGCAGATGGTACCTCGGGGGCCCATCTGTTTAAGGATGAAAGCTTTGTGCACACCATTACATCACTCTGACCTCCTCAGAAACTTCCTATCTGACAAAATCTAGATGTTTGCTCTGTCAACAAGATATTTGTGCTTGTCCCCAGCCTCAGGCTTTGGTTCCTGATTAGTTTTAAAATCATTATGCACCCCAACTGAATAGGGCTACTGTTAGCAGCTGTAAGGTCTTCTTCTGGGCAAATCCCCAAGTCTGTGGCCTTCAGGGAGTGATTTCTGTCCTTTCTGCATAATTGCACTCTCCTGATTGATGAGCTGATCAGTGTTCCTACCCCTTCCTGAGCTAAACCCTCTCTTCCCGCTCTATTTATTTTCCCAAGAGATCAGAGGGGAGGGGGGAATGGCATGGTGAGGCAGGCCTTTGGCTCTCCCCAAATAAATGCTCAGGCACTCTACATTATTACAACTTTAGTAGCTCAGTTCTGTCCCAGAGCTGACTCACCATCCCTTCTCGCCATCCTTAAAGCCGCCCTTGTGCCAGGAAACAGCTGCTATTTTCTGGATCTTCACAGATCCCATGATGCCCCAGCACCCACAAGTACAGATCCACGTCAGTCCAGTGGGTCACCCAATCACACACATCTGTGCTCACCTCGGAGCATGCCTACATCACCTACATCCTCTCCAATTTCCCACACGCCTCGAGGCTCAACAGGGCACAATCACATAGCGTCAACTGTGCTGTGGCTGGTAGGTGCTGCACAACAACCTTGGCAGAGAATGTAGAAATTACATTTTAAACAAATTTTTGTTGGGGGTAGGGGCTGGGGATCGCATGTACTGATGTTTGCAATTTACTTTGAAATACTTTTTGAAATAAGATGGTGTGATGGGTAGATATGTAATAAAGCCCAGATTGCATGATCTTAATTATAGAATCTAGGTGGGGGGTATGTCAGTATTCACTGTACATTTCTTTTAACTTTTTTCTTTTTTTTTTTGAGACAGGGTCTCACTCTGTCCCCCAGGCTGGAGTGCAGTGGCACAATCATGACTCACTGGAACCTCGATGTGCCCACCTCAGCCTCCCAAGTAGCTGGAACTACAGGCGCACACCACCACACCCAGCTAAGTTTTAAATTTTATTTTTCGTAGACATGGGGTCTTGCTACGTTGCACAGGTTGGTCTCAAACTCCTGGCCTCAAGCAATTCTCCCAAAGTGAAACTTTTCTTCATGTTTGAACATGGTTTACTGCTGGTTGTGTTAAACTTTGATTACTTGGTCAAGGTAGTGCTGGCAGGTTTCTCCACTGTAAATTTACTTTTTCCCCACCTTTCCATACTCTGTCTCTTAGAAGTGAGTCACTAAATTCAGTCCACACTCAAGGTGTAGGGAGGGCTAAGGCCTAGCTAGTGAACGGGGAGGTATCTGCAAACATTACTCGAAATTCTTCTATAAGGAAGATGTCTCTTCTCCCAGTATACAGTTATGTGCAGGTATATTTATTTTATATCTTGGACTATAATGCAGTACATCATATTATTTATTTTGTTGCTCAAATTATTCCAGCTTTGGCTATTAGGAGCTCTTTGAGGTTGGCTGGTATGGCCTTCAGACATGCCCACATCCTTTGTTTCGTGAGCACTTCCTTATTTTCTGACAATGCAAGATGCCCCAGACCTATAATTATCCATTTCTTCAAGGAGTCCTGGTTACTGTGATTAGAGAATGGAATTTAGGAACCAAGATACTGGGGTGTTATTGTTTCTAAGCTCTTTCAGTGAACAGATCTAGGAAATACATGTGTGTCCTAATCCATGAATACACACTAAAATATAATTATTTCTGTATCTATGTCAAGCTAAACCTAAGTTCACATTGAGGTTTCTGACTTTAATACAGTCCCACAAGGTTCGTTCTAGCTTTCCTTCCTTGCATACCTTTGACTTTCCTCTCCAGCTGTGGGAAACTTGGCTCTCTCCATCCACCACCCCTTCACTATTTGTTTAACCCTTGTACATATATAAAGCAGCGTTGGAACTGTCAACCTGTGTCCCATGAGAAACTTTACCCACTAGAGTACAGCGTTTATGCAGTTCTTTTTGTAGTTTTTATAGATTATAGTCAAAACACCATTTTCCAAAGCTACCCAGGTCCATGTCTTTCTGTCCCCACTCTCTTAAGTGACCATGTCATGCAACTGTAAAGCAGGTAGATTCTTTTCCCACAGTCTGTAAAGCAGGTAGATTTTTTTTTTTTTTTTGCCACAGTCTGCATCTCAGTGCCCCACTCCCAACACCCCACACATGGAGAGGTATGAACAGCTGCTGGTTGATGTTTTATAAATTTGCATACACTAAAGTTCTTTCATGTCTATTTTATCTAAATAATTAAAGTCTATTTACTTAAGTAGCTGACATCCCTTCCTATTGGTATACGCATTGTTTTATCCTTAGTACTACAATACTTATGTCTACGTGTATCCCTGACACCTAGCTCAGTTCTGGACCACGAAGTAAATTACTCAGATACTAATAAGATGAACATATTCCACAAATTTATTGAAAGAAACTACTATGTTTAGTAATTCAACACAGTTAATTGCTGGAAGTCATTCAATAAAACTAGAATAATGTTCACTGCAGTGTTATTTAAAATTCAGTAATAAGTAAATAGTTGAAAAAATTATGTTACACCTACAGGCTGGAAAATGAATTACATGCAATCACTAGAAATCATTTCTAGAAGAATGCATATTGATATAATACACACTGCGTGTGTACAAAAATATCAAGTTATACAGCAAAAAGTATGGCATTTATTTAACATATGTCTGTGAAAAGAAAAACAGTTAAGGAAGGCATATACCAAGTTTTGTTTTTGTTTTGAGACAGGCTGTCACTGTCACCCAGGCTGAAGTACAGTGGTGAGATCTCGGCTCACTGCAGCCTCAACCTCCTAGGCTCAAGTGATCCTTCCACCTCAGCCTCACGAGTGGCTGGGACTACAGGCACATGCCACCACACCCAGCTATCAAATAATTTTAGTATTTTTTGCAGACTTGGGGGGTCTTACTATGTTGCCCAGGCTGGTCTCGAACTCCTGGGCTCAAACAGTCCTCCCACCTTGGCCTCCCAAAGTGCTGGGATTTTAGGTGTGGGTCACCATGTCCAGCCATCAAGTTATTTTTAAATTACTTTTTTCATTTCTTTCTAAAAGTAACAGACAGAAGACTGCTGTGTGGAAAACCTTACAGAGAATTCTTCCAAGACAGAGTGTTGGATCTGACAAAGAAGAAACAGAATCAGTTTCTGTGGACCAGGCAGAGTGCACCCACGGCTGAGCCAGGCCAGAGATGCACAGGGCACGGCAGGCTGGCTGGTGGATGCCCTCGGGTCGGCTGTAATCCGAGATGAGCATCAAAAAGGCCAAGGCAGTAGGTAAGGCAGTGGGTGTCAGTGCTAATATGTTTAATACAGACAGAAGGGTGGAATTGAGAGCTGTCTGGGGAAGCATCCTGAGAAATGTAGGGTTTAAAGAACAGGAAAGATTTAAATAGAGGCAGGGAGGAGGAAGGGAGGCAAAATGAATGGAGACAGGTATAAGACTGCCCCTCTGTCTGGAAGGTTTCTCATTATCCCATTCTGTAAAAACCCAGGGGAGATCTTAAGCAATGACAGCCATGGGGAGCCTCAGTTTGAAGTTTCCAAGAGTCCCGCCCTCGGGTAATGTGCTACAGGGAGGGAAAGGATTGCCTAATGGGATCTGGTTAGCCTCTAGCACCAGATAACCTCAAGTGGCTGTTAACAGGAGCCTAGCTCAGGGTTTTCAAAGATTAACGTTTTCACATTGGAATTTACACTCCACTGGTATAAAAAGTGCCTTTTACCAGAGAATAACACAAACACATGGTAACCATCCATTACACAGGAAGTTCAATGGCAATATAATAACCAACTCTCAGTTTCTAGCAATTTTCAATACACAAAACTGAGCGCCCCCCCAGCCAGCCACCTTCAAGACTAGATCACATATGTAAATACAGAAAGAGCTACAGGACAACCTTATGCAAACACAGGGAATCCCCAGCTCACTGTAACAGGTGGGGGAGAATTAGTATTTGCTGAACACTTAACTAGACAAGGCATAGGTATCTTACACCCATTATCTCCTTTAACCCTCAAAACAAACAAGGCAAAGATCAGCCCCATAAATGGCTAGTCTGGAAATGGCAAAAATTTAAATTTATACTCAGCTCTGTCCAGCTCGAAGCCTTCCATGTTTCCACTTTGGAGTGATGTTTCAACAAACTCAAAACAGGCTTAAATACACCTTTAGTATCACTGGTTTAAAAAGAAGAAATCAGATCAGTTCTTTCTCCAAACAGTAGTTATTTTGTGAGATAATTCATACATGATGTCAAGATTGCAACTTTAAAACCTAAAGCATATTCTCAAATCTGAATGCAGTAAAGTTAACCATTTATGACTTGGCAAAATAGTATTACAATAACCACAAATAAATCAACTTGATTACAAAGTTTTAAAAAGTTACAAATCAAAAATAACCTTTTGCAACATGAAGATCTCAAATTGAGACACGAACATCTAGATTTGATTCTTTTCATTCTCAATGACAACTAATCTACTTTGTACTCTTAAAATATATCACCCTAGGCAGGTGCGGTGGCTCACATCTGTAATCCCAGCACTTGGGGAAGCCAAGGGAGGAAGGATGGCTTGAGCCTAAGCACTGTAGACCAGCCTAGGCAAGTAGACATCCCATATCTACAAAAAATAAATAAAAGATTAGCAGGGTTTGGTAGCACTTGCCTGTAGTCCTAGCTACTCAGGAGGCAGAGGCTGGAAAATTGCTTGACCCCAGGAGTTGGAGGCTGCAGTGAGCTATGCACCACTGCACTACAGCCTGGGCAACAGTGCAAGACCTTGTCTCTAAAAAATATAAAGAAAAAATAGTAAAATAAAATAGATCACTCTATTCCTATATATCCCTTCTCTGCTCCTACGCACCACCTCTCACCCCAAAAAGAGATTCTTGCTTCTATGGTTAATTGCAAAACAATTCTATGATTCAGAAACCAGGAAATAAAAAAGATTAGGATCCGTTGATAGTTATAATCTCCATTACCCTGAGATAGAAATCCCCCCCTGGAAAGTGAAAATCAGATATGTGTAGTGCACTAGAGATACTAGGGCACTAGTGCATGGTCCAAACAATGAGAAAGGTTTTTCATATTAAAATGATTTAAATTTTTAAGTACTCTTTAAATGACCAGAGTGATAGTGTCAAATGAACACTGTAGATATTGGCCAAACCTCAGAACATACATTCATACAGAAGGCATTCAAATGCTATTTGTTATGGAATAAAGGCAATTCAGGACAAAAGGTAATGTCTTCTCTTCAGACAAACCAGGAGATGACTTTAGAAATTAACTTTTTAAAAATTTAACAAGAAAATTTAAGGGTTGAAAGTTCGAAGAAGAGAAAGTTCAGGGGAGAGAATTCAGGACAAAAGGTAATGTCTTCTCTTGAGACAAACCAGAAGATGGCTTTAGAAATTAACTTTTAAAAAATTTAACAAAAAAATTTAAGAGTTGAAAGTTCAAGGGAGAGAAAGCCGACCCCCATGTTTTATTTCTTAAGAACAGAGGATTTCCCATTCCCACTGCTTCACTTGACTAGCCTTAAAAAAAATAAAAAATAAAGGCGGGCACGGTATTTCATGCCAGATCACTTGAGCACACAAGTTCAAAACCAGCCTGGGCAACATGGTGAAACCCTGTCTCTACAAAAAATACAAAAATTAGCCAGGTGTGCTGGCATGCATCTATAATCTCAGCAACTCAGGAGGCTGAGGTGGAAGGATCGCTTGAGCCTAGGAGGCTCAAGTAAGCTGATCGTGCCATTGCACTCCTGCCTGACAGAACGAGATCCCACCTCCAAAACAAACAAAACAGAACAAAAAACAAAACAAAACACTGCCAAGTGCTTTGCTGGGGTTAGGAGAACTGAACCAAAGTTTGAGTTCACCCACTTCCACATAGCTGCTGTGTGACCGTTTAATCTGACTCCTTTCCTTGGCTGAAAACTGCTCATATTTACCTACACCTTAAAACGCTGTTATAAAGCCCAGAAGGAACATCTATTCCTTCAGACATACTTGCTAAATATTTTCTCTCTGCCCTGATTCTAATGACAAAGAGGTCATACCAGCCCCAAGAGTCTAGGAAGAGATGAGCATGAAGGCAGTAAACTAACGCGGCTGTGATGGAGAACACACGAGTAAAGGTGCAAGTGAAGCACAGTGAAGTAATCACAATGTTCCACAAAACAGCAGCTATTTAAAAAGCCAAGGAGGAGAACCACACAACACCTGGGGAAATGCATGAAATATATTACACAGTCCGGGAGCGGTGGCTCATGCCTGTAATCCCAGCACTTTGGGAAGCCGAGGCGGGTGGATCACGAGGTCAGGAGATCGAGACCATCCTGGCTAACACGGTGAAACCCTGTCTCTACTAAAAATACAAAAAAAAAAAAAAAAAAAAAAAATTAGCTGGGCATGGTGGTGGGCGCCTGTAGTCCCAGCTACTCAGGAGGCTGAGGCAGGAGAATGGCATGAACCCTGGAGGCAGAACTTGTAGTGAGCCAAGATCGCGCCACTACACTCCAGCCTGGGCGACAGGGCAAGACTCCGTCTCAAAAAAAGAAATATATTACACAGAAAAGCCTATAAGTACATGTATACCTTAGCTACAGCTATACATTTTTAAGGCATAGGCAAAGAACAGAAGGGAAGGAAGGAAGAGAATAAAATCATGGCTGCTGCACTTAAACACTTTCTTTTTTTTTTTTTTGAGACAGGGTATCAGTCTGTAGCCCAGGATGGAGTGCAGTGGTGTGATCACAGCTCACTGCAGCCTCTACCTCCCTGGGCTCAAGCGATCCACCCACCTCAGCCTCCGGAGTAGATGAGATTGCAGGTGCACACCACCATGCCCATCTAATTTTTGTATTTTTTCTAGAGATGAGGTCTCACCTGTGTTGCCCAGGCTGGTCTCAAACTCCTGGGTTCAAGCGATCTGCCTGTCTCAGCCTCCCAAAGTGCTGGGATTACAGACATGAGCCACCACACCCAGCCTAAACGTGTATTACTCTTTTCTCTCGCTTTCCAAACTTTACATAACATCACTTAACATTTATAATTCTTAAAATATTTTAATTGATGTGAGAGCACAGATGGAAGAGTGATTAATTTTGACTGAAATAATGTATGTGAAAGGTGAAAACTCTAAAAACCCCCATGAATGAATGCTGTTATTGTCAGAGCATGAAATAATCTAGCATTATGCATAATACTATGACACTGTAGTAGCACAGGTTATTTTTATGTTCTGCCACTTGGTTTCCAGCTCACCTGAAAATGTATAGTGTTAGTCATTTCTTTACAATATTTTCTTTCTTTCTTTCTTTTTTGAGACAGAGTCTCACTCTGTCGCCCAGGCTGGAGTGCAGTGGTGCGATATCAGCTCACTGCAAGCTCCGCCTCCCAGGTTCACGCCATTCTCCCGCCTCAGCCTCCCAGGACTACAGGCCCCCGCCACCACGCCTGGCTAATTTTTTTGTATTTTTAGTAGAGATGGGGTTTCATCATGTTAGCCAGGATGGTCTCAATCTCCTGACCTCGTGATCCACCCACCTCGGCCTCCCAAAGTGCTGGGATTACAGACGTGAGCCACCCTCCCCAGCCTCTTATATATACTTCTAAAGATACTCTATGCATATATATTTTTTGTTAAATAATATTCTTGGAAAATTTTCCTTAAGAGCACACATAAACCTACCTCATTCTTTTAACATCTGCATTCCACTCTATCGTATGGATGTACCAAAATTTACTTAATCAGACCGTGCACTGTAAAAATGCATGAGTATGTTATTAACACTATTTATATATTATTTTTCCTTGTATTTTTATTTTCTTTCCTAGCAAATTCTACATCTTCCTATCAAAACAGGAAATTTACATGTAAGTATTATTAATCAGTAACAGTGTATTTTAATCCCTAAACTACCTCTGATCTCTAGCCCTGCTGTTTTTTCTACTTTTTTTTTTTTTTTTTTTTTTTTGACACAGGATCTGGCTCTGTCACCCAGGTTGGAGTGCAGTGGCGCAATCTCAGCTCACCACAACCTCCACCTCGCTGGCTCAAGCAATCCTCCCAGGCTCAAGCAATCCTCCCACCTCAGCCTCCTCACTAGCTGGGACTGGAGCCGCCCGCCACCATGCCCATATAATTTTTGTATTTTTTGTAGAGACGAGGGTTTGCCATGTTGCCCAGGCTGTTCTCAAACTCCTGAGCTCAAGCAATCCGCCCACCCTGGCCTCCCAAAGAGCTGGGATTACAGGTGTGAGCCACAGCACTCAGCCCATAACCCTGAATTCTTCAGCAAGGTACACAAGGCCCACCAGCAAGTTCACACTCACCAGGCTCTCTAGGCTCATTTCCTAGGAATTCCTACTTCACACTGTTCCATCCAGCCAACCCCCAACTGCATGTAGTCCTCCTAAATACTCCATCCATTGCTCATGCTGTTGCTTTGGCTACAACCCATCCCACCTTGCTTGCTTAAGTGAATTCTTACTCAATCCCTCAAGACAGGGCTTAGGCATAACCTCCTCCCAGAAGGCTCTCCCAACCCTCCAGGCAGAGGAAATGCTCCTGTGCTCTGCTCCAGCCTCAACCTGGGTCTTGGCACTTAACCTCCTCAGGATGAATTCATGTGTCAGCCTAGCCCATTAGATTTTAAGTTCCTCCAGGATAGAAACCACATCTTATTCATCAAACTGCCTACAGTTTGATACAATTTAGTTCCTGCTGAATCAAACAAGAAGGGAACTTCTGAACATCTATTATGTGCTAGGAGCTACTCTAAAAGTACTGTACAAACATTATTTCTCACCTTGTAAAATGATCCCCATTTTGGCCGGGTGCTGTGGCTCACGCCTGTAATCCCAGCACTTTGGGAGGCTGAGGCGGGCAGATCACGAGGTCAGGCGGGCAGATCACGAGGTCAGGAGTGCAAGACCAGCCTGGCCAACATAGTGAAACCCCATCTCTACTAAAAATACAAAAAATTAGCCAGGCGTGGTGGCAGGGGCCTGTAACCCCAGCTACTCAGGAGGCTGAGGCAGGAGAATCGCTTGAACCCGGGAGGTGGAGGTTGCAGTGAACCGAGATTGTATCACTGCACACCAGCCCCTGTGACAGTGCGAGAATCCGTCTCCAAAAAAAAAAAAAATCCCCATTTTACAGATGAAGAAACTAAGGCCGTGAAGAAATTTATCCAAGGGCATTAGAGGAGGGCTGGAATTTGAAACCAAGTCTACTTTACTCCAGAATCACTGATCTTTCCATTATGCTATTCTGATGCATGTTTTGATGCTGAAAGCTAAGTCAAACATGCAGTCCTAAGGGACTTGACATCTTCATAATTATTATGGATACTCTAAGGGCACGACAGTCTCCCAAAAAGTCAGTCAAAAGCAATCTAAAATGTAGAACCAAACTGGCCGAAAACAAAAAAGATTCTTTTTTTTTTTTTTTTTTTGAGACTGAGTCTTGCTCTGTTGCCTAAGCTGGAATGCAGTGGCACAATCATAGCTCAGTGCAGCCTCGATCTTGCAGGCTCAAGTGATTCTCCCACCTCAGCCTTCCAAGTGGCTGGGACTATAGGCATGAGCCACCACGTTCAGCTGATTTTTTTTTTTAACTTTTAGTAGAGATGAGGTCTCACTACGTTGCCAGGCTGCTCTCAAACTCCTGAGCTCAAGCAATCCTCCCACCTCAGCCTCCCACAGTGCTGGGACTGCAGGCGTGAGCCACTGTGCCTGGCCTGAATTGCTAAACTTAAATGCCTGTTCCCAAATCATGGTGGAGCCAGGTGAGATCCCAAAGTACTGAAATTATAGGCATGAGCGACCTTGCCCAGCACCCCCCAAAAAAGTATTATAAACAAGCAAATTCTGCCAACAGCATCCACAAATCTGCATTTAGCATCCTCAGGGGGTATCTTTGAGGGGCCATTCAAAATGAACTAGACGTGCAGTCTCAGCAGCTGCAATAGTGAGGCTTATTTCCCCCAGTGTGCTCTCCCTGTGAACACTGTCAGTTATGGTCCACATTTCTCTCCCCACCCTGCAACTCCACAGTCCCCATATCACTCATTAAAACTGACCTTTGGACCAGGACCCCTAAAGGATCTACAAAATGACCAATTTTAGTCAGATACAGTCGCCCCAGGAAATGCCTATTAGGAAGCCGATAGTGAGAGTGGGCAAGGAGTGGGTGAGGAGGGCAGCACCGCAGGAGGTGGCAGGGGTCCAGTCGACCTGCCATGAGACCTGGAGGTAGGTACAGAGCCTCACCTGCAAAAACCCCATGAGGTAGGAAGAAAGAATGCCTGCTCTCTCTTAAGGCCTTCAAGAGGGCTGAATTAGACTAGCACTTAGCACAGAGCCTGGCATAGAGTGGGGGCTCAATTGGCTCCTGTTAAGTGACTGAGTAAACCAACCAGTGAGCAAGCCAACTTTCTCCTGTGTCCTCCCCAACACGATGGGGACTAAGGAAAAGAAGCTGGGAGCTGGGAAGCCCTGTCATTGCAACAGGAAGTAGTAACGGCATTTAGCAAAGGTGGAGGGGAAAATAAAGGAAGATGCTCCTCTCTCCCACACATCGGAAAAATGAACTAATCAGCAGCAAGCAGTTAATGAACCCAAATCTTGCTCCCGGGAGAGAAAGTAAAAATTATCCCAAGGGTAACAAGATACCAACAAAAAAGACACACAAGCTGAAAACAAAACGAAAACACTTTTTCTTTTTTTTTTTTTTTTTTGGGACAGGGTCTTGCCTGTCACCCAGGCTGGAGTACAGTGGCCCGATCTCAGCTCACTGCAACCTCCACCTCCCGGGGTTCAAGCAAGTCTCTCGGCCTCAGCCTCCTGAGTAGCTGGGATTACAGGCGCCCACCACCACGACCGGCTAATTTTTGTACTTTTTAATAGAGACGGGGGTTTCACCATGTTGGCCAGGCTGGTCTTGAACTCCTGACCTCAGGTGATCTGCCCACCACAGCCTCCCAAAGTGCTGGGATTACACTTGTGAGCCACCACGCCCGGCCACTTTTTCTTGATAACCATCAACCACAACCACACAAAAATCCCCTCCAACTGTGGAGGAAAATTAGAGTAAGGTAGGTAATGTAAAGCAATGCACACGGTCAACCCTAAATACACTCTCTAGCTGAATAAGTAGGCACTTAATGTGTGCTGAATGAACCAGGCAGGTGCCCAGCCTTCACCTTCCCGCCCAAGATTCAGAGTGGTACTAGCTCAAGTCCAGGTGTTCTGACTTTATCCACTCCATTCCCAAAACTACCTTCCCACATTCCAAATTCACAGAAAACAGCTCAGGGAGGCTGTGTAACCTGTCCAGGGTCATAGTGGGGCAAAGGGACTAAACTGGGACCTTATCCCAGTCTGTCTGGCTTCAAAGCTTCTACTCCTGAGAAAAAGACATGCATGACAGAGGGGAAGGGGAACCTAGGCTGGTTAGGACTAATTATAAGCAAATGGTCTAATGAATGAGTGATCAGGTTTACAACCCAGATTTCAAGGAATTGAGTACTTTTTTTGAGACAGGGTCTCGCTCTGTTGTACAGGCTGGAGTGCAGTGGCGTGATCATAGCTCACTGTAGCCTTGACCTTCTGGGCTCAAGCGATCCTCCTACCCCCCAGCCACCCAAGTAGCTGGAACTACAGGTGTGCACCACCACAGCCGGCTAATTTTTGTATTTTTTGTAGAGATGGGGTTTTGCCATGTTGCCCAGGCTGGTCTTGAACTCCTAAGCTCAAGTGATCCACCCACCTCAGCCTCCCAAACTGCTGGGATCACAGGCATGAGCCACCATACCCAGCCTTCAGTGACTCTTTTTTTTTTTTTTTTTTTGGAGATGAGTCTTGCTCTGTCACCCAGGCTGGAGTGCAGTGGCGCAATCTCGGCTCACTGCAGCCTCCGACTCTTGGGTTCAAGCGATTCTCCTGCCTCAGCCTCCTGAGTAACTAGTATCACAGGCACCCACAATGACGCCTGACCAATTTTTGTATTTTTTTTTTTTTTTAAGTAGAGACAGGGTTTCCCCAGGTTGGCAAACCAAGAACCTCAGGCTATCACTCCTCACTCTCCACGTCCCAGGTTCCCTCCTCCAGCCTCTTTTTAATACATGAGAAAAGTACTCAGAATCAAGCTTCACTAGAAATCTCTTGCCAAAGGTCCACTTAAAACAACAGAACAAACCTAATTTTGAGGACTTGTTACTTTTGAGTGTTAATCCAAAAAACTAAAAAGCATCATTGGCAGAATTAAGTATGAATGTACACAGGTTCCTAAAAACAAGCAATTTTCTCAGATGTTGCTTTTTACCAGAGATCAACATCCTATTCTTTGAGGAGTTATCAAAAGCTCCCTGAAGGAAGTGAAATTACAAGACAGCCTAGGCCATTGGGAAAGCCAAACATTTCTCAAATGTGAGAACCTGTCTCACTCTCAACCCAGGAGCTTGACATGAGTGCAGATCCCCAAAACCCACCACAGGCCTACTGAAGCACCTCCTGGGGGCAGGGCCTGGAAATCTGCATTCCAAATTAAGTGCCCCAGATGATGCTTAGGCATTAACCATGCCCTCCTACAAATTCTAAGTCCATGCCTACCTGGAGGTATATCATTAGCTTAAAAGAGTTTCCACAGGAATGCCAAATTTCCAACCACCGACTGGGCATTTCCAACTGGGTATCCCAGATGGCCCCCAAACTCTGCCCCTCCCCTCCTGAGAGAGTGCTGTTATAGTATTGTTCATCATCCATACCTTGTTGCCACACCTGGAAACTCTCTACCTTCAGTAAGCTGCTAAGTATTCCTTTTCATCCCAGTCCAAAAATCATACACCATGTGCACTCCTTCTTCATGTTCTCATTCCGTCTTGTTAAGTGAAATTGATAGGGAGCCACTGATTTGGACTGAGCTCTTGCACTAGGATCCAACAGACCAACCCAAATGGAGTCATTCATGCAAAAGTTCCACGTCACCAAACCAAAACCTAAGCTGTTTACTTGTAAGATCGGACCCTCCAAGCAAACAGGAGAGAAATGATAGTCAAATCTCCAAACAGGCCAGTTTTCAAAAAGCACAAGATTCACGACAACCAATCAAAGGGGGCCCAGTCAGCTGGGTGCGGTCGCTCATGCTTATAATCGCAGCACTTTGAGAGGCCAAGGCAGGCAGATCGCAAGGTCAGGAGTTTCAGACCAGCCTGGCCACGTGGTGAAACCCAGTCTCTACTAAAAATACAAAAATTAGCTGGGCGTGGTGGCACATGCCTGTAATCCCAGCTACTTGGGAGGCTGAGGCAGGAGAATTGCTTGAACCCGGGAGGTGGAGGCTGTAGTGAACCGAGATCACGCCACTGCACTCCAGCCTGGGCAACAAAGCGAGACTCTGTCTTGGAAGAAAAGGGAAAAAAAAGGTGGGCCCAGTCAACCAGAGCTGGCAAAAATAAGGAAATCCCCTCTGCTTTAACCCACACAAGGAAAGTAACCTGAAGTAATAATCTGAGGTTAACCAGTCCACCTTTGGCACTATGCAATCTCTGTGCTCCTGCTCAAGCTGCCTTACAAAACCCGCTGTTCAGCCATGCCCTGCAGAGCGCCTGCCTATTTTGTAGTCTGGGTGCTGCCTAGTTCATGGACCCCTAAAAAACAACAATTAGATCTTTAAAGCTTCATTTGTTGAAATTTTGTTCTTTGACATCTTGTTCTAAAAACCATGGTGGCACAGGACAGTAAACCCAAGTTCAATCCTGGCTGAACTAGGTTACTTTGAGCTTGCTTCCTTTTCTGCAAAATGAGGATGACAACAGCACCCTATGAAAAGTTTTTCTGTGAAGATTACATGAGCTAATGCACCTTCACCTTAAGTGCACACTCAAAGGTATTCAACTGGCATTAGTTCTCTTCCTCCCACTAACTCAGGCCTCAAACATCATCTCTCACCTGACCTACTTCAAAAGCCTCCTAACAGAGAGCTCTGCAGCCCATCTGTCCCCACGCCAGTCTCTCCTCCACACCACCGCTGCCAAAGCTTTTCTCCAACACACAGATCTGATTACATCATCTCCCTGCTGAAAAACCTTTGACAGCTATCACTTGCTTACAGGATCAAGTCCACACTTCTTAGCCTGGCATGCAAGGCCTTTGCAATCTGGCTCTCTTCTCCCTGCCACTGTACCCAAATGCCAAGCACCGTCCGTTCTAGTAACAACACCCCAAACACAACTTGTGTTTTCATGCCTCCCAGCCTCTGCTTCTTACGCTCCTTTTCTCTAGAAAGCCTCTCACCCTCTTTCCCACCTGGCAAAGTCACCTTCACCTCCTCCCCCTCCTCCCTGAAGCTTTCCCCAGCCACTGTCAACTCCTCCTCCTCCCCCTACTCCTCCTCCTCCTGCACTCCCTAACACCTTGCAGTGGTACTGTGTGTGCACTTGTCTCCTCAGATTGAGACACAGCACTGGGCCTCAAACCCTGAAGTGCACAATGACCAGCTCTCAAGAAACATTTTTTGGAAAAATGAATACAAGACCTCCACCACCCGCTGACAAATGAAAATGGTTTCTAATTTGTCAAATAGTTACCACCTTCATGGTAACTTTTTATCTTTAAAAAACTCATAAGGAAATTCTATTTGTTGAGTTGGCTAACACCACTCTTATGAAGGAAGCAAAAAAGCCTTGTGAAGAAGGTAAAGTCTCTTTACATTTTCCACTGGCTTAGGTCTCAATCACTGTCCTAGAAATGGCATCTCTTTTTTCCAGATGGAAGGGGGAACTAACACCCTTTGATTCCTCCTGGCTTAACTTTTGGTATGTAGAGTTGGGACAGTTAAAAGGGTCCTTTTTGTTGAAGCAAAACATTTCAGAAAGGAAGAGATTAAACAAAACTTTGTAATGGTAGAGGAAAAGTGTAAAAAGCTCAAGTACCACTTGACTTGAAGTCTGTAGGGAATCAAGTTCATTCTGAGAGAACAGGCACTATCTGGGAAGGAGCAGTGTCAGTCCTTGCCTGGCTGAGATCTTTTCTTGTCCAAGCCAGATTCAAAGCCAAAGTCCCAAGACTTGGAAACAGCTGATGACAGAAGACAACACTTTTTGGTTTACCCATAAATGGCAAGAATGCAAGGACCATAGATATCCAGGCATTCTCCAAACTGTTCCTCCACTTCTGTTCAAAACTTAGGATATATTAATTCCACCTTCGCGTGCATCTTTAATAGGCACAAAGGCAATAAGGAGAATCCCCATTTCTCCACTGTGAGGATCTTGAATGAAGCACTGACCATCCTCTTCTCTAGAAAAGCCTGCTCTCCTGTCGGTAATATTTATTTCATAAATGAATATGCATGTATGACTTGAGCACAGTACAATAGACTTATTCCACCTAAATAAAGTGTATTGTTCTAAACCATACTCAAGCAAAACATTACAAAAGTCTGAGGAGCTTCACATGTTGTCAGTCTCAGTAAAAAAATTGATTTTTTAAATACTGATTTTCATAAAAACCAGAGTTTGTTAGCAATATTTTTGTGCCAATAATAAAATACTACTTTTTTGTTGTTTGTTTGGTGTTTTTTTTTTTTTTTTTTTGGGAGACGGAGTCTTGCTCTGTCTCCCAGGCTGGAGTGCAGTGGCGCGATCTCGGCTCATTGCAAGCTCCGCCTCCCGGGTTCACGCTATTCTCCTGCCTCAGCCTCCCGAGTAGCTGGGACTACAGGCACCCGCCACCACGCCCGGCTAATTTTTTGTATTTTTAGTAGAGACGGGGTTTCACTGTGTTAGCCAAGATGGTCTCGATCTCCTGACCTCGTGATCCAACCCACCTCGGCCTCCCAAAGTGCTGGGATTACAGGCGTGAGCCACCGTGCCTGGCTAAAACACCACTTTTGACTCTTACTCCTTCTCCTCTATAAATCACCATCTAAAACTGTCCTACTTGTTAGCTCAAAACATTTCATATAGGCATATAATTGTTTTAATATAAGCAACCAACTCCCATACAGATTATCTTGAAATCAAGAACTTATCTCGACTTCTGTAACAAGTACCTTAAAATTCACAATTTTTAAAACACTCAGAACAATTAAAAACTTCAATTTAACAACTGATCCAGAATGCTGAATAAAATATGGTAAGGACTGGATGTGGTGGTTCAGCCTATAATCCCCACACTTTGGGAGGTCAAGGCAGGAAGACTGCTTGAGCCCAGGCATTCGAGACCAGCCTGGGTGACATAGCAGATCCTATCTCTACAGAAAAAAATAAAAATAAAAAAATAAAAAAATTAGTCAGGCATGATGGTGCACACCTGTGGTCCCAGCTCTTGGGGAGGCTAAGGCAGGAGCATCATTTGAGCCCAGGAGGTTGAAGCTGCAGTGAGCCAAGACTGTGCCACTGCACTTCAGCCTGGGCAACAGAGCAAAACCCTGTCTCAAAAACTAAATAAACAAATGAAGTAAAACAGAATAAAATAAAATATGGTAAGAGGAGGAGAAGGTGGAAGATGATCTGGTTTTGATAGCTCTGATCCATGCACGGTGCTAAGCCTTTCATACAGGGCTTCGCCTTTGGCCTTGGCATAACCTCTATGAAACAGGAATTATTGTCCCCATTCTACAGACATAGAAACAGGTCAAGTAAATTGCCAGAGCCAAACACAAAACCAAAGTCTATCTGGTTTCAAAGATCATCCTTTTTACCATATCCTATATGTTTGTGTTTTTTTAAAGAGGGGAGAAAAAAGGAGTGTATATGTATATTTTTAATGGACTAAATATAGTTACAAAGTACCTACTCTGTCCAAGTCACCTTATTATTCACAACAGGCAAATTTTAATGCAGAAAACAGTGTCCCTGCTGGTTAAAGGATTAAATATAAGAATGCGCTGGGAGCTGCTTATGACAGCTACCATTCATCATGCAAAGCTTCTTTATATATACTAAGCTATTCTTCATTAAGATTCACAAAATCCTTTAACTTTTCCCAGACATACAACTAGCACTTGGAAGGATATCAAGGGAAAAAAAAATGTAAATAGCAAATTAAGTTAGCAAAGTTAGCTATGATAGGAACTTTTATTTGCTTGTCTGGGTTTCTAAGACAATGTACATAGAAAATTATCACCCCGAGGGTGTCCTTGAATTTATGGCTGTATTTTAGATTAGCATAAGCATTTATCATGAAAATATTCTGTTAAAAATTTATCAAGCAGAGGTAGAAAGAATGCACATTCCTAAATGTGTTTTAAAAATAAGTGTCTATGGAGTATTATTTTACCATCACAACTCAGATACTTGTCATTCGGAATAAAATTCAACCACCAAAAACGTTTAACACCCAGGCCACTTTACCCAAGAGACACATGGTTTATAGTCTCAAGATATACTGAAAACATATCCATTTAACCACGCCAACTATTCAGAATACCTTTCCAAACACACCTGGAATCAATTCAACTTGCATCCCTTTGATATACTAATAAACCTAATTTTTAAACTCTAAGCTGTTACTTCTTTATATATATATATATATATATATATATATATATATATATATATATATATATAAAAGCTATATATTAATTGCTAAACTTTTTAAAGATAGGGTCTCACTCTGTCACCCAGGCTGGAGTGCAGTGGTTCAATCATAGCTTGCAGCAGCTTTAATCATCTCCCAGGCTCAAGCAATCCTCCCGCCTCAGGCTCCCTAGTGGCAAGGACTACATACAGGCTTGAACCACCATACCCAGATGATTTTTTTTTCACTTTCAATAGAGATAAGGTCTCACCGTGTTGCCCAGGGTCCCGAACTCCTGAGTTCAAGCAATCCTCCTGCCTCCACCTCCCAAAGTGCCAGGATTACAGGTGTGTCTGACTCACCATGCTGCTCTGAATTGCTAAACTTAAATGTCTGTTCTCAAATCATAGAGGGGGTCGGAAGTGCAGAGGGGAATCTTAGTCTAGGACCTATTTTTGCCAAAAATATTTTACTTGACTCTAATCTTGCTTTTAGACCTAGCCTCCAGTTTATAGGAAATACAGGAAACAATGGGACAAGGTAAACACCGCCACAGGAAACAAATTCAGAATATGGGACAACCCAGAAAAGTCAGGAATGGGAGGGAGGGAAGTAATGAGATATTATTTTTCTACATTTAAAAAGACGAAAGAGACAAACAACAACAACAGCCCACAGTGCAATGTGAACCTTGATTGAATCTTGGTTTCCAAAAAACAAAAATGGTGACAAATGCTATTTAAGGGAGAATTTTTTTTTTTTTTTTTGAGATGGAGTCTTGCTCTGTTGCCCAGGCTGGAGTGCAGTGGCATGATCTCGGCTCACTGCAAGCTCCGTCTTCTGGGTTCACGCCATTCTCCTGCCTCAGCCTCCTGAGTAGCTGGGACTACAGGTGCCCGCCACCATGCCCGGCTATTTTTTGTATTTTTAGTAGAGACGGGGTTTCACCGTGTTAGCCAGGATGGTCTCAATCTCCTGACCTCGTGATCTGCCCACTTCGGCCTCCCAAAGTGCTGGGATTACAGGTGTGAGCCACCGCGCCCAGCCCAAATTAGATAATATTTTTAAATTATTGTTAATTGTATTAAAAGTGATAATGGGGTGGTGATTTTTTTAAGTCCTAAGTTAGAAATGCATAGCAAAGTTAGTCAGGCAAAATTACATGATGTCTGCGATTTGATTTTTAAGTATTTCAACAAATTAGATAACCCAACAAACATTGTTCTCTGGCCAAAAAATGTTCTGGAAAAAAAAAAAAGTTTCTACAATTCAATGTGTTTGGAAAACACTGACTACTCTATTTCCCTTCCAGGATATTTATAATGAACACTAGATCTAAGGGTGCTCAAAAGTCCTGTAGTTAAAAACAAAAATACCTGGTTTACTTTGGTTAACCCAGATTTTCCCACTTATTTGACCACAGGACTTTTTTCCCTGCGTAACACCTGTTAACTTCCTAAGACTCAGTTTCCCCCAGAATGCATTTTGGGAATTCTTGCTTTACTTAAATAAATCCTAAGAAAAATAAGGCCCTCTTAAGTTACATGGATGATTCACCAACCCCTGAATAAGAATTTCACAATTGCATCTATTTGCAATTTAGGAGCCACTCACTGTTTTGATGTCTTTTGCATCTATAAATATGTTTACTCTTTAACATGTTTTGATTTATAAGTCAGACTCTTTCTACAATATGAAATCCCACTGCAAAAGTTCTTTGAAATGGAATTAACTTAATTTATTCAAACCCATTGCCTTGGGAATCTACAATGAAACAAATTTCAAATTGTCAAACCATACCTACTTTTTACTTTCAAAACTACCTTAAGATATTTCAAAGCTTTCCCTAACCCTTTCCAAAGACTCATGAAAATAAATTACTGGATTTACAGTAGCCAAGAACAACAACAACAAAAAACCTTGAAATCAAAGCTCTTTTGAGTCTTTCAGTTGGTACTTAGGGTTTCCAGGACCAGAAATAAAAGCCCCACAGATTCCCATCTTTATGAAAACGGTAAGTTTTTTTTTTTCTTTTTTCTTTTTTTTTTGAGATAAGGACTTGCTCTGTCGCCAAGGCTAGAATGCAGTGCTGTAATCACAGCTAACTGCAGCCTCAACCTCCCAGGCTCAAGCGACCCTCCCACCTCAGTCTCCCACGTAGCTGAGACCACAGGCATGGTACCACCATGCCTGGCTAATTTTTAAAAAAAAATTTTGTAGAGACAGAGACTTCCTATGTTGCCCAGGCTGGTCTGAAATTCCTTGGCTCAAGAGATCCTCCTACCTCAGCCTCCCAAAGTACTAGAATTATAGGCATGAGCAACCACACTCAGCTAAGTGGTCCTATGCTTATAAACAGATCCTTTGGAAAAACTGAACTGGATCCCAAAAGAGATTCACCTTAATCATGAATTCTACTTACTCCACAGGTGAAAGTTTCACAGCAAGATTTTAAGTAATATCTGCAGTTCATCTGAAAAAAATTATATCATATTCCATTTAAGAACCCCAACACTTAAAAACTCATTACACTTAAAAACTCATTGGAAATGCCCTTAAAAATGGCCAACAAAGAAATCTGAGCTAGAAGTCTCTGATGCAAGAAAACAACCAAATTTGATGTTCCCTTGCCTCTAAGGAGGCAATTTATAATGTTCAAAACACTTTATATACATTCTGTCATTTGACCCTCAAAACCCTGGAGACATGTCTGTCTTCCATCAGGGGAGCATATATCTAACATAGCTCAACTTGAAAGCCTACAACTTGTGAACTCTCAACTATCTTTGCATAGAGGGAATACTGACATAGATAACTCTATTCAGCTAAGCACTACAGAGCCCATCACCTCCCATCTCCCAGTGGGGATGCTCAGGCCAGATCCTACCCTGGGGAGTTATCGCCCATGATTTTGCTTTGTGGTAGTTGCAGACAGCTCACTATCTGCAGGCATTTAGATCTTCATACATCTCATCCACCAGGCCTTTCGTGTTACTCCACAAGGACTCTCCCTTGAACTCACTGCATCTGCTAGGATTGTCTTTAATGTTTTTGCACTATCATCCTATGGAACCTCCCATTTCACCTGTGTCAGTGTTCCCATGTGAAAGAACATGGCACTGTAAATAACATGCATGAGGGCACACAAACCAGCCAGGAAATAAAAATTTTCCAGGTCTGAATCCTGGGTCCTGCTGTCTTGGTTCTGTGAGCTCCCTGCCCTCAATCTCCTTTCATGTACATGGAGCTCCCTGCCTTCCTAAGGCTGCCAGAAGGCTGGAGGCGAGACCCACCCCAGAGTAACAAGTCCAGAGTGATGTTTAACAACTGTGGATTCTCTGTCTCCCTTTCTCCCAAAGGAGAAACAGATTGTTTTCTTTTTAAATGAGAAAGGTAAGACAGGACCCCCTACCATCAAAAAGCCTACAACCCATCTGCAAAGCCAATAGGCGAACAACTTAATAATAAAAAGCAAACAGAGAAAGACATTATAATGAATGTACAATGTACTAGGGAGACTAAAAGGAAAGAAAAACTGAAATGTGGAAGCGGGAGTAAATCAGAAAAAATGTTCATAAGAAAGCAATATTTATTTAAGCTAGCCCTTGAAAGTCAAAATTTCAGTGGTGGTGGTAGGGTGAGGGAAGAGGCAAAATTGAAACAAAGTATCAGGGACGGGCAGGAGTTCAGTGGTATTAGCAGAGACAAGGAGAGGACAGCTGGGCCTGCAAACAAGTTAGGGTCCAGATCACAGAGATTCTTGAAAGCTAAGAATAAAACAGGGACAGCTACTACTCTTATCTGTCCTTATATCAGGTATGATGCTTTCAGCTGCAAGTAACAAAAATACCTAACTCTAAGTGACTTAAATTGTGGTATCAAAGCTTTTTTGATCACGCAGGACTATCAGTTAAAAAAAAAAAAAAAAATTAGCCAGGCACGGTGGCTCATGCCTGTAATCCCAGCACTTTGGGAGGCCGAGGCGGGCAGATCACTTGAGCTCAGGAGTTTGAGACCAGCCTGGCCAACATGGTGAAACCCCATGTCTATGAAAAATACAAAAATTAGCCAGGTGTGGTGGTGCACACCTGTAATCCCAGCTATTCAGGAGGCTGAGGCAGGACAATCACTCGAACCCAGGAGGCAGAGGCTATGGTGAGCTGAGACAGCACCACTGCACTCCAACCTGGGCAACAGAGAAAGTTTCCATCTCAAAAAAAAAATTTTTTTTTAATTAAGCCAGGTGTGATGGTGCACACCTGTAGTCCCAGATACTTGGGAGTCTGAGGGGACAGGATCACTTGAGCCCAGGAGTTGGAGGCTGCAGTGAACTATCATCACACCACTGTACTCCAGCTTGGGCAACAGAGCAAGACTCCCTCTAAAAAAATAAAAAGTAAAAAATTTTAAAAACGTATTGAAGCTCAGGAATTTCAGGGGAAAAAATTTATAACATATATACTAACATATTATAAATTGTATTAATTTATGTGTAATTAAAACTAGTTATGAATGGTATGTATACACACACATGAATGTAGTATATACATTATACAACATTTAAAACTTTTAAAGGATGGGAGTCAAACAGTATTTTTAAGTTCATTTTTATTAATAATACAAATCCAAACATAATTTTGTTGTTGTTGTTGTTGTTTTTCAAGACGGAGTCTCATTCTGCCGCCGAGGCTAGAGTTCAGTGGCACAATCTTGGCTCACGGCAACCTCCACCTCCCAGGTTCAAGTGATTCTCCTGCCTCAGCCTCTCGAGTAGCTGAGATTACAGGTGTACACTACCACACCTGGCTAATTTTTGTATTTTTAGTAGAGACGGGGTTTCACCATGTTGGCCAGGCTGGTCTTAAACTCCTGACCTCAGGTGATCTGCCCGCCTTGGCCTCCCAAAGTGCTGGGATTACAGGCATGAGTCACCGCGCTCAGCCCATACATAATTTTTGAGCCACCTTCTTGTCAAATTTGTTTTAAAAGTCATGTTCTAAACTCATAAGAACATTTTCTTGTTCCTTTATACTTATATCATTATCATTACACTTTCTTTGCAAGAATCTTTTTAAACCACTCGCCCATTTTCTGGGGGTCAGTTTAGTTAAAACCAGATAATCTAGCCATAAATGTATTTAGATGGATAGAGTTCACCAAAGGCAAGAATAAGAATGAGGGTACCACTGTCAATTCCACCAGGTTGTAAAAGGCCCAGTCTTCCCTCAGGCAACCTCATATAATGTAAGTTGATAAAAGACTACCAGATATACCAACCAGTGTCAACTCATACATTAAATATTTTAAAAGCTTAATTTTTTCTAACATTCTTGAATATTTTCTTCCCTCCCATATTGGATGATCTAGCACACTCCACTCTGGGGACCACTGATCTTAAACAATAATGAGGCTGGGCACAGTGGCTCACACCTGTAATCCCAGCACTTTGGGAGGCCAAGGTGGGAGGATCCCTTGAGCCCAGGAGTTCGGGACCAGCCTGGGCAACATGGGGAAACCCCATCTCTACAAAAAATACAAAAATTAGCCAGGTGTGGTGGTGCACACCTGTAGTCCCAGCTATTTGGGAGGCTGAGGTGGGAGGATCACTTGAGCCCAGGAGGCAGAGGCTACAGTGAGCCATGATCATGCCACTGCAGTCCAGCCTGGGTGATAGAGTGAGACCCTAGCTTAAAAAAAAAAAAAAAAAAGATAAGAAAGAAACAATAACGAAAATGTTTTTTCTCACAGAAGTTCTGAGTCACAGTGGTTCTAGGGCTGGCTAATCAGCAGCTAAAATAAGTCATTGTGGGCTGGGGATGGTGGTTCACTCTGTAATCCAGCACTTTGGGAAACTGAGGTGGAAGGATTGCTTGAGGCCAGGAGTTCGAGACGAGCCTGGGCAACATGGTGAGACCCTGTCTCTACCCGCCCGCCTCCTACACCCCTGACACCGACAAAAAAAAAAAAAGTAATTGTGGTCTTAGGCCACCTTTAGTCTGCACTCGGTGCTACTTGTTCTCTTGTGCTGACAACCTTATGCTTCAAATATGCCAGGACCTAACAGGCGTCACATACATATTCATTAATGAGTCACTGGCAAAAGGTATGGCATTACTAAAATTGATGGCTTAATCAAAATTCACTCCCTGGGGCAGGGGACGCATCCACCTTACCCTTAAGTACATGGCCAGTGGAAAACTAATCAAAAGCAGGATTATAGTAGTAAGCACAGTCACCCCCCTCCACACCCAACCCTCCATATCTCAGGTTCCATGGCCACAGATTCAACAAACCTAGGTTAGAAAATATTCAAAAAATATTCTAGTAACTGACCACTGGAAAAAAGATAACAATACAATAAACACAATAAAATACAATAAATACAATAAAAATATAAATTTTAAAACAATACAGAATAACAACTATTTATCTAGCATTTACATTATATTAGGTATTATAAATAATCTAGAGATGATTTAAAGTATGAAGGAGGACTGGGGGGTTGGCTCATGCCTGTAATCCCAGCACTTTGAGAGGCCAAGGCAGGAGGATCACTTGAACCAAGAGTTGAGACCAGCCTGGTCTGGTCTCATAGTAAGACCCTGTCTCTACAAAAAAAAAAAAAAAAAAAAAATACAAAAATTAGCTGGGTGTGGTGGTGTGCACCTGTACTCCCAGCTACTTAGGAGGCTGAGGTGGAAGGATTGCATGAGTCCAGGAGGTTGAGGATGCAGTGAGCCATGATCACACCAGTGCAGTCCAGCCTGGGCAACAAATGGAAACCCTTTCTCAAAATAAAATACAAAGGAGGCCAGGCAAGGTGGCTCACGCCTGTAATCCCAGCACTTTGGGAGGCTGAGGCAGGTGGATCACCTGAGGTCAGGAGTTCAAGACCAGCCTGGCCAACATGGTGAAACCCCATCTTTACTAAAAACACAAAAATTAGCCAGGCGTGGTGGCACATGCCTGTAATCCCAGCTACTCGGGAGGCCGAGGCAGGAGAATCACTTGAACCCGGGAGGCAAAGGTTGCAGTAGCTGAGATTGTACCACTGTGCTCCAGCCTGGGTAACAGAGTGAGACTCTGTCTCGAAATAATAAAATTAAAAAATATATATATATGAGGGTATGCATAAGCTATATGCAAATAATACATGATTTTTAATAAGGGACTTAAGCATTTGAGGATTTTAGTATCCGTGGGAATCCTGGAACCAATCTTCCATAGGTATCAAGGATGGTTATAATGTTGTAAACTATTGCAGCAATGGCCCTCAATGAATCATGTAACCACCACGGCACCAGTGAGCCTAGGCACAGGGAACCTGGCCCCCATTTCTGAATCCCAAGCAAATAAACAGTTGTTGTTAAGCCACAAGAAGCAAGGAGGACCAGAACACAGAATGCTGTTGTATGGTGACCATCCCTGCCATAGTATTCTACGTATGTAGGACAACAGGAGAAGAAAGAACCAAACTGTTTCATCCACAGACTTTTAAAATTCAAACATGTAGTTCAGAGTCAGCCGGCACTCAATAAACATTAATAATTAATGTTACTTATCCCAAGTAATTTAGAACAAAGCATGGCAGAGAGAGGGGAGTGTAATGGGTTACATGGGAATAATGACCAACTCTTACGTTTTTAGCAGTAATTCAATACCCCCTCATGTCTGTGTACATAGCAATTCAGAGTCCCACAGAATGTGGACAAGTCCACTGCCCTCAAGACTACAGGGGTGTACATCACAACAACATTAAGAATCTTCATATCCTTTGGTATGTTGTTATGATCAGCAGTACCACTTGTGGAAATGTACACTGCCCTGGCTAGCTCTTTTGTTGATCCAGCTCCCTCCCTCTTCCATTAACAATAACCCTCTTCTTTGTGGGATACTTTGTCTCCCCACAGCCCCATTTTATGGGTCTAACCGTAACTCTCCTTTGGCTGGCATCAAGCCAATTCGGGTTCCCTCCAGGGCTTTCCCAAATTGGAACTAACATCAAAAAGGCCAATTCTGGATGTGAGGCTTGAGAGCTATAATACCAGCAGCCGTATACGTATGATCTTTTTCATATTTCTTCAAAAGCTCATGCAACAGAGGATCCCATTTTTGCATGGGTATACATGCATGAAAAGGTCACAGCTGAGTGCTTCTGAGAGACTTCCCTACTCTCCACCCCCATCTCCTACCCAAAGAGGTAATAAGCCACTGTTCATGACTGGCACGTAACCCTAGGTGTGCTGAGGTGGGGCAGGGAAGAGGTTGAGTCACTGTGGCTCTGGGCTATGTGAACTGAACATGATGGGTTCGCATCTGTCTACCTCTACAACTGGAAGGTTTCCCCTAATAAATTCCCTCATGTTAGCGAAAAAATCTGTGCTAAAATCCAGGAACTATGTCATCCCTCTGCAACACTTTTGTCCTTGACATTCTGTCTATGGAACTCTTCTTTCTAGAACATTCTCCTTGATCACACCCACCTGCAGGGGAACCTAAAGACAACACCGACCCTAGAAGGGCAAGTTCCATCAGCAACACAGCTAAACCAAACCAGGAGAACTCCTTTCACTCTCCACAAGATAATGTCCTCTGAAAGCCTTCTTCAAAGTCCTCTATCATTCCAAATCCATGCTCCTGATAATATTATTAAAAACCAAGAATCATTCTTCTCCTTTGCTGCTCTTGTGCCCTCCTGGTACAAAGTGTCCCAACTTCTCTAGCTAATAGCACTTCATAATGTTCTCTTCTCTCACTCATGGAAATGGCGGCAATTTCAGATATACTACACCTCCTTCCCAGCCAATGAGCACTGATACATCTTCTTATTGAGGTTTAAACCCCATTGCTTAATATTTTGAAAAGACATTCCTCTGAGAATAAGTTTAAAAAGCTGAAGATGGACAAGCTGCTCAGACATAAAAGAGCCTACAGCTTAACACATAATTGCATTTTAGAACCTGTTAAAGAAAATCAATACCAGCCTCCAGATGAGTGTCAAGCTGCAGTGAGTGCTGCTAACTAGGCAAGCAGGACAAAGCACAAACATTTAGAGACACAGCAAAAATGGGTCACCTGCAACCTACTACCTCTTTACCATCAACCCAACAGCATAAGGGAAGGATGTATTTAGCATGGAAAGTGCTGCAAAATCAGACTTATCCAGCCATCAGTAGGAACAGTCCAAGAATGATGACACCAAAAAAAGGAATACTCACCCAGGCTTTGCAATTAGGCTGAGAGATACCAAGATCAAAGGCAAATGATATGTTCATTTTTTATTTTTAAAAAGAGGTACAGATTTGAGAAGTGATTTCCTTAAGAATGCTGTCTGGGTTACTAGTCCGGATTATAAATCACATTACACCCTGAAGCCTACTTAATAAAAAAGAAGTTGAAAATAAACAAATGATTAGTTTGAAGCATGTGACTTTCTGAAACTCTCTTGAGGAGAAAGTTTTATTACCATTATTGGTGAACTGTTTTTAATCCCTGACATCAAAGCATAGATGTTAACCCTGGGGTTCTGAAATCAAAATAACTCATATATAACCCTAAAAATGTATTGTGAGAAATTGCCACATATTAACTTTAGTCTGTTTGGCAGGTTTGAATAAACAGAGGAGAAGAGACTAGGGAGAATCAGAAGACTCTGGTTCAAGTTCAACTCAACTATTTATAGATGATACAGGTCTAATTTAACTTTCTAGGCCTTGGTTTATTCAAATAAAGGGTTAGGGATAAAATGTGTAAATCAAGCCCTTATAAACCCCATAGCAGTGTTCTAACATTACAGCACTGGCTTCAGAATTCCTACATTTCTCAAACTTTTGGAGAGTCACAGAACTTTAGGGATGCAAGGTAATCCCATTTTAGGGATGAAAAAAATGAGAAAACCAAGACCCAGAAAGGCTTAAGAGTTCTTTGTACAGTGAACACTTTCATAACGTGGGGAGAAAGGGGGCAGGGAGAGGTTCTGGTTTTTCCACCACTGAAATATGCATTTAAGAGACAGTTGAAAACCAAACTATTTTAAACACTAAAACAAATCCTCCCCACAAATATATAAACACTCTTCTTTATTTTGCTTCTGTAAATGTATTCCTGTAACACAAACTTTATTTTATCATAAAGATAAAAATAAAGCCATTTCTTTTTCTATGAGACTCTCAACCCTACTCTCAACCCAACTGAGACAAAATCTTTACAATTAGGTTAGAAATGTCTAATGGAAACAACGACATAAAGTTAACCTCCAGCTATGCTGGCAGGAGTCATTATAATATGGATTATAGTTCCACTGGCTCAGGGATGCTGGTTTTAATGTTCCCAGAGAAATAAAGAATTAATCAGCAACTCAGAAGAGAACGTTGCCTAAAAATGGACGATTTAATCCAGACAACTCCATTGTCTCTAAAATTATGCCCTCAATCACCCAGTGTCAAAACCTACTATGGCACCAAATAAATCGTGTGTGGTTAAAGAGACAAAATGTTCTTTTTTCTACAGGCTGTTATGGGAAGCAGAAAAAGGCTGACTATGAATCAGTTATATCTTAGATCAAGGATGGATATAAATTATAATAATTTGGGCATTCTGGTGGTTAAACCAAGAAAGCAGGAAAACCATTGCTTCCAAGTTCCAGCAACACTTCAAACCAAAAGGCTTGGTGCCAAAAAGTTAAGTTTGGGGCACCACATGTGCAAGACAGGGTCATAAAAACTCACCTTAAATTTATTTGTGGACTTTTCCTGCTTCCACTAAAATCGATGACACTATTTCCCATCTCTTATTGTCAAATCACAACAGTCCGGAAGCCTGAACCAAGTTCACTTGGCAGGTAACAGGAACAACCCTAGGAGGAAGTCCTGAAGGATATCAGATACCATACTTCCTTTACTGCCACATACTTTTCATTTCAGAACCACCAGGATATATTTATGATGCTTTTTGACTAACACTCACCAAGCATTCTGGCTGACACAAACTGCAGAAACTGGCATACTCTAGGGAAGGTCCCTTGTGAGGTCTTTAAGTAGCTTAGATGAGTAAAACACTCAGACTACTTCTATAATGAAGTAGTCTCAGCCGCTCATAAACTCCTTCATTCCCAGCAATCAAGAAGCAGCTGTTAAAATCCTGGAATCTTCCTAGTAGCAGATCTGAAATACCTCCAGGCTGACCCAGGAAGCTTCACAACTGCTTTCCTCTCCTTCCCCTCCCCTGCCTCAGGAGTGCCAGCCTGGCAGGAATAAAGATGACCAAGGAAGGAAAAAAGAGGGTAGCGGATCTGGTGAAAGCAGAGACGCAGACTCCCTTCATTTCCACTACAGAGAAATACCAGCCCTCTGTGCCAACTAACCAGGTTTCTCCTTTCCTCTCCCACCCCCACCCCTCCAAACACGCATTAACTTCTGCAGTCTGGTGTGTCTGGCATTTCCAGAGCGAGCGATCTCAGCAATCTTGAGCCCTTTCCTCAAAGATTCTGAACCAGGAACTTCCTTTCCGCGCCAGCCAGAGTTTGCGGTCCAACCCACGTTAAGACTCAGCTTCCATTTACCTTGTAACCTGTACGGACGACGCTGCTTCTGGGGTCAAGTTCAAGATGAAAGTTCCCTCCTCACCTCCCAAGTTAACTCCAGCAGGGAACAACGCCACTGAGAACGGTCCCAACACTGGAGGCACGCGGATCTGGAGCTGGCAGGAGGGGGCTGGGAGAAGGCCGTTGCCGAGCCTGGCGTCCTCCGCCCCTTGGCCGCAGCGCCGCGTTTCTACCTGGCCAACGCCACATTTCCTCCCGGAGCTTTACACAATAAGTCCAGTAAGTTTTGAGAACACCGGTCCAGGGACCTTTCTGTCTGCAAACACACCACACAATGCCTAGAGCTTCCTTCCCAGCCAGGCGTTCCGGAAAGCCGCCGCGCCAAAGCCGGGAGCCCCGCACACCCACAGCGCTGCGCGCCCGCACCCCAAAGTCCTCCAGGAAGCCAGTGCCCTGATATCGTCCCCCGAAAATGACCACTCTGCATCCAAGAACAAGGGGGCTCACAATCTTGACAATTACCGCTCTTCTCAGCGCCCCACCCCTAAAGAAAAACCCCCAACGTCTAATCCTAACTCACCCCCACCCCCAATAAAGGAGTGTGGATATGCTAATCGCAGTGTTCTTGGAAGCAAAGCAATAGACTTTCAGCCCAGACTGGGGCAATACCATGCCTCCGGCTTAAGTTCTCTCGGCAACTTCGCGACCCGCGCACCCCAACACTCCGGGGGGCGCCCAGGACCCCGCGGTGCCAGGCGCGCCTCCCCCCGCCTCCCCCGCGCCAGGTACCAGGCGTAGCCCAGGCCCTTGCCAAGCCCGAGGGCTACAGAGAAGGCGGGAAAGGGGGCGAGCGGGCGCGCCGGGCGGGGGTGGTCCCAGAACTCGAGCGTGCCCCAAGCGTTCCCGGTTCCCACCACACCGGTTCCAGGGGAGGCCGGCTCGGTCCGGCGCGGGGGAACCGCGCAAGGAAGGTGCGGACTCCCCAAAGCCGCCGAGAGACCAAGGCCCGGGGCGCCCAACATGTCTGTGCCTATTCCCGGAAAGCTCCCGGGTGTGCCCGGCGGAGGAGGGGGCGCTCCAGAAACTTTCCCACACGCCTTTCCCTTCTCCCATCACCCTCTCCACCCCGGGTCCCTCTCGACCTCTCCGCACACTGGCAGCTGGCCATGCCCGGGGCGCTCGCAGGCCCGCGGCGGAGTCCGGGCTGCGGGAGTTACCTGCCGGGAAAGTTTCCAGCTCCTCAGCGCGGTTCCCCACACCCAGGGCCGGGCCTCGGGGCGAGGCCAGCTCGGCGCTCCGCGGCTGCCTCTCCTCCGGCTCCCGAGGCGGCCGCCGCTCCAGCAGCTGCCACAGCAAAGCCTCCGCTCCGGCCCGTCCCCCCGCCTTGCTCGGCCCACACCGGGGCCTCATTGGCAGCGCGAATCCCCGCCCTTGCGCGTGTTCCCGAAGGCACCTTCCTCTCGCGCGCCCGCCCCGGCCGCGCCTCCCGCGCCCCTCCCCGCCCCGGGCTGCGGCGGATCCAGGGACCGGCTGGAGCGCGGAGCGCGAACTTTCCGCGGGGCTTGGGCGCGAGGTCCCCTTGTCCCGCCTCTCGGCGCCAGGTCCGGGCCTGAAGCACCCTACCATCCCTCTGGGCACCGGGTCCCCCGGGGCTGCGCCTAGGCCCCTCTGGGACCAAAATGAGATGGGCCATAGTCTTTTTTACAGCCTCTTCAAAATCAATAAAGCGACCCGGCCTTCCCTCCTCGCTGCTTTTTTACCACAGCCGAGGAGGACATATGGGAGCAATTAACCGAGCTGGAGTTTCCGTGGACGCTTTGGGGTGGCTTGTGCGGCTTTCTTGGATTTTCTCTGCCTCACTTAACTACACACAAACACAAACACACTTTCTGGGGCCAGAATCAGCTAAATGAGCTGGAAGGTCTAAGAAGGCATCTCACCGGCTGCGTCTTTTTATTTCCCAAAAGGAATGGGGGACGTTCTGGGGCCGGTGATTTCCCGGGCGTCCCTGGGGCCGCGGGTCTGGAGCCTCCTGCGACCGCTCCGGGCTGGCCCGTGCTGTCTGCGCTACATTCACAGAGGGCCAGCGTCGTGCTTCTGTCGGAAGGAGGTGGGAGGGACGGAGGGGAGAGAACACACAAAGATGCTATTATTTTGTCGGTTGGTGGCAGTAAATTAAACTCCTGAGTTCCCAAAATGTTTTGTTATTCTCCAGCAGAGCAAAAACCAGGATAGGGACTAGGGATTCGGGTGTCCTGGGTTCTCCAAGATCCTCCCAGGAATCCCAGGCAGCCAAATTGGCCTAAGGGACTCTGCTCACTTAATACCCGAAGCTCTCTAAGACAGCCTTCGTTGATCTAGTTGACGAAGGAAGGATCAACTAGAACTGCCGCTGCCTTGTGTGGCCAGCGGGAATTGTGCACGGGTCACCCCATTGGTGTGTCTGGAGCAGAGAATAGAGAAGTTGCTGTAAACCGATTTATTGGTAACCCCTAACCTTGCTGTGGCAAACCCGCCTTAAAATACGATTGTGTTTTAAACAAGTTTCCTCATAAAAACTTCAACCTCACGCAGAGCTTCCCTATATAAAGACACCAGCAGGAGGGGTGTCCATATTTAAAGTTCTTATGAAAAGGGACAGGAAGCAAAATGCCACACAATCTCTTTTCATAAATTAAAAAGACTGAAATGGACTGGATTTTTCACCCATAGTTTCAAAGGCCTGATTACTGCTGTGTTGATATTTGAGCAGTAAACACATCAGCGGCCTTGAAGTATTCCCGAAACAAGGCAGGATAGAATATTGAAAATAAAAATACAAACTTAAACCAGAAAACTATTGACTTCTTTCTCCATCTGAAATGTTTCATTGCTGAAAAATATGGTAATGTTTTATTTAATTTATCTTGAAACGAAATCTTTCAACAGACAAAAAAGCCAGACAGCAACCTTAATGATAAAAGAATGATGCAAACAAAAGACAAAAACTCCAAGCAGTCTAACTAATCTGAAATATTAAAATATAAGAGAAACAATCCTAAGAAAATAGACTGGTAAGATTTCCTGCTCCAGACTTCTTTATAATGGGAGAAAGGTATAATGGATGAAATTTATCATTTGTACCACATTTTTCTGGTTTTGGCTCTTCTCAGCTGTATTTCCAAATTTTTGATGAAATTGCTTAGTTAAATAGGGCTTTGAAGGCAGTGCAATTTTTTTCCCTCTACTCTCAAAGCTCCTTAAGTAGCAAGTAGAAAATCACATAAATATGTTCATTACTGACATCATCTTTAAATTATTTTTAGTTGAAAAAGTTTTGTCTTTATAGTTTCAGAAGTCACAGTCACTAAAGAAGTAACTTCATCACTGCCTAGTTAGGAGTATTTAACATTCTAAACAGGCATACAGCTAGCAATCTGAAATGTGCACACAGAAAGGCCCTGTCTCCCCTTCTTCCTGTAGTGTTTATATAATCCAAACTACATATGTTATTATGCACAATCTGATCTCCAGCTTTAAACAGCTGACATTACATACACTATGTTGTACTAAGAACATCAAAGAAGCTCTCTTAAGCTGTGGGTGAAAATAGTACATTTATAAAAGACAAGGCCAAAAAGAGTAAAAAAAAAAAAATGAAAATTCATGGGTGAGGCAAACAGGGGGCTTCCATTAAGATCCGTTTTGTAAGAAAAAAATGTGAACATTTTCTAAATATCTTAATAAGTGAAGTATTAGCTGAGCACATATTAAAAAATGAATTTTAATTTTTTTAAAATCTGCTTTTCCCTTAAAAAATAAAAGCGTTTTTAGTTAGTTGTTAGTTAATGGTTTGTTTGAATTTTTAGGAAAAGGAAAGCAAGAATCATCTCTTGCTTTTCTGAGGATATCTCTGCTTATCCCATCTACTTTAAGAAGCTCATTCATTACATTTCTGTTGATACCAGTTAGGACAAAAAAAGAGAAATATAGATCACGTGAATAGTCTATGCTGCACACATTCCCTAAACAGACATACAAAATACTGGATTCCATTTTTAAATTTTCTGTCAGTTTGCCAGCAATGTAGCTTTTCTCAGCAGAGTGAAAGAAAACAGCAAATAATAAACTGGTCATTTTACTATACAATTTACTGCCCAGGGGAATAGGCTGAGGAAAGCGTGAGAAAAGAATGTGCCTTGTGAGTGTTAGAATGCTTTTTTTTCCTGCTTGGATTCGTAAGTACTTCTATTTTAAATCAAGTCTAAGTTGGGATCATGGCCAGTGTTTATTATGGTATGTGTAGTATAGAATACATAGTGAGAAGTAAAATGTTTAAAACACTGTAGTTAATTACATCCAAAAACTGTAACAGGGCTAAAAAAAATTTTAAGTCAATTTTTAAGGCAAAATTTAAGGAAATCTAGACTCAAAATAATTCAGCACACAAACACTTCTTCTTTGGGGCATCTTTTAATGTTTACAAAATCCATTCTCCTTTGGTCCACTCATTCTTCCTCTCCCTTTTAACATTTTGGGGAAGAAAATAATTTTTATTAAAGACATTGAAAATAATAAAATAAATTGGGTGTAGTTAGAAATCAGGTGGGAAAAGCAATGAAATTACATACCCCTACACCACAGTCCCAGCGTGTGTAACGATCCATGGCCATACACGGATGCCAACACCATGGTCAGCTGCAAGCTAATGGCAGACATTCATCCAGGAATATAGAAAGCCGTAGCTGTGCACAGTTAGCCAGACAGTTAAAGTTAAGGAGTCATGGGACATATAAACCCCTCCACAGGTCTAACACATGGCCTGCCAACATTATAGAAACTCATCCAATATGGGTGAGGCAGTGAATTGTTTAAACCGATATGTAATCCACTGAGAGAAGAAACAGAGAGATAGAGTCAGAGGTTCATATTTCCTTATAAGAATATGAGAATAAATAAAGTCCTGGGAGAACCTGCTTTAAGACGGCATGCCATCTGAGTAGTATTTTAAATATAAATTTAGATTTAGAAATCTACATTTATAAATTTAGATTCAGATTTTAAATATAGACTTTCATTAATCTTCTGATAGTGAAATACCCTATAGGGGGAAACAGGAAATTCCCTTGTTCAGGAAAGGTAGGTAAGGCAATCAGATAGTAACCCCTCTGAGAAATGTCATTGAGTCTGGCTAAGACAGTTTAAAAAGAAATGTGTTCTTAACTTTGAGTATAACAGATGCATTTTAATGTTCTCCACCTTCCCTCTTTTCAGCAAGTTGTGCTAGAAAAGGCACTGGAAATGGAGTCATAATATCTAAATGCCAATTCTGACTGGTACTTACTGTTTGTGGTGACTGGCAATTCGTTTAGCCTTTTTGAGCCCCAGGTTCCTAATCTATGAAAAAAGGAGAATGGTATAGGATCCCAGCCTCACAGATGTGTTGGGAAGATTAAATTTTAAAAAGGTTGAAAACAATTAATTAGAAAATGCTCTACCAAAGTTAGTTTTTATTTAGTAGACAGTTAGATGTTTTCCTCTCCCTGTTACCTGGGGCCACTTTGGCTTGAATAACAACCTAAAGGTTTGATCAGAGCAGTCCAGAATGCCTATATTTGTGCTCTTAAGGAAGAGTGACTTAAAGATGATTTAGTAGTAGGTAATAACTCCAATTAAGCTCTCAGAGACTTATCCGAGGGTAAATTGGCAGGTCTTGTCGCAGTCAGGAGTCATTTACAGAGATATATTTTCTCCTGTGTTACTGTAGAGGAAAAAGTGTAGTGTATGTCTAACACAGGCACAACTCTATGCAAATCAACATGTGAAAATTCTTACATAATATATTAATGTAAAGGAAATATTTTCTTTAAAAAAATTCTCGCTGAGATTCTTTGCAACTGCCAGTACAATCTTATTTATATTATTAATTAGTGACAATCTTTTCAATTCTGTGAAATAACACTGATAAATACCAATGGGATTACGAACTTGAACCCCTGAAATACTTTCGTAAGACCAAGCACTAATCAAAACTACTTTGTAGTTGCATATTTATTTGAAGAAATGCAAATCAGAAAATAGCACCTACTAAAAGATTTGGTTTAAAGGGGATGAGATGTGGGAGATGGGGGGACAAAAATATGGAAAACCTAGCCAAAATAGCAATTTTGGTTTTGTTTAAAAATCAGTTTGCTGTTTGTCTCTGGATGATCAGACAACTTAATCCAGAAAGAGATGAGGAATGTTGATATTGTGGATGATGAAGAAAATCAACTTGATAAAATTGAAGAGGTTTGTCCACTAAAGGGCCACATATAAGAGACAGCAGTAACTTCCAAGCCTAAGGGTGCATAAAACAAGATTCGTGCATTTAGAAGTTTTTAATACAACAATTAGAAGTCCTATCTGTCTAACTATTAAAGATCTGAACATTTTTGATTTGGAGCAGAAACTGATTAAATATAAACTTTTGCTCCTCTATCTTTCTTGTGTGTGTCATGTCTAAATGTCTCAATGGTTTTAGCAGCAGTCGTGTCTGCCTAAGAGAAAATAGGGCACTATGTAATTATCAGGAGAAATTAAACTACTGGGCTTCATTAGAGAAGTCACCCCTTACCTAGAGCGTTTGCTCTAAAAACCAGCTACTTAGTAAAGATTGATTTGACTACTTAGTGAGCTGTAGCTAAAGCCCTGTTACCTTTCAGTGATTTCAAAGCTCTTCTTAAACCTCCTTTTGATTTCACAGCTAATCTATTGCTTCTCACTCTTCAAGGTTTTCAGTGCCTTTGAAAAGACCACCTGAAGGGAAAGAGATTACTGATACGATTACAATAGAAACAGGTTAAAACAAGATGTCAGGAACCCAAAATAAGACAGCAGTCGCTGGGGGTTAAAATTAGATGCTGTCTTCTTTGACTGTCTTTTTTCTTTTTTTCTTTTTTTTCTTGGGCTCAGGAATAAATCCATTCATCTTTTTTCTAATTTGCCATGCCCCTTTTCTACCCCCAGGAGTCAACCAGAATGTTAGAGGCCTCAATCTTATTGGACAAAGAACAGGTTCCCACAATCGGTTTAAAAAAAACAAAAACCTACTATTTACCTGGGAAGCTGTATTTAACTTATTAAAAATCAGGTGACATGCAGAGAAATTAGATCACTTATACATTGCTAGTGGTAATATAAAATGATACAGCCTTTCTGAGAAATGGTTTGAAAGTCTTTGGCCGGGGGGCGGGGGGTTGGTTGGTTTGTTTGTTTAGAGACAGAGTCTTGCTCTGTCACCCAGGCTGAGGCTCAGTGAGCTCCGGGGCTCAAGCAATACTCCACATCAGCCTTCCAAGTAGCTGGACTACCCAGCTACCACGCCCAGCTAATTTTTATTGGTTTTTAATTTTTAGTAGAGACAGAGGCTCACTATGTTGCCTGGGCTGGTCTTGACATCCTGGCCTCAAGCAATCCTGCTGCCTCAGCCTCCCCAAGTGCTGGGATTATAGGCATGAGTCACCTTGCTAGCCTGGGAGTTTCTTAAAACGACAACAACAACAACAACAACAAACTAAACATGAAATTACCATATGACCCAGCAATTGCACCCCTGGGCATTTATCCCAGGGAAATGAAGACTTGTGTTCACATGAAAACCTATACACAAAATGCTTATACTAGCTTTATTCATGACAGCTAAAAACTTGAAACAATCCAGATGCCCTTCAGCAGATGAGCGGTCAAACTGGGATACAGCCATACCATGGAATACTACTCAGCAATGAAAAGGAATGAGCTATTATATACACAGCTTGCATGAATCCCAGGCAATTATGCTGAACAACAACAACAAAAATTCCAAAAGGCTACATATGATCCATTTAAATAATCTTTTTTAAATTATTTTTATTTATTTATTTTTTATTTTTTATTTAATTTTTTTTTTTTTGAGATGGAGTCTTGCTATGTCGCCCAGGCTGGAGTGCAGTGGCGCTGTCTTGGCTCACTGCAAGCTCCGCCTCCCGAGTTCACGCCATTCTCCTGCCTCAGCCTCCCGAGTAGCTGGGACTACAGTCACCCGCCACAACGCCCGGCTAATTTTTTGTATTTTTAGTAGAGACGGTGTTTCACCGTGTTAGCCAGGATGGTCTTGATCTCCTGACCTTGTATGTGCCCGCCTTGGCCTCCCAAAGTGCTGGGATTACAGGCGTGAGCCACCGCGCCCGGCCTTTTTTTTTTTTTTTTTTTTTTTTTTTTTTGACAAGGTCTAGCTCTATTGCTCAGGCTGGAGCCGTCATGGCTCATTGCAACCTCCCACCTCCCAGCTCAAGCGATCCGCCCACCTCAGCCTCACAAAGTGTTGGGATTACGACCATGAGCCACCACGCCTGGCCTAAATAACCTTCTTGAAATAATAATATTATGGAAGTGTCAAATAGATTATGGTTGCCAGGAGTCAGGGACTGTGTGCTGGAGGAGGGAGGCTTGGCTGTAAAAGGGCAACAGGAAGGATCTGTGTAGTGATGGAAATGTTTTTTCTTGACAGTATGACTGTCAATGTCCTTGTGATAGTATACTATAATACTTTTGCAAGATGTTACCATTTTGGATAAACTGGATGAAAGGTACGGGAGATTTCCATATTATTTCTTACAACTGCATGTGTATTGATAATAATCTTAAATTAAAAGTTTAATTAAAAAATCAAATGGCAAAAAAATACGCAAGAAGCTGAAAACCAAAATAATAATAGAAATATTTGACTTGAAAAAAAATATTGGGCCGGGTGCAGTGGCTCAATCCTGTAATCCCAGCACTTTGGGAGGCCGAGGCGGGCAGATCACGAGGTCAGGAGATCGAGACCATCCTGGCTAACACGGTGAAACCCCGTCTCTACTAAAAATATTAAAAAATTAGCTGGGTGTGGTGGCGGGTGCCTGTAGTCCCAGCTACTCGGGAGGCTGAGGCAGGAGAATGGTGTGAACCCGGGAGGCGGACCTGGCAGTTAACCGAGATCGCGCCACTGCACTCCAGCCTGGGCGACAGAGCGAGACTCCGTCTCAAAAAAAAAAAAAAAAAGAAAAAAAAATGTCATGTGTATCATCACTTAGTATGACAAATATATCAAAAGCAAGATTGTCTCCAGATGTTGATTAAAATGTAACATCCAAAGGCCCTTGAGAAGAATGGTCTGTATAATAAATAATGCTGATAACCAAATGGCAGAGTGGCTTATAAGAGAATCACAATGAGTGAGACAGCTTTTTCACTAGAATGTGAGCTCCATGAGGACAAGCAACATGTTGCATGACTGAATGAATACATATTGTGCATTTTTCCCCAGTTATCTGTTGCTGTGTAATGAACCATCCCAAATTCAGGGACTTCATACAATAATGATCATTTATTTTGCTTACAAATCTAGGGTTTGACTGAGCTCTGCTAAGCAGTTCTCACTCAATGTCCCTCATGAAGCTGCAGTTAGAATATGCCTGGGGTGGGATCTGGAGCCTGGGCTGGAAAGATTTAAACAGCTAGAAGCTGGAGGAGCTGGGGCTCCTTAAGCATCTATATGTCTTCATGTGATTTCTCCACATGGCAGTCTCAGCACAGCCAAATCTCTAATGTGGCAGCTGGAAGGCTCCCAGAGTGAGTTCCCAAGTACAGCAACAAAGGCTGAATGGCCTTTTCTAGCCTAGACTCAGAAGTCGCATAGCATCCTTTAATCCTCTTGCTGAGAGTTGCCGTGGTATACTATTAAGACCCTGTGCTTTATTATTATTATTATTTTATGTATTGATTTTTGAGACAGGGTCTCACTCTGTTGCCCAGGCTGGAGTGCAATGGCATGACCTCGACTCACTGCAACCTCCACCACCCAGGTTCAAGCGATTCTCCCACCTCAGCCTTCCAAATAGCTGGGACTACAGGCACGTGTCACCACACCCGGCTAATTTTTGTATTTTTTGGTAGAGATGGGGTTTCACCATGTTGGCCAGGCTGGTCTCGAACTCCTGACCTCAAGTGATACACTCGCCTGGGCTTCCCAAAGTGTTGGGATTACAGGCGTCAGCCACCACGCCTGGCCTATTTTTTTGTTTGTTTGTTTTAAATTTTCTGGCTCCTGGGGCAGGGCGTGGTGGCTCACGCCTGTAATCCCAGCACTTTGGGAGGCCGAGGTGGGTGGATCACGAGGTCAGGAGATCAAGATCATCCTGGCTAACACAGTGAAATCCCGTCTCTACTAAAAATACAAAATAAGAAATTAGCCGGGCATGGTGGCAGGTGCCTGTAGTACCTTGCAGTGAGCCAAGATCGCGCCACTGCACTCCAGCCTGGGCGACAGAGTGAGACTCCGTCTCAAAATAAATAAATAAATAAATAAATAAAAAATTCTGGCTCCTGGAACTGAAGACTTTTTGCTATAGAGACAGATACACTTACATTCACAGCCCAGTTCTTCCTTTCCTAGGTATGAGTCCTTGACAAAATGATTTAATCTCTTTGCCACCCAAGGTGAAACCCTTATCTTAATAATTGGCACCAAGACTTCCCCTCTGGAAGGTAACTGTCTTTACTGGGAAAACATTTATTGGAGTAGAAGGTGAGAGTGTATAATCCTCAGTATAGGTTAAGTGGCGAGGCATCAGAGACAAGAGCCAAACTGCCTTAAAGTGTGACAAGGAGAGAACTTTGTGTTTGCTTCTGAGGAAAGGCAGTAAGAGGAAACTGCAGACAGTAGAAGGTAGCATGCTATGTATATGAAGGAACTTTCCCTCCCACAAGAAGATCCCTGCAGTAGGGTGGCTAAAGGACATTTTAAGAATAAGTGCTCGTTATTAAATTTAAAGTCATTGGTGGTAATGTGCTGCTTCTGTGTCTCCTTCCATGCCATTCTCCCTCAGCCACTGACATACTTTCAATAATAATGATTTTAACCACTTTGCAATGTAACAGCATATTATAGATAATAAATGGCAACAAGTATTATAATTATTGATCAAAAGATCAAATTTACATATCTTAATAAAAACGACTAATTAAATATTGCATGATATACCAGTTAAGGTTACAATCAGAGAAAGAAAACTCAGCTTAAATGGGCTTAACCAACAGAGGGGTTATTGGCTCACTTAAGTGGCAAGATCACAAATAAAGTAAGCTTCAAAATTTGGGTGATCCAGCAACTCAAGATCATCAAGGATTCATTTCCTTTCCATTCTCTGCTTAGCTATGTGCAATGTTAGCTTCATCCTTCATCCTAATGCCAATTCCCCTTGTGAATGTAATGTGGCTGGGAACTGCAACTGGGCTATGCGCTTCCAGATTTACATCCAGTAGGAGAAAACACACATTTCTGTCCCAACATTCTAAGCAAGAGTCCTGAAATTCACCTTGATTGTATCATTTGAGTTCCAATGTCCACTTTGAAATCAATGACAGTAGTTGGTGGTGAGGAGGGGGAACCATGCTGATTGGCCTGTCAATCATGGCCTATCCCTGTCATTGGTGGAAAAGGTAGTTAGTTTTCCTTGAAGCATGTAGGCTACACCAGGAAAATGCAAGTTCCCAAATAAATACCCTGTTAGGTAGAAGCAAACCAACTAATATCCACCACAACTGGCAAATATGGATTACAGACAAAATTCTTCAAATTGTGAAATATTGGGGGGAAATTAATTAAGGGGCTCTTTGATGGTTTAAAAAAACAAATTACGGGTTTTTTTAGCCATATATTTTTAAAAACTTTTAATTAAAAAGTAAATCTTAATGATGAAAATGCAAGGGAGGGCAGAAAGATCACACACAAGGCTATCACTTCACACTTGGAGGGTTGCACAGCAGCCAGGCAGAGGCACTCCTCACTTCCCAGACGGTGGGGGCCGGGCAGAGGAGCTCTTCACTTCCCAGGCGGTGGAGGGGCTGTAGCCACAATTTTTTTAAAAGTTGGAGCCAGACGCGGTGGCTCACGCCTGTAATCCCAACACTTTGGGAGGCCAAGACGGCAGATCACTAGAGCCCAGGAGTTCGAGACCATCCTGGGCAGCATGGTGAAACCTTGTTTCTCATAAAAATACAAAAATTAGTCAGACATGGTGACGCCATAGTCCCAGCTTCTCGGGAGGCTGAGGTGGGAGGATCACTTGAGCCCAGGAGGTTGAGGCTGCAGTGAGCTGTGACTGCACCACTGCACTGCAGCCTGGGTGACAGAGTGAGACCTTGTCTCAAAAAACAAAAACAAAACAAAAAGGTTGGGAATCGCTGATATAAAAGGAAGTAAAAGAATGGGAAGAAAACAGGATAATTGATGAATTGAAAATTTTAAAAGAAAGATTGAGAGAAAAAAGAGATAGGCAAAGATAAATTAATTTTAAGAGTCTTGTCTCAATAAGAAGCTGATAGTCTTTTTCTCTGAACATGAATGTCATAGAGACCTAATTATAAGGTTTATTAGAGCCGTCAGCAAAATGAAACAGAACAGAACAGAACAGAACAAGAACAACTTGTAATAAATCTCACCTAAGAAAAGGTAGGGACAAATACTAAATAAGAGATGGCTACAAGTAGAGAAGGATCTGAAACCCAATTATTTAATGGCAATATTTGTGTGACCTTTTCCCCCTTTAATGTATAGGACTTTGAATACTACAAATGAAATAAAGAAAAAATAGTTTTTAACAATACTGAAATTGTTTAATATTTGTCTTCATTTCATGTGGCTGCTGCAACAAACTGCCACAAACCGAGTAGCTTAAAACAGCAGAAATTTATTTTCTCACAGTTACGGAGGCCAAAAGTCCAAAATCAAGGTGTTGGCAATGCTCCATCCTCCCTCCAGAGGCTCTGGGGGTGAATCCTTCCTTGCCTCTTTCAGCTTCTAGTGGCTCCAGGCATTTCTTGGCTTATGGCTGCAAAACTCTAGTTTCTGCCCTCATCTTCATATGGTCTGTGTCTTCTCCTCTTCTGTATGTCTCAAATCTCTCTCTTTCTCTCTCTCGCTCTACCTTTGTCTCTTGGTCTTTCTCTCTCTCTCTCTCTCTCTTTAAGAGATGAGGTGTTGCTAGATTGCCCAAGCTGGAGTGCAGTGGCTATTCCCAGGGATGATTATAACACAGTGCAGTCTTGAATTCCTGGGCTCAAGTGATCCTTGAGTAGCTGGGACTTCAGACGTGTGCCACCATGCCCAGTTTCTGCCTTTCTCTTATCCAATCCAACACCTGTCATTGGATTTTGGGCCCCTATCCAGATAACCAGGATGAGCTAATCCTAAAACCCTTAACTATTACTTCCACGGAGACCCTTTTTCCAAATAACATTTCCAAATAACATTCACAAGTTCCAGGTATTTAGACATGGACCTATGTTTTAGGAACCACCGCTCAACCACTACAATATTTATTAAAACAGAAAAATAATCTAACAAAAATGGAATAAAGACCCTAAGACTAGATTTAAATTTACAAATAAATTATATTTGTTAATGAAATGTTTACAGTTTTTTTTTTTAAAAAAAAAACCTATTTCCACTACCAATTTTTTAAAATGCAAAATAGGACTTTGGGTGCCATTATACTCACATTAACCTAATAAAATATATATTAGAATTAGAAGACCCAGTTTCTAAACCAGGATCTAGTCAGGAAATTAGCAATCAAGCTAGGTATTTCAAAGAGAGGGTATTTAATACAGGAAACTATATTGTTGGGAGAACTGAAAGGTCAAAAGGGAAAGGTAGGTAACCCTGAGATTAATAAAGATAGAAAGAAAGAAGCTGGCAGAATAAGAAGGAGGAGGTAGCACTACCACAGCACAAGACTGCATGTCTTATTGTGTCATTGGGAATGCCAAATAGGATTCTGGGAACACCAGAGAGAGGACGTCCAGAAATGAAGTCACTTCTAGAAATACTGCCAGAAGCAGAAAGAAAGAAAACTATGGCTTCTCCCTCCCTTACACTTTCTAATTTTCTGCTGGCCTCTTCTATTGACAGAACCTAACAAGAAGCCAGCTAGAAATGAAGCCTGGGAAATGTGCTTTGCAGGCTTCTAGCCCCAGCATTGTGAAGCAGAGTAGAGTGGGGTCGGTGCAGAGCTATGAGACAATAAGTAAATAATTGGCACATCAAGTGATGTGGAAAAGCAGGTGTATTTCTACATTGCTGATGATACTGTAAGTCAGAGAACAATTAGAGATAAGTAACTCTTTATACACATTGACTAAATAAGGCCACTCTGGGGAACATCATCCTGAGAAATAACCTACGTGCAAAAAAGAAAGAATTTGTACAAAAATGTTTGAAGTAGCATCATTTATAACAGCAAAACCATGAAAACAGCCCATATACCCAGCAATAAGGGGATGATTAAGAAAGCAGTGACTGATCGATGTATCAGAATACTCTAAAGCTTAGAAAAAAACCCAAAACATATGTTTCAAGGCAGTATGAACATATTCATATGAAATAAAGTTAAGTGAAAAAAGTAGAATGCAGAATTATATGTCTACTACACTAATTACATCTGTGTAAAAATGTAGTAATGTATATTAACAAAGATCAGGGGAGACTTGGAGTGATATAACTGGTTTGGAGCTTAATGTTACTTAGGCTTCTTCTGTAAAGTTGGCTAAGTTCTTAATAAAAAGAGAGCCTGGCCGGGCACGGTGGCTCATGCCTGTAATCCCAGCACTCTGGGAAGCCAAAGCGAGTGGATCACCTGAAGTTGGGAGTTCGAGACCAGCCTGACCAACATGGAGAAACCCCATCTCTACTAAAAATACAAAATTAGCCGGGCGTGGTGGTGCATGCCTGTAATCCCAGCTACTCAGGAGGCTGAGGCAGGAGAATCGGTTGAACACGGGAGGCAGAGTTTGTGGTGAGCTGAGATCGTGCCACTGCACTCCAGCCTGGGCAACAAGAGCGAAACTCCGTCTCAAAAAAATAAAAAATAAAATAAAAAAAAAAGAGGGAGGCTGGGTGCAGTGGTTCATGCCTATAATCCCAGCACTTTGGGAGGCAGATGGGGGAAGATTGCTTGAGGCTAGGAGTTTGAGACCAGCCTGGGCAACATAATGAGACCGTGTCTCTACAAAAAAAAATTTTAAATTAGCCAGCCTTGGTGGCACATGCCTATCATCCTACTTGGGAGGCTGAGGTGGGAGGATTGCTTGAGCTTAGGAGTTTGAGGTTACAGTGAGCTATGATCATGCCACTGCACTCCAGCCTGGGCAACAAAGCAAGAGCCTGTCTCCTTAAAAAAAAAAGAGAGACAGAGAAAAGTAAATGAGTCTTTAATTTTATTTTTAGATTCCAAAACAACTGAGAATTATGTGTTTCATATTAAGCTACTTTAAGGAAAAAACCAGCACACACACACACACAAACACACACGCACACAGTACAACCTGGCTAACCGTTCCTACCACGGCACTTTTTACAACTCTGGCATTAATCACTGCCATGGCCTGAGGCCAGTGTCCAATTGGTCTAGAGATTTTATTTTACAACCTGAGAACACTGGCTGGCTCCCAGTGCCTCTGCTCTCCTGCCCTGAGCAGAGCCTTTCTTCTTGTTGCTACACTTCATGTTTTCTACTACAGGCCAGGAGCTGTTAAAGTTAAGTAAAACAATGAATAAAGATAACAGAGTGAGCGCCCCCCCCCCCCAAAAAAGCCCAGCATTTTAATAATTATGTAAGTTTTTGTCAGTATTTATTGCTTCAAAAGATTTTGTTTTCTCCTTGAACCTGAAGTACTTTATAGCATGTCTGAAACACACACCCTAAGCTAAGAGGGCAGAAAGGCCACACCTTTGCCTCACCCCTCCCCCAATCCATTTTGCTGCCCAGAAGCACTGATGTGCCAAGTTTTTTGGACCCATGAACCCTGCCTCACTAGTAAGCTAATACAGATGCTTGTCACAGCTGCCTTAGGACTATCTGGAGTCTGAGAGTATGTGGTTACAGCAGGAAAGACATGACATCATAATTGCCTCCCACAGGGACCTGCTGGCAGTTTGCCCAAGAGACCTTGGCCGTGCCCAGAACCAATCTCTAAACTTGACAGACTTTCCACTTTTGCCTTTTGTGATTATTTGAAAATCATCTTCCAAAGACTGCCTAGCTTCAGATCCCAGTTTTCCTACCCATCATCTGGGTGACCCTAGGTCAGTTAGTTAAGCCCTCTGTGCCTCAGTTTCCTAATGTAAAACATGGGAGGAAAACCAGGAAATAATAGTAAATACTTCATAGTTTTGTTGCAAAGATATGAGATAATGCACTTAAGGCTCAATGGAAGATATGACTCGTTCTCTACCCAAGATCCTTTCTATTCTTCTTTTTTTGTTAACAGAAATATGATTTTGTTTGGGGTGGCAGTGAGCCCAGCTAAAATACTCCCACAGACTCCCTTACAGCTACGGTGATCGTATGATTCTACAGGGAGAGGTTTCCTGGAAAGCAGCAGATTCTGATGAAAAAAGGACAGACCCAGCTGGCGTGTATATTTTGCTCTTTGCCCTTCCTTTTTCATTCTGTCTGGAATGAGGATACCTGCAAGAAAGGCAGCCACCTTGCAACTAAGAGGACAAGAGCCACATGCTAAGGATGGTAGAGCAGAAAGCTAGAAGGAACCTGGGCCCCTGATGATGTCCTGAAGCAGCTGTGCCAGTAGCGAGCCACCTATCTCCAGACTTCATGTTACATGAGAAGAATGAACTCCATTTGGCTAAGCCACCATGGTAGTTTCTCTTATATGCAGCTGAATGCAATCCTGATCTAAACTCATACCGCCTGCCAATAACACCTTAAGAACGGTTACCTTAGGCCGGGCACGGTGGCTCATGCCTGTAATCCCAACACTTTGGGAGGCCAAGGTGGGCAGACCACCTGAGGTTGGGAGTTCGAGGCCAGCCTGACCAACATAGAGAAACCCCGTCTCTATTAAAATACAAAATTAGCTGGGTGTGGTGGCGCATGCCTGTAATCCCAGCTACTCGGGAGACTGGGGCAGGAGAATCCGCTTGAACCCGGGAGGCAGAGGATGTGGTGAGCCAAGATCATGCCATTGTACTCCAGCCTGGGCAACAAGAGCAAAACTCCTCAAAAAAAAAAAAAAAAAAAAAAAAAAGAACAGTTACCTTTTATTTTTCTATGAAGTACCATAAGTCAGCTATCTCTCTGCTGAACACTGAGAGAGGTTCACAATTATTGTCATGAAATTTAGCTATGGCAAATATTATATAAAATTATCAGTTGTCAACTAGAGTTGGTAAACATTCTTATTATTCAGAGACACTGGTAGTAATAACATTTGTTGAAATAGAATTTGACATACTAGGATAGTGTTTTATTGCTGCTAGGTTATACTCAACTAGCTCTTTAAAGGGATTATTTTATTAATAAATCTAGTAAACTCATGGGAGGTGGGGGAATAGAACATTTACATATTTTAACTGATAAAGGCCTGCTCAGTGGCTCACATTTGTAGTCCTAGCTACTTGGGAGGCTGAGGACCCCTTGAGCCCAGGACCTAAGGTTGCAGTGAGCTATGACTGCATCACTGCACTCCAGCCTGGGTGACAGAGTGAGACCATGTGGATCCATCCCCAACACGAGAAAAGTTCATTCTAGCTTCAGTCTGGACAAGCGACTTCCCCATATGACCAGGGTGAGATCAGAGAACCAATCAGACATCCCTCAAGCCACCAATTAAATGATGTTCCTTTTTTCTCAGTTTGAACTGTTGGTTGTTTAAGTAGAGGAAAGCAGCAGGAGCAGCAGGAAAGGTTGAATTACGCTGCAAGAACACCTCCACCAAAATCCCAGTGGCTGAAAATAACAAAACTTGTTTCTTATTCATTCCACTCATCCTTCCTGGGGTAGCTGGGACACACTCCTCATTATAGCCATGGAACTCAAGCTGAGAGAGCAACCATCATCTTGAACATTGCCAGCCACCATGTTGAAAGGAAAATGGGCCCTGCTTTGGCAGTTTCAAGTATATGTCACTTTTTGCTCACAACCCACTATCTGGAACCAGTCCCATGGCCTCAGGTAACCAAAAGTGAGCCATAAAGTGCACTTCTACCATGTGCCAGAAACGGTAGCACCAGAAAATGTTGGCGAACCGCACCAATGCCTATCAAAGAAATAGTATCACTGAGTGCGTATTATGTGCTACTGTGTGTGATGTCACTTATGTTATCTAATTCTTACCATACATTTGGATATTGTTTAACTCCAATTTTTGGATGAGAAATTGGAGGCTTAGACAGGCCAAGTTATTTGTCCAAGAGACCCATCTAATGTGTAGATTTGATTTTAGTTTCACCAGATTCCAAAACCTATGCTTTTTCCCTTGCCTCCTAGTATAACACGTTGAGCTGCTTACAACCTCACAATTTTGGGGGTTGGGAGAAGTGGAGAAAAACAGAGTAGAGGAAATGGTTTATGTAAGAAATAATTCTCTCGACAAAGCTGAAGTATGGTAACCAATGGGGCCATACTTCCTTGGCCTCATTAGTATAATGAGGTGGCCAACTGAACTAACTTACCTAAGGACTTAAAACTGATCACCACAAGCCCCGAAACAAAAATGACTACAATAAGATTGTGGACAAGGAGATACTCGGTATGCTGAGTGAGTTGGACAGACAATACCATCAAATTGAGAGGCAGCATTATGCTATCAAGTAGTAACTTGATAGCTTGATACCTAACAAGTGATAACTTCAGAATGTTTCCTATTACCCCAGATGATAACCAATTGCTTTAAGGGCTCTCTTCACTATTGAATAATTCTCACCTTTAATACCTGAAGAGCGTTTATGATTTTCAGAAGTTCATTAACAGCATTTTATATATATATAATATTGCTCTGACTATAATAATGCTGACAGGGATTCACATTTCAAAGAAAAGTATGCACTCAAGCACAGCAGAGACACTGATTCTCTCTAGAGGTCTCAAACAGAGCATGGTTGTGTACCATTGACCTGCTTCTAGAAGAGATGTAATTTTTAGCAAGAAAAGGATGATCCTTTAAGCTTTTAAAATAGTTTTTGCACTGTAATTTATTTATCCTACATAGCTAATGGTAAGGCCTTAAGTATTCAACCAGAGTTGATATTAATATAACATAGCTAGATTTTTATTTCTCTAAGCACATTCTTAAAAAAATATAAACCTAAATATAATTTTATCTTTTATAAAATGCTTGTGATATAATTTTTTTTGTTTTCGTTTTTGTTTTTGTTTTGAGATGAAGTCTCACTCTTCTCACCCAGGGCTGGAGTACAATGGCACGATCTCGGCTGACTGCAACCTCTGCCTCCCAGGTTCAAGTGATTCTCCTGCCTCAGCCTCCCGAGTAGCTGGGATTACAGGTGCCCACCACCACGCCCGGCTAATTTTTGTATTTTTAGTAGAAACAGGGTTTCACCATGTTGGCCAGACCAGTCTCGAACTCCTGACCTCAGGCGATCCACCCACCTCAGCCTCTCAAAGTGCTGGGATTACAGGTGTGAGCCACCACGCCCGGCCTTGTGATATAATGTTACATGGAAAAGCAGTCTGTAAACATTTACAGTTCCATTGGTTCCAGTACATACTACCTTCAACACACTAATCTGGATGTGTGTGGATGGGCCAATTTCCCATCTCACCCCTATTAGGTCTGTTTTAGCAGTATTTGTTGGTGCATTATAGATTATGGATGAATTTTCCCCTTTGTTCCTCAATTTTTTTTTTTTTTTGAGACAGAGTCTTACTCTATTGCTCAGCCTGGAATGCAGTGGCGCCACCTCGACTCACTATAGCCTCCACTTCCTGGGTTCAAGTGATTCTCCTGCCTCAGACTCCCGAATAGCTGGGACTGCAGGCACATGCCACCATGCCCAGCTAATTTTTGTATTTTTAGTAGAGACAGGGTTTCACCATGTTGGCCAGGCTGGTCTCAAACTCCTGACCTCAAGTGATCTACCTGCCTTGGCCTCCCAAAGTGCTGGGATTACAGGCATGAGCCACTGCACCCGGCCTTAATTTTTTTTGTATAATACTTTTATGACAAAATATTTTCTAAACTCAAAAACAGCATTTACAATATGAATTCAAATACTTCTGGTTACATACTTTTGTGTTCATGTAGATTTTTTTTAATGGAAATCACTGTGAGATAGAGTATCAAAGACTCAAATAGTATTCTTAAAATAATCAGTTAAGCATGGAAGTCAAAACTTAATTTTAAGAGGAATGTCATAGAGTTGAGGGTCAACCCCTTCATATAACAGCCAAAATTTGAATCACCTGAATAAATAATGAGAGGAGAAGGAAAGGGCAATTTGAACTCTGCAACCTCTCATATTTAAAAGAAGAAACAGAAGAGGTAATTCCAATCGACCCTCTGTGTTTTTATGGGTTTTGCATCTCTGGGAAGGTTAAGATGACAACCCATTCTAAACACACATCCGTTTACATTAGCAGCCTTTTCTATGGGTGACTTAAGTGCATATTTGAAACATTCCAACAGAGAAACAAAAAAGACATCAAAGGGCCAAATAAATCCACACAAGCATGGGAATTTCAGAGGCGTTTATTTGGACTTTATCTCACCTTGTTTGCCCACTATAATCCAAATGAGACCGTAAAACAGTCAGTACCCAAAAGCCCTGCTTTCCGTAGTCAAAACAGGGTTAGATCTTGACCCTCTTTTGGGAAAGTTACAGTGGCTGCTCTCTGTTAGCAAAGGGGACTAGGGGAGGATGTTGGGGAGAATTGTTTTACTAACACATTTGAAGTGTGTCAAATAGGTGTCAAGTTCCTGCCTGAACACTAATTAAATCTGGATGCTAAAAATGAACAAGAACAGGTTGACAGCAGTTTTTATACTACTTGGGTGGTAGTTGCAATGACCATGACTGGAATGGCCCTGAACCCGCCACATTGGGTTGATGATGTAATTTAAGGAAAACAATTAGTTTAACTTTTCAGACAGTCTAGGTCTAGGTTCCTTTGTCTTAGCCTGATATTCTCTTTTTAATGATTTTCCCCCTTCTTCTCTTACACTCCTTCCTCCCTTGATGGTATCATTACACATGGAAAATTGCAGATGTTTAGTTTATATAACAGGCAAGACTAATGTTCACTTTAAACCAAATCTGGTACATGGATAAAATCCATATAACAGCACATACAACACTCACACAAAGAACTCTGGGGCCCTTAACTTCAGTAAGAGCTAAAGAATGTTTTTAAGTGGAGAGGAAGAAATGATGGGAATATTTGCTACAGGATGCAGACATCAGTCCCCTGGTACCATTAGCTCAACAGGAGTTAAATGTAACTATGAGCAGGGGAAGTCATTAAGCCAGTGGTCTTTTTCTAGGAAGTCCTTACTCTGCAACCTGGCTAGACTGATTTGTTGGGTTTGCCCAAGTAGTGCAGACATAAAATAATTGGGAAGAGAAGAAATAATGTGAGCAAAAGAGAATACTGAAGTTCTAATGGGTGCAACACCAAGGAAGACTATGGAGGTGATAAGAAAGAAGCAGATATTGAATGCTTACTTAACTTATTTCACTGATATCTTAACTAGTGACATCACAATAATCAATACTGCAAGTTGAACTACTGGTTCTTTAAGGAAAAAAATCAGAAAGGTGTTCTTTGTCCTTTGTTAACACAAACATAAATGTTTGTGCAATGAGAGAAATGCCCCTCTGTGGTCTCTTCCTCAGCACACTAGGGATGACTGGGAAATATTCAATTAGAACAACATAATAACGATCAATGACTGGCAATGTTTTATGTTTTATATCACCAGGAACAGATATTTAATACATTCTTTGCCTGTTTCCTTATATATGCAGTCACCACTACTAGTCACTGAAAGAGTTTCTTACATATTTTTCAAAATACGTATTATTATTTATAGATCCAGCAAATATACTATTTTTCCTTAAAGGCTGCCTGCCTCTCCCTTTTTTTTTTTTTGACAGGTCTTACTCTGTCACCCAGGCTGAAGTGCACAGTGGTAAGATCATGGTTCAGCGCAGCCTGAACCTCCAGGCTCGAGCGATCCTCCTACTTCAGCCTCCTGGGTAGCCGGGATTACAGGTGTGCACTGCTACCACATCCAGCTAATTTTTGATTTTTATAGAGACAGGGTCTTGCTATGTTCCCCGGTTGGTCTTGAACTCCTGGATGCAAGCGATCCTTCCTGCTTTGGCCTCCCAAAGTCCTGGGATAACAGATGTGAACCACCATGCCTGCCCCTGCCCCGCCTTTTTTAAAAGTTTAATTAGAAACACTGATTGTAAAAATGTAAACAATGAATATGAATATAACAATCTAGGCTGGGTGCAGTGGCTCACGCCTGTAATCCCAGCACTTTGGGAGGCCAAGGCCGGTGGATCACGAGATCAGGAGTTTGAGACCTGCCTGGCCATCATAGCGCCTTTACGAAAAATACAAAAATTAGCCGGGCATGGTGGTGCGTGCCTATAGTCCCAACGACTCGGGGAGGCTGAGGCAGGAGAATCACTTGTACCTGGGAGATGGAGGTTACAGTGAGCCAAGATCGTGCCACTGCACTCCAGCCTGGGCAACAGAGCAAGACTCCGTCTCAAAAAAAAAAAAAATCTAAAAAGTAAAATGTTCTCCCTTACCTTTCTCATGTTTATACTTATTTTGGTTATCTATTGCCATGTAAGAAATTATCCCTGAAACTTAATGGCTCACATAGTTTCTGTGGATCAGGAATCCGGGGTAGCTTAGCTGAGTGGCTCTTGGTCCAGCATCTCTCACAGGTTGTAGCCATGATGCTTGCAAGGGCTGTAGTCATCTGAAGGCTTGGCTGTGGCTGCAAGACCCACTGCCAAAGTAAGCCTGCTGAGTGATGCTGGTTGTGGGCAGGAGGCCTCACTTCTTCACCACATGGGCCATGACATAGCACTGTGTGGATGTGTGGATGTCTTCATAACATGGAAGCTAGCTTTCCCCAGGGTGAGCAATCCAAAAGATAGAGCAAGAAAGAGGCCAAATGACTTTTATGGTTGAATCTAATAAATCACACACACACACACACACACACACACACACACACACCACTCAGTCCAGTTCATATTTAGGGAAGTGAAATCAAGCCCCACCTTTTGGAGAGAGAAGTAGGAACATATTTGTGGACGTATTTTAAAATCACCATAATGGGGCTGGGCACGGTGGCTCACACCTGTAATCCCAGCACTTTGGGAGGCTGAGGTGAGCGGACCACTTGAGGCCAGGAGTTTGAGACCAGCCTGGGCAACATAGTGAGACCCCTATCTCTAAAAAAAAAAAACAAAAAACCTGCCATAGTGCTGCTATTTCTTAAAGGTAACCACTATTAATATTTTGATATGTAACTTTCTAGACCTTTTCCTATGTACATACAAATAAATATATATGATATGTTTTATAAATATTTATAATTATTTTACAAAACTCTTAGAAAATGAATGAGAAAGTGCAGTACCATTCTGCTACCTACTCCTTTGTGTGTCACCTGTTTTTACTTTATTGAAGCTTTTCGGATTTGTTCTTTTTTCCTGATGTTCTGGGATTATATGAAGGTATGTCATGGCTTTATTGTTGTTGTTGATTTGTTTGATTTGTTACACTGAGCACTCAGTGGGACTTATCTTCTGAAGATTTACATCAATTGGTGGTAGAAATTTTTCTTCTATTATTTCTTTGATAATTTCCTCCACTCCATTTTTTCCTATTCCTTCTTTTTTAAAAAAAATCTCTCTATCCTGTTGATCAGATGATAGTCTTCTGGATTGATTCTCTAACTTTCTTATTTTCCGTCTGCTACTTTTCTTTTCTTTCTTTCTTTTTTTTTTTTTTGAGATGGAGTTTTGCTCTTCTTGCCCAGGCTGGAGTGCAGTGCACAGTCTCGGCTCTATGCAACTTCTGCCTCCCAGGTTCAAGCGATTCTCCTGCCTTAGCCTCCTGAGTAGCTGGGATTATAGGTGTCCACCATCACACCTGGTTAACTTTTCTGTATTTTTAGTAGAGACGGGGTTTCACCATGTGGCCAGGCTGGTCTCGAACTCCTAACCTCAGGTGATCTGCCTGCCTTGGCCTCCCAAAGTGCTGGGATTATGAGCATAAGCCACCACGCCCAGCCTTCTCTCTGTTACTTTTCATCAGTACTTTGGGAAAAAAGGCTTTACTCTTATAATCAGATGAGATATGATAGTCATCGCATTGCCTCTAGGTTCAGTCTTGCTTTTTTTTTTTTTTTTTTTTGGAGGCAGGGTCTTTCTCTGTCACCCAGGTGAGAATGCAGTGTGCACTCACACGATCACAGCTCACTGCAGCCTCGACCTCCTGGGCGCAAGCGATCCTCCCACCTCATTTTTTTATTTTTATTTTTTTGTAGAGATAAGGTTTCACTATGTTGCCCAGGGTGGTCTTGAACTCCTGGGCTCAGGTGATCCTCCCACCTTGGCCTCTCAAAGTGCTGAGATTATAGGCATGAGCCACTGTACCTGATGGCTCAGTCTTTCTTGATCACTGTCCTTATAGTCTGGCCATGGGATGAAACTTTTTTTAAAAAGTCAGAGGAGGCTGGTCTAAGCCCACTCAGCAGCAGGAATGCTGTTCCCCCACCATTATGATAACTTGTCCCCTGAAATCTCTGCTTCAGTGCTCCTGCCAATGCCATTTTAAAAGCTTACCTTCTATTTGTACACAGTACATATGTTTTCTATTTATAGTTACCTTACTCTTACTCATACCCCCTGTTTATGGATGATTCCTGTTGCCTTATAGTATATGTGCACAACTGCTATGGCTTGAATGTGAGAGACACATTCAAGCCATAGCAGTACATTCTATCTCAAGAAACCACTTTAAGAATCTTAAAGTGTTCATGCGTTGAAAACTTAAATCCCAATGCAATGGTGTTGAGAGGTGGAACCTTTAAGAGGTAATTAGGTCACGAGGGCTCTGCTCTCATGAATGGATTAATGTTGTTATTGCAGGAGTGGGTTAGTTATCTTGGGAGTTGGTTACTGATAAAAGATAAATTTGGCTTCCTTCCTTTCTGGCTTTCTCATGCTCTCTGGATGACACAGCAAGAAGGACCTCACCAGATGCAGAGTCCTCAACCTTGAACTTCCCAGCCTCCAGAATTGTAAGAAACAAATTTCTATTCTTTTTTTTTTTTTTTTTTTTTTTTTTTGAGACAGGAGTTGTCACTCTGTCTTCCAGGCTGGAGTGCAGTGGCGCAATCTCAGCTCACTGCAACCTCTGTCCCCTGGGTTCAAACAGTCCTCATGCCTCAGCCCAGCTGGAATTACAGATGTGTGCCATCACGCCCAGCTAATTTTTGTGTTTTTTGTAGAGATAGGGTTTTGCCATGTTGGCTGGGCTGGTCTCAAACTCCTGGCCTCAAATGATCCACCTGCCTCGGCCTCCCAAAGTGCTGGGATTAGAGGCATGAGGCACTGTGCCAGGCCTAAATTTCTATTCTTTGTTAATGACACAGTCTGTGGTATTCTGTTATAGCAAGACAAGACAGACAAAGACAATGATTTTCTCATCTTTGGTAGCTTTCAGTTTTTGCGACTAATGACAACATCCTCCCTGTATTTCTCACAAAATGTTTTCTAGATAATCTAATTACGTACCTAATCACCATCATTCCTGTTTGGGCAGAGCTTTTGCTCTAGGTAACCTCTTATACCTCAGCCTTGTAGCTTGGCTGCCCTTGAGTCAGTTACCACCTCTGGCAAAATCAGCTGTGGAATAGGGAAGGGACCAGGAGATACCATCAAAGCAAATCCTGTCCGAGGACCATTCAGGGCTACCTACCTAGCTGCCAAGTGGCTGTGGGCGTGGCAAGGTGTGACCAGCTCTTAATGATCACTTTAGGCAGGACACTTAACATTAGGAACCTCAATGGCCTCTTGGAAAAGCGGAAATAACTAAAGGTCTCTCATCTATTTCATTGGATTGTTATGAACATGACTCTATTTTTTGTCTTTATTATTTTATTTATGTATTTATGTATTTTTTTTTTATTTTTTTAAGAGATAGGGTCTCATTCTGTTGCCCAGGCTGGAATGCAGTAGTATGATTGTAGCTAGCTGCATCCTTAAACTCCTGGGCTCAAGCAATGCTCCCACCTTAGCCTCCCGAGTAGTTGGGACTACAGGTGTGTGCCACCATGGCTGGCTAATTTTTTTTTTTTGTAGTGATGAGGTCTTGCTATGGTACCCAGCCTAGTGTTGAACTTCTGGGATCAAGTGATCCTCTCACCTTGGCCTCCCAAAATGTTGGGATTACGGGCATGAGCCACCATGCTCAGCCTGTTGTGAGAATGAAATAAAATATTATAAACTATAAAACATGGTCCAGGCGTGGTGGCTGAAGCCTGTAATCCCAGCACTTTTGGAGGCCGAGGTGGGCAGATCACCTGAGGTCAGGAGTTCGAGACCAGCCTGGCCAATATAATGAAACCCCATCTCTACGAAAAATACAAAAATTAACCGGGCATGGTGGTGTGCACCTGTAATCCCAGCTACTCAGGAGGTAACCAAATCTGTAATATCTCCAAAGGATTGTAATATCCTTTCAATGACTGCACTAAAGTCTACTGTTTTGAGATGCTTTTTTTTTCCAGAGATAGGATCTTGCTATGTTACCCAGGCTGGACTTAAATTCCTGGGACCAAGCAACCCTTCCACCTCTGACGCCCAGTAGGAGGGACTACAGGTATACACCACTGCACCTGGCTAATAGCTCATTTTAGTACTGGACACCTAGCAGCATTTTGTTACACTACTGTTGATGGAGCACCTCACAGTAAAGCAAGTCACACAGATTTTTTGGTTTTCCAATGCACATAAAAGTTATGTTTACACTATACTGTAGTTTAAGTGTGCAATAGCATTATGTCTAAAAGAATCAATACCAGCCGGGCATGGTGGCTCACGCCTGTAATCCCTGCACTTTGGGAGGCCAAGGTGGGTGGATCACGAGGTCAGGAGATTGAGACCATCCTGGCTAACACGGTGAAACCCCGTCTCTACTAAAAATACAAAAAAATTAGCCGGCAGCACAATGGTGGGAGCCTGTAGTCCCAGCTACTCGGGAGGCTGAGGCAGCAGAATGGTGTGAACCTGGGAGTCGGAGTTTGCAGTGAGCCGAGATCACGCCACTGCACTCCAGCCTGGGTGATAGAGTGAGACTCCATCTCAAAAAAAAAAAAAAAAAAGGAATCAATACCATACCATTATTTAAAAATACTGTAATTTAAAAATACTTTATTGCTAAAAACCATAAACCATCATGAGACTTTAGTGACTTGTAATCTTTTTGCTGGTGGAGGGTTTTGCCACAATAGTGATGCCTGCTGACCGATTAAAATGGTGGTTGCTGAAGGCTGAAGTGACTGTGAAAAAAAAAATTTTTTTTTTTGAGACAGGGTCTTACTGCACACCACTGGAGTGCAGTGGTGTGATCTCAGCTCACCGCAGCCTTGACCTACTGGGCTCAAGTGATTCTCCCACCTCAGCCTCCCAGGTAGCTGGAACTACAGGCACATGGCACCATGCCTGGCTAATTTCTTGCAGTTTTTGTAGAGAGGGGGTTTCACTATGTTGCCCAGGCTGGGCTGTGGAAATTTTAAAAAATAAGACAACAATGGACTTGGTGTCTCACGTCTGTAATTCCAGCACTTTGGGAAGTCGAGCCCGGAGGACTGCTTGAGGCCATGAGTTCAAGACTAGCCTGGGCAACATAGTGAGACTCTGTCTCGGGGAAAAAAAGACAACAATGATGTTTGTTGCACTGATGGATTCTTTCCTTCATGACAGATTTCTCTATAGCATGTGATGCTGTTTGATAGCATTTTACCATAGAAGACCTTTCAAAGTTGGGGTCAATCCGCTCATACCACGCTGCAGCTTTACTGAGTTTATATAATATTCTAGATTCTTTGCTGTCATTTCAACAATGTTCATAGCATCTTCATCAAGAGTAGATTCTATCTCAGGAAACCACTTTAAGAAGCAACTCTTAATCTGTTCATGTTTTATCCTGAGATTGCAGCAATTCAGTCACATCTTCAGGCTCTACTTCTAATTCTAGTTCTTGCTATTTCCATCACATCTGCAGTTACTTACTTCTGTGAATCTTGAACCCCTTAAAGTGATCCATGAGGGTTGGAATCAACTTCTTCCAAATTCCTGTTAATGGTGATATTTTGACTTCCTCCCATGAACCACAAATGTTCTTAATGGGGAATCCTTTCCAGAAGGTTTCCAATTTTTTCCCCCAGATATATCAGAGGAATCACTATCTATGGCAGCTATGGCCTCACAAAATATATTTCCTAAATGTTAAAACATGAAAGGTAAACTGACTCTTTGATCCATGGAATACAGAATGGATGTTGTGTTAGTGCACATGTAAACAATATTAATCTCCTTGTACATCTCCCTTAGAGCTCTTGGGTGACAAGGTGAATTGTCAATAAGCAGTAATATTTTGAAAGAAATCCTTTCTTGTAAGCAGTAGGTCTCAATAGAAGGCTTAAAACATTTGTGACACCCCACCGGGTGCAGTGGCTCACACGTAATCCCAGCACTTTGGGAGGCCAAGGCGGGTGGATCACCTGAGGTCTGGAGTTTGAGACCAGCCTGGTCGATATGGTGAAACCCTGCCTCTACTAAAAATAGCAAAATTAGCTGGGCCTGGTGGCACATGCCTGTAATTCCAGCTACTTGGGAGGCTGAGGCAGGAGGATCACTTGAACCTGGGAGGCAGAGGTTGCAGTGAGCCGAGATCGTGCCATTGCACTCCAGTCTGGGTGACAAGAGCAAAACTGCGTCTCAAAAAAAAAAAAAGTGGTAATCATGCTATAAATAGATGTGCTGTCACCAAGGCTTTGTATTTCCATTTATAGAGCACAGGCAGAATATATGAAGCGTAATTCTTAAGGGCCCTAGGATTTTCAGAATGGTAAATAAGCATTTGCTTTGGTTTAAAGTCACCAGCTGCATTGGCCCCCGCAAAAGGGGTCAGCATGTCCTTTGAAGCTTTGAACCGAAGCATTGACTTCTTTTCTCTAGCTATGAAAGATCTAGAGGGCACCTTCTTCCAGTATAAGCCTGTTTCATCTACACTGAGAATGTGTTGTTTAGTGTAGGCACCCTCATCGATGATCTTGCTAGATCTTCTGGATAACTTGCTGCAGCTTCTATATCAGCACTTGCTGTTTCACGTTGCATTTTTATATTATGGAGATGGCTTTCTTTAAACCTCATGAGCCAACTTCTGCTAGCTTTGAATTTTTCTTCTGCAGCTTTTTCACCATTCTTAGCCTTCATAAAATTGAAGTGAGTTAGGGCCTTGCTCTGGATTAGGCTTTGACTCAAGAGAATATTTTGACTGGTTTGATCAGTCCAGATCACTCAAACTTGCTCCATCTCAGCAATGTTTGTTTTGCTTTCTTATCATCCATGTGCTTAATGAAGTAGCACTTTTCATTTCCTTCAAGAACTTTTCCTTTCTATACATAACTTGGCTGTTTGGCACAAGAGGTCTAGCTTTTGGCCTATCTTGGCTTTTTTTTTTTTTTTTTCTTGAGATGCAGTCTCGCTCTTTCACCAGGCTGGAGTGCAGTGGCGCAATCTTGGTTCACTGCAACCTCCGCCTCCCGGGTTCAAGCGATTCTCCTGCCTCAGCCTCCCGAGTAGCTGGGACTACAGGTATGTGCCACCACACCCAGCTAATTTTTGTATTTTTAGTAGAGACAGGGTTTCACCATGTTGGCCAGGATGGTCTCAATCTCTTGACCTCGTGATCTGCCCACCTCAGCCTCCCAAAGTGCTGGGATTCTATCTTGGCTTTTGACATGCCTTCCACACTAAGCTTAATTGTTGCTAGCTTTTAATTTAAGGTGAGAGACATGTGACTCTTTCTTTCACTTGAACACTTAGAAGTCAGTGTAGAGTTATTAATTGGCCTAATTTCAACATTTTTGTGTTTCAGAGAATGGGGAGGCCCAACAAGAGGGAGAAAGATAGGAGATTGGTTGTTGAAGAAGTCAGAACACACACATTTTATGGATTAAGTTAATCATCCTCTATGGATGCGGTTTATGGTGCACCAAAACAATTACATGGTAACATCAAAGATCGCTGATCACAGATCACCAAAACAGATATAATAATAATGAAAAAGTGTGAAATATTGTGAGAATTACCAAAATGTAACACATAGACACGAGTGAGCACATGCTGTTGGAAAAATGGTGCCAGTAGGCTTGCTTGATGCCAGGGTTGCAGCAAATCTTCAATTTGTAAAAAATGCAGTATCTGTGAAGTCCAGTAAAGTGAAATGCGGTAAAATGAGGTATGCGTGTATTGCTTATTTGGAGACTTTATAAAGATGGAAGCATATAGTATAAATATACAGTTGACCTTCCATATCTGCTGGTTCTGCATCCACTAATACAGCCAACCATAGATCAAAAACATATTTAAAAACCCAATATGACAATAACAATACAAATTTAAAAATATGGTATAGCATAGCATTTACATTGTATTAGGTATTATAAGTAATGTAGAGAGACTTTAAATTATACAGGAGGATGTGTGTAGGTTATATGCAAACACTACACCAGTTTATAGAAGAGACTTGAGCATCTGCGGATTTTGGTATCTGCGAGGGCCTGAAACCAATCTCCCACGGATACTGAGGGATGACTCCACACCGGTTTACCTGTCTATGCCACTGGTGATGGACATTTGGTTTGTTGCCAGTCTGGGGCTATTATTACCAAGCTGCTATGAACATTCTTGTACATGACTCCTGGCATGAGTGTATATGCATTTCTTTAGCGTAAATATATGGCTAGGAGTAGAAATATTGGGTGATAAAGCTGGGCATGATGACATGTACCTGTATTCCCAGCTCTTCAGGAAGCTTGCTGGAGCCAGGAGTTTGACAGCAGCCTGGGCACCATAGGAGACCTGTCTCAAAAGGAAAAAAAAAAAACGGAAACGTTGGGTGACAGAGTACGTAAATCCTCACCTTGACTACAGAATATTTTCCAAGTGGGTTCTCCATGTACATCCTCACTAGCAATTTAGAAGAGTTCTCCCTGTTCCACATCCAAAAAATGATTCTTCATTTTGAGATAATATCCTTCTGTATGAAAAATACTTTTATAAAAAATAAAAAATAATGATGGTTAACAGGTTGCTCTTTTTACATGCCAAAATAAAGATCTACTAGTTCCATTTAGGAACTTCTAAGCTTTTCCTCTGAAATTCTATTGGATCATGACATCTCAAATGCTGTAAACCATTGTTGCACAGAACATACACAGTGTAGATTTTTTTTTTTTTTTTTTCTTGAGACGGAGTCTCACTCTTGTTGCCGAGGCTGGAGTACAGTGGCGCCATCTCAGCTCACTGCAACCTCCACCTCCTGGCTTCAAGCAATTCTCCTGCCTCAGCCTCCTGAGTAGCTGGGATTACAGGCACGTGCCACCACGGCTGGCTAATTTTTGTATTTTTAGTAGAGACGGGGTTTCATGTTGGTCAGGCTGGTCTCGAACTCCTGATCTCATGATCCACCCACCTCGGCCTCCCAAAGTGCTGGGATTACAGGCATGAGCCACCGTGCCTGGCTCTTTTTTGTTTTTTAACATCAAAAACCACTTAATGTATATAGTAGTCAGCCTCCAAGATGGTCTGCAGTGCACCTCCTTTCTTGGTATTCATGCCTTTGTGCAGACTATTCCCACATATTAGGTAAGGGCTGGTTTTGCAAACAATAGAAGTGTCAGTGAATGAGTTCCCCAAACTAGGTCATAAAAGACATTGCTGCTTCAACATTGGAGCAATTGCTTCAACATTTGGATCAATCACTCTGCAGGGAGTCAGCCACCATGTGAGGATGCTCAAGCAGCGAGATGAGTAGGCCCATATGGAAGAGAACCAATTTACCAACGCCAACTTGTGAATGAAGTGAATGAGCCCCTTGAACACAGAGCCTTCAGCCTCAGTCAAGCCTCCAGATGATTTCAGTCCCCCAGTCCTTGAGTTTTCCAGCTGAGATCACAGAAATCATAAAGCAGAAACAAGCCATGCCCTTCTGCCCTGTCTGAATTCCTGATTCACAGAAACCATGAGATAATATATGATTATTTTTGATTTTAGCCCCCAGGTTTGGGGATAATTTGTTACACAGCAAGATATAACTGATACAACTCACATGACCATCAAGGAAGGTCAAAAATTGGCCAAAAATTTGGATTTTTGAATGACTTCACACAGCAATATAAAGATCTAGTACTTCTATTTAGGCCTTAATTTTTTTTCTGAGTCCAATTATGCCTCTAGATTTAATTACAAGTTTAGAAGAACTAGAAGTGACATGGAGATATGTTAAACAAACACACTGCAGAGAATATAGGAAATTCTAAAGCACAAATTACTCATTTTCTTCAATCAATAAACTGAAAAAACAAGATGAGGAGGGGAACCTGTAAATTAAAAGAGGCGTAAGAATAGGTTGTATTCTTCCCAATAACAGATGCTGTCTCCTATAGGGAAAATTACACTTCCCGTCTCTCTGCTGACATCAGCTTTGACCATGCGGTTTGCTTTGACCAGTGAAATGTGAGCAAATGTGATGGTTGATTGCTACTTCTGAGCAGAAACTTTAAAAGACATTGTGTGTTTCAGCCATTCCTCATTTCCATCTGCCAGGAACTGGGCATATCCCAAACACAGATTGTTTCTTTAGCTTGTAGCCAGGAGTGAAGAGGATGCAGGGCTGACTCACAGTGGAAACTCACGTGAGCAGGAAATAAATCTGGGTTGTTGTAAGCCACTCCAATTTTGAAGTTGTCTGCTAAACATAACAGCATAACATAATGTACTCTGACTCATATAAGTAATGTTTCAAATACAATATGTAAACCTTGTTAGGATCTTGACTTATGGGACAATTGAAGAAATTTGAGTACGTACTAGATATTTTTGATGATAATTAAGAAATTGCTATTAATTTTTTAGGTGTGTGGATGGTATTGCAGTTAGGTTTAAAAGAACAAAAAGAGGCCGCTCATGCCTGTAATCCCAGTACTTTGGAGGCCGAGGCAAGAGGATTGTTTGAGTCCAGGAGTTCGAGTACAGCCTGGACAACATAATGAGACCCCATCTCTATTTAAAAAATAGAGAACAAAAAGAATTCCTATATTTTGGATACATGTTTCAGAGGAAAGGGAGAGTAGGTGAGGGAATATTTGAAACAAGGTTGGCCATGAGTGGACAACTGTTGAGCCGTGTGGTAGATACATGTCAATTTATCATACTATTCTCCCTACTTTTGTAGATGTTCAGAAATTTCCATAATAAAAACTTTTATTTTTTTTTAGACAGAGTCTCGCTGTGTCGCCTAGGCTTGAGTGCAGTGGCACTATCTCGGCTCACTGCAACCTCTGCCTCCCGGATTCAAGTGATTCTCCTGCCTCAGCCTCCTGAGTAGCTGGGATTACAGGCGTCTGCCACCACGCCCGACTAATTTTTGTATTTTTAGTAGAGATGGGGTTTCGCCATGTTGGCCAGGCTGGTCTTGAACTCCTAACCTCAAATGATCCACCCACCTCGGCCTCCCAAAGTGCTGCGATTACAGGTATGAGCCACCATGTGCAGCCCATAATAAAAAGTTTAAAAGAAAGGGTTTGTTGACATGATTCCCAGAGTTGTCCCTTGACTCCCAAAGGGGTTCAGAAAATATGGGAGCTGGAAGGATTGAGCTGACCACTTAGGTTTATGAGTGTGAATACACAAAATAGATGTTTGGGTCAGGCCTCAGGAATAAGATACTGAGACTGATTATGTTCAGTGAGAAAGATGTTTCCTTGGGAGCATTACATCAGGTCAGAGCAGTATCAGGGAAAGTTTGAGAGCACTGGAGAGCTGTAGGGAGCTGAGGTGTCAGCCTCCACCTCAACTGAGAAATAGGAGAGGTGTGGCGTAAGTAGACGCATTATCCGCCTATTGGCTAAAAACAAATGTAGTATCTGTTCCTATCAGTTAAAGCATCAAATGTGGTCTCTAAGTTCAGGGAATTAAATTAATATTTGGAATTGGGAGATGGTTTGGGAGCTTGCTCTATCCTCTCCATGCCTCAGCATGTAATTGCAATGCTTTCAGGAGTGGTGCATTCCTTTTGAGTTAATGACAGATTGTTTTCTTTTGTTCCCCTAGTGTTCTACAAAGTGCTCTAATTCACTGTTAATGAGGCTCCAGACTGCATTTCCACCATTTGTGCTGCAAAAAATAGAGTTTCCCATAAGTGAAGTTGACAAAGCAGTGGGCTTGAGCTATCTTGCCAGTACCACATCCAAGAGAGTGTTGGACAAGAAGATCACTTGAGTGAGGGGCAGCCTGGGGTGAGGGGGAGAACAGGCTGAGCTAGAAATCCCACGTCAAGGGACTGTGTGCCGGGACATGTGTCCCCAGGGAGCAACAACATGGGCAGCTACAGAGGGGGAAGAAGTTCTCTTGGAGTTACAGAGGCAGCAGCAACCTCGGTGACAGCACCCAGTGCCCACCCCCTCCATCCCTTATCTAGAGGAGTCAAGTAAAATGACCGTGCCTCTCATTCTGTCTTCCAAACCTAGGGTGGTCCTCTCTGAGAAAGGAGGAGAAGATGGGTATGCAAGAGCAGATATAGCTCCCATCCTTGCCCTTGCTGGACTGGCAGGTACTGGGACAGTGGGGCAGGAGAACAGAGAACTTGAAATTCCCTGCTTTTGACATTTTGTTTTTGTGATTGAATTTCAAAATGAATGGGATGCCATGTGTGGTGGCTCACGCCTGTAATCCTAGCACTTTGGGAGGCCAAGGTGGGTGGAAGACCTCAGCTCAGGGGTTTGAGACCAGCCTGGGCAACATGGTGAAACCCTGTCACTATTAAAATACAAAAAATTAGCTAGGTGTTGTGGTGCATGCCTGTAATCCCAGCTACTCGGGAGGCTGAGGCATGAGAATTGCTTGAACAGGGAGGCAGAGGTTACAGTGAGTCGAGATAGTGCCACTGCACACCAGCCTGGGGGATAGAGTAAGACTGTCTCAAAAAAAAAAAATAATAATGAAACAGAGCATTTAGAAATGGGACTGGGAAGTTATGGAATTGAATGGAGACATCATTAAGACATCAAGAGAGCCTAATGCCCAGAGTAAAGCAGGGATTCCACAAGAATAAGCTGAGAGCAGTCAAATAGTTTCATGCTTACACCCCAATGAGTTGTTGCTCCTCAATGATTATAGGGTTTCTTCACTTCCCCTATCAATACAACAAAAAACAAAAACAAAACCTTTGGTTAAGATCCACTTCAAAGTAGACAAAGCCTTTCTTTGGCAATTGCCCTCTGAATCTTTCTTCCCTTCTGCCTTCTCTCCCTCATCCTGCAATAAATCCATGCCCTCCTGCTACCCTCCTTGCAATTAACAAGAGCCAAACTTATGTACCATCAAGGACACTAAAAATAAGTATCTATATTTTCTTCTAATATTTTGCCTACTGTGACCTACTTTCAGTTAAATTTCAAAAGCAAACGAGTGAGATGTGTCCTAAATAAACATGCCTATGAACTCTGCTGTGGTGTTGGCTGCATAGTTTTTGTACCATAACCAAATACTTGTTTTCTATACAGAGCAAAAATTTAAAAGATTTCCTGTGTTGATATGTTGATATTTAAATTATAAAATTCCACTTGCTTCATCAAAAATCTATTTCTTTGAGGACCGTTTCCCACTGATAATTCTGGTATTAAAGAGCTCTAGTTAGTGCTACCTCTGATGTGCCCAAGTCACATGTAGAATCACTTCCAATCTGCCCACACATCTGAAAATACATTTTCCAGCAATTATAATATCAAGAGCTGTGAAGCTTCCTTGCAAACACAGCATTGTATCAGCCGATGTTATTTTAATCATTCACTTTTAATGAGACACCTATGAATATCTTTAAAAATCAGAGTCAAAGGCAGGCTGTCACCTAAAAAAAAAGTCAAGTTGTGGTTTGAGGGTTTTACCGACATTAGACAATTATTGTAATAATTTAAATACTTCAGCTTAAACAGCAAGATATATGTTTGTGCTTTCAAAGTGAGTTCTAATATTCACCCTAGCAGTTGCTAATTAACATTTGAAGTAGTCTGATGGGGAATAACCCTCCAGGGGGTGGTTTGTTAGCATTTAAGGGCCCTAATCAGCACCTTGGACTTGGAATCTATAGCTACTATAGCTCCTTCAACTATTCCTTTCTGAATCTACACTAGTGAATTTATTGTTTAGCATAAGAGATGTTAGAAATAACTTCTTAGGCTGGGCGTGGTGGCTCATGCCTGTAATCCCAGCACTTTGGGAGGCCGAGGCAGGAGGATCACTTGAGGCCAGGTGTTTGAGACCAGCCTGGGCAACGTAGTGGAACCCCATCTCTACAAAAAATAGAAAAAGTTAGTCCAGTGTGGTAGTGTGTCCCTGTGGTCCCAGCTACTCAGTTTTGGGTGAGCCCAGAATGGTACTCCAGGCTTAGGTGTTTGTTTAGTATTGTGCCTGCCACTGAAGGCAGCACCCAGTAGTTTGATCCACTGGATTCTGCTCTGGGGCATTGTGGCGTCTGGTTCAAGTGAATACTTCATGGAAGACTATGGCCAGAGAGTCTGGAGCTCACCAAGCTTATGAGGCTGATTTGCCTGACTCAGGCTTGTTTGCTGATAGGCCCAAGACTCACTTTCATGGACCTCATCACCCAGTGACCCTGTGCAGGGGCAGAAGATCCAAGCTCCCGTGACTCAAAGGGGTGAAGGCCCCAGCAAGGCACTAACAACAGTGTACCACCAAACTGATTTGAACAAGTTAACAACATTTAACTATCCGCAAGTAGTTACCATGAGATGTATTTAATAATAATTTTTAAAAGAGGGCCAAATAGGAAAAAAAAATCTACATGTGATGGTCAAACTTCAAGGAAGATTTATAGAAAAACATGTGGCTTTGTCTATATAATTATAATAATAGAATTATATGGGGCTTACTATGTGCCAGTAACTATTCTAAGCCATACCTTAGTAAAGACATACTATTATCTTAGTATTATTATTATTTTGGAGGCAGAGTTTTCTGTGTTGCCCAGGCTGGCCTTGAACTCCAGGGCTCAAGTGATCCTTCTGTCTCAGCTTCTTGTATTCAGAAACCAAGGGACTACAGGTATGCACCACTGTGCCCAGCTCATCACATTATTATTCCCATCTTACTGATGAGGAAACTGAAGCACAAAATGTGACTTGTCCTAGGTTCTACAGATCAGGTAAGTGGGGGAGCAATGATTTGAATTCAGGCAGTCTGACTCTGGAATCCAGGCTTGTACCTGATTTAGATACCGTAGTTTCCTTTCTGAAGAATAACAGTTGGTATGTGACTAGAAGCCACAATAGGAATTTATAGGGTTAAAGAAAACTGGACTTGCTATAAAAGCCCAGGGGAAAACTAAGGAATTCTGAGGTTTTCCTTGACTTCAGGAAAGGCTCTTACCAACAAGAGATTTTTTTTCTCTCAAGCATCATTTCAGCAGCAGACTTCTGTGATGAATTAAAAATAAAGATCTGTCGCTTGGTTGATGATGTGTATAACAGTTTTCCTAGACGCAACAAAACTGTGGAATTTTAGAAGGCTTTGAAGAAAAAGGCAGACAACTTGCCTCTCTCTTTTCCGTATTTGACTTCCTTTCTTTTTATATCTCCCTATAATATCTTATACCAGAACAACCATTCACACATGAAGTTACTGATCTAAGTCACAGCAAAACATTCATGTTTTTCTATGTTCCTTTCAGCCTCTCAGTGAGGGCAAAAGTTGGGATAATCTGATTACTAGCATGGTTATTTAGTGGACTCTTCACCAGCAGCTGTAAACCTGATCTTGCATCTTTCCTTTGCAAGTTCCTCTCTGGCCATGGCTCTTAGAGGGGACATAAACCGCCAGCCACAACCATCATTCTATGGATTTTTTTAAAAACCCATTTACTCACCTTAATTTCTGCAACAGAATTTTATCCACATATTAAATAAGTGAGTGTTTGGAGGTCCACTCAGGGCCCCTTCCCATTTTCCTGTCACTAAGGCAACGTGGTACTCATCAGCAGCAGCCCTGTCTCCCCAACTAGCTCCGTGTATATTCAGGATCCTGGTGAATGACTCATTCAACCACATTACACAGAGCTATAGAAAACTGACCCTGAGCATAGCAGACTAACAATGGTTTTGGGGGCTGCCAGATTCCAAAACTTTTAGAGGTTCTAAGATATTTAGGGTTCTTGTAACTGTTACTTAGAAAGTTGTCAAGTATTTTTTAAAAAAATCCCCAGTGTTTGCATGTACCAGATTGTTTTTATGTAAAAGTATAATAGTTAAATAATGTATTCATCAAATTTGAATTGAGTATTAGGAATTAATCCCAATGCAAGAAATTTAAGAGGAAAAAGATATAGACCCTGCTGATCTGTTGGGCTGTTTTGGTTGCAGGTGATAGTAACTTAAAATAGCTTAAAAAAAAAAAGGAAATGTATTGACTCATGTAACTGAAAAGTCTGGGTGTAAATTTCAGGCATCACTGGATCAAGAGGACTCAAATGATCTCATTAGGACTCCTTTTTCTGTTTTCATCTCTGCTCATCTTTGCCTGTTTGTGTGCTGGCCTCATTTTCTCTTACCAAAGATAGCTTCCTCCACTATAACCTGAATGAATGGCTATAAGAAGCTCCAGCTTAGATCATTTTTGGAGCTCAAAGAAGTACAGGAATAGAGATCATCTCTCAATAAGAATCCACTTATCAAAAATCTAGAAAGATATTGATTGGCTCTACTTGATCACATGCCCATCTGACTGACCAATCTGGTTAGGGAAATGAAGTCCTCAGATTGGCCACACTTTGATTACCTGCTTCTCCTTTGGATGAGGAGGGTTTACTAGCAGTTGTACAACATGAAATATGTTTTCCACACAGGGAAAGGAGCAAACGATGGACAAAAAGAACAGATATTCACTGTGGTAGTCAGCCCCCAAGATGGCCCCAAATGATCTCCACCTCTTCATACAGTCATGTGTCACTTAACAACGGGGATACATTCTGATAAATGTGTCCATAGATGATTTTGTCATTGTGTGAATGTCATAGAATATACTTACACAAAGCTAGATGGTATTGCTCACTACACACCAAGGCTATATGGTATAACCTATTGCTCCTAGGCTACGAATCTGTACAGCATGCTACTGTATTGTAGGCAATTGTAACATAATGGTGAATGTTTATGTATCTAAACATATCAAAACATAGAAAAGGTACAGTAAAACTATGGTATTTTGATCTTATGGGATTACCATCTTATTTTTGGCCCGTTGCTAACAGAAATATTGTTATGCGGTACATGACCATATTTACACATTCTTCCATAATCTTCTCCTACATGGAATCACGGCTGGCCTGCATGACCAATAGAATATGCAGAAGTGGTGGTGTGTGACCTTCACGGCTAGGTCATAAAACACATTGACGCTTTCACTGTGCTCTGTCTTATATTACTGGCTCTGAAGGAAGTCAGCCACCATGTTGTGAGGATACCCAAGCAGCCCTGTGAAGCGATCCATGTGAAGAGTGTATTAGTCCATTTGCCTTGCTATAAAGGAGTACCCAAGACTCGATAATTTATGAGGAAAAGAGGTTTATTTTGGCTCATAGTTCTGCAGACTGTATAGGAAGTGTGGTGCTAGCATTTGCTTCTGGAGAGGGCCTCAGGAAACTTATAATCATGGCAAAAGGCCTAGGAGCCAGTGTGTCACATGGCGAGAGAGGGACCAAGAGAGAAGGAGGTGCTAGGCTCCTTTTTAAACAAGCAGATCTCACATGAGCTCATTACTGTGGGGAGGGCACCAAGTCATTCATGAAGGATCCACACCTGGGAGCCTCCCACCAGGCTCCACCTCCAGCATTGGGAATCACATTTCAACATGAGATTTAGAGGCCACAATCATCCACACTGTATCAAAAAGGAACTGAGAACTTCTGCTAACCTCTTGTACCAGCTTGCTAGAAATTTGAGTGAGCCATCTTGAAAGTGGATTTTCCAGCCCTAGGCAAACCTTCAGATGACTGCAACCCTGGCCTACATGTTGGCTGCAACTTCATAAGAGGCTTAGGCCCTAAAACACCCAACTAAGCTGCTTCTGAGTTCTTGAACCACAGCAGCTGTGAGTTAATAAACGTTTATTGTTGTTTAAGCCAGCAGGTTTTGGGGGGTAATTTGTTACTCAGGAATAGATAATGAATATAGTCACTACATTTGCTTTCAAGTAGCTCATGGCCCAGTCTGCAGACATAGACATTTAAATGACTAATTCTAATTTGTGGGTGGGGTAGGAAGATAGAGGGGGGTAGAAGAGAGCCTCTGTGAAGGTTTTATGGAGGAGACCACCTCTGAGCTGGACTTTAAGGATGAGCAGGAGGAGGAAGGGAAATCTAGACCAAAGGAACATCATATACTGAAGCCTGAAAGTGAATCACATTCAGGTAAATGCAAATGGAAGAGTGTGGTTGTAGTTAAGGCACCAGTCTATCAGAATCACATAGAGGGCCTAAAAAGTACAGATACTCAGACCCTACCCCTCAGAAATCTGATGATTAGGAAACACTGGTTAGGATTTCCTAGTTTCTTGGGTTTTGGTTGGTTAGTTAGCTGGTTACTGGGAAGGGTGTGTCTGCAGCAGGTTTCTCAGTAGGACTCTGGACCACATGCTACAGAAAGCAGGAAATGTAGGCTCCCTGGAAATCCAGGGGCCCATGACTCACCTGTTCATACACATTTACACTCTGTAAGCCCCTGGAGACTTGGACACCATCAAATTTTGTGGGTGCAGTGAAATCAATGCTTAGAGAGAAATTTATAGCATTGAATGTATATATTAGAAAAGGAGAAAGCTCTAAAATCAATAATCTAAGCTTCCACCTTAGGAAACTAGTAAAAGAAGAGCAAATTAAATTTTAAGTAAGCAGAAAAAATAAACCATAAAAACTAGAGCAAAAACCAATGAATTAAAAATAAGTCAGTAGTGAAAATCAACAGAACCAAAAGCAATGGATAAACTTCTACCCAAGCTAACTAAGAAAAAGAGAGAGAAGATATAAATTACTAATATCGAAAATGAAAGAGGGACATCACTACAGATCCCATAGACATTAAAAAGATAATAAAAAATATTATGAACAACGGTATGCCCACAAAATTGATAATCTAGATGAAACAGACCAATTCCCTGAAATATACAATCTGCCAAAATGCACACAAGAGGAAATAGGCCATCTGAATAGGTCTATATCTATTAAAGAAATTGAATCAATAATTAATAACCTTTCAAAACCAGGACTTGATGGGTTCACTGGTGGATTCTACCAAACATTTAAGGAAGAAATTATACCAGTTATTCACAATCTGTTCCAGAAAATAGATGCAGAGGGAATAGTTTCTAACTCATTCTATGAGGCGGCATCACCCTAATACCAAAACCAGACAAATATGTTACAATAAAAGAAATCTACAGACCAATACTTCTCATAAACATACATGCAAAAATCCTCAACAAAATATTAGCAAGTCAAATTCAACAATGTATAAAAGGAATTATACACTATAACCAAGTGGGATTTATCCCAGGTATGTAAAGTTTGTTCAACATTTGAAAATAAATTAATATTGCCTATTACATCAATGGCTAAAGAAGAAAAGGATCACATGATCTTATCAATAGATGTGGAGAAGCATTTGGCAAAAACCCAACACCCATTTATAATAAAAACTCTCAGCATACTAAGAATAGAGAGGAACATTCTCGACTTAATAAATAACATCTACAAAAAACCTGAAACTAATATATTTAATGGTGAGAAACTTGATGCTTTCCCACTAAGATCAGGAACAAGACAAGGATGTCCCTTCTAACCACTGCTTTTTAATGGAAGTCCTAGCTAATTCAGTGAGACAAGAAAAGGCAGTAAAAGAAATATAGATTAGAAAAGAGTAAATAAGGCCGGGCGCGGTGGCTCATGCCTATAATCCCAGCACTTTGAGAGGCCAAGGCGGGCAGATCACCTGAGGTCAGGAGTTCCAGACCAGCCTGACCAACATGGAGAAACTCCATGTCTACAAAAAATACAAAATTAGCTGGGTGTGGGGGTGCATGCCTGTAATGCCAGCTACTCGGGAGGCTGAGACAGGAGAATCACTTGAAACCGGGAGGTGGAGGTTTCGGTGAGCCAAGATCACACCATTGCACTCCAGCCTGGGCAACAAGAGCGAAACTCCATCTCAAAAAAAAAAAAAAAAAAAAAAAAAGAAAGAAAGAAAGAAAAGAAAAGAATAAATAAAACTGTCTTTGTTTGCAGATGACATAATTGTCTGTGTAGAAAATCCAGAAGAATTGACAACAATAACAACAAAACCTCCTGGAACTAGTAAGCAATTATAGCAAGGTTACAGGATACAGGATACGAGGTATCCTGTATACAGCAAGGTTAATATGCAAAAGCTAACCACTTTCCTATATATCAAAATGATACTGTGGAACTAAAATATATTACCATTTACATTAGCACCCCCCAAAATGAAATATTTAGGTATAAATCTAATAAAATATGAGCAAGATCTATATAAGAAAAACTATAAAATTCTACTGAAAGATATCAAAGAATAAGTAAATAGAATAACTAAATAAATGGAGCGATATTCCATGATCATCTTAGTCTTAACTTAGTAAGATTATTCATGATCATGCAATTAAGAATTAAGGTTGATTAAATATTTTCAGGATGTCAGTTCTTCTCAACTTCATAGATTCAATACAATTCCAATAAAAATCACAGCAAGTTATTTTGTGGATATTGACAAATTAATTCTAAAGTTTACATAGAGAGGCAAAACAAAACAAAACAAAACAAAACAAAACACGAAACCAGAATAGCAAACGTAATATTAAAAGAGAAGAACAGGCTGGGTACGGTGGTTCATGCCTGTAATCTCAACACTTTGGGAGACCGAGGGTGGTGAGTCACCTGAGGTCAGAAGTTTAAAACCAGCCTGGTCAACAGAGTGAAACCTCATCTCACACTTGATCTTAGCCAAAAGGCCGAGAAGCGATGTGAAACCTCATCTCTAATAAAAATACAAAAATTAGCCGGGCGTGGCGGCACATGCCTGTAATCCCAGACACTTAGGAGGCTGAGGCAGGAGAATTCCTTGAATCTGGGAGGCAGAAGTTGCAGTGAGGTGAGAGCATGCCACTGCACTATAGCCTGTGTAACAATAGTGAAACTCCATCTCAAAAAAAAAAAAAAAAAAGAAGAAGAAAAAGAACAAAGTCAGAGAACTGACATTCCCTAACTTCAAGACTTACTATAAAGCTACAGTAATTAAGATAGTGCAGTACTGATGAAAGAATAGATAAAGAGATCAATGGAACAGAATAGAAAGCCCAGAAATAGATCCACATAAAAATAGTCAGCTGATCTTTGACAAAAGAGCAAAGACAACATAATGGAGCAAAGATAATCTTTTCTTTTTTTTGAGACAGAGTCTCGCTCTGTCATCCAGGCTGGAGTACAGTGAAGCAATCTTGGCTCACTGCAAGCTCCGCTTCCCGGGTTCACGTCATTCTCCTGCCTCAGCCTCCCGAGTAGCTGGGACTACAGGTGCCCGCCACCACGCCTGGCTAATTTTTTTTGTAATTTTTTTAGTATAGATGGGGTTTCACCATGTTAATCAGGATGGTCTGGATCTCCTGACCTCGTGATCCACCTGCCTTGGCCTCCCAAAGTGCTGGGATTACAGGCGTGAACCACTGCACCCAGCCTCAAAGATAATCTTTTCAACAAATGGTACTGGAATGACTGGACATCCACAAGCAAAATAAAATAAAATAAAATAATAATAATCTAGATGTACACCTTACACCTTCACAAAAATTAACTCAAAATGGATCATGGATGTAGATATAAAGTTCAAAACTATAAAACTCCTAGAAAATAACTTAGGAAGAAAACTAGATGACCTTGAATATAGTGGTGACTTTTTAGGTAAAACACCAAAGGCACAATCCACAAAAGAAATAATTTTTAAGCTGGACTTCATCAAAATGAAAAACTTTTTTTTTTTGCTCTGCAAAAGACAATGTCAAGAGAAAAGAAAAGACAAACCACAGATTTGGAGAAAATATTTGCAAAGGACACATCTGATAAGGGACTATTATCCAAAATATACAAAGAATTCTTAAAACTAAACCAGAAGAAAATGAATAACTTGATTAAAAAATGGACAAAAGATCCGTTATGGTTAGAGTGCAGTTTGTCCCCACCAAAACTCATGTTGAGGCTTAGACCTCAATGGGATGGTGTTGGGAGATGGCGAATTTAAGAGGTAATTAGGTTGTTAAGATAGATTAATGTCTTTCTTGAGAGACTGTTAGTTCTCCCAGGAATGGATTAGTTCCTTGCAGAGCTGGTTGGTATAGGGAGGTTGCCTCTTGTATTTTGCCCTTTGTCACATTAGCCTAGCTCCTCTTTCATTTCTCTGCCATGTTTCGATGCAGCCTGAGGCTTCACCAGAAGCCACCAGATGTGACCACCCAATTTTGAACTTCCCAGCCTGCAGACCAGTGAGCTAAATAAACCTCTTTTCTTTGTAAATTACCCAGTCTTAAGTATTCTGTTATAGCAACACAAAACAAAATAAGACAAGATCTGAACAGACATATCACCAAAGAACATATACAGATGGTAAGTAAGCATGTGAAAAGACGTTCAACATACATCATTAGAAAATTGCAAATTAAAACACCAGTGAGATACCACTATACACCTATTAGAATAGCCAAAATTCAGAACACTGACAATGCCAGATGCTGGTGCTGATGTGGAACAACAAGAATTCTCATTCATTGCTGGTAGGATTTCAAAATGGTACAGCCACTTTGGAAGACAGTTTGGCAGTTTTTTAAACAATTAAAATATTTGATACTTGTCCAGATAAATTGAAAACTTATATCTACAGAAAAACCCAGGCCAGGTGTGGTGGCTTACACCTGTAATTCCAACACTTTTGAAGGCTGAGGTGAGGGGATTGCTTGAGCTCAGGAAATTCAAGACCTACCTGGGGATATTGTGAGAACCTTTCTCTACAAAAAATAAAAAATTTAGCTGGACATGGTGGCATGTGTCTGTAGCCCCCAGCTACTCAGGAGGCTGAGGTGGGAAGGTCACTTGAGCTTGGGGAGTTCGAGGCTGCAATGTGCTAATGTAGGTTCATGAATTGTAACAAATGCATCACTTGTGGGGGATGTTCATATTTGGGGAGGTTGTGCTTGTGTGGGAACAAGGGGTATATGAAAACTCTCTATTCTTCCTGCTTAACTTTGCTGTGAAACTAAAACTGCTCTAAAAAATAAAGTTTATTAATTAAAAAAAAAAAGAGAGTGGAAATTCCAGTTTAACATCCATATTCTTAAACCTACATTTGAGAAGGTATTTTCTTGCCTTTACTAATTACAAGTTGAAACGAAGGAAGAGAGCACCCTCCTCTCTTTTGGGGTGCACCTACAATGTAGGGACTGTCCTTGGAGTAGTAGTCATTTCATTTCTATTGATAAGCTCTCTGGGAGCAGTCAGATGATAAGTGGAGAATGGCATATGGAAGGCTTCTGATGCAAATGGCCTTTCATGTTCCTGGGCTACCATATAGCTACAGGGAGCTCTGCACTTGCCAGAGCAGATCACAGAAAAGAAATGCAAAGAAGGGAGGAGGGAGGAAGGGGCATAATAGTTTAGTCTAACTGTAACCAAACTTTATAAAAATTAAATTCCAGAAAAGAGAGAGATTATCAGGCAATTACTTGCTTTATAGAAATATTTCAATATTTTATAAAAACATTTAAAATATTTTTAAGAGGTAATACACCCGAATATATGGAATAATAAAAGCCAATAGCACACACTATGTTCATTGTTCTGCTTTCCATGTAGTTGACTCATTTAATCCTCATTATAATCCTCATTTTACCACTGAGACAATTTAGGGTCACAAACACACAACCACTAAAGGGCAGCAGAGCTGTTTCCAAAGTCATGCTCTTAACTTGACCACTCCCTCAATAAGAAACAAAAAGAATGTTCTCCTCTCCTGAAGACACCATTTCCTGGAGATTCTTCCAGAAGATTGATAATTCAAGGAAACTTCTTTTGCAGATTCATTCAAGTGTGTTTTTCAATAAGCAGTTTGGAGAATGGATTCAAATGCTCCTTTCCATTCACACAGCTAGTTCTGAGCCACAAACTCTGAAGTCCCCCAGTCGCCTGCAGAGAGGCACTGCCTGTTACATCGCCACCTGTAAGTCCACAGACCCACAAACAAGGGGCTTCTGATTTACTAGGCTTCTCCCTGCTGGTCCACAGAGCAGTTAATCTTCTGCCCCCGGGCAGAGTTTGACAGCTCCCAAGGGTCCCATGAAGTGCTCTTTTCAAAGAGAAATTCTCAATCACATAAATTTGAAACAGACTTGGTCTGGATCCAGGTACAGATTCCCCACTCCCCCATAGCCCCAGGCAGTAGTTGGCTACACTTCACTTCCTGGGTTTTTTGAGTCCTCTGATGCAGACTAGTGTTTTCCTTCAATAAAACAGTGATTTAAAAACCTTCATTCTTCCTGTTTTGAGACTGTGCCAGGGCATAACATTCTGTCTTCACCAAGGAGTACACAAAAATCAGCTGGGGCTCTGTGGCCACCCCCATGGTAGATAATCAGATAAACACTCCATTAGACCTATCCATCTACTTTTGGAAGAATCTTTTACCTTCATCCAATTAGAACTATTTTTCATTCCTCTTATTTTTCCTCACTTGAAGTTTTATTTTGATTGTTCCTAAGTATTCATTTTCCCTCAGACATTCAGATTATTCCTTATTTTAGATTAGTGCCCACAGGCTCTCCTCACCTCTACTAGGGTGCCTTAATGGTTTTATGATGATGATAATGGCAAGGAAAGAGTTTCCTTCTCTTTCTGTAAACCCTAACTAAAAAGAAAAATATGCAAAGAATGTTTTCTACTTGTGGGGCAGTGGTGATAGCAGTAGGAGGCAGGCAAATCCTAGGCAGACAGGGATGAATCCCTAGTGAAACCTCACCTTCAAATCAAAGACAATTTAAAGCCTGAAAACCAAGCTACAAATCTTGGATAAATCTTGGAACCTCTCTTCCTGTTTGGTGCACTTTCCTCTGATTGATCCCTACCCTTCACTTATTTTTCGTATACCTACCCTTCCCTAATTGATTTTGTACACGGTCATGCCCATCTCTGAGTGGTGCCTTTTTTTAGGCTGTTTTGCATACTCACAAACCAATCAGCACACACTACCCAATTCAGAGTGCATAAAAGCCTCGGACTCAGCTGCACTTTGGGACTACATGACTTTGGGTGGGGGACTGCCCCTTTTGGGTCCCCTCTTCATAGAGAACTGTTCTGTGCTCAATAAAACTCTCCACCCGACTCACTCTTCAGTTGTCAGCATAACCTTGCTGGGTTATGCTGACATAATTCTTCTTGGGTGTAGGACAAGAACTTGGGACCTGCCTAACGCAGGTCCCAAGTAACCCTGTAACACTGTAGCCCTCTGCACTCTGCCAGTGCCAGGTGGCTGCCCCATGTGATGGGAAGCAGTGGTGGGGCCAGGCCAGCCCAGGGGGCATGGGCCGGAGCAGGGCAGAGGGACTGAAAGAGCTATTAGCATGCCCCCATCCACTCCAAGCTATGGACGGCGGGAATGACACCCCTTGGGGCTCTGTGTTTTTTTGGCATCTCCAAGTTTTCAAGTACCAACGCATCCCCCTTGTCTGGTCACTGGAACCCACTGAGGGAGTCACTTGTGACACACCTGGTTCAGACACATACCCCGTGCAGAGCCTGTGGGCTGCTTGGAGCAGCCCACCCACCATAGCAGCAGCCCGCCCGCTGCAGCAGCTGACACACCTGACTGTGTGCTGTGGCCAGGCCCTGTGCTTGCTTGCTCATGCACCCCCTCTCGCTGCAGGCTGAGTACGCAGTTGCAGTGGTCATGGGATCCTGGCCAGGGCACAAGCCAAGCACAGCCTGCGGGGCCAAGTAGGCAGGGTGCCTCCAGTGGTGAGTCTGAAGCCGAGTGAGGCCCTGGGCAAGGGTGTCACCAGCTGCAGAGGTCTCTGGCTGGCGAACTGGCACCAAAAAATCCTGCGTCATTTCTACAGGGAACATTTATGAGGGAAGAAGGTGTATAGTAAATTTCTAGCAGCCCTACAGTTTTTAGTAATAATTTCATTTGAAGTCCATTGCTGGTGTTCTCACTTCTAAGTCAGAGCTAAGCATTGGGTACACATTGGGTTTCCATAAAGACGGGAACAATAGACATGGGGGACTGCAATAGGGGAAGGAGAGGGAGTGGGGCAAGGACTGGAAAACTACCTATTGGGTACTATGCTTACTGCCTGGGTGATAGGACCATTGGTACCCGAAAGCTCAGTGCTACGCAATATACCCATGTAACAAACCTGCACATGTATACCCCATGAATCAAAATAAAAGTTGAAATTATATATACATATAAGTTGTAAATATTTATAATGCATAATATATAAAATATATAATCATATATATATGATAAGTCCATTGCTGGGCATCTCATCCTTCTGCACTCATTTTATCACTGACTGTATTGATATGGAAATCCTTAATGCTGTTTTGGTCATTTTTCCAGGCACGTAGTAGGTCTGTACTTCATTGTTCCTTTAGAGGTGAGACCATGTGATTTGCTTCGGCCAGTGGAATATGAGAAGTGATATGTGTCATATCTAGGTGAAAATTTCAAATCCTATGATTCCTCAGGTCTGCTTCCCAGTGCTGCAGTGGTTGTAGGAGTAAATGTTGAGATGGAGACTCCATGGTCTTCATCCTGGAGTAACAGTGACTAGAAGAGCTCCCTTGCAATCTGCAATGGACAGTGAAAAATTACTTTTGTTGTGTTAAGCTGCTGAGGTTTGGGAGATGTTTGTTACTATCTAGCCCTTCCTGGCTGATAAAATTCCAGAACAATCACAAATAAATATTGAAGAGCATCGATGGATGTTTGTCTCAGCCCATGAGTACAAAAATTAAAGTCTGCCTTTACATCTGATTGAGCAATCTCAGATGAAATATCAATTCAATTTATTCACTTAGCAAGTATCTACTGAGGAGCTTCTGTGTACAAAGCACTACATGAAGGGTAAAAAAATCTGTATTTGGCTGGGTGCAATGGGACTCATGCCTGTAATCTCAGCACTTTGGGAGGCCAAGGTGGGCGGATCACTTGAAGTCAGGAGTTTGAGACCAGCCTGGCCAACATGGTGAAACCCCGTCTCTACTAAAAATACAAAAATTAGCTGGGTGTAGTGGTGGGCACCTGTAATGCCAGCTACTTGGGAGTCTGAGGCAGGAGAATTGCTTGAACCCGGAAGGCAAAAGTTGCAATAAGCCGAGATTGCAGCACTGCACTCCAGCCTGGGTGACAGAGCAAGACTCCATCTCAAAAAAACAACAACAAAAAATAACAAAACAAAACAAAACAAACCCAAAACTGTATTTGATTGGTAGGACTATTTTGACTATTTTTTAAATAAAACACCAAAATTCCAGATAGTTCAAAACAGCCAAAATGACTAGGTATCTAAGATTCTGTACAGAGTGCTTTATTCCCAATTTTACATTGTCTGCGAGCATTTTTCAATTATAAAATTGTTAAAGGGGGCTGGGCACAGTGGCTCATGCCTATAATCCCATCACTTTGGGAGGCTGAGGTGGGCAGATCACCTGAGGTCAGGAGTTCGAGACCAGCCTGACCAATATGGTGAATTGCTTGAACCTGGGAGGCAGAGGCTGCAGTGAGCCGAGATCGTGCCACTGGAGTGCATCACTGCACTTCAGCCTGAGTGACAGAGCAAGAATCCGTCTCAAAAAAGAAAAACAAAATTGTTAAAGGATAGCTTTCAAAAAGAGGTAAAATCATGATTCTCTTGCAGCTATAAAATAAACACGTGTCAAAGATTTTACTCAATTCATTATTTAATGAATAAACTGTAGACATATTACAACTGATTCAAAGGAGAAGTCAAAAGCACCACAATTTTATATGGAGTAAGGGAATGTTAAAATGAATTTACAAAGGGAAACAAAACTGGCTTTTTTCACTAGAGTGGGGAGTTTGTGGGCTTTGGGAGGAGTAAAATGAAACCACCACACCACAATTCACTGCAGATTTTATTTGCATGACAATGGATAAGAATTATTTTGGATTGCTATCAATTACCTACAAATTACAGTCATAAAATAACTCAAAGTCAACAATTAGATAAACAGTGTGTTCTAGACATACAGTTTTTCACTGGAGATACCTAGTAATCTCTTTGCTTATTCTAAATTTATTTACAGAGTGAATCCTCTAAATAAAAAATAGAAACAAATAAATAAGACCATTTGCTCAGTGCTTTCTTAGTGCTGGGCAATGTGCTAAGTAAGGCCTTTACATACATTATCATTAGATGGATGGCATTGTTACTATTTTACAGATAAGAAAACAGATTGACTTGCCTAATATTCCAATATTTAAATACAAGTCTGACTGATTCCAAAGCTTTTAATGTCTTAAAAATAAGATAATGACAAAATTTTCTAAAAATTTAACATACAGTAAACTTGACATTTTTATTCCGTGAATTTTAATGCATGTGTAGATTTTTCTAACCACAATCACAATCTGGATATAGAACTATTCCATCACCCAACAACTCTCCTTGTGTGGATCCTTTGTTGTGTTATGGAGCCAGGCCCGTTTTGCCTGCCACACAGTATGCCAATCACTGAGACAATGAGCTTTGCAGCAAAGAAGGGATTTAGTCACATGGCAGCTAAGTGAGAAGATGAGAGAACAGGTCTCAAATTCATCTCCCCAAAGATGGGGTTTAGAGATATTTATGGGATAGGGGAGCAGGGTGGTCTGAGGTACAAGGAAAGGTGAGTGGGGGTAAGGAAAAGTGAGGTAATTGGTGTTCTGTGCAAGCATAGCTAAGCTTCATGGCTCTTTGTGGGACACATGTTCCAAAAATGGTAGCTTTAGCATGATCAGTGGGTGAAGCTCATGGCCTCTGACATCAAAAGATCACCCATCAGACATTTGCTCAGGCCCAAAGGGTCAGTGTGGTCTTACCCAGTTTGGACTGGTTGAGAGCTGTCTTTAAGTTCCTGAAAAACAACTTAGGCAGCTGTTTTACCATTGTGACCTGTATGTCAGAGATGTTATCTATAGGATGGCTGATGGGAGTTTCTTTTTAAAAAAAACCAGCTAAAAGCAAGCAAAGCAGGTTAAAATTTGACAAGCCTAGATAGGTTTCCCTCAGCTTCAGTAGTCATACATTCTCCCATCCCTGGCAAATGTTGCTATATTTTGGTGTTTTCAAGAATATCAAATACATGAAATCACACAGCATATAAATTTTAACAAAAACTTATTACTTAGAAATAATTATAGATTCACAGAAAGTTGCAGAAATAATACAGAGAGATTCTGGTACTCTTCACCAGTTACCCCCAATGATGACATGTGACATAACTATAATACATAACAAAACCAGGATTCAAATACCTCATTCAGATTTCTTCAGATTTATATGCACTCATTTGTGGGGGTGTGTGTGGTTCTATACAACTGTTATTTTTATTTTTTTATTTTTTGAGACAGGGTCTCACTCTGTTGCCCGGGCTGGAGTGCAGTGGCAGGATTACCGCTCACGGAAGCCTCAACCCCTGGGGCTTAAGTGATCCTCCCACCTCAGCCTCCTGAGTACCTGGGAACACAAGCATACGCCACCATACCCAGCTAATATTTATTTATTTATTGAGGGACAGGGTCTCCCTATGTTGCCCAGGCTGTTCTCGAACTGCTGGGCTCGAGTGATCATCCTGTCTCTACCTCCTAAAGTGCTGGGATTACAGGCATGAACCACCATGCCCAGCCAGTTCTATACAATTTTATCATGTGTGAATTCATGTAATCACCACGACAAGATACAGGCTGTTCTATCACTGCAAAACTCCTTGTGCTACCCTTTTATAGTCACATCTTGTGAAGTTAAATTTTTTGGAAGCCTTTCTTTATGTGTTTTACCACCCCCTAAAAAAAAAAAAAAAAAACTACTCTAATGTAATTAAACAGAATCAGACCATTGCTTTTTTGGTACTGTAATATTTATTTTATTTTTTTCCTGGGATGATTATATGTAGGAAGTTCAATAAAAGAAAAATTATGCTTTTGGCTACATTATTATTTAATTTCAGGATTATTACTGAGGATAATTTTGTCACACATAAAGGGGTGTGTTAAAAAATGATCTATCCCAGGTGTCAGATGAGCTATGTAGACCACTATTTGGAAACCAGATGCTTGGACTTCACCAGACATCAAAGAGTGAACAGTAGCCCACCGCTTAAGATGAGTTCAAACTCTCTTACAGCTGTTGAGCCAAATGGCAGAACTTTAATCATTTTTCCTCTTCAGTACTTTTTAAAAACACACATTTTATAATAAAAGTATGACATGCTAAATCTCTAAAAATGTAATGTTTTGGTAATAAATAGATGAACTGTGGAAATGGGATAAATGACGTTTATTTGTAAATTAAGAAAGCTTTCTTAGGGGAAAAGTACTTGCCAAAACTATAAAATCACAGTGCTTCCTCTGGACTCTTCTTTTGCCAACCAATCAGATTTATTATTTTAATCTAAGAATAGCTGTAGACATGTTGTCTCCAATTTTTGTCTATTTGCTTATAAATTAAGATAAACTTTATTCTTAAAGCAGATTGCTGTTTTGAAATTACCAGAATATTGTTTAATCATATTGATTTGTGGAGAACTCTGACTTCTTATCGACCCCATTCACATTCTCCTTTGTACATTGTTTCTGTCTTAGGTTAACATTTATTGTAAGCATGAGGATAGTAGTTTCCAGCCTTTGCTCAAGTTATTCCTCTTGCATTCTCTGGTCAACTTAGCCTCCACTCGTGATGGAATTTTTCTCCTAAAGCCTGGATAAAGATATTCCATTCAGCTCCTGTGGCATATCTTACAGATTCCCATACTGGGAATGATGAAGAAACTAAATACTAATGGGCAGAGGCAAGTAGGGGACATTTTTCCCTCTAAAGTTTACCTTTTTATTGTCTCTTTTTATGTGCAGCCTCTTTTTAAATATATATAATTGGAATTATAAGCCAAGGTATCCACAGCTATTCCTAAATAGTTGAACAATTTTCAGAGCAGATATAACCAATTCACTACCATAATTGGATAAATGTGTTGCCTGTGGTTTTGGTGAGTGGCTTTGTCCTGAGGTCCACATGCATTGCTATTAATGAGCAAAGAAGGACACTGATGTACCCCTTCAGATTGGCTCTCTACCCTTGCCCACCTAGGGTTGCCAGATTTAGCAAATGAAAACACCAGATTAAGAGTGAGGTCACCCACCACCTCCTGCTCCTTTCCTTGCTGAATGAGGACCATGCAGGTGGCCTCTTTTACAGCTAGAGTTACTCTCCGTGCCCAGTAACTGCTTTGTTCTCTTCACTCTCAGGTCTTGGGGTGATAATGTCTCTCCCTGTTGCTACTCCCAAGGTGCTTCACCATTTTTTTCTGGTTTCCTTTAACTTTGCCACACCACTGAAAATGGTCCCATTATTCCTTTTTCCTCAGTACCCCATTTGAAAGTGTTGCCTATTTCCTGTCAGGACTCTGACACGAAGCGGTTCTGACTGGTGAAGAGCACAGCACATTTTGTAAAAATATGAATTGCAGATTAAACCATAGAGCCATTGACTTACATAACTCTATGGTGATGGGCTTCTATAATTTCAAAAGTGCTTTAGCTTAATTTATGACACATCTTCAACTGGAGGTGAATCCTGATAGCTCTGGTTTTGGAGGCCTTGGAAATGGTTCTATCCGTTCACTATTAGACATAACTCTACAATGAAGATTTCCATGCATATAACATGGTCCTGTTTTACTTTCTTCTTTGCACATATACAATTGTTTGATATTTCTAAAATTCAAGTCACTTAATTTACTGACCTTTCAAAAAGATACATGTGTGTATATGAAAGTGTATGTATGTGTAGGTGTGTGTGTGTGTGTAAAATTTTAAAAAAGATTAAATAATTACATCAGTCATGATAAATTCATACTACTGAATACTATAGAGGTATTAAAAAGAATGAGAACACATGGACACAGACAGGGGAACGACACACACTCGGGCCCATTGAGGGGTCAAGAGGAGGGAGAGCATTAAGATGAATAGCTAATGCATGCTGAGCTTAATACCTAGGTGATGGGTTGATAGGTGCAGCAAACCACCATGGCACATGTTTACCTATGTAACAAACCGGCACATCCTGCAAATGTACCCCGGAACTTAAGATAAAATAAAAGAAAATAAAATTGGCTGGCGCAGTGGCTCACACCTGTAATCCCAGCACTTTGGGAGCCTGAGGCAGGAGGATCACCTGAAGTCAGGAGTTCAAGACCAGCCTAGCCAACATAGTGAAACACTGTCTCTACTAAAAATACAAAAACTAGCTGGGCATGGTGGTGCTTGCCTGTAATCCCAGCTACTTGGGGGCCTGAGGCAGGAGAATCATTTGAACTCGGGAGGCAGAGGTTGCAGTGAGCCAAGATTCTACCATTGCACTCCAGCCTGGGCAATAGAGTGAGACTCCATCTAAAAAATAAATAAATAAATACAATAAAATAAAAAAGAATGAGATAGTCCTATGTGTGTCAATATGGAAATCACTCCAAGACAATGTGTCACTTAACAAAACCAAGGCCAGAAGAAAAAAACAGAATCAGATGATTTGTGTATGTATCATCGTCAAGAGTGAACTGGGGAGAGTTCCAGATCACTGACAGTGATTCCCCTTGGGGGAATGGAGGGAAAGGGTGTGAAACATGCTCTCACATTTTGCTCTCTATGCTTATGTATTGTAAGGGATTCTTACATATCTTTAACAACACGTTTTGTGTTCATCTATGCTTTCTCCTAAAACCTCACCAAAATGACAGTGAAGAGACAACAAAGGACAAGCAGAACTGAGAGATGACAACAGTGGCTTAGAGACACCAACAAAATTTCGGAAAGTTAAGGGCAGAGGATAAGTGATAACTGGATTCACAGAATAACAAAAACTGAAGCTTATAGTTCTGCGGAGGTGGTTGCCAATGAGAATCAAACTGACTCATGGCCCAGAACACCTGAGAAACTCAGAAGTTAGAGACACCATTTGCCTTCGAAGGAAGGATAAGGAGGGGGATAAAAACAGGAAAATTAATTGAGAGTTTTTATTAGAAGGAATTCCATTCCTTGAACTTCTACCCCACTCCCAGAAGTCCAGTAATTACACTCTCCCAACACCAGCAGGAAATGGGAGGTTTGATTCCTGAAAAAATTATTCTAGAGACTCTGAATTCAGGGATGGCAGAAACAACTGAGGGCACATGGTGATCAAGTGAGACCTTGAGGCACTGGACAGGAAACAGCTGGATTGAGTGAAAGGCTACATACCCTGTGGTGACTCCCCAGGCCTTCTCCCCTTCTCAGCCACAAGAATGCTGGCAGGAAGGCCCAGACCCCTCAGTCAGGAGTCTGGATAATTCTGTTTTGGAAAAGTTCTCCCCAGTGGACCTGGTCACCTTTAAGATCATCCAACAAACCATCAAGGTCCCACTTGATCAACCTACAATGAAACCCACCAGTTGATAAGCCCCATTCATGTACTCAGAGCTTCCAATCTAGTGCCTCACTTTAAAATACGAATTGGCAGATTTTTTAGGAAAACCTCTGATGTGCAAAAATAGAAACAAGAACAAAAAGAAAAAAAGAAACTCAGAAGAATCAAAGACAGTGCAAAGAGCAGAAGAAAACTTCAAACAAACTATTAATAATCTCAGAAAGATAAGTGATGATATTGCATCCATAAAATAATAGAATGCTAAGACAATAGAATAACCAAGGAACAAGAAAGAGTTTTAGAAATTAAAAATATTTTCAGTAAAAAATGCAATATAGGGGTTGAAAGGCAAAGTTGAAGAATTTCTCAAAAGTAGAACAAAAAAGCTGGAAAAAAGAAAGAAGAAAGATAGGAAAATTAGGGTAGTTCAAGAGGGCCAACTTCTAATTAACAAGGATTTCAGAGAGAAGGCAAAAAAGAGAGGCAGACATTGTCAAAAATACCGTGTTAGTCTGAGTTCTCCAGAGAAAGAGAACCAATAGGAATATGTACACGTTATAAGGCATTGGTTCATGCGAATAGAGAAGCTGAGAAGCCCCAAGATCTCCAGTCAATAAGCTGGTGACCAAGGAGAGCTGATGGTGGAGTTCCAGTCTGAGTCCAAAGGCCTGAGAAGCCAGACAGATGACAGCGTAAGTTCCAATCTGAGTCCAAGTCTGAAGGCAGAACAAAATCTATGTCCCAGCTCCTAGACAGTCAAAGAGTGAATTTTTTTTTTTTTTTTTTTTTGAGACAGGGTCTCACTTTGTCACCCAGGCTGGAGTGCAGTGGCATGATCTCTGCACACGGCATCCTTGACCTCTGAGGTTCAAGCGACCTTCCTGCCTCAGTCCCCCAAGTAGCTGAGACTACAGGCATCCTGGCTAATTTTTGTATTTTTTGTAGAGACAGTTTCACCATTTGCTTAGGCTGGTCTTGAACTCCTGAACTCAAGTGATCCACCTGCCTTGGCCTCCCAAAGTGTTAGGATTACATATGTGAGCCACTGCACCTGGCTGAAAGAGTGAATTCTTTCTCAGTCTTTTTTGTTCTAGTGAAGCTTGAAATGGATTAGATGAAGGCCACCCACATTGGGGAGGGCAATCTACTTTACCCAGACTACCAATTCAAATGTTAATCTCATCCAGAAACACCCTTACAGACAAAGCCACAATAATGTTTAACCAAATATTTGGGCACCCCATGGCCCAGTCAAGTTGACAAATAAAACTAACCATCACATATACGAAATAGAAACATGTTCCAGAATGAAGGATGTGAGTCCCTGGTGAAGGGCCCCAGTGAGAATGAGAAATAAAAATGACCTATACCAGGGCACATCACTATAAAATTTCTACTGGGGATAAAAAGAATTCAAAAGCATCCAGAGAGAAAAACAGAGGTTACCAGGGAATAGAATGGCACAGGACTCTCAACAACAATGCGGGGAGCTAAGAGATAATATTGCAATGCCTTCAAACTTCTGAGAAAAAGCCAGGCCCGGTGGCTCACAGCTGTAATTCCAGCACTTTGTGAGGCCAAGGTGGGTGGATCACTTGAGGCCAGGAGTCCAAGACCAGCCTGGCCAACATGGTAAAACCCAGTCTCTACTAAAAATACAAAATTTATCTGGGTGTGCTGGTGCATGCCTGTAATCCCAGCTACTCAGGTGGGTGAGGCATGAGAATAGCTTGAACCCAGACGGCAGAAGTTGTGGTGAGCCAAAATTGCGCCACTGCCCTCCAGCCTGAGTTAGAGTGAGACTCTGTCTCAAAAAAAAAAAAAGGTCTGAGAAAAAAATCTTTCCAATCCAATTCTTTGCCAGCCAAACTACCAAATATGAGCATAGCAAAAAAGTTGTTTTCAGACGGGTAAAATCTCAAAAACTTTGCTTTGCATCTTTTTTTTTCTTTTTTTCCCCACGAAGCTTCAGGAATGTGTGTCACTAAAAGAGGGGAATAAATGAAGAAAGAGGAAGCTCTGAGTTTGGAAACAGGAATTACAACAAAAGAAAGAGGCAAATTAAATTTCTATAGTGATGGTGAAGAGATATCCTAGGATGACAAAATGTTGCAACTCTAGAGATCAGTCACTACAAACAGCAACAGAAGGACAGAAGAATCTAGGAGAGTTGTCTCCATCAAAAAGAAGAAACAAAAAACCAAAACCTGCTAGAATACTTGAGGTGCTTGACCATGTTGTCTGGAAGAGAATTGGGGAAGCATAAGAAAATGTATATATATTTTTGAAAGTCCACTCACACATACAAAAAAAAAACAAAACAAGACGAATAAGTAAGCAGTATTTAATTCCAGGAAAAACAAAAAAACAATTTGTCTAGAAAAGAAAATGTAAAAATGATATTGCTTATTTATGAGCAATATTTGCAGCATCCTTATATTTAAACCTTGGATATTCAATTAATACAAAATTGTGATTAAAACACACAGGGTGGGAGAAATATGTGTGGAGGGTTGGGTAGGAGGAGTGGTAGTGAGAGGGTGCTAAATCCTTATCTTCTGTAGTAGGAAGTAAGTTAATAAGGTCTGTCTGAATCTGTTGTTCAGGCTGCTGTAATAGAATACCATATGGTTGTTCTAGAAGACTATGAAAAAGCAATAGAGTACCATAGACAGAGCGGGACGGGCACAGTGGTTTAGGCTTGTAATCCTAGCAGTTTGGGAGGCCAAGGTGGGAGGATCGCTTGAGCCCACGATTTCGAGACCAGCTTGGGCAAGGGAGACCCTGTCTCTACAAAATATTTTAAAAAATTAGCCGGGTGTGGTGGTGCACAGCTGCGTAAGAGGCTGAGGCAGGAGGATCGCTTGAGCCTGGGAAGTCAAGGATATAGTGGGCCGTGATCATGCCATTGCACTCCAGACTCCTGGGTGACAGAGTGAGGCTGTCCCCACTTCCCAAAAAAAAAAAAGATGGCTTAAACAACTAACATTTATTTCTCACAGTTCTGGAGGCTGGAAGTCTGAGATTAGCGTGCCAGCATGGTTGGGTTCTGGTGAAGGTCCTCTTCTGGGTTGCAGACTGGCAGTTTCTTGTGTCTTCACATGGTGGAAGTGGGTTAAGAGCTCTCTGGGGTCCCTTTTACAAGGGCCGTAATTTTATTCATGAGGGCTTACCCTTGTGACCTGATTACCATCACATTGAGGGTTAGGTTTTCAACATATAAACTTTGTGGGGGACACACACAGTCAGTCCACTGCAATGTCTAAAATCGTTTAATCAATAAATACAATAAATAGTAGCATAAACTTATTACTAAAAATAAAGAGTTAAATGTAAAGGGAAAAACAGCTGAGTTAAAAGTTGTCTCTGCCTTTGGGGAGTCTAATTCTGGGGTCAAATATTGCTGTTTTTTTTCTATTGCTGTCATAGTTTTTTGTTTATTATAAGTGTTGTAGTATTAATTGATCTTTCAAACCATGTCTGGGTATTTTTTGACTGCCCAAAATATTTTTATGACCAGAAGAAGTTGTGTATAAGGTGATAGAAAACACATTAAGAGTAATGGTTTCTTTTCTTTCTTTCTTTCTTTCTTTCTTTATTTTTGGAGACAGGATCTCGCTGTCACCCAGGCTGGAGTACAGTGGTGTGATCATGGCTCACTGCAGTCTCAACCTCTGGAGCTCAGGTGATCCTCCTGCGTCAGCCTCATGAGTAGCTGGGACCACAGGCACATGCCACCACACCTGGCCAATTTTTAAATTATTTGTAGAGACAGGGTCTCCTTATGTTTTCTAGGTTGAAGGTTTCCTTAATCTTTCTTGAATAAGGTTGGACCTAAACAAACTAGATATCTTGATGTTAATTGCCTTCTAGTTTTTGTTTGTTTGTTTTGAGACGGAGTTTCACTCTTGTTGCCCAGGCTGGAGTGGAATGGCGTGATCTCAGCTCACTGCAACCTCCACCTCCTGGGTTCAAGCAATTCTCCTGCCTCAGCCTCTTGAGTATCTGGGATTACAAGCATGCACCACGATGCCCGGCTAATTTTGTGTTTTTAGTAGAAACAGTTTTCTCCATGTTAGTCAGGCTGGTCTTGAACTCCTGACCTCAGGTGATCCGCCCACTTCAGCCTCCCAAAGTGCTGGGATTACAGGCATGAGCCACCATGCCCAGGAGTGAATTGCCTGCTGGTTTTATTTATTTATTTAGACAGTGTTGCCCAGGTTAGAGTGCAGTGGCACAATCATAGTTTACTGCAGCCTCAAATTCCTGGGCTCAAGTGATCCACCCACCTCAGCCTCCCAAGTAGCTAGGACTACAGGTCCATGCTGCCATACCTGACGAATTTAAAATTTTTTTTTTAGTGATAAGGTATTTCTATGTTGCCCAGGCTGGTCTCAAACTTCTGGGCTCAAGTGATCCTCCTGCCTTGACCTCCCAAAGTGCTAGTATTACAAGTGTGAGCCACTGAGCCCAGCCCACCTACTAGTTATTAATCATGATTTTCCCTTAATTCAAATACTCAAACAATTCAAATACCTACTTACATTAAGGCATATGTTTTATTATATTATTTAGAAAGCATTTCTATCAGATCAAAACATTTCTAAATGTTTTAAATGTATTAACTTTTTGAAATATTGTTGCTAATAATGTTTATATAGAATCAGATAATTCTGTAATTTAATTTTACTCTTTTATATGACTTTTCTATTACACTGTCTTTTTTTTTGGAGACAGAGTCTCGGTTTGTTGCCCAGGTTGGAGTGCAGTGACACAACCTTGGCTCACTGCAACCTCTGCCTCCCGAGTTCAAGCAATTCTCCTGCCTCAGCCTCCCAAGTAGCTGGGATTACAGGCACATGCCACCATACTCGGCTAAATTTTTATATTTTTAGTAGAGACAAGGTTTCACCCTGTTGGCCAGGCTGGTCTCGAACTCATGACCTCAAGTGATCTGCCTGCCTTGGCTTCCCAAAATGCTGGGATTACAGGTATGAGCCACTGCGCTTGGCCTATTACACTGTCTTAATAGCTATCAAGGAAACAATCCTAGGTTAATACTTTAAAGGTTAATGAATTATTTAGACATATCCTTTAGAGATACTTAGATATATCTTCTTTGATAATTTTCTCTTCCTAATCAGGGTTGAAGTATTAATATCCAGTGTATATATCTTAGTTTGAATTTCTGTAAATTATCTTGATATAAGTAATACTCTTAAACATGTAGTTATGCAGAAAACAATCTGGAGGAATATATGACAAAAAGCTAACTGGATATTTGGGAAATGGAATTGGGGAGGTATTTTTTAAAAGTGTTTTATAGCCTTTGAGTGTTACTTTTGTAATCTGAATATATTTGTATATATGTAAAATAAAAGAAAGAGTTGTATATAGTAGGTTTGGGCTCTATGATTGCATTGATTGATTGATTGAGACAGGGTGTTGCTGTGTTACCCAGGCTAGAGTGCAGCGGCGTGATCATGGCTCACTGCAGTCTTGATCCCACTGGCTCAAGCTCAAGCAATCCTCCCACCTCAGCCTCCTGAGTAGTTGGGACTACAGGCATGTGCCACTGTGCCTGGCTAATTTTTGTGTTTTTTTGTAGAGACAGGGTTTAGCTATGTTGCCCACACTGGTCTTGAACTCCTGGGCTCAAGCAATCTGCCCACCTTGGCCTCCCAAAGTGCTGGGATTACAGGTGTGGGCCACCATGCCCAGCCCTACTTCAGCTCCATCACAAGAGAATTTCACAAGCACAAGCCCGGAAGGATTGCCTGTCAGACTTCACATGACATTCCAAGATTGGGTTTCACCACTTTGACCAAATGACCCTGAAGTGACCAAAGGCAACTGTCCTGTTCTAGATGGTTAAATCCTAGGTGGGGAAAGCATGTTAATGGCGGAGCCAGGAACATCCAAGCTAGGCTAATAGGCAATCACTTCTCAGTCCACAGTCAGCCAAGGTAAATAATGCATGAATGAGCATAGGAAATGGACTTTATAGACTTAAAAAAAACACAAAGAAATTCTTATTATTTATTTTATTTAATACATTGGATACATTTTAGCCAATATTTTTCATCCCCTTTGTTTGTCAGGACTTTTTATGTTAACCAGAAAATACAAATAACAGAGTTTCACATTTTTGCCATTACTCTTCTGACGGGCAGTATCTTCTTTCAGAGTAGCTCTTCTTGCTTGAGATCTTGACTAGATTAGTTCTTTATTCTTCAGTTTCTAGTACAAGCAAGAAGATAATTCTGTCTCATGTTCTCCAGCGTTTACATTACTATTCCAGTCCTTAGTACATATTTAGAGATGCTGCTAATGTATGCATATAATTCTGCAGGTTAGGAGGTTTCTGTAGGTAATTCACAGTGGAGTTAGGAATAGAACCCTTTGAGGCTCTTTGCTCTACAACCACCTCAAATGGCACAGGAAATTAAAAAAAAATTCTTGGGGTCTCTTTTGACAACTCTAGGTCTTTTCTGACTCACCTCCAGTCCATCAGCAAATCTTCCAGTTATCCGTCCAAAATATGTTTCTGGTGGCCTGCTTTTCTCCATCTTTACCCCCACCACCCTGGGACTGGCTCTCAGGAAAGATGTCTGACCAGGACCACTGAAACAGCTTCAAGACTGTTCCTGCTTTTGCTGCTCCAGTCCTTTTGCCACACAACAACCAGAGTGACTTTCCAACCCAGTAGTTTGACCAGGTTCCCCTCCTTTTTATTATTATAATTAATTTTTTTTTTTTTTTAATGATGAGGTCCCACTATTTTGCCCAGGCTGAACCTTAACACATGAGGCTCAAGCAATCCTCCTGCCTCAGCTTCTTGAGTAGCTGAGACTACACCACTGAGCTCAGTATATTATAATTTTTTATTTTTTGGAACGGAGACTTGCTCTGTCGCCCAGGCTGGAGTGCAGTGACATGATCTCGGCTCACTGCAACCTCCGCTTCCTGGGTTCAAGCAATTCTCCTGCTTCAGCCTCCTGAGTAGCTGGGACTACAGGCATGTGCCACCACACCGGGTAATTTTTGTATTTTTGGTAGAGACGGGGTTTCACCATGTTGGCCAGGCTGGTCTTGAACTCCTGACCTCAGGTGATCCGCTGTCCTCGGCCTCCCACAGTGCTAGGATTACAGGCATGATCCACCGCACCTGGCCCGTATTATAATTTTTTATAAGTCAGTTTGTTGAGTTACAATTTACATACAGTAAAATTCACCCTTTGAAGGAGTACAATGCTATAATATTTAACAAATGGCACATCATTGTGTGTGAGTCCCTTTGTAGGCAAACATTTCTCTACTCACATGGGTCTACTTTTGTCCCTATAGTATTACCCTATTCACAGCGTCACATAAATGGAATCGTACACTATGTAGTCTGGTTTCTTTCACTTAGCAGAATGCATTTGAAATTATCATGTTGTTGCATGTATCAGTAGTTCATTCCTCTTTATTGCTAAGTAGTATTCCAGCAACAAACTGTTTATCTACCCAAATCATCAGTTTTTGGCAACCATGATTAAAGCTGCTATAAGCATACAAGTTTACTGGTTTGTTGGGGGTGGAGTTGACATATGTCTTTCTTTCTCTTGGCTAACTACATAGGCATGGGATTGCTGGGTGATACGGTAAATGGATGTTAAACTTTATGAGAAACTCTTTCTGTTACCAAAGTGGCTGTACCATTTGCATTCCCACCAGCAATGCAAATTCCAGTTGCCCTGCATCCTCTCGAGCAGTTGGTACTATCAGGTTTTTAAATTTGAGCCATTCTAATTTTAATTTGCAGTTTCCCAGTGACTAATGATGTTGAGAATCTTTTCATGTGCTTATTTGTTGTTCATATCTTTTCTTTGGCGAAGTGTGCACTTTTATTTTTTTTTGAGACAGTTTCTTGCTCTGTTGCCCAGGCTTGAGTGCAGTGGTACGATCCTGGCTCACCAGCCTCAACCTCTGGGGCTCAAGAGATCCTTCCACCTCAGCCTCTCGACTATCTAGGACTACAGGCATGGGCCACAAGCCCAGTTCCGATGACTGTTTCTTAAACCATGGAACCATGGCCTTTCTGAACTCGTATGTAAACTTCCTCTGTTTATTTCAACTCCACTCAAGGGGCTTGTGCAAATTCTATTTATAAATATTAGAAAAACTGGGATGTGTGTGGTATGGAGTGTGTGTAGAGGGAGGGGTGGGTATGGAAGCCTCCAAATCAGAAACTCTTCATAATTCAGGATCTACCTGCCAAGAAAGGAACACAAAGAGGGCTATAAGAAGCTGCGGAGCCCTGCAAAGCCCTCTGCTTTTTGTGATGTTCTTAACCTCTCTACAAACCTTCCTGTTTCTGTTTTCCTTCTATTTGTTTTATAGCGGATATCTCATGCGTATATCTGTGCCTTTTATTTCTCATCTTTATCTAACTAAAGAGAGATTTTTCTGATCTATGTTTCAGTCTCACCAGCAATTTATGGAGTTTGCTCCTCATAAGTTTTTCCTTTGATCATCGTTCACCCTCAGTTAATTTGCTCAAGTGAAGAGCAAAATCTCAGGAGGAGATTAGCAAGGTGAAGGATAGCATTTAGTTCTATCTAATGAAGTGTTTCTGAATTTGATCATTCACTTCTCACTCAAGGGGAAATTTAGGGTGTAGTAGTAACCTCTTTGATATTTAACAATCTCATTATTTCTCAGTTATTTATGTCTTAAAGGGCTACACTGACTTTAAGTACTGATTATTCTTTTAAACTCTATTTATACACTAAAAACAGAAGTTGGAGGTAAAAAAACAACCACTAATCAGACCGCCTTCTGGTCAGTTCTAAATGTAACTTGCCATCTTACCTTTAGCATTAAAGACACCTTTTCATTTTGGCTTTTATAATGTACACACAGGTATTGCAGTATCCTGTGAGTTGCTTGTTTTTTTTTTTAGGAAGAGGTGACTGCGAAAGTGAAGCCAGGGGGCTCTGCTCAGGCACATGCCACTGGTTCACCTCTCCTGCACAAGTTATTTTCAGAACTGCTGCAAAAAGAGACTGTCATATTTTTCTTTCCACATTGTTTATTTAAAGAGACATGGGAACCATCATGAAGAAGATTCATAGGCCCCAAATGTCAACCCTGCATGTCTGCTTTGTTTTAGTTAATGAAGTTGTGATTTTGGAGTCACCTCTTCCCCCAGTCCTCACCTCTGCCCTGGGAAAATGGCAGGCCCTGAAATTTATAGGAATTCTGACCTAAGGGGCCAGGAAGTGCATGGGACTGGAGAAGGTGGGTAGCAAGGAGTCTGGCCTGTGATGGAGAGCTTTTCCTAGAAGAGAAAATATTACCTGCAGCTCTGGTTTCCACTGCACTGTTTTTAAACACTTAAAGATTTGTTACTCCTCTTGAAATGGCCCCAGGCATGTAGAAGGCACCAGACTTCATTTAAGTCACTTCCCTTCCCTTAACCTGCCATTTTAACTAGAAAAAAAAATCTTGAAGTGATTAGAGAATTTCCAGTTAAAAATTGTAGAGAAGCTGCACATTCTTAGTCCAAAGTTTTCAGAAAAAATGATCACTTTTAGGTTGATATTTACTGTAAAAAATTTTATTTCAAAAGATCAATTTTTGCCAGTTCTATGAAACTAACAGGGACAAGGCTGAAGGCTGAAAGAAGCCTTAGAGTTAGTCATGAAAGCTCTGGATTAAAAACCATTTTTTAAATGGTCTCATTGAGAAATTTTTCAAATAAGAGTCACCCTTGAATGAATGAATGTATGCTGTATCAAATTATCCAGAGACAAAGAAGAGCAGCCATTCTAGCAGAACAAATGCAGCCTGCTTTGTCTGGGGGACAAATCATTCTTGCAGCCAGTTTGGAAATGTCACTTTTAAGTCAATGAGGGTTGTGTTCAAATAAGAGGGGGCTGCAAGACCCTATTATATTCACTGGGATGTGATGTTTTGCCTCTGAATGGTTTCTACAGTGCATGAAAATTCCTTTTTCTTTTAGATGAGGGGGGAGGACTTTTTAATGTCTTAAACTGTTTTCAGGTTTCACAAAGTGCTTCAGTTTTTACATTTAAAGGGCAGACATGATGATCACACTGGAACACCAGTCATCCAGCTACAGAAGTTCTGACTTATTGGACAAGTCTTTTGAACTCTTGACTTGGTGAAAACAGATGACTGGGAAAACAGATTCGTTGGCTCGCATGGTGGAACCTGTATTCTGGAAGTGATCCAGGGCTTACAGTAGTCCAACCAGCCATTTGCTCTGTCTTTTGGTGATATGACACACTGGGGCTCTGTCTATAATGGGATTTATTTGAGCAGCAATGGTGTCCAGTGGAATAGGAAGTTCTGAGGTCTGAGGCGAGATTGAAGAAAACTGATGGGGAAATCAATCCATCGCCAAGAATTGACTAGATTGGCTGGCAACTGTAGGATTTGTAGGTCAAGCAGAAGCAGCTTGGCCCTCTTGGCTCACTATGGCAAACTCTAAATTCCCCAGGGCTGTCAATAAGCTCATGAAATCAATTTGTTTTGTGGCCAGTATTAATTTTTTTATTACCAAAAGAGACTAAATGCTAAGCAACAGTTCAACACCATCGAACTCTTCTTGGCAGGTATAGCAAAACACATAAAATGATTGATGACGTTTTTATATCATTTTGAAGTAGGTATGATTTTTTAAAGGTAAGTTTTTTTTTTTGTTTTAGAGATAGAGTCTCATTCTGTTACCCAGGCTGGAGTGCAGTGGTGCTATCATGGCTCACTGCAGCCTCGACCTCCTGGGCTCAAGCAATCCTCCTGTCTCAGCCTCCCAAATAGCTGGGACTATAGGCATAAGCCACCATGTCCGGCTAAATTTATTTTATTTTATTTTGAGTACAGATGAGGTCTCACTACATTGCCCAGGCTAGGATAAGCTTCTTCATGGAGATAGGAGGATGTAAATCGGACCGTCAGTGCCAAACCATCCTTGCTCAACAACAAGTAAGGCCCTGGCAGCAGAGACCAGCTTAGGGAGAATACAGATGCTAGCTTTAATCTGTGGAAGTCTATCCAGAAATAAACAAGGGATGACACCTTGTACACAATCACAGAAGAAACTTGAAGTTTTTGAATGATCCAAAAGAAATATTCACTTTCAACAAGAAAGCGAGTTTTAAAGGGGCACCAATTGTTTGCATTGTCTTTAAAGGAAGATTAAATTCTCCACTTAACTGCATATCCAGTTTGGTTTTCAGGTAGAGGCAAAGCTTTAAAACTGTGGTGAGCAGTATGTGGCCAGGAGCCTTGCCAGCTTTGGGAAGAACCAGAAAATGCAATTCCATGTTGCCATTTCTCTCTCTCTCTCCTTTTTTTTTTTGAGACAAAGTCTTACTCTGTCACCCAGTCTGGAGTGCAGTGGTGCGATCTCAGCTCATAGAAACCTCCGCCTCCCAGATTCAAGCGATTCTCCTGCCTCAGCCTACCAAGTAGCTGGAATTATAGACACACGCCACCACACTCGGCTAATTTTTGTATTTTTAGTAGAGATAGGGTTTCGCTAAGTTGGCCAGGCTGGTCTCGAACTCCTGACCTCAAGTAATCCAACTGCCCTGGCCTCCCAAAGTGCTGGGATTACAGGCATGAGCCACCCCATAGGGCCGCTGTTTCTCAAATGTGCCTTAAGGTAAACAATCAATGACAAAATACCAGTGCCAAGTTTTTATTCCAAGTCTAACAATAATATCATTAGTAATTATAAAAAGAATATTAAAATAGTACTAACAAAAGCATATATTTTACCAAGTGTCAAGCATTGTGCTAATTGCTTATGTGCATTTACTCTTCAACCATGGGACTAATATTGCTAGCTCCACTTTACAGATGAGAAAACTGAGGCCAAGAAAAGTAAATCTGCCCAAATTTGGAGCATGCTCACTATGTGCTATGCAGTCACTGTTCTAATTGAATGATCATAGATACTGTTATTACCATTATTTTACAGATGCTGAAACAGAGGTTAAACACTTTCCCATGGTCACACGGCTGTTAAGAGTCGAGGTAACATTCAAACCTAGTCACTCCAGTCCTACACTCTGAGCACTTCATGTCTAAATTTGTCTAACCAGTTAAATATACACATTTCTCATGGAATTTGGTAACGGTATTTTTTTTTTTTTTTTGAGATGGAGTCTGGCTCTGTCGCCCAGGCTGGAGTGCAGTGGCACAATCTCTGCTCACTGCAAGCTCCGCCTCCCGGGTTCACGCCATTCTCCTGCTTCAGCCTCCCGAATAGCTGGAACTACAGGCGCCCGCCACCTCGCCCGGGTAATTTTTTTTGTATTTTTAGTAGAGACGGAGTTTCACCGTGTTAGCCAGGATGGTCTCGATTTCCTGACCTCGTGATCCAACCGCCTCGGCCTCCCAAAGTGCTGGGATTACAGGTGTGAGCCACCGCGCCTGGCCGGTAACGGTATTTTTATTTTGAGTTTTTATAAAGTGGGGCCTAAATTGTTTTGCCTACACTGGTCATTCTAACCAAATGGCTGTTTATCACTGCAGCACTTAGTCTCAGGAATGTGCTGCCGCCAACTGGATGCTTGGGCTTTTTTTCTGGTCTATACTACCCTCTAGTGGTTGATAGAAAAATTCGATGATAGGCTATTTAATGACAAAGAGAGAAATAGAATGCTGTCCACTAATGAGGACTCCTTTTAAGCATAAGGGTAAGACATGAACCTGCATGTAATAGTATTTGTACTTTTTGTATCTTTTGATTGAGAAAAATACATAAAGACTAAAAGATTCTATGAATTTAGTACCTCATTTATGTGAACGTGTATTTTTATTTTTATTAATCTCAATAGTATACACATACATAAGAAACAAGGTGATATATATCTTTGTGTGTGTATATATACATATGTGCTATATACATGTGTTATACAATATATGTGTTTTATACATATATATGTATGTATGTATGTATATAACATACACCTTATTTGTTTAGCTATAGACAATGCCTGGAGTGCATTGATGGATTTAGAAGCCCCCAAATTAGACTTCCCTCAAACTTCTTTGGCTAGATTTTCAACAAATACCCACTCCTAAACCATTACAGGCAAGGAGAAATTAACTCAAAATTTTAGATTAATTAGTATATTCTCCTGAATTGGGCATAGTCCCCTGGCCTGAGAGGTGGAGATGTGAAGATAATTGGGATTGTCTTTTTTTTTTTTGAGAGAGTCTCACTGTGTCACCCAGGCTGGAGTGCAGTGGCGCAATCTTGGCTCACTGCAACCTCTGCTTCCTGGGTTCAAGCGAGCTTTGTGCCTCAGCCTCCTGAGCAGCTGGGATTACAGGCTGGTGCTGTCCCCATCACGCCCAGCTAATTTTTGTATTTCAGTTTCACCATGTTGGCCAGGCCAGGCTGGTCTGAAACTTCTGACCTCAAGTGATCTGCCCACCTCGGCCTCCCAAAGTGCTGGGATTACAGGCACGAGCCACCGTGCCCGGCCGGGATGGTCTGGACAAGGAAGAAGTCCTGCTGCAGGGGTGGCTGCAGTCTTACCCGAGTCTCCCTCCTGGGCGACCTCAGGAGGTGGGGGACTGGGGGCAGGCCCATGGGAGCATCCTCCCTGTGCAGGCACTAAGGTGGGCATTACCTGAAGGAAACTGAAAAACAATAGTAAAACTAACTAAAAGGTGGCCTGTGCTTTATTATCACCATCAAACAGTGATTCTAAACAGCAATGATAAACTAATTCTCCCTGAACATTTTTCATTTAAGTTCTAAACAAGGACTTTGCTTTCTTTCCATTTTTAACTATGTATGCTTCCAATTAGCACGTTTTCATTATATATCCTTTCACAAACATTCTGTTCTACGTCATGGAAGTCAATTTGGAGAATTTCCAGTTACGCAGTTGGCCTATGACATATGCAGCTACAAGCATTTGTTTCAGGAGTAAGTTCATGATAAATTGTAACTATCAGACCTCAGATTGGGCACAGTTCTACCATGTATTTCTGAGTCTAAAGTGTACATTTGAAATGATCAGTGATAATACAGTGATAGTAAAGACAAAGAAACAGAGCTTGGGTAACTTTAATTCTGTCATTCTACGTGACTTCACAAACATATTAACAAACAGCCAGAATCAACCTAGAACAGTGTACAGTGAAATTGTTTACTGCAGATGGGTACATAGACTTCAAGAAGACCATTAACTCTGCAAAAACAAAATATAAGGAAATGGACATTTCAAAGAAAAATGTCAGGAGAAACAACAAAAGATGCAGGCCTTACATGGCCAGAAGAAATCAAAAAGACAATTTTGAATGCCTGAGTTATTTTCAGCAAGAACTGGACATTCATTCTAAAATAAAGGATCAAATACGATGAACATTTACTATCACTCAGCCACTTTCTCTGATTTTTGCAAAAGAATAACTTGAGAAGTTTTAACTAAATGCAGAAGAAATTTATCATGAATTTCCTGGTGAGGATACTTGAGGGAATTTTTTTTTCACTGCAGAGATGTTTGAAAACTGCTATAATTCATCCTCAAGAAATTACATGGACTGTATTACAATCTCAGATTGACTTTGACATGGAATTTTTATGAATCAATCTCACCTTGATGCTTAAGTTTTTTCTTAACTATTTGTGTTTCTTAACTATTTGTGTTTTTCTTAACTATTTGTGCTTTTCAAAATTAAAGTAATTAAAATATTATTTGTTTAATATGAATGAAGAAGTTTGATTTTCACAGTTCTTGACAAATTTGTAGAAGGCTTGAAAATAGAAACCATAATCCTATTCATTAGTGCAACAGACCAAATGTACGTATGTGTTTGCCTTCTTTTTTTTTATTTTTGAGACAGAGTCTTGCTTTGTTGCCCAGGCTGGAGGCAGTGGTGTAATCACTGCTCACTGAAGCCTTGACCTCCTGGGCTCAAGTGATCCTTTCACCTCAGCCTCCTGAGTAGCTGGGACTACAGAGGCATACCACCACACCCAGCTATTTTTTTTTTTTTTTAGAGATGGGGTCTCACTATGTTGCCCAGGTTGTTCTCCAACTCCTGGGCTCAAGTGATTCTTCCATCTCGACCTCCTAAAGTGATGGGATTACCTCTGTGAGCCACAATGCCTGGCTTGCCTTTTTTTTTTTTTTTTTTTTACATGATTGTGTTTTAAAGGTATCAATCCATTACATGTTTCCCTTTTTGTCCTGTATACTTTTTTATTAAAAAATTTAAAAATTGACTCGATTATATTGTTGGCTGCTGTGGAGGTTACGATCTTGATGAAATCTTAATAGCAGGGAAGCCAGAGGTGGGGATATTTATGAGGTTTCTGGGGTCTATGTTTAAGGTGGGTCTTTCAATGTCAGGCTTGACTGAGATGGGACAAAGTTCATAATAGTTTAGTATTGGTGAATACAGAGAGGATAGGCTTTTGAAATGAGTCTTCAAACAGTAAACAATCATTTGATAATTTCAGTTGAGCTTGCTATTGCTTTGAGAAGATGCTATTTACCTGTGTTATGTGCTGAATGTTTATGTCCCCCCAATTTCATATGTTAGAGTCCTAGTCCTCAATGTCATGGTACAGTTGACCCTTGAACAATGCAAGAGTTAGGTGCACTGATCCCCCACAAAGTAAAAAAAAAAACTGTGTGTAACTTTCGATTCCCCGAAAACTTAACTACTAGTAGCCTACTGTTAACCAGAAGCTTTACCAATAACATAGTCAATTAACACACACTTTGTGTGTTATGTGTACCATATCCTGTATTCTTAACAATAAAGTAACCTAGAGAAAATAAAATATTATTAAGAAAATCATAAGGGTCCAGGTGTAGTCGGTCATGCCTGTAATCCCAACACTTTGGGAGACTGAGATGGGAGGATCACTTGAGCTCAGGAGTCCAAGACCAGCCTGGGCAACATAGTGAGGCTTTGTCTCTATAAAACATTAAAAAGAAGAAGAAGAAGAAGAAAATCATAACGAAGACAAAAATATTTACCATTCATTAAATGGAAGTGGGGCCAGGTGCGGTGGCTCACACCTGTAATCCCAGCACTTTGGGAAGCTGAGGTGGGTGAATCACGAGGTCAGGAGTTGGAGGCCAGCCTGACCAATGTGGTGAAACCCCGTCTGTACTAAAAATACAAAAATTAGCCAGGTGTGGTGGCATGCACCTGTAATCCCAGCTACTCGGGAGGCTGAGGCAGGAGAATGGCTTGAACCCAGGAGGCAGAGATTGCAGTGAGCCGAGATGGCGCTAGTGCACTCCAGCCTGGGCGATAGAGTGAGACTGTGTTAATAAATAAATAAATAAATAAATAAATAAATAAATAAATGGAAGTGGTTCATCATAAAGGTCTTATTCTTGTGGTCTTCACATCAAGTAAACTCAGGAGATGGAAAAAGGGGGTGGTTGGTCTTGCTGTTTCAGGTAGAGGTGGAGGAAAATCTATGTATATATGGACCTGCCCAGTTCAAACCTATGTTGTTCAAGGGTCAAGTGTATCTGGAGGTGGGGCCCTTGGATGTAATTAGGTTTAGATGAGGTGATGTGGGTGGAGCCCCCATCATGGATAGTGTCCTTATCAGAAGAGTACTACACACCAGAGCTTTCTCTCCATGTACACGCACCGAAGAAAGGCCATGTGAAGACACAATGAGAAGGCAGCAGAGAACCAAATCTACTAGCACCTTGATCTTGAACTTCTCATCATCCAGAGCTGTGAGAAGAAGAAAATCTGTTGTTTAAGCCACCCAGTCTATGGTATTTTGTTATAGCAGCTGGAACAGACTAAGACATCCCGCGGAGAGCAAATTGATAGCCTATTTAGAGAAACTGCTATTTCAGGAAATTCAATTTATCTTCTTGATCAAGAATATTCTGGATGAGTAGTGATGTTAATGCAGACAGTAAGCTGTATGACTGTAGACAGTTTTAGTTCTCAATATAGACAAAGTTCAATAAAAGAAAATGATCACTGTCTGCATTTCTTTTTAGACTATCATTATTATTCACTTCATTTCATGATTCTTTCTTTTTTTTCTTTTTTTGAGACAGAGTTTTGCTCTTGTTGCCCAGGCTGGAATGCAATGGCGCGATCTCGGCTCAATGCAACTTCCACCTTCTGGATTCAAGTGATTCTCATGCCTCAGCTTCCCACATAGCTGGGATTACAGGCACCTTCCACCATGCCTGGCTAATTTTTATATTTTTAGTAGAGATGGGGTTTTGCCATGTTGGTCAGGCTGCTCTCAAACTCCTGACTTCAGGTGATCCACCCACCTCGGTCTCCCAAAGTGCTGGGATTACAGGCGTCAGCCACTGTGCCCGGCCCATTTCATGATTATTTCTAAAAATAATTTTGTTGTACAGAGGAGGGCTCTTAAAATCTATCTGATTGCCAATTATGCTAGGAAGGCCAGCTAGAAGAATCATATAAAAAGAGCCTATGGCAGTCTGGGCTGGGAGCAGCAGGCCCACGTGGCCCTGGCCTCATACCCTCAAAAGAAAATAAAGTTATAGGAGCCATCCCAGGGATACTCTGAAAGGGCCAAATATTCATCATGAAATATTTTTGATGTGTTAAAAATGTTTATTTGTACACCCACATTCATACCAACATTATTCACAGGAGCCAAAGGGTAGAAGCAACTCAAGTGTTCATCAGCAGATGAATGGATAAACAAAATATGGTCTATACACACAATGGAATATTATTCAGCCTTAAAAAGGAAGGAAATTCTGACACATAATGCAACATAGGTGAACCTTGAGGTCATTGCTGAGTGAAATAAGCCAGTCACAAAAAGACAAATACTGTATGATTTCACTTATCTGAGTTACCTACAAGAATCATATTCAGGCCGGGCGCCGTGGCTCACGCCTGTAATCCCAGCACTTTGGGAGGCCGAGGCGGGCGGATCACGAGGTCAGGAGATCAAGACCATCCCGGCTAAAAACGGTGAAACCCCGTCTCTACTAAAAATACAAAAAAAATTAGCCGGGCGTAGTGGCGGGCGCCTGTAGTCCCAGCTACTTGGGAGGCTGAGGCAGGAGAATGGCGTGAACCCGGGAGGCGGAGCTTGCAGTGAGCCGAGATCCCGCCACTGCACTCCAGCCTGGGCGACAGAGCGAGACTCCGTCTCAAAAAAAAAAAAAAAAAAAAAAAAAAAAGAACCATATTCATAGAGACAGAAAGTAGAATGGTGGTTGTCAGGGACTGGGTAGAAGGGAGAGTGGGGTGTTATGACTTAATGTGTATAGAGTTTCAGTTTGGACAGATGAAAAGGGTTCTAAAGATCGGTTGCACAACAATGTAAATGTATTTAATGTTTCTAGACTATATACTTAAAAATGGCTAAAAGGAGGCCGGGTGCAGTGGCTCACGCCTGTAATCCCAGCACTTTGGGAGGCCAAGACAGCGGATCATCTGAGGTCAGGAGTTCGAGACCAGCCTGACCAACATGGTGAAACCCTGTCTCTACTAAAAATACAAAATTAGCCAGGTGTGGCCGTGCATGCCCGTAATCCCCACTACTCAGGAGGCTGAGGCAGGAGAATCATTTGATCCTGGGAGGCGGAGGTTGCAGTGAGCCAAGATCGCGACATTGTACTCCAGCCTGGGCAACAAGAGCAAAATTTGGTCTCCAAAAAAAAAAAAAAAAGAAAAAAAAGAAAGAAAAAAGAAAAAAAAGAAAAGCCTAAAAGGGTAAATTTTATGTGAGATATATTTTTTTACCACAATATTAAAAATATTGATTTGTAACATGGAAACATTGATGTCTACCACAATTTGCATAATGCTATTTTGGCATAGGTTTCTTTCTTCTTTTCTTTTCTTTTTTTTTTTTTTGAGATGGAGTCTTGCTCTGTTGCCCATGCTGGAGTGCAGTGGCACGATCTCAGCTCACTGCAACCTCCACCTCCCGGGTTCAAGCAATTCTCCTGCCTCAGCCTCCCAAGTAGCTGGGACTATAGGGGCATGCCGCCACACTGGGCTAATATTTTGTATTTCGTATTCGTCTCGAACTCTTGACCTCAAGTGATCCACCCGCCTTGGCCTCTGAAAGTGCTGGGATTACAGGCGTGAGCCACCTTGCCCGGCCTGGCATAGTTTCCTTTTGAAAAAAAGTTAGCACTGGAGCTAACCTCCTAAGTACCTTTGTGCAGGTGAGAAAAAGCAACTTTTCCTCAGATACTTTGCTGCCATCTGCAAAAAAACGTATCCTAATGCACGTGCAAATCTACAATGACTTCAGTATGAAGGGAGCCCCCTAGAGTTGTGCAGTATACTACCTGCACAGGTTGTTCAAAGAGTCCCCAACAAAACACAAGTGCCCAGGCCTCTCTATCTCTGCAAATAGTCTGGGGTGACTGGTGGTGGGAAAAAAATAAATATAAAATATGAAAAAATAAAAATATAAAAATATAAAAAATAAAAAATAAATTTTTTTTTAATATGGAAAGTTTGGATTATACTGGTTGTAGCTGTTGAAAATGCTGTTCCATCAACATTAATAAGCCAAAAACAAAGTCTCCCAAGGTGCCCAGCTGACAATTCAGGAGGTGGCTTTGAACAAGAAGTGGTGGGAATGATGTGTCAGGAAAGAAAGAAGCCACTGCCAGGGTCGGCCTTATTCATGGATAAACAGATTTATATTATGCGAACACTGAAGAGGCCCTGTGCACATTTCTATTCTCTAGTTTTGGGGATGCCTAAAATTCCAACGACTTTCTTCATGACTTATAGCTTGTCAGAACTACAAAGAGCCTTTGACGTCACCTGGTTCTAATCTCCAATTTCTCAGATGAGACACTGCAGTCTAGAAATGTTAAATGACTCAGCCACAGGCACACACTAGTTGGTATTTTGCTTTGCTCTCTACCTGAGAATCTGGCAGGGAAGAGGGTCCTCCAAGAGAGGAGAGAATATCAAAATGGGCAGGGACGTGGTTCTAGAGACAGGGGTGCTCCACTTCACAGTCATTATAATTTCCCTTTTCCCATAATCCCTAAGCCATAGGAGGGGTGAATGGGGAGGGAAAGGCAGAGGCTCGATAACATTGATAACCCTGAGAAGCATACTAAAGCTTAAGAAGAATCTATAAGTAGTGTGTATTTGACTTTTCATTCATTTATTCACTAAATACATTGAGCATCAACTTAAGACAAGCATTATGTACTTGAGGGTCTTGTGAACTAGTTGGGGAGAGAGACATGTAAACAGATAAATTATAGTAAGACCTGTAATATGCTGATTTAGATGTATGAACCTAGTGCTGAGGGGACCCTGAGGTGGGAACAACTCTTTTTCCACAGAGGCCTTGGGGAAAGCTTTCCAGAGGAAGCAATATTGGAGTGGGTTTTGAAGGGTGAATAGGAGTTTAGCAGGTGGGAAGGGTGTGAGGGAAGGTTCTAAGAATTCCGGGTGGAAATAATAGCCTGTGCCCTGGGGTAGGGTCTAGAGAGTGTGATCCCTTTAGGAATGGCAGGAGCACCCTGTGTTTTAGTAGCACATGGGAGTTGACCTGGGCCAAGGTACCGAGTTGGCATTTTATCCTGTAGCCAAGCAAGTCAACAAAGGCTGTGAAGCAGAGTGTGACAGGATTCCTTGTGGAAGGAGAGAAGGACTCTGGCTTCCAAGGAGGATGAACAGCAGTGAGAGAGAGCAGAGTTGGGGAGACGGGGCAGGGGCTGTGAACACTCAGGCTGTGCTCCATCAGTGAACGAACTTGCCAGGACAAGCCGGGCAGCGGGGTGGAGAATGGCTCAGCCCCAACCCCCTGCAGCCATCTGTTCCTCCACACGCACACTGTGCCTCCTCCCACTCCTGAGCCGGCAGAACTTCTGCCACTGACATTTGAAACAGTGGGGGAGTTGAAAGAGGGAGGCCTGTGGCGAATGCCCCCCACCCCATCCCTCCTTGGGCTTGCTTGGTCTGAATGTGGGATATGATGTATGTGGTTACACGTGTGGCACCTACCTCTAGCAGTCAGGAGGTGAACCAGGAATGTCACTTTATTCCTTCCAATGGAAACGAACTGCCTCTGATACTGAGCATAGCAGGAGAAACTGAGCATCTGGGTGTAAAGCAGAGAAGACTGCTAGTGGGAGAGAAAAGGGCTTTAGTCTGGTAGTGGCTGGTACCAGGAGAACTACATTAGAGCAAGCCTAAGGTTGTCACCAACTTCTGTAGGAACAGGCAGAGGGTTTGTGGCCAGGTAGTCGGCTCAACTCCAGAGGCTGAGCTGACATATTGGACCCTCAGCCTTTGGGCTAATGTAGCCTTAGTCTGAACCAGCTGAGGACATTTTCTAGCTGAGGGTTTGAGGAGAGTTCCTTGTTTGGTAGCCCCCAGCTCAGCACAATGCCGGGTTCAGTAAATGATTCCTAAATGGAATCAAACTCAAGTGAGGAACCTACTGAGAGTCTTCACTTGTAACTGTACACACCTGTATATAGCCCCATGGCTTGTAGCAACATGTTTTTTAAAAGCTGCACATTGGCCACACACAGTGGCTCAAGCCTGTGATCCCAGCACTTTGGGAGCCTGAGGTGGGTGGATTGCTTAAGCCTAGGAGTTGGAGACCAGCCTGGGCAACATGGTGAAACCCCATCTCTACAAAAAATACAAAAATTAGCCAAGCATGGTAGTGTGTGCCTGTAGTCCCAGCTACTCAGAAGGCTGAGGTGGGAGGGTCACTTGAGCCCAGGAAGTCGAGGCTGCAGTGAGCTGTGATGGTGCCACTGCACTGCAGCCTGGGTGACAGAGCGAGACTCTGTCTCAACAACAACAACAACAACAACAACAAATCTGCACGCTATTATCTGGACAGGTGAATATTGAGAGAAGGAGGCGCAAAAAGCATGTGGGGGGGGCAGGAACCATGAACAGAGGCAGGGAGCAGAGAGAGAATGGTGCTGAGCAGGGGCTTGGAGGCCCCTTGTGTAAATGCAGAAGAGATGTTTAACCTTTAGTTGCCTGACAGAGAAAATGGAATGTTCCAGGGAGCAGTGGTGGTGACAGTGGTAGAGGACACTTGAGGGGCTTGCACACCTAAAGAGAAGTTTCTCAATATTTTAAATAACCACTATGGCCATACTGGTGCATGTGGTTACTGAGGGCAAAAGATGAGGGGGCAGGAAAAGACCTAGGCAAGTGCCACAGCAGGACTTACCAAGACAGCTTCATGGCAGACAGACTGCTGCAGTGTCCAGGGTGGAGAAATTGGGAAATAATAATAATAGTAATACTTTCCAGGTTCTCCACACTTAGGTAAGTCATTTAATCCTCACCACAATTCCATGAAGTAGATACATTAATTTTCCTTATTTTACAGATGAGGAAAATTGAAGAGTGCTCCGGATCATAAAGTAATTGAAGAAAAACAATGGGTAAAACATAAGCCCCCTACTGTCTCGTAGGAATTTAAAAACCATAGCCACCCTGTCACAACCTGCTCTCTACCCAAGGTCTCCCATGACTGCAACGCACACCAAAACCTTGTTTGTAACTGATGGATTTGAAGGTGGGAGATTCAAGTAGAATATGTGAGAAATAGCTTTAACATTTTACAACCAAATCAATAAAAGCTAAAAACACAGTTGCCTCTCCCTGTATTAACCAGTGCTGGGAACAGGCAAAAATATGTGAGTTGCTTGCTCCAGGAAACTAATAGCCCCGGAAGACAGGAGTATGAACCAACCAGCAGCTTGCCCATCGACAGATCCCTCAGGACCCTCGTCTCATGGAGCCACCACGCAAAGCTATTATGTCATAAACTCTACCTCATTCTGACCAGTTCCCCACCTTGCAAGACCTGCCTGAAAATCCTCAACGCTGGTCCTAAAAACCCGAAAACATCTCTCTGTACTTTCCCGTGATGAGACATTATGAAGACTTTGTCAAGGTGATGTTCTCCCTTAGCTTTGTTTGATCAACAGGTTTTTCTGGGTTTCTTTGACGAGTTAAGAGTTGACGTTAAGCATGTATTTGACAAGACAGCCCTGGTAACATCGCGACCTTATCAGGGCAAGATATTAAAGCAGTATTATGGGTGTAAAACACACACGTTTGGATCCTTCCTGCTACAGCGATGTGTGCCCCAAAACCAGGGCAGGAGACTCAGACACTGGGGAGCTGAGGGGCACTGTTTCCCCATGACTGAACATGGTCATCACAATGACTCAGGAACCTTCAAGGGCTCAACCACCCTCACAGCCCCTGGAGTTCCTGCCTTCCACCCAAATTGCCATGAAGTGTGTCATGAGACCCTGCCACCCTGGCCATACAGACTGGACCAGAAATGGAGTTCTAACAAAGGCACCTCTAGATGTTATAAGCGAGGACAGTGGAGGCTTTTGAGATGGCAGGATATGAGACATCAGACCAATAGTCAGGGAATGCTAATTAACTCACCAAATCTTATTCTCTCTGGGGGTGAGAGAGAAGCATAGGAAAAATTACAATGGGAACCAAGAGAAGTAATGAGAGAGGCAGCAGGAGAAATAATTGGAGAGTCGAGAGAGAATCTGAGTCATGAGAACAGAGTCACTAGATGAGGGAACGGCAGATGCTCAGTTCTGATGGGACCACAAAATATTGGAGTCAGAGAGCTACTGATGTATCCTGAACAGCTGCAGGTCCTGTTCCCATTCTCCATGAGGCCTATGGCTTTGCTGATGATTTGTTGTAATCATGATAAGATAATAAGTAACATAAGTTATTTTACAGCAATGTATTATTTATTTATTTATTTATTTTTTTGAGACGTAGTTTTGCTTGTTGCCCAGGTTGCAGTGCAATGGCACGATCTCAGCTCACCACAACCTCCGCCTCCTGGGTTCAAGCGATTCTCCTGCCTCAGCCTCCTGAGTAGCTGGGATTACAGGCCTGCACCACCATGCCCAGCTAATTTTGTATTTTTAGTAGAGGTGGGGTTTCTCCATGTTGGTCAGGCTGGTCTCAACCTCTGGACCTCGGGTGATCTGCCCACCTCGGCCTCCCAAAGTGCTGGGGTTACAGGCGTGAGTCACCGCACCTGGCCGTCGATGAATCATTTAACACAACAATATGCACAGATCTTAAATGTTCAGTTCTACGAATTTTGGAAATTATATACACCCATGTAACCACCAACGAAAACAGGATAGAACATTTTCCTGATCCCAGAAAGTTCTCTCGTGCCTCTTTCCAATCAATCCTTCTTGTTACCAAAAGCACCAAAGGTTAATGTGGCCTTTCTTGTGCTTCATCTGCAATGTCCTTTTTGTGTCTAGTTTCTTTCACTCAACGTAATGGTTTGGAGAGTCATCATGTTGCAAGTACCGATAGTTGTTTTCTTATTATGACTAAGTAGTATTTCACTGTAGGAACATGCTGCTATTTGTTCATCTTTTCTCTGTTGAAGGGCATTTGGGTTGTTTCTACTTTGGGGCTACTAAAAATAAGGCTGCTACAAACATTCATGGACAAGTGTTCTTGAGGTTATAACTTTTAATTTTCTTGGATAAATACAAGGAGTGTAATTTCTGGTTTATAGGCTTAATGTGTGTTTAAACTGATGGAAGTGCCAGGCTGGTTTTCAAAGCAATTGCACCTCTTTATACTCCTACCACCCAGGTCTGAGAGTTCCAGTTGCTCTGCTTCATTGCTGATGTTTAGTGTTATCAGTCTTTCTTGATTTTAGTCATCCTATTGAGTGTGAAATGATGTCTCACTGTTGCTTTATATGCATTTCCTGGATGAATAATGATGTTGAGCACCTTTTCATATGCCTTTAACCATCTGTATATCCTCTTTTCTGAAGAGTCTGTCCAAGTTTTGTGCCCATGTTTTAAATGAGGTGGTGATTTTTATTGTTGAGTTGTGACAATTCTTTATATATTGAGGATATGGATTCCCTCCAACTTTTTTTTTTTTTTTTTGAGACAGGGTCTTGCCCTGTTCATTTAGGCTAGAGTGCAATGGTGTAATTATAGCTCACTGCAGCCTCAACCTCCTGTGCTCAAGTGATCCTCATGCCTCAGCCTCCCCAGTAGCTGGGACTACAGTCACAAGCCACTGTGTCTGGCTAGTTTTTTTTTTTTCCAGTAGAGATGAGGTGAGGTCTTGCTATGTTGTCTGTCCTGGTCTTGAATTCCTGGGCTCAATCTTCCTGACTTGGTCTCCCAAAGTGCTGGGATTATGGGTATAAGCCACCACACCTGGCTTTTCTTTTTCAGATGAATATGCTGTAATTTTTTTTTTCCAATCTGTGGTGTGCCTATTAATTTTTTTGTTTTGTTTTGTTTTTTGTTTTTTCACTCTTGTTGCCCAAGTTGGAGTGCAATGGCACAATCTCAGCTCACTGCAACCTCCACCTCCCGGGTTCAAGTGACTCTCCTGCCTCAGACTCCCGAGTAGCTGGGATTAGAGGTGCATGCCACCACACCCGGCTAATTTTTTGTATTTTTAATAGAAATGGGGTTTCACTGTGTTAGCCAGGTTGGTCTTGAACTCCTGACCTCCGGTGATCTGCCTCGGCCTCCCAAAGTGCCGTGATTACAGGCATGAGCCACCGTGCCTGGCTCTTCATGGTGTTTTTTGTTGAAAGAACTAACATTGTTTTGAGTACCAGCCACTTAAAACATTAAGTGCTTTACCAGCATTATTTCATTTAATCTCACATAAAATTAAAAGTTGGATATTAATCTTCCCTTTTTACAGATAACAAAAGGCCAAAGGAAGTTAAATAATTTGCACCCAGCTCAGGGATGGGCACATCAACATTTGAATCAGTCAGTTGTTTTAGCCTGAGGTTATCTTTTTAAACCTCTCCGGAGGTGGAGAGAATGATATTACTCCCAATATCACAGGGGGTGTACACCACCCCTGTTTGATATTGTTGGTAATATTCTGTTTGTCAGAGGACGATGTTACCTCCAATATCGCAGAGTGTGTAAACACCCGCTGTGATATTGTTCCTAATGGCCTGTGAAAGAGAAAATATTACTCCCATTATCGCAGGGGGGATTCAGCCCTGACGATACTGTTTTCTAATATCCAGGGAAGGAGAGTATGATATTACTCCCAATATCGCAGGGGTTGTACACCTTTTGTGATATTGTGCCCAATATCCAGGGAAATAGAAGATGATATTACCCCCAATATCACAGAGGGTGGACACCCCCCGGGATATTGTTCCTAATGTTCCAATGGGGAGAGGATGATATTACTCCTAATATCGAAGTAATTGTACAGCAACCCTGTGATGTTCTTCCTAATATCCAGAAAGGAAAAGAATATTACTCCCAACAGCATAAGAAATGTATACCCGCACTGTGATATTTTTCCCCATATCCAGGTGGGGAGAGGATCATATTACTTCCAATGTCGCAGGGTGTGTACACCCCCTCTGTGATCTTGTTGCTAACATCCAGGTTTGGGGAGGATGACATTACTCCCAATATCGCAGGGGGAGTACACTCCCCCGTGACCTTGTTAGTCATTTCCTGGGTGGAGAGGATGATATTACTCCCAATATCGCAGGGGGTGTACACACCCTGTTAAAATCTTCCTAATACCCAGAGGGAGAGAGGATGATATTACTCCCAGTACCACAGGGGGTTTACACAGCCCTGTGATACTCTTCCTAATATCCACAGGGAGAGAGGATGATATTACTCCTAATATCGCAGGGGGTGTACACAACCCTGTGACATTGTTCCTAATATCCAGAGCGAAAGAGGATGATATGACTCTCAATTTCGCAGGGTGTGTACACCCCTCCTGTCCTATTGTTCTGAACACCCTGGGAGGGAGAGGATAAGGTGACATTGAATATCGCAGGGAATGTACACCCTCCCCCTCTGATACGCTTCCTAATATCCAGGGGAAGAGAGGATAATTGTAATCCCAATATCACAGAGGCAGTACACCTCACCTGTGATATTGTTTCTAATATGCAAGGGGGGAGAGGATGATACTACTCCCAATATCGCAGGGATGTTCACATCCCCAGTGACATTTTTTCCTAATATCTAAGGGAGAGACAATTATATGACAGCAAATGTCGCAGGGTCTGTACATCCCCTGATATTGTTCTTAATATCCAAGGGGGAAGAGGATGATATCAAATATCAAAGGGGGTGTATACCACCCACCTGTGATATTGTTACTATTCACGAGGGGAGACGATGATATTACTCCAAATATTGCAGGGGTTGTTCACACCCCCTGTGATATTGTTTCTGATATCAAGGGGTGGAGAAAATCATATTACTTCCAATATTGCAGGTGGTGTATACCCCACCTGAAATATGGCACCGAATATCCAAAGAGGGAGAAGATGGTATTAATACCAATATCGAAGTGTGTGTACACACCCCTTGTGATACGGTTTTTAATATCCAGGGGGCGGGAGGTTGATATTAGTCCCAACATCCCAGAGGGTGTGCACTACCCCTGTGATATTGTCCCTAACTCCCGGAGGGGAGAGGATGAGATCACTCCCAATATCTCAGAAGTTGTACTTCCCCCGTGATATTGTTCATCATATCCAGGGAGGCACAGGATGACATTCCATTGAATTTCATGACAGGCGTACATGCACAGTGTGATATTGTTCCTAACATCCAAGAAAGGAGAGGATGATGTTACTCCCAACAAAACAGTGGGTATACATTACCCCTGTGTTATTGTCTCTAATATCCGGGGCCGGGGGACAGGGGGAGAGGATAACATTCCCTCAAATTTAACAGATGGTTTGACGCCCCTTGTGGTGTTGTTAATATCCAGCGGGGAAGACAATAATACTCTTTTTGATAGTCTGATTCATCCGCTCCACCTTTCTGGAACTCTGAGGCCGGGAGGCGGCATGCAGTTTCTGTGTGATCCCCAATACCTTTGCCGTCTTCTGTACCAAGGCAGCCAAAAATGCAGGCCCGTTATCTGAGCCAATTCATAAGGCCAGTCGAAATCTCGGAATCAGATCTCGAAGAAGCACAGGAGTTACTTCACGAGCTTTCTCAGTTCGTGTTGGATAGGCCTCCACCCACCCAGAGTAGGTATGTGCAAGAACTAGTAAATACTTGTTACCTCCACACTTTGTCATCTCTGTGAAGTCTACCTGGAGATCTTCAAAGGGGGCTGCTCCATAAGCTGGTATGCTGGGTGGAATGGCTGGACCTTGCCTCGCATTATGCTGTCGGCAGGTAACACACCGCTGTGTCACCGTTTTGGCGAGGGCTGACAAATGCGAGATGTAGAAATACTGGCCTAACAACTTTTCCAGTGACTCCTGACATTGATGGGTGGTTTCATGCACAGCCACTACAACTGCAGCTCCTCGCAGCTGTGGCACAGCTACTCTCCCATCTGGTAACCGAATCCATCCTTCCTCCATCACTTGTCCTTCCCTCTACCTGGAGAAAGTCCTTTTATTCTTTAGAAGAAGTAGGTCCAAGATCAGGTGCTTGAGGGAGCAGAGGAGCTGTGACTGATGCCTGGAAAGGGGCAGATGCTGCTTTTTGAGCCTCTGAGTCAGTGCGGGAATTCCCCAAACCCAGCAAGGTGGAAGCTCGCTGGTGTCCTCTGCAATGCATAACTGCCACCTTGTGGGGTTTCCATACTGCTTCTAATAATTGCAAGATTTCTTGTTGATATTTTCTGTCTTTTCCCCCAGAGTTCAATAGGCCCTTTTCTTTCTATCATGCTCCATGCACTTGAAGGGTTAAAAAGGCAAACCGAGAATCAGTGTAAATGTTGACAGTCTCAGCCTCACTGAGTTCTAAGGCCCGAATGAAAGCAATGAGTTCAGCTTTCTGGGCTGAAGTGCCCTGGGGCAACCATCTGGCTTCAGGGTTACCACTGAATACCCTGCGCATCTCTCTCCTTGTGGGTTGAAGAAGCTGCTCCCATCCACGTATAGTTTCCAGTCTACTGATGCCCAAGGCTGGTCCTGGAGGTCAGGTCTGCTAGAGTCAATTGAGTCCAACACTTCTACACAATCATGCTCAACAGGGCTCTGTGATACCGGGACCAAGGTGGCGGGGTGTAGGGTGTTACAAACTTCAATGGTTATACGGGGATTTTCACAGAGCAAACTTTGGTACTTGGTAAGTCTAGTATTCGTTAGCCAATGATGTCCTTTAGTATTCATTAAAGTCACCACAGCATGGGAAGCCTTTATGTTCAGGTTTTGCCCAAGAGTCAGCTTATTTGCTTTTTGTACTAGTAGGGCAGTTGCTGCCAAGGTCTTCAAACAGGGGGGCCATCCTTTAGAAACCCCATCTAGTTGTTTAGAGCGCTAGGCCACCGGCCTCAGCCAGGGCCCCACAGTTTGGGTTAAAAGTCCACCTGCCATCTTTTCTCTCTCTGACACATACAATGTAAAAGGCTTTGTCAGATTGGGTAGCCCCAGGGCTGGGGCTGACATAAGTTTTTCCTTTAACTCATGAAAGACTTGCTGTTGTTGGGATCCCCATTCTAAAGATTCCCAGTCCCCACCCCCTCTGTGACCTCTTACAAAGTCTTGGCTAATACTGCAAAGTTTGGGATCCACAGTCTACAAAACCCCACAGCTCCTAAGAATTCTCTCACCTGCCTACTGCTCTTAGGCTCTGCTAGATTGCAAATGACCTGCTTTCTTTCTGATCCCAGGCTGTGTTCCCCCTGTTGGATAGTAAATCCCAAGTAACGTACCTGCTGTCGGCAGATCTGAGCTTTTTTTCTTGGACACCTTATACCCGCAGACCTCCAGGTGCTGGTGTAGGGCATCTGTTCCCTTGGCGCACCCGACTGCCGTGGGGTGTCCCAGCAAAAGATCATCAACCTACTGGAGCAACACGCAGCCTAGGTCTCTGGTGGGAAACTTCTGGAGGTCTCGAGCCAATGCCTCCCCGAAGATGGTGGGGGAGTTCTTGAACCCTTGGGGAAGCCCGGTCCAAGTGTGCTGAGTAGAGACACCTAACTCTGGATCTTCCCACTGAAAGGCAAACAGCTTCTGCCTCTCAGGGGCTAATCTGATAGGAAAGAAAGCGTCTTTCAGGTCCAAGGTGTCCTCAGCTGGCAGCAACCCCAACAATGTGGACTGGTTAGGTACTGTTGGATGTAAAGTCAGTGTAGCTTGATTAAGCAAGCGCGAATCCTGTACCGGCCGGTAGTCCTTGGTCCGTGGCTTGGGAACAGGCAGGAGGGGAGTGTTCCATGGAGACTGACAAGGAACAATCATTCCAAAAGTTCTTAGGTGCTTGAGACGGACCTGGATACCTTGAAGAGCTTCTCTGGGGACCGGGTCCTGTTTTTGCCTAACCAGCTGGGCCCCAGGCTTAACTTCTATGAGTACAGGGGCTTGGTTGACTGCCAATCCCAGAGGGTTGTCTTCTGCCCATACTCTTGGCCACTGCTTACTCAGAGCTGGTCTTCTCTCTTGGCCTGGCTCAGTTAAGAAAAGTCTCCATTCCTTCTCTTGGGGGACCATAAGCGTCATAATGACTCCCGTTCTGGGTAACTTTAGTAGGAAAGAGCCGTGCTCTGTCAAAGAGATAGTGGCTCTCAGCTTGCTAAGCAAGTCCCTTCCCAACAAGGGCAAGGGACAGTCAGGCATGTACCAAAACTGATGAATGACTTTATGTCCTCCTACAGTACAAGTCCGAGGCAAGCAGGAAGCTTGCTTTGCTGAAACTCCTGTGGCTCCGATGATGTCAATAGTCTTTTTGGATAAGGGGGCGACCGGGGCGGTTACTAGCGAATGTTCAGCACCGCTATCTACAAGAAAATCAATGTCTCTTCCCCCAACTGTCATTCTGACCAGAGGCTCTTTGGGGATGCTTGAGCCCAATAACCCTTCTGCCAGGTTGAGTAGGGCCCCTTCTTCCTTGTCTGGGGCCTCCTGCTTGGAGTCACCTTGTTTTCTTTTGAGCTGAGGGCATTTGTTCTTCCACTGTCCTATTTCTTTACAATAAGCACACTGGTTATGCTGCAAACTCTGACAGTCAAGCTGAGTTTCTTTCCCAGGGCCCCCCTTCCCTTGCCTCTTTGGGGGGGCCCCTCTGATTGCTGCAGCTAACAAACAGGTCAGCATTTCACCGGGCCTGACCTCCATTCTCTTTGCCGTTTTCCTTACGGCTTACTGCATCCCTGTTTACAAACACCTGGCTAGCTATTTCTAGTAATTGTGATGTATTCATCCCTGCAAGCCCAGCCTGTTTCTGCAGTTTTCTTCTCATGTCTTCTGCACTTTGACAGACTAAAGCCATGTTAATCATGTGCTGATTTCAGGGCTATCGGGATCAAAGGGAGTATACATACCATAGGCCTCACACAGTCTCTCGTAGAATTGTGCTGGACTTTCTTCTTTTCCCTGAATGACCTCAGAGACCTTGCTAATGTTTGTAGCCTTCTGAGCTCCCCTCCTTAATCCTTCCAAGAGAGCTTCCCTGTCTCCGTGTAGCCTTTGTATATCCTCTCTTTCATGTGGGTCCCACTGCCGGTCGGTTCCTGGTAACTGGGTCCTTCCATACTCTTGCGGGTTTTGATAATCAGCTGGTGCATGTTCCTCTAGCCACTTAGTTGCCGCTTGGAGCACGCTCTGCCTTTCATCTCTGTTAAAGAGGAACATAAGCAACTGGTGGCAATCAGCCCAGGTGGGGTTGTGGGTCTGGATAACAGTTTGGAGCAAGTCAATTAGAGCTTGTGGCTTTTCGGTATAGGATGGGGTATTGTTTTTCCAGTCAAGAAGGTCGGCAGAGGTGAAGGGCTGGTACCTAAAAACACGCCTCTCCACCACGTGACCATCCTCATCTATCCCAGTATACCGCTGCTCTCTCAGGGGCATTTGTATCCCCGTTTTGAGTCATAAATGAGCTGCCAAGGGAGGGGTTTCTCCTGAATCTTCACCTCCTCTCTTGTCTACTCTGGGTAGCCTAGGGATATGCTTGTCTTGCGGAGGTGCAAGCACTGTGGGCTCAAGAGTGGGGAGCCTCTTTCCCTGGTAAGAGGGGGCACCACTGGGATCTCTGGTGCCATCTCCTGCAATGGATCTTCTGACATTGCGTCAAACAGAACGTCAGGAGTTGATTTCCCTGGGTGGGTGGAGAGGGATCCTTCCTTAGCTATCTGTCCCTTTGCTACTAGTATTGCTGCTGCCTGCCCTCTTAGCCACTGTGGGGGGTCTAGCACCAGCTGTCACCAAGTGTCTATGTATGGGAACTGGTCTAGGTATCCTTTACCAGTTACCTTGTGCGACACCTTGGAAACAAGGGACCTGTCCAGGCTTCCTTCTGATGGCCAACCCACTTCTAATGGTGGGCAATCTATTTCCCACAAGATTCTAAGTTCCCCTGGTGGTCTAGTGCTTAGGATTTGGCACTCTCGCCACCGCAGCCTGCGTTCAATTCCCGGTCAGGGAACCAAGAAATGGAGCAGGACTGGCCACGGACAAAACCCCTCAGATAGCGGAATAAAGAAGGAAGAGGTTTTTTTATTTGGCTGGGAGCGTCGGCACACTTGCATCTTAAGAGTCAAGCTCCCTGAAGGAAGACAGAGTTCCTGGCCTGTTTAAGGGCTTACAACTCTAAGGGGTTCCACGTGAAAGGGTCGTGATGGATTGAGAGCACATGTGCTTAGAGTGGGGGAGGGGGTGGTTAATATTTTCACCTCAGGTGGGCTCCTCAGTGCCACCGGCTGGTCTTGCCGCTGACTTCATTCCTGTTGTTTTTCAACTTTTACTTCCTCCTCCTCTTCAGAGACAGAAGACAGTAGAGAAATGGCTTCTCTCCTCAGGGCGACCGGATGATATTACTCCCAATATCGCAGGGGGTGTACACACCCCTGTGAAACTCTTCCTACTATCCAGAGGGAGAGAGGATGATATTACTCCCAGTACCCCAGGGGGTGTACACAGCCCTGTGATACTCTTCCTAATATCCACAGGGAGAGAGGATGATATTACTCCCAATATCACAGGGGGTGTACACAACCCTGTGACATTGTTCCTAATATCCAGAGCGAAAGAGGATGATATGACTCTCAATATCGCAGAGGGTGTACACCACTCCCGTAATATTGTTCTTAATACCCTGGGAGGGAGAGTATAAGATTACATTGAATATCACAGGGAATGTACACCCTCCCCCTCTGATACCCTTTCTAATATCCAGGGTAAGAGAGTATAATTGTACTCCCAATATCGCAGAGGCAGTACGCCTCCCCTGTGATATTGTTCCTAATATCCAAGGGAGGAGAGGATGATACTTCTCCCAATAAAGCAGTGGGTGTACTTTATCCCTGTGTTATTGTCTCTAATATCCGGGGCAGGGGGGAGAGGATAAAATTCCCTGAAATTTGGCAGGTGGTTTGACACCCCTTGTGGTATTGTTTTTAATATCCAGCGGGGAAGACAATAATACAACTCTCAATATCACAAGAAATGTACATCTTCCTGTGATATTGCTACTAATATCCAGGGGTAGAGAGAATGACGTTACTCCCTATATCGTCAAAGTGTCCACCCCCCTTTGATATTCTTCTTAATATATGGAAGGCAAGTATGATAAGACTCCCAATATGGAAGGGGGAATACACGCCCTTGTGATATTTTTCCCAGTATCGAACTGGGTGTACATCCCTTCTGTGATGCTGTTGCTAATATCCAGGTGGGGAGAGGACAGTATCAATCCCAATTATCCAGAAGATGTAGACCTCCCCTGTGATGTTGTCCCTAGTATCTAAAAGTGGAGAGGAAGATATATCTCCCAATTTCGCAGGGTTGTACACCACCCCTGTGATATTGTTTCTAATGTCCACGGGTAGAGAAAATGACATGACTCACAATATGGCAGGGGGTGAACACCCCCTCCATGATACTGTCCCTAATATTCAGGGGGAGAAGAGAATGATACTACTCCCAATATCACAGGGGTTGTACTCCCAATATCCCAGGGGGTGTATAGTATCCCGACCTCGGATAGACTCCGCCACCATGCAGGTAGTAATATCATCCCCCTCTCCTTCACTGGATATTACGATACACATCGCAGGGGGGCAGGCGACCCCCGCGATGCGGGGAGAAACATCACCCCCCCACCCCCGATATTACGAGCCGCATCGCAGGGGGTGGACATCCACAGTGATGCGGGGAATAATATCTACCCCCCTTCCCCATGGATATTAGGAGCTACATCGCAGGGGCATGGGCACCCCCCGCTGATGCGCAGGTGTCCTCTCCCCGCCTGGATATTAGCAACAACATCACAGAAGGGATGTACACTCAGTTCGATATTTGGAGTAATCTCATCGTCTACCCCTGGCTGTCAGGAACAACATCACAGGGGGGTGTATATTTTCTGCGATATTGTGAGGAATGTCGCAATATTACGTATCGCAATTAATAATATCAATTATTAATTGATACTAATAATTATCAATATTAAAAACTGATACTATAATTTTTAAAATCAATACCGATAATGATAATTAATATTAAATAGTTATACTAAAGAAAACAATAAATGATTAATATTAATGATAAACAATGCCTGAAATTAATAACTGATACTGACCTTATTCATTAGAAAACAGTAATAGTAGCTCCTAATAATTAATACTAACATTAATAATCTGATAACTTTATTAGCAATTATTCCTTAATATTAATATTGGTAATTCATAGTCATGTTACTAATAAATGAGTAATAATTAATACTAATATTACGCCTAATATCTCAGTGGGTGTACACTCACGTGTGATATTGTTCCTAATGACCAGGGAGTGAGAGAGCATGATATTACGTTCAATATCGCAGTAGGTGTACACCCACTCGGTGATATTGATCCGAATATAACATCCAGGGGTGGAGTATGACGTTACTCCCAATATAGCAGTGGGTGTACATCCACTCGGTGATATTGCTCCTAACATTCACAGAAGAAGAGAATGCTTTACTCCCAGTATCGCAGGAAGTGTACACCCCTTCTGTGATATTGTTCCTAATATCCGGAGGGGGAGAGGGTGATATTACTCCCAATATCGCAGGCTGTGTACACCCACCTTGTGATATTGTTCCTAATAGCCAGGAAGGGAGAGGACGATATGACTCCCCATACAGCAGAAGGTGTACACCCATCCTGGGATATTATTCCTAATATCCATGGAGAGGAGAGGCTGATATGACTCCCAATATCGCAGGGGGTGTACATCCAGTCTGTGATATTGTTCTTAATATTCAAAGGCAGAGAGGTTATTACTCCCAATATCACGGAAATTGTACAAACCCGTGTGATATTGTTGATACTATCCAGAAGAAGAGAAGATGATATTACTCCCCATATCGCAGGAGGTTTACACCCACTCTATGATATTGTTCCTAATATGCAGGGCGGGAGAGGATAATATTCCTCTTAATACGGCCGGGTGTGTACATCGGCCTGTGATACTGTCCTTAATATTCCAAGGCGGAGAGGATGATCTTACTACCAATACCGCAGAAAGTGTACACCACGCCACTGATATTGTTCCCATGATCCATGAGACAAGAGGATATTACTTTCAACATCGCATGGGGTGGACACGCCCCCAGTGATATTTTTCCTAATTTCAACGTGGGAGAGGATGATACTACACCCAATGCCACTAGGGGTAGAAACACTCCTGTGATATTTTTCTTAATATCCAGAGGGAAGAGGATGCAATTACTGCAAATAGTGCAGAGGATGTACACCCATCTGTGATATAGTTGGTAATTTCCAGAGGTGGAGAAGATATTACTGAGAATAACGTGAACAGGCTACGTGACCACCCTGGATCATAATATCCAGGGGGGGAGGGGGGCGTGATATTACTCGACGCATCGCGGAGGGCGCCCGCCCCGCTGCGATGTGGATCGTCATATCCGGGGGGGAGAGGGGGGTGATATTACTCCCCGATTTGTCCTAGGATCTTTTCCCTACTGCCACCCTTGGTTCACACCCTGGGACATTATCTTCCATATTGTAGCAAGATGCGGCTGCTAAAGTCGCAGAGGGTATACACCCTTCAATACTATTCCTAATTTTGTAGGGGAAAGTTAAACCTGATGTCACAGGACTCTGTACACTGTGATGTTATTCCCAATATCCTAGCTTTACCTTAATAATAATGTCACATTGTGTGTTCACCTTGTGGTGTTATTCTTATTCTCCTAAGGGGAGGTTGCATTTATTGTCACACGGGGTATGTTCCGTTTGATATTATTCTTAATATCCTAGAGGGATGTCACTCCTTATGTCACAGGGTTTGTACACCTTGTCCAATTACTCGTATTATCCTCATAAGATGTCACTCCTCATATCACAGAGGGTGTACACTCTGTGATCTTGTCGTCATATTCTAGGGAAATGTTACTTTTAATTTCACAGAGGGTGCACACCTTGTGAAATTGTTCGTTATAATTTTGTGGGATGTTACCCCTAATGTCACACGGCGTGTACACACAGTGATGTTACGTGCAATATGCTATGGAAATGTTACTCGTAATTCACAGGTCCTGTACACCCTTTAATAATCTTCATAATCTTAAAGGTTGCTCATTGCAACCTCCGCTTCCCGAGTTCAAGTGCTTCTTGGGCCTCAGCCCTCCGAGTAGCTGAGACTACAGGCACGTGTCACCACGCCCGGCTAATTGTTTGTGTTTTCAGTAGAGACGGGGTTTCACCATGTTGGCCAGGCGGGTCTCGAACTCCTGGCCTCAAGTGATTCGTGCGACTCGGCCTCCCACAGTGCTGGGATTACAGGCCTGAGCCACTACACCTGGCCAAGATTTTCTTTTTGTTCCTACATAGAAGTGAGGACATGAAATATTTGTCATTCTGTGCCTGGCTTCTTTCACTTAATATACAGACCTGCAATCTCATCCATTTTGTCTGCAGTGGAGAGGATTTTGTTTATTCCTTTTTAGGCTGAATAATACTTCATTGTGTGTGTATACCACAGTTTCTCAATGGAAACAAATTTCTAAAAAGCAAATATTTTTAACATGTCTCGGACTGTGAAACTTCAGGGATACGTTGCCGATTTTATTCTTTTCTATTTCCCATCCTATGTATATGCAAGTGTATAACAAAGCAGCAATCAAAGTGTGTATAAATCTATAATTTCAACAAATGTAAAATGTAAATGCTAAGTGGTGGCTGGGCGCGGTCACTCCCGCCTGTAATCCCAGAACATTGGGAGGCGGAAGCGGGTGGATCACCTGAGGTCGGGAGTTCAAGACCAGCCTGACCAATATGGAGAACCACTGTCTGTACTAAAAATACCAAAAAAAAAAAAAAAAGAAAGAAAAAAAGAAAAAAAAAAAAATCAGCCGGGCATGGTAGTGCATGCCTGTAATCCCAGCTACTTGGAAGGCTGAGACAGGAGAATCGCTTGAATATGGGAGGCAGAGATTGCAGTGAGCCGAAATCATGCCATTGCACTCCAGCCTGGGCAACAAGAGTGAAACTCTGCCTCAAAAAGAAAAAAAAAAAAAAAAAAAAGAAAAAAAATATAAAATGCTAAATGGTAAGAAACAACTGCATAATAAACATTGGTATGGTGTTGATGGACAATGCATTTGAAGATAATATTTGAAGAAATCATATTACAATTAACTTCCGTTCTTACTCATTGGAGCTTGATGCCTCTAAAAACTTCGTCATTGCAACCACCTCTGGTGCTTTAAAAAATAAACAAAAAAAAATCCACATACTCACACAGGTGCAAGGAAATCAGAATCTCAGGTATTGAGACCCAGGCCTCATCATTTGTAAGCTCCCCAGGTGATTTGACTCAAAGCCAAGATTGAGGACCGGTGACTTGGATCTCTACACATAACCTGCCTAAATTGATTCTCTAGAAGCAGTTTATAAAGAAATTCCACATGAACTCTGGAAGAGGATATGAATTTGATTTACAGTATGTCCTCACTTAACATCTTTGAAAGTCTCTTGGAAACTTCACCTTTAAGCAAAATTAGATATAGCGAAACCACTTATTCCTCACCAACAGTATAACTACACAACTTTGAACAACCAGTGGTGTTGGAGGACCTCCTGTACATTGTTTCCATAAAGTCAGTCTTCAGGGAATTCCAAAATGAAGAGAGGACTTCGTGTATATAAAAAGATGGTTGTGATTCCACCTGGATGACAGGGTTATTGCTCAGAAACTAAAAGAGGCCGCCTAGGTATAGAGGATTCTGTCATGAGGTTCCTGCTAAACAGAGGATCCCAGAATACTCACCCATTCCAGTTAAAGGCATAACGAAGAAAGCAATATTCACAAAGGAAATGCGGAAAGGAATAAAAGCCATCAAGCCACAAAAAGAATGTGACTAAGGGGCAGGATTTGCAGATGTAGGGATTTAATGTGGTTGCCCTTTCTCACCCACACAAGAAAAAGGATGGAACAGATCATGAGATTCCACTGTTCTGCTACTCAGCCTCTGCAGGGCACTTTGAATGTCCCTGTTTCTCAGGCTGTAGATGAAAAGGTTCAGCATGGGGGTGACCACAGCGTACATCACTGACGCCGCCACACCATTCCTGGGGGGTGGTGACACAGCTGAAGTCAGGTACATGCCAATGCCTGTTCCATCAAATCAGCAAACAACTGCTAGGTGAGAGCCACAGGTGGCGAAGGCTTTATACTTCCCATCTGACGATGACATCCTTAGAATGGAGGGGACAATTTTATACTAAGACAAAGGATCCCTGAAATGGGAAGAAAACCAAACAGTACTATCGAAATATATAAATACGCTATTGATGACGGTGTCAGAACAGTCAAGGTTGAGAAGTTGAGATGGCTCATAGACAAAATTAGCAATTTCCACATTATTGAAGAAAGTGAATTGTAACACAATCTAACTGTGCAGCTGGGAATCCAACAGGCTAAGGAAAAAGGACACCAAAACGAAGAAGACACAGAGGTGAGGATTCATGATGACTGGGTAGTGCAGAGGGCGACAGATGGCTACAAAGCAGTCATAGGCCATCACAGTCAGGAGCATGTCTTCTATACATGCAAAAAGGACCAAGAAAGACATCCGTGTCAGGCAGCCCGCATGAGAGATGACTCTGCTATGCGACTGCATGTCCATGATCATCTTGGGAACCATGGGCGAGGTGAAACCGATGTCAGCCCAGCACAGGTTGGAGAGGAAGAAGTACATGGGGGTGTGGAGTTGGGAGTCAGAGCTGACAGCCAGGATGCTGAGCAGGTTCCTCAGCACCGTGACCAGATACATGGACATGGACAGGGACAGGGACAGCAAAGCGAGGACCGGCTGCAGTTCTGGATCCTCTGAGAGTCCCAGGAGGAGGAATTCTCAGACACCTGTGAGATTCCGTGGCTCCGTGTGTCTTGGACACCTTGAGAAGGAAAGAGGATTGGAAAAATAAAAGATAAAAACCAGCCCTTAATGCTGTGTGTATATTTTGGATGCAAGCAATTCACAGGGAACATTTTCACACTTGAGGACCATACGCCATCAGCAATATTTCTCAGTTGTGACAAACCCAAAAATCTCAGAGTTATTACGTGATTTACTTTTTTGCTATTCAACTCCTTCTGTACATACTACTTTAGAGAAAACCCACTGAAGAATGTTGGAAGACCAAAACTTAATATATAACAAATCCGTGATCTCAGTAAAATACGGCCTACTCTTTTCAGAAAAAATAAAATGCAATGAAAATGTCCTTCTCTCTTTAAGAAAAAGATCTCAGTCTAATTGAAAGAAATTAAGAAGCAGTGAAATACGCTCTATTTTATTCTGACACCGTGCTACAAATTCCTTTGATGTAGAATATGTAAGAGGATGATACAAGAGCTAGGACCCCATTATCTAAAAACGAAATCGAACCTTAGAGTTCTCAATCGGAACACCTTTTCACATGCCTGTTACTTTTCATATTTATTATCATCCTTAGGTTTTCTGACATCATTTCTTCATAGAAGTACATGCACACTCAAATATGGGAGCTGTGTTTCCAAATGAATTTAATATATAACTCTTGGCCGAGCGCCATGGCTCACACCTGTAATCCCAGCACTTTGGGCGGCCGAGGCCGACGGATCACCTGAGGTCAGGAGTTCCAGACCAGCCTGGCCAACGTGGTGAAACCCCGTCTCTAGTGAAAATAAAAAAAAAATTAGCCGGGCGTGCTGGCGGGTAACCCTAGCTACTCGGGAGGCTGAAGCAGGAGAATCCCTTAGAACCTGGAAGGCAGAGATTGTACACCCTGTGATATTATTTTGGATATCCTAGGGAGATATTGCTCCTGACAGCAGAGTGAGCATACACCCTGTGATATTGTTTGTAATATCCTAGAAAGATATTGCTCCTAATATCACAGTGGCTGCACACCCTGTGATATTAATTGTAATATCCTACAGAGATATCACTCCTAATAATACAGTGGGTGTACACCCTGTGATATTATTCATAATATATTATGGAGATACGACTCTGAATATCACAGTTAGTGTACACCCTGTTCGTACACCCTGTGATATTATTTGTAACAACTTAGGAAAATATTACAGCTAATATCAAAGTGGGTGTACACCCTGCGATGTTATTTGTTATCCACTAGGTAGATATTACTCCTAATATCACAGTGAGTGTACACCATGTGTGTACAGACTGTGAAATTATTTGTAATACCCTAGGAGGATATTACTCCTAATATCACAGTGGGTGTACACCCTGTGATAGTATTTGTAATCACCTAGGGAAATACGATTCCTAATATTACAGTGGGTGTACACTCTGCGATGTTATTTGTAATGTCCTAGGAAGATATTACTCCTAATAGCAAAGTGGATGTACACCACGTGTGTACACTCTGTGATATGATTTGTAATATCCCAGAGAGATATTTCTCCTAACATCACAGTGGGTGTCCACTCTGTGATATTATTTGTACTATCCTAGAGAGATATTGCTCCCAGTATCACAGTGGATGTACACCCTGTGATATTATTCATAATATCCTAGAGCGATATTACCTCTAATATCACAGTTTCTGTACACCCTGTGGTATTATTCATCATATCCTAGGGAGTTATTATCCCTAACATCACAGAGCGTGTACACCATGGGTGGACACCCTGTGATGTTATTGGTAATATCCTAGGGGGATATTACCCTTAATGTCACAGTGGGTGTTTACCATGTGTGTACGCACTGAGATGTCACTCGTAATATCCTAGGGAGAAATTACACCTTGTGTTACAGTGGGTGTACACCATGTGTTTCTATTCTGTGATGCTATTCATAATATCTTAGAAAGTTATTAGTCCCAGTGCCACAGTGGGTGTATACCATGTGTGTAAACTCTGTGATGTTATTCGTATTATCCTAGGGAGATAGTTCTCCTAACATCACTGTCGGTGTACATCATGTCTGTACTCCCTGTGGTGTTATTGGTTATGTCCTGGGTTGATATTACTCCTAATGTCACCGTGGGTGCACATCATTGGTGTACATTCTGTGATATTATTCGTAATACCCTAGGGAGATATCACTCCCTGTGTCATAGTGGGTGTACGGCCTTGGGATATTATTGGTAGTATCCTTGCGACGTATTACTCCTGTTATCACAGTGGGTGTACACCCTGTGATAGTATTTGTAATATCCTAGGGAGACATCAGTGTATACCCTGTGGTATTATTTGTGACATTTGAGGGAGCTATTTCTCCTAAAATCAGAGTGGGTGTACACCCTGTAATATTCTTCCTAATATCACAGTGGATGTACACCATGAGTGATATTTTTTCTAATATCCAGCGGGGGAGAGGATGATATTGCTTCCAATATCACAGAAGGTGTACACCCCCCTGTGATATTGTTCCGAATATCCAGGGAAGGAGAGGATGACATTATTCCCAATATCACTGGGGGTGTACCACCTCCCGCCAGGATATTGTTCTTAATATCCGGAGGTGGAGAGAATGATGTTACTCCCAATATCCCAGGGGGTGTACACCACCCCTGTTTGTAAACACCCCCTGTGATATTGTTCCAAATGGCCTGTGAAAGAGTCACTATGACTCCCCTTATCGCCGGGGGTGTTCAGCCCTGATGATATTGTTTTCTAACATCCAGGGAAGGAGAGTATGCTATTATTCCCAATATCGCAGGGGCTGTACACCCTTTTGTGTTTTTGTGCCCAATATCCAGGAAAATAGAGTATCCCAATATCGAAGTAATTGTACAGCACCCCTGTGATATTCTTCCTAATATCCAGAAAGGAAAAGAATGATATTACTCCTAACAGCGTAGGAAATGTATACCCGCGCTGTGATATCTTTCCCCATATCCAGGTGGGGAGAGGATCATTATTATTTCCAATGTCGCAGGGTGTGTACACCCCCTCTGTGATCCTGTTGCTAACATCCAGGTTTGGGGAGGACGACATTACTCCCAATATCACAGGGGGAGTACACTCCCCCGTGACCTTGTTAGTCATTTCCTGGGTGGAGAGGATGATATTACTCCCAATATCGTAGGGGGTGTACACACCCCTGTGAAAATCTTCCTAATATCCAGAGGGAGAGAGGATGATATTACTCCCAGTACCGCAGGGGGTTTACACAGCCCTGTGATACTCTTCCTAATATCCACAGGGAGAGAGGATGATATTACTCCCACTATTGTAAGGGGTGTACACAACCCTGTGATATTGTTCCTAATATCCAGAGCGAAAGAGGATGATATGACTCTCAATATCGCAGGGTGTGTACACCCCTCCTGTCTTATTGTTCTGAATACCATGGGAGGGAGAGGATAAGGTTACGTTGAATATCGCAGGGAATGTACACCCTCCCCCTCTGATACCCTTCCTAATGTCCAGGGGAAGAGAGGAAAATTTTACTCCCAATATCGCAGAGGCAGTACACCCCACCTGTGATGTTGTTCCCAATATGCAAGGGTGCAGAGGATGACACTACTCCGAATATCGCAGGGCTGTTCACATCCCCAGTGACATTTGTCCTAATATCTAGGGGAGAGAAAATTATATGACAGCAAAGGTCGCAGGGTCTGTACATCCCTTCCTGATATTGTTCCTAATATCCAGGGGGGAAGAGGATGATATCAAATATGAAAGGGGGTGTACACCCCCCACCCCTACGATATTGTTCTTAATATTCTTGAGGAGAGACGATGATATTCCTCCAAATATCGCAGGGGTTGTTGACACCCCCCTGTGTTATTGTTTCTGATATGTGGGGGGTGGAGAAAATCATATTACTTCCAATATTGCAGGTGGTATATACCCCACCTGAAATATGGCACCGAATATCCAAAGAGGGAGAGGATGGTATTAATACCAATATCGAAGTGTGTGTACATGCCCTTGTGATATGGTTTTTAATATCCAGTGGGCGGGAGGATGATATTAATCCCAACATCCCAGAGGGTGTACACTACCCCTGTGATATTTTCCCTAACTTCCAGAGGGGAGAGGATGATATCACTGCCAATATCTCGGAAGTTGTACATCCCCCGTGATATTGTTCATCATATCCAGGGAGGCAAAGGGTGACATTCCATAGAATTTCACGACAGGCGTACACGCGCAGTGTGATACTGCTCCTAATATTCAAGAAGGGAGAGGATGATGGTACTCCCAATAAAGCAGTGGGTGTACATTACCCCTGTGTTATTGTCTCTAATATCCAGGGTCAGGGGAGGGGGGGGAGAGGATAACATTCCCTCAAATTTAGCAGGTGCTTTGAGGCCCCTTGCTTGTGGTGTTGTTTTAAATATCCAGCGGGGAAGATAATAGTACTATTTTTGATAGTCTGATTCATCCGCTCCAACTTTCCGGAACTCTTAGGCCGGGAGGTGGCATGCAGTTTCCGTGTGATCCCCAATACCTTTGCCGTCTTCTGTACCAAGGCAGCCAAAGACGCAGGCCCGTTATCTGAGCCAATCCATAAGGCCAGTCAAAATCTCGGAATCAGATCTCGAAGAAGCACAGGGGTTACTTCACGAGATTTCTCAGTTCATGTTGGATAGGCCTCCACCCACCCAGAGTAGGTATGTGCAAGAACTAGTAAATACGTGTTATCTCCACACTTTGTCATCTCTGTGAAGTCTACCTGGAGATTTTCAAAGGGGGCTGCTCCGTAAGCTTGTATGCCGGGTGGAACGGCTGGACCTTGCCTCGCATTATGCTGTTGGCAGGTAACACACTGCTGCCTCACCGTTTTGGCGAGGGCTGACAAATGCGAGATGTACAAATACCAGCCTAACAACTTTTCCAGTGACTCCTGACCTACATGCGTGGTTTCATGCACAGCCAGTATAACTGCACCTCCTAGCAAGTGTGGCACGGCTACTCTCCCATCTGGTAACCGAATCCATCCTTCCTGCATCACTTGTCCTTCCCTCTACCTGGAGAAAGTCCTTTTCTTCTTTAGAAGAAGTAAGTCCAAGATCAGGTGCTTGAGGGAGCACTGATGCCTGGAAGGGGGCAGATGCTGCTTTTCGAGCCTCTGAGTCAGTGCGGGAATTCCCCAAACCCACCAAGGTAGAAGCTCGCTGGTGTCTTCTGCAATGCACAACTGCCACCTTGTGGGGTTTCCATACTGCTTCTAATAATTGCAAGATTTCTTGTTGATATTTTCTGTCTTTTCCCCCAGAGTTCAATAGGCCCTTTTCTTTCTATCACGCTCCATGCACTTGAAGGGTTAAAAAGACATACCAAGAATCAGTGTAAATGTTGACAGTCCCACCCTCACTGAGTTCTAAGGCCCGAATGAAAGCAATGAGTTCAGCTTTCTGGGCTGAAGTGCCCTGGGGCAGCGATCTGGCTTCAACAACAGTGTCCAGGGTTACCACGGCACACCCTGCACCTCTCTCTCCTTGGGGGTTGAAGAAGCTGCTCCCATCCACGTATAGTTCCAAGTCTACTGATGCCCAAGGCTGGTCCTGGAAGTCAGGTCTGCTAGAGTCAACTGAGTCCAACAGTTCTACACAATCAGGCTCGACAGGGCTCTCTGATACCAGGAGCAAGGTGGCGGGGTGTAGGGTGTTACAAACTTCAATGGTTATACGGGGATTTTCACAGAGCAAAATTTGGTACTTGGTGAGTCTGGCATTCGTTAGCCAACGATGTCCTTTAGTATTCATTAAAGTCACCACAGCATGGGAGGCCTTTATGCTCAGGTTTTGCCCAAGAGTCAGCTTATTTGCTTCTTGTCCTAGCAGGGCAGTTGCTGCCAAGGCCCTCAAACAGGGGGGCCATCCTTTAGAAACCCCGTCTAGTTGTTTAGAGAAGTAGGCCACTGGCCTCAGCCAGGGCCCCACAGTTTGGGTTCAAAGTCCAGCTGCCATCTCTTCTCTCTCTGATGCATACAATGGAAAAGGCTTTGTCAGGTCAGGTAGCCCCAGGGCTGGGGCTGCCAGAAGTTTTTCCTTTAACTCATGAAAGACTTGCTGTTGTTGGGATCCGCATTCCAAAGGTTCCCAGTCCCCGCCCCCTTTGTGACCTCATACAAAGGCTTGGCTAATACTGCAAAGTTTGGGACCCAGAGTCTACAAAATCCCACAGCTCCTAAGAATTCTCTCACTTGCCTTCTGCTCTTAGGCTCCGCTAGATTGCAAATGACCTGCTTTCTTTCTGATCCCGGGCTGCGTTCCGACCCCTGTTGGATAGTAAATCCCAAGTAACGTACCTGCTGTCGGCAGATCTGAGCTTTCTTCTTGGACACCATATACCCACAGTCCTCCAGGTGCCGGAGTAGGGCATCTGTTCCCTTGGCACACCCGACTGCTGTGGGGTGTCCCAGCAGAAGGTCATCAACCTACTTGAGCAACACGCAGCCTAGGTCTCTGGTGGGAAACTTCTGGAGGTCTCGAGCCAATGCCTCCCCGAAGATGGTGGGGGAGTTCTTGAACCCTTGGGGAAGCCCGGTCCAAGTGTGCTGACTAGAGACACCTGACTCCAGATCTTCCCACTGAAAGGGAAACAGATTCTGCCTCTCAGGGGCTAATCTGATAGGAAAGAAAGCATCTTTCGGGTCCAAGCAGGTGAAGCAGCTGTCCTCAGCTGGCAGCAACCCCAACAATGCGGACGGGTTAGCTCCTGTTGGATGGAAAGTCAGTGTAGCTTGATTAAGCAAGCGCAAATCTTGTATCGGCCGGTAGTCCTTGGTCCGTGGCTTGGGAACAGGCAGGAGGGGAGTGTTCCACGGAGACTGACAAGGAACAATCATTCCAAAAGTTCTTAGGTGCTTGAGACGGACCTGGATACTTTGAAGAGCTTCTCTGGGGACGGGTTCCTGTTTGTGCCTAACTGGCTGGGTGCCGGTCTTAACTGGCCAATCCCGGAGGGTTGTGTTCTGCCTGTACTCTTGGCCACCTCTTAGCCAGAGCTGGTCTTCTCTCTTGGCCCGGCTCCGTTCAGAAAAGTCTACATTCCTCCTCTCAGGGGACCATAAGGGTCATAATGACTCCTGTTCCGGGTAACTTTAGCAGCAAAGAGCCATGCTCTGTCAGAGATAGTGGCTCTCAGCTTGCTGAGCAAGTCCCTTCCCCAAAAGGGCAAGGGGCAGTCAGGCATGTACCAAAACTGATGAATGACTTGATATCCTCCCACAGTACAAGTCCGAGGCAAGCAGGAAGCTTGCTTTGCTGAAACCCCCGTGGCTCCGATGACGTCAATAGTCTTTTTGGATAAGGGGGCGACCGCGGCAGTTACTAGCGAATGTTCAGCACCGCTATCTACAAGAAAATCAATGTCTCTTCCCCCAACTGTCATTCTGACCAGAGGCTCTTTGGGGACGCTTGAGCCCGGTCTCCGTCAGTCCAATAACTCTTCAGCCAGGTTGAGCAGGGCCCCTTCCTCCTTGTCCGGGGCCTCCTGCTCGGAGTCACCTTGTTTTCTTTTGAGCTGAGGGCATTTGTTCTTCCACTGTCCTATTTCTTTACAATAAGCACACTGGTTACACTGCAAACTCTGACAGCCAAGCTGAGTTTCTTTCCCAGGACCCCCCTTCCCTTGCCTCTTTGCGGGGGGGCCCCTCTGATTGCTGCAGCTAACCCACAGTTCGGTGTTTCACTGGGCCTGACCTCCATTCTCTTTGCCGTTTTCCTTACGGCTTACTGCATCCCTGTTTACAAACACCTGGCTAGCTATTTCTAGTAATTGTGATGTATTCATCCCTGCAAGCCCAGCCTGTTTCTGCAGTTTTCTTCTCATGTCTTCTGTGTTTTGATGGACTAAAGCCATGTGAATCATGCGCTGATTTCAGGGCTATCGGGATCAAAGGGAGTATACAGACGACAGTCCTCACACAGTCTCTAGTAGAATTGTGCTGGACTTTCTTCTTTTCCCTGAATGACCTCAGAGAGCTTGTTAACGTTTGTGGCCTTCTGAGCTCTCCTCATTAATCCTTCCAAGACAGCTTCCCTGTCTTGGTTTAGCCTTTGCATATCCTCTCTTTCATGTGGGTCCAACTGGGGGTCGGTTCCTGGTAACTGGGTCCTTCCATACTCTTGGGGGTTTTGATAATCAGCTATTGTATGTTCCTCTAGCCACTTAGTTGCTGCTTGGAGGACTCTCCGCCTTTCTTCGCTGTTAAAGAGGAACATGAGCAACTGGTGCCAATCAGCCCAGGTGTGGTTGTGGGTCTGGATAACAGTTTGGAGCAAATCAATTAGGGCTTGTGGCTTTTCGGTAGAGGGCGGTGTATTGTTTTTCTAGTTGAGAAGTCGAGGGAGGTGAAGGGCTGCTACCCAAAAACACTCCTCTCCACCACGTGACCATCCTCCTCTATCCCAGTATACCGCTGCTCTCTCAGGGGCATTTGTATCCCCGTTTTGGGTCGTAAAAGAGCTGCCGAGGGAGGGGTGGAATGGCGCAATGTGACTTACCGCAATTAATCATCTCAATTATTAATTGACACTAATAATTATCAATATTAATAACTCATAATATAATTTTAAAAATCAATACCGATAATAATGATGATTAATATTAAATAGTTATACTCACAATAACTATAAATGATTAATATTAATGATTAATGACGCCTGATATTAATAACTGATATTGATCTTATTCATTAGAAAACAGCAATATTAACTTCTAATAATTAATATTAATATTAATACTCTGAAAACTTTTTATTAGCAATTATTTCTTAATAGTAATATTAATATCAGTCATTCATATTCATGTTAATAATAAATGAGGAATAATTCATACTACTATTAGGCCTAATACCTCAGTGGGTGTACACCCACCTGTGATATTGCTCCTAATGTCCAGGGAGGGAGAGAGCATGATATTACGTTCAATATCGCGGTAGGTGTACACCTAGCCGGTGATATTGATCTGAATATCATCTCCAGGGGGTGGAGTATGACGTCACTCCCAATATAGCACTGGGTGTGCATGCACCCGGTGATTTTGCTCCTAATATTCACGGAAGAAGAGAATGCTATTACTCCCAGTATGGCAGGAAGTGTACACCCCTTCTGTGACATTGTTCCTAATATCCAGAGGGGGAGAGGGTGATATTACTCGCAATATCGCAGGCTGTGTACACCCACCCTCCGATATTGTTCCTAGTAGCCAGGAAGGGAGAGGACAATATGACTCCCCATACAGCAGGAGGTGTACACCCATCCCGGGATATTCTTCCTAATATCCATGGAGAGGAGAGGCTGATATGACTACCAATATCGCAGGGGTTGGACATCCAGTCTGTGATATTGTTACCCCTAATGTCACACGGCGTGTACACACAGTGATGCTACGTGCAATATGCTATGGAAATGTTGCTCGTAATTCATAGGTCCTGTATACCCTTTAATATTCTCCGTCATCTTCTAGGAAAACGTTACTGCTAATGTCACAGGGCGTGTAGACCCTGTTATCAAATTCCTAATATCCTAGCGGGAGTTCACTAGTCATTTCACAATGCGTGTACACCCTTTGGTATTATTCGTATTGTCTTGAAGAGATGTTACTACTGATGTCCCAATGCGGGTACATTCTCTGATCTTATTCGTTATATCCTCGGGGGATCTTACTTCTAATGTCACACGGGGTGTACTCCCTGTGTTCTGTTTCGTAATATCCTAGGGCAATTTTACTTTTAATGACACAGGGGGTGTACACATTGTGATATTATTTGTGATGTTCTAGAAAGATGTTACTCCTAATGTCACAGGGCTGTACACCCTGTGATAGTATTCGTAATTTCCCTGGGGTCTATACTCCTCATGTCACAGGTGGTGTACACCCCGTGTTATTATTCTTACTATTCTAGGGGGATGTTACTGCTAATGTCACAGGGATGCACACCCTGTGATATTATTCATAGTGTACCAGAGGGATATTAGCACTAATGACACGATGCGTGTACACTTTGTGATATTATTTGTCATATCCTAATGTCCCAGGAGGTGTGTTCCGTGTGATATTCTTCCTAACATCCTAGACGGATGTTGCTCCTAACGTCACAGGTTGTGTACACCTTGTCACATCATTCACAATATCCTAAAACTACGTTATTCCTCAGGTCACAGGGGGTGTTCACCCTGTGATATTTTTCATCATAGTTTTGTGGGATGTTCCTCCTAAAGTCACATGGGGTGTACACAGAGTCACACAGTGATATGAGTTGTAATATTCTGTAGACATGTTACTCGTAAATCACAGGGGCTGTACCTCCTGTGATATTATTCATAGTATTCTAGGGGAATGTTGATACTATTGTCATGGGGGTGTACACCCTGTGATGTGACTCGTCATATCCCAGCGGGATGTTACCACTTATGTCACAATGCCTGTACACCCTGTGATACTATTTGTAATATCCTAAAGAGATGTTACTGCTAAGGTCACAGTGCATGTACACCCTCTGATATTATCCGTTATATCCTTTGGGGATGCTACTCCAAATGTCACACGGGGTGTACTCCCTGTCATATTATTCGTAATATCCAAGGGGGATGTTATTTTTAATGTCACCGGGGGTGACATTACGCATTAAAAATGCGTATTCAACGCCTGTGATACTATTCCTAATATCCTAGGGGCATGCTCTTCCAAATGTCACATGGGGTGTACACCATGTGTGTACACCTGCTGTGATATTATTCGTAATATCCTAGGGAAATGTTACTCCTGAAGACACAGGCGGTGTACACCATGTGGGTACCCCTCCTGTTTTATTATTCATAATATCCTAGGGGGATGTTTCTTTTAATGTCACAAAGAGTGTACAAAACATCACAGGAGGTGTACACGTTGTGGCGTGATCTGCAATACCCTGGAAGGATGTTACTCCTAACATGTCACAGGGGTGTACAAGCTTTGATGTTATTTATAATCTCATAGAGAGATATTACTTCAAATATCACAGTGGATGTACACACATAGTGTATACCCTGTGATAGTATTCATAATATCCTAGGGAGATACAACTCCTGATATCACAGTGCGTGTACCCCGGGTGTGTACACCCTTGATATGAGTCGTAATATCCAGGGTAAATATTACTCCTCATATCACACAGTGTGCACACCCTGTGATATTTTTCATCGTACTTTAGGGAGATATTGCTTCTAATATCACAGCAGGTGTACCCCATGTGTGTATACTCTGTGACAGTATATTCTGTATCCTAGGGAGGTATTACTCCTAATATCACAGTGGGTGTTCACCCTGTGACATCATTCTTATTTGACCTTGCTGCCTTTTTTAACCCACACTACAAAAGGAATGGAACAGATAAGAAGATATTGAGATGAGACCGTGCTGCCGTGCGGCTGCCGCAGGACACTTTTAATATCCCTGTTTCTCAGGCTGTAGATGAAGGGGTTCAGCATGGGGATGGCCACCGTGTACATCACTGAGGCCACTGCAGCCTTTCTCGGGGAAGATGACACATCTGAACTGAGGTAGCCTCCAATGCCTGTTCCATAAAATCAGCAAACAACTGACAGGTGAGACCCCCTGGTGGAGAAGGCCTTATGCTTCCCACCTGATGATGAAACCCTCAGAATGGAGAAAACAATTTTATCGTAAGAGAAAAGGGTCCCCGAGATGGGAAGAAAACCAAATATGGCAGCAGGGAAATACATGATTATGTTATTGGTGAAGGTGCCACAACATGCAAGACGGGGAATTGAGAAGGGTCACAGAAGAAATTAGGAATTTCCACATCCTTGAAGCAGGTCCTTTGTAAGGCAATCAAGTTGTGCAGCTGGGCGTCTAAAAGACTGAGAAAAAAAAAAGACAACAAAACTAGAAAGCCACAGAAACACGGGTTCGTGATGGCTGAATGACATAGAGGGTGACAGATGGCTACAAACCGGTCATAGGCCATCACACTCAGGAGCATGTCTCTCTTCCATGCCTCCAAAAATGGCAAAGAGAGACATCTGAGTCAGGCAGCCTGCATAGGAGATGACTCTGCTGTGAGACTGGATGTCCACAATCATCTTGGGGACCGTGGTGGAGGTGAAACCGATGTCAGGCAAGGACAGGTTGGAGAGGAAGAAGTACATGGGGATGTGGAGGTGGGAGTCAGGGGTGACGGCCAGGATGATGAGCAGGTTCCCCAGCACCGTGACCAGGCACATGGACAGGAACAGCCGTTCTGGATCCTCTGAGCTTCTAGGAGGAGGAATATAGAGACATCTGTTAGATTCTGTGGGTCTGTAGAGATTGGACAACTTTTGCCTAGAAAAGAGGGTTGAGAAATCGGAAACAAGTAAACTGACCCCCAGCATCATGTCTGCGTTTTGGATAGAAGCAATTCACAAGTCATGTTTTCAGATTTCAGAGCAATCCACACTCAGCAATAGTTTGCAGTTCTGACAAACTCAATTGTCTTCTAATGCTTTCATCATTGATTTCTGTGTTATTCACTTCTTGTTGTACACACCTGCCTCAGAGACACCAGATTCAAGAATGTTCCAAGAACCAGATCATCCTATATAACAAATTCGTAATTGCTAGAAAATACAGCCTATCTTTACTGAAGGAAACTATGTAATAAAACCATTCTCTTCACTTTAAGAAAAAGGTTATCCTAATTAAAGGAAATTAAGAACTCAAATATTTTATTTTATTCGAATAGATTGATACAAATTCCCTTGATTTAGAACATCTGTAAACACTGTATAACTGCTGAGCCCATGCCATCTGGAAATGAAATTAAAGTTGATAGTTCATAAGCAGAGAATAGTTCCACAGACCGGTTGGATCCTAGTGATTTCATCATTCTGTTTTCTGGCTTTTCTCCTTCAAGAGAGGAATTGCTTACTCAAATCGGTGGGTCTTGTTTTAAAATTCATGGAAGCTATAACTCCTGTCCTTAGCTTCGGTGGACTTAGCGTTTTCATCAGAACGTTTGGCCGGACGCGGTGGCTCACGCCTGTGATCCCAGCACTTTGGGAGGCCGAGGAGGGCGGATGACGAGGTCAGGAGATCAAGACCATCCCGGCCAACATGGTGAAACCCCGCCTCTACTGAAAATACAAAAACTTCGCCCAGCATGGCGGCGCGTGCCTGTAGTCCCAGCTACTCGGGAGGCTGAGGCAGGAGAATGGCTTGAACCTGGGAGGCAGAGGCTACAGTGAGCCGAGATCACACCACTGCACTCCAGCCTGGGCAACAAGAGCAAAACTCCGTCTCAAAAAACAATAAACAAAAAACACACGCTCTGTCACACTGACGTCACACTGATGACAGCCAATTTTTGTGAACCAAGGAAGTGTCAATTCAATAATTCACGTAGATGTTTACTCTGGCTATCTCCTATGTGCCAAGCAAGATATAGGCTCTGGGGAATCAGAAACAAAAGAGACTCACTTGTTCCTCTCACAATACTCAGTACTTACTGAGATAAGGACAAAAGAAAATGTCCGGTCTGGAATGCAGGGAAACCAGAACTTCAGGTCAGGGGATATTTCCGTCGAACCGTATGGAGTTTAAGCTGAAAATATTAACGAATGTATCTAAAATTCACTTTGCCTTGACTTTATGCATCCATCACATAGAGATCACGCAGCGGGCAGCCACGATCGGTTTCATCATCGCTCACTTCCATTGGATCAACTAGAAATCAACTGAGATGAGAGTGCTGAGTCTCAGAGGATGGACGTCTCAGCCCTTGCCATACAGATAAGTAGGAAAGGTGGTGTTGAAAATTAATGGCCAGACTCTAAGTCCCGGGCACTAAACCTGATGGTCTCCCAACCCTCAAAATGTTGTGGGTTCTTTTTTGTTTTTGTTTTTGTTTTTGAGACGGAGTCTCGTTCTCTTGCCCAGGCTGGAGTGCAGTGGAGTGATCTCGGCTCACTGCAACCTCCGCATCCCAGGTTCAAGCTATTCTCTTGCCTCAGCCTGTCGAGTAGCTGAGATTACAGGCACCCGCCACTACGCCCGGCTCATTTTTTTCTCTTTTTAGGAGAGACGGGGTTTCACCATGTTGGCCAGGCTGGTCTCGAACACCTGACCTTGTGATTCGCCTGCCTCAGCCTCCCAAAGTGCTGGGATTACAGGCGCGAGCCACCGCGCCCAGCTTCCAAAAGTTTTCAACAGAGCTCAGAGGTCTTAACCACAGGCACATCTGAGGAGCATTTTTGAAATGGTTTCCAGCTTCCTCAATAGGAATGGAAGCCAAACCCCGAATTGATGACTCCTTGGAGGAAGTCGAGAGCTGTAAGCAAAGCCAGGAACAGGGGCAAGGGAGAGATGCATCCCGAATGATCCTGTGCCAATTCTTTCTGGAATCTTTGATGTGATCTCAGCTGCCCTTTCCATACTTGACACAGTGCTTATGGCACCCACTGGTCTAGCTGTGGTCTACAAGGAACCCCCAAAGGGAAGGGCACAGTGAGCAGGGGCATCGGCCTGAGTGACAAGGATTGGAGGGGGCAGGTTGGATGCAGGGAGAGGAATGGCCAAATGCCATGTGTCTGGCCTTAGACTGCCTAGTTCAAATTGGACTTCACCGTTTTTGACTTCATGATCTGGTACAAGTTACATGAAAATGTGTTGCTCCTTTTCTAGTCTGCAAAATAATCATGAAATGTGCACTGATAACTGGGAGACTATGCAGATGAAATGAAACAAGTAGCATAGACCACAGAGCTCAGAGCCTGGCCTTTAGGAAGCCCTCAGTAAGGGTTCATGTTGCCGTGGTGTCTGTCATCATCCTCTTTATCCTCATCATCATCTTCATCATCTTTTTGTTGTTCTCAGGGAATAGTTTAGAGGGACTCTTTCCCTGCTCGCGTGGGTGAGATGTCTATGAAAAGGACAACCAGTGGGGGAGGGAAGCACAGTTTTGAATAAGATTTCTGAGAGAGACCCCCCACCCCAACCAAGAACAGAAACTCCACGGTCTGCTGAGCTGACAGTTTGCACATTGGTCTCCTCCCATCTGCCCACGGCACTCTCCCATTTGTCCTGAGGATGAGGAAACAAACAAGGCTCCCAACCGTCCCTCAGCACTCACTGAACTGCCCTTCCCCTCTGCTGGGCCATGACCACGGAGAACAGGTCCACTGTCCTCCCTGCGTGGTGCACATGGGAGGCTCAGCCTCCGTCCTCAAGGCTGGCAAGAAGACAGGCCGAGACATGAGCCTCCTGATACAGGTGACGGGTGTGGAGCCCACAGGACTGCAACCTCACACTGCAGGGCTGGAGGCACAGACTGAGTATTTACTATTCTATGGCCTGGGGGTCTCAAGGCATAGAGCTCCTCATTAGCCAGAGTCGCCCAAGTTCCCCAACCTCTAAGGATTTCCTCATAATCATGCAAGAAGAAGAAGGGAAAAGTCAGTGTCCACAGAAGTTTTGGGGCTCTTCCTCTAATCAGGAGAGAGCTTGTGTGGATTCTTCGCTTCTTTCTTTTCTTTTTCAAGATCCAAGTGCTTTAATTTTCATCTTTTAGTATGGGAAAATATACCACGTATAAATCCTAAAAATTATAAATAGAGATTCTTGCATATAGAATGGCCAGTATGAACATTTACAATTTCCACTAGTTTTCAGTTTAGAGTTTAATCACATTAGGTACATTCACATTGTTTTGCAACCATCACCGCCATCATCTCCAGAACGGTTTTAGCTTTCCAAATGGAAATTGCACCCATTAAGCAAACTCTCCATTCCTCTCTCTCGCCCACCCCTGGGGGCCACCGTTCTATTTTGCAACTCTATGAGTTTAACTACTCTAGACACTTGATAGAAGGGGAATCATACCGTGTTTAATTTTCTTTGTTTCTTTGTTTTGGAGACAGTCTTTCTCTGTCACCCAGGCTGGAGTGCAGCGGCATGGTCTCGGCTGACTGCAACCTCCACATCGTGGGTCCAAGCGATTCTTGTGTCTCAGTCTCCCGTGTAGCTGGGGTTACAGGCGTGCGCCACCACGCCCAGCTAATTTTTGTAGTTTTAATAGAAACGAGGTTTCACCATATTGGCCAGGCTGGTCTCGAACTGCTGACCTGAAGTGATACGCCTGCCTCGGCCTCTCAAAGTGCTGGGTTTACAGGTGCGAGCCACGGAGGCTGGTCGTGTTTATCCTTTTGGGATTTATTTGTTTCACTGGCGATAATGTCTTCAAGGTTCATCCATGTTGCAGCCTGTGTCAGAAGTGCCTGCCTGGCTTTTTCGGTTTTTTATTATTTATTTATTTATTTTTTTGGTTCTGTTTTGTTTTGTGTTTACATGGAGTCTCACTCTGTCACACAGGCTGGAGTGCAGTGGCACAATCTGGGCTCACTGCAACCTCCGCCTCCCGGGTTCCAGCGATTCTTGTGCTCAGCCTCCCGAGTAGCTGGGAGTATAGGCACGCGCCACCACGCTCGTCTAATTTTGTGCATATTCAGTAGAGACAGGGTTTCACCAAGATGGCCAGGCTGGTCTCGAATTCCTGACCTCGGGTGATCCGCCCACCTCGGTCTTCCAAGATGCTGAGATTACAGGCGTGAGCCACGGCACCGGCCAGAAGTGCCTGCATTTTTATGGCTGAATAGTCTTCCGTTGTATGAATGAACTGCACTGTGCTTTTTCATTCATCTGCCCACGAACCCTTGGGTTGCTTCCCCATTTTGGCTGTTTTGAGTAACGCTGCTATGAATATGGGTGTACAAATCTCTCTTCCACTCCTGGCTTCTAATTCTTTTTGGTGGGTACCCACAAGTGCAACTGCGGGAACATCTGATCATTCTGTTTCTACTTTTTCCAGGACAGGCCATACTATTTTCCCCATTCCTTCACGGTTTTACATTCCCTCCAATCAGATTCGAGCATTCCTACTTCCCTCTAGTTTCACCAAGGCTTGTTCGTTTATCATATCCATCCTAATATGTGGTATCACATTCTTGGTTTGATTTGCACTTCCCCATGATTAGTGATTTTGAACATCATTTTAGACGCTTATTGGCCATTGCTCTATCTTCTTTAGGGACACGTCTACTCGAGTCTTCTGACCATTGTTAATGGGGTGCTTTGGGTTTCTTGTTGTTTAGTTCTAGCTCTTCTTTATATATGATGGATATCAGCCTCTTTTCAGAGATATGATTTGCAAATCTTTTTCCTAATCCATGGGTTATCTTTTCACTGAGTTCACAGTGTTTGCTGATGCACGAAAGTGTCTGTCGTTTAGATGTCATCCAAGGAATCCAATTTTCTTTTGTTGCCTATGCTTTTGGTGTCATATCCCAGAAAGCATTGCCCAATCTGATGTCGTGAAAGTGTGGCCAATGTTTTCTTTGAGGCATATTATACTTTCAGCACTGGGGGTGAGGTCTTTGATCCAGTTTGTGTTCATTTTTGCACCTGGTGTGACATAGGGTCCACCTTCCTTCTTCTGCATGTGGAAATCAAGTTTCTCCAACACCATTTCTTGAAAAGGCTGCTTTTCCACCAATGAACTTTCTTAGCACTCCTGTGAAAAATCATTTGAACATATAGGGAAGAAGTTATTTCTGGGCTCGAAAACAAACAAACAACAACAGACAACAGACAAGGATACAGCATGGCCCGGGCGCGGTTGCTCACGCCTGTCATCCCAGCCCTTTGGGAGGCCGAGACGTTCGGATCACCTGAGGTCAGGGGTTCAAGACCAGCCTGACCCACAGGAAGAAACTTCCATCTCTACTACAAATACAACATTAGCTGGGCGTGCTGGGGCATGCCTGTAATCCCAGCTGTTTGGGAGGTGGAGGCAGGACAATCGCTTGAACCCAGGAGGCAGAGGTTGCGGTGAGCCAAGATTGCACCATTACACTCCAGCCTGCGAAACAAGCGCAAAACTCCGTCTCAAAACAAAAAACCAAAAACAAAAAAACCAGCATGATTTCAAGAGCAGAAAGAGAATAGCTGAAAAACCAGCATAAGGAGAAAGTTAGGAAGCTTCTTACCAAAGCATCTGGAAATATGCAAGAAATTCTTGTGAACTAAAATTTTCATACTGTGCTGTCAAACACTAGAACTCACTTATTCCATCTTTCTGTATTTTGGGACCCAATTATCCCCTTCTCTTCATTCCCCATCCCACCCCTTTTCTTCCTAGCGTCTGCTAACCACCTTTAGACTTTCCACCTTCCTGAGATTCCTTTTGTGTGTAGGTGTGTGATGGCATCTCTTTCTGTTGCTCAGGTTGGAGTACACAGGCACAATCCGGGCCCACTGCAACCTCCGCCTCCCGAGTTCAAGCGCTTCTTGGGCCTCGGCCCTCCCAGTAGCTGAGACTACAGGCACGCGTCACCACGCCCGGCTAATTGTTTGTGTTTTCCGTAGAGACGGGGTTTCACCATGTTGGCCAGGCAGGTCTCGAACTCCTGGACTCAAGTGATCCGTGCGACTCGGCCTCCCAAAGTGCTGGGATTACAGGCCTGAGCCACCACACCTGGCCAAGGTTTCCTTTTTTCTTTCTACATAGAAGTGAGGACATGAAATATTTGTCATTCTGTGCCTGGCTTCTTTCATTTAATATACAGACACGCAGTCTCATCCATTTTGTCTGCAGCAGAGAGGATTTTCTTCCTTTTTAGGCTGAATAATACTTCATTGGGTGTGTATACCACAGTTCCTTAACTGAAACAAATTTCTAAAGAGCAAATATTTTTAAAATGTCTCGGAATGTGAAACTTCAGGGATACTGTGCCCATTTTATTCTTTTCTATTTCCCATCTTAGGTATATGCAAGTGTATAACAAAGCAGCAATCAATGTGTGTATAAATCTATAACTTCAACAAATGTAAAATGTAAATGCTAAGTGGTGGCTGGGCGCGGTCGCTCACACATGTAATCCCAGCAATTTGGGAGGCGGAAGCGGGCGGATCACCTGAGGTCGGAAGTTCAAGGCCAGCCTGACCAAAACGGAGAAACACTGTCTCTACTAACAATACAAAAAAAAAGAAATTAGCCGGGCATGGTAGCGCACGCCTGTAATCCCAGCTACTTGGAAGGCTGAGACAGGAGACTTGCTTTAATACGGGAGGCAGAGGATACAGTGAGCCGAGACCTTGCCATTGAACCCCAGCCCTGGCAACAAGAGTGAAACTCTGACTTGAAAAAAAAAAAAAAAAGAAAAGAAAGGAAAAGAAAGAAATAGAAAATGCGAAATGGTAAGAAAAAACAGCATAATAAACATTTGTATGCTGTTGATGGACAACGCATTTGAAGGTAATATATGAGGAAATCATATCACAATTAATTTCTGTTCTTACTCATTGGAGCTTGATGCCTCTGAAAACTTCGTCTTTGGAACCACCTCCGGTGGTTTAAAAGAAAAAAAAAATCCACATACTCACATAGGTGCAAGGAAATCAGAATCTCAGGTATTGAGACCCAGGCCTCACCATTTGTAAGCTCCCCAGGTGATTTGACTCAAAGCCAAGATTGAGGAATGGCGACCTGGATCTCTACACGTAACCTGCCTAAATCGATTCTCTAGAAGCAGTTTATAAAGAAATTCCACATGAACTCTGGAAGAGGATATGAATTTGATTTACAGTATGTCCTCACTTAACATCTTTGAAAGTCTCTTGGAAACTTCACCTTGAAGCAAAATGATGTATAGTGAAACCACTTATTTTTCATCAACAGTATAACTACACAACTTTGAACAACCAGTGGTGTTGGAGGACCTCCTGTACATTGTTTCCATAAAGTCAGTCTTCAGGGAATTCCAAAATGAAGAGAGGACTTCGTGTATATAAAAAGATGGTTGTGATTCCACCTGGATGACAGGGTTATTGCTCAGAAACTAAAAGAGGCCGCCTAGGTATAGAGGATTCTGTCATGAGGTTCCTGCTAAACAGAGGATCCCAGAATACTGACCCATTCCAGTTAAAGGCATAACGAAGAAAGCAATATTCACAAAGGAAATGCAGAAAGGAATAAAAGCCATCAAGCCACAAAAAGAATGTGACTAAGGGGCGGGATTTGCAGATGCAGAGATTTAATGTGGTTGCCCTTTCTCACCCACACAAGAAAAAGGATGGAACAGATCATGAGATTCCACTGTTCTGCTGCGCAGCCTCCGCAGGGCACTTTGTATGTCCCTGTTTCTCAGGCTGTAGATGAAAAGGTTCAGCATGGGGGTGACCACAGCGTACATCACTGACGCCGCCACACCATTCCTGGGGGGTGGTGACAGAGCTGAAGTCAGGTACATGCCAATGCCTGTTCCATCAAATCAGCAAACAACTGCTAGGTGAGAGCCACAGGTGGTGAAGGCTTTATACTTCCCATCTGACGATGACATCCTTAGAATGGAGGGGACAATTTTATACTAAGACAAAAGGATCCCTGAAATGGGAAGAAAACCAAACATAGTACTATCAAAATATATGAATATGCTATTGGTGACGCTGTCAGAACAGGCAAGTTTGAGAAGTTGAGAGGGGTCACAGAGAAAATTAGAGATTTCCACATTCTTGATGATGGTGAATTGTAACACAATCCAACCGTGCAGCTGGGAATCCAACAGGCTAAGGAAAAAGGACACCAAAACGAAGAAGACACAGAGGTGAGGATTCATGATGACTGGGTAGTGCAGAGGGTGACAGATGGCTACAAAGCTGTCATAGGCCATCACAGTCAGGAGCATGTCTTCTATACATGCAAAAAGGACCAAGAAAGACATCTGTGCCAGGCAGCCCGCATGAGAGATGACTCTGCTATGCGACTGCATGTCCACAATCATCTTGGGAACCGTGGGCGAGGTGAAACCGATGTCAGCCCAGCACAGGTTGGAGAGGAAGAAGTACACGGGGGTGTGGAGGGGAGTCAGAGCTGACAGCCAGGATGCTGAGCAGGTTCCTCAGCACCATGACCAGATACATGGACAGGGACAGGGACAGCAAAGCGAGGACCGGCAGCAGTTCTGGATCCTCTGAGAGTCCCAGGAGGAGGAATTCTCAGACACCTGTGAGATTCCGTGGCTCCGTGTGTCTTGGACACCTTGAGAAGGAAAGAGGATTGGAAAAATAAAAGATAAAAACCAGCCCTTAATGCTGGATGCGAGCAACTCACAAGGAACATTTTCACACTTGCGGACCATACACCGCCAGCAATGTTTCTCAGTTGTGACAAATCCAAAAATCTCAGAATTATTACGTGGTTTACTTTTTTGCTATACAAGTCTTTCTGTACATACTACTTTAGAGAAAATCCACTGAAGAATATTAGAAGACCAAATCCGTGATCTCAGTAAAATACGGCCTACTCTTTTCAGAAAAAATACAATGCAGTGAAAATGTCCTTCTCTCTTTAAGAAAAAGATCTCAGTCTAATTGAAAGAAATTAAGAAGCCGTGAAATACACTCTGTTTTATTCTGACACCGTGCTACAAATTCCTTTGACGTAGAATATGTAAAAGGACGACACAAGAGCTAGGACCCCATTATCTAAAAACGAAATCGAACCTTAGAGTTCTCAATCGGAACACCTTTTCACATGCCTGTTACTTTTCATATTTATTATCATCCTTAGGTTTTCTGACATCATTTCTTCATAGAAGTACATGCACACTCAAATATGGGAGCTGTGTTTCCAAATGAATTTAATATATAACTCTTGGCCGAGCGCCATGGCTCACACCTGTAATCCCAGCACTTTGGGCGGCCGAGGCTGATGGATCACCTGAGGTCAGGAGTTCCAGACCAGCCTGGCCAACGTGGTGAAACCCCGTCTCCAGTGAAAATAAAAAAAAATTAGCCGGGCGTGCTGGCGGGTAACCCTAGCTACTCGGGAGGCTGAAGCAGGAGAATCCCTTAGAACCTGGAAGGCAGAGATTGTACACCCTGTGATAGGATTTTTGATATCCTAGGGAGATATTGCTCCTGACAGCAGAGTGAGCGTACACCCTGTGATATTGTTTGTAATATCCTAGAAAGATATTGCTCCTAATATCACGGTGGCTCTACACCCTGTGATATTAATTGTAATATCCTACAGAGATATCACTCCTAATAATACAGTGGGTGTACGACCTGTGATATGATTCATAATATATTACGGAGATACGACTCCTGATATCACAGCGAGTGTACACCATGTTTGCACACCCTGTGATCTTATTTGTAACAACTTAGAAAAATATTACAGCTAATATCAAAGTGGGTGTACACCCTGCGATGTTATTTGTTATCCACTAGGTAGATATTACTCCTAATATCACAGTGAGTGTACACCATGTGTGTACAGACTGTGAAATTATTTGTAATACCCTAGGAGGATATTACTCCTAATATCACAGTGGGTGTACACCCTGTGATAGTATTTGTAATCACCTAGGGAAATACGATTCCTAATATTACAGTGGGTGTACACTCTGCGATGTTATTTGTAATGTCCTAGGAAGATATTACTCCTAATAGCAAAGTGGATGTACACCACGTGTGTACACTCTGTGATATGATTTGTAATATCCCAGAGAGATATTTCTCCTAACATCACAGTGGGTGTCCACTCTGTGATATTATTTGTACTATCCTAGAGAGATATTGCTCCCAGTATCACAGTGGATGTACACCCTGTGATATTATTCATAATATCCTAGAGCGATATTACCTCTAATATCACAGTTTCTGTACACCCTGTGGTATTATTCATCATATCCTAGGGAGTTATTATCCCTAACATCACAGAGCGTGTACACCATGGGTGGACACCCTGTGATGTTATTGGTAATATCCTAGGGGGATATTACCCTTAATGTCACAGTGGGTGTTTACCATGTGTGTACGCACTGAGATGTCACTCGTAATATCCTAGGGAGAAATTACACCTTGTGTTACAGTGGGTGTACACCATGTGTTTCTATTCTGTGATGCTATTTGTAATATCTTAGAAAGTTATTAGTCCCAGTGCCACAGTGGGTGTATACCATGTGTGTCCACTCTGCGATGTTATTCGTATTATCCTAGGGAGACAGTTCTCGTAACATCACTGTCGGTGTACATCATGTATGTACTCCCTGTGGTCTTATTGGTTATGTCCTGGTTTGATATTACACCTAATGTCACCGTGGGTGCACACCATAGGTGTACATTCTGTGATGTTACTCGTAATATCCTAGGGAGATATCACTCCTGTTATCACAGTGGGTGTACACCCTGTGATAGTATTTGTAATATCCTAGGGAGATATCAGTGTATACCCTGTGGAATTATTTGTGACATTTGAGGGAGCTATTTCTCCTAAAGTCGGAGTGGGTGTACACTCTGTAATATTCTTCCTAATATCACAGTGGTTGTACACCGTGAGTGATATTTTTTTCTAATATCCAGCGAGGGAGAGGATGATATTGCTTCCAATATCATGGAAGGTGTACACCCCCTTGTGATATTGTTCCGAATACAGGAAGGAGAGGATGACATTATTCCCAATATCACTGGGGGTGTATCACCTCCTGCCGGGATATTGTTCTTAATATCCGGAGGTGGAGAGAATGATGTTACTCCCAATATCCCAGGGGGTGTACACCACCCCTGTTTGTAAACACCCCCTGTGATATTGTTCCAAATGGCCTGTGAAAGAGTCAATATGACTCCCATTTTCGCAGGGGGTGTTCAGCCCTGATGATATTGTTTTCTAACATCCGGGGAAGGAGAGTGTGCTGTTACTCCCAATATCGCAGGGTTTGTACACCTTTTTGTGTTTTTGGGCCCAATATCCAGGAAAATAGAGGATGATATTACTCCCAATATCGAAGTAATTGTACAGCACCCCTGTGATATTCTTCCTAATATCCAGAAATGAAAAGAATGATATTACTTCCAACAGTGTCAGAAATGTATACCCGCGCTGTGATATCTTTCCCCATATCCAGGTGGGGAGAGGATCATTATTATTTCCAATGTCGCAGGCTGTGTACACCCCCTCTGTGATCCTGTTGCTAACATCCAGGTTTGGGGAGGACGACATTACTCCCAATATCACAGGGGGAGTACAACCCCCGTGACCTTTTAGTCATTTCCTGGGTGGAGAGGATGATATTACTGCCAATATCGCAGGGGGAGTACACACCCTTGTGAAAATCTTCCTAATATCCAGAGGGAGAGAAGATGATATTACTCCCAATACCGCAGGGGGTTTACACAGCCCTGTGATACTCTTCCTAATATCTACAAGGAGAGAGGATGATATTACTCCCAATGTCGCAGGGGGTGTACATAACCCTGTGACATTGTTTTTAATATCTAGAGCAAAAGAGGATGATATGACTCTCAATATCGCAGGGGGTGTACATCCCTCCTGTCCTATTGTTCTGATTACCCTGGGAGGGAGAGGATAATGTTACATTGAATATCGCAGGGAATGTACACCCTCCCCCTCTGATACCCTTCCTAATGTCCAGGGGAAGAGAGGAAAATTTTACTCCCAATATCGCAGAGGCAGTACACCCCACCTGTGATGTTGTTCCCAATATGCAAGGGTGGAGAGGATGATACTATTCCCAATATCGCAGGGCTGTTCACATCCCCAGTGACATTTGTCCTAATACCTAGGGGAGAGACAATTATATGACAGCAAAGTTCGCAGGATCTGTACATCCCTTCCTGATATTGTTCCTAATATCCAGGGGGGAAGAGGATGATATCAAATATGAAAGGGGGTGTACACCCCCCACCCCTACGATATTGTTCTTAATATTCATAAGAGGAGACTATGATATTACTGCAAATATCGCAGGGGTTGTTGACACCCCCCTGTGATATTGTTTCTGATATCCGGGGGGTGGAGAAAATCATATTACTTCCAATATTGCAGGTGGTGTATACCCCACCTGAAATATGGCACGGATTATCCAAAGAGGGAGACGATGGTATTAATACCAGTATCAAAGTGTGTGTACACGCCCCTTGTGATATGGTTTTTAATATCCAGTGGGCGGGAGGATGATATTAGTTCCAACATCCCAGAGGCTGTACACTACCCCTGTGATATTGTCCCTAACTTCCAGAGGGGAGAGGATGATATCACTGCCAATATCTTAGAAGTTGTACATCCCCTGTGATATTGTTCGTCATATCCATGGAGGCACAGGATGACATTCCATTGATTTTCGGGACAGGCGTTCACGCACAATGTAATGTTGTTCCTAATATCCAAGAAGGGAGAGGATGATATTACTCTCAATAAAGCAGTGGGTATACATTACCCCTGTGTTATTGTCTCTAATATCTGGGGCCAGGGGAGTGGGGAGAGGATAACATTCCCTCAAATTTAGCAGATGGTTTGACGCCCCTTGCTTGTGGTGTTGTTTTAAATATCCAGCGGGGAAGACAATAGTACTATTTTTGATAGTCCGATTCATCTGCTCCACCTTTCTGGAACTCTGAGGCCGGGAGGCGGCATGCAGTTTCCGTGTGATCCCCAATACCTTTGCCGTCTTCTGTACCAAGGCAGCCAAAAACGCAGGCCCGTTATCTGAGCCGATCCGTAAGGCCAGTCGAAATCTAGGAATCAGATCTCAAAGAAGCACAGGGGTTACTTCATGAGCTTTCTCAGTTCGTGTTAGATAAGCCTCCACCCAACCAGAGTAGGTACGCCCAAGAACTAGTAAATACTTGTTACCTCCACACTTTGGCATCTCTGTGAAGTCTACCTGGAGATTTTCAAAGGGGGCTGCTCCGTAAGCTTGTATGCCGGGTGGAACGGCTGGACCTTGCCTCGCATTATGCTGTCGGCAGGTAACACACCACTACCTCACCGTTTTGGCAAGGGCTGACAAATGCGAGATGTACAAATACCAGCCTAACAACTTTTCCAGTGACTCCTGATCTACATGGGTGGTTTCATGCACAGCCAGTACAACTGCACCTCCTAGCAAGTGTGGCACAGCTACTCTCCCATCTGGTAACCGAATCCATCCTTCCTGCATCACTTGTCCTTCCCTCTACCTGGAGAAAGTCCTTTTCTTCTTTAGAAGAAGTAGGTCCAAGATCAAGTGCTTGAGGGAGCACTGATGCCCGGAAGGGGGCAGATGCTGCTTTTCGAGCCTCTGAGGCAGCGCGCGAATTCCCCAAACGCAGCAAGGTGGAAGCTCGCTGGTGTCCTCTGCAATGCACAACTGCCACCTTGTGGGGTTTCCATACTGCTTCTAATAATTGCAAGATTTCTTGTTGATATTTTCTGTCTTTTCCCCCAGAGTTCAATAGGCCCTTTTCTTTCTATCACGCTCCATGCACTTGAAGGGTTAAAAAGACATACCAAGAATCAGTGTAAATGTTGACAGTCTCACCCTCACTGAGTTCTAAGGCCCGAATGAAAGCAATGAGTTCAGCTTTCTGGGCTGAAGTGCCCTGGGGCAACGATCTGGCTTCAACAACAGTGTCCAGGGTTACCACGGCACACCCTGCACCTCTCTCTCCTTGGGGGTTGAAGAAGCTGCTCCCATCCACGTATAGTTCCAAGTCTACTGATGCCCAAGGCTGGTCCTGGAAGTCAGGTCTGCTAGAGTCAACTGAGTCCAACACTTCTACACAATCAGGCTCGACAGGGCTCTCTGATACCGGGAGAAGGTGGCAGGGTGTAGGGTGTTACAAACTTCAATGGTTATACGGGGATTTTCACAGAGCAAAGTTTGGTACTTGGTGAGCCTGGCATTCATTAGCCAACGATGTCCTTTAGTATTCATTAAAGTCACCACAGCATGGGAGGCCTTTATGTTCAGGTTTTGCCCAAGAGTCAGCTTATTTGCTTCTTGTCCTAGCAGGGCAGTTGCTGCCAAGGCCCTCAAACAGGGGGGCCATCCTTTAGAAACCCCGTCTAGTTGTTTAGAGAGGTAGGCCACCGGCCTCAGCCAGGGCCCCACAGTTTGGGTTCAAAGTCCAGCTGCCATCTTTTCTCTCTCTGATGCATACAATGGAAAAGGCTTTGGCAGATCAGGTAGCCCCAGGGCTGGAGCTGCCAGAAGTTTTTCCTTTAACTCATGAAAATCTTGCTGTTGTTGGGATCCCCATTCCAAAGTTTCCCAGTCCCCACCCCATTTGTGACCTCATACAAATTCTTGGCTATTACTGCAAAGTTTGGGATCCACAGTCAACAAAACCCCACAGCTCCTAAGAATTCTCTCACCTGCCTTCTGCTCTTAGGCTCCGATAGATTGCAAATGACCTGCTTTCTTTCTGATCCCAGGCTGTGTTCCGACCCGTCGGATAGTAAATCCCAAGTAACGTACCTGCTGTCAGCAGATCTGAGCTTTCTTCTTGGACACCTTATACCCACAGTCCTCCATGGGCTGGTGTAGGGCATCTGTTCCCTTGGCGCACCCCACTGTAGTGGGGTGTCCCAGCAGAAGGTCATCAACCTCGTGGAGCAACATGCAGCCTAGGTCTCTGGTGAGAAACTTCTGGAGGTCTCGAGCCAACGCCTCCCCGAAGATGGTGGGGGAGTTCTTGAACCCTTGGGGAAGCCCGGTCCAAGTGTACTGACTAGTGACACCTGACTCCGGATCATCCCACTGAAAGACAAGCAGCTTCTGCCTCTCATGGGCTAAGCTGATAGGAAAGAAAGCACCTTTCAGGTCCAATCAGGTGAACCAGCTGTCCTCAGCTGGCAGCAACCCCAACAACGTGGACGGGTTAGGTACTGTTGGAATTTGAAAACAGGATATTTAAGCTTTTTTCGCTGACAACCTGAAAGAGCCGCTACTCAGGTTGGCGTGAACTCCATCCCTGGATAATGCAGACCTGCTTCTGTAAACCTCAAGTCTGTATATTACCCACTTTGATGGTGAATAGCCACTGGGGATGAGTTTTTCCATGATCCCAGGGAAAAACTCCATCATCAATTGCTCTGAAGGGCATGACGTTATTATTATCATACTGACCAGAATAATTTATGCTGTAAAATTGCTTTGAAGTGATGTTATAGAGCTCAGAGAAGAGAGGTTTCCTTGTGGGGAATTGTGGATATTTGAAGCTTACCTTGTCTTTTTTTTACTTCTTCCCCATTATAATCACCACCTCAATCTCTTAGATAGGGTCCTCTGAGTAGTATTAACCAGTCTTTGCCACTTTGGGTGCTAATGCTAAATACTTTGCCCTTAAGAATCTCCTGTGACCAGTAAAACATCATCATCTGAATGTGCATTACACAGTTGGTTTCCACAACTCAGTGATTTATAAAGCCTGGATAGTAGTAGTATTTGAATGTACATAAAGGCAACAAAGAACACAGCTTTATGAAGTGCTAGACAGGGTAGAAGAGTGAAGAAGAGCTATAAAACTTCAGGTACAAAGGACTAGGGGAAGTCTGAGTACTCAGGCAGAACATAACTGTAACAAATGGAGCTAAGGGCTTTCCAAAAACTAAAGGTAAAGAGAGAAATCCTCGGTAGAAGGTCTCACCCAGCAGGAGGTCTGCAAAGGAAGAGGCCCCTTGGGCTGAGAAAGCTGTTTAATGTGCAGTTGACAAAGGGCAGGGGAGGTCTCTGGAAATGTTTATGGGAATGCTCCAGAATTTAATCTGACACCACCAGTCCTGTGAGCTTTGTGCTCTGGGCTCCTAATTAGCAAAATAGAGACACGGGGATTGTGTTTGTCTCACTTGAAATGATTCAGTGTTTATCTTGGCTTGATTGGTCCCAAAGTACTCATTTCACAAAGACCTGTGATGCCTCGTGGGAAGACTTGCACTGCTATTTCCTCAAATTCATGTTCCTTTTCACTTGCCCTTCAATGCCAAAATTGAGAACCATAAAAGACTACTCCTTTTGGCCATCTGGCTTTCTGCTGGCATTAACATTCAATAAAACAGACAGACCCAAACCTTTCCTTTCCCATATAGGGTGAATATTAAAGTGTTTTATGAGCAACTGATCAGGTTCTAGTTCAAGAGAGAAGGCTAGATGTATGGCACAGCAAGAAGGGCATGTATCTTGAGGGCACACTTACTGGCTGTGTGACTTTGGGTAAATTGCTTAACTTTTCTGAGCCTTAGTTTCTTGGGGATGATAATAATACCTACTTATTTGTCCACTGTGAACACTTCATCTATAAAATAGGACTTGCCTGCTCTTTACCTCAAAAAAGAAAATCTAAAAAGAAAATCAAAAAAGAAAATCTATGTGTAGATGTGTTGTAAGCAGTGAAATGCTACATGTAGAAGCAAAACAGGTCATTATATTTTCATCAGATTTGAGTCATTCACTCTTCTATGTTCCAAACATTTTAAAATGCTTTTTTAAAGTCAGAAAACAACATGAATGAGAAGTTACCTGTGGGTCCCCAAACCTCCATTTTGAGGGGACTGGAAAATAAAGCAGCAAGGTTAAGAAAGCTTTCAGAATTCATCACAATGAGAACAGAGTCAAAACTGGAGAAAAAAAATGTCTTACACATTCTTCCAGACAAAAGGGCATTTCAAGTATTGTCTTCAAAATTCAGTTTGGAAAGTTATTAGCTTATAAAAGTGAGTTGTATGTACTTGACAATGCTGTGGAAACTCAGACACCCAGAGGTCCTCAGTCATGGAAGAATCAGCTGTAAATGATTTGTTTTGAAATAATTATCTTAATTCTTGACTACAATAGAATGTTAAAATGGAAGTTTCCACTAGGTAACAAGCTGCAATAGATGTGATATTCCAAAGTGAGCCTCTGGGCTGCCATACGCAGAATGAAGAAGTAGTGTCCTGACTTCTGAACTCCCTACCCTAGAGGGGGGTGAGGCCTGTGTGTGGGATGGGGTGGGGTACCACGGAACCAGGGGTCAAGCAGGCATGGCCTTGAGGGTGGATGCATTCTCAGTGATGGGACTCTAAAAACCCACAAAACTTTCCACAAAAGAAAAAGTGGTTTGTGATCAAGCCATCAATAAGAAACTCAGAAACTTCTCTGATTCCGTTTCCCCAGTTTTGCCCACTCAGGTGAGTAAGCAGGGATGAGGGAGTGGGCTAACTTTGAAAGTTCCCTTCCCTCCTGCGGATATTCCCCAACAGCAGCCCTAAACCCCTGGGAGTTTTGGGTTTCACACTGGATCAGGTATTCTAATGGCTGAGTAAAGACCTGCTGGGACCATGAAACAATTACTCCCTGAGGACCTGAGAATGAACGAAGTCATGGGGCTGCCCAGGTTTTCTGGCAGTACCACCTCCCTAGAGATCATTCAGAAATATGTTGGAGTGTGTTTTGATTGACACAATGATTGGCAGGGAGGATACTCTTGGCATTTAGAGGACAAGGGCCTGAGATGCTCGATATCCCAGTAACCCAAGAACTCTCCTGCTTGAAATATTAACAGTGCTCCCAGTTGAGGCCTACACTCATGGAGGCAGGGGCAGGATCACCCCTTCCCTGAACAAGTTTTAAAAAGACAGTGGAACCTATGCCAGGCAGGGAAACCAGAACTGTAATTGATGACCTGCTGGAGGCTCAGTGTGAACAAGTCTGAGAAGAAAACTCCAGAGGGACCCAGTTACTTTTGTGAATTTTACCTGCTGGAGGTCAACCAGGTTCTCAGAGTAAATATCTGAGAAAAATAATAATAATAAAAAAAAAGACAGTGGGAGACAAAAATAGAAATACATTTTCATTATGTTGCCCTTTATGCTTATTCACCATATCTATTACGCTGAGGCTACAAGTATTTTGCAGTGACTTGAGAGCTCTTTCCCACAGCTGCTTAATTACATTCCAGCTGCTTGGATGCATTAGAGCCAGAAGCAGGCCATGAAGTGGGTGAAGGACCTAGCAGAAGGTGCTATGGTGTGCTGCGGTAGCCTGAACCCCTAAAAGCCCTAGCCCAGGTTAAACTTGCTCTGGTGACTGAAGACCAGGATCAGCCCCAGGTTTGAGAAAACCTGGCTGGTCTTGGTGTGGTAGCCTGAACAATGTCTACGTTCTTAGCCCTGAAATCTGTGACTATGTTACCTTCCATGGCAAAAGAGACTTTGCTAACATGATTAAATTAAGATGTTGACATGGCAAGATTATACAGATTGTCCAGTAGGCCTGCTTTATTCACGGGTGTCCTTTGAAGAGGGACAAGGGGATCAAAGTCAGAAGAAGGACACATGATAACAGAAGCAGGAGTTGGAGTGATGCTTGTTGGAAATGGGGGCATGAGGCCAGGGCGGCAGCTCACGCCTGTCATCCCTGCACTTTGGGAGGCTGAGGCGGGCAGATCACCTGAGGTCAGGAGCTTGAGACCAGCCTGGCCAACATGGTGAAACCCCATCTCTACTAAAAATACAAAAATTAGCTGGGCATGGGGATGTGCACCTGTAATCCCAGCTACTCAGGAGGATGAGGTGGGAGAATTGCTTGAACTTGGGAGGTGGAGGTTGCAGTGAGCCAAGATTGCACCACTGCACTCCAGCCTGGGAGACAGAGCAAGACTCTGTCTCAAAAAAAAAAAAAAAAAAAAAAAAGAAAGAAAGAAAAGAAAATGGGGCATGCATGTGGCACTAGAAGCTGGAAAAGGCAGGAAGATAGATCCTCTTCTAGAGCCTCCAGAAAGGAACACAGACCTGCCAACACCTTGATTTTAGCCTGCAAGACCCATTTTGGGCATCTGATCTCCAGAACTGTAAGATATCCAATATGTGTGTTTTTAAAAGCCATTATATTTGTGGCAATTGGTTACAGCAACAATAGGAAAATAATTTACCTGGTTTAAAGTGTAATATAAACCTTTCTACTCAAGAGAACTTAGCAGTTCTCTCAAGTTCACCCGAAGAACCCCCAAATCCCAACACAACCCTCTCTCCCCTCTCTGAAGATTCCAAGGAGAAAGGAAAGCAGTCCTGGCAAAATCCTCCTCCGGACCCGGTAAACAACCTGCAACCATGGCACATTGCTGTGTGATATAAACGTGTGTGTGTGTGTGTGTGTGTGTGTGTGTGTGTGTGTGTGTATGAGAAGCCAAAAGAAATAAAAAGGATTTCTATATTATCTGCGGTTTTCTTCACTAACCTTTCCCTTTCTAGCTACATAGATAATTGAGGACTCACTCCATTCTATCAAGGACCGCCACTGCTTGCTTTCAAGGGCTTCCCTCACCCCACAGATTTCTAGATTAGATCCAATGCAGTCTCTGATCATGCTGAAGCCTTGATTAGCAAAGTAGAAGAAAAATTAGAGAAAATTAAGTGGGCATTGTTGGAAAAACAAATAAATCCTCCTTCATTGGCAGACTTGAGCATTTACTAGAGCAATAACTATAGCACCATTTTCAACACTTTCTGCTGATGGGTGTGGAAACACTTTCTATCACAACCGACTTGACTTTTCCCTCTTTCTTCAGACCATAGATAAATATTTAGTTACAAACTTCCAAACAGAATAAAACCAGACTTTTAGTTTATTTGACAGGAAAGCTTAGTATGGGATACTTAAATCATTAAGGAGAAAAGACAGCTTAACTCACTGTAAAGCTAAAGATTAACTAGGAACCAACATGAATTCTCTTATAGGCTGTTTTCTACTCCCCTTGGTAGGAAAAAAATGTTAATTCACTCAGTATTAGATATCATGAGCCAAGTCTGGATTCCTTGGGAAGGTTTGTTTTCTCTCAGGAATACTTAGTTTGGCCCAGGGAAAATGAAAACAAGTTTAAAAAAAATCTTTCCTGGTTAGTCATTTTCTCTGGAGACTTAAAAGAAAAAAGACACTGATGTTGAGTAGAAAGCTTTCTCTGCAAGCTTTTACTGCAATGTCAAATAAAAAATGCACAGAATTGGCTCCCCTGGCAGCTTGTGCCTACTTTCAACTTTTTTTTTTTTTTTTTTGAGACGGAGTCTCTCTCTGTCACCCAGGCTGGAGTGCAGTGGTGTGATCTCGGCTCACTGCAACCTCCACCTCCTGGGTTCAAGTGATTCTCCTGCCTCAGCTTCCCGAGTAGCTGGGACTATAAGCATTTGCCACCATACCTGACTAATTTTTTAATATTTTTAGTAGGGAAGGGGTTTCACCACATCAGCCAGGCTGGTCTTGAACTTCTGACTTCAGGTGATCCACCCATCTTGACGTCCCAAACTGCTGGGATTACAGGTGTGAACCACCGTGAATGGCCCCTTCAACTTCATGTCTAAAACACCAAAAGCAATGACAACAAAAGCCAAAATCGACAAATGGGATCTAATTAAAATAAAGAGCTTCTGCACAGCAAAAGAAACTATCATCAGAGTGAACAGGCAACCTACAGAATGGGAGAAAATTTTTGCAATCTAGCCATCTGACAAGGGCTAATATCCAGAATCTACAAAGAACTTAAACAGTGGCCAGGCACGGTGGCTCACGCCTGTAATCCCAGCACTTTGGGAGGCCAAGGCAGGTGGATCACGAGGTCAGGAGATCCAGACCATCCTGGCTAACATGGTGAAATCCTGTCTCTACTAAAAATACAAAAAAATTAGCCAGGATTGGTGGTGGGCGCCTGTAGTCCCAGCTAATTGGGAGGCTGAGGCAGGAGAATGGTGTGAACCGGGCAGGTGGAGGTTGCAGTGAGCCAAGATTGCTCCACTGTGCTCCAATCTGGGTGACACAGCAAGACTCTGTCTCAAAAAAAAAAAAAACAGAACTTAAATAAATTTACAAGAAATAAAAAATCAACCCCATCAAAAAGTGGGTGAAGGATATGAACAGACACTTCTCAAAAGAAGACATTTATGCAGTCAACAAACATGAAAAAAAAGCTCATCATCAGTGGTCATTAGAGAAATGCAAATCAAAACCACAATGAGATATGATCTCATGCCAGTTAGAATGGTGATCATTAAAAAGTCAGGAAACAACAGGTGCTGGAGAGGATGTGGAGAAATAGGAACGCTTTTACACTGTTGGTGGGAGTGTAAATTAGATCAACCACTGTGGAAGACAGTGTGGTGATTCCTCAAGGACCTAGAACTAGAAATACCATTTGACCCAGCAATCCCATTACTGGGTATATACCCAAAGGATTATAAATCATTCTATTATAAAGACACATGCACACATATGTTTATTGTGGGCTATTCACAATAGCAAAATCTTGGAACCAACCTAAATGTCCATCAATGATAGACTGGATAAAGAAAATGTGGCACATATATACCATGGAATACTATGCAGCCATAAAAAAGATGAGTTCATGTCCTTTGCAGGGACATGGATGAAGCTGGAAACCATCATTCCCAGCAAACTAACACAGGAACAGAAAACCAAACACCACATGTTCCCACTCATAAGTGGGAGTTGAACAATGAGAACACATGGACACAGGGAGGTGAACATCACACATTGGGGCCTGTTGGGGGGTGGGGGGCTAGGGGAGGGATAGCATTAGGATAAATACCTAATATGGGTGACGGGTTGATGGGTGCAGCAAACCTCCATGGCACGTGTATACCTATGTAACAAAACTGCATGTTCTCCACATATATCCCAGAACTTAAAGTATAACAAAAAAATTTTTTTTTCTAAAGATAACTTGTTGCCTTTTGTTAGCTGGAAAATGGGAAAGGAGAAATTTATATGTGTGTTTAACAGGAAACAGTAGAGCACAGAGTTAATATCACACATGTGAATCCCAATTTTGCTAAAATCTGACCAATGTGAGGAAAATAACTAATGTGTCATGCCTTAGCACACTTTACAGAGTTTTATCAAGTTAGGAAGTGTTATGTTAGTCCCTCATATAAACTTACTACTTCATGTAACATGACTATGGGCTACATTGGATGAAGGTCCAATAGTAGAAGGTCCAAGGTTAGGCTCAGTAAACTGAACACATCCAGTATCTGTTCAGCACTGGAAAGTTCTCTGGCTTTCACTGAAGACTTTGGCACCCGGCTCATGGTTCTATTTTCCATCCTATGACTTGCTTCATCCTTGATGACCTTTTCAACAACTTTGTCCCCTTTTCTTGCTCCACATAGCTACCCACCTCCATGGCCATAGCCCAGAGCCTGTCCTCAGAGAGGCTCTGGCCACACCCTGTTTTACATCCTCCCAGTGGCCCTGAGGGCTCTTGGAGCCCATGGAGACCTCCAATACTTTGTTACTGGCAGAATGTATCCATATCCATACGGGGCTACAGCAACCTCAATTCTTGCCTCCTCAGAAGAAAGAATGGGACTGAGGGGCATAAGGTAGAGGGAGAGACCAAAGCAAGTTTCAGAGCAGGAGTGAAAGTTCATTAAAACGATTTAGAGAAGGTTGACATTTAGAGAAGTCCAAATAAGAAGTTGGACTTATACTTTTGGAATTACCTCTAGAGACAAGGGGTCCAAAATTTTTTCAGCACCTAGGGCATTGACATTTTGTCAGCACCAAGACAGCTTGACATTTTGACTTGGGGTTTTATATGTTGGCATACTTCCAGTGTCTTGTGTTACTTCTCACCACTCGCCCAACTCCTGAGATCTTATTGGGAAGCTGCTGATCACCAGTTTCAGGTATTTTCTATCTATTAGGAGACGGCCTTTCCCTGGTGCCCGGTGTGACCAATTATTACTTTAGCGAGAGAGTTAACAAGAGCCTGACCATCACCTGATGGTCACCCAACACTCCTGGTGTGTGTGTCGGGGGGCTCTCTCCTGCCCTGCTCATACCTGACTAGCTACCTACTGTAACCGGTTGACCCCTCCTTTTATTTCCCATCCCTGATAAGAGTACCTCATCCAGATGAGAGTATATAGTTACTCACTTGAAAATCAGGAAGGCTGGGTGCTCACCTGTAATCCACAGGTGGATTACCTGGTGGCTCACACCTGTAATCCAGACACTTTGGGAGGCTGAGGCAGGAGGATCTCTTGAGGCCAGGAGCCAGGACCTCAAGATCAGCTCGGACAACATAGGGACACCCCATCTCTGCCAAAAAAATAAATAAATAAATAATAAATTAGCTAGTCATGGTGGCGTGCACCTGTAGTCCTAGCTACACAAGAAGGCTGAAGTGGGAGGACTGTTTGAGCCCAAGAGTTGGAAGTTGCAGTAAACTATGATCATGCCATTGCACTCCAGCCTGGGCAACAGAGTGAGACCCTGTCTCTAAAAACTCAAAAAAAATCAGGGCTAGACTAGATGCCCTAGGTGCTGAAAAATTTTGGACCCCTTGTCTCTAGAGGTAATTCCAAAAGTATAAGTCCAATTTCTTATTTGGTTCTCAAGGTGACTAGTTTAGTGTTCTTCAGAGGCAGGGTAGGGAGGAGTGGGGAGAATACTGTGTTCTTAATTTTTTTTTTTCAATTTTGAGTTCCCCCTCGTTGGTACCCCAAGTGTGGGTTTAGTCTGTTCACTGGGTAATTGGAAGCATTATTTTACAAATATCCACATCCCTGCTGCACACTTGTTTCCCACAGCACAGCCAGGCAAACCAAGTTCGGTCATGCCCTATCTTAGCATGCCTCAGAATCACCTGAAATGCTTGTTTCTATTGCTTGTTCCAAATGTGGTAGGATTGCAGCCCACCTCAGCTTGCACCTGCCACACACACACTTCCCTAAGTTTGCCACCAACCAGACAGTCCACCCTAAAGCCCTCAGCCACAAGGTCCTCTCATCCCTCACCACGGTGACCCTTGGCTTGCAGGCTAGCCCTCTCACCTCCTCTTCTCCACCTCCTCCAAGGCCTGAAATTCAGTACCCTCTCGGCCTCTTGAGACAGAGAGGCTTATGAAAGGAGAGGCTAGCTCGGGCCCTCTCTCTGTCTAGACCTGTCCTGCTCAGATTGCTACTCTAGTGCAGCTGCCCATGGCTGGCAAGGAGTGTGGAGGAGATGGCTTCCTCCCAGGGATTCAAGAGGGAAGCAGATCATAAGCCCCTCCCCTCCCTGCATGCCTTCAGACCTAGCTAAGGGATTTAGGAGTCATTCTCCTATCTTTTAAAATTTTTTTGTAGAGACAGGTTCTCACTGTGTTCTCCAGGCTGGTCTTGGACACCTGGCCTCAAGTGATGGTCCTCCTTCCTCCACCTCCTGAAGTGCTGAGATTACAGGTGTGAGCCACTGAGCCCAGCCTCACTCTCCTGTGTAACACCCCTTCCTCCTCTCTGAGTGCCCCTTCCACCCAACTGGTCAAATTCTTCCCTTGATGGAAAATTGGGTCTATATTTTGCAGAACTTGTTCTCCTAAGGGCTCTTAAAGAGCCAGGTTCCTGTTCTAGATATTTAAGAAGAAATTTTTAGAATGCAGGAAACTCTTTTTTCTCTTAAAAACTTGACTCTTGGCCGGGTTCACGCCTATAATCCCAGCACTTTGGGAGGCCGAGGCCCATGGATCACCTGAGGTCGGGAGTTGGAGACCCGCCGGACCAATATGGAGAAACTCCGCCTCTACTAAAAATACAAAATTAGCTGAGTGTGATGGGGCATGCCTGTAATCCCAGCTACTCGGGAGGCTGAGGCAGAAGGACCACTTGAACCTGGGAGGCGGAGATTGCAGTGAGCCGAGATCTCGCCATTGCACTCCATCCTGGGCAGCAAGAGTGAAACTCCATCTCACAACAAAAAAACAAACAAATGAATAAGCAAACCTGATTCTTGCCATTGAAAGCTTGAATTCAAACCTAATGTTTCTGCTATGTTCTTTTAAGAAAGGTCTATTTTGAACATCATAATTGATCAATGACTCTTTTCTTCTTCTTTTTTATATTATATAAAATTCTTTTTTAAAATAATAGGCTGGGTGCGGTGGCTCACACCTGTAATCCCAGCACTTTGGGAGGCCGAGGTGGGTGGATCACTTAAGGTCAGGAGTTTGAGACCAGCCTGACCAGCATGGTGAGACCCCCGTCTCTATTAAAAATACAAAAATTAGCTGGGCGTGGTGGTGTGCACCTGTAATCCCAGCTACTTGGGAGGTTCAGGTAGGAGAATTGATTGAACAGGAGGTGGATGTAGCAGAGAGCCAAGACTGCACCACTGCACTCCAGCCTGGGCAACACAGCAAGATTCCATCTCTAAATAAATAAATAAATAAATAAAATAAAATAATAGAGACAGGGTCTCACTATGTTGCCCAGGCTGGTCTTGAACTTCTGGGCTAAAGTGATCCTCTCACCTCAGCCTCCGAAAGTGCTAAGATTACAGGCGCGAGCCACCGTACCTGACCTCAATGACTTTTTTTGTTGTTCTGAACTGTATCTCACCCTCTGCCCCAAATAAGCATCAGTGGGTTAAAAGGTGTTGGACTGTAAAAAAAAATAGGGGAATAAAAAAGACCTAGGGTTCTATTAAAAAAGCATGCATACTACACTTTCCTTCCCACCCCTACTTGCAGCCATGGGCTCCCAAGTTTGGTTTGGCCTGGATAGTGTTTGAAACAACGTTTAACTAATTATCAATCTTTTCTTTTCTTTTCTTTTTTTTTTGAGACGGAGTCTAGCTCTCGCCCAGGCTGGAGTGCACAATGTTTTCAATTGGATAATTTCATCTACAAAGCTGTATTTCTGCCTTCTCTTGGATCATGGTGACACTGGGCTGTGGTGGAGGCACTAGGGCCCACCTTGATTAATCCTGCCCTCTTCAGTTTGCTGGAAACCCCTCCTGGCCGCCTCACACATTGGCCTCTGAGGACATTTCTTTCTTTCTTTTTTTTTTTTTTGAGATGGAGACTTGCTGTGTTGCCCAGGCTGGAGTCCTGTGGTGTGGTCTTGGCTCACTGCAACCTCCGCCTCCCGGTTCAAGCGATTCTCCTGCCTCAGCCTCCCGAGTAGCTGGGATTAAAGGTGCCCACCACCACGCCTGGCTAATTTTTTGTATTTTTTGTAGAGACAGTGTTTCACCATGTTGGCCAGGCTGGTCTCGAACCCTTGACCCTGTGATTCGCCCACCTTGGCCTCCCAAAGCACTGGGGTTACAGGCGTGAGCCACTGTGCCAGCCCCTCTAGGGCATTTCTAACCTTGACCTTAGGCAGGGTTTCTCACTTAGCCTCAAAAGCCTTTCTCTGTCTTTCCTCTTACAAACACTTTCAGACCTTTGCAGCTTCCTGAAAGTCCCTACTCCCCCAACACCCATTCCCCTACACTCTCACCAGATGACTAATTTTGTTGAGAAAATTGAGGCCAAAAGTACAGAATCTTCTATCTGCTGTCCAACCTACTAACTTTTCTATATCTGTACAGATCTTGCCTCACTCTCAGAGGATGGGATAGTCCTGCTTTTGGTCAAATCAATTTCTTCAGTTATGCTATTTTAAAAATATATTGTTTTTTATGATTATGAAAATGATATAGCCTCAGAACCCTAAAGCCAAAATTAAAAATAAGTCACTCCTCCACAAACCCACAATGGTATCACTGCCCAAAAGTAAATACTGTAAAATTACTGCTAAATATTTGGTAGCCATCCTCCAGGGCTACCCACACACACACACACACACACACATGCCACACACACACACACACACAACTAAGTATATATGTGTACACATAATTTTATTGTATTTTTCCATAACAGTGATTGTATATTTTTGTACAAGTTGTCTTTTTCTACTTAACAGTGATTGTGAATGCCTTTATGTATCAGTACATGTAAATCTACTGTCTTCTAGGGCTATTTAGTGTTGCATGCATTGAGTATGTCACACTTATTAAAACCTTTTTAAAAATTGCCAAAAAGCAGTATATACTTACTAAAAGTAATACATATTATATAGAAGTGTAAAATATGAAAGCTGCTTTTTTTCTTATACTCCCACTCCCATTCTCCAAGGGGTAACTATTACTAACAGCTTACTGGGAATCTCTACAAACATTTTTTAAAGTCTGGTTAATTGACGTGTAATTCACATACAGTAAAATTCACCATTTGTAGTGTACGGTTCTACGAATTTGTAAAAATACATATAGTTGTGCAACCAAAACCACAGTTGAGTTACGGAACATTTCCATAACAACAAGAAACTTTTTTTGTGTCCCTTTATAGTCACCTGCTCCCTGATTCCCAGCCCTGGCAACCATTGATCTATTTTCTGTTCCTATAGTTTCGCTTTTTCTAGAGGGCCATATGAATGGAATCATACAATGTGCAGCCTTTTCAGCCGAGTCTCACTCTGTCGCCCAGGCTGGAGTGCAGGGGCACGATCTCGGCTCACTGCAACCTCCATCTCCCAGGTTCAAGAGATTCTCCTGCCTCAGCCTCCTGAGTAGCTGGGATTACAGGTGTGTGCCACCAACACTCGGCTAATTTTTGTGTTTTTAGTAGAGACGGGGTTTCACCATGTTGGCCAGGCTGGTCTTGAACTCCTGACCTCAAGTTATCCACTCATCTCAGCCTCCCAAAGTGCTGGGATTACAGGCCTGAGCCACCATGGAGCCGTGGCTTTTTTCCCCTAGCATAATCCATTGGAGAGTCATCCATGTTGATATGTGTGTTATTAAATCCTTGTCTAGTACATAGAAATGGTTTTTGTTCCTGGAAATGGGATCATGCTATACCTGGAATGTAGCTATTTCTTTTCTTGTTTACTTAAATATTATAAATCCTTTTTTTTTTTTTTTTTTTTTTTCGAGACGGAGTCTTGCTCTGTCACCCAGGCTGGAGTGCAGTGGCGCGATCTCAGCTCACTGCAAGCTCCGCCACCCGGGTTCACGCCATTCTCCTGCCTCAGCCTCCCCAGCAGCCGGGACTACAGGCGCCCGCCACCACGCCCAGCTAATTTTTTGTATTTTCAGTAGAGACGGGGTTTCACTGTGTTAGCCAGGATGGTCTCAATCTCCTGACCTTGTGATCGCCTGCCTCGGCCTCCCAAAGTGCTGGGATTACAGGCCTGAGCCACCGCTCTTGGCCTATTTTTTTTTTTTTTTTTTGGAGTCAGAGTTTTGCGCTTGTTGCCCAGACTGGAGTGCAATGGCGCAATCTCGGATAACTGCAACCTCTGCCTCCCGGGTTCAAGCGACTCTCTTGCCTCAGCCTCCTGAGTGGTTGGGATTACAGGCATGCGCCACCACATCTGGCTAATTTTGTATTTTTAGTAGAGATGGGGTTTCTCCATGTTGGTCAGGCTGGTATGGAACTCCTGACCTCAGGTAAATCCATTTCTTTGTAACTTACTACATCTAGATCTAATTCTTTCTTTTTAATAGCTGCCCAGTATTCCATTACATACTTTCTATATAATGTATTTAACTGTTCTTCTCTTAATGAACAATCAGGTCATGTCCAATTTTTCACTGTTCCAGCATGTAAAAAAGTATGAACAGGTAAAATAAATACTGGTTCATAATTTCTTGTGAATGTATAGACAGATTCTTAGAAGTAGAATTGCTGACTGAAAAGGTACATTTAATATTGTGACTCTGGGTGATAGATACCCTAAAAGCCCTGATTTCACCACTACACAATCTCTGTAGGTAACAAAATTACACTTGTACCCCATAAATATTTTTATTTTTATACAAATAAAATGAATTTGATAAACACTTCCAAATTGCTCTCTACAAATGTTGTATATGTTTAGGCTCCATCAATCAGCATTGGACTGTTTTTTTCTCTATAGCCTTACCAACAACACATATTAATCTTTCTAATTTTTCTTAACCTTATTGACAAAGTGAAAGATCTCATTTACATAGCTTTCATTCTTAATGAGATTGATTATTAAAAAAAATATATATATATATTTGCTGTTCAAGTTTGTTATCTATGAAATGCCAGTTTCTAGCTTTTGCCCATATTTTCTATTAGGCTGTTATTTTAAAAAATGAATTTGGGCTGGCATGGTGGCTCACGCCTGTAATTCCAGCACTTTGGGAGGCCAAGGCTGGTGGATCCCTTGAGGTCAGGAGTTTGAGACCATCTTGGCCATCATGGTGAAACCCGATCTCTACTAAAAATACAAAAAATTAGTTGGGTGTGGTGGTGGGTGCCTGTAATCCCAGCTACTTGGGAGGCTGAGGCAGGAGAATCACTTGAACCTAGGAGGCAGAGGTTGCAGTGAGCCGAGATCATGCCACTGCACTCCAGCCTGGGGGATGGAGGGCGACTCTGTCTCCAAAAAAAAAAAAAAAAAGAATTTGAAGGAGTTTTTAAATATATTAGGTAGACTAGAACTGTTTTTTTTTCCAGACTTATTTGTGGAGTCTATAGAGGCTGTATACTTTTGTTATCAACTTTTATTATGTCTGGAAATCATATACTATGAGGGAGATCTTTCCACCGCAAGACTTTAAAGTGATTCTGTAATCCATAGCTTAACTAATCTTTTCTGATAGACATGTGAATTGTTTCAAATTTTCCCTTTTGCTGGTGATACTGCATTGAATACTCCTGTACGTACATCTATCTCTTTGCCTTTGAACAATTTTATACAATTTTTCCTCCTTATGTGAACATTTGTATAAGTTTAAAAAATTTTTTTTTCTTGGAAGACAAATTCTGAGAAACTGCATCAAAGGATAGGCATATTTTAAATTTCACTGATCTGCGCTTTTGAATTCCTACCCATCAGCTGCTTTTGGAAACTTGTTCTCTCAGTGAGTCTTTCCCGCATAAATCTTTAGCCTCTCCCAATCCATGGGCTCTTTCTTTTCAGCCTACCAACATGCTCCAAACTCACGTCTTCTTAGAAACAAAGCAGAACAACACAAAATCGCTTCCCTTGTTGAGTCCGCATTTCTTTCTAGTTGCCATCATGCCTCTTTTCTTTTCTTCTTAGCCAGCTTGTTGAAAAGGTTGTCTATCTGTCCCCATTACCATGACTGTTATTTGCTGCCATCTGATTTCTACCCCTTGCACTTCACTGACACCGCCATGGAAAAGACGCCCAGGGACCTCTAAGTGGTTTACTAAATGTCACCTGCCACTGTTCCCTGTAACTCTCCATTCTTCCCCTCCATGACACCAGTTCTTTCCTGGTGCTCTCCTTGGTCAGCCTTCCTTCTCCATCTTCTTTGGGTTCCTTCTTCCAATGCTCACTCATTAAAAAATTATTATTATTATTATTATTTGAGATGGTGTTTTGCTCTTGTCACCTAGGCTGGAGTACAATGGCACGATCTCAGCTCACTGCACCCTCCGCCTCCCAGGTCCAAGCAATTCTCCTGACTCAGCCTCCCGAGTAGCTGGGATTACAAGCATGCGCCACCAGGCCCAGCTAATTTGTTGTATTTTTATTTTTATTTATTTTATTTTATTTATTTATTTATTTATTTATTTTTTTGAGACGGAGTCTTGCTCTGTCACCGAGGCAGGAGTGCAGTAGCACAATCTTGGCTCACTGCAACCTCTGCCTCCCTGGTTCATGCCATTCTTCTGCCTCAGCCTCCCGAGTAGCTGGGACTACAGGCGCCCGCCACCATGCCCAGCTAATTTTTTCTATTTTTAGAAGAGACAGGGTTTCACCGTGTTAGCTAGGATGGTCTTGATCTCCTGACCACGCGATCTGCCCGCCTCGGCCTCCCAAAGTGCTGGGATTACAGGCATGAGCCACTGCACCCAGCCAATTTTTTGTATTTTTAGTAGAGACGGGTTTCACCATGTTGGCTAGGCTGGTCTTCAACTTCTGACCTCAAGTGATCCACTCACCTTGGCCTCCAAAGTGCTGGGATTACAGGCGTAAGCCACCGCGCCCAGTCAATTATTATTAGTTTTTGAGACAGGGTCTTGTTCTGTTTCCCTGACTGGAGGGTAGTGGCACGATCTTGGCTCACTGCAGCCTCAACCACTGGGGTTCAAGTGATCCTCCCACCTCAGCCTTCCAAGTAGCTGGGACTATAGGCACATGCCACCATGCCCATCTAATTTTGTTTATTTTCTTTGTAAAGATAGGGTATCACTGTGTTGCCCAGGCTGGTCTCAAACTCCTGGGCTCAAGCGATCCACCCACCTCGGCCTCCCAAAGTGCTGGGGTAACAGGCATGAGCCACCATGCCTAGTCCAATGCTCACTCTCTTAACTTTGGTGTTTCTAGTGTTCTGGTCTTGATCTCATGCTTTTCTCTCCATACACATTCACCTCATCGGTTGTATCTACTCTCACTAACTTTATGCTATCAACACATAGTAGGTTGAATAATGCTTCCAAAGATGTCCAGGTCCTAATCTCTGGAACCTGTGAATAATACCTTATCAAGCAAAATGTGCAATTGTGATCTTGAGATGGGAATATTATCCTGGATTATCTGTGCAATGTAATCACACGTGTCCTGATAGAAGGGAGGCAGAGGGAGGCATGACTACAGAAGAAGAAAGCTATGCGACAACAGAAGCAAGACGCTGCACTCCTGGCTTTGAAGATGGATTAAGGGCCAGAAACTGAGGAATGCAGGCAGTCTCTCGGAGCAGAGAAGGAAAAGGATTCTCTCCTAGAGCCTCCAGAAGGAACCAGCCCTGCTGACACCTTGACTTTAGCTTAGTGAGACTAATTTTAGACTTCTAACTTCCAGAATCATAACAGAGTAAATTTATGTTGTTTTAAGCTACTAAATTTATGGTAATTTGTTACAGTAGCCTCAGGAAACTAGTATAATGCTTGAATACGTATTTTTCATACCAGAACTCGCCTCTGATCATCAGATTCATAGCTGCATCTGCCTGCTACCCTCACATTCAACAGGACTCAAACAGACCCCATCATCCTCTCCCTCCTTCTGCTGTGTTTCCCTGATTCATTTAATGGCACCGTCGGCCGGGTGTGGTGGCTCATGCCTGTAATCCCAGCACATTGGGAGGCTGAGGCAGGCAGATCACCAGAGGTCAGGAGTTCGAGACCAGCCTGGTCAACATGGTGAAACCCCGCCTCTACTAAAAATACAAAAATTAGCTGGGCATGGTGGCACGCGCCTGTAATCCCAGCTGCTCGGGTGGCTGAGGCAGGAGAATCACTTGAACCTGGGAGGCAGAGATTGCAGTGAGCCGAGATCGCACCATTGCACTCCAGCCTGGGTGACAGAGCAAGACTCCATCTCAAATAAATAAATAAAGATATAAAATAATAAATAAATAAATAAATAAATAAATAAATGGCACCATCATTCCCTGAGTCACACGAGTCAGGACCAAGGATCCTCCTGGACTCCTCCCACTCACAGACCAGCAATCATCAAGCCCTGCAGTGTCTGCTGCCCAAACCTTTCTAATATACGCCTCCTTTTGGCCTCTATGGCTCTCCGCCTATAGATTTATCCCTTCCCGTATTCATCCTCCATATCAAAGCCAAGACAAGCCTTCTAAAAGGAAACCTGACCAAGGTCCTTTCTTTAACCACTGCTTAGATTCAAGTCCAAACTCCCTGGCAGGCCATACAAGGCTCTCCCTTTTGCAGCTGTGTCTCCTGCTGTGGACTCTAATGATGCTCAAACAGTTTGCTACTTTCCCACCTATAGTAGTTACCTTTGCGTGTTCATGAAACTTCATGACCTTTGCTTCTGCTGCTCCTGCCCTTCTTTTTCTGCTCAGCTTTTACTGGTCTTCATGACTTAGCTCATTTTCTCTAATGAGGCAGAGCTCAGCATTCTTCTTTTGTCCTCCTCTAGCAGCCTGTGCCTGCTTGTGTACCATAGCAGTTTCCACAGTAAAGAGACATTATTTGTGTTCACCTGAAGCCAGGAGCAATGTCTCATTCATCTATTAAAGCTCAGTGGTTTGCACAAGGCCCAGTAAATATCTGTCGAACTGAGCTGAATTGCATTGCAGATAGAAAAAAAAATGATTTCACTTAGTCAAAATATTTCAAAAATGTAGAAACTCTTCTTTTATAAACTTAATCTCCTCTGACAGTTCTGGGTTGCAGCCATGTATAACAAAGGGCAGGAATACAAAACAAAGATTGTCTGAAAATTCCCCGAGTGAAGCATTTAAAAAAGGAATCATGAAAATGTAAGTAAACTCTGTGGCCAGCCCATCTTCTCTGTGTTCTTTCAAGAAAAATATTTGAAGTTTCATTTTTCCTTGAAGTTCAAAACAAGTCGGAATATTTAAGAAAGTGTCTAGACATTCTGAACTTGACCTTTGACAATTGTAGGAGTTGACTTTTCTAGCCAGCTGTGAAGTGCAAATACAAAGCACAGTTCATTTAATCCAGAGCCAGGTATCAGGCTTGGGCACACTCTCTGTGTGAATAAATAGAAGCAGCAATCATGTTCACTTTTCTACAGGCAGGGATGACATCCTAAAAGGATGTCAGGCTGAAGAGACTACAGCATATACTGCTAGGTGACCAAACCAAAGCACAGAATGGTGTGTACGGCATGCCTCCTTTTGTGTAAAAAGGAGGGAGGGGAATAATATATATTCATATTTGTTTGTATTTGCATAAGTAATCACTGGAAAGAGAAATCAGAAATGAATAAATATGGTTACCTGTAGAGTGTGAGAGGCAACGGAGTAGATGGGGATGGGAAGGAATGACAGTTCTCAGTACCTACCTTTTCATAGTGTTCAGAGTTTTCACTCGTCTAAGTGTATTTTCTATTTAAAATAACTATAAAAAAATAATGTCGGATGTAGGCCAGTACTATTCCCAGTGTGCCTTGTTACCATTTGAGAAGCATCAGTATATTCTTAGTTTTTGGCCTAGAGAGTCTTTTTTAATGTTTAGCACTTGATTTAGAAATGATGGTAAGTTTTATTTTATTTTTTTCCTTAAAAAAAAAATTTAGGTTGGGCACGGTGGCTCATGCCTGTAATCCCAGCACTTTGGGATGCTGAGGTGGGAGGATCACTTGAGTCCAGGAGTTCAAGTCTGCAGTGAGCTGTGTTCACGCCACTGCACTCCAGCCTGGGCAATAGAGCGAGATTCCATCTCAAAATAAACAAATAAATTAAATAAATAAATAAATAAATAAATAAATTTTAGATTTGGGGTACATGTGCAGGTTTGTTACATGGACATATTGCATGATGCTGAGGTTTGGGCTTCTGTTGGAAGCCCAAATAGTCCATTCTGTCACCCAAATAGTAAACATGATTTCAAAATTTTAAAAATATTACAAAAATAAACATAGCACAAAGATCTCTATGCCCTCTGGGTGCAATGGCTCACAACGGTAATCCCAGCACTTTGGGAGCCTAGACAGATGGATCACTTGGGCCCAGGAGCTCAAGACCAGCCTGGCCAGCATGGCAAGATCCCATTTCTATGAAAAAATATAAAAATTAACCTGATGTGGTGGTGCATACCAGTGTTCGCAGCTACTCCAGAGGCTGAGGTGAGAGGATTGCTTGAGCCTGGCAGGTCAAGGCTGCAGTGAGCCGCCACTGCATTCCAGCCTATCAATGAGAGTGAGACCCTGTCTTCAAAAAAAAAAAAAACGAAAAACATTTCTATGCCCTTAACCAGATTCCCTGTTATCAATATTTTATCCCACATGCGTTTCCTCTCGCTCTCTCTCTCTCTCTTTCTCTCTCATACTGTATCTGAACCATCTGAGGTTCTGGATCCTCTACCTCTAAATGTTTCAGAATGTATTTTCTAAAAATGTAACCATTGCACAGTTACCAACTTCATGAATTTATGGTGATGCAATACGAACAAGAGAGTTTTCTTGTAGAAACAAATGTTTCCCAAACATAAGATCAATCTTAACTTTTACATTGTACAAAATGGCCATTAGGCAATCTACTGTTATAGGTGAGGAAGTGAATTGGGTGTGTCACTGTGGAGCTCATCAAACACTCTTAATGGCATCCATTTATCAGTCTCTAGAGGGTTTTTTCATCTTCCTTTTGGTAAAATCAAGCCATTAATTTCTAAAAGTCTGCAGCTTCCCTGAAGTCCTAATGAAAATGTTGCACAGGCCATTATAGTTCTGTCATGAAGTTGGAAGAAGATTCCTCAACTACACCTTGTTTAAAAGTAATTAACAATATATAGGCTGGGTGCAGTGGCTCACGCCTGTAATCCCAGCACTTTGGGAGGCCAAGGCGGGTGGATCACTTGAGGTCAGGAGTTCGAGACCAGCCTGGCCAACATGGTGAAACCCCATCTCTACTAAAAATACAAAACTTAGCCAGGCATGGTGGCACACGCCTGTAGTCCCAGCTACTTGAGAGGCTGAGGCAGGAGAATCGCTTGAACCTGGGAGGTGGAGGTTGCAGTAAGCTGAGATTGTGCCACTGCACTCCAGCCTGGGTGACAGAGCAAGACTCTGTCTCAAAAAAAAAAAAAAAAAAAAAAATATATATATATATATGGAGCACCTTGTGTCAAATCCACTTGTTTCCTTCCAGCTGCAACCATGGTGAAAAGGCTGGACCTGCCTTTCATTCCTCACTCCCAGCTGAACTTGTTCCTGTTGGAGAAAGAGGAGAAATATGGAGGTGGAGGTAAGCATGGAAGGTCTAAGGAAGGAAAGGGGGCTGGCCTTGTCCCCCGTGGCTCTGGCAAAGACCCAGAGTCTTACACGGCTGCTTTAACTACTATGAGGTAGTATTTTGCGCCTCAAAACCAGTTTATTTTTATTTTTATTTTTGGAGATGGAGTCTTGCTCTGTTGCCCAGGCTGGAGTGCAGTGGTGTGTTCTTGGCTCATTGCAACCTCCATCTCCCAGGTTCAAGCAATTATCCTGCCTCAGCCTTCCAAGTAGCTGGGACTACAGGCACACGCCGCCACACCCGGCTAATTTTTTTTTGTATTTTAGTAGAGATGGGGTTTCACCGTGTTGCCCAGGCTGGTCTCAAACTCCTGAGCTCAGGCAATCCACCCTCCTTGGCCTCCCAAAGTGCTAGGATTACACCGCACCCAGCCCCCAAAACTAGTTTAAAAATATTTCAGAAACATTCTATGAATAGATTAATGCTAGATGATATGTTTTGGGTAAACGACATTGAAGAATGGTTCTGTCATTAATAGACACTGCTCTACAATCCTCATGAAGACTGGGATGGTGGTGAGGAGGTGACCTTTCCAAGTGTGACACACGTCAGCCCAGGCTGGGCCTCATGACCTGGTTTGGTGAAGGGTTCTTCCTTCCTATTCTCCTGTTTCTTCTGACCCCTCCTGCTCTCCCCAGATGCTAATCCACAGAACATACCCTTCCTGAGCTCAGCTACACTGCCAGAGGGATGTGCTGGGCTAAATTTAGCCAATACTTTGTGGACAGAAATAAGAATTTTTCTTTTAAAAAGTCTTTTTAATTGGCTATTGCTATATATACACAATACCTTGATGAACATCCTTATATTTGTATATATATATTTATTTACTTGTCCAATAATTTTTATAGAATAAATTTTTAGAAGTAGAGTTGCTGGGTTAAAAAGTATGGGTTTTTAAAATAACTTTTGATACACCCTGTCAAATTACCCTCCAGAAAGTTAATACGTACCAATCTACAATCCCACAAACAGTGTATGAGCATGTGGGGTTTTGTGTGGGAAGTCCAGGCTGTGACATCCAGCTGTCTGGTTTTGCACCCTGGCTCTGCCAGATACCAACTTCATTGTTTAGTAAATGATGCAGTCTCACTAAGCATTTCCTCATCCTTCCCATGGGAATAATAATAATACCCTTCTCTTGGGGCTGTCATGGAAGTAAATGAGATACTGTATGTGAAATGCTTATGTGAGGGCCAGGCACAGTAGTTCATGCCTGTAATACCAGCAATTTGGGAGGCTTAGACGGGAGGATCACTTGAGCCCAGGAATTCGAGACCAGCCTGGACAACATGGGGAGACCTTGTCTCTATAAAAAATTAAAAAATTAGCTGGGCATGATGGCTCACACCTGTAGTCCCCAGCTATTCTGGAGGCTGAGGTGGGAGGATCTCTTGAGCCCAGGAGGTGGAGGCTGCAGTGAGCTGTGATTGCGCCACTGCACCCCAACCTGGATGACAGAGTGAGACCCTGTCTCACACACACACAAAATGCTTACGCCCTGGATAGTCTAAGGCCCAAGGTGTAGCCAAGCCCCAGTATTGAGGGCCACAAGCCTGGGGATTGGACCACAGTTTGGGTTGGTGAAGAAGTTAGAATATAAAATTGGTGCCAACCTTTATTAGGTAATAATTTGTGTTTCATGACATGCAACAGATATTTCAAAATCAATGTTCTCTTCATAACTTTTTTTTTGTAACAGCTCTATTGGGATAATTGATGTATCATACAATTTCACTTATTTAAGTGTATAATTCAATGGTTTTTAGTATTTTCAGAGTTGTGCCACCATCAGTATAATCAATCTGAGAACATCTTCAGCATCCTTCAAAGAAACCCTATACTATTAATATTTAGGGTTAAAAATGCAACCTCCAACTCTTTCTGTCCCTGAGTCTTAGGCAACCACTTCCACTTACTACCTGTATAATTTTGCCTATTCTGGACATTTTATGTAAATGGAACAATATGTGGTCTTTTGTGACTGGCTTTTTTTCACTTAGCATAATGTTTTCAAGATTGATCCATGTTGTAGCATGAATCAGCACTTCATTCCTTTTTATTGTCAAGTAATATGCCAGGGTATAGAGATACCGCATCTTTTTTACCTGTTTGTCAGTTGATGGACATTTGAGTTGTTTTTAATTTTTGACTATTATGAATAAAGCTGCTGTGACATTTGTGTACAAGTTTTTGTGTGGATATGTGTTTTATTTCCTGGCTATATATCTAGGAGAGGAATTATTTGACCGTTTTGTTGGCTTTTTAAACACGTGAGTAGTGTTGCAATGAATATTTTGGCAAAAAAAAGTAATGGAGAGATTTCCAGTTAAAGGAGAAAGCATAAAGGTCCAGGGGCCTGGGTGTTGTATGCCTTAACTCCTCTGAATAATCCTTCAGCATTTGTAAAAGGGGTTGTTGTAAATATTAGAGATTAAATATAATGGACAGCCTCTGGCACACAGTAAATTCTCAGCAAATGATAGCTATTATTCTACACCCTCCAAACCGTGAAACAGAAATCCTCATGGGCCTAGCCTCTTCATCCATCCGTACCATCAATATTATCAGATTTCTCTGGTTCTTTTATTTTTACGACCTTGTGTTTTATTTTGCCAGTGCTGATGTAAACCCTTCAGTAACTGCCAGAATGCTACCACCTGCGGAAACTAAAACCGGCCTCTGCTTAAAGTGGGCCATTTCCTTCTCATCTTCACATCCTACTTCTTGCCAAACTCTAAGGTTATTAACTATTTCCTTGCATCCCTCCTGTCAGAGAGGCAAGCCCTGCCCTTACATCCCTCAGGTCATCAGGAACGTAGGACGGTTGTGCAGGCTCGGTGTGAAAATCTTGGCTTGTACGAAACGGTGGCCCATGGGCCAAATTGAACATGCAGACTCAATTATTTGTCTGCACAGTGTATAGTAAAAATAAACATGAAAGGCCGGGCGCAGTGGCCGACGCCTGTAATCCCAGCACTTTGGGAGGTTGAGGCGGGCAGATCACGAGGTCAGGAAAACACGGTGAAACCCCGTCTCTCCTAAAAATACAAGAAATTAGCCGGGCGTTGTGGCGGGCGCCTGTGGTCCCAGCTACTCGGGAGGCTGAGGCAGAGAATGGCGTGAACCCGGGAGGCGGAGCTTGCAGTGAGCCGAGATCGCGCCACTGTACTCCAGCCTGGGCGACAGAGCGAGACTCCGTCTCAGACAAAAAAAAAAAAAAAAAAAAAAAAAAAAAAAGAATAATAAATAAATAAACATAAGAAAGTTGAGCCAACGTATCAAATTCAGAAGATTTCACACAAAACCTATATTTCAGATTGCTTTTGAGAAGAATAAAAAGATATGGCAGTATTGGGCCTTCATTCTTGCCTGATAAAAATAGACTGATTTGTGCTACTCCAGCCCGTTTGGTGTGTTTCAGGAATCAGAAAAGGGAGGCCAAATAGCTAGTCCTTGGAGACACAGCAAAAAGGCTTTTTTTCTTTTTTCTTTTCTTTTCTTTTCTTTTTTTTTTTTTTTTTACAAATGCTTGTGTGGTCAGGGACCATCCCCCTCTCCCACCCCCACCCACACTGTTGATTATCCCTGCTAAGCCCCTGACATTTTTGTCATTTCACACCAGTCCAGACAACTTTTTCTGTTTAAACTTTGTCTAGAATTCTGCTACAAAGTCTCCAACTACAGGTTTATAAAGATAGTGACCTCTACTTCCCAGCATCCACCTTCCGTTTTTGTTTTTTGTTTTTTTTTTTTTTTTTTTTTTTTTTTAACATCCCAGCTCCTTGTTTTACTGTACAGGACACTCCGCCTCCCTCTCAAGTGTCTGTCACGGAAAACAGTGCTTTGCTCAGTTCTTAAACGCCTGGTGGAACTACGCAGGACGCCTGCCAGACCCGGGGTGCTTCCTTTCTTCCAAACCCAGCTCACTCCCAGCCACTTGACCCATGATGTCCGCTGTCAGATTGCTTGTTTCTTCGTCAGCCTACAGCCGAGCTGGCCACTCAATCTTTCTTTGCACTTGATACGTTTGGTTAAACCTTTCCATTATCTCAAGGCTCTCTACTGGTGCCTTCTTATTCTGTCCATTTTAATCTTGTGACCGTCCTCGCTCTTCTCCCAGACCTCAGGTTTCTGGTGAGAGTGTTTTTGTTCTTGCCTGACCTTTTCTGCTCTCATCCTCCCCATTCTGTTTCATCTGGTCTTCAATTTCACTATTTCTGCTCCAGTGTCTTCACCTCCATTTTATTTACCTGTGCTGTCTCTTAAACACTTCTGCAGCAATATCTATTTTATCCTTAAAAGCCTCTGGCTATACTCCTTTGGAAAGCTCTCTTTATTTGTTAAAGAAAATGTTTCATTTTTCTGAAATCTTTAAAGAGGAGCAGGACTTCTGTTCTTCTTCACTTCTACCCAATTTCCTATGTTTTTAGAAATTAATTTCAATCTCTTCATCGTGTACATAGAGATGATAAAATCCTGCACTTTACATTTTATGACCTCTAGCATTTTTGCTTATGATCCTTTCAATCCTGCCATATTCAAACGGCTAGCATGGGCAGCTAAATAAACATTCTTCTCTCCACTCGAATGGTTCTTTAATTTGAATAACTGATAGGCCTTCTTTTAAAAAAGAAAAAAAAATTCCTCTGCATCCACAGTGTTGACCTAAGTTATTTTATTTATGATCAATGGCTGTTCTAATATAGATATGATTCTGGCTAGTTTCATAACTTTAGCAAGTTTACAATGACTCAGTTCTCTCATTTGTCTCTTTTCACACTACCATGACATTTTGTTCACGAGGAACATTTCTGTTAAGTCCTCCTCCATTCTTTTCTCATAGGTCTCTGAGATAGAATACTGGCACTGTTGATGGGTTAAAAATCCCAGTGTGAACTTGGGTCAGAGGTCCTGTAATACACTTGCTCATAAAGTAGGCATCCAGGTCATTCAAAACATGCTTCTGCAATGATTTAGACTGATTTGTAAAGCCATTGTAGGAAACATTCAGATCTCTGTTACTACACCTTACAGTCTGATAATGAATACTTCAGTGCAAGGTCACCTTTCCCCTGCCCTAGCTCCTTTCCGAAGCCTCACTTGACATGTCCCCTAGCCTCATGTCTCTTGCTGTACACAGGAGAGGTGTCCTGTGCAAAGTTGCCTTTTATCTTTCATTTGTCTTTCGAAGGCTCATCCTGTACATTTGATCTTTTCTCACAACCCAGTTCACTTCCATGATCTTTCAAGCTTTCACATTATATCTGTCTTAGTCTGTTTTCTGTTGCAGAATACCTGAAACTGGGTAATTTATAAAGAGAAGAAATCTATTTCTTACAGTTATGGAGGCTGAGAAATCCAAGGTTGAGAAGCCACATCTGGGGGCCCTTTCTTGTTGGTGGAGGTTCTCTGCAGAGTCCCGAGGTGGTGCAGAGCATCACACATGGGGAGGGGGCTGAGCATGCTAAGCCAAGGCCTCCCTTCTTCTCCTTATAAAGCCACCAGGCCCAGTCCCATGATAACCCATTAATCCACTAATCCCTGAATGCATTAATCCATGCAGTAGGGCAGAGCCCTCTTGACCCAATCACCTCTCAAAGGCCCCACCTCTCAACTCTGCCACATTGGAGATTAAATTTCCACATGAGCTTTGGAGGAGACAAACATTCAAACCTTAGCACCTTTCAAAGAAAACTCTGAGAAGCTGTGTTTGTGTGGCTCCTCCCTATTGAGGTATTCGGTGAATCCCACATCAGTTCTCTCACACACAGATTTCTCTCTTCAAATTCATTTCTATTTCCTAAGTCAAAATTAGATCTCGATCCTCTCTGTTTGGAGACTTCTAAGCTTCAGCTCCAACCTATTTTCTTACGGGTCAGCAACAGAGACAGCTCTAGATTTGGGATTACGAGAGCCCCAGATAAATTTCTCTAGTTAACAAACTATAAGACATTAAGGAATCTCTTAATTTCCCAGAGGCTCATTTTTCCCATCGGTATAATAGGATAATAACAGCTATCATCTTTCAGAATTCTTGTGACAATTCCATGAAATACTGTATGGAAAACTATGTTTAAAATTCTGTCTTATATATTTTTTAGCAGAAGCTCTGCTTGCCCTACTTTTGTGTTTGTATTTCTTTCAGGCCTTCAAGATTTTATTTGAAACTTCTCTTCCTTTTCCTTTGGCTTCTCATTTCTCTTGTCTCAGGTTCTCTATCACTTCATTTTTTCTAATTAATTCATTGTTCATCTATCATATTTGGACAAAAATGTTGACATCCTGACAGTTGGTGTCACAGCTGTTTGAGGGTGAGGAGACTATTCTGGGGTAAAGTGACATGGTTTTCCAGGGGTCCAACAACCAGAGAAGTAGCTGAATTGCGAATTTGAAACTGAACAGGGTAAGGGAAGAAAAGTGAGGGAAGGGAGAGTGGGAGAGGGGAGCACTGCCAGCAAGATGGAGGCTGCCCCAGGTGACATGAATAGTGAATGAAGTCCCGGGGTGGGGTGGGGTGGGGGTGGCAGTGGGAAGTGCGTGGAAGGACACACAAATAGAATGAGGGTAGCGGACATTCTACTGGATGTCATCTGGTTACCATGATGTAAATGCTCTATCAAGTCTTTAGTAAATTTTGCCACCCACTGAAGAAGACTTTTAGGGAAATCATGGAAAAGAGCTGGGTCCAGATCAGGGTGGTGGGGGCGCAGGGACAGCAAGGAATTAATGAATTCACTGAAAATCAGAGGTGACCATACCAGTGTAACCCTCCTGGGAATTTACAGACATCTTGGAGAGGGCTTTGAATATCCACTGGGGATAATATGGGAATTTGAGCCAATCTTATCATTCTAAAGGGGGTGGTGACACCACCTGACATCTAGATGTTCTTTAAAACAAAACATAGCCCAGGTCAGGTGCAGTGGCTCATGCCCGTAAGCCAGCACTTTTGGAGGCCAAGGTGGGAGGATCGCTTGAGCCTAGGAGTTTGAGACCAGCCTGGGCAATACGGGGAAACGTTGTCTCTACAGAAAATAAAAAATTAGCCAGACATGGATGTGGTGGCATACACCTGTGGTCCCAGCAGCTTGGGAAGATCATCTGAACCGGGGAGATTGAGGCTACAGTGAGCCATGATCGCGCCACTGCACACCAGCCTGGACGACCGAGTAAGACCCTGTCTCAAAATGAATGAATGAATAAATAAATAAACAAATAAAATAAATCAGATAAAACATGACATATGTCAAATGCTAGGCATATATTCCTTGGACTTGGGGTCTATCTAAACGAAGCCTATCACACAGGAGAAACCTGGCAAGTGTTTGTTGGATAAATTGATTTTAGTTTTTCCTGCCAATAATTTATCATCCTTTGTTCCTCTCTTACTCTGTGTTTTTTTGAGTGGCCTCAGAAATAGCTATTTCTAAGTGTTCTCTATATCTTTTTCCTCGGCAAGACCTAGTTTTGCCTGTCATTTTCTTCCTGTACCTCTTGTTTGTCCTCAGCAACTTCATGTTTCCTGGTTCCCTCCTTGGACTTGAAGGCCAGCTTCATCATCTACTCTCTGAACTCCACACACTCTCTCAGCTTCCCTGGCTCAGTGGCGGTCTTGTTTGTTTTGGCTCTTGTGCCTAGCATAGCTAGCAATGCTAGTCTCCCTTCTGTGGGGAAAGATTCTCCTCAATCTTGGTGAAAAATCAGTTTACAGAAGGAGAAAGAGATACAGAGAGAGAGAGAGCACACATGAAGGCTTATCTTTTGGAGATAACATACTGAAGTATCTCTAGATGAAACGATATGAGGTTTAGGCTTCACTCTAAAATAATCCAGAAGGAGAGAGGGAAAAGAGCAAAGAAGTAGGGGGCCGGATGCTGTAGCCAAACCAAGACGGTCCACATTGTTGAAGCCCTGTGATGGGTAAGTGAGGGTTTAATATAATAGCCACTTGGCTTTTGTGTATGTTTGAAGATTTCATAATAAGCTTAAGGAAAGTCTGTTTATTAAAGATCCACACGTGAGTTATTGGTCTCCACAGCCACCATGGTTTTTTTTGGCTTGCACATGACCTTCAGGTGAGTTCTTGAGCCTCATCCACAGCATGACCCCAGCCCCCACCAAGCCGCATCTATACTCTCTCTTGTTATTAATTTGTTGGGGGTCCATTTCCCTTTGGTCTGAGAGATCCTGGCGGACAGGGTCTGTGTCTTATTCATCTTCATGTCCCAGTGCCTAGCATAGAATCTGGTGAACAGAACTGAAATGAACTGAAGAAAATTATCTGCCAGTGAATTCCCAGCCCACGGCAGCCCCTCCTCCTTGTCATGGCCTTTGCTGGGCCCATGACCCATGGCTGGGGGCTCCTGAGTGGAGCCACAGCACATCCATGCCAGGATCTCTTCCTCAGGAGGGACAGTGGGCAGCTCTTGTGGCCTCTTGCACATGCCTCCACATCACCACAGAATTCTCTCCTGGACCTTCTTCTGCTGTTACATTAGCCAAGGGAATTCCAATTTCCTTTCAGATCTGAAGCTCATACCAAACGTCTGACTCCCTGTGACTTGGTGATTTAAATGACTGTAATTGTAGACTCAAGTTAATGCGTGGGTCCTCACTGCATAGGCTCCCTTCGAGCAGCCTCCCTTCCCCCACAGTACAACCCTCATCTCCAGACAGAGAAAATGGTACCCTTCCTCCCTTCTCACTTCCTTTGGGTGGCTGGCCCTCATATCACCCTAAAGAAAGGCAAATCTAGCAGTGCCATCATCTGTGTTTCTCAGTTCTCTTATCACCCCCTCCTCGTGTTTCCTTCCTGCCTCCATCTAGCCCCAAATCTCCACCTTTTCTCTGAATTTCCTGTTCTAGTCTCAACTTAATAGAGTTCTACTATTACTCTAGTTCTGGCAGCTTCTAGGATAGGCATCCTGGCACCATCTTGCTCTCACACTACTCTTTAATTAGCTTTTACCAATCTCAGTAGTCATTTTATCCTCTTTGCAGTATGCAACACTGAAAGGGTTCAGTTGGGGAGTCAGGTGTTATTGTGCCCATTTGGCAAGGATTGGAAAGGTTAAGTGGCTCGCTTAAGGTTGCAGAACTAGTAAGGGTCAGTAGTAGAATCTCCGTCTCCTGAACATTTGTCCAATGTTCCAACCTGTACCCACCATCTGGTCTGTGTTACTGTCGCCTTGGAAAATGGTGGCTGACCTTGAACTTCTGTCCATTTTCCTTGCAACAGTTATCTTCCTGGGATATATCTGACAGCAGTCCCAGAGGACAGGAAACTGAGCTAAGCCAAAATGAGGTGGTAATAACTGTCTTACTGATTCATGCTGGCATTGCCTGAAGGTCTGATATTGTCTCTAGCAATTCTCTTATTCCTGAACAAGAGCCAAAAAATAGAGGGGAGGAGGTGGATGCATCCCCACATCCAAGTGGGCATTAGCCAAGTGCCTCTTGTTTCCAAGAATCAGAGACAGGCTCAGCACCAGGTCATACTCCAAGAGTTGTCAACCTGTTCAATGAAGGACTGAAGTGCTGGCCCCTTTCCCTGGGTAAAGAGAAGGGCTGGTAGTCCAATAGCATTCTCAACTGGAGGTGCAGAATGGTGAAGCAGTGAGTGACAGCCAACTTCTGTGAGGAAATGATATGGCTGTCCCCAGCTGTCACCTGAGAATGCCCTTGACTGTTTACATGTGAATTCATGAAGTGTGTGTGTGTGTGTGTGTGTGTGTGTGTGTGTGTGTGTGGTAGAGGGGAGAAGAGCTAGTGCATGCTTAGTTATGGCAATACTCTCTCTCCCACACCATCTCCAGTGAAAATAACTTCTGTAGCCCAACGACAATGCCCTGTTCTGGAGCTTTCTGGAAGGCCCTGAGCAACTCTCCCACTGAAGCTATAATTCTACCTTCTGTCCTTGATTGCTTGGCAGAAAATAATATGTTTGTAATCAATTTAATTTTTCATTTTCCCACACTGAGCCTTGAAAACAAACTATGTACTTATGTGGGAAACTGGAAAAGACATTTCGCCTCAAGTGAAAACTTGAACATCCTTAGACAAACAAACTGAGAAGAGTCACTCCTTATGTTTGCATTGGATATTGGCCTTTGCCAAGCCCAGTCTACTCCTCTCCAACCTCTGCCTTCAAGGAGAACTCAATGAGGGTAGAACAATTCAGGGTCAGCGTCAAGAAGAGTGCTTATGTAGGGAGGTGGATGGAACAGTCAGGTATTCTGGATGCTTCACTTAATCTACAGAATTACATATGCAAACATCAATGGGATTCTGACCTGGACCAAAAAGAGGCACAGGGATGTGTCAGATTTACAAGTTTGGATGCTTTATTACCTAAAGTCAAAGGGGAAGATACAAAAGCTGCTTAATTTACCAAGCAAGTGCAGCACGCCTATGGAAAGCTTTGGCCCTTTTTGCTAAGCTGTCAGATATTCGAGGCAGCTGGCCAGACGGCTGTGTTTTAAATCCAGGCTTAACATTTTCGAGGCTGCTGAATAATGTAGATCCTTTTCAGTGGAACAACCTTTTCCAGAGCAGGTGTGGGTTTTTGATGCGCCATGTGCACTGTTGCTGGAAATTTATAGTTGAGCTAAAGGTGAGAAGGGAAGAAAAAATAGGCATATTGGATCTTCTTGGTCATGAAATATTAAACTAGTAGAAAGTGATATCGTTGATCAAGGGAATCTCACAATTTTGTTTATTTATTTGATAATATCTCTTTTTTTCCATACTATTTCTAGCCCTAAACCCATGGGAGTATGTTTTAACCTGGGTCTTCTCTCATTTACTGTCCTTAATTTTAAAAAATTCCAATTGACATTTTAAAAAGTAGGAATGGTTAATTATGTCTGCATCAGTTCTCTGTGTTGTTAGCAATTATTCTGGCACTAGTATGCATCTATGAATCACTGAATTCTAAGAAGGCTACAGGGACATTGGAGAAGGTCCAGAGTGGGGACGAAAAACTCCTCAATTGTCAAAAGAAAGAAAGAACCTCTGAAAGAAGTTAAGAAGAGTTAGGGTTATTTATTAGGTCTAAGTGTGTACATTTGCTATTTTTTCAGGTCAAAAATGATGTGATATTGGCCATTCCATATGGTTCAATCTAAATAGCCCAGTGAAGAGAAGGCTGAGGGATGGCCTACTAGCCTCAGGGAACAAAAGTTCTGATTAGTCTTCTCCACAGAAGACATCTATGAGTAAATAAGCTTAAATAGGCTTATTAACACAGGCTGAGACTTTCTGACAATAAGAGACATTTCATATGCAACCCAGAGACCTTGTGGAATTTACATTAATGATAGCTTAAGATAGAAAGCATGCCCAATGCTGCTGACCACTTCAGACATGGTTTTCCTAGGAGGAGAATTTGGACACAGTGACCTTTTGGGTCCATGCTAGTTCTTGGTTTCCAAGCCCATCAATATGTAAAAGTACCTAAAGAAACCTCCCTTGGCCAGCAAGGAAGGAATGCCTCAGCTCAGTAGGAATTTAACTTATCACTATTGAACTTAGATGCCCTTGCCTTGGCACTCAAATTAAATAAAAGGGGAGATAAACTGTTCATGACCCTAGCCATCATACTGTTCATGGTTTGTTTGGGCTCTTCTAAGCCAGGGAAAACATATGTGCCTTACATCTCTTCTCAAATGTCTCTGCCCAGGCCCTAGGCACTCAGCAGTCCCTTTCATACGAAATGTGACTCCAAAAAGTCCTTTCTTCTTGGTTTTAAAAAATTAAACACACTGGAAGAAAATACACTGAAGTGTTAGCAATGGTTACCTCTGGGGGATAGAATTATGGGCAATGCCTCTCTTTTTCTTCACTTTATTTATCAGTACTAAATTTTTTTTCTTTTACAATGAGCAGGTACAAGTTATACAAAAATTAAGCCCAAGGATTATCTCTGCCAACATTCTAGCAGAATGGAAACAAAACACAATTGAGATATTGATCATAAATGTTGCATTAGAGTCTAAAAAAGACCTGATGACTTTTTTTTTTGTCAGGTCAGTTATCATCAGACCATATGACATGCATTTTACAATGTGTTAAGGGCAGAATGTTTTGTTTTGCTTTGGTTTTCTTTCAACATTAGATCCAGAAGGAAATTTAAGAGGTCACTGACTTCAGTAGTTTACTTCCAGACTGTGTGTCTTTAGTCTTAACTAAAATAGATGAATTATTTCAGGTTAGCTTTAAATCATATTTGAGAGATTGCAGGTAGGAAGAAAAATGTGACAAGTCAGTTAAGGTAAAAGTGGGTGAGAAGGCAAACAAACAAAAAAACTCTGATATAACAGAAATTTGGGCAATTAGCCAAGGTAAGGGAGGGTAAGAGGACAAGTTGGGACTGAAACAAAGAAAGCCACATGTTGATTGTTGTTCTTAAGTGTGAAAGAGATGATGGGTGGAGGTAGGAAAAGAAAAAGGAAAGGAGGCCGGGCTCGGTGGCCCACACCTGCAATCCCAGCACTTTGGGAGGCCAAGGCGGGCGGATCATGAGGTCAGGCGATCGAGACCATCCTGGCTAACACGGTGAAACCCCATCTCTACTAAAAATATGAAAAATTAGCCGGGCATGGTGGCGAGCGACTGTAGTCCCAGCTACTCTGGAGGCTGAGGCAGGAGAATGGCATGAACCCAGGAGGCGGAGGTTGCAGTGAGCCGAGATCGGGTCACTGCACTCCAGCCTGGGCGACAGAGCAAGACTCCATCTCAAAAAAAAAAAAAAAAGAAAAAGGAAAGGAGAGTAGTGTTAGAATAAGTGATAGAAGATATTTGCTGCTTAGTTGGGCACTAATTTGTTATTTGATCACCTCCAGGGTGATCTCCACAATTTAGAGGCTACATCGTTTGGGCATATAAAAAAATTGTGCTAAGATATACAAAACATAAAACTTGCCATTTTAACCATTTTAAAGTGTGTGTACAGTTAGTCCAGTGGTGCTAAATACATTCACATTATTGCACAGCTATCAACACCATCCACCTCCAGAACTTTTTCATCATCCTAAACTGAGACTCGGTACCAATTAAACAGTAATTCTCCATTCCCTCCTCCTCCAAGCCCCTGGCAACCACCATTCTACTTTCTATAACTATGAATCTGACTACTTTGGGTACCTCCCATAGGTAGAATCATTCAATATTTGTCCTTTTGTGTCTGGCTTATTTCACTTAGCATAATGTCTTCAAGGTCCATCCATGTTACTGTATGTGTTGAGATTTCTTTCTTTTGTAAGGTTAAATAATATTCCATTGTATATATATATACCACGTTTTTTCTATCCATTCATCCATTGATGAATACTTGGTTAGGATCTCTTCATCTTTTGGCTATTGTGAATGATGCAGCTATGAATATTGGTGTACAAATATCTGTTCTGAGTCCCTACTTTCAATTCTTCCAATATATGGGAAGATTATATTGGAAGAAGTGGAATTGCTGGATCATACAGCAATTCTCTCTCTTTCTCTTTGCTTTTTTTTTTTTTTTGAGCTGAGGTTTTGCTCTGTCACCCAGACTGGAGTGTAGGGGTGTGATCTCTGCTCCCTGCAACATTGAACTCCCGGGCTCAAGTGGTCCTCTTGCCTCAGCCTCCTGAGTAACTGGGACCTCAGGCATGTGCCACCATGCTGGTCTAATTTTTTATATTTTTAGTAGACACAAGGTCTTTCTATGTTGCCCAGGCTGGTCTCGAACTCCTGAGCTCAAGCAATTCTCCTGCCTTGGCCTCCCAAAGTGCTAGGATTCTAGTTATGAGCCACTGCGTCCAGCCTGATATGGCAATTCTATATTTATTTTTTGAGGAACCACTGTATTGTTTTCCACAGCAGCTGGATCATTTTACATTCCCACCAGCAATACAGAAGTGTTAAGGGTTACATTTTAACTGAGGCATTCAACCGAAGTTCTAAAAGCACTGCTCAACTACTTCTCAGAAGAGGAATGCCACAGATCAGAATATTTGGGAAACAAAGTCAGCCCCTGTGGCCCAATGGCCATCTGAACTGATCTGGAAAGTTTTAGAGAAGAAAAGAAAATCAACAGGATTGAGAAAAAAGTAGGAATAATTCTGGCAAAGATAATAGAGAAACTGCCCATAATTGTTAAGCTACAAGTGTACAGCTTTTGGGGTGCCCAGAGCAGGGTTTCATAGCAACTTGAAAATATGATAACAGGAAAGTCAAGTTCTCCTTCTCATCTCCCTACCTGCCTCAGTCAGGGGCATCCTGATGTAGGACTTGGGGCTATGGGTGGAGAGTCTATAAAGGATCTTCATCAGAATTGATGAAACTGTCGGTAAAATGGTCAGCTCCTAAATGTACTAATTCTTTGTGGTAGATTTTATATCAATGGAGATAGGAAAAGTTTATTTTCAACTCTAAACTACAAATAAGTAGAAACAGCTTTCCAGAGTATAAGCTACAGCCAGCTGTGTTTTAGTCTGACATTTTAACTTCGGGGAAGCTGTGGAATTTTCATCATTAGTCTTTGTAAAATGATAGTATTTGTAGAATAAAAGGTGTTTCTTGTCTCATTCATTAGGGTAAGAGAATCTAGGGTAACCCCACGAGAGAAAGAATTCAAAGCCAGTATATGTACAAGGATCCTGCCTTGCTGTGGCTCCATTACAGGGGCAACATATTGAACTTAGAAAGTGGATCAATAGAAACTTCCACATTGAGAATTTACCTTCATCTTGGGTAGCTGCGACCTCAGAACCTATATTTTTCATTTCAGAGAAAAAGCAAAAGAAGTGTGATAGAGGTCTTTATGACTAGAGAGCCCTGAAATTCTAGACGCAAGAAAATCAGCTGCAGGTTTTGTTTTAGAGCCTGAAGTTGGGTAGTATTAGCAGACTGGCAGCACTTTCATTCATCTTTCCAGGGTGTTAACTTCCAACTCGAATATTGGCACTTAAATTTCCACACCCTGTTAAGCAAACTGCTTAAAACAAAACATTCAGCTCTCGTCAATGAAATTCAAGGATACTCCTACAGTGATATTAATCTACAGAACAAGAGAAGCCTTTTAAAATTTGCGATGCCTTTTATAGTTTTCTCTCCCTCAGGATCCCATTTCACATACATCTCACTGGCTTTGGCAGTGGTGACCCAAAGTCTGGCAGCTTGAGAAAAGTAGCCCCAACTTTAACCAGGCTTCAGCATTTCCCCCTCCACACCATAACGCAACCCCATTATGGATGTTTTAACTGGATACTTTTATGTTCTGAGAAGTTTCACAACTATTGCCAAATTTATTGCCATGACTGTCCAGAGGATTAATATATTTGGCAGTATCATTCTTGTTCACTCCCTGCCTTAAAATAATTTTTTAAAAGTAAATGAACGAGCACAAATCCCAGAGGAGTTACGTGACATCTAAAAGGTCAAATAACTTCTAAGTAGTGGGTGGAACTTGATCTAAGACCAGGTCTCCCAGATTTCTAGCCTAAAGAGCTTTTGGGCTACACAGCCTGTTTTCTGCAGGAATACCATGTCTTGTGTTCTGCCACTGGGCAACATGAATTCTCTTATTGAGGGCTTCAAGAGGTGGGGAAGGCTGGCTGGAGAGTGAGGAGGAAAGCAGAAATGAGGTAGGGTGGGAGAAAGCAGGCTGTGTGGAGGGGAGAGGTGGGGAAATACTGTGGGGGTAGATTCTAGGCTGCTTCCCACTTTGATTTACACAATTCCAGCCCTTCGGGGACTATTTTTCAATCTCCAAAATCTTAAACCCCATGTTGATTTTGAAGTAGGAATTCAGAGATGAGTAGCATACAGAGAGAATTTTCCTGCCATGGTTGAATGGTTGATGAGTTCCTATGGAGAGGAGTTTCTTTAGAGACTTAATTTCTTAAAATAAGTATGAGAAATAACATGGGTTCTTGGGACTAGACATGAGTGTAACTGAGGGCATGAATGCATGTTAATAAATGCAGAGGATGTGACTCTCAATTCTGCCACTGCATTTATTCTGACCAGCTGTATATTGTTAGGTCTCTGTGGCAATACATACCGTGAGGAGAATCATTGTAGTGCAGGAAAAATGTATTAAAAGATACCTGTATGTCTGTATCTTTTATATATCGATTCATATATTTTTTGAATCACCCTGTATAGTTTATGCAGCATGGCTATTCTGTTTTAAAAATCAAAGTACTTACCTACAGTAAAATTTACGCTTTTTCATGTGCTGCTTTATGAGTCTTGACAAGTACATACAGTTTGTGACTACAACCACAATCAAGATGAGTAACCATCCCATCATTCCCCCAAATTTCCTCTGGTCATTTGTAATCAATCCTCCTACTCAGTCCCACACAACTGCTGATCTTGGTAGATCTAGTGGTCAGCAGGTGTCAACCCCAGGTTGACCTTTATTGTGAAATCTTACTAGGTTTCAGGTTGAATGATGGATTCGGTGAGATTTTTCTTAGCTATATGGAAACACATGGATTCTACCAATGTTCGTTTTTGAGATAGTCCCTTATGGTAATCTTGGAGCTTATTTTTGTTGCTGGTGCCTTACGCTTTACCTGGGATTCCAAGTGAAGGCAGGATGCAGGCCTGGGAACAGAAGATATCACTTGCTGAGGGCTAAGTATCCTAGCACTGCGCATGTATTATGTAACTTCATTTTACTCTCAACATGTCCCTATGAAGTAGATACTGGTACTCACACTCCCATTTACAGATAAGGAAAGAGGAGCACAAAAAAGTGAAGAAACCTGCCCCAGGACAAAAAGCTAGTAAGAGACACAGCCAACACAGGAACCCGGCAGCCTATGGCTGATGCCAGGACCTGCTCTCCTAACCAGTAACCCGTGCAATCTTAGCCACAGTCCTACTCCACTAAACACTGAGCTGAGCACAAAGGTATATTTTAAAAAATAGGTATAGTTTCTGTTAAAAATATTTCTTTTTTTTTTTGAGATGGAGTCTCGCTCTGTCACCCAGGCTGGAGTGCAGTGGCGTGATCTCGGCTCACTGCAACCTCCACCTCCCGGGTTCAAGCAATTCTCCTGCCTCAGCCTCCTGAGTAGCTGGGATTACAGGTACCTGCCACCACGCCAGGCTAATTTTTGTATTTTCAGTAGAGATGGAGTTTCACCATATTGGCCAGGCTGGTCTTGAACTCCTGACTTGTGATCCGCCCACATCAGCCTCGCAAAGTGCTGGGATTACAGGCGTGAGCCACCGTGCCTGGCCTGTTAAAAATATTTCTAACAGCACACCATCTCAATGTTCTCTTATGGTTTCCAAATACAACTGATTATTGTTGTTAAGTATTGTTACTTAGGGAAGAGATTATTCTTTTTACCTTTGAAATAAAGAGGTGATATGTCAAAGACATAAGCATATCACATGTCTATAAGAACAGAACGTAAACTCTGGCATCATACCTAATACACAGCATGACCAACCTTTATTGACCATTCCTTTTCAATACTTTATTTCGAGTTAACAAATATTTTAGGGGAACATGTCTATTCTATCCTATCCACTTACAACTGTGAGCATTCCCTTGCCCTAAGGAAGTGGTGTTTAGTGGGCGGGAGCAAGAGAATATAAGATGTGGGAGCAGGCAGCTTATGTTACAGGGTGTCATGCACCAGCCCTGCCTCTGAAGCCAGGAAGGCAGAGAGTCACTTATGACTTCACCCTAAATCGACCTGAGTGGAGAACCAAGGCTCCCATGTGAGAAGGCTCTGTAGCTATGGCTCATCATCAAGATCTTACCTTGTGCAATCTACCCTGTAACATCATGGACTTTAGATATACTGTCTTATTTCACTGTCATAAAAACCAATACTACGATCCCTGACAGAGTGCAAAGAGGTTACTCTGTGCTGAGACTCTTCCAAGACCTTCATGTATGTGAGCTCATTGTCTCCACGTAACAACCCTATAAGCTGTGCACTCTTCCTTACCTCCATTATACACACATGTAACTGAACCACAGGATAAATAACTTGCTCAAGGCCATATAGATGGTGATGAAGCCAGTGCCAAATGGGGTTCCAGGAGGCCAGCTGCACTAATCTTTTTCAAAGGCTGAGCTGGTGGTCCTCAGGCATCTGATTTTGGCTGCAACAGCAAGTCTTCCTTCTACAGAGGACACTTTGTCCAACGCCTTCCATAAACATGGCAGTAGCAGAAAGAGTGGCTCTATATTACCTTGACTGTAATGTACCTGCCTACTAGACATAGAATAAGGGCCCTCACTCAGCTCACCTACAAAATTTGAAAACAAACTTTTCAATCCGGAAAACCAAACCACTGTCTACTTGGTAAGAGTTTTCTGAGTTTCTAGAACTACCTAGAAGGAATTCAGGACATATGGCTGGGTGAGGTGGCTCACACCTGTAATCTCAGCACTTTGGGAGGTCGAGGTGGCCGGATGGCCTGAGGTCAGGAGTTCGAGATCAGCCTAGCCAACATGGTGAAATCCTGTCTCTATTAAAATACAAAATTAACTGGGGGTGGTGGTACATGCCTGTAATCCCAGCTACTCGGGAGGCTGAGGCAGGAGAACCACTTGAACCCGGGAGGTGGAGGTTGCAGTGAGCTGAGATCGCTCCATTGCTTTCCAGCCTGGGCAAAAAGAGCGAAACTCTGTCTCAAAGAAAAAAAGAAAAGAAGGAATTCAGAATATAGAAATAAAAATAGTCCTGGTCAACTACCTTTATAAGCAGACTTCACTGGGTAAACCCAGCTGGTACCCAGCCTTCCTCCAACCCTAGACCATGCAACCCTCTACCACCCACCCTCTCCTCAAATCAATATCTCCTTATAGGAACACAGGGGCAGGGAGGAAGGTCAAAAACCACTGAAGCCCCACTCCACAGGCTGCCTTTTATAAAAACATGCCAATGTTTCCAAGAAATATTTGGGATGGCAAAGTACCATTCTGCAAACTCACCATCATGATTCCCACTTTCTTATCTTATTTTTGAAATGATTTATTAAATGGACACTTTAGGAATTTGAGAGAAGCAGCTTTTCCCACTCAAATCACTTTGTGTTCCTCTGACAGAGAACAAATTCTTTCACAAGGACCTCAAACCTCTGGGTTGGAAAAAACCTCAGTGGTCATCCGCTCATTCACCCATGCAGCTGGATCCACTGGGCAGATTGACTTGGAGCGCTATGTGATTTGCCCACGGCTCACCTTCTCCAGTGCGTCATTCAGGGCATCCAGTGTCTGTATTTTGGCAACATTTGCAATGGCACTGTGAAGATGAAAAGAAACTTTGAACAGGACTTAAAAAATTTTCCCACTGAAAAGGCCACATGATTTATAGAGGGCTGTCTCTCCAGCCTTTTATGCTTTCACTTTGCTTAGGAACATCTAGAAGACACAGATTTTGCCTCTGTGTACCTATGTGCTACACACAACAAGCTTTGCAGGCCAAATTATTATTATTATTATTATTATTTTTTTTTTTCTGAGACACAGTTTCGCTCTTGTTGCCCAAGCTGGAGTGCAATGGTATGATCTCGGCTCACTGCAACCTCTGCCTCCTGGGTTCAAGCGATTCTTCTGCCTCAGCCTCCCAAGTAGCTGGGATTACAGGCATGCACCACCATGCCTGGTTAATTTTTTGTATTTTTAGTAGAAATGGGGTTTCACCATGTTAGCCAGGCTGGTCTTGAACTCCTGACCTCAGGTGATCCACTCGCCTCAGCCTCCCAAAGTACTGAGATTACAGGTGTGAGCCACTGTGCCTAGCCATTTTTTTTTTACCTTTTTATTGAAATATGATATACATACAGAAACATGCACATGCTATAAGCATATAGATTGAATAAAATTGAAACCACTAGTCAAACCAGCTGCCCCTAAGGATAACTGCTATCCTCATTTATAGCCCCAAAGACTAGTTTTGACTGTTTTTGTGCTTCGTAAAATGAACCGTCTACAGCTTGTACTCTTTTGCATCTGGCTTCTTTCTCTCAGGCCAAGTTATTTTGTAGGAGAGTTTCAATCAGGGCCAAATCTACAGTACAATGTCTTGAAGAAACTCTGCACTTGGCATATTTTTTTTTTTCTGGATGGTTTGTGTTGGTTTGTAGAAGCTATTAGGAAGTGGACATGGATTGATGATGTTTGGAAAATTCTGGTCTAGAGCATATTTTTAAAAAGCTATTCTCTAAGATGACATACAAAGGAGTGTTTGTCCATGAAAACAAGGCTTTCCTATCCTGTGCACATGCCCTGCTAGGAGATGTAAATAGCAGAGGGGGATATATGTGGAGCTAATGATATTTAAGCCTAGGGTCTCCTGCCACAGTGGCTCCTCCCAAGGCCCTGGGAGGGGCCCTACCCATTTCATATCGGTCATTTTTGGTTATTTTTCTTTTAAAATGGCCCTGAAAGTCCATAAGATTCAAGCTCCGCATAACCTGTTTCTGTCCCTGGTACTTAGGGCAAGAGCTATCTTTTGCTGTTTAAGTTCTGTAAAAGTCCAATTCCTGTCATTTAACGACTATTAGAAAACAATTGAGTTTTTAAAGAAGATTCCAATCACCATCTTATTACTCTCTAGCCAACTCCCCTGCCTGCATTGTTCAGTGGATGTTAGAATTAATAGTAAGTCCCATTTTTCTGAGATGCAGAGAAATGAATGACCTGTCCTTTGGCTGTCCACTAGTAAGTCATTTCCAAGATAAGACACTTTAGTTCCTGAGCCACTGGCTCAGGCAGGTTAACTAATGTCACAATAAGCAGGGCACATGCTTGACTCAGGTTTTAGATACAGAATGAATAGGTCTCAAAGTTAATCAGCTTGCAATTCAATCGCAGTCTGATATCATTTACAGAATGCATTCACTATTCTAGGAACTGTCCTAGATGCTGGGTCAGAAGAAAAATAACGTGTGACCTCCACTCTTGAGGACGCACAGCTTCCCTTTTGTCATGTGATGGTTAGTTTCTGATATCAGAAATAACAAATGACTTGCTGCTAATGGAGCGAATCAGTATTTCATTCTAAAGTGGAGGGAGGCAAATCCTCAAAAAATGTCTTCCCAGAAATTAGGAAGCAATCTTTAAAAGTGATTTAAAAATAATTTTATAGAAAAGAGTCAAAGAAGTGCCACAGTCTATTTCCATTCTCTTTCTGATATGGTTTAACTCTTATGGAGGTGCCTGGAGCATCCTCTACTCAGATCCTTTTGAATTACTCATCAACTGATCTGTGGAAACCATTTCAAAATTAATAGTCTCTGAAGCACTCCTCAGAAAGAAACAGTTCTGCGTGTTTCTTGTTTTTTGGAATGCTCTGGTTTTCCTTACCCAAGGCCTAGACTGGTTGGGCCATTTGCTTACCTGATCCAGCCCACAGCTCTCTGCTGAGTTCTGAGAATAGGGCAGGCGTCAATGTTATGGTGGAAGGAGCAGCGGGGAGGCTGCTCGGTACCTATGTGTTTCTGGCTATGCCAAATATAGTGGCCATTACTTTCTAAATAATTCAGTGATGGGTTTAAAACAAAAAAGACATTTATTTTTAATTCAGGACATTTACTTCAGCAGAAAGCATATTATGAAAACAGGGCCAGCCTAGGAACAATATTTTAAAGGCTGATCTGAAAATAGGATAAAAGGATGTGTGTCAGGTTTGGATGCATTTAGGCCTGTGCCTATTAAGTGCAAGGCCGCTGGGCTGGATGCAGACAGGAGGAGAATGGGTGGGGGTCGTGATGGGAGCCCTCTCAGAGGGATCCCTCCAGAGGGTAGCCACCTACCTTTCCCCACCCCTCACCCTAAGTCACCACGGATCACGCCCTCCCCCTCCTGCCCCCTTCTCTGGCTGCCTCCAAAGGCATAGGGAGCCTTGGTTTGTCCTAAAATAACTCCTGGAGGCAGAGTCACTCAAAACTCCTCAAGGTGATGGAGAAAAATTAAGAGTCCCTACCTTGTTTTCTCGAATCCTGTTTTTTTGGTATGTCTTTCCAAGGTGCCAATTTCTTGTTTTTTGGAAATTCTCATTCCTCCAGCTTTTACTACAAACAGATAAAAATCAGCATGGAAGTTAGAACAGTGAGAGAAGGCTTGCTTTGTTATTAAAGGTATGACTTTAGATTTGAAAATAATTTTTGAACTTATTTTTTAAAGATCTAAACGTTTGTATAAAACAACACAATAAAAAATATATATATTTTATTGGCAAACCAGGTGTGGGTGGAGGAAGGGCTGAGAGCTACTTGTTTATGCTCAGAGAAGTGGAACCAAGACTGAAAAAGCAGAGGTTACACCTTAGATTTGGGGAGGAGAATAACAACATACTCCCTTAGGCATTTCACTGAAAAACATTTTTTCTTATTATCAAACCAATTACATTCCCCACAATAGCAACCGACAATTACAACGTGACCCTCTGTTTTCCCACCAGATTAAAGTTGTGCGTGGCTTGCATTTTTTTTTCCAACCAAAGCTTTCAAAAGCCAGATTCTGAGAGATGAGCCAAAAGTCAGGGCACACAGTGATAAAAGGCATTTAATTCAACAGAGATGGTTCTGATTCTACCAGATACCCACCTTCCATCCAGACCCCAAAACTCCGGTGTTGGCCAAGCTCAGATGTTCTAATGAGTAATTAAACTGCATTAATAATCCTGCCATTCAAGTGATCAATTAGTGTTAATTAGGCTACAGATGACCTAACAGCAATTCAAGTGTTTAACAATGTCAGATGAAATCAACTTTTGAAAAGGAACAACCCATTTCAAGATAGCAAGTCAAAGCAAATGCTTTTTTTCTGTTCCCAGGAAATTTGCACATCTAAAATCTGACAAGCTCAAATGAGAAAAAGCTAAATGGACATTGATTTGTTTGAGCCTGTTAATTCTTTTTATGAAAATGCCAGATTGGCGATTTTCTAAAACTGTGGTCCAATAAAGTGAAAAATAAAGAAAATGTATTCTATTTTTCTGTGCCCTTGTCAACTGACTTCATCATTGTTCTTTACAATTATTACTTAATTTATTGTCTTGGTTATCTTATCTGCATAAGGCCCAAAATTCAAAAGCCATAAAAAGGTCTGCAGTCTCCCTCCTACAATTATTTTCCAACTTCCTAGATTATCTCCCAAGATACTGCTAATGTTATAAGCTTCCTGTGTCTTCATCCACAGTTATTCTACACATACACTCAGGTTTTATTTTTTATAAAATGGTAGCCTAAGGTACACATTGCTCTACATCTTGTTTATTTTCTTCACTTAATCACATATTTTAGAGAAAGTTCCAAATCTATATTTACATCTACATCTATATCTCTATATATCATCTGTGTGTTTTTCTTTTTAACATCTGCTTTAACATTTTATTGTATGAACATCCTGTGTTTACTTAACCAGTTCCCTAATGTTGGACATTTCATGTGTTTCTAATCTACTGCTATCACAAACAATGCTGCAATGAATATCCTTTTGCTACCAGAAAGAGGTGTCTTGATCCAGAATCCAAAAAAAGGTTCTTGGATCTTGCACAGGAAGAAATTCAAGGCGAGGCACAGAGCTCAGTGAAATAAGCAAGTTTATTAGAAACAATTCCATTACAGAGTAGGGTGTCCTCAGAAAGTGAGTGCACAAACACACTGTTTTTCAGTTTTTCTTATATAGGGGTCTTGTCTATGTAAAGACTAAACTGTGACTACATGCAGGTGAGCAGACAACATGACAAGATTTATTATTCTACTGATGTAAAGAAAACCATCCTTGACGATTTGGTGTGTGAGTACATCAAAGCATAACTGTTACTATCTTGAAAGCATTATCATTATGGGTATTGGCCCATCTGGACTTTCTGTGGTTCTAAGAGTTTGTTCTTGCAGGCATTACCAAGCTGCTTCCTCAGCTGTAAACATCTTAGCATCATGGGGTTGTGACTAGCAAGGAATGTGCCTCGCTCATTCTAAGATGGAGGTGATTTTCAAATGATGTCACTCTGGCTCTTTTAGGTTCTTGCTCTCCTAACAGTTTTAGATACATAATTTTGCACAAATACAAGCATACCTGTTGGGGAAATTCCTAAAAGTGATCTTGTTAGTTCTTAAGAGTATGCGTGTTTGGAATTTTGTTAAATCTTGCCAAATTGCCCTTAGCAGAGGTTGCACCAGTTTAGAATCTCACCAGCCATGATGACAGTTGTTGTTCCTCCATACCCCTGTTAACAACGCGAGCTACAAAGTGTTTGGTTTTGTCAGCCAGTAAGTTACAAAATAGATAAAGGTATATCACTGTTTTAATTCTCATTTCTCATGTTTTATTAAAGGTTGAGCTTGGTTCTGTGTTTTAGAAGCCATTTGCATTTCCTTTTCTGTAAGCTGTTCAAATCTTTTGTCCTTTTCAATTGGATTGCTAGTCTTTTTCCTATCTTTTTCTTACCGATTTATAGGAGCTATTTTTCCATGAGATACATTGCAAATATAAAATATTATATTGTACCAGTTACTGCTTTTTGACTTTATTGATAATGTTTTTGCCAGTCAGAAATTTGCTGTTTTTATATGACCTTGTCAATCTCTTATGGGTTTTGTATCACTAAGATCTGTTGTTTTACTATTCAACCATTCCTGCATTCATGGAATAAACTCCATTTGGTCATTTGAATTACCAAGTTTAAAAAATATTGATTTTTGTATATAAGCCTCAGAAAATGCTATCTTTATACATTATCTGCTTTAAATTATATATATATATGCACATTCTTTATATACATAAATTATTTATACACACGCATATGGCATACAAAGTAATCTGCAACAAAAATGAAATTATAGGGAAACATTTCTGAATAGCCATGGAATACAGGTGAAATAAATCAAGGGATGGGCTTTTTCCCAAAGAATGTTTGAGGCGTGTGTGCCTCTGTATGGGAGATGGTGACTGCTCATAGCACTGTTGCTTAATGCTAAGAAGAATCAGATAAGAGCTCTGGGGCCTTTGATACACCTCCCAACAGTATTTTTCATTCTCCTTATGACAAGTGCCTTTCATATATAGTGTGCTGTAATTATTTTCTTGTTAGTGTTCCTTTTGCTTTCCCTGATGCTATTATTCCTACACATTTTCTTCTACCTGGATTAATTATTATTACCAACTATAGAAGCAAAATTGTTTTAGTTAAAGATGAGAAGAACTGGCTGGGCGCGATGGCTCACACCTGTAATCCCAGCACTTTGGGAGGCCGAGGCAGGTGGATCACCTGAGGTCAGGAGTTCAAGACCAGCCTGACCAACAGGGCGAAATCCCATCTCTACTAAAAATACAAAAATTAGCTGGGTGTGGTGGCGATTGCCGGTAGTCCCAGCCACTATTTGGGAGGCTGAGACAGGAGAATTGCTTGAACCTGGGAGGCAGAGGTTGCAGGGAGCTGAGATTGCACCACTGCTCTCCAGCCTGGGTGACAGAGTGAGATTCTGTCTAAAAAAAAGAAAAGAAGATCTTTGGAATGCTGAGTTCTGTACCACTCATTTGGAAGGACATTGATAATCTGGGAATCTTCAGAGGAGAGTGACCAGAGTGAAGGCAGGCATGCTACATGAGGAACTAGGGAATCTAGTAAGATAACTCCTGAAGAAGCAAAGCGAGAGAACTTAGGGAGCCATCTTCAAAGATCTGAAGGGCTGTCATGAGGGCAGAGGAGCAGTTTACTGGTGAGGAAATGTTATGTAGGGTTGGACAACTCTATTCCTCCTAAGCTCTGTGACTGTGAGTAGGACACTTAAAACTGCTCTCAGACTGTCTCCACGTCCTTCAATGGGGAATAATACTGACTATTGCTGTCAGAAAATAGAGGTGACATAAGAACCTGGTGCATGGTAGGCACTTACTAATTACTAATTATTATTTATATTTATTTTATGTGGTTCCAGAGGTGAGAACGAAGACCAAAGACTAAGAGTTCTAGAAAGGTACAGTCTGGCTACTTGTAACAGCTTGTCTTATTCAACATGATATAGATTGCCTAATACAATAACGAGTTTTTTGTACCTCAGTGTATTAAAGTAAAGGAAAGAAGTTCTTTTGTCATGAATACCTTAGGAGAACTTTGGGGAATTCAGTGGAAGTTGAACTAGATTATGTTTATTATAAAGTCCTTATTATAATTTCAACTCTTTTCATCTACCTCTCAAAAAAATCCATCACTTCTTTCTCTTTGGAAAGAGCATAAGGCATTTAACAAAGAAATAAATGCCAAATTTTTTTTTTTTTTTTTTTGAGATGGAGTCTCGCTCTGTCGCCAGGCTGGAGTGCCATGGAGCGATCTCGGCTCACTGCAACCTCTGCCTCCCGAGTTCAAGTGATTCTCCTGCCTCAGCCTCCCGAGTAGCTGGGACTACAGGTGCCCGCCACCACACCCAGCTAAACCATAAACATGGGAATTCCTCATCCTTAGGAACAATAAGATAGACATTTTAGGGGGAAGAAGAAAAAGTCCTCCCCATAAAGATTCCTACTTCCATCCAGCAGTCTTTAAATCGTCTCTGTCATAGGGCTGTAGGCTCTAACTCAGCAATTTCGGAAGCATAAGGGAAACACACATTGGATTTCCAGAACAGAGTTCTTGTACCAAACTTGTTCTGGTAGCTGATCTTACTCAGTCATCTATGTACAGTAGAAAGAAGCGGAAGATAATATCCCTAGACTACAGATGGATGCACTGATATAGATTTGGGCTGTCACTACACTGGGGTGACTGAACCAGGTGGGGTCAGTTTGTGGGAGGGTTATCTTAAAATCTCTGCTGGGAACACTGATCACAATGATCTCCTGGGGTCTAGACAAGCCATTATTTACAATGCAACACAATCAGGTTCTTGCTCATTTTGCTTATACTAGATACCTCTGACTCAAGAGACCTTTTCAAAGTTTCACTGTATCCAAATCGATCCATTTAAGTTTGTAATCCTTTACGTAACTCCATGTTTGGGACTATCCTGCTTTTTGAACCTTTGCAGAAAGATCAATTGGAATTGGGCAAAGTAAAATATGAACTGATTTAACATTTTAACAGGATGTTGAGTACAAATATGTAAATTAAGACTTTCAGTCCTTTCAATAATGAAGATGAACTAGAGATAGACAATGTAAAAAAGGGAGATGCTCTTTTAGATAATTTCACTAGAAAACCTAAATTTAAGCGGGGAAAATGAAGCTTTGCTTTCCCATCTCTGCATGAGAATTATACTCTTGTGACTGCTTTTGTAGTTTATAAATTTTTAAAAATACATCAGTTAGTTTAGAATTCTAAATAATAATTTTCCAGCTAAGATTTTCCAATCTTTTTCACAGTTTTTGGTAGAGAGTAGTGAAGATAAACATAAGCCTGCAAAAAAATTAGGCTTTTTCCTTCACAAATCCATGGACAATGTATGTGAAAAAGCTGAAAGGCACAAAGGTTTGTGCAAACTCTGCCTTGTGAATGAGAACATCTATTTGAAGGTTTAATGAAAAGTTTAGATGTTTGCAAAATGCTCACTTTGCATTCACAGTTAATTTATCAGGAAATTTTAGGCTGCCAATCAAGACCCCCAAAACCCTCATCAAGAGAAGGTTGTGGAGCAAACAGAAAAGGCTTTAGAGTAAGAGGGCTTTGACATGAGGTCAGCTTCATTTTCCAATTCCAGCTCCACTTCCCACTAGCTGTGTGGCTTTCGGCAAGTCCCTCAATCTCACTGAGTCTCCGTTCACTCTTCCGTGAAACATCACCCATCTGCAGGGCTGTTGCCACGTCTAGAAGTCTCTTTGCTGTGCCAGGTGCAGTCAGCATTGAGCGAATGGCAGCTGTTCTTGCAGTCCTCAAATCCCTGTCCCCTGGGGCAGGAGGAGGTGAATCTCACAGCCTCTCTCTTCTAACTTCATGGTTCTGTCCTGTTCCAATGCCCCCAAGTTGACTTGAGCAGATGGAATTGAGAGATTCAAGCCTTTGGAGTGTGTGAGGGTTTTCAAATGACCGTGGTCCATATGCAGTTTATGGTTGTCCCCCATTTTCTGCATTAGTTTTACAATTGGTCATACTCCCCCTCCAACTTCCTTCTCTCTTTAATGAGTCAGAAAACATATTCTCTTTAGGGATTCAGTGGCAACACCTCTAATGGCTCTGATTCATTTGGCTTAGACCCAATTAAAAAGTGCAGGAAATATAGAAAAAGTCATGAACCACTGCTCTTCTTTCTATTCATCATATATCTGGCTTCCTGGGGTCAACTTCTACTCACACATTTTTGGTGCTGCTGTTCATATAATGGGGTTCTTCTGAAAGTGAGGGTGAGACAAATCAAAAAAGCAGAAAATTCCAAGTTCTTCTTACTGGAGCCCAGGCCACCTTGTGTTTTATGTAGTCTCATTTCACAGCATAAATGTATAACTAGGGCTATCAGAGATGCAATATATTATATTAATATACATTAAAGTGAAACCATTGACTGCTCCATAGATAGGTAGGAAAGAGATGCAGCAGGCTGACTTCTAAGTGATTTTTTTTTTTTTCAGACGGGGTCTCACTCTTGTTGCCCAGGCTGGAGTGCAGTGGCGTGATCTCTGCTCACCGCAATCTCTGCCTCCTGGGTTCAAGCGATTCTTCTGCCTCAGCCTCCCAAGTAGCTGGGATTACAGGCACATGCCCCACGCCCGGCTAATTTTTGTATTTTTAATAGAGATGGAGTTTCACCATGTTGGCCAGGCTGGTCTTGAACTCCTGACCTCAGGTGATCCACCCACCTCGGCCTCCCAAAGTGCTGGGATTACAGGCGTGAGCTACTGTACCCAGCTGAGTGATTTCATTTTTAACTGTGATGGGATAGGCACATATTTTTTCCATTGCAGTTTCTTTCTGTTCCAACTACTGCAGTAGTGTCTAATGCCGCTCCAGCATCAGGATGTCTTGAAATTGGGGAGGATAATTTCTTTTGATAGTGATGTGTTCTACCGGGCCTGCATTTTAAGGGGGCTAACATTCAGGTGCCAGATACTTTACAGAGGTGATCTCTTTTAATCATTACAACAAACTTACTAGATAGATGTTATTTATTGCATCCTGTTTCAGAGATGAGGAAACTCAGGCTCGAAGATGTGAAATGAAGTTGAGGTTCAAACCCAGGTCTGTCTGATTCCAAAGGCTATGTATGTCCCACCCTCCCCACCGAATCGTATCTTCTTCCCACTTTTAGGGATCTGTATTTTGCTTATAAAAATCAAGTGAAAAATTAACAGAATTTTGGCACTTGTTTTTGTTCCATAAATAAAATTTTGCACCACCACAAACAGATTCAGACTTAAAATTAGTGGCAAGACAGGCTGAAGGATGACACTTCTTTGTTCCCTTGTGCTCAGTGGGGAGGCAAAAGTCTGCCTTCATCTCCATTCTAATTATCCAAAACCTCTTATCTGTAGTGTCACAGTTCATAATAATTAATTGTCATGCCAGAGGCATTGTGACATGCTTGATGGAGTCATGGTGTGCTATGTACACAGAGTAATTAGCAATCATTAGTGGTGGGGACAGAAAGTTCCCGGTGGTTTCATTCGAACTTTCATTTGGTTAAGTTTATGTCTGTGTTCTTTGTGCATAAATGTAGTTTAGCAAAACAGGTTTCATCTTAGCCATTTTATGAAGGGTTGGAGTGGAAACAACATAATGAGAATGGAGTTCTTTTTTCTTTTGTCTTTGTCTATGTAAGGAGCCTGTCTTCCAATGATTTGCATATATACTTCCTGACTATTAGCTAGCATAATTAACTTTAAATATAGGTAATGTTAAATATTGCTAAATTTGATTACAAATATAAAACATCAGTAATCTACCAGAGGAGATCAGACCAAGATGTCTAGAGCTGGAAACTCAGAATGAGTAGTAAAATCTGGACTCTTTTTGGCCAGGCTACCCGCCGGAAAGCCACCAAAACAATGTTACATTTTGACTCTCTGTGAAGACAATACCCGCCATCACCCTCTGCAGCAAAGATTATTGAAATAACCTTGGCCTAGAGGTGCCAGAGAATTAGACAGTAAATATGTTTTTGTAAATGGAGAAAGGCAAGAACAAAGCAGTCAAGCTTTTGAGTTCTTTCTTCAGTAAAAAAGAAGGAAGGCAGTTGGAAGAATATAAAACTGACTAAAAATAGGCCTGTACACCTCAGCCAATCTATATGAACATATGGTTAAGTACAATAAAACTAATTTCCATATTCCAGAGAGTCAATATAGATAGCATAAATTAAAAAAAAAGACAACTATGGATGCTTTGCAAACACCTTGACAGCTACTTTTTCCAGTCAGCCTCCTCAAGTCCTGTGTCTTTATTTAAAAGTACTTCTCAGCTTGTTGACAGGTAAATACATCCCCAAAGCCTGAGGAGGGAGAAAGAAATGTGATTGTTGTCCTCTGTGCAGAAGCTGCTTTGCCTGGGTAGGAAGTCACATGATGCACAGGCATCTTGGGGAGACTGAGTCTTACAGCTGGAACCTCTAAAGAGAAAGGTTTCCATGGTAGCAAATCATCTTCCTGGTGTAGATGTGTCACTGCTAATCTACAGCCAGGGCCCCGTGAAAGGAATGCTGCCTCGAGGGAGGAAAGGTGCAACCTCTCTACCTATGCCTTTCCACAAGCCCCAAATCCATACACTGCCGTAGGTAATTAGGTTTTAACTCACTGGGGGTCTGACAAATCCCCGGGTGGATTTACATACAAGCTAAGAAGGATCAAAGACATAAGAGGAAGTCAGGCTGCATGGAGTTAAAGTCATACTGGGTAGACAGAGAAGCTTCCGTCTGTCGGGGTGCTCCATGGAAGGCATTGGTGGAAGAGGGGAGCAGCAACAGCCTGCAGGACTGAGGGCAGGTGGCAGCCTACCTGCAGGAGGATGTCCCCCTTTCCGAGGGGAGAGCAGGTCTTGCACTTCATTTGCCATAGCGTGTGCCAGTGCCAGTGCCAGTGCTGGTGCTCTGGAGGCTGAATGCCAGCTGTGGCTGCCCCACCACCGCACCGGCTTTATAAAGGCAGGGGGCAGGGCCCCTTAAGGGCATTGCTGAGCAGCAACAGGGCTTGTCATCCAGCTCTCTGGGAAACCTGCATCTCCTTGGCAAGTTTTCTCTTAGAAGAAGACTTTCTTCTTCCCTTCATCTGGGAAGGCAAGGTAGATGTCTGCAGGAGACAGGATATTCTTTTCTTTCTTTTTTTTCCACAGGAGGAAAGGGAGAGGATGGAGTTCAGTGGAATTCTTTTTCTCTCCAACCGTTGATCCCTCAAGTGTGTATAGTGCACCTGCAATGTAACAGGCTTTTGTCATATTCTGGCATGACAAGGGGGCCAAGACAAGCTCTTTGCTTCAGGACATCTGTAGTCTTTCTAAAGAGACAGGTATAGAGCAAAGTCCTGTGCCTCTGTCCCAGTTTTTGCAATTATAAGCATTTATACTAAGAAAATAATTGGAAATGTATACAGAGATTTCTGCGCAAGGATGGGAATCATATGCTTCTTTTCTTTTTAAAATATTGATGGGAATCAAGATAAACATCTCCAAATACAGAGGGATAGTTAAGATGAATCAAGAAATCACTGTGAGAGTATACCTTACAATCATGTTTTCAAATAATATTTAATGATGTAGAAATATTAACGATAAGATAGTGAAAAAGTAGACAAGAAACCAATCAATGCCAATTTTGCTAAAAAGGAAAAATACAACTTTAAGCTTAGCCATTATTGTAATTCCAGCGCCAATAAAAGTTTAGCATGTGGCAGATATTTATAAAAATTTCTTTGTTCTTCAGTACAGTTAAAAAACAACTTGAAGAGCAGTTGTCTGCTCTTCGAAAAACCCTGTTAAGAAAATAAAAACAAGCTACAAACTGGGAGAAAATATCTGTAAAATGCATTTCTGATGAAGTACCGACATTTAGAATGTATAAAGAATTCTTACAACTCAATAATAAGAAAGCAGACAACCCAATTAAAAATGGGCAAAAGATTCAAATAAAACATTACAAAGTAAGGATATTGACAACACATAATCACACAAAAAGATGCTCGACATCATTAGTCATTAGGGAAATGCAAATTAAAGCCACAATAAAATACCACTACATATGTATTAGGATGGCTCAAGACAAGAAAAAAAAGGAAAATACAAAATGCTGGTGAAGACGCAGAGCAACTGAAACTCTCATACATTGCTGGGGGAAACGCAAAAAAGCAAAGGTGTTCTGGAAGTCAGTTTGACAGTTTCTTATAAAATTCAACATACACTTACTATATATGACTAACAATCCAATTGCTAGGAATTCTCCCAAGAGTGATGAAAACATATGTACACACAAAACCCTATGTGCAAATGTTTATAACAGCTCTATCAGGATTGCCAAAAGTTAGAAACAACTCCGAAGTTCAACTGTAGAATGGGTAAACAGATTGTGGTGTATCTATATCATAGAATATAACTCAGCAATAAAAAGGGAAACATGGATGAATCTCAAAAGCAACACGTTAAATGGAAGAACCCAGACTAAAAAAAGCTACTTCCTATATAATTCCATGTACATGACATTCTTGAACAGTTGAAACCCTAGGAACAGAAATTGGATCAGTGATTGCTGGAGAGCGGTTGGGGAGAGTGGCTTAATTACAAAGGTGAGGAGGTGACTTTTTGAGGGTGATGGAAATAATTTGTATCTTGATTGTAGTGGTTGTTACATTCATCATACGTCATACACACATCACCTTAAAAGGGTGAATTTTACCATATGCAAAATATGCCTCAACAAATGACAAAAAATCTGTTTGTAAATAAATGAATGTAAATACTCCAAAATGTTAAGAGTGGCATTCTGTAGGTGGGAGTATTACATGTGGATTTTTAAATCTTCTTTCAGTATTCTGTATTACTTTTTAAATAAATAAAAACTAATAAAAGTTTTTTTTGAGGGAAAAGTATGGTAAAGTGTTGCGACAAAGGTTGGCACATTTTTGGGAGCAAAGAGGAAACATTCATATCATCTAGCAGTTATTTTGTGAGTGGCCTTTCCTGCAGGGCCCTGGACTAGGAGCTGGGGTTCAGAGATGAGAAAATCTCATTCTTGCTTTCAGCGATCTCACATTCTCATGCGGATATGGACATGATGAGAAGGTTAACAGAATTCCTTCTATGATTGACAAGGTTTATTGTGGCATTATTCCTCAGAAATTTCTGAGAAGATGGAAATGTTTGTATCTGCTCTGACCAGTGTTGTAGCCACAAGCCACACATTCATTTGAGCACTTGAAATGTGGCTGGTGCAACTGAAAAATTGAATTTTTAATTTATTTAAAATTAAATAGTTTTAATTAATAGAAATAGGAATAGCTACATGTGGCATGTGACTCTGGTATTGGACAGCATAGGTAGGTAGCATAAAGCCTAGATGTGTGACTGTTTGGTACCAGATTTTATTGGTTATCTTCTATATCTATAAGCTGCGAAAGTGCAAAAGGCAAGGAGGAAATCAAAGGGCAACCACCCCTTAGGAGAGCCTGCACCTAGGACAGCCTAAGTGATGTGGAGGAATGAGTGGTTGGACCAGAATATAATGCATGCCCAAGCAGAGAAGGCTTCTTTGGGGCAAATACTCGATTTATCCATGAAGTAATGTTAAACAGGATTTCTTTTCACATCATTCGCATGTAAAGCCTTCAGTTCACAGATGTACATTGTGACCCTCCCCAGGGGGATTTAGTAGGCAGCATCCGCAGAGCATTTTTCATCATGAAAACGTTCGTTCTCATGGCCCTAAAAAAAACCCTTAGAGGGCCAGGATTGGTGGTGCACGCCTGTAATCCCAGCACTTTGGGCAGCTGAGGCCAGCCTATTGCTTGAGCCCAGAAGTTAAGAGACCAGCCTCCTGGGCAACATGGAGAAACCCCATCTCTAAAAAAAATATAATACAAAAATTAGCCAGGAGTGGTGGCACACGCTTCTGGTCCCAGCTACTTGGGAGGCTGGGGTGGGAGGATTGCTTGAGCCCAGGAGGTCAAGGCTGCAGTGAGCCAAGATCATGCCTCTGCATTCCAGCCTGGGCGATAGACTGAGAGCCTGTCTCAAAAACAGAAACCAACCAACAAAAACCCCCTAGAATTTGTGTTCTTGGCTTGGTGGGGTGTTGTGCACCTGGAGTCCCAGCTACTTGGGGAAGCTGAGTTGGGAGTATTGCTTGAGCCCAGGAATTCAACGGCAACATAGCAAGGCCTATCTCAAAATAAATAAATAAGAAAGAAAGAGAGAAAGGAAGGAAGGAAGGAAGAGAGAGAGAGAGAGAGAGAGAGAAAGAAAGAAAGAAAGAAAGAAAGAGAGAAAGAAAGAAAGAGAGAAAGAAAGAAAGAGAGAAAGAAAGAAAGAAAGAAAGAAAGAAAGAAAGAAAGAAAGAAAGAAAGAAAGAAAAAGAAAGAAAGAAAGAAGGAAAGAAAGAAGGGAGGAAAGAATTTGTGCTCTTGAAATCCAAGTTGGAAAATTCTGATCTAAGGGAACGGGAGTAGTGGTATCCACAGGGTGATGGTAAAAGGTAAGTGGCAAAAGCAAAAATGAGGCCAATGTGGCCTCCTCTGGGCCCCGCCCAGCACAGCCTTCCTGCCCTGCCACTCTTTCTGCTTCCACTGGAGGAGGCCCAGGGTCCCAACTCTGTCTCCCTCTGTGTGTGCTTAGGAGCACAGGGCAGCCCCAAAGTGGGGTGGGGTCTTCCCTTGCCTTCTCTTTATGTTCGTCATGAAAAGCCCAGGCCTGTTTTGTACACTGTGAGGTAAGTGGAGCCCAAGTGATTTACTCTGGGGACATACTGGAGCTTCCATCAGGGTGAAAGTCTCATGGAAAGAAGACAACATGTTATTACTCTTTAAATGGGCTTATAAAGCTCACTTTAAAAATGGCATCAGTCGAGTTAACTGCAACAGGAGAGCAGTTCATGCTAGGACCAAAGTATTTGAAATTGTGCTTTGTAATGCAAAAAGCCTAGTAAAATGGATTCTCACGACGTTGAGGTTGCCAGAGAGCTTTCTGTCTTAAAATGAAAGGATGCTTTAACATTAATCATATTTTAAAATCATACAACACTTTCATCGTAGTATTGCACTTTCTTCTTTTAATTTGTATGTGGGAGACATTACCTTCCTCATGCACCTGTATATTTGCAGGGTGCATCTAATTTTTATATTTTCTTTTTTCTCTTAACATTAGTTACATGCTGTACCTTATGCTAAGTTCTGAAAGTATGAGAAATCTATGTTAGAAATCAGGGGCAAGAAAGCTAACTGGGAGGGTGGTGACTCTTAGGTGGTGGGGTGGTGTCTTAATTTGTTTTCTATTGCTTACAACAGAATACCTGAAACTTGGTAATTTATAAAAATAAGCAGCTGGGCATGGTGGCTCATGCCTGTAATCCCAGTACATTGGGAGGTCAAGGCTGGAGGATTGCTTGAGTCTAGGAGTTTGAGACCAGCCTGTGCAATGTGACAAAACCCTATCTCTACAAAACATGCAAAAATTTAGCCAGGTGTGGTGGCGCATGCCTGTAGCCCCAGGTACTCAGGAGGCTGGGGCAGGAGGATCACTAGGCAGAGGTTGCAGAGAGCCAAGATCTCGCCACTGCCTGAGGGATAGAGTGAGACCCTGTATCAAAACAAGAACAAACAAACAAAAAACAGTATTCAGTTATGGAGGCTAAGAAGTCGAAGGTGGAGGGCATGCATCTGCTGAGAGCCTTATTGCTGGTGGGGTCCCACTCTCTGCTGAGTCCCAAGGCGGCACAGAGCTAACCTGCTCACTCGGGGTTTCTCCTCCACTTCTTTTTAGAGTCTCACTCTATCACCCAGACTGCAGTGCATTGGCATGATCTTGGCTCACTGCAACCTCTGCCTCCTAGGTTCAAGCAGTTTCTCCTGGCTCAGCCTCCCAAGTAGCTGAGATGACAGGCATGTGCCACCATGCCTGGCTAACTTTTGTATTTTTAGTAGAGATGGGGTTTCACCATATTGGCCAGGCTGGTCTCGAACTCCTCAAACTCCTGACCTCAGATGATCTGCCCACCTTGGCCCTCCCAAAGTGCTGGGATTACAGGTGTGAGCCACCATGCCCAGCCTCTCCTCCACTTCTTATAAAGCCACCAGCTCCCCTCCCAGGATAACCATTAACCCTTTTTTTGAGACAGGGTCTCGCTCTATTCCCCAGGCTGGAGTGCAGTGGCTGTATTATGGCTCACTGTAGCCTCAAACTCCTGGGCTCAAGTGATCTTCCTGCCTCAGCCTCTCGAGTAGCTGGGATTACAGGTGTGCACCACCACACCTGGCTAATTTTTATCATTTTTGTAAAGACGGGTTTCACCGTGTTGGTCAGGTTGGTTTCGAACTCCTGGGCTCAAGCCTTGGTCTCTCAAGTAGCGCAGGCTACATATGTGTGCCACCATGCCCAGATAATCTTTAAAAAATTTTTAGTAGAGATGAGGTCTCTCTATGTTGGCCAGGCTGGTCTTAAATTCCTGAGTTCAAGTGATCATCCCTCTTCATCCTCCCAAAGTGTTAAGATTACAGGCTGCACCTGGCCCCATTAACCTATCAATCCATGAATGGATCAATCTGTTCAGAAGAGCAGAGCCCTATGGTCACCTCTTAAAGTCTTCACCTCTCCATACTGGCATATTGACGATTCAGTTTCAACATGAGTTTTGGAGGAGACATTCAAACCATAGCAGGTGGTTTAGAGAAAGCCCTCTCCAAAGCATCTTGCCTCCTGTTTTGTAAGATGTCTCTGAGCTTCCAGTGCCTGTCTAGACATTTTAACTCCAGTTTCTCCCTGTAGTCTATATCCATGTGTTTAGGTGCTTTGCTTTCTCTTTAGATTTCATTCAGTATTTTCTCTGTTGTTTCTCCATTATATGTTTTCTAGGTGGGGTGTGTTGGGGGGTGCGGTATTATGGGAGTTACATTATGGAGAAAACTGTGCTTACCAGCTTTTTTGGTCTGTTTTTTAGATATAGTGTGTCTTTCTCTTCCCTCTCTCCAAAACACTGGGATTTTCCTTTCATCCGAGGACATTTTTAATTCCTAGTATTCTTTAGCAGAAAGCACTCATTGTTTTCTCTCTCCATTTGCTGGACCTGAAACAAAGAATCCATTAATAATTTGGAGAGGTGTGTAAGGATCTTTCTTCCGAGTTATCATGCAGATAGACACTTTTATGTATAGGGATTCCCCCAGCAACAAAACAATCACAATTCTGTGTGCAGGAATATAGAAACACAGTTTAGAAGTTAGCCAATCTTGATAACAAGGTAAACAATGAAGAGTACATTTTTTCTTGCCTTGGGGTCTTGAAGTTTTAGTGGTGAGTGTTGGAGCCAAGAGGCAAATAAACTTAATTGGAAGATAATAATAGTTCACTTTACTTTTAGAAATACACTCGAGATTAGTTAAAACACAAATTTCTGCAATTCCCTACCTTCCACATCTTCTATAAAGCCAAAATTTACTGACCCCATTTTACAGGTGGGAAAAGGCCATAAAAGGAAACAAAGAGAGGTAAATTAGTCGTAAAACATAACAAGATGGCAGTGGAAAGATCAGAAGCTGCTACTGATCCATTGTCGGCCCAGTCTTTATTATTGTCCAGCAGCTTGAAACCCGCATTGGGCATCTGAAAAGTCATGCCAGGAAGCTGTATAATGCACCACTAATAAAACAGCTAAAGGACAGCATACTGTCTGAGCAGCGGATGCTAGTAAGTTATCTGTTACAGGGTTTTGTACCCTTTCCATGGGTTGAGATGTTTCAGGTATCAAAGATTCTGAAATGAATTCCAACCATAGCCAGACTAGGCCATGGGAAAGACATACCTGGAAAGAGGGCCAGCCTTTTGTGGGCCAAGATGTGACTTTTTTGGACCAGTGTTTACTTCACTAACTGCTTCCCTCTTCTCTCTGCCAAGGACCCTCCCTGCCTTTCCTGTTAAAGGAAAAACTAGAGCTGGAAATTTATATAAAATGCAGTCTTTATAGACATTTTTACTCTAGTTTTTTCCTTTAGTCTATATCCATTTGTTTAAGTGTTTGCTTTCTCTTTAGATTTCATTCAGTATTTTCTCTGCTGTTTCTCCATTATATGTATTATAGGTGGGGTGTGTGTGGTGGGATCATGGGAGTGATTATGGAGAAAACATTCCCTTGGTCCTTGGGCTTAAAAGACCAAGACATTCTTGCCTGTGGGCACCATCTCTTGGTGCCACTCAGGGTTCAGCGGTGAATTTCGGAGCCTGGAGATCCCTTTTCATGAATCTGGGCCCTTGTAGTCATGATATGATGACTCCACTTCACTCTGTAAGTCCCATCCTACTGTTGGGAAAACCCTCAAATTCATCCATTTAATCATAAACTTATTATTTATCTCTCTATTGGCAAAGCCCTGTGTTAAGTCTCCTACAAATTATTCATCTCATTTAATCTCTCCAAAGATTTTTACGTTTTTATTTATTGAATGGGTAATGATGGAGACAGGAGGCAGAGAAATTTCAGGCAGAAAAGGGCATGTCCCTAGGGAAAACCTCATCCTCAAGCTGAAAAGCCTGAAACGGTGGCCCAAAGTGAGAACGTATATCCCTGGTTTCCCGCTGGAATGTTACCTTTTCCTAAACCACCCAGGGCCCTGCCCCACCCCATCCTCTGCCTATAAAGACCCCAGATTCAGCCAGCAGAGAGGAGAAGCAGCTGGACATTGGGGACTACGGCTGGATGTTGTCGACTTCAGAGGGACAGCTCAAAGGCGTAACTTCAGAGAATAATCTGGCTGGAGATAGCAGGACTTCAGGGGAAGATTACCTACCCCATCCTATCCCCTTTTCAGCTCCCCTTCCCACTGAGAACCACTTTCTTCGGCAATAAAATCCCCCACGTTTACCATCCTTCAATTTGTTAGTGTGACCTCATTTTTCCTGGATGCTGGACAAGAGCTTGGGAACCATGAGTGTGGACACAAAAGGCTGTCACACTGGCTCTTTTCCTGCTCTGGCAAAGGGCAGCCACCTCACGCAAAAAGGGAAAGGGCCCGCTGAACTGTTGACACTTAAGCAGTCTGCGGATGGCAGTGCTAAAAGAGCAATGTAACATGCCCTTTGGGGCTTCAGGGGTCGCAGGCACCCACCTGGATGCTGCCGTGGGGCCTACACGGAGTTTGCTCCTGCCAGTGCTGAAGTGGTAGGGTGGTTCCAGTGCTTATGCACTCCAGTTTACATCTTGTTTGCTCACGTGCTCCCTCCTGTGAGGAGTTGAGTGGCAGGCTGAGTAAACCAGGCGCCCCTGTCATGAGTCCCTTGAAGGGGTCAGGGAAATACCCTGTTTCAGTAATACATTCATATGATTCAAAACTCAAAAGATACAAAAAGGAATATAGTGAAAATTGATTTTTTCCCTCTCCAACCTCCAGGTCCACTCTTTGGGGACAACCAAAGTTATAAGTTTTCCTAAGATATTTCATACATTTAGGAGAAATTCATACATATGTTTTTTAATTTTTTTTTTTTTTGAGACAGAGTCTCACTCTGTTGCCCAGGCTGGAGTGCAGTGGCGCGATCTCCGCTCAAAGCTCCGCCTCCCGGGTTCACGCCATTCTCCTACCTCAGCATCCTGAGCAGCTGGGACTACAGGCGCCCGCCACCACGCCCGGCTAATTTTTTTTTGTATTTTTAGTAGAGACGGGACGAGGTTTCACCATGTTAGCCAGGATGGTCTCGATCCTGACCTTGTGATCCGCCTGCCTTAGCCTCCCAAAGTGCTGGGATTACAGGCGTGAGCCACCGCGCCCGGCATGTTTTTTAATTTTTATAACACATATGGTAATATATACATATATTATTGTGTACCTAACTTTTTTCACTTATAGAATATCTTGAAGACACTTCCTTCATTAGAAATAAAAGCTCTGCAATTACTTAGTGACTGTACCCTTCCATGTTATGGATGGATCAGAATTTATTTCATCAGTGTCTTTCTGATGAAGATTTAAGTTGTTTCTAATCATTTACTCCCATAAATAATGTTGCAGTGAATAATCTTTTACAAATACAACTTTGCCTGTGTATGCCATTTTATTTATAAGCTAAATTCCTAAAAATAGATTGCTGTGTCAAAAGACATGTGTATTTGTAATACTGATACTGCCAAATTGCTCTCTATTGATGTTGGAGGGCAATTCCTGCCAGAAATAAATGAGTGCCTTTTTCCCCCAAGTGTTACCAATTTGCCAAGTCTTACCAACTTGCTCTTTGTCAAGTTGATAGGTGAAAAATAGTATTCAATTTTGTTTTTGTCTACACTTCTCTGAGTATGAGTGAGGTTGAACATCTTTTTAGAGGTGGTTCTCACTCTGTCACTTAGGCTAGAGCAGTGGGGTGATCATAGCTCACAGTAATCTTGAACTCCTGGGTTCAAGGAATACTCCCGCCTCAGCCTCCCCTGTAGCTAGTGCTACAGGTGAAAGCCAGCACACCCAGCTAATTTTTAAATTTATTTATTTATTTATTTATTTATTTATTTATTTATTTATTTGTAGAGATGAGGTCTTGCTACGTTGCCGAGGTTGGTCTTGAACTTCTGGCCTCGGGCAGTCCTCCAGCCTCGGCTTCCCAAAGTGCAGGGATTAGAGACATGAACCAGTGTGCTCAGCCTGTTGAATATCTTTTGTTTGTTTGTTTGTTTGAGACAGGGTCTCACTCTGCCACCCAGGCTGGAGTGCAGAGGCATGGTCATGGCTCCCTGCAGCCTCAACCTCCAGGGCTCCATTGATCCTCTCACTGCAGCCTCTCGAGTAACTGGGACTATCAGCACACACCACCATGCCCGGCTAGTTTATTTATTTTTTTAATTTTATTTTTTTTGAGACAGTGAATATCTTTTAATGCTTCAGACTTATTTGAATTTTCTTTGCTGTGAATTATTATTCACCATGTTGATTCTTGTAGGGGTTTGATGGTATTTTGGTCATTTTTGTTATTACTTTTTAGAAGCTGTTTATATACTGTAATCAGTGCAACAAGCAACACTTTTATAATTTTCTTGTGTAAATCAAAAGAAATATAAATTATTGATGTATATATTAAAAGTCTCTAGAGGAAATTTGGTTATTTTTAATGCTTTTACATATTCATTAAACAAAAACTTTTTGTTTGTTCGTTTGTTTGTTTGTTTCTTGAGACAGGGTCTTTCTCTGTTAGGCTGGAGTACAGTGATATGATCATGACTCACTGCAGCCTCAACCCCCTGGGCCCATGTGGACATCCCAGCTTAGCCTCCTGAGTAGCTGGGACTACAGGTGCACACCACCACACCAGCTAATTTAAAAAAAAATTTTTTTAAGAGATGGGACCTCACTATGTTTGTCTGGCTGGCCTCAAACTCCTTGGCTGAAGCGAACCTCCAGCTTCAGCCTCCCAAAGTGCTGGGATTATAGGTGTGAGCCACCACGCCTGGGCTAATTTAAAAATTTTTTTTTACGGAGTCTGGGTATCACTGTGTTGCCCAGGCTAGTCTCAAACTCCTTGGCTCAGGCAATCCTCCTGTCTTGGTCTTGAAACTTTTTGTTATTGACACTTTTAAACATGTACAGAAGTAGAGAGAATGACATTAACAAATCCCCATGCACTCATTACTCAGCTTCAGCAATTATCAACACATGGCCATCTTATTGTCCATAACCTTCTCCCTGACCGACCCCACTTCTGCCACAAATTTTCCCTTGCCCCTTGGACTATTAAGATGTAAAAATCCTGGGTGTTACATAATTTCACGGTAATGATTGCTATTACATTGAAGTATTACTATTATGTATCCTTAGCAAAATTAACAGACGTTCTTTAATATCACTAAATACTTAGTAAGTACTCAAATTTGTCTGATTGTCTCATATCTTTTTTTTAACAGATGGTTTGTTCACACCAGAATCCAAACTGGCCCCTTCCTTAATTAATTAATTTATTTTTGCAATTATTTGTTGAAGACGCTGGGTCTTTAGTCCTGTAGAATTTGCTACATTCTGGATTTGGCTGGATTTGTTGTATTGCATGAACATGTCCTGTTCTTTGTATTTCCTGCAAACTGGTGGTTAGATCTAGAGGCGTGATCAGACTCATGCTTGATTGATTTATTTTGGGCAAGTATACCCAAGGGTGTTATTGTGTACTTCCTGTTGAGGCACATCTACAGGCTCATAAAGTCTGGTTGTCTTTGTGTAATGTTGAGGCTGATCTGTCATTTTAGCTGACATTCTGTTCTAAAGAATGCTATTAGATACAGAAAACAAAATTTGCCTCTCTATAGAAAATGAAGTGCCAAAGGAGAAACCCACAACTTCATTTTTGAGAAGAGAGAATGCACAATGTGGGTAGCTTGCTTTTATATTTAACACAGTGAAAGACTCACAGAAAAAACTTGCCCTTCTGGTTCAAGTTCCCTTTAGTCCCCAGTTCAGCATCAGATATTTGTGTGATTTGGTCGGGCGCGGTGGCTCACGCCTATAATCCCAGCACTTTTGGAGGCCAAGATGGGTGGATCACTTGAGGTCAGGAGTTCCAGACCAACCTGGCCAACATGGTGAAACCCCGTCTCTACTAAAAATGCAAAAATTAGCTGGCCATGGTGGCAGGTGCCTGTAATCTCAGCTACTCGGGAGGCTGAGGCAGCAGAATCACTTGAACCCGGGAGGTGGAGGTTGCAGTGAGAAGAGATGGTGCCACTGTCCTCCAGCCTGTGCGATAGAGCGAGACTCCACTTCAAAAAAAAAAAAAAAAAAAAAGATATTTGTGTGATTTATTTGCTGGCTTACTGTGTCAGAATGTATTTAGATTTCAGGCATTTTTCTACCATCTTTTTAATTTGACTCAGAATAAGAATATTTTCATCTTGCTTATTATGTTTCACTTTTAAAACAGCTGCCTCAGGCCGGGCGTGGTGGCTTACCTCTGCAATCCCAGCACTTTGGGTGGCCGAGGTGGGCGGATCATGAGGTCAGGAGATCGAGACCATCCTGGCTAACACCGTGAAACCCCGTCTCTACTAAAAATACAAAAAATTAGCCGGGCGTGGTGGCGGGCGCCTGTAGTCCCAGCTACTCGGGAGGGTGAGGCAGGAGAATGACTTGAACCTGGGAGGCGGAGCTTGCAGTGAGCCGAGATCGCGCCACTGCATTCCAGCCTGGGCGACAGAGCGAGACTCCATCTCAAAAAACAAACAAAACAAACAAAGAAACAAACAGCTGCCTCAAAAACGTGAGTGATAATTTAGGGGGCTTGGAAGATGTCTTTCCAGGAGGCCTCGGTGGCTGGGGTCTCGGCTGTAGTCATATTGGACTTTCGGTGTCTAAATGACTGTCGCCCACTCTCCTTTCCCTGCCTCTGAGCTTTCATTTTCCTCAGTCTGCTATAATCCTCTACTCTTGGTCAACTCCCACGCCTTCCATGACCCCATCAGTCTGTGAGTTGCTCCTGCAATCATTCCACTCTTCTCATTCACCATACTTTGTGGGATTGATGAATTAAATCTCATAGTATCCTGAATTTGAACCAACCTGTAGATCTTCAATAAGTACTTTTTAAAAGGGAATCAAATTTCCTTGTTTTGTGTTACTTTAAAAACTACATTTCTTCAAAGACAAGTAGCCTGAGTGGTGTCTCAGTGGAAAGTTACTTTCCCAAAGCCATTCTACAGTATCTGCAATTGCCTTAAAATTCTGCCAATCCGATTAATCTTATTTAAACCACAAAAATGACTTTCCTAAATACATCTTATGATGATCCTAAGTGATACCTAAAGTGATAAACGGATGAATCGACAAGTGAAGTGGCTTGTTTGAAAGGTTTCCGCGGATGGCCCTCCTTTCCGTCGCCCTTCCCTGTGGGTATAAAAGAAACTGCAGTCATGTGAAAGATTTGTGTTTGCCTGGATTGGGAGCACGCGGGCTTGGAAAAGAGGTGCACGTGCCCTGTTCTCTCTTGGGTATTTTGCTGTGGATGCATGTGATTCTGATCTCACAAACGGCTGGTGTGCTTTAGAAATTGAAAAATAAATGAGAATCCAAAGACACCGACAGATCATGTAGAATTTAATTTCAACTGTTACTTGAAGAGAAGTTGTGAGAAAACACCCACTTTCTGAAAGTAATCTTCTCTTTAATAACACTGGTTGGAGATTTTCAAAATGGCTATACACACACATTTATACACATTTATACACACATATTTAAATTTTTATAGTAATAGATGTAATGGATTGTCTTACCCAAGAATTTAATTTCTGAATAAAAAAAATCTTTCCAAGGTAAATACTTATAATACAATTCTTCCTTTCCTATATGACCACAACTTAATGTAGAACTTTTACAAAACAGTCCCTTCATTTCACTCCCTTTGCTTTGGAATGCTGAGTCAGTGTGCTGTTGGAAATCCCAAGGCTGGGTGTGGGTGGAAATAGTAAGTCATGGGTTTTAAGACGCAGAACAATCAGGAGAGGAACTTTGACTCTGGACTCCGTCTCTTCAGCCCCTTTGTGGATTTTAGCACAGGATAACTTGCAACATCAGCATTTCACTCTTTGCCTGCACTTCTCCTACCTTTGGGGCAGGATTAGGAGCTCTTTGAGAGTAGGCTCTGTTTGTTATTCAGATCACATGGCATGCAGTTGGCAGAAAATAGATGCATGTTATTGATGATGCTGAGAATACCAGGATAGACAGCTGTGGGAGGTGTTTCACTCTTAATTGTGCGGCATGAAGAGCAGTCAGCAGGAGAGTTGGCAGCTGTGACTTCTAGAATTCCACTTAAGAAATGGAGCGCCACTGATTCAGATCACCAGAGAATCTCATGGGTACACCTCAAAGGCAATATGACAAACAGTGTGATCAATAGTCATTTTAGGGTTCTCCTCTGCTACCAGTGTGTATTCCATGAAAATAGGCATGCCAAAAAAAGGAATCTTAAGCCTGTGAACCATGGAAAGGGTCAGAAAATAGCTATGGTAGCAGGCAAAAACTAGAAATGTCAAAAATTGGGCAGAAGAGAGAAAGGAGAAGGTAAAAAAGCAGATGAAAAGAATACCTTGTATAACAGAAAACCAAACACCACATGTTCTCATTTATAAGTGGGAGGTAAAAGATCAGAACACATGGACACATAGAGGGGAACAGCACACACTGGGGCCTATTGGAGGGTGAAGGGTGGGAGGAGGGAGAGAATCAGGAAAAATAACTAATGAATACTAATGAATACTAGGCTTAGTATTCTGGGTGATGAAACAATAATCTATACAACAAACTCTCATGACACACTTTTACCCATGTAACGTAACAAACCTGCACATCCTGCACATGCATCCCTGGACTTAAAATAAAAGTTAAAAAAATACCTTGTATAAAATAGAAGGTGGGGGAATACAGGGCTGGGAGGGAGAGAGGAACTGATTTCAAGAGCAAACTCACATAGATAACTGGGCTTTTTAAAATGAAAAAATGCTCATCATCACTGGCCATCAGAGAAATGCAAATCAAAACCACTATGAGATATCATCTCACACCAGTTAGAATGGCAATCATTAAAAAGTCAGGAAACAACAGGTGCTGGAGAGGATGTGGAGAAATAGGAACACTCTTACACTGTTGGTGGGACTGTAAACTAGTTCAACCATTGTGGAAGTCAGTGTGGCGATTCCTCAGGGATCTAGAACTAGAAATACCATTTGACCCAGCCATCCCATTACTGGGTATATACCCAAATGACTATAAATCATGCTGCTATAAAGACACATGCACACGTATGTTTATTGTGGCATTACTCACAATAGCAAAGACTTGGAACCAACCCAAATGTCCAATAATGATAGACTGGATTAAGAAAATGTGGCACATATACACCATGGAATACTATGCAGCCATAAAAAATGATGAGTTCATGTCCTTTGTAGGGACATGGATGAAATTGGAAACCATCATTCTCAGTAAACTATCGCAAGAACAAAAAACCAAACACCGCACATTCTCACTCATAGGTGGGAATTGAACAATGAGATCACATGGACACAGGAAGGGGAATATCACACTTTGGGGACTGTGGTGGGGTGGGGGGAGGGGGGAGGGATAGCATTGGGAGATATACCTAATGCTAAATGACGAGTTAATGGGTGCAGCGCACCAGCATGGCACATGTATACATATGTAACTAACCTGCACAATGTGCACATGTACCCTAAAACTTAAAGTATAATAAAAAAAAAAAATCAAAAAAAAAAGAAAAAAAAAATGCCAGCATTCTGTGTTTTCAAGCCAGCAGGAAATGCTTTAGAAGAGTAGCAATATCCTTTGCTGAAGCCCATTTAGTTTCAAAGTGGAAATGTCAATAAGACTTGTGTGCCTGTGCCTCCCAAGCCAGAGGGATCTCCGTGCTTTGTGTTGGGCAGTATAAAACAGAGCTCTTAGGTCTGCAAAGAGTATTTCTTCTGACAATAAGCCTACTGAAAATCAACTTTTATTACATTTTCTTGCACAATCCACATGCATTCTGGTTTTCTTCCTAGCATGCCAGATCCTGATTCATTAGGAGAGAAAAACAACTCCATTTTAAGCACTCTTTTCATTGTTTTCTATCCCATGGACTCCATGTTTTGAAAGATTTTGTCAGCCAAACTGCTTTTGATGAGCAATTTATATTTCCACTTTTCTTAAATCAAATGTATAGACCAAAGCTTTGTTTGGATGGGTATTTTCTTATTACTGATACAATTCCAGCAAACAACTTCGTGTCTGAGATAGTCTGGGAGGCAGGAGTTGCAATTTGACCCTTTGACTGCCAATATAGCTGACTCTATTCGGGCAGTTTTGCCAAAATTGAATTTGAACATCTTGAGGTGGGACAAATGCTGTCTAGTTTTCCTTTGGTGTTACTTTGGCTTCATGCATTGCAATGGAAGGTCTGGCTCCTGAGGGCTCCAGGAGAAGGTATAACTTCCACAAATCTTCTGAATGAATGGAAAATAGCTCTGGATCCTGATTTCTAACATTTACAGTCCCTGAGCATCCTGGAGACCCCAGAATAGAGACCATAACTGGACATTCCAGGTAACCTATGTGGTTTCTGTCTGGTGTGATCACATTCCAAGGCCATCTTTTTTTATGATTAAAATTTGTATTTTGAGGTAACTGTAGATTCACATGCAGTTGTAAGAAATAACACAGACAGATCCCATGTACTTTTTATCCAGTTTCACCCAATGGTAACATCTTGCAAAACTATAATACGATATCACTATAGGATATTGACACTGATACAGTCAAGATACAGAACATCCCTTCACCACTAGAATCTCTTACCCTTTTGGCTTCACACACTTCCCTCCTGCCAACCTCTTTCCTAATCCCCAGCAATAACTAATCTGTTCTCCATTGTCTGTAATTTTTGTCATTTCAAGAATGTTCTATAAATGGAAGCATACAGTCTGTAACTTTTGGGGATTGATTTTTTCACTCAGCATGTTTTTTTTGGAAATTCATACAGGTTGTTGCATGTATTAATAGTTCATTTCTTTTTATTACTCTGGTGTAGATAGATAAACAAAATATATAAATAAATAGTTCATTTCTATAAACAATTTTAGGAACTATTTCTACTTTTTGGCTATTACAAATAAAGCTACAGTATATACTTTATAGTATATACTATAAACATTTGTATATAGGTTTTGGTGTGAACGTAAGTCTTCATTTCCCTGGGATAAGTACCCAGGAATGTGATTGCTAGGCTGTATGGTAGTTACATGTTTACTTTTTAAAGAAACTGACAAACTGTTTTCCACCCCAGGGCATCTTAATCACCAACTATCTCTACAAAGGATAGGCTGTTTCTATTAACTTTTTCATACTTTGCTTATAACTTTTGTGCAACCTTTTCGCTACAATGTACTATGGCAAACTATCACTTAGGCAATATAGAAACTCTCTTATCACATGCCTTTTGTTTTCTCTATTTGCTTGTTCTTTTCATCTTCTGATCTTTAGAGAGCAATAGAGATAATAACCAGCTCTACCCAGAAAGGAAATCAAAATAATCTTTTAAAAACATACGGTAATATCTGCTCCTGTTCTCACCTTGGGTTAAGCAAAAAAGGAAAAGGAAATTTGATCTGAATATTCCAGGAAAAAATAGACTTTAAACTCTGCCTAAAAAATGTCACAACAATTTGATGATGTGGTCAACATTGTGCAAAAGAATGAAAATTTATAAAAAGTGAGTCCCTATGCAATAATCTTAGTTGCTTTTCTTTTTATAGTGAAACATGTTTTTAAAATTACTCTAGTATTAAATATACACTGCACCTTTGTTGAAAGGTGCAGTGCTTTGAAAGTACACTGCTCATTGCTGAAATCCTGCCAGAATTAAAAAATGAGGCAGAAGAATAGCATTTTGGGTCAGGCATTGATCACAGCAAGAGGATGGAAAACAGCGAGTAGTAATAATAGTAACAATATGGAAGCAGAGTGACGGACCCCCAGGGCAAGAAGAGCCAAGTAGAGGTCAATTAGCCCATCTGACTCGTTTAACTGTATTTTGGATGACAGTATTATTCTGCAATACAGTACCTCCACATTTCTTTTCCATAAGCGCATACAAGATGGACACAATTCAATAGTCCCCCTTATCCTAGGGGAATATGCTCCAAGATCCCGAGTAGTTGCCTGAAACCTTGGATAGTACTGAATCCTATATATACTATGTTTAAAAAAAATACATACATACCTATGATAAAGTTTAATTAATAAATTAGGTACAGTAAGAGATGAACAACAATAACCAATAATAAAATAGAACAATTATAATATTGTACCAGCATCCCCACTTTTGTGTTTTGGGCCATTACTAAGTAAAATAAGGGTTCCTTGAACACAAGCACTGTGATAACATGAAAACCACGAGGGCTACTAAGTGACTAATAGACAACTGGCCACTTGAATACAGCATGGAGATGCTGGACAAAGGGAGGTTGCATGTCCCAAGTGGGATGAAGTGGGACGGCCAGAGATTTCATCACGTTACTCAGAATGGGGCACAACTTAAAATTTATGAATTTATTTCTGGAATTTTCCATTTAATATTTTCAGACTGCAGTTGACTGAGAGTAACTGAAACCATGAAAAGTGAAACCATGGATAAGGAGGGGACTTCTGTACCATCTGTTCTAAAAATATAACCAAAAGCTCAAAGCTTCAATTAAAAGAAAAGCCACTCTCGTTGGGGCTTAACTCTGTAAATCTGAGCATAGTAATTTAAGAGACAGGATTGCACATAGGTTTTCATGTCTGAGGGAGCTGGATTTGAATACTGTCCTCACCTCTTCTTAGCTAGCGGTAAGTGTTGGGGGATGATTCTCCATGGGTTTCTCACATTTCTGCTCTTCTTGTGTCAGCTTTTGTATCAGAGAATCTATTCAAGGATGTTTGTATAGTGAATAGTCTTCAAAGATACAATGTCTCCTTCCAGGTCAGGGAGCAGATGTGTTTGCTAGATCATAAAATTAATGGCATTTTTGGGGAAAAAATTTGGGTGAGTTTACTAGCAGCCCTTTTACAAGACTGGAAGTTTCCTAAGCTTGGGGTTCCTTAGCTCTCAGGCCCATTGCGTGTGTGTCATCCACCTGGACTGATCCCCATTGACTTCGTGGGACTTGGAAGGTAAGGGGAACTTGAGTGACCAACCATCCCAGTTTGCACAGGACTCTCAATGTTAAGTTGAAACAGTCCTGGGCAAAATGATCACTTTAGCTGGGAAACTGATGAGTATCTGATGCTTACACAGCTGTCTGCTATGTCATGAAAATTAAGTCCTTTGTCTCTGACCCAGGAATCATATGTCTTTTGTAAGCACACATGAAACTGGCAGCCTAACTCATTAGCTTGCAAGTAGGGTAAAGTCTCAGACACCTCACAGTTTTTGATAGTGAGATGTTTGGCAAGTCCTTCTCTAAGCCTCCATTTTCTTTACTGTTAAATGCAGATGTCAACATCTGCCTCAGAGAGTTGTGAGTAAGAAATGTACCAGTTTTTCAGAGTCCTCAGCCTGACCACTCTGCCCAGGACATAAGTCTTCAACAGATGTTGACAGTTTGTAACTATAATTCTTATTAGATATAATTGCTCTAATTCAATCATCTAACTGGTTGGGTTGGTGTGGTTTGTATATTGGTATCTTCTTCTCTGTGTCTTTACACAATGGAATGTGTCAGATTTTAAATGCCCAATTAAGTATTTTTAATCATTTTTATTACCAAGATCAGATTGATTCATGGTTGAGTCTAGTTACTGATTAAAATGTCCTTCAACTGGATAATTCAGTAACCTTATAGTTGTTGCACTTATTGCAAAGCTCTTTGTAATCTGGTAAAAACAATGTCTAATGGTGTTTAATGAATGACCTTTGACCTTCCTTAAAGCTTTCCAGGAAATCAAGTTCCAGGTAACACTCTTGAGAGATTATCTGCATGGAGTAATATGGCAGCATTTCACTTTGATCGTATAAAATAAATGTCATATACATACTCATTCATCTCAGCTGCCATGGCAAACAAAGTTGGAAAACAGCATTCCCATTTTTTTTTTGTATTTCCAAAGATTTTATGTATTTTTGTTGTTGTTGATATGTGATATATTTATGGCTCTTTTTTCTAAGAGTCAGAGACAATTTTCTTTTTTCTTTTTACATATAGAATCTTTCTCTGTTGCCTAGGCTACAGTGTAGTGGCACGATCATGACTCACTGTAACCTGGAACTCCTGGGCTCAAGAGATCCTCCCACCTCAGCCTCCTGAGTAGCTGGGACTGCAGGTGCGTGTTACCATGGCTGGCTTATTCTTGTTTTTCTTATGGAGATGGGGTCTCAATATTTTGCCCAGGCTGGCTTCCAACTCCTGGCCTCAAGTGATCCTCCCACCTCAGCTTCCCAAAGTGCTGGGATTATAGGCTTGAGCTACTACACCCAGCCGACAATTTTCTTCAGAAGAAAAAGAATCCCAGTTTTTCTTGATTTGGAGGGATTCAGAATAACAAACATCTGGGCAGTCTTTTGCTCATTTGGAGACGTGGATAATGCTCATATTTTGTGTGACAAAGGAACATAACATTCCTTTCATGGTTACAAAAAAAGCATATTTAAACTGAATATGGTTGTGGGATGATTTGAAACTGTCTAGGAAAATGGATCCCATTTGGGACACTATGATTATACCTCAGCCAGTTCATTTCATGTGCAAGACAAGAGTGACAAACAGAAATGAAAACCCAGGGCCTCTGCCTCTACTCAGATGTCATAAAGAGTGGGTAGAGTTCACACATTATTCTATTTCTGTTCTTAACTACTGATTTCCATTTCACTTGCAGGCTCAGTTCAGTTCTGGTTGTTTTGCAAATGTAACATGAGACTCAGTAAATTCACTCCGAGGCCATCTGACTTTATCTTTTCTGCACTGGCAACTGCCTTGGTAGTTTCCTTGGATCAAACATGAGGATTTATGGCTTGATGTTTATTTGTAGGAGATAGAAAACAATCAGAAATGTTGCCTAAAGGGAGCCAATTCTTGGTGTGATGTAACCATATGAACATGGGCATCCCTCTCTGACCAAAGTTGGAAATCCTCCAACAGCCTCAAATGTTCTATTAGTTTCTGTAAGGAAACTAGACCCATCAATAATAACCACTAATGTATATTCTGATTTTTTATCTTATTTTTTTTTTATGATGGAGGTAAAATTGACATACTATAAACACATTTTTATATTTGAAGAACTGTTTGTTCCCGTTTTCCTTTCAAATCCAGTGGCTCTGCCCAGAGCCAGGAACTCCTTTCTCCATCTCCTAATGGCTCAAGCTCTGAACATGCCTTTCTTCACCCCAAGGTCTCATCTTTAGACAATGTCCCCTTTATTCTGTAGGCCCAAGGCTCTATGGCTTTGTCTTACTCCTGTGCTATTAAGGAGATGTATATTGGCAGCTCTCTTGGCAGTTCTAGAGCCTACTGCCCCATGACTCCATCAGGCTTTCATTTACCCTCCACTCTTCCTCCAGGACAGGCCTCCATCTCTCCCCCACAGGGTTGCAGTTCTGCAATTCTGCCCTAGGTTTGTTTGTTTGTTCATTTGTTTTATTTTTATTTTTATTTATTTATTTTTTGCTTCAGTTGAGTGCTTTCCACAGCCTTGGGAGACAGCTTTGGATGAGTGGTGACCTCTGCTGAACCCTGGCCTTCCCGTCCAGGTTGTGCTCTGTGGTTTTGCCTTCTGCTGCAACCCTACTATTGGTCCCTGTATTCATCTTCTTGGGCTGCTGTAATAAAGTACCACAAACTGGGTGGTTTAAATGACAGAAATTTGGCTGGGCATGGTGGCTCACACCTCAGCACTTTGGGAGGCTGAGGTGGGTGGATGACTTGAGGCCAGCAGTTCGAGACCAGCCTGGCCAACATGGCAAAAACCCATCCCTACTAAAAATACAAAAATTAGCCAGGTGTGGTGGCGCACGCCCGCAGTCCCAGCTACTCAGGAGGCTGAGGCATAAGAATTTCTTGAACCTGGGAGGTGGAGGTTGCGGTGAGCCGAGATCACACCACTGCACTATAGCCTGGGCAACAGAGCAAGACCTTGTCTCAGAAAAAAAAAAAAAAAAAAAAAAAAAAAAAAAAAAAAAGAAGAAGAAGAAAAGACAGGAATAATCATCAATCAACAAACCCTATTTCCAAATAAAGTCATGTTCATAGGTACTAGAGGTTAGGACTTCAATATCTTTTGGGGGAACACAATCCAATCCATAACAGTCCCATTGCTTTCACTCTGCTTTTAGTGAAGGACCAGGAAAAAAGCCCGTAAAGAAACTGATCTGTGACTCAGGCCATGGCATGAGCCCAGGCAGCTGGCTCAGGGGCAGTGAAGGCTAAACTCCAACTAGGCCCCTCTCCAAGCCATGCCCCCTGAGCCTTCTACCACAATGCATGACACATCCCATGAGGTTTCAACCACCCAAAAGGTTTTTGTTTTGCTTTTTTGTTTTTGTTTTTGTTTTTTCCTAATTTGCACCAAGGTGCTCTACAAGCTGGCTGAAGTCTCATAAGGTGAATGTCTGGTTTATTCATGGATATCTGCTATGCTGAACACAGATTTTTTTTTCCAATTCCGTCATATTAGGCTTGTGATCTTATATAAGATCTGTAGTTTGTCTTGCTTTAAAAATGAGTTTAGCCTTTCTTTTAGCAGAAACAGCATTACGATTATAATTTTTATGATCAGTTCAAAATTGGTTTTTCTGTAAAAACTGTCAAGGTTCAGAAGAAGGCAGCATAACAAGCCTATGTGTGTGGGATGAATTAGAATCCAGGCAGGTGAGGCAGCCTTGCTTCCTGCCTCCCCTCCGTTCAGCCTTCACATGTGCCTCACAGGCTCAGCATATGAAAAGCTGGAAGAAACAATGGTCGCTATTTTCTCACAGCAGCCAACTGTGGAATGAAAATGGAGATCTTGACTTGCTTATTATTTGCAAAATTCCAGATATATTTCGCTAGTAGTTTGTAATTAAAACAGAAAATACCATCCACCACAGTGTGAACCTCCTCTCCCAGTAGCATGATTGAGCACTGAAACATCTGAATCACTTTTAAATCTAGTCATTGTCCATTCAATTCGTTGGACCACAGTAGCCCAGGCTCAGCTTTCTAATTCTGGAGTTTGGCAAACATGGACAGGATCTCGGTTGTTCACTGGGGATGGGAGTGCCAGCTTTGGAGACCAGCCTGAACAGCATCTGTCTCTCCATTTAGTGCTGACGCTGTGCTCAGCCTTCTCATGAATTTATTTGTCTGGGCATCTTTGCCAAATGAGTTGGGTACATCTGAATGGGGACCATATTTCCTTGCCTACAACCTCTCTGGAGAGCTCGCAGGTACAGGACTCTGAGATAATGACATAATTGCTCAGTATAAGCCATAAAAAAATCTATGGTATATCCGAATCTACTGTGGGGATAGATTTAGGGGTAGATTAATAATTTTTGTCAGCATATACTGCTTTTCTAAGTAAAGTCTGAGCATGTTCTCCTAATATTTTTAGATAAAATAGAGGATTTTTACATTCCTTTTTCTTTTTATCTATAGTGATGGTTTACTGCTGTGCAGAAGAGCCCGAGTTTTGCTCATTAACTCATATGTTCATACAAATATTATAATAAAATATTCCCAGGTGGTTGAATCAGAGACCCAGGAGCTCCAATGTGAATGGTAGATAGGGCTTCTTAGAAGCAAAATGAGAGTGAATATCCAAGAGATCTGTGAAAATGACCTTGGGAAGGGATATCCCTGGAGGTCCACTTTATAGATGTCCTGTAACAAAAAGAAGCAGGGGCCATGAAAAGCCTCTCAGGGCCGGTGCTGGCTGCAGCAAAGTCAGGGCCTCAGGGCAGTAGAGGTCCCCCAGGCAGAGACCAGGTTTAGGGCCTGCAGTGTTGGCCATTGGTACTGGGGTGGGAGGGTGAGGGAATGGGGAGGCATTTGTGGCAGGTGGGGAGATAGAGGTGGGAGCAGTATGGGGGGATCAGTGGAAAGGGATGGGTGAGACGCTGTAGTTCTCAAGGGCACAGCAGTAGTCCCCACCGCCATATCACTTCTGCCCTGTGGTTTTTGGGTGTCTTCCCAAATGCCCAGCCTCCGAGCATGGTTCTCCAGCTCTCCTGGCAATTTTGGATGAGCCTCTCTCAATCCTCTTAATAAGTCCCTTTTCTGCCTAAATTAACCAGAGTCAGTGTCTGTCACTTGCAGCTAAGACCCTAACTGATTTGGGTATTCCGCTAGGGAAGCCAGAACTTGAAACTAGGCAGCTGGACTACAGAGCCCACACTCCTAAGCCCTGCAGGAGCCCCTTCTACCATGGTTCAGTCACTGTGCCAGGTACCAGGCCCGGTGCCTTCTGAGGGGGACCATACAGATGATTGTCCAAAATGGAACACTTTTGTGAATGAAAAAGGATTCTCTTTATAATTATGCCAGGACTGTTCTAAGCTTCCTACCTGTATGCCCTACTGAGGAATTATGGCTTTTTCCTTATGCTGTAGAGGTTAATGGGATCTGCTGAAAATTATATGTATAGTTTAGGGCCCAGAGCTAAGGGTCAGACTCAATTCTATTTCAATTCTCCAACTGCAGTGGTTAGTTTTATGTGTCAACTTGGCTGGGTTAAGGGATGTCCAGATAGCTGGTAAAACATTATTTCCGAGTGTGTCTGTGAGGGTGCCCTGGGAGAGATGAGACTTTGAATTGGTGAACTGAGAAAAGAAGACCGGCCCTTATCAATGTGTGTTGGCATCACTCATCTGTTGAGGGGCTGACTAGAATGAAGAGGTGGAGGAAGAACAAAGTTGCTTTCTTCTGGATGTTTCTTTTCTCCTGCCTCAGTCATTGGAGATTCTGGTTTGTGGTACTTTGGGGCCTTATATAAGTTGTTTCTCCCTCCTTGCTTGCCAGTTCTCAGGCCTTTATATTTGGACTGAATTACATCACTGGCTTTCCTGTTCCTCAGCTCCAGATGGCAGATCTTGGGATTTGTCTGCTTCCATAATTGCATAAGTCAATTTCCATAATAAATCCCTTATCTTTCTATCTATCTATATCCGATTGGTTCCATTTCTCTGGAGAACTCTGACTAATACACCAAGGTAAAGTCAGTAATGTCTATTCTGCTAAATGTCCATTTAATAATATGAAAATCCTATTTAAAGAGTAGACTTTTCTAGAAGGATAATACCTACCTGCCTTTAAGTGCATATGCAAAAGTATTCTAGATAATGCTCACCAAGGGCAGTAAGTTTAAGAAAAAAAATGAAGCAAAAAGGAAAGAACTGCATTATTTTTAAGGAGTCCATGAAATTAACAAACCATGGAATGAATTGGTAATTGAGGATATACCTGAGATAAGGTTAGTGGTTCCATGGAAATACATAGGGCAGAAGCATACAGAGATGTTTTATGCTCTTAGCTTTTCCTTTGAGCAGGGTCTTCCATTTGTTTGAAAGAAATATATATGAGAAGCTGCAGAAAAGAGCGAGGCCTCAAAGGGCAGTCAGGCCACAAGACAGAATTGGTAAACTGCCTTCCAAAGAGGGTTTCTGTCAATTGAGAGGCCCTTGGTTAAGCATCTTAAAGAGTTTGGATCTGCAGGCATGGCCTATGCAAAAATGGGCTTGAAGCTGGAGCAGAGCTTAAAGGCTCTGCACAGATCAGGGAGGAGGAAGTACAGAAGGAGAATAAAGGAGGGAGAAGCCAGAGGGACTGGGAACCATATGGAGAAGTCTTGGAGAAAAAAGCTTTCCTACATCAATTCTGTTGGGGGGCAAGACTAGAGGGGGCCTTTAAGAGAAGAGAAGTATCTAATGTGCTGCCTGATTTGACCTCTCTTTGTTACCCACAGAGCTTCAGTAAAGACCAGAAAAATGAAATCCAAATGCTAGGAGTAATGAGCTTCTTGTGACAGTCAATGTTCTGCCTTCAAGTTGGCATGGGACCAGGATGTAGTTAATGCAGTGGGGTGAAGGGGTGGCTGACCAGTGGGCATCTTCCTTGATAAAAGTGTGCTTATTTTTTTTACAGGATACAAAATTACGGCTAGATAGGAGGAATAATAATTTCCAGTGTTTCATACCACTGTAGAATTACTATAGTTAATGATAATACATAATTGCAAGTAGCTAGAAGGAGGATATTGAATGTTGCCAACATTGAAACAATGTTGGATACATGTTTGCGATGGTGGATATGCTAAGTACCCTGATGAGATCACTGTACATTACACATATTGAAACATCACGATGTACCCCATGAATATGTACAATTATTGTTGATTAAAAGTAAATACATATATAAATAAAATAAAAAGGTTAAAAAGTTATAAATGTGCTTATTTTGAAAGTTGGCAAGGAGTCAGGAGAGGGAGGGAGGAAAGAAAACTCAGTGGACTAAGGAGACCATAACTCTGGGAGAGCTGACATTGATGAGATGGGGAAAAATACAGAGAAAGATAAAAAGGGTTAGAATTCCAGAGGGAATTTGAGAAGGGAGCTCTGTCAAGATTTTAGCTCAAGTACAGACATGGAGTGACAGCATGGTGAGAAGAGGGACAGGTGATGCAGACATCCCTGTATCACTGAGGCTTAAGTAGCTTGCACCACAAGTCATAGAGAAACATGGTTAAGAGGCTCGGCTAGGCAAAAAACTTGGAATGCCTGGGGACAAGTTTAAGCAATGTTGTTGAAGATTACCCTACTGAGCTTTGGTGAAGCCATGGGCTTTGTTCACCCATCTGCCTTTAATTTTTCTTTCTCCAAATATTGCTTATTATTTCTCCAATTATGCCTAGTAGATTAAGCAGGTGGCTGTACATGGTGGAAAAGGGCACACTTGTGACTTTTCTCCTAGTCCTACTTCTTCCTCTGTTCACTTCTAATTTCTGTCCATCCTCCAGAGCAGAGAGTGCAAACATTTTTTTTTATCATAAAGATTGTTGAATATCAAAAATATCCAGGCCAAGCATGGTGGCTCATGCCTGTAATCCCAGGACTTTGGGAGGCTGAGGTGGGTGGATCACTTGAGGTCAGGAGTTCGAGACCAGCCTAGCCAACATGGCAAAACCCCATCTCTATTAAAAATACAAAAATTAGCTGGGTGTGGTGGTGAACACCTATAGTCCCAACTACTTGACTTGGGAGGCTGAGGCATGAGAATTGCTTAAACCTGGGAGGTGGAGGTTGCAGTGAGCCGAGATTGCACCACTGCACTCCAGCCTAGGTGGCAGAGCGTGACCCTGTCTAAAAAAAAAAAAAATCCAGGAAAATTATAAGAGCATTTGTTTCTACTGATTAAAAAATGCATACAGTCAAAAATATTGCTAATGCAAAAACATTTCAATGGAATATTTATCTTATTAATTTTAACAGCATCTATAAACAGTTGAAAATACACATGTATTTGTTAGGATTAGACTACCTGTAACAGAGATCTGAAAAACAGTGGCTTAAATAATGTACAATTTATTTCTCTATCACATGAAATGTGGTGTAAGGCTCCACAATCACTGGCAACCCAGGCTACTTCCAGCTTTTGACTGCATAGTCACTAGAGTGGGGCTCTTGTCATCACTATCCAAGATAGAAGTCTATCTAACATTTCCACATCTCGAGAAGTAGGGTGAAGGAAAGAGGAAGAGAAGGAGCCAAGGGCATACATCTAAGTTGTCTCTTAAGGAAATTTCTGGAAATTTCCATGTTATCTGTTACATCCCATTGGCCAGAGCCTAGTCATACCTTACATCTAGCTGCAAGGGAGGCTGGGAAATTGGGTCTTTATTCCTGGCTGTCATGTGCTCAGATAAACTGTGGACACTCAAGAAGAGAAAATTTAGAATGTGCTTATTTTGAAAGTTAGCAGGGATTATTATTAGAGGTAACTAGCATTTTCTGCCCCAACAGATATGTGTCATTTGCCCACAGCCACATGGCAATTCAGTCCAGGGTTGGGACTAGATAGAAGCTAGTTCTCCTAGATTTCCTGCTGCCTTCTGTCTCATATCATTTTTATTCTCGCTCCTTATCTTGTCCACTGAATGGCATACATATCTGTCTCATGGGTAAATGCCTCTCTAGCTTTCTTAAATTGCCATTTTCCCTTGTGGGTGTGTGACATTCTGGTAATATTTAATATACGTGATACTGTGTATGAGTCTTCTTGCCACACTTAATCCCACATAGCGTAATACTCTCAAGTCACCATAGATAAGATATTTGGGGTTTAGGATGGTCCCTGAGGCACCTAAGAAAGTGCAGAGAAAGCAAGGAGCAAACAAGAATTGGTTGCAGCTCATGGAGTAATTCTCGAGATAATCAGGGGAAGCTGCCTTTGGCAGAGACTGAGACTTACATACCCTTGAGGGTATGTAAGAGGGTGAAATATGTGAATAATAAAGGAAGTCTTAGTGCTTGGGTGGTCTCTTGTGTAATATACTTTCAGAAGGTGAAAAAATATTTACGATTTTTGACTGTGTTGTTGCTGTACACAGCTCAACACTAAAGATGGGAGCTTTATCATTTGAACAGGGCATAATAACCATGGGTTTCAATTTCTTTTTCTTTTTCCTTTGTGCACTATTTTGAAGTAGCAAGTAAAATTGGGGTATCAACATTTGCAGAAAATTGACACATCCTACTCAACATTGTATCTTAACTTCCAAATCTTGCACAAATTCTTCTTTTGGGCAACTATCTCACCTTTGAAATTAAAAAAAATGTATATAAAACTAATAACTTTTTAGCCCTTTTACAAGGCCAGACCCTCATTTTTGATCACAGCAAAAGAATGAATGCATAGATATAATTGGATAGATGTGGATATAGGTGTATTTTAGCTTTGTATGCCTTTCTTCAGGAAGAGGAACTGTGGAGCCAACTCTTGACTCTGGTGTGAAATCTCTTTGACTGATTCACTGCTCTCAGCATGATGAGGCAAAGGAATCAGTTTGGGTGTACTCAAGGAAGTGGAATTACTAGGAGTATTATAGAGGAAAGGATTCATTACACAATTGTGGGAGAAGCTGGGAAAGTAAGGCCTGAAAGGAGGAATTGGAAGATCAGAGAAAAGTTGCTAATCTGCCCCCAAGATGGGCAATTTGGAACTTGTTGGGGAATCTGGGAACCCAGATACAGTCAGTTGCCAGAGTTGGACCGTGAGGGAAAGCTGGTTGAAAGTTGTGATCTCTGCATAGCAATTGCTTCTGAGGGTCTGTAGCCAGGCATCTGGCAGTGGGCTGTTGGATGCGGTTGGTCAGCAGTGTTGGCAGTTAGCAAAAGCTGAACACAGAGCAGGAGAGAGCAAGAAGCTGCAAGCTGCCGCCTCCTCTCCATCTGTCTGTCAACTTCAGAGAATAATGGCTACTGCTTTACTCCTGCCTTACAAATCTTGCACAAATTCTTCTTTTGGCCAGCTCTCTCTCAGAACCATATGGGGGTTCTGGGAAATGTAGTTCTAGATTAACCCAGTTGACACAGTACACATTCCCATAGTAAAATAGCCAAATAAAGGAAAATCATTGTTTGTACATTTTAAGGAAAATTCCAATATTAATGAGCCCCCAGTTCACCTGGTTCATATATTCACATGTACGAAAATGAAAAGTCATAGAAAATTTGCCAGTTGCAAAATATCATACAATGTTTACATTTTATAAATATGAAATTGCTGTAAAATCTTGCCCTTAAAATTCCCATTATAGATATGGTTTTGATTTCTAGTAGGTAGAGGGGAAAACTGTCCAAGAGAATTAGTTGAAATATTGAATGCTTTCCAGAGTTTGACAGAGTATTAGGAACAGAGGGCTATACTCTGTGGACCATAAAGTATCCCACGCCATTTACAAAGGCGATTTATCCCAGTAACAATTTTACTCATAGTGTCACACTTGGTGCTTATTGATGCTCATTACAAATTATTTCCCGTAGCTCCATTATGCTTTAATCTCAGCTGTTTTCTGGCACATTAACAGTATGGCAGACCCCCAAAGGAAGGCTGGTCACAGACTTAATGTTATGCAAAAAATGATTTGGCCAGTGAATTGGATGGATTAGAAAACTCAAGTAGGATCTTATTCTCCTCAGAAGACTCCAGGAGGCTGTGGAACCTCAAGTGTGGATAGCCGTGTCCTCTTTATAGAGTAGAGGCCTCAGAGAAGCGTTAGGTGGAGAGCTGCCAGAGAAGAGGCCGCTTTAGTCTTGTTTTTTTGGAAACTAACATAATATTCGAAAGTATGTGCCACCGTTTCAACCATGAAACATTATCCATTCCCTCCCAGGCTCTGACTAGGTTGCGAGGCATCAAGAGGTTGTGTCTCTTCCTCCAAAGGCTTCCATGAGCCATCTGCAGGGCTGGCCCATGGTAAACCCGTGGAGGAGGATGACAATGCCTTCTCTACTGCCTTTCCTTCCACTCTCTTTGGCCCTTTAGACACTCCCTCCCCTGGTGCTAGGTGTCCTCATGAAGACTTTTGTTTTTGTTTTTGTTTTTGTTTTTGTTTTTGTTTTTGAGACAGAGCAGTCTCATTCTATTACCCAGGCTGGAGTTCAATGGCATGATCTCAGCTCACTGCCACCCCCGCCTCCCGGGTTCAAGCAATTCTCCTGCCTCAGCCTCCCAAGTACCTGGGATTACCGGTGCGTGCCTCTGTACCTGGCTAATTTTTGCATTTTTAGTAGAGATGGGGCTTCACCATGTTGGCCAGGCAGGTCTTGAACTCCTGAGCTCAGGTGATCCATCCACCTCAGCCTCCCAAAGTGCTGGGATTATAGGCGTGAGTCATATCGCCCGGCCCTCATGAAGACTTTGATTGTCCAAGGTCACTCAGTGTCATTCACTCCTTAGGCCAGCTTTCACTGGCCAGTGCCTTACTTCAGACTTTCCATTTTCTCTGCTCCTGTAAAAATGTTCCATTGCAGTGTCCCTCTGAGAGCTTCCCTCAGCTACTATCACAATACTGCTAATGGCTCCAACAATGCTCAGTCAATAAAAGCCTCCTTAATGGTAGCAATTGGGTGTGTCTGGCTTCCCAGGTTTCCCTGCCAGTTCCACATTAAACAATCTGATAGGACGATAATTTGGGCAAGGTTTTGGAAGTTTCCACTGGCCACCTACTCCACCTACATGTAGGGTAAATTACACACATAAATGTCTGTTTGGTTAGTTGTTAATGCAATTGATGGCTAGTGATTATTCAAACTCAAACTTCATACAAGTTTTGCATCTGTTAGGTACTTAATAAATGCCTGTTGGCTGAAGTAGTTTTGAATAGTCTTTGTTCAAGGATTTTACTCTCTAAATTACAGAGACAATGGGACATCAATATTCCAGGAAAGAGTTAGCAGGAGTTTCAGAGGAAGAGTGGTAATTATGGATGGCAGGGTTGGGTGTGTGGCCAGGTGAGCAGAATCCCTAGCAAGGATATCTGAGGCTCTAAGCCAGGGAAGTCAACATATTTCAGCTTGTGGCAAGTTTTGGAAAAGGAGATGAGTCATTGTTGGGGTCTATCATGGAAAAGGCCCAACTGCAAGTGTCCAAACCAAAGAACTAACTGAGACCAACTCAGTCAGTGCCTACAGGGATTCAGACCACTCCTATAAGCATGTCCTTTTTCAGCAGGTCTTGGGTCTCTGGATTCCTTTCATGGGTCCTGTCAGGGTCTCAGTCCTACTGGGTTTAGACCCTGCTGTGCAGGGCTAGGAGGTTTAGACCCTTCTACTGTGTTTCTATGGATTTGACCACTCTAGACAGCACGTGGCCAGGTACCTCGCATAAGTGGAGTCTTAAAATATTTATCTCTTTGTGACTGGCTTATTTCACTTAGCATAATGTCTTCAGATTCACCCATGTTGCGGCATGTGTCAAAATTTCCTTTCTTTTCTAGGCTGAATAATATTCCATTGCATGAATAGATCACATTTTTTTTTTATCTTTTCTTCCGTTGATGGACACTTGGGTTGTTTCCACCTTTTGGCTATTGTGAACAATGCTGCTATATTGTGAGTATGCAAATATCTCTTTGAGTCCTGCTTTTACTTCTTTTGGGTATATATCCACAGGTGGAGTTGCTGGATTATATGGCAATTCTACGTTTAAATTTTTGAGGAATTCCACACCATTTTCCACATGTGGCTGCATCATTATACATTACTGCCAGCAATGCACAAGGGTTCTGATTTATTCACATTCTCAGTTACAGTCTTTATTGATGTATCTTTAGTGTGACACAGGTTAGTTTAGCTTACATGCTTACCTGCTTTTTTTTTTTTTAATTTTTTTGACACAGGGTTTTATTCTGTCACCCAGGCTGGAGTGTGGTGGCGTCATTATAGCTCACTGCAGCCTCAACCTCCCGGGCTCAAGCAATCCTCCTGTCTCAGCCTCCCAAGTAGCTGGGACTACAGGCATGCACCACCATGCCCAGCTAATTTTTTGTTTATTTTTAGTAGAGATGAGGTCTCACTATGTTGCCCAGGCTGGTCTCAAACTCCTGAGCTCAAGGAGTCTTCCTGCCTCAGCCTTCCAGAGTGCTGGGATTACAGGTATGAACCACCATGCACGGCCTTACCTGGCATTTTTGACAGCACATTTACCTTACAAAGATTTTGTAAGCTTGCCTTTGAGTGTGGGGGGTTTGAATTGTGATAGCTGTACTGTAACATGAATGGATGGGTTGAACTTGTTTTTGGTGGTCTATACTCTGTTTCCTTGGTGATACCTGTGAATAGTGTCCTGGTAGCCAAATTTAACTCAGCTTTGCTTCTGGAAAATGAAAACATGTTTAAAAAACTTGCTGGATTAGAAATTTCTAACCTCTCTTTAGAAAGATGTTATTGTCTACTTTACTCCAGACTGTTTGCAGCATATCTTGGGTCTTGGCAACATAAACTACTCATAAAAGCCTTCTGGTACCACAACCTGACCAGAAACTCACTGATTTTAAGCAAATATGTATACAAAAATAAAATCTTATTTTAAAAAGTGGGAAGACAAGGACAATATAGAGTGGCAGTTGTGCGAATGGTAGACTTGCCTTTTGATGGGGGTGGTGGCAGGGGGTGGTGATGGGGGTTGGGCAGAGAGAGGAAGCTTCCTCAACTTCCTCCCTACAAGTCTCCGCTGCCCAGGGCAGGCAGGGCTCTTGTGGTAGAGCTGTTGGAAAAGTCACAGGATGTGGCTCCATGTCACTGATGTCCGCATTTTCAATTTGCTGTTATTTAAAGAGCATCAAAAATCCAACATGGAGTATGTTGTTTTTCAAACTGATTTTTATGTTTCTTTGTTTTACTTAATTTCTTGCTTAAATTTTCTAAATGGGAATCCTTTACCCCTGCCTTTAGGAAATGTTTTCTGAGCCAGTTATTCCTGAATCTTCCTGGCTTCTTCTGTTTTGTTTTTTTTTTTTTTCTGAGGAGGCTCTCAGGATTTATGCTCCTGATGGCCTTTCCCAGCTTGGCAGAGAGGGCACCTCAACCAGTCAGGAACCCACCTCTCACCCAAGGAAAGAAGCCAGCTCAACACAGGGATCCACCTGCCTTCAACCCTGGGATAAGCCAGCTTTAGAGCTGATTATTGACCTAGTTACTGATTCCACGCTAGCTTAGTGTGGGTGTGACAAACCTGGGTTAGTCTGGGCAAAGACTGTCGCATCCCCATGAACATGAAGGTAGTAATCCAAGGCCTGGCCTTGTTTCACAAGCGTCTTTGCAGCCAGTGACTCTCCTATTCACCATTGTGGAGCCTCCTTTCTCCTACACACATTCTCCAGACAGGTTCTTACCTGACCTGGGATGGCTGGAAGTGAGGGAAGGGGGAGGGAGGGACTCTGCCTTCAGGAAGCCACGCTCTTGCTCAGTCAGTCATTAGGAACTTGTGCTGACTTGGTTAGGAGGCATCTACTTGAAAACCACGCTGTTAAGCAATGCATGTTCACACACAGACCTTAGAAATCTATTAAGTATTGAGCTGCCCTTCTATGATTGATTAAAATGTCTGGTGCCTTTTGAAAAAATTTTACATGAAAATTAACAAGTTTCTTGTAAAAAAAAGAAAAAAAAGCAAACGCAAACGATAGAGAAAGGTGAAATGTAGAAGCTCCCCATTCCCCCTCCCCATCCCAGCTCCCCAGTGCTGGGTATGTATCCTTTCAGATAAGTTCTACGTACGCACAGGCGCACACACACACACCTTCACATACACTTAGGAAAAAAACCCAAATAGATCATATTGTGCATACAGCTATACCATGTGCCTTTATCAATTATCATATCAGTTAGATCTTTCTATGTTAATTCAGTTTTGTTTCATTTTTAAAGAAAAAGTATAACAAGAAAAGTCATCGGCTTTCTGATAGGTACATATTCAGACAAAGTTCTGTGGCTCCACTAAGCCAAGTTTAGCTGAGAATCACTGGTACAACTGACCCCAGGCTGCCAGCTCCCTGGCCACTGCTGCCTCCTCTCACCTGACCCCCCAGCCCCCATGCATATGCCCATGACAAGGACTGTGGCATCTTATCAGGTACCCATGGAGGTGCAGGCATGAACTCCTGGCAAGGGAGAGTCAGCACGTGGCCAGTTTGGCAGGGAAATGAAAAGACCAGAAGGCCTCCTGGCTCAGTAGTTACCCTGGGTTTGGCAGAAGTACTTCAAAGACTGTCTGGTTTAGTGGATGCTGATGCCATTTCTCCTTATGAATGGTCCAGCATTGGTTGCCAGGCAGAGTCTCCAACAGCTTATGATTTGTTGGTGGCCCAGACATGCTAAGGGAGTCAAATAGCTGGAGTCTTGTTTTTTTTTTTTTTTAATCCCTACCTGTGGTGTGGAGGCATTTTGCCAATTCTATTTTAGGGGTGTAGGGAATGTGGGTGTAGGTGGGGGAGCTTTGATCTTGTATGTAACAATTATAAAGGAACTTGAGCCTGACATATTCCTTCGGAAAGTCATAATTTGAACAATTTCTAGCATTTCGGAGGTTAATTCTCTTGACTAACACCCTCTCTTGTAAACTGCATCTCTGTGATGGTGACTTCTAGACCTTCCTATCTTTTGCCCCAGACGTTCTTAAATTCCTTACCTGTCAGACCTACTTCGTTCCCTGGATTCCCAGGCCTCTCAAATCTAATATGTTCAAAAGCACGACTATTATCTTCACCTAGTTCTTATTTCCATCCATTTTATCACTTAAGAGAGAAACTGCTAAAACATTCTTAATTCTTGCCTTTCCTTCCTAATTGTTGGATAAGTTCTGTTGGTTCTAGCTCAAAAATGTCTTTCAAAATTGCTCCGTTTTTTCTATCCCCTCTGCTACTGCCTCTGTTGAGACTGTCATCATTTCCCAATAAATGTTTATCAACACTACTGCATACCAAAGACACTCCTACCATCCAAGGGTTCATCATTTAATGATCCCATTTAACCTCCAGAGGGATTGTATTAAATTACAAATCTGCTTTTAACTCTTCTCTGCTCAGAAACCTACATTAGCTCCTTGTTGCCTAGGATTCAATGCAACTCCTTGGCTGGACTCGATCTTTTCATGTCATTCACTCCGTCCTGCAATCTTGCTCCCCACCATTCCCCTTAATCTCACCCTCTAGTGGGGTTCCAGTGTACCCACCAGGCCACAAGCCCTGTTTCAAAAATCCTTGTTTTTGCACATGCTGATTGCTCATATGGAACTTCTTTTTAAGATTCTGCTGAAATACGAACTCCTTTCTTCAGTCTTTACCTGCTCTCTGTATTTTCACAACACTTTGCTCAGTGCTTCAGCATGTACTTATCACCCTGTATTGCATGGTTTGCTAATACCTTGGACTCTGCAGTAGTCCCAGTTTCCAGACTGCTGGTAACCGGAAGGAAGGGACTGCATCTTCTTCATGTCGGTATCCCTCACGTTCAGCTTGATGCCTGGCACATAAAGCTAAAATAGGTGGGTACCAGACCGGTCAACTTCTGGGTCACACATCCACCCCCGTGGATAGGTAGGTGTGCAACACTGATGCAGCATTGTGAATGACTATCCCTGTGGGAATGACATAGGATGGGTGCAGTTCTTCGCAGGAAGAGGAGTGCTGGGCAGACAAAGCATCAGATGTCCACTTTAGTTGCATGTTTGTGTTAGGATAGTAGTTCCTTTTACTTGTCATTAAAAAAATAATCATTCAATTTGTCTGTTAGCTTTTATGATTGTGTAGCTGAGGTTCATGAGTGGCCCATTTTATCATATTGAAAGCAGAATAGAGGTTAAAGACAGTAGGTATTTGTCTTAGTTCACTTTCTGTAGCTATAACTGAATACCACAGACTGGGTGATTTATTTAGCTCATGGTTCTAGAGGCTGGGAAGTCTAAGATCATGGTGCTGGCATCCGGTGAGGACCTTCTTGCTGCATCCTAACAAGGCAGAGGGCATCAGATTGTGAGACAGAGCAAGTGTGCTCACTCAGGCCAATCTCTCTTCTTTTAAAGCCACCAGGTCCATCATGGGGGCCCCACCCTGATGACCTTATCTAATTTTCATCACCTTCCAAAGGCTCCAACTCCAATCAACATATGAATTTGGGATTTATGCTTCCAACACAGGCTGGGTGAGGTGGCTTAGGCCTGCAATGCCAGCATTTGGGAGGCCAGGGTGGTTGGATCACTTGAGCCCAGCACTTTGAGACCAGCCTGGAAACATGTTGAAACCCCATCTCTATCCAAAATACAAAAAATTAGTCGGGCATGGTGACATACACCTATAGACCCTACTACTTGGAAGGCTGAAGTGGGAGGATCAGGATCACCTGAGCGCAAGAGGTCAAAGTTGCATTGAGCCGTGGTTGCACCACTGCACTCCAGCCTGAGTGAAAGAGTGAAATAAATAAAATAATAAAGTTTCAAAATAAATAAATAAAGAATAATAAAGTTTCTAACACATGAAATTTGGGGGACACATTTAACCATAGCAGTATTCTAGGACAATGCTTCTCAAACTGCTATGTGCACATAATCCACCTGTTAAAATGCAGGTTCTCATTAGGTTGGGTGGGACCTAAGATTCTGCATTTCTTACAAGCTTGTATTAATCTGCTTGGGCTGCCATAACAAAATACCACAGACTGGATGGCTTAAACAACAGAAACTTATTTTCTCACATTTCTAGAAGCTGGAAGTCTAAGATCAAGGTTGTTTTCTGGCCTCTCTTCCCGACTTGCAGTTGGCCACTATGTCCTCACATGTTCTTTCTTCTGTACATTCAAGGAAAAAAAGAGGGCTCTCTGATATCTCTTCCCTTTCTTATAAGGACACCAGTCCTTTCGGATTGTGGCCCCATCCTTGTGACCTCATTTAACCTTAATTATCACCTTAAAGGCTCTACTTCCAAATACAGTCACACTGGAGAAACACAATGTAGTCCATAACCAAGCTTAAAGTTGAATCTGTGTACTGCTACATCAGCACCACCTACCTGGCCAGCAGTGCTAAAGTGAGCTAGAGGCAGGTCTAGAGCTTTGAGGCAGCAGGAACCAGCCGGAGCTGAGGGCCCCACGCTCTGAGGATCCAGAACGAGTGTGGTTGACTTTCTTAAGATTCTCTGGGTACTGTTCTCTGAGTAGGTCTTCTTTGAATATTAAGACAAACAGTGTCTTTAATTTGGTGATTAGTAGTTTTTTGTTTTGTTTTGTTTTGAGATGGAGTCTCACTCTATTACTCAGGCTGGAGTGCAGTGGTGTGATCTTGGCTCACTGCAACCTCCACATTTCAGGTTCAAGCGATTCTCCTGTCTCAGTCTCCCAGGTAGCTAGGATTACAGGCACCCACCACCACACCCAGCTAATTTTTGTAATTTTAATAGAGGTGGGGTTTCGCCATTTTGGCCAGGCTTCTCTCAAACTCCCAACCTCAGGTAATCTGCCCACCTCAGCCTCCCAAAGTGCTGGGATTTCAGGTATGAGCCACCATGCCCAGCCATTTGTTCAGTTATTTTTCAAGTTGGTTTGAAAGTTTTATCTTATAATAGCCTTTCTTTCATTTTGAGAATGTGTGATAATAGTAAAGGTGGAGAACCTGTGCCCGGAGTGTACCTTAAAGGGCTGAGAAGGTTCCCCAGCACAGATGACTGCACCCTGCCCTGTGGAGAAGGCCGGGGCTTTGATTCTTCGTTTCTCAAGGAGTGATGGTCCTAGAGTGGAGAGTGTCAGAGAAAAATCTTGATCCTGGCCTCAGGTGGCACCTGGTCTGCTCTGTGGGGTTCTAGGGTAGCCCCCTGGTGGGCAACTCCTCTCCCTACTCGGCCAGTTATCCAAGAATTTGAAATTGACTTTCACAGGACACACAGACATAATGAAGATAAATTTGTGAACTATGTGCCATCTAATTCTCTACCCCTTGGTAGAGCCCTCTCCGACCCCAAGTCAGTCATGTATCCCCGCATCCAGCCCACGGGATTACTTGCGGTAGCCTGAGTTGCCCACGTCAGGCTGGGTTCCTCTTACTCATGATGCTGTCTCTGACTCAAATGCGCCGCCCCCCCAGGGCCATCTGTCAAGATCCTGCTGTCCTGCTTCCACGTACCTCTTGAGTGAAGCTCTACTTAAAAAAAAAGTTACTGAGGTGAAATTCACGTAACAAAATTAACCACTCTAGACTGAACAATGCCATGGCAATTAGTACATTCACAGTGTTATGCAACCGCCATCTCTGTTTAGTTCCAAAACAATCCCATCATCCCAAAACAGAACCCCACACTCATTAAGCAGTCACCCCCCACCATTCAACACTTTCCCCAGCCCCTGGCAACCACCAATCCACATTCTGTCTCTATGGATTTGCATAACCTGGATAATTCATATACACGGGGTTATACAATACGTGACCTTTTGAGTCTAGCATCTCCCACTTAGCATAACAGTCTACAGGTTCATGCAAGTTATAGCGTGTATCAGTACTTCAGTTCTTTTTACGGCTGCATATTATTCCATTGTATGTGTGTAGCCACAATTTGTTTACGTCTTCATTCGTTGACGGACATTTCAGCTGTTTCTACCTTTTGACTCTTGTGAATAATGTCGCTATGAATGTTTGTGTACAAGGATTTGTCTGAGCACCGGTTTTCAATTATTTTGGGTATGCATGCTGGGTCATGCGGTAATTCTGTGTTTAACTTTTTGAGGAAACGTCAAACTGCTTTCCATAGCATCTGAGTCATTTTTCACTCACACTGGCAATGTATGAGGGTTGCTACTCCTCCACAGCCTTGTTATTGAAGCTTTACTTTTTTGGAGGGGGTGCATTTTTTCTACCTATTTTGTAATTATTAAGCAAAAAGTAGTTTGGTCCTTTCAGCCAAACTTGTCAATCAAGCTTAGAAAACACATAGGATACATTTTGGTGAGCAGAAAGTCTGATTTAATTAATTTAACTAATTAAAAAGGGGTTAACACTGTTTTTCCAATTACTTCATTTACTACAATTTGTACTGAAACTTTACTTTTTAAACCCTTCAGTAACTTCCTCTTGTGCCCAACTCTGACTCTCTCCACACCCAAACCTAACCCATCCCTGCAGCCTACCTCTTATCATGCTATATTGTGATTCTCTGTTCACGTGTCTCTTTGTGTTAGACTTGGCAGTTGCAGACTGGCATTGCTTGTGGGCAGAGAGCCTCTGGTGCCTGCAGAATGTGGACTGGCCACCTCGTAGGTGGGCAATGGGTGTCTAGGAATGTGTTACTAGGAGGGCACAGGGGCGCCCCCTCTTGGCGAGCAGGAATAAGCCTACACACTCTCTCACCTTCCCTGGCCCTGACACTAGCATAACACACTTTATTGACTTTAAAGCGATGAAACGAAGGCAAATGAGACACCAGATGGGCAAGCATGCTGAGCTCTTTGGAGAAAAGAGGCTGTGTAAATCCAAGTCTTTCTTTTATTGAAGAAACAAGGCAAATGACTCCAAATTGTCTTTACTTTATTGTGCCTGAAAAAAGAAAAGTCAGTCCAGATCATGGAAATGGCATTCGGTGGCATCTGAATGGAATCCTCATGCACTAAATGCAAGACTTATGGGCAAGCTGTGAGTCTGGGGTGCTGCACTGTCATCTAGTGATGAGGTGAGAGTGTGCCCCTGCATGACTAAGCCCTTCCTTTTCATTTGTTGTCTGTTGCTGTAAAATTGGAGGAGCATATGAATCCTTCCTGCTGCCCACGTGAGAACATTTGTCACTTCCCATTTATCAAAAGACACCACAAAGGTGCTAAGCTCCAGCAAGGCAAAGGTAAATACAATCTCATCCTACTCTCAATGTGTCCACATGTCAGATGCCACATGCTTTGAAGCCACATACCTGGAATATTTTGAAAGAAAGAAATCTCAGTGGGAAGGAATATAAAATTTGCTTGCAGGCACACATGAAAGATATGAGCAGTTACAGGTCCTTTATTTGGGTTTTATTTGGTCAGTTGGGTCCCATCGTTAGACAAAAAGCTAAATATTTTTCACATGTGTTGGCAGTTTTAGGGCTGTTATAACATTGACTTTTCTAGTACCAATAGATGGGCAGTACGTTAAGTCAGAGAGAAGCATTTGACTATGAGCTTTTCTCAACTGAAGTTACAATAGTTTCCCTTTATCTGTGGGTGATACATTCCAAGACCCCCAGTGGATGCCTGAACCATATATATATTATGTCTTTTGCTATATATATGTACCTACGATAAAGTTTAATGTATAAACTAGGCACAATAAGAGATGAATAACAATAATAATAAAATAGAACAGGCCAGGCACAGTGGCTCACACCTATAATCCCAGCACTTTGGGAGGCTGAGGCGGGTGGATCACCTCTCTACTAAAAATACAAAAATTAGTCGGGCCTGGTGGCAGGCGCCTGTAATCCCAGCTATTCGGGAGGCTGAGGCAGGAGAATGGCTTGAACCTGGGAAGTGGAGGTTGCAGTGAACCGAGATTGCACCACTGCACTCCAGCCTGGGCAACAGAGCGAGACTCCATTTCAAAAACAAAAAAGAAACAAAACAAAACAAAAAAACCAACCAAACAAAAACAAACCCTAGACCATTCTGTCCACACAGGCATCAGCTTCTTATCAAATATTTTCCCATCAGAAATAACTTTCCCTTCCCAAGATGACTTCTGGCTAGTTGATTTTCTCCAGCTCAGCATCCTTGCTTTGCAAACCCAATCAAGCCTTAGGAGCTCTGTGCTGGGAAGCTAATCCTGGGAAGCTTCAGTAAGACCTGCGAGGATTTGTGCACCGCTCAGACGTCCATTTCAATATTCACGACCTGTATTTGGCATTTTCAATAAAATTCAAAAGCAAATGGCTTTCCACCATTACAGCTTATTATGTAGGTGTTAGGAGGCATTCTCTTCTTGTCTCCCATACTCTGTAGCGGTTCCTCCTGCTGTTTTCTGTGGAAATGACCATCTGGTTGGGACTTCCTAGAGATGACCACTAGAGGGCACATGATTCCCAGCTCACAAGCCCTTTACACCGCCAATTCCTGGGGCTTTGCTGCAGAAAAAGACAGTTTTTGTTTGTTTGTTTGTTTGTTTGTTTTCCCTCAGAAACAGGAGGAAAGCACTTGAAATTCCCTGGATGCAGCTAAGACATTTTCTTCAGCATTCATCTGTGAAATGCTGGCTGCAAGCAGACATTCTGGCGGGTAGAGGAAGGACTGTATTCTCTGTTCCCGTCACTCATTCCCACCAAGGGGAGGAGAAAAGGGCTGCAGAAAGCTGCTCAAATGAGTTTTGTTCTTTCTCAGATGGCTAAAGAGAATATACTTGTAGGCCACATGCGTCTATTCAGGCCTCATGGTGTAGTGAAAAGAATGTGTTTTGGAAGTAGACAAACCTGGGATTTATTTCCCACACGCAGGCTTCCTGCCAAGAGGGTGCACTGGCCCGGTCTGCCGGCTCCTCTCCCAAGTCAGCCCTGGAGAAGCTCCAACATTAACTTGAAGGGAGGTAGGGGAGCGGTTAGGGAGACCAAATCACACGGGAGTGTCCCTTGGGCTCAGATACTCTGGAGGGAAAGAGAGAGTGATGGCACTGATAAATTAACGTGGGAAAATAAACATGAGTACGGTCAAACATTAGGAGTGACCAGGATAACATCAAAATTAGAATGCTTAACTTTAAACTAGTAGGTGAAAATCCATGGGAAGTGGAAATGGGAAAAAAAAGAAATTTTAAAATCTTGTATTATGAATGAAAAGTCTGAATTAAAATGCTGAACTAAGTCTTCATAAAATAGTAACTAAATATTGCTCAGCTGCTGCACTTACTAACTCCGTGACCTTGGATAGGTTGATAAACTTTCCTGAGCTTCAGTTTCCTCATCTCTAAAATGGGTAAACTTTGTATGGTCACAAGCTTTCTGGGAAAGTTGAATTCTACGATGCACATGAAACAGGCCTCCTGTGCCTGACCCCTGGGAGATGGCTGGCCTTCTAGTTCTCATCTCTCTTTTCTGTCTCTAGCACGTTTAACATCTGAACACCTATGCAGTCAACAATATTTCCTAAGTGTCTGTCAGGTTATGTTCAGCTGCAAGTGACAGAACACGTTACTTAAATAAACAACAAGGAAAACAGTATTATCTCTATAGTGAGATACAATCACAATATTATTATATAGGTAATATAGTGAAAAGGTATTATCTCATCACAAGAAGTCAAGCAGCAGGGCAGTTCCAGGGCTGGTTGATTCAACGTCTTAGCAAAATCATCAAGGACTTGGGTTCATTCCATACTTTGGCTCTGCCATCCTCAGCAGGTGAATATTTGTCCTTGTGCCTTTCATCATGGCTGTACAACAGCCGCCTCCCACTCACCTAAAAACAGGGATGGGTTGTTTCCTCTCCTGAAACTCTTTAAAATGTTCCTGAAACTGTTTCTCAGAAATCATCCCAGCATATCTCCCCTCATGTCTCACTGACCAGAGTGGGTCACATTGCGCATCCCTAAGTCAGCCTCTGGGAGGGTGAATAGGTTTCCATGATTGGAACAGACCAATCATGAATCAACCTTAGATCTCTCTTGGTCTTCTGGAGTTGTTGGTACTAGAAAAGAAATCAATTACGTAAAGAAAAAGGGAAAAAATGTCTGTTGGGTAGGCAACCAAGACTGTTTTCCAGGCCCTGTATTTGGTGTTGGGCATATAGTAGTTAATAAGTCAGATGCCATCCTGGAAAGCTTACAGTACGGAAGGTTATGGACAAGCAAACTGGTATTTACATTCTAGCGTCTAAGTACTATGCATAGAGAACTAAAGGGCAGTAGCTCATAACTGGTGGTGAAGAAAGACTTTCTGGAGGGGGTGCTGTTTGCCTGAGACCTGAAGGATAAGCTAGGCATTTTCCAGATGATCGGGTATAGAAGTAGAATAAGAGACTGAATGAAACCCTGGGAACAAGAGTGATTATGACATATTCAGGTAACTGAAAATGAGTTACGTGTGGGAGGGGATACTGGGATAGAGGAGGCTAAGGGGTCAGCAGAGGCCAGTCATGAAGGCCTCGGAAACCATGTTGGAATCACATTATGTGAGCAATGGTCTTTAAAATGTGGGGTGTGAAACGAACACAGTGGTTCATAACCGGCATATAAAAATAAAATAATGGCAAATTCCTAAATGGCACTTACTACATTCAATGCACGGCTTTGAGAGTTTTATGTATTTATTAGCTCATTGATCCTCAGAGGTTGGTACTAGTTATCCCCATTCTGTGGAGGAGGGAACTAAAGCACTCACCCAGGGTCACTGTCACCCAGGGTCACAATTCAGGGTTGAATTGTGTCCCCCTCAAAGAGATATGTTGAAACCCTAAACCTCAGTTCTTCAGAATGTAGTCTTATTTGGAAATAGGAATTTTGAATTTAGCAGATGGAATTTAAGATGAGGTCACACTGGAATAGGGGGGCCCTAATCCAATGCAACTAGTCCTTTTTTTTTTTTTTTTGACAGGCTCTCACTCTTGCCCAGGCTGGAGTGCAGTGGCACAATCACAGCTCACTGCAGCCTCAACTTCCTGGGCTCAGACGATCTTCCCACATCAGTCTCCCAAGTAGCTGGGACTACAGGCATACACCACCATGCCTGGCTGATTTTTTAAGTATTTTGTAGAGATGGGGTCTCACTATATTGCACAGGCTGGTCTCAAAATCCTGGGCTCAAGCAATCCTCCTGCCTTGCCCTCCCAAACTGCTAGGATCGTAGGCATGAGCCACTGTGCCTGGCTGAGACCAGTGCTCTTATAAGAAGATGGCCATGTAAAGAGAGAGAGACAGGGAGAACGCTGTGTGAAGCTGGAGGCAGAGATTGGAGTGGTGCATCCCTAATATAAGCCAAGGAGCACCACAGATCACCTAGAATCAACACTGAGCAGGTGCTTAATGAATATTTGTTGAATGAACATAGAAGGAGATATAGTGAGGAATGTGAATGAAATTTAGTCAGACAGTTGTCATTTTTTATGTCCTTGCTCCCCTATCCCCCTGCTACCAACTGCAGAATCAAACACCTCCCCACAGAGCCCTGGCTACACACCTCCCCCTGTGTCCCTTCCACCTCTGTGACTCTGCAATTACATGTATGCCTCTCCTATTCATTATACACCAGAGGAAAGGGATGCCGGTGGCAAGTTGTGTGTCCTCTGCTGAATCATATCCCCACCAACAATGAGCTGAACACTGTTAACAGCTCCGAGTCAGCTGCAGAGGTGCGTGTGACATTTGTGGATGCCCTGAGCCCTGTTCCACAGCAAGGGATTATAGCAGTGTGCACAAATCCTTGTCTCTAAGACCTCCGTACTGTCTCAGAGTGACTGACAGAATTAAACATGGTCTAGACTGATGGGAAGTCCAAGGAGGATTTATGGCCCAATATAAAGAAATGTAAATTTTGTTCTCATTCAAACCAATCCTATGCTACTATTGATTTTTTTTCTAAGTGTCAAGATGAATTCAGCTTTCTGTATTAGGAAGTTGACTCAATCCCAGGGAGGGCTCTGAGCCACCAGACCTCTTTGTTTCTTGGTGTGCACACTGATGGGGATTTGTGGCTCACAGATGCATCGTAATGACCCAGCTGTCACCTGAGTTTTGTTTTAGGGGAGATTGTCCCTGCATCTGAGACATGCAGAGAGGAGCCCATCTAGGGTGATCAACTGTTACAGTTTACCTGGGACTTGCCCAGTTTTCACAGTGAAAGTCCCATGTCCCAGGAAACCCCAAAGTCCTGGGCACACTGAGACAGTTGGCCACTCTAGCAGGTCCCCTCCCACCCTCCCAGTCAAATGGATTGGAAGCAAAACCCAGACTGCCTGTATTTCAATTCTGACCTCAGAACTCACTAACTGCAAGTTGATCTACCACTCTGTGCCTCAGTCTCTCCATCTGTAAAATGAGGATGATGAAAGTACCTGTCTCAAGGGGTTGCTAAAAGATTAGAACACACACACACACACACACACACACACACACACACACACACTGCTTCTTCAATTGTAACTAGCTGGAGTAGGTACTCAGGGAAATGTGAGCAATTGATATTGTCTTATTGTCACGTCTCCACCTGCAGAAATGGGATCTTTCCATTTTTGGGAGCTAGCATTGCTTCCTTGCTGATGGGGATGGATGGTAGAAAAAAATCCCTTTGCTATCTACAAAGGAACATGACTAAGAGACATTTCCAGTGGGAAGATGTGATCTCTCCCCTCCTTTTAACCTTTTGTGTTAAATAAAACACAGATACAGAATATGGCATAAAACAAGTGGATTCTAAATAAGGCCAAAATTCTTGTAACGAATATCTGTGTTGGAAGACAGAAATTTGCCAGCTACCCAAGGAGTCCTCCATTGCTCTGCCCAAACTCTACCCCCTTTTCCTTCCCCAAGAGTGGAAGGAATGCTTATTATATCCAGAAGTGCTCCATTTTATTGTTTTCTTTAGGGCAAAAAAGGTGGCATTGTGGTGCTGTTCAATCATGACTCTCTTATGTCATCTAGAAAACAGAAGGATCCATGTCTCCTTCATTTATTTATTTATTTATTTTTGGGGGGTGGGAGGGGGAGGAAAGAAGTCTGATTTCTAAAGGAAAGGGTTTAAGTAGGAAGTTGTAAATATTACCTTTCTTTTTGCAGCTATGCATACTATCACCTGTAAGAGTGCATAGATCTTGGTGTATGTTGCTTAAAGAAAATAGACAATAGTCACAGTCCATTAAAATCCCATCTGCTTTCTATAAAATGGAAAAGTCATTACTGCTGAGTCAGGGGGTCTCAGACCCATGTTGAGGAAGACATCACCTACTGATTCTTTACATCATTGCAGCTTACAAAGGATAGAGTCACCCCCTTATTTTTCTACCAGGTCAAGTGCTTTTTACACCAAACCATGCTTCTCCCTCAACAGCTGTTGGTATAAAACATTCCTATTGCTATTTTGAATGATGCTGAAAAGAATACAGGGCCCAGCTGTCTGGTTACGGTATTAATTGTAAGATCTAGAAAGGCAGAGGCTGGGTGGATGTGGAAAACTGGGACTTCAGACTTGAGTCACAGAGGCAGGGAACATGCATCCCCGGGGAATGGGTTGTGGAAGAGAAACAGAGCTTAATGGAGGAAACTATTCATTGATGGGGCAGGCAGTTGGAAATAAAGACCAGGAAGCACAATTTGAAATATGGGCTTGTGTATCTGTTAGTATTAGCTTCATCTGCATAGAATAGAAAACCCAAATAAAGGTGGTTTAAATACAATAAAGCTAGTTTCTCTCTAGAGGTATGCAGTCCATAGCTGGCATGTGGGTTCCATGACTGTTAGGAACCCAGACTTCTACCTTCCTGCTTTGCCATCCTTAGCAGGTGAGGTACGTCACCTGCTTTGGGTTCAGGATGGCTGCTGACACACCAGCCATCACATCCAGGTGTTAGGCAAAAGGATGCAGAAAAAAGGTCAACAAGGTGTGTCTTGAAGCAGGGTAGCTTTTTAAAGTAGCCATCCCAGAAGCTACACCTGACAACTTCTGCTTCATTGAGCGTACCTAGCTGAAAGGCAGGCTGAGAAATACAGACTTGGCTTCCTGGAATAAACTGAGATTCTCTTGGAAGGGTTGCCAGAGACAATGAACATGGAGGTGGGGCAGCCTGTCCTCTTTTCCACATATGTTGAGGCAGTAAAGCCTCATGGTTAACCGTGGAGCCTCTAATGCCAGATTACTTGAGTAAGCATCTGGGCTCTATCACCTACTAACTGTGTGATCAATGACAAGACACCTAACATTTCTAAGACACAGTTTCCTCATCTGTGAAATAAAGAAAGTAATCAAGACTCCCGCAAAGGCTTGTGAGAGTCTGATAATGATGTAGATGCAGAGTGCTTAGCACAGTGTTTGGCACCCAGAAAGCAGCTCAAAGTGACAGCTATTACTAGGATTCTGATTTAAAGGGCTTGGGAAGCAAAGTTTCAATAACGTTTATAACATATGATAAAAATTAAATCCCATTCAAACAAACATGTCATCCAAAAAGTATGATGGAGGGGTTCCCAAATCTGGATTGGTGACTCCTTTTAAGTGCAGTTTCCATAGGACTAAATGATTTGAGGTTCCTTGCATTCCCGTATGGGGGGTGTGAACAGTTTGAGAGACTCTCTGTGAACTTCGGGGACATGGGTCTTTCCTGACCCAATTGCTGCCAACCTGGTGAAGATGGAAGGAAAGATGCTGCCCTGACCACACTCAAGCGGGCCAGGCCACCACAGAAGCTCTGCGGCTGGACGTTCTGCTCTCAGACTTGCCCTGTACCCACTCCAGGAGTAAGCCTCTGCTGGTTCCATTTTTTTCTGAGCTTCAGACCATTCTGCTTAGATCATCAGCCTCCTTTACCTCTCTGGAAAGCTCTTTGTATCCACGTTTTGGTGGTCCTGGTTTCTCCTGGGTTCAGGGACCCACCCATTTTAGTCTGCACTTCCCAAAGTGTGTCCTTAGGAACATTAATCTCAAACACGATTCCATTATCAACTATGTGTGGGAAGCACTGTATACTCTAGTCTCACTCTGGGAAGTCAAAATGCACATTAGCATATTAAAGGATCTGAGAAGTCCTGCAAAGAAATACTATTAATCAACCCAATGTTTCCTACTTACGGACTGAGAAAGCTTGGCTTAGAGGTCAGCTTTAGGAGGGTGTGTCCTGAACATCTCAAATTTCCTATAATTCCTAGTCAAATATGCTTTTCTCTCATATGCAGTTTTCTTGTTCCTGGTGGGAGTGGGTGGGGGCAGGGAACTCCTACTGAGTCCCTCTTTTCAGCCAAGGAGATATCTAAGGTTTAAATCCCATTTGCAGATCTGAGATGATCATTATTTTCTTGAAACCAATAAATGATGCATCTTTTCTGGGTGTCTCTTATAAACTCTTCCTACTTTTTTATATTCTCTGCTTATTATAAGAAATGAGATCACGGTTATGAAAGCTGCTTTATCAACCTTTAAATGCTGTATAAATGTTAATTGTCACTGTTACAATGACTCACTCTGGTGCTCCAATCCCTTTCTCCCTGGGATGCAGCATTTACAGAATTGTAGTTTCATAATATAAAAATAATTGAAACCTACACAAATAGTAATAGCCATTTATATTACAAAAGGGTCCGTTCTGTTAGTGTAATAAGAAAATGACTGTAAAGTACATCATCAGTTCTCTGTCAAATGCAGGAAGAAAGAAGTGTAGACATCACTCCCCCTTGAATCCTGAGGTTATATCCAGACACGCAAATCCAGAAACTTCCACGCCGACACGTCCAGACACTCAGAGCTGCCTCCTGCCTGCCCTCAAACCTCCAGGGTCAGATCCTCTAGTTACCCGCAGCTCTGCAGTGGAGCTTTCTTCAGATCACTTCAAAATGGAGATAGTAAACACCAGCTGAGGCTTGATTTGCCCAAGCTCCCAAACAATGGACTCTTCCTTGTTTGTTTTGAGAAGTTTGAACTTGGCTCTGCCTTTCCTGTAGACCGCAGCAGTTTTCACAGACACAGCCATACAAATATTGTATGATTCCACTTATAGGGGGTACCCAGAATAGGCAAAGTCACAGAGACAGAAAGTAGGGTAGAGGTTACCAGAAGCTGAGGGGAAGGAAGAAGGAGGAGTTATTGTTTAATGGGCATGGAGTTTTTGTTTGGAATGATGAAAATGTACTGGAAATGGATGGGGGTGACAGTTGCACAGCACTGAATCATTCAATTAAAAAAAAAGCTAAAGGGTAAATGTTATGTTATATATATATATATTTTGCCACAATAAACCAGAGCAAACAATGACAACAATAACATATTTGATATCAATTCCCCCAAAATGGTGTCATCCCCTGGGGACAGCTCCTAATCTGTGTTGTGTGGCAGCGACATGGTCATGGGAGGGAGGGTGAAGTGGACAGGATCTCCAGTCCTGGGAGAATGAGCCCCATATGGGAAGACCCAGCCAGGAGTGCCCGTCAGGCAGCTGCAAGCATCTCCTAGCACTGAGAGCTCGCGTGGGTTTGGACATCAGCAGGAAGGCTCAGCTCATCTTTCCTAGGTACCTTTCTTACTTCTGAAGACAAACCGAAAAGTTTTTTTCTTTTGACAGAGGCTAGAAAGTGTTAGAAAGCTGTCCTGGTTGAGCAGGTCTGCTTCAGTCTAAGGACTCCGTGAGAGGTGCGTGGGATCACAGAAAGCCAACTTTGAGAAAGTAGAAGCACAGTGGAGTCTACTCAGGAAACACAGCATTTCTGGGGTCTTTCTGTTGGTGAGGGAAGGAGACAGGTTGCTTACTGGAAAGAGTTTAAGACAGCGGCCTCTAGGTGGTGCACAGACCGTGATAAATACCTGAGAAGAGGATGAGATTTTTGTCAGTGAATCAAGCTTCATGGCTCAGTTCAGAAGCAGGGGATTTTTGTAAGGATGCTACTCCCTGCCCCAGCTGAAGGCAAGCCCTAAATATGAACCTCCTGGAGTCGATTTAAAGATGGCAGAGCTTTGATCATCTTGATGACAATGGGGGGAAGGCATCACAGCTCCCTGAGGATGCCGCGGAGCCATCAGCTGTGGCCTTTCCCGCCAGGAGGGAGGTGAAGTGCGCCAATGGAAACATTCAGTGCTCGGAGAAGAAAAGGCCTATTGTTACTCCCGGGAGGGTGTCAGTGGGGGCGCTGGCTGAACGCAGTGGTGGAAGGGGTGATCTCTCAGCCGTCAGGAGAGAATGCATTCAGGCCCTCAGCTCTAGGAGTGTGTTTTTCCCCCCTCCTCTTTTCAAGCCTGTATCATCTCAGCAAGTGCCTCAAGTGAGCAGCAGACAGGACAGAGGCCAGCCACTGGGGAGGCAGGGCTGGAGGAGCAGGCAGCTCCTCTCACCCTCCCAGGGCCATTCTCATGCAACACACAACCAACACGCACACATGCAAAGCCCTGTGAGGACAGACTGACATGGCCTGGAGAGTGCGGCAATCCATTGCTGCAGAGAGTGGAGCAGGCGGCGCTCACTCTCAGTGCCCAGGTTAGTTCTGTTTTTCTCCATTACACCACAAGGGCTCAGTCACTTCACCTATGCTGAGCAGGTCTATTCATGATTCTGTGCAAACTGGGAGCACTTAGCTAGTTGGTGACATGCATTTACGGGAGGCCCTCCAAGGGCCCCATGCTTGACTCAAGGCAGTGGTGAGGTGCAGAGGAAGCAGAAACTTCTGTCTCAGGCTTCAGGAGGGTACAGTCTGGAGCTACACTACCCATTATGGTAGCCACTGGCCATATGTGGCTATTTAAATTAAAAGTAGCTAAAACAAAAAATTCAACTCCTAAGTTGAACTAGCCATGTTTCAAGTGCTCAGTAGCCACATTTGGCCAGTGGCTACCATACTGGACAGCACAAAAACCATTTCCATCCTTGCAGAAAGTTCTGCTGGACAGTATTGTGGCATTTTGGGCATCTATGGGAACGATATAAGGCCACTTACAAAGGTGGAAATTAAGAGCAAATCAATGGGGGGAAATTAAGGCTCAGACGAATTGTGTCTTCCAGCCAGTAAGTGGTCTTCTGATTTCTACTCCAGAGTTTAGAAGCATCCTGAGGATGGTCTTGACCCTAATACATGAAATGTTTGCATTTGGGGTGGGGAGTGGGGTTGAGCACTAGTGTGGTGGTGGTGGGTTAGCTATTGGAATAGATTTCAAGGTAACTAGAAGCACGCTCTCTAAGCTGTAGCCCCCCAGATATGTGAGTGATTCATTTCTGGTTTCACTTCATCTGTGGTATTCTTCCCCACCTTCTGCCTTCCTCTCTCTTACTGTATTTACTCTCTCTTACTCCCTCTTATTGTATTTACTATGTGTCAGGGGCTGGGCTAAGTGCTTTCACACATCTCATTTAATTCCCACCACCTTCTGTGAATTGGAATTGCTGCCTATCTAAGCAAGAGATCCATTTCCTCTCCCCAAATATGACTCCTGCTCTCCCCAGCCCTTGGCTGTCCCAGTAAGAGGACTGCACTCCCAGCTCCAAGGGAGGGCTTCACTGATCCAAAAGGAGTCTTTTGTGATCAACAGGCTGAGGAACACAGCTCAAGGCCAATCTCCTTGCCACAACAATTTGTTGAGAAATGAGGTGTGACTTCTTTGGGCCAATAGGAAACAAGAGGAAGTTAGCTAAGTGCTTCTGGGAAAGAAGTTTGCTTTATCTTAAAAGAGAGTTACTAGAGATGTGTCTTTCCACTGACTTCCTAGTGTATGGATATAAGACCTCATCCATTTCTGTGCTGCTCAATACATAGCAGAGAGAAGAGCCAAGAACTCGCAGAGAAAGGGTGCGGGAGGGCCTGGAAGGGGCTATGGCTGGTGCTCTGGGCTCAGTGATGCCAGCCAGTCAACCCCTTTGTTGTTTCAGCATTTAGCCTTAGGCTTTCTGGGATTGCAGCCCACAAAACACCAAATGATCATTCCCTTCTGCAGATAATGAAACTCGGGCTAAGAGAATTTGATAACTTGCCCAGAACTACCTAGCTAGGAAAAGGCAGAGCCGGGTTAGAAATACAGATATCCTTGACCCCAGACACATGCTCTTTTGTTTATCACACTGTTTCTTCTCTGCATGAACCATGCTGGTATTTCAAAGGACCTAGGGGAGAAACCATGAAGACAAAACTGAAGAAATCAGACCTCTGAGGCCCCAAGAATACTCTTTTACCTCGAATATTACCTGAGAATGCTCTGATAGTCTGGTTTTTATAGGTAATTGCAAACCAGACTTTAAAAATTCATTGGCAGCTAGAGTTGATGGTCCTATTTATTTCTTGCTTTTTCCCAGGGCCCTTAGGGAACTCTTTTGGGCTTTTGGCTTTTTTTTTTTTTTTAAGAGTGGATGAGAAACTTCTAGACAGAACTGCTGAAATCCCTGCCTTTCACCAGGTGAATTAAATTAAATACCTTAGCTCTTTTAAGCGTTCAGCCAACTGAGCTCCTGGGCAGCCAGATCTCACCTTTACCCTTTGCTTTTATTTATTGCATATCCAGGGAGTTTGCTGGTAAACCAGCAGGTGACTCGACTCCCTTCAATGTTGGAAAGCTGTGGTTGCTGCCTTAGAGACTTTTCAGTCTTTCAGAATTCAGTCAACAACCCCGGGGAGGGCTGTGATTCTGTCTTTGTCTCTTTGTCACTCTTCTGGCATCTCTCAGCTCCCTCCCCTAATGGTGCCCTTGACCTTATTTAATGAAGGTCATCCTTCTTGCAAATATCACTTTAAACATATCAGGCACTGATCAACTGAGAGATTTCCTAGCAGAAAGGTCACAGCTGAAAAGCATCATCTTTCCCTGCTCCCCTTAGCAATTGCTCTGGAGGAGATGCCTTGGGGGAGGCGGAAGTTGCCCACACAGGAAAGCCCTTGGAGTCTGTTGGATTAGCATCAGCTGCACTCCTGCTGCTGCACAAAACAGGAGCACGGCTGAAACAACACTGCCTTCGAGAACTTTTGTCTTGGCCCTGGTGGAAATGCTAGCAGTGGAACATATCTGTATCTGTACCAGGTTGCAGCAACCTCAGTTCTTGCCTCCTCCTCAGAAGAAAGAATTTGACTGAGGAGCGTAAGACAGAAGGAGAGACCGAGGGAGTTTTAGAGCAGGAGTGAAAGTTTATTAAAAAGCTTTAGTTAGCCCTGTGTGGTGGTGGGCACCTGTAACCCTAGCTACTCTGGAGGCTGAGGCAGGAGAATCACTTGAACCTGGGAGGCGGAGGTTGCAGTGAGCCGAGATTGCACCACTGCACTCCAGCCTGGGCGACAGAGCGAGACTCCATCTCAAAAAAAAAATAAAAGCTTTAGAGCAGGAATGAAAGGAAGTAAGGCACACTTGGAAGAGGGCCAGGCGGAATGGCTTGAGTGGCTACATGCCCTGTTTGATCTTTTGACTTGGGGTTTTATATGTTGGCATACTTCTGGGGTCTTGTGTGTTACTTCTCCCGATTCTTTCCTTGGGGTGGGCTGTCTGCATGCTCAGTGGCCTGCCAGGGCTTGGGAAGGGAACATGTAGTGTGTTAACTGGAGTTGTACGCATGCTTACCTGAGGCATCCTCCCTTACTAGGCTAGCATTCCTAGAGGAAGGTATATACCAGTTAAACTCTGCCATTTTGCCTCTTAATGCGCATGCTGGAGCCCACTCGCCCAACTCCTGAGCTCTTATCAGGAAGCTGCTGCTCACCAGTTTCAAGTGTTTTCTATTTATTGGGAGCCTGCCTTTCCCTGGCACTGGCTGTGACCAATTACTATTTTAGAGAGTTAACAACCGCCTGACCATCACCTGATGGTCGCCTGACACTCCTGGTATGTGTGTCGGGGAGCCCTCTCCTGCTCGGCTCATGCCTGACTAGCTACCTACTGTAACAGAAGGAGCTGTTCACTTTGAGAACTAACAACCTGCAAAACCTGCTGCTTTCAATGCTTAGGCTTCATGGCCGAGTTGTTAGACGTTTAAAGTTGCAAAGCTTTCCTCTCATCCCCAATGTCCTCTGTGTTTGCTGTCCTTTTCTGATTATTGAAGAACCATATGGATTTGACTTTTCCCCAAAGAAAAGATCAAGGGTTACCAACCCATTTCCTAACTAGCAACAGGGCCACTGGGCAGCTCTGAACAGGACGAATTGTACCTAAAGATCTGAAGTAGGTGAGCCCTCAAGCTTTAGCCAACCCAAGTATCGGGCTCCCCTCAACCACAGGATGAAAGGTTAGTTGAGTAGGAGACGTGGTCTGCTGTCCATAGACACCTTCGGGCTTGGGTGCCTTCCAGAGACTTTCGGACCAATACCATTGGACTACTGTGTTTTTCATTCTCTTAAGTGCCTGCTCTGCCCCCAGGAGAGCTTCCACCCTGCAAACACAATCCCAGAAGCCTCCCCATCTCCCACTATAAAGCAATTCTTATGTGCATGAGGGAGAGAATGTGCAAGAGGACTCGTGTTGAATCAAAAATGATAGATTCTGGCAAAAAGTCATGCTTTAATGATAATGATAATGAGGGCATCATATTGTGAGCCTGGTTCTAAACCACGGTAACTCTGCACTATTTCCACACTAAGAAGATTTTATTGACTCTTCTGGGATCGAGATTGGGCCATGTGTTCCTCCAAGAATGAATTAACACGAGGCAACCATAATCCCCGGGGAAGACTTGCAGGGGTGTCCTGCCCGTTCCCTTAAGTGCTAGATGACCACTTCAGCTAGCATCTGGCTTTGTGATTCTGTCCATCAGCAGGAACCTCACTGCAACAGCATTTGCTGGAGAATTTGGAACAAGAAGACCTCGTTGGACTTTATCCAAGGGGATTTAGTCACTGCAGATCTAAAACTCCTCATAAGGCTGTGGCACAGTTCCAGAACCTGGCTCCAAGGAAGAGGTCATACCAGATACCATGTGTGTGTGTTTGCATGTATTTTTGTGTTGTTTGTGGGAGGTGTGTATGTGTCACATGAGTGTGTTTGCAGATATGCCTGTATAGTATGTGTTTGAGGGGTATGTGTGAAGACAGAAGATGCTCAGCTGCTTACAGTAGACACTCACTGTATGTGTTGAATTGAGACTGGGGCCTCCCCATCACAGCCTCCATCTGGGACAGAGGCTCAGAGATGCTGCCTTCCATTTTTCTCTCACCCCTCCTCAGAAAGTGCCTCAGGCTTGTTTGTCTCTGTCAGGGCAGGTCCCCATGCAGATTAGCTAAAGCCAAAGGGTGACATGGATTGCAGCTTTGTCCAGCCGAGGCTGCGGCTCTTCCTGGGAGCCTTTCCTCAAATTCCAGATTCCTTGCTCAGCCAGCCGAGTCCATCCATTTCCGTCTCAGGCCCTTCCAGTCCTGGTTTCCAGAGCAGTTCCTATTTCCTGCGTCTAGCCTGCATCATCCCTGGGTCAGGGGTTCAGGCTGCCTTTTAAATCTTTTTTTTTTTTTTTTTTTTGAGAAAAGGTCTTGCTCTGTCACCCAGGCTGGAGTGCAGTGGCATGATCACTGCTTGCTGAAGCCTTAGACCTCCTGGGCTCAAGCAATCCTCCTGCCTCAGCCCCCCCAAGTAGCTGGGACTGCAGGGCTGAGCCACCATGCCTGGCTATTTTTTTTTTCTGTAGAGACGGGGTCTTGCTATGCTGCCCAGGCTGGTCTTGAACTCCTGGCCTCAAGAAATCCTCCTGCCTCATCCTCACAAAGTTCTGGGATTACAGACATGAGCCACTGCACCTGGCCCAGCTGCTTCTTACTTAGCATCTGCAAAGTGTGGAGCTGCAAAAGGCATTCAAGATGGTTAGGTCCAGCCCCTACTTTTATTTATTTTATTTATTTTTTTAATTTTTATTGTGATAGCTTTTGGGATGCACGTGGGTTTTTGTGACATGGATGAATTACATAGCGGTGAATTCTGAGATTTTAGTGCACCCATCACCCAAGTAATGTATGTATACATTGTACCTAAGGTGTCATTTTTTATCCCTGGCCCCCCTTTCATTCTTCCCCTTCTGAGTCTCTAAAGT